>NC_000001.11:227321006-228558364 GCF_000001405.40 Homo sapiens | reverse complement strand
GATCTCGGAAGCTAAGCAGGGTCGGGCCTGGTTAGTACTTGGATGGGAGACCGCCTGGGAATACCGGGTGCTGTAGGCTTTTTCTTTGGCTTTTTGCTGTTTCTTTCCTTTTCTTCCAGACGGAGTCTCGCCCTGTCGCCCAGGCTGGAGTGCGGTGGCGCCATCTCGGCTCACTGCAAGCTCCGCCTCCCGGGTTCACGCCATTCCCCGGCCTCAGCCTCCCGAGTAGCTGGGCCTACAGGCGCCCGCCACCACGCCCGGCTACTTTGTTCTATTTTTCCTAGAGACGGGCTTTCACCCTGTTAGCCGGGATGGTCTGGAGCTCCTGACCTCGTGATCCACCCGCCTCGGCCTCCCAGAGTGCTGGGATTACAGGCGCGAGCCACCGCGCCCGCCCGGCCTGCTGTAGGCTTTTGTGGCTTCCCCGCTGCCTCCCTTCCCCCCACAGTCGCCATGCTTCCCAACCTCCCCTGACTCTGCTCCCCCTTTACCGCCCACCTACACCCCCGCTGCAGCCGCAGCCGGGGTCCTCCTGCTGGGGGTCCGCCCCTACTGCACGCCGGCCGGGCAGCAGCATCCCACCGCTTCCGCCTCGCCGCCGCCCCGCCAGGAGCCCGGCTCCAGCCTGGGAGGGCAGGGGGCCGGACCCCAAAGGCGCAGCCGCTGGGTTCCCTGCCGTTCGCGGTGCCTTCCCGCTCCCGGAACGCCCAGGCGATTCAATTCACCCATCGGGCGCCGTCGTCGCACCCTTCCAAACCGGGTGAAGGGGCGGGCAGGGGCAGCGGGTGCCACAGACGCCAGCCAAGACGTCGGCTCCGGAACGCATGGGCTGCTTTACCCGGGGGAAGGACATTGCTTCGCCAGCCACCGGGAAAACAGTCCCTGTGCACCCGGGATTCCCAATGCCCCCCGCTTCGTGTCGACGACTCCAGTCCCGAGGACTCGCCAGAGACCCAGGCCTCCGGGCCCGCCCGGTGCCACGGCTCCCGCCAAACGGGCGGGCGCGCTCTGCAAATCTCGGGGCCCGCCGCAAGGCACCCAGAGCACAGGGAGGTGCCAAGAAAGGCAGGAGCCTACGAAACCCACCTCCAAAGCAAGCAATTCATCCAAGAAGACGCCCGCCTCAGCGCTCCGTTGGTCCTCTCGCACGGACCGCCTGGCCCCCGTGTTCTGGGCGCAGCCCAAGCCCCCTCCACCCTATCCCGGCCTGCTCAAGAGGGCGCTGCCTAACGGAGCCGGGCGCTTCCTCTCTAAGGCTCTATCGCTCTCGCTCTCTAGCTCCCTCCGCCTCTCTCTTCTGGGTTTCCCCCTGGACCTCGCGGTACTTCTGTCGTTTTCCCTCTGTCTCTCTGTCTCTCTCTCTCTCTTTCTCTGTGCCTCTCTCTTTCTCAGCCTCTCTGTCTGTCTCCTTCCCTCTCGCCCTCCCCTGTCTCTCTCGATCGCTGTCTCTCTCCCTCCCTCGGTTTCTATCTCTCCATCCATCTCGTCCTTGCTCTCCTTCAAGCCGCGTGTGTGTGCGTGCGTGTGCGCGTGCGTGTGTGCGTGTGTGTGTCCGCGCGCGCGCGTGCGAGCGCGCCCGGGTGTGTCTGTGTGTGGGGGAGTGGATTTGCTCCTGGTGGCGGTGGGGTGTGTCTGGGTTTCTCTCAGGCCCTCTCACCCGAGATCAGGCCGCCGCCTCTAGTGCCAGCCCGGGGCAAAACAGGGCCACCCCCCGACCCGCTACACCCCACGCCCTCTTGCCCCCCCGGCCGGGTCTTGGTCGGGACAAGCGACCGTGGTGGGGGCGTTGTGAGAGAAAGGCCCCGCGCGGCTGGGCCGGCTGTTCGCCTTCGGCCAGCCCTGACGGCTCTGGGTGGGTGGGGCAAGAGGGGGCCTCGCAGGAGCCCCTGTGCGGCGAGGGATCCAAAACGCTGCCTCCGCGACAGGGCGGAGGACCGGAGGGCGTCCCAGGATCGTGGGCCCTGGGCCCTGACACCTCTGAACTCCTGAGTAGCTGGGACCCCAAGTAGGATGTCCCCGGCTGCCGCTGGGGTATAGGTGTGCTATAAAGGGAGAGCAGAGTCAGAGAAGGTTCGGAAGCATGGCGACTGCAGGGGGAAGGGAGGCAGCGGGAAACCCAAAAAAGCCTACAGCAGGCCGGGCGGGCGCGGTGGCTCCCGCCTGTAATCCCAGCACTCTGGGAGGCCGAGGCGGGTGGATCACGAGGTCAGGAGATCGAGACCATCCCGGCTAACAGGGTGAAACCCCGTCTCTAGGAAAAATAGAACAAATTAGCCGGGCGTGGTGGCGGGCGCCTGTAGGCCCAGCTTCTCGGGAGCCTGAGGCCGGAGTATGGCGTGAACCCGGGAGGCGGAACTTGCAGTGAGCCGAGATGGCGCGTCTGCACTCCAGCCTGGGTCACAGAGCGAGACTCTGTCTGGAAGAAAAGTAAAGAAAAAGCCATTAAAAAAAAAAAAAAAAAAAAGCCTCCAGCACCTGGTATTCTCAGGCGGTCTCCCATCCAAGTACTAACCAGGCTCGTCCCTGCTTAGCTTCCGAGATCAGTCGCGTTCAGGGTGGTATGGTCGTAGGCGCCAGAAGAGGAGCCTGGCTCCCCCAAGTGCCCGGCCAGCCTTGCCGGCCGGATTCCAGCTGTCACCGCCCGCCCAGGGCCGCGGGGCTCGGATCGTGGACCCTCGAGCCGCTCGCCCGCGGCCTTCCCGTGGCTCCCGAGCTCCCGGGATCCTGCCACATCCGGCCCGCTCGGAACAGGGAGTGCTCCGAGGCGTCACGGCCCAGGGCCCACGATCCTGGGACCCCTTCCATTCCTCCGCCCTGTCGCGGATGTATCGTTTTGGATCCCTCGCCGCTCAGAAGATCCTGCGAGGCCCCATCTTGCCCCAACCAACCAGAGCCGTCAAGGCTGGCCCAAGGACGAACAGCCGGCCCAGCCTCGCGGGGGTTTTTCTCACAACGCCCCCACAACGTTCGCTTGTCCCGACCAAGACCCGGTCTATTGGCAAGAGGGCGTGGGCTATAGCGGTTCAGGGTTTGGCCCTGCTTTGCCCCGGGCTGGCACTAGAGGCGGCGGCCTGATCCTGGGTGTGAGGGGCTGAGAGAAACCCAGACACACCCCACCACCACCAGGAGCAAATCTGCTTCCCCACACAAATACACACCTGGGTGCTCTCTCACGTGCGGGCAGACGCGCGCGCGCGCGCACACACACACACACACATCCCACCAGGAGGAAATCCACTCCCCCACACACAGACACACCCGAGCTCTCGCACGCGTGCGCGTGCTCACACACACACACAGGGCTTGAAGAAGAGGTAGGACGAGATGGATGGAGCGATAGAAACCGAGGGAGGGATAGAGGCAGCGATCGAGACAGGCGAGAGGGAAAGAGACAGACAGAAGGGACAGCTATTTTAATGGGAGAGACTTCCGGCTCTCTATCCATTCTAATGATAGAGACACCTGTGTGACCCCAGGCATTCTAATGGGAGCGGTCCCTGACTGATGTCAGACCTTCTAATACTAGAGACTCCTGGGAGACTTCAGGCATTCTAATGGGAGAGGCTCTTGGCCGACCTCCAGTCTTCCAATAACAGAGACACCTGGGAGACCCCAGGCATTCTGATAAGAGAGACTTCTGGCCAACGCCAGTCATTCCAGTGATTCAGACACCTTGACGACCACAGGCATTTTGATGAGAGAAACTTCTGGCCGATGCCAGGCATTCTAATGATAGAGACACTTGGGTGACCCCAGGCTTTCTAATGAAAGACACTTCTGGCCGACCCCAGACGTTCTAATTGTAGAGACACCTGGGCGACTTCAGGCATTCTAATGATAGAGACACCTGGGTGACTCCGGGCATTCTAATGATAGATAAACCTGGGCAAATCCAGGCATTCTAATGGGGGAGACTCCTGGCCGACCACAGACATTGTAATGATAGAGACACCTGGGCGACTCCAAGCATTCTAATGATAGAGACACCTGGGCAACCCCAGGCATTCTAATGATGCAGACACCTCAGTGACCTCAGGCATTCTAATGGGAAGGACTCTTGGCCAACTCCATGCATTGTAATGATACAGACACATGGGTGACCCAGGCATTCTAATGGGAGAGACTCCTGGCTGACCACAGGCATTTTAATGATAGAGACTCCTGGGCGACTCCAGGCATTCTAATAATAGAGACACCTGGGCGACTGCAGGCATTCTAATAATAGAGACTCCTGGGCGACTCCAGGCATTCTAATAATAGAGACACCTGGGCGACTGCAGGCATTCTAATAATAGAGACTCCTGGGCGACTCCAGGCATTCTAATAATAGAGACACCTGGGCGACTGCAGGCATTCTAATAATAGAGACACCTGGGCGACTGCAGGCATTCTAATGGGAGAGACTCCCGGACAATTGCAGGAATTTTAATAATAGAGACACCTGGGTGACCCCAGGCATTTTAATGGGAGACACTTTTTTCTGACCCCAGGGAGTCTAATGATAGAGACACCTGGACCACCCCAGGCATTCTAATGATAAAGACACCTGGGCAACCCCAAGCATTCTAATGGGAGAAACTCCTGGCCAACCCCAGGAATTGTAATGATAGAGACACTGGGCAACCAAGGCACTCTAATGGGAGAGACTCCAGGCCATTCAAAGGTATTTTAATGATAGAAATACCTGGATGAAGCCAGGCTTTCTTTTTTTCCCGAAGTCTCGCTCTTGTCTCCCAGGCTGGAGTGCAATGGCGCGATCTTGGCTCACTGCAACCTCCGCCTCCAAGAACCCAGGCATTTTAATGGGAAAAACTTCTGGCTAACGCCAGACATTTTATGTCTAATGATAGACATATTATGTCTAATGATAGAGACACCTGGGCGACTCCAGGCATCCTAAGGGGAAGAGACTCTGGCCTCTGCCTAGTTGTTCCAATAATAAAGACACCTAGGCAACCCCAGGCACTCTAATGAGAGAGACTGCTGGAAAACTCAAAGCATTCTCATGATAGAGCCATCTGGACCACCCCTGGCAGTTTAATGGAAGACAGTCCTGGTTGACCCCAGGCGTTCTAATGATAGAGACAGCTAGGGGACCCATGCATTCTAATGGAAGAGACCCCTGGCCGACTGCAGGCATTCTAATGATAGAGACACCTGAAATAACACAGGCATTCTAATGGGAGACACCTGGGCGACTCCATGGATTCTAATTGGAGAGACTCCTGGCTGATCCCAAACCTTCTAATGATAGAGACACCTTAGAAACCCCAGGCATTCTAGTGACAGAGACACCTGGGTGACCACAGGAATTTTATGTGAGAGACTCCTGGATCACACTAGGCATTCTCATAATAGAAATAGCTGGGCGATTTCAGGCATTCTAATGGGAGGGACTCCTGGCTGACCCCAGGCATTCTAATGATAGAGACACCTGGGCAGCCTCAGGCATTCTAATAGGAGAGACTCCTGGCTGACCCCAGGCATTGTAATAATAGAGAAACCCAGGACACCACAGGCATTCTAATGGGAAAGAGACTTTTGGCTTACCCCGGGCATTCAAATGACAGAGACACTTTGGGGCCACCACGCATTCTAATGAGAGAGGCTCATGGCTGACCCCAGGCATTCTAATAATAGAGAAACCCAGGATACCACAGGCATTCTAATGGGAAAGGGACTTTTGGCTTACCCTGGGCATTCAAATGACAGAGACACTTCGGGGCCACCATGCATTCTAATGGGAGAGGCTCATGGCTGACCCCAGGTATTCCAATGATATAGACACCAGGGCACCCCAAGTATTTCGATGGAAAAGACTCCTAGCCCATCCCAGGCATTGTAATGATAGAGACACTGGGTGACCCCAGGCATACTAATGAAAGACAGTCTGCCCGACCCCTACAACCCCAGGCATTCTAATGATAGAGACACTTTTGTGAACACAGGCATTCTAGTGGGAGAGACTCCTGGCCAATGCCAAGCATTCTAATGATACAGACACCTGGGTGACACCAGGCATTCTAATGGGAGAGACTCCTGGCCGACCCCAGCCATTCTAATGACAGAGACATCTGGGCCACCCCAGACATTCTAATGGGAGAGACTCTTTGCCAACCCTAGGCATTGTAATGATGGAGACACCTGGGCAACCTTAGGCATTGTAATAATGGGGACTCATCTGTGTCCACAGGCATTCTAATTAAAGAGATGCCTGTCTTACCCTAGTCATTGTAATGATAGAGACATTTAAGCCACCCAAAACAGTCTAATGAGAGAGACTGCTTGCCGAGCACAAGCATTCTGATGATAGAGACACCTCAGCAACCCCAGGCATTCTAATGGGAGAGGCTTTTGGCAGACCCCAGGGATTGAAATGATAGAGGCATCTGGGAGACCCCAGGCGTTCTAATGGGAGAGACTCGAGGCCGACTTCGGGCATACTAATAAGAGAGACACTTGGATGACCCCAGGCAATCTAATGTGAGAAACTTTTGGCCGACCACAGGCATTGTAGTAATAGAGAAACCTGGGTGACCCCAGACATTCTAATAGGAGACACGCCTGGCTGATCACAAGCATTGTAATGATAGAGACAACTGGGTGACTACAAACATTTTAATGATAGAGACACCTGAGTGACTCCAGGCAGTCTAATAAGACAGACTCCTGGCTGACTGCAGGCATCTTAATGATAGAGACAACTGGATGACTCCAGGCATTCTAATGATAGAGACACCTGGGTGAAGGCAGGCATTCTAATCGGAGACACTCCTGGCTAACAGCAGGCATTGAAATGATAGAGACACCTGAACAACCACAGGCATTCTAACAGGAGAGACTTCTGGCCGACCCCAGGCATTCCAGTGATAGAGACACCTGGGCAACCCCAATCATTCTAATAGTAAATACACCTGGGCACCTCCAGGCATTCTAATAAATAAGAAACCTGGGTGAACCCAGGCATTCTAATGGGAAAGATTCCTGGCCAACTCCAGGCATTCTAATGAGAGACTCCTGCCTGACTGAAAGCATTCTAATGACAGAGACCTGGCCGACCCATGACATTATAATGAAAGAAACTTCTGGCTGACCCCAAACTTTCTTATGATAAAGACAGCTGGATGACCCCAGGCATTCTAATGGGAGAGACTCCGGGCCCTCCCCATGTATTTTAATGATAGAAACACCTTGGCGACCCCAGGCATTCTAATGGAAGAGACTCCTGGATGACCCAAAGCATTCTCATGATAGAGACATTTGGGAAACCCCAGGCATGCTAATGGAAGTTTTTCTTGACCCCAGGCATTCTAATGATAGAGATACCTGGACTATCACAAACATTATAATGGGAGAGATTCCCAGCTGACTCCAGCCATTCTAACGTTAGAGACACCTGGGCAACTTCAGGCATTCTAATGGTGGAAACTCCTGGCCTACTTTAGGGATTCTAATGATAGAGACACCTGGGTGACTTCAGGAGTTTTAATGGGAGAAAGTCCTGGATGACCTCAGGCATTTTCAGGATAGAGACAGCTGGGTGACCCCAGGCATTTTAATAAGAGAGATTCCTGGCCTTCCCAGGCATTGTAATGATGGGGACACCTAGGTGATCCAGGCATTCTAATGGGTAAGACTCCTGATCGACCCCAGGCATTGTAATGATAGACACACCTGAGTGACCCCAGGCATTCTAATAAGAGAGACAGCTGGCCAACCCCCAGTATTGTAATGATAGAGACAAATGGGTGATCCAGGCATTCTAATGGGAGAGACTCCTGGCTGACCCCAAGCACTGTGATAATAGACACACCTGGGGTGAACTCAGGGATTCTAATGGGGAGAGACAGCTGGCCGACCCCAGGCATTGCAATGAAAAAGACAACTGGGTGACTTCAGGCTATCTAATGATAGAGACACTTAGGTGACTCCAGGCATTCTAATGATAAAGACACCTGGGAGACTCCAGGCATTCTAATGGGAGAGACTCCTGGCTGACTGCAGGCATTGTAATGATAGAGACACCTGGTTTACTCCAGGCATTCTAATGATAAAGACAGCTGGGTGACCTCAGGCATTTTTAATAGGAAAGATATTTGGCTTATTGCAGGCATTGTAATGATAAAGACTTCTGGTGACCCCAGACATTCTAATAAGAGAGACTTTTGGCTGAACTCAGGCATTCTAATGATAGGGACACTTGGGCAGCCCAAGGCATTCTAATGACAGAGACACCTGGGCAACTCCAGGCATTCTAACAATGAAGACACCAGGGTGACCCCAGGCATTCTAACGGGAGAGACTCAAAGTCGACTTCAGGCATTGTAATGATAAAGTCAACTGGGCAACTCCACACATTCTAATTGGAGAGACTCCTTGCTGACCCCAGGCATTCTAATGATAGAGAGGCCTGGGGGTACCCAGGCATTCTAATGTGAGAGGCTCCTGGCTGACTAAAGGCATTTTAATGATAGAGACACCTGGGTGACCCCAAAATTTCTATGATAGACCCACATAGGCGACCTTAGGAATTCTAATGGGAAAAACTCTTGGGTGACCCCAGACATTGTAATAACGGAGACACCTGGTGACCCCAGGCATTCTAATGAGAGAGACTCCTGCCCGACAACAGGCATTCTAATGATAGAGACACCTGGGCGACCCAAAGCATTGTAATGACAGAGGCACATGGACAACCCCAGACATTCTCATGAAAGATACTCCTGTTGGACCCAATACATTCTAATGCTAGTAACACCTGGGCGACCTTAGGCATTCAAATGATAGAGACACCTGGGTGACCCCAGGCATTCTAATGGGAGTGATCCCTGCCCATCCCCAGGCATTGTAATGATAGAGAAAACTGAGGGTACTCAGGCATTCTGAAAAGAGAGATTCCAGGCTGATACCAGGCATTCTAATGATAGAGACACCTGGGCAATTTCAGGCATTCTAATGGGAGACACTCCTGACCCACTGTAGGCATTGAAATGATAGAGACACCTGGGCGATCTCAGGCAATCTAATACGAGAGATTTTGGCTGACCCCAGACATTCTAATAATAGAGACACCTGGGCAACTCAATGCATTCTAATGGATAAAACTCCTGGTCAACACAAGCATTCTAATAATAGAGACACCTGAGTGACCCCAGATATTCTAATGATAAGGACTCTTGGGCAATTTCAGTCATTGTAATGGAAGAGATTCCTGGCCTACCCCAAGCATTCTAATAATAGAGATATCTGGGCAAACACAGCCATTCTAATGGGAGAGACTCCTGGCCAACCCCAGGCATTGTAATGATAAAGACAGCTGGGCAACCCCAGGCACTCTAATGGAAGAGACTCCTGGCCGGCTCAAGGCATTGTAATGATAAAGACACCTGGGCAACGCCATGCATTCTAATGGGAGAGACTCCCAGCCAACCCCAGGCATTGTAATGATAGTGACAGCTGGGTGACCCCAGGCATTCTAATGAGAGAGACTCCTGGCTGACCCAAGGCATTCTAATGATAGAGACACCTGGATGACCCCAGTCATTCTAATGATACAGACACCTGGGTGAAATCAGGCTTTCTAAAGGGAGAGACTCCTGCCTGACCACAGACATTGTAATAATAGAGACAACACGGTGATCTTAGGCATTCTAATGAAAGAGACTGCTGGCCCACCCCAAGCATTCTAATGATAGAGACACCTGGGCTACTCCAGACATTCTAATGTTAGAGACACCAGGGCGACCTAAGGTATTGTAATGGAGAGATACCTGGGCGACACCAGGCATTATAATAAGAGAGACACCTGTGTGACCCCAAGCATTCTATTGGGAGAGACTACTGGCTGACCCCAGGCATTGTAATAATAGGGACACCTTGGTGACCCCAGGTGTTCTAATGGGACAGACCCCTGACTGACCCCAAAATTCTAATGATAGAAAAACCTGGGTGTACTCCATCATTCTAATGGGAGAGACTCCTGGCTGACCCCAGGCATTCTAATAATAAAGACTTCTAGCTGACCCCAGGCATTGTCATGATAAAGACACCGGGTGACCCCAGGCATTCTAATAAGAGAGGCTCCTGGCCGACTGTAGGCATTGTAATGATAGATACCTGGGAGACCCAAGGCATTCTAATGGGAGAGACTCCTGAGACTCCTGGCCAACCTTAGGTATTCTAATGATAGAGAAACCTGGATGATTCAAAGCATTCTAAAGGAAGATACTCCTGGTGAGCCCCAAACATTTTAATAATAGAGACATCTGGGCGAACCCGCATTCCAATAAGAGAGACTGCTGGCCAACCCAAGGCATTCTAATGATAGAGACTGTTGGAAAATCCCAGGCATTCTAATGATAGAGTCATCTGGGCAACCCCAGGCATTTTAATGGGAGACATTCCTGGGAGACCCCAGGCACTTAATGGGAGAGACTCTAGGCTGACAACAGGCATTTTAATTATAGAGACACCTGGGTGACCCCAAGCATTCTAATGGGAGAGACCCCTTTCAGACACCAGGCCTTTTAATGATAATGATAATGATAATGATAATGATAATGATAATGATAATGATAATGAGACACATGAGCTGAGCAATCTCAGAACTTCTAGTAAGAAAGACTCCATGGTGAACTTAGGCATTCTAATAATGGAGACACCTGGGCAACAACAGGCATTCTAATAAGAGAATATGCGGGCTGACCCCAGGCATTCTAATGATAGAGACGCCTGGGCGACTTAAGGCATTGTAATGGTAGAGACACCTGGGTGACCTCAGGCATTCTAATGGGAGAGACACCTGGCCAACCCCAGGCATTGTAATGATAGAGACACATTGGCTATTCCAAGCATTCTAATGGAAGAGATTCCTGTCTGATCCAAGGCATTCTAATGAGAGAGACACCTGGGTGACCCCTGCAATTCTAATGATACAGACACCAGAGCGACCTCAGACATTCTAACAGGAGAGACCCCGACCCACCCCAGGCATTACAATGATAAAGACAACTTGGCCACCCCAGGCATTCTCATGGAAGAGACCACTGGCCGACCCCAGGCATGGCCAAGAGACAGAAACGTGGATGACCCCAGGCATTCTTATGAAAGACTCCTGGCCGACCTCAGGCATTCTAAAGATAGAGACACCTGGGCAACTCCAATCATTCTAATGGGAAAGATTCCTGGGTGACCCCAGACATTCTAATAATAACACCTGGGTGAACCCAGTCATTCTAATGGGAAAGACTTCTGGCCCACCCCAGGCATTCTAATAATAGACACACCTGGATGGCCCCAGGCATTCTAATGAGAAAGACTCCTGGCCGTCCTCAGGCATTGTAATGACAGAGACTAATGCGCAACCCCGGGCATTCTAATGATACACACACCTGGGTGAACTCATGCATTCTAACCAACCCCAGGCATTGTAATAATAGACACATTTAGGCGAACCCACGCATTGTAATGGGAGAGACTCCTGGCCGACCCCAGACATTCTAATAATAGAGAAAACTGGGTGACTCCAGACATTCTAATGAAATAGTCTCCTGGGTGACCCCAGGCATTCTAATGATAGGGACAGCTGGGTGACACCAGGCATTCTAATGAGAGAGATTCTTGGTTGACCCCAGGCATTCTAATGGGAGAGACCCATAGCAACCTTAGAAATTCTAATGATAGAGATGTGGGTGACCCCAGGCATTCTAATGGGACAGAGTTTTGGCTGATCCCAGGCATTCTAATAATAGAGACACCTGGGTAACCCCAGGCATTCTTATAATACAGACAGCTGGGCAACCCCAGGCATTCGAATGTGAGAGACTCCTTGCTGACTTCAGAAATTCTAATGATAGAGAAACCTGGGTGACCCCAGCTGTTCTAATGATAGAGACACCTGGGCAAACTGAGGCATTTTATTGCGGGAGACTTCTAGCCAACCCCAGGGATTGTAATGATAGAGACACCTGGGCAACTCCAGGCATTCAAAAGGGAGAGACTCCTGGCAGGTTTTAGGCAATGTAATGATAGAGGCACCTGGGTGACCACAGGCATTCTAATGAGAGAGCATCCTGGCTGACCCCAGGCAGTCTAATGATAGAGACACCCGGGCAATTTCAGGCATTCTAATAGGAGAGACTTTTACCCGAATTTAGACATTTTAATGATAGATACACCTGGGCAAGCCAGGCATTCTAGTGGGAGGGACTCCTGGCCGACCCAGGCATTCAAATGATAGAAACACATAGGCGACACCCGGCATTCTGTAAAGAGACTCCTGTCCGACTCCAGGCATTCTAATGATAAAGACATTTTGGTGACTCCAGGCATTGTAATAAAAGAGACTCCTGACAGACCCCAGGCATTCTAATAATAGAGACACCTGGGCGACCCCAGGCATTCTAATGGGAGAGACTCCTGACCAACCTCAGTCGTTCTATTGACACAGACACCTGGGCGACCCCAGGCATTTTAACGGGAGAGACTACTAGCCAACCACAGGCATTCTAATGACAGAGACACCTGGGGGGACCCCCAGTCTTCTAATGATAGGGACTTTTTGCAGACCCCAGCAATTCTAATAATAGAGACAACTGGGCAACCCCAGGCATTATTATGGGAGAAACTCCTGGCCGACCACAGGCATTATAATGATAGAGGCACCTGGGTGACCCCAGGAATTCTAATAAAAGAGATTTCTGGCTGACCCCAGGCATTCTAATAGAAGAACCAGCTGGAAGACCCAGGCATTCTAATAAGGGAAACTCTTGGCCAATTCCAGCCATTCTCATAAGAAAGACACCTGGGCGACCACAGGAATTCTAATGGGACAGACCCTGGCTGACCCCTGGCGTTCTAATGACAGAGAGATCTGGGTGAATTCAAGCATTCCAACGAAAGAGACTCATGGCATACCCCAGGCATTCTAATACTAGAAAAACCTTGGCAACCCCAGGCATTCTAATGGGAGAAACTTCTGGCCAACCTCAGGCTTTCTAATGATAGAGACACCTGGGCTACCCCAGACTTCCTAATGGTAGAGTTAGACACCTTGGTGACCTCAGACATTCTAATGGGAGAAACTCCTGGCTGACCCCAGGCATTCTAATGACATTTGGGCAACCCCAAGCATTCTAATAGGAGACACTCCTGGCTGACCACAGGCATTCTAATGATAGAGACATTTTGGCAACCCTAGGCATTTTAGTGATAGAGTCACCTAGGCGACCCTAGGCATTTTAATGATAGAGTCAACTAGGTGACCCCAGGCATTCTAATTGGAGATACTCCTGTCTGACCACAGGCATGATAGAGACACCTGGCCCCAAGCATTCTAATAACAGAGACAACTGGGCAACCTAAGGCATTCTAATTGGAGAAACTCCTGGCCAACCCCAGGCTTTCTGTTGAAAGAGACTCCAGGTTGAACCTAGGCATTTTGTTCATAGAGACACCTGGGCGAAAAGAGGCATTCTAAAAATAGAGATTCCTGGCACATCCCAGCCAGTCTAATAATAGAGATACCTGGTCGACCCAGGCATGCAAATGGGAGAGGCTCATGTTTGACCCCAGGCATTGTAGTAATAAAGGCACCTGGGTGACCCCAGGCATTCTAATGGGAGAGACTCCTGATCAACCCCAGGCATTCTACTCATAGAGAAACCTGTGCGGCCACAGGCATTCTAATGATAGAAACACCTGGGCAACCTCAGGCATTCTAATGGGAGAGACTCGTGTCCAACCCCAGGCATTGTAATTACAGAAACACATGGGTCACTTTAGGCATTCTAATGGGAGAGACACCCGGCCAACAACAGGCATTCTGATGACAGAGACACCTGGGTGAACCCAGGCATTCTAATGGGAGAGACTGCTGGCAGACAACAGACATTCTAAAATAGAGGTACTTGGGGGACCACAGGCATTCTAATGAAAGAGACCCCTGGCCGACCACAGGCATTCTAATGACAGAGACAGCTGGGGGGACCCAGGCATTCTAATGGGACAGACTCCTGGCTGACCCCAGGCATTCTAATAATAGACACCTGGGTGACCACAGACATTCTAATGAGAGAGGCTCCTGGCTGAACCCTGGCATTCTAATAATAGAGACACCTGGGCAACCACAGGCATTCTAATGGTAGAAACACCTGGGCGACCTCAGGCATTCAAATGGGAGAGACTCATGTTTGACCCCAGGCACTGTAATGACAAAGACACATGGGTGACTAAGCATTCTGATAAAAGAGACACCTGGCCGACCCAAGGCATTCTAATGATAAAGACACTGGGCATTCTAATGATAGAGACACCTTGGGGACCACAGGCATTCTAATGGGAGAGATTCCTGGTGGACCCCAGGCATTGTAATTATAGAAACACCTGGGCGACCGCTGACTTTCTAATGATAGACATACCTGTGCAATTCCAAATTTCTAATGGAAGAGACTTCTGGCTGACCCCAGGCATTCTAGTGACCAAACACCTGGGCACCTCAGGCATTCTAATGGGAAACACTGCAGTCAGATTCCAAACCTTGTAATGACAGATATTCCAGGGTGACCCCAGGCATTCTAATGGGAGACACTCCTGGTCCACCCAAGCCATTCTAATGATAAAGATACCTGTTGAACCCCAGGCATTGTAATGATAGAGACACCTGGGAGACACCAGGCTTTCTAATGGGAAAGACTCCTCCTGGTGGACCCCAGGCATTGTAATGATAAAGACACCTTTGTGACCCCAGACATTCTAATGGGAGAGACTCCCGGCGGGCCCCAGGCATTGTAATGATAGAGACTCCTGGGCCACCCCAGGCATTCTAACTGGAGATAACCCTCTCCGACACCAGGAAATCTAGTGATAGGACACCTAAGCCACCCTAGGCATTCTAATGATAGAGATGCCTGGGTGACCTTAGGCATTCTAATGGGAGAGACTCCTTTCTGACCCCTGGCATTCTAATGATAGAGAAACCTTGGCAACCCCAGGCATTCTAACGGGAAAGACTCCTGGCCGACCCTAGGCATTGTAAGGATAGAAACAGCTGGGCAAACCCAGGCATTCTAATGGGAGAGACTTTTGACCGACCCCAGGCATTATAAGCATAGAGACACCTGGACGACTTCAGGCATTCTAATTGGAAAGACATCTGGCTGGCCCCAGGCATTGTAATGATAAAGACACATGGGCGACAACAGGAATTCTAATTGGAAGAACTCCTGGTCAACTCCAAGTGTTGCAATGATAGAGACACATCAGTGACTACAGACATTCTAACTGAAGAGTCTCCTGGCTTACCTCAGGCATTCTAATGATAGAGACACCTGGGCATCCTACTCAGAAAAACCCCTGGCTGACCCCAGGCATTCTAATGATAGAGACACCAGTATGACACCTGGAATTCTAATGGAAGAGACTCCTGGCCAACCCTAGGCATTCTAATGATGGAGACACCTGGGTGACCCCAGGCATTCTAATGGGAGAAACTGGTCGACCCCAGGTATTCTAAAGATAGTCACTTGAGTGACCCCCAGCATTCTAATAGGAGAGACCATTGGCCAACCCCATCATTCTAAAGATAGAAACACTTGGGTGACCCCAAGCATTCTAATGATAGAGACACCTATGAGATTCTGAGAATTCTAATGGGAGAAAATCTGGCCGACTGTAGTAATTCTAATTATAGAGACACCTGGGCAACCCCAGGCATTCTACTGGGAGAGACTTGTGGCTGACCCCAGGCATTCTAATAATAGAGACACCTGGGCAACCCCAGTCATTCTAAACAGAGAGACTCCTGGCCGACCCCAGGCATTCTAATGATAGAGACACCTGGGCAACCACAGGCACTCTACTGGGAGAGACTCCTGGCCTACCCAAGGCATTCTAACTTTAAAGACATCTGGGCAACTTCAAGCATTCTAAAGGGAGAGACTTCTGGCCAACCCCAGACATTCTAATAATAGAGACACCTGGAAAACCCCAAACATTCTAATGGGAGAGACTCCTGGCTCACCACAGGCATTCTAATAATAGAGACACCTAGGCAACTTCAAGCATTCTTAAATGAGAAACTCCTGGCACATCCCAGGCATTCTAATGATAGTGACACCTCGGTTACCCCAGGTATTATAATAGCAGAGACTACTGGCTGATCCCAGGAATTTTAATGATGGAGACACCTCTGTGATTCCAGGCATTTTAATGGGAGAGATTCCTAGTTGACTCCAGGCATGGTAGTGATAGAGACACCTGTGTGACCCCAGGCATTCTAATTATACAGACAGTTGGGTGAACCCAGGCATTCTAAAGGGAGAGACTCCTGGATGACCCCTGGCATTCTATTGATAGAGACATCTGGGAGACTCCAGGCATTCTAATGGGAGAGACACATGGCCAACCACAGGCATTCTAATTATAGAGACACCCGGGCGACTTTAGGCATTCTAATGTGAGAGACTCCTGACCAACCCCAGGCATTCTAATTATAGAGACAAATGGGTGACGCCAGGCATTCTTATGGAACAGACTTCTGGCCAACCCAAGACATTCTAATGATAGAGACACCTGGGTGACTTCAGGCATTCAAATGATAGAGACACTTGGACAACCCCAGGCGTTCTAATGGGAGAGACTCCTGGTCAAACTCAAGCATTATGACAGAGATACCTAGGTGACCCAAGATATTTTACTGGAAAGACTCATGGCCAACCCCAGGCATTCTAATATTAGAGACACCTGAGTGACCCCAGGCATTTTTATTAGACTCTTATTTGACCCCATGCATTCTAATAATAGAGACACCCGGGTTACCCCAGGCATTCTAATGGGAGAGACTCCGGGCCTATCTAAGGCAATCTAATGATAGAGACACCTTGAAGACTTCAGACATTCTAATGGGAGAGACTCCTGGCTGACCCTAGGTATTTTAATAATACAGGCATCTGGGAGAACCCATGCATTCTAAAGGGAGAGACTCCTGGCTGACCTCAAACATTCTAATGATAGAGACACCTTTTTGACCCCAGGCATTCTAAAGTTAGACACACCTGGGAGATCACATGCTTTCTAATTGGATAGACTTCTGGCTGATTCCAGGCATTCTAACGGTAGAGACAGCTTGGCGACCCCAGGCATTATCATGGCAGTGACTCCTTGCTGACCGCAGGCATTCAAATAATAGACACCTGGGTGACCACAGATATTCTAATGGGAGAGACTCCTGGCTGACCCCAGGCTTTCTAATTATTAAGAAACCTGTGGGACTCCAGGCATTATTATGATAGAGACACCTAAGCGACCCCGGGCATTCTAATTACAGAGACACCTGGGAGGCCTCAGGCATTCTAATGGGAGATACCCCTGGTTGACCCCAGGCATTTGAAAGATAAAGACCCTTAGGTGACTCCAGAATATCTAATGATAGAGACTCCTGAACAACCCAAGGAAATCTAATGAAAGAGACTCCTTGTTAACCCCAGGCATTTTTATGTTAGAGACATCTGGTGACCTCAAGCATTTTAATGGGAGAGATTCCTAGCTGACCCCAAGCATTGTAATGATAGAGAAATCTGGGCAACCCCAGGCATTGTAATGGGAAAGACTCCTGGCCAACCTCAGGCATTCTCATGAGAGAGACTCATGGGCGACCCCAGGCATTCTAATGGGAGAGAATCTTGGCTGACCCCAGGCATTGTAATGATAAAGACATCTGGGCAACACCAGGCATTTCAATGGAAAAGACTCCTGGGAGACCTCAGGCATTATAATGATAGAGATACCTGGGTGATTTTAGACATTCTAATGGGAGAGACTCCTGGCCAACCCCAGGCATTCTAATGATAGAGACACCTTGGCGACCCCAGGCATTTTAATGGGAGAGACTCCTGGCCGACCACAGGCATTCTAATGATAGAGACAACTGGGCGATCCCAAGCATTCTAATGAAAGACACTCTAGGCTGACACCTGGCATCGTAATGATAAAGAAACCAGGGACATTCCAGGCATACTAATGACAGAAACTTCCAGATGACCCTAGTTTTTCTAATGATAAAGACACGTCGGCGACCTCAGGCATTCCAATATAAAAGACTCCTGGCCGGCCCCAGACATTCTAATGGTAGAGATAACTGGGCAACCCCAGGCATTCTACTGGGAGAGAATCTCAGCCAGCCCCAGATATTCTAATGATAGACACACCTTGGTGACTTCAGGCATTCTAATGGGAGAGACTCCTGGTTAACCCCAGGAATTCTAATAATAGAGACACCAGGACGACCCCAGGCCTTCTAATGAAAGAGACTCCTGCCCAAACCCAGACATTCTAACGATAAAGACACCTGAGCAACCCCAGCCATTCTAATGATAGAGACACCTGGGCAAACCCAGCTATTTTAATGGGAGAGAATCCTTCCCCATTCCGGTATTCTAATGATAGAGACACCTGGGCAGCCAATGGCATTCTAATGGGATAGACTCCTGGACTACCTCAGGCATTTTAATGATAAAGACAGCTGTGCCACACAAGGCATTCTAATGATGGAGACACCTAGACGAACCCACACATTCTAACTGGAGAGACTCCTGGTGGAATCCAGGCATTCTAATGATAGAAACACTTGGGCCACCCCAGGCATTCTAATGGGAATGTTTCCTGGCTGATCCAAGGAATTGTAATAATAGAGACAAGTGGGTGACCCAAGGCATAGTAATGGAAGAGACTCTTGGCTAACTCCAGACATTCTAATAATAGAGACACCTGGAGGAACCCAGGAATTCTAATGGAAGAGACTCCTGGCTGACCCCAGGCATTGTAATAATAGGGACACCTGGGCGACCCCTTGCATTTTAATGAGAGAATCCCAACCGACCCCAGCCATTCTAATGATAGAGACACATGGGTGACCCCAGGAATTGTAAGGGGAGGACTCCTGGCTGACCCCAGGCATTCTCATGATGGAGACACTAGGGAGACCCCAGGCACTCTAATAAAAGAGACTCCTGCCCGATCTCAGGCATTCTAATAGGAGAGACCCTAGGCCGGCCACTAGCATTCTAATGATATAGAAACCTGGGCTCTTTCAGGCATTCTGATGATAGAGACACGTGTGCAACATCAGGCATTCTAATGGGAGAGACTCCTGACCAATACCATGCATTCTAATGATAGAGACGACTTGGTACCCCAGGTATTCTAACAAGATGGACTCCTGGCCAACACTAGTCTTTCTAATACCTGGGCAACCCCAGGCAACCCCAGGCATTCTAATGGTTGAGATTCCTGGACAAACCCAGGCATTCTAATGACAGAGACAGCTGGTCATCTCAGGCATTCTAATGGAGAGACTTCTGGCCCACCCCAGGCATTGTAATGATAGAGACAACTGGGAGACCCCAGGCATTCTACTGATAGAAACACCAGGGTGACAGCATGCATTCTAATGGGAGAGACTCCAACCAACCCCAGGCATTCTAATTATAGAGACATTTGGGCGACCCCAAGCATTCTAAGGGGAGAGACCCCCGGCTGACCCTAGGCATTCTCATGAGAAAGACACCTGGGTGACCTCAGACAATCTAATGGGAGAGACTCCTGGGCGACCTTAGGCATTGTAATAATAGAGACCCCTGGATGACTGCAGGCATTCTAATGGAAGAGACTCCTGGCCGACCCTAGGCATTCTAATAATAGATACAGCTGGACGACTTCAGGCATTCGAATGGGAGAGACTTCTGGCTGACCATAGGCATTATAATGGTAGAGACAAGTGGGCTACTTTAGGCATTTTAATGAGAGGGACCCTTGGCCAACCCCAGGCATTCTAATGATAGAGACACCAACGAGACTCTAGGCATTCTAAAGGGAGAGAATACTGGGCAACCTTAGTAATTCTAATGAGACACCTGGGCAACCTCAGGCATTATAATGTGAAAAACTCCAGACAAACCACAGGCATTCTAATAATAGAGACACCTGGGTGACCCCATGCATTCTAATGGGAGAGACTTTCGGCCAACCCCAGGAATTCTAATGATAGAGACAAATGGGTGACCCCAGGCATTCTAATGATAGATACACTTAAGCAGCTCGTGGCATACTAATGGGAGAGACACCTACCTGACCCCAGGCAATCTAATTACAGAGACACCTGGGCAACGCCAGGCATTCTAATGAAAGAAACTTCTGGTTGACCTCATGCATTCTAATGATACAGACAACTGAGCGATCCCAGGCTTTCTAATGGGAGAGATTCCTGGCCAACCCCAGTCATTCTAATGATAGAGAAACCTGGGTGACCCCAGGCATTCTAATGGAAGAGATTTCTGGCCGACCTCAGGCATTCTAAAAATAAAGAAAGCTTGGTGACCCCAGGTATTCTAATGATAGAGACAACTGGGTGACACCAGGCACTCTAATAATAAAGACACCTGGGCGACCATAGGCGTTCTAATGATTAAGACAGCTGGGCAACCTCAGGCCTTCTAATGGAGAGACTCCTGGCTGACCCCAGGCATTCTAATTTGAGAGACTGCAGGCAGACCCCAGACATTGTATTGATAGAGAAACCTGGGTGACCACAGGCATTCTAATGATAGAGACCACTGCGTACCCCAGGCATTCTAATGATAGAGATACCTGGTCCACCACAGACATTCTAATGGGAGATGCCCCTGGCCAATCCTAGGCATTGTAATGATAGAGACAACTGGGCAACCCCAGGCATTCTAATGGGGGAGACTCCTGGCCAACTTTAGGCATTCTAGCAATAGAGACACCTGAGTGAGCCCAGGCATTCTAATGGAATAGATTTTTGGCTGACCCCATGTATTCTAATGATAGAGACACCTGGGTGACCCCAGGTATTCTAATGGGAGAGACTCCTGCTGACCCAGGCATTCTAATGATAGAGAGACCTGGGCAACCCCGGGCATTCTATTGGGAGAGACCTCAGGCCAACCCCAGGCATTCTAATTAAAGGGACAACTGGGCGACCCCAGGCATTCTAATGATAGAGACACCTGATGGATTACAGACATTCTAATAGGAGAGACTCCTTGCCGACCCCAGATACTGTAATGACAGATGTCGGGGTGATCAGACTCAACACCAGGTCATGGGGGTGATGAAGTCCGGCAGAGTCAAAGGAATGAGAAAAGACTGTTTGAGAAAGAAAGTGGGTCTAGGGGGCCAATGCTAGTATGGAGGCTGTGAAGGCCCCGAGCTCTGGAAGCCCAGACTATTTATTGGTGATCAAGCAAAGAAACGGGTGATGAGAATGTGGGGGTCAAAAGGGCAAGCACATGATCTACAGCTGTGATGGTTTAGCATTTCCTTTGAAGCATATGGGACATATTCTGCTACTTGAGATAATGGGGAGCATGTTCTTCTAGTTTAAGCTAGAAGCAAGGAGCCAGCAAGTCTAGACTCATTCCAGAGGCCACGAGAGGTTTTATGCTCTGAGCCCTGGACATCATGTCAGACATGCAAGCCCTGCCTCAGCTTTTTTCCCAACACTCAGCTTTTTCCCAACAGAAAGAGACATGTGGGAGACCCCAAGCATTCTAATGGGAGAGACTCCAGGCCAAACCCAGGCATTCTAATAATAGAGACTTTTAGGTTACCCCAGGCATTCTAATGATAGAGACACTGGAATGATTTCAATCATTATAATGGGAGAGACTCGTGGATGATTCCAGGCATTGTAATGACAGAGACACCTGGGTGACTACAGAAATTCTAATGGGAGAGACTCCTGGCTGACCTCAGGCATTGTAATGATAGAGACACCTGGGCGACCCCAGGCATTCTAATGAGAGAGACTCGTGGCTGACCCTTGGTATTCTTATGATAGAGACAACTGGGCGACCCCAGGCATTCTAATGGAAGAGACTCCTGGCTGACCACAGGCACTCTAATGATAAAAACACCTGAGCGACCCCAGGCACTATAATAATAGGAACACTTGGGCCACCCCAGGCACTCTAATTGGAGAGACTCATGGCCAACCCCAGGCATTGTAATGATAGAGACAGCTGGGCGACCTCAAGCATTCTAACCAGAGAGACACCTGGCCAACCCCAGACATTCTAATGATAGTAACAACTTCTCGACCCCAGGCATTCTAATGGAGAGATTCCTGGCAGACCCCAGGCATTGTAATGATAGAGACCCCTCTTCAACCCTAGGCATTCTAATGGGAGAGACTCTTGGCTGACCCCAGGCATTCTAATGGTAGAGACACCTGGACAACCCCAGCCATGCTAATGGGAGATACTCGTGGCTGATTCCAGGCATTGTAATGATAGACACCTGGGCAACCACCAGCTTTCTATGGGAGAGACTCCTGGCCAACCCCAGGCATTCTAATGATAGAGATATCTGGGCTACCCCAGGAATTTTAAAGATAGAGACACGTGACCAACCCCAGGTGTTCTTACAGGAAAGACTCCTGGCTGACCTCAGGCATTCTAATGATAAAGACACTTGGCGACCTCCTGCATTCTAAGGACAGAGACATCTAGCCCACCCCCAGGCATTCTAATGGGAGAAACTCCTGGCCGACCCCAGGCATTCTAATGATAGAGGCTTTTGGCCAACTCCAAGCATTCTAATGGTAAAGACAACTGTGTGACCTCAGGCATTCTAAGGATAGAGCCACCTGGCTGACTTCTGGCATTGTAATGGGACTCCTGGCCAACACCAGTCCTTCTAATGATAGAGACACATGGGTGACCTCAGGCATTCTAAGGATAGAGAAACCTGGCCGACCACAGGCATTGTAACCAGAGAGAATTTTGGCCAACCTGAGACATTCTAATTATAGAGACTCCTGGGAATCCTCAGGCATTCTAATGATAGAGACACCTGGGCAACCTCAGGCATTCTATAAAGACACCTGGCTGACCCTAGGAATTCTAACAGGAGAGACACCTGGCTGACCCCAGGCATTCTAATCAGAGAGACACCTTGGCGACCTCAGGCATTGGAAGGATAGAGACACCTGGCCGAATTCAAGCATTCTAAAGGGAGAGACTCCTGGCTTGACCCCAGGCATTCTAATGATAGAGACTCATAGCTGAGCCCAGGCATTCTAATAATGGAGACACCTTGGCCACCTCAGTCATTCTAAGGATGGAGACACCTCGGCGACCTCAGGCGTTCTAAAAATAGAGACACCTGGCCAACACCAGGCATTCTAACAGGAGAGACTCCTGGCCGACCCCAAGCATTCTAATGATAGAGACTCCTGGCCAACCACAGGCATTCTAATTATAGACACACCTGGGCAAACTCAGGCATTCTAACGATAGACACCTAGCCGACAACAGGCATTCTAACGGGAGAGATTTCTGGCCCTCCTCAGTCATCCTAATGATAAGACACCTTGGTGACCTCAGGCATTCTAAGGATAGAGAAACCTGGGTGACCCCAGGCATTCTAACCAGAGAGACTCCTATTTGGCCAAACAGATGTCTGGCCATCCCCAGGCATTCTAATGGGAGAGATGCCTGGCCAGCCTCATGGATTCTAATGATGGAGGCTTCTGGCCAATGCCAGGCATTCTAAGGACAGAGACATCTGGCCGACCTCAAGCATTCTAACTGAAGAGACTCCTGGCTGACCCCAGGCATTCTAATGATAGTCACCTGGGTGAACTCAGGCATTCTAATGAGAGAGACTCCTGGTTGAGTACAGGAATTTTAATAATAGAGATGCCTGGGTGACCCCAGGCATTCTAATGGGAGAGACTCCTTGCCGACCCCAGGCATTCTAATGATAGGGACATCTTAGCGACCACAGGCATTTTGTTGGGAGAGACTCCTTGCCGACTGCAGGCATTCTAATGATAGAGACACCTAAGCGACCCCAGGCATTCTAATGATAGACACACCTGGGCAACTCCAGGCATTCTAATGGGAGAGACTCCTGGCTGACCCCAGGCATTCTAATGATAGAGACAACTGGGTGACCCCAGGCATTCTAATGAAAAAGACACCTGGGCAATTCCAGGCATTCTAATGATAGAGACACCTGGGCAACCCCATGCATTCTAATTTGAGAGACTCCTAGCCGACTCCAGGCATTATAATGATGGAGACACCTGGGAGACCCTAGACATTCTAATAAGAAAAACTCCTGGCCAATTCCAGGCATTCTAATAATAGAGACATCGGGTGATCCCAGG
Organism: Homo sapiens; assembly: GCF_000001405.40. Lineage (NCBI taxonomy): Eukaryota > Metazoa > Chordata > Mammalia > Primates > Hominidae > Homo > Homo sapiens. The sequence continues at coordinate 228,534,174 of NC_000001.11, read as the reverse complement.
CATTCAAATTGGAGACAGACTCTGGGCCGACCCCAGGCATTCTAATGATAGAGACACCTTAGCGACCCTAAATATTCTAATGAGAGAGAACCCTGGCTGACCACAGGCATTCTAATAATAGAGACAACTGGGCAACACTTGACATTCTAATAATAGAGGCTCCTGGATGACCCCAGGCATTTTAAAGGGAGAGACTATTGGCTGACCCCAGGCATTTAAATGATAGAGACACCTGGGCAACCTCAGGCATTCTAATGGAAAAATCTTTTGTCTGAATGCAGGCATTCTAATGATAGAGACACCTGGATGACCCCGGGCATTCTAATTATAGAGACACCTGGGCAACCCCAGGCATTCTAATGGGAGAGACTCCTGGCTGACCCCAGGCATTGTAATGATAGAAACACCTGGACAACCCCAAGTATTCTAATGAGACAGACTCCTGGCCAACCCAGGCTTTCTAATGATAGAGGCACCTGGGTGAACCCAGTATTTCTAATGATAGAGACATTTTGGCAACCACAGGCTCTCTAATGGGGGAGATTCCTGGCCACCTGCAGGCATTCTAATGATAGAGACACCTGGGCAAGCCCAGGCATTTTAATAAAAGAGACTCCTGTCCAACCCCAGGCATTGTAATGATAGAGACACCTGGGGGACCCCAGGCAGTTTAATGGGAGACACTCCTCATCGACACTAGGCTTTCTAATGATAGAGACACCTGGGTGACCTCAGCATTCTAATAGGAGAGACTCCTGGACAAATCCAACCATTCTAATGATAGAGACACTTCTGCGACTACAGTCATTCTAACAGGGGAGACCCCTGGCCAACCCCAGGCATTCTAATTATAGAGACATCTGGAAGACCCCAGGCATTCTAAAAATAGACACCTGGGAGACCCCAGGTATTCTAATGGGAGAGACTACTGGTCTACCCCAGGCATTTTAATGGTAGAGACACCTGGGCGACCTTAGGCATTCCAATGGGAGAAACATTTGGCCAACCCCAGGCATTCTAATGAGCGAGACACCTGGGCAACTTCAGACAGTCTAATGATAGAGACACCTGGGTGGCCCCAGGCATTCTAATGGGAGAGACTCCTGGCCGACTTCAGGCATTCCAATGATGGAGACAGCATGGCAACCTCAGGCATTCTAATGGAAGAGACCCATGGCCAGCCTTAGGCATTCTAATAATGGAGTCACTTGGGTGACCCCAGGCATATTAATGATAGAGACACCTGGGCAACCCCAGGCATTCTAAAAAGAGACTCCTGGCTGACCCCAGGCATTCACATGATAGAGACACCTGGGCGACCCCAGGCATTCTAATGATGGAGACACCTGGGAGACCCCAGGCATTCTAATGGGAGAGAATCTCTTCTGACCTGTGGCATGGCAATAATAGAGACACCTGGGCGACCCCAGGCATTTTTTTTTTTTTTTTGAGATGGAATCTGGCTCTGTTGCCCAGGCTGGAGTGCAGTGGCGCATCTCTGCTCACTGCAAGCTCCACCTTCCAGGTTCACGCCATTCTCCTGCCTCAGCCTCCCATGTAGCTGGGACTACAGGTGCTGCCACCATGCCCAGGTAATTTTTTTTGTGTGTTTTGTTTTGTTTTGTTTTTGGGACGGAGTCTTGCTCTGTTGCCCAGGCTGGAGTGCAATGGCGCGATCTTGGCTCACTGCAAGCTCCACCTCCCAGGTTCATGCCATTCTCCTGCCTCAGCCTCCCACGTAACTGGGATTACAGGCGCCTGCCACCACACCCGGCTAATTTTTTTGTATTTTTAGTAGAGACGGGGATTCACCATGTTAGCCAGGATGGTCTCGATCTTCTGACCTCATGATCCGCCCGCCTCAGCCTCCCAAAGTGGTGGGATTACAGGCGTGAGCCACCACACCTGGCCAATATTTTGTATTTTTTTTTTAGCAGAGATGGGGTTTCACTGTGTTAGCCAGGCTGGTCTCGATCTCCTGACCTCGTGATCTGCCCGCCTCACCTCCCAAAGTGCTGGGATTACAGGCGTGAGCCACCCCGCCCAGCTGACCCCAGGCATTCTAACAGGAGATACTCCTGGCCGACCCCAGACATTCTAATGATATATACTTTTGGCTGACCCCCGGCATTCTAATGATATAGACACCTGGCTTACCTCCGGCATTCTAAGAATAGAGACACCTGGCTGACCCCAAGCATTCTAACTGAAGAGATTCCTGGTCAACTTCAGACATTCTAATGATAGGGACATCTGGCAACCTCAGGCATTCTAAGGATGGCAACACCTGGCCGACCCCAGGCATTCTAACAATAGAAACGCCTCGGCAACATCAGACATTCTAAAGATAGAGACAACTGGCATTCTAACAAGAGAGACTCCTGGCCAAATTCAGACATTCTAATGATATAGACCCTAATGATATATCTAATGATATAACAGGAGAGACTCCTGACCAACCCCAGGCATTCTAATGATAGAAACACCTCAGCGACATCAGACATTCTAAAGGTAGAGACAACTGGCATTCCAACAAGAGAGACTCCTGGCCAAATTCAGACATTCTAATGATATAGACCCCTGGCTGACCCCAGGCATTCTAATGACTGAGATTCCTGGCCTACCCCATGCATTCTAATGGCAGACACGCCTGGGTGACCTCAGGCATTTTAAGGATAGAGATACCTGGCCAACCCCAGGCATTCAAATGAGAGAAACTCCCGGCTGACCTTAGCCATTCTATGGCTAAGATGTCATGGTAATGACATCTGGGCAACATCAGGCATTCTAAGGGTATAGACAGCTGGCCAACCCTGGGCATTCTAATGATGAAGACTTCAGTCCAACCTCAGGCATTCTAATGATAGAGACATCTGTGCAACCTCAGGCATTCTAAGGGTAGAGACACCTGGCCAACCCCAGGCATTCTGAAGAGAGAGACTCCAGGCTGACCTCAGGCATTCTACTGATAGAGATGCTTCGTGACCTCAGGCATTCTAAGAATAGAGACACCTGGTTGACCTCAGACATTCTAACAGGAGAGACTCCTGGCTGACCCCAGGCATTCTAATGATAGAGACTCTTGGCTGATTCCAGGCATTCTAAAGATAGACACACCTGGCCGGCCCCAGGCATTGTAATGGTAGAGACTCATGGCTGACACCAGGCATTCTAATGATAGAGACACCTGGGCAACCTCAGGCATTCTAAGGGTAGAGACACCTGGCCGACCCCAGGCATCCTATTGGGAGAGACTCCTAGCCAACCCCAGGCATTGTAATGATAGAGACTGCTGGCCAACTCAAGACACTCTAGTTATAAAGACACCTGGGTGGCCTCAGGCATTCTAAGGATGGAGACACCTGGCTGACCCCAGGCACTCTATCCAGAGACTCTAGGCCATCCCCAGACATTCTAATGATGGAGATACCTGGGTGACCTCAGGCATTCTAAAAATAGGGACACCTGGCCGACCCCAGTAATTCTAATGGGAGAGATTCCTGGCCAACCACAGGCATTCTAGTGATAGATACTCCTGGCCAACCACAGGCATTCTAGTGATAGATACTCCTGGCCAGCCCCAGGCATTGTAATGATAAAGACACCTGGGTGACCTCAGGCATTCTAAGAATAGTGACACCTGGCCCAATCCAGGCATTCTAATGGGAGATACTCCTTGCCAACCACAGGCATTCTAATGATAGAGACACCTGGCTGACTCCAGGCATCCTAACGGGAGAGACTCCTGGCCGACCCCAGGCATTCTAATGGGAGAGACTCCTGGCTGACCCCAGGCATTCTAATAATAGAGATTCCTGGCCCACCCCAGACATTCTAATGATAGAGACACCTGGGTGACCTCAGGCATTCAAAGGATAGAGACACCTGGCTGACCTAGGCATTCTAACAGGAGAGACTTCTGGCCTACCCCAGGCATTCTAATGATAGAGACTTCTGGCTGACCCCAGGCATTCTAATGATAGAGACACCTGGGCAACCTCAGGTATTCTAAGGATGGAGACACCTGGCCAATTCCAGGCATTCTAAAGAGACAGACTTTTGGCTGAACTCAGGAATTCTAATGAGAGAGATACCTGGTCAAACTTAGTCATTCTAAAAACAGAGACATCTGGCCCACCCCAGGCATTTCAACAGGAGAGACTCCTGGCCTATCCCAGGCATTCTAATGATAGAGACTCCTGGCTGACCCCAGGCATTTTAATCATAGAGACACCTGGGCAACCTCAGGCATTCTAAGGATAGAGACACCTAACCAACCCCAGGCATTTTAACAGGAGAGACTCCTGGCCGACCCCAGGCATTCTAATGATAAAGATTCCTGATCAACCACAGGCATTATTATTATAGAGACACCTGGGGGACCTCAGGCATTCTAAGGATACAGACATCTGGCCGGCCCCAGGCATTCTAATGATAAAGATTCCTGGCCAACCACAGGCATTATTAGTATAGAGACACCTGGGGGACCTCAGGCATTCTAAGGATACAGACAGCTGGCCGACCCCATGCATTCTAATGGGAGAGACTCCTGGCTGACCTCAGGCATTCTAATGATAGAGACACCTGGGCAACCTCAGGCATTCTAAGGATAGAGACAACTTGGTGGCCTCAGGCATTCTAAGGATAGACACACATGGCCGGCCCCATGCATGTTAACAGGAGAGACTAGTGGTTGGACCTAGGCTTTCTGATTTTAGAGACACCTGGGGGACCTCAGGCATTCTAAGGATAAAGACACCTGGCTGACCCCAGGCATTCTAACGGGAGAGACCCCTGGCAGACTCCAGGCATTCTAATGATAGAGACACCTGGGCAACCTCAGACATTCTAAGGATAGAGACACCTGGCTGACTCTAGGTATTCTAACAGGAAAGACTCCTGGCTGACCCCAGGCATTCTAATGATAGAGACACCTGCATGACCTCAGGCATTCTATGGATAGAGATACCTGGCCAACCCCGGTGACTCCACAGTGACTCCTTGGCCCCTGCAATGCCACCATCCAAGGACAGAGGTGGTGCATGTGGAAGCAGTGTGGGGGACCCCAATGAACCCCTAATTTCACCTACCCTGCCCCCAGGTTAGCCCAAGCCCAAACACAGATATAGCCAAGGTTCAGTGGAGTGGGCATGACACAACCCCACATCTCACCTTCTAGGGACCAGTGGCTACTGGTGGGCACAGACTCCTCAAGCTCTGATGCAGCAGGTGCCACCCAGCACCCCAGCTTATGTCCAGCAAGGCAGCAGAAGCAAAAGCACAACTAAACTCAAAAAATTGGACATGGGAAACAGGCACAAGAAGTGACACCCACAGGTCAAAGGTCACCAGAAGCACCAGCACTTTACCACTGCACAAAACCTCAACAGGCACAGACGACACCACAGCACTGGCAACAGACAGACGCAGGAAGGGCAGAGGAGTAAGTCAGTTTTGGTACAGTTGCAAAAGATATCCAAGAGCATGGCCTTCTGGTTGGCTCACAGCTTGGCTTTTTTTTTTTTTTTTTTGTCTTTTTTAAACTAAGTTTTATAAATAATGTCTGATAACTCTGTGTATGTACAAACTAAACTCCAACAGCCACAAAGAATTTTCTGTAAGTTTACAAGAAAGGGACTTTTTTGGGATTGTTTTTCTTTTTTTTTAACTAGCAAAGTTTCTATTATACTTTCTTCCCTTTTCCATTTAGATGGTTAAATCGTCTTCTTGCCTGTTTTTTTCTAAAAGACAGTTTTATAAACACTCTGCAGCTCTTTTTTTCTTTAACATTTAAACATATAATTAATTTAATAACTTCGTAAAAGGGGTTTCTGTCTTTTAAATAAAAGGCTATGTAACCACACAAATAGGTCATGTAAACAGTGTCACGGGATCCATCGCAGGGCACATTGGGCTCACCCTCACATAAGCGCACAACCTACAATTTGGTCTCGTTTAGTACAATGGGACAGGCTTGAGCGGACAGCCCCTGGTCCTAGCTGCATGCCCCCAGCACCACTGTGCCCAGGCTGGTGGTCCATCCATCAGGGCCCTCAAAGCTACCCTACTCTCAAAGTAAAGCTGAGCTGCCCTCCCGGGGCTAAGGAAAGTGAAACTCTCCCCATTCTCTAGCACTTGCTGTTCTTGTTTTTTGAAGGCTATAGTTGTCATTCATTTCGTTACTTTTCCAGAGTGTTTTTGCGGAGACCGTATTACTTGTATGTACTTGCTGGTGTCTGTATCTGTGGCTCGTGTTTATTGAGTGTTTTGACAGCAATTTGCTTGAATGCCAGGAGCTAAGAAAGAAAGAAAAAAAGAAGAAGAAACAAAATCTCGCCTCTTCCTCTTTCTGTGACTGGCTCTGTGCTGGGGCATTCCTTTAACGTGTCCAGGCTGTCAACAACTGCTCCAGTCTTTGCTTTCTGTTGAACTGTGCCTGGTGATCAGCCAGTGCTGAAAATAAGGCTTTCTTTAGGTCTTTAGGTCTTATCAGACAATGTCCCCTGGCTCCAGGCATGCATAGGGCTTTCTCAATTCCCCAGTATACCTGGGTGCTTTTGAATACCCTAATTTCTAAAAGAAATGTTCACTCCTGTTTCTCCCCCTGAGCTGTATATATGGTCTATTGTAGATGTCAATACATACAATATTGTAATGTATTCTTCCAGGTAGCAGCAGACTTTTTATTTATTTAACATCTTCTTTGTTCTTTTTTTTTTTTCAGATGGAGTCTTGCTCTGTCCTCTAGGCTGGAGTGCAGTGGCAAGATCTCAGCTCACTACAACCTCTGCCTCCTGGGTTCATGCAATTCTCATGCCTCACCCTTCCAAGTAGCTGGGACTACACCTGTGTACCACCGTGCCTGGCTAATTTTTGTACTTTTAGTAGAGACAGGGTTTTGCCATGTTGGTCAGGCTGGTCTTGAGCTCCTGACCTCAAGTAATCCACCCACCTCAGCCTCCCAAAGTACTGAGATTACATGCCTGAGCCACCATGCCCAGCCTTACTTAACACTTCCAAGCAATTCCTGCCAGATTTCCACATTGACTGGGTTCTGACTTGGACAAAACAGATGAGAGCCTTGTTTCAGAACTTTACGTAGCCCCCAGATAGATTGGAACATAGAAACATGATAATTTGCAAATAAGATCTCCACTCCCTCTGGAACGTGTGACCAGGGCCCCACACTGGGAACTCAGGTTGTTGTCTAAAAGACTGGCACCAAGCCAAGGAGAGGTTGGAGCAAGGACAAGTAAACTATCCACCAGGCTTTCCTTCCATTTTTCACTGTTGTTTATTCTTCTTTACCTGGTTCCTGTAAACCCTTGACAGTTTTGAGGGGGGTGGAGCCAAGATGACCAAATAGGAACAGCTCCAGTCCACAGCTCCCAGCATGAGCGACGCAGAAGATGGGTGATTTCTGCATTTCCATCTGAGGTACTGGGTTCATCTCACTGGGGAGTGTTGGAAAGTGGGTGCAGAACAGTGGGTGCAGCGCACCGAGCATGAGCCAAAGCAGGGCGAGGCATCCCCTCACCCGGGAAGTGCAAGGGGTCAGGGAATTCCCTTTCCTAGTCAAAGAAAGGGGTGACAGACGGCACCTGGAAAATCGGGTCACTCCCACCCTAATACTGCGCTTTTCCAATGGTCTTAGAAAATGGCACACCAGGAGATTATGTCCTGCACCTGGCTTGGAGGGTCCGACACCCACAGAGCCTTGCTCATTGCTAGCACAGCAGTCTGAGATCAAACGGCAAGGTGGCAGTGAGGCTGGGGGAGGGGCGCCCGCCATTGCCAAGGCTTGATTAGGTAAACAAAGCAGCCTGGAAGCTCGAACTGGGTGGAGCCCACCACAGCTCAAGGAGGCCTGCCTGCCTCTGTACACTCCACCTCTGGGGGCAGGGCATAGCCAAACAAAAGGCAGCAAAAACCTCTGCAGACTTAAATGTCCCTGTCTGACAGCTTTGAAGAGAGTAGCAATTCTCCCAGCATGCAGCTGGAGATCTGAGAATGGACAGACTGCCTCCTCAAGTGGGTCCCTGACCCCCAAGTAGCCTAACTGGGAGGCACTCCCCAGTAGGGGCAGACTGACATCTCACACGGCCGGGTACTCCTCTGGGACAAAACATCCAGAGGAACCATCAGGCAGCAACACTTGCTGTTCACCAATATCCGCTGTTCTGCAGCCTCTGCTGCTGATACCCAGGCAAACAGGGTCTGGACTGGACCTCCGGCAAACTCCAACAGACCTGCAGCTGAGGGTCCTGACTGTTAGAAGGAAAACTAACAAACAGAAAGGACATCCACACCAAAACCCATCTGTATGTCACCATTATCAAAGACCAAAGGTAGATAAAACTACAAAGATGGGGAAAAAACAGCAGAAAAACTGGAAACTCTAAAAAGCAGAGTGCCTCTCCTCCTCCAAAGGAACGCAGCTCCTCACCAGCAACAGAACAAAGCTGGATGGAGAATGACTTTGATGAGGTGAGAGAAGAAGGCTTCAGACAATCAAACCACACCAAGCTAAATGAGGAAGTTCGAACCAATGGCAAAGAAGTTAAAAACCTTGAAAAAAAATTAGACGAATGGCTAACTAGAATAACCAATGCAGAGAAGTCCTTAAAGGACCTGATGGAGCTGAAAACCATGGCAGGAGAACTACATGATGAATGCGCAAGCCTCAGTAGCCAATTTGATCAACTGGAAGAAAGGGTATCAGTGATGGAAGATCAAATGAATGAAATGAAGCAAGAAGAGAAGTTTAGAGAAAAAAGAATAAAAAGAAACGAACAAAGCCTCCAAGAAACATGGGACTATGTGAAAAGACCAAATCTACGTCTGATTGGTGTACCTGAAAGTGACGGGGAGAATGGAACCAAGTTGGAAAACACTCTACAGGATATTATCCAGGAGAACTTCCCCAACCTAGCAAGGCAGGCCAACATTCAGATTCAGGAAATACAGAGAATGCCACAAAGATACTCCTCGAGAACAGCAACTCCAAGACACATAATTGTCAGATTCACCAAAGTTGAAATGAAGGAAAAAATGTTAAGGGCAGCCAGAGAGAAAGGTCGGGTTACCCACAAAGGGAAGCCCATCAGACTAACAGCTGATCTCTCGGCAGAAACTCTACAAGCCAGAAGAGAGTGGGGGCCACTATTCAACATTCTTAAAGAAAAGAATTTTCCACCCAGAATTTCATATCCAGCCAAACTAAGCTTCATAAGTGAAGGAGAAATAAAATCCTTTACAGACAAGCAAATGCTGAGAGATTTTGTCACCACCAGGCCTGCCTTACAAGAGCTCCTGAAGGAAGCACTAAACATGGAAAGGAACAACTGGTACCAGCCACTGCAAAAACATGCCAAATTGTAAAGACCATCGAGGCTAGGAAGAAACTGCATCAGCTAACGAGCAAAATAACAAGCTGACATCATAATGACAGGATCAAATTCACACATAACAATATTAACCTTAAATGTAAATGGGCTAAATGCTCCAATTAAAAGACACAGACTGGCAAATTGGATAAAGAGTCAAGACCCATCAGTGTGCTGTATTCAGGAAACCCATCTCACAGGCAGAGACACACATAGGCTCAAAATAAAGGGATGGAGGAAGATCTACCAAGCAAATGGAAAACAAAAAAAGGTAGGGGTTGCATTCCTAGTCTCCGATAAAACAGACTTTAAACCAACAAAGATCAAAAGAGACAAAGAAGGCCATTACATAATGGTAAAGGGATCAATTCAACAAGAAGAGCTAACTATCCTAAATATATATGCACCCAATACAGGAGCACCCAGATTCATAAAGCAAGTCCTTAGAGACCTACAAAGAGAATTAGACTCCCACACAATAATAATGGGAGATTTTAACACCCCACTGTCAACATTAGACAGATCAACAAGACAGAAAGTTAACAAGGATATCCAGGAATTGAACTCAGCTCCGGACCAAGCGAACCTAATAGACATCTACAGAACTCTCCACCCCAATTCAACAGAATATACATTCTTTTCAGCACCACACCACACCTATTCCAAAATTGACCACATAGTTGGAAGTAAAGCTCTCCTCAGCAAATGTAAAAGAACAGAAATTATAACAAACTGTCTGTCAGACCACAGTGCAATCAAACTAGAACTCAGGATTAAGAAACTCACTCAAAACCACTCAACTACATGGAAACTGAACAACCTGCTCCTGAATGACTACTGGGTACATAACGAAATTAAGGCAGAAATAAAGATGTTCTTTGAAACCAATGAGAACAAAGACACAACATACCAGAATCTCTGGGATGCATTCAAAGCAGTGTGTAGAGGGAAATTTATAGCACTAAATGCCCACAAGAGAAAGCAGGAAAGATCTAAACTTGACACCCTAACATCACAATTAAAAGAACTAGAGAAGCAAGAGCAAACACATTCAAAACTAGCAGAAGGCGAGAAATAACTAAGATCAGAGCAGAACTGAAGGAAATAGAGACACAAAAAACCCTTCAAAAATCAATGAATCCAGAAGCTGGTTTTTTTTAAAAGATCAACAAAATTGATAGACTGCTAGCAAGATTAATAAAGAAAAGAGAGAAGAATCAAATAGATGCAATAAAAAATGATAAAGGGGATATCACCACCAATCCCACAGAAATACAAACTACCATCAGAGAATACTGTAAACACCTCTATGCAAATAAACTAGAAAATCTAGAAGAAATGGATAAATTCCTCGACACATACACCCTCCCAAGACTAAACCAGGAATAAGTTGAATCTCTGAATAGACCAATAACAGGCTCTGAAATTGAGGCAATAATTAATAGCTTACCAATCAAAAAAAGTCCAGGACCAGATGGATTCACAGCCGAATTCTACCAGAGGTACAAGGAGGAGCTGGTACCATTCCTTTTGAAAGTATTCTAATCAATAGAAAAAGAGGGAATCCTCCCTAACTCATTTTATGAGGCCACCATCATCCTGATACCAAAGCCTGGCAGAGACACAACAAAAAAAGAGAATTTCAGACCAATATCCCTGATGAACATCAATGCAAAAATCCTCAATAAAATACTGGCAAACCAAATCCAGCAGCACATCAAAAAGCTTATCCACCATGATCAAGTGGGTTTCATCCCTGGAATGCAAGGCTGGTTCATCATACGCAAATCAATAAATGTAATCCAGCATATAAACAGAACCAACGACAAAAACCACATGATTATCTCAATAGATGCAGAAAAGGTCTTTGACAAAATTCAACAATGCTTCATGCTAAAAAGTCAATAAATTAGATCTTGATGGGATGTATCTCAAAATAATAAGAGCTATCTATGACAAACCCATAGCCAATATCATACTGAATGGGCAAAAACTGGAAGCATTCCCTTTGAAAACTGGCACAAGACAGGGATGTCCTCTCTCACCACTCCTATTCAACATAGTGTTGGAAGTTCTGGCCAGGGCAATCAGGCAAGAGAAGGAAATAAAGGGTATTCAATTAGGAAAAGAGGAAGTCAAATTGTCCCTGTTTGCAGATGACATGATTGTATATCTAGAAAGCCCCATCGTCTCAGCCCAAAATCTCCTTAAGCTGATAGGCAACTTCAGCAAAGTCTCAGGATACAAAATCAATGTGCAAAAATCACAAGCATTCTTATACACCAGTAACAGACAAACAGAGAGCCAAATCATGAGTGAACTCCCATTCACAATTGCTTCAAAGAGAATAAAATACCTAGAAATCCAACTTACAAGGGAAGTGAAGGACCTCTTCAAGGAGAATTACAAACCACTGCTCAATGAAATAAAAGAGGATACAAACAAATGGAAGAATATTCCATGCTCATGAGTAGGAAGAATCAATATCATGAAAATGGCCATACTGCCCAAAGTAATTTATAGATTCAATGCCATCCCCATCAAGCTACCAATGACTTTCTTCACAGAATCGGAAAAAACTACTTAAGTTCATATGGAACCACAAAAGAGCCCGCATTGCCAAGTCAATACTAAGCCAAAAGAACAAAGCTGGAGGCATCATTCTACCTGACTTCAAACTACACTACAAGGCTACAGTAACCAAAACAGCATGGTACTGGTCCCAAAACAGAGATATAGACCAATGGAACAGAATAGAGACCTCAGAAATAATGCCACATATCTACAACTATCTGATCTTTGACAAACCTGACAAAAACAAGAAATGGGAAAAGGATTCCCTATTTAATAAATGGTGCTGGGAAAACTGGCTAGCCATATGTAGAAAGCTGAAACTGGATCCCTTCCTTACACCTTATACAAAAATTAATTCAAGATGGATTAAAGACTTAAATGTTAGACCTAAAACCATAAAAATCCTAGAAGAAAACCTAGGCGATACTATTCAGGACATAGGCATGGGCAAGGACTTCATGTCTAAAACACCAAAAGCAATGGCAACAAAAGCCAAAATTGACAAATGGGATCTAATTAAACTAAAGAGCTTCTGCACAGCAAAAGAAACTACCATCAGAATGAACAGGCAACCATTCTGTAGAATAGGAGAAAATTTTTGCAATCTACTCATCTGACAAAGGGCTAATATCCAGAATCTACAATTAACTCAAACAAATTTACAAGAAAAAAACAAACAACCCCATCAAAAAGTGGGCAAAGGATATGAACAGAGGCTTCTCAAAAGAAGACATTTATGCAGCCAAAAGACACATGAAAAAATGCTCATCATCACTGGCCATCAGAGAAATGCAAATCAAAACCACAATGAGATATCATCTCACACCAGTTAGAATGGCGATCATTAAAAAGTCAGGAAACAACAGGTGCTGGAGAGGATGTGGAGAAATAGGAACACTTTTACACTGTTGGTGGGACTGTAAACTAGTTCAACCATTGTGGAAGTCAGTATGGCAATTCCTCAGGAATCTAGAACCAGAAATACCATTTTACCCAGCCATCCCATTACTGGGTATATACCCAAAGGATTATAAAACATGCTGCTATAAAGACACATGCACACGTATGTTTATTGTGGCACTATTCACAATAGCAAAGACTTGGAACCAACCCAAATGTCCAACAATGATAGACTGGATTAAGAAAATGTGGCACATATACACCATGGAATACTATGCAGCCATAAAGAATGATGAGTTCATGTCCTTTGTAGGGACATGGATGAAGCTGGAAACCATCATTCTCAGCAAAGTATCGCAAGGACAAAAAACCAAACACCGCATGTTCTCACTCATAGGTGGGAATTGAACAATGAGAACACATGGACACAGGAAGGGGAACATCACACACCAGGGCCTGCTGTGGGGTGGGGGGAGGGGGGAGGGATAGCATTAGGAGATATATCTAATGTTAAATGACGAGTTAATGGGTGCAGCACACCAACATGGCACATGTATACATATGTAACTAACCTGCACGTTGTGCACATGTACCCTAAAACTTAAAGTATAAAAAAAAAAAAAACCTTTGACAGTATTCAAGAATTTTGACAAAGTTATTCCTGGCCATTCTGCTTGTTTTTCCATGTTTCTCTGCAAGGAGAGGTGTTTGGAGAAGCTCATTCTGCCATTATACTCACCTCACTCTTCCTGGACTCTGTTGTCTTTCATTGATATAAAGGACTTTTCTTGTGCCATTAGTATACAATCTAGATTACTGTTGCTTTGAGGCAAGTTTTAAAACTGAAGTGTGAGTCTTCCTTTTTTGGTCTTTTTCAAGAGCATTGTGGTATTCTGAGGCCTTTTTGTTCCCATATGAGTTTTAGCATTGACTTTTTAAATTCTGCAAGGTACTTAACTGACAGGAATTGTATGAAATCTGTGGATTGTTTTGGGTAGTGTTGCCTTCTTAATATTAAGCCTACTTATCTATGCTCTTGAGATCTAACATTTAAATCTTCAATGCCTTTCAACAAGGTTTGTGGGTTTCAGACTATAAGTTTTGTACTTTTGTTAAATTTATTATACCTCTTCCTCTTGGTTGCTGCCAAGTTTTGAAAAGTATGAATAATGTTGCTGTACACATCCCTGTACAGGTTTTTGTGTGGGTCTACATTTTCATTTAGGTAAACTCACCTTTTGGTATTGGCTTATCATCCAGGAGACACCTCTCTGCCACGTGACATGCAGTTGAGAACATTATGAAAATCAAGTGGCTATGGACCTATGATGAGGTTTGTTAAAATCTGTGTGTGTGTGTGTGTGTGTGTGTGTGTGCAAGCGCACGCATGCACGTGTGTGTGTCTATGTTTCAGCCCAAGTGATTCACCAAGTATTAATCTCCTCCTGTGTAACAGACCTTCTAGTAGGGGCTACCGTGAATAAAACAGAACAAATAACCCTGTCCACTTGAAGGTGACATTGTAGGAAACAGGGAACAAGAGATGCAAGTAAAACACACAGTGGACAGATGGTGGTTGTTGCTAAGGAAGGTAAGAAGGGCAGTAGTGACCGTGGCAGCCTGGGCTGTGTGTTTCTGAACATCTGTTGGTGTCTTTGTGCCATCTCTGAGGATTACTGAGCTCATGTGTCTGTCTGGGTGTACCCACCTGTATGTGCACATCCCCTGTTCATGGGTTGGAAGAGTTAATACTGTTAAGATGTTAATATTACCCCAAATGATATACAAATTCAATACAATTCCTACCAAAATCCCAAAGACTTAAAAAAAAAAGAAAGTACCATTCTAAAATTCATATGGAATAACAAGAAACTCTGATTAGCCAAAACCATTGAAAAAGCAGAACAAAGCTGGAAGTCTCACTGTGCTTGATTTCAAAACTTACTGAAAGTTTCAGTAATCAAAACAGTGTGATATTGGCACAAAGACAGACACACACACCAATGTGTAGAATAGAAAGCCAAGATGGATGCCCTCACATATATGATAAAATGATTTTCAAGATGGTGCCAGGATCACTCAGTGGAAAAGGAAGTATCTGAAAAAAAAATAGGGCTGTAGAAGTATGAAGTTAGACAGTTTCCTTACACCACATACAAAAATGAAATCAAAATGGATCAAAGACCTGAAAGAAAGTGCTAAAACTAAACAACCCTTAGAAGAACATATAGGGCAGAAGTTTCATAACTTTGGATTTTGCAATGATTTCTTGCATATGACACCACAAACCCAGTCAACACCAACCAAAAAAGGACAAATTTGATCTCATAAAAATTTAAAACTTTTGTCCCTCAGGGGCACCTTTAATAGAGTAAAAATGCTACTCACACACTTGTAGAAAATACTTGGAAATAATATGTCTGGTAAGGTATTAATATCCAGAACATATTTTTGTTTTGTTTTGTTTTGTTTTGAGACAGCGTCTCACTCTGTTACCCAGGCTGGAGTGCAGCAGTGTAATCACAGCTTACTGTGATCATCCCACCTCAGCTTTTCGAGTAGTGGGGACTGCAGGTGCATGCCACCATGCCCAGCTAATTATTTGTATTTTTTATAGAGACAGGGTTTCACCATGTTGGCCAAGCTGGGCTCAAGAGATCCACTTGCCTCGGCTTCCCAAAGTGCTGGGATTACAGGTGTGAGCCACTGTGCCAGGTCCAGAAAATATTTTTTAAAAAGCATTTGACAAGTTTCAGCACCCCTTCAGGATGAAAACACTCAATAAACTAGGAATGGAAAGGACCTCCCTTGAGATGCTATGAGGCATCTATAAAAACCCCACAACTAACAAAGTACTTGATGCTGAGAGACTGAATGCCTTCCCCCTAATATCAGAAACAAGACAAGGATGTCTGCACTCACCACTTCTATTCAACATGCCCAGGGATGCACTACCACAGAAATTAGACGATACAATGAAATAACAGTATTCCAGATTTTAAAGGACATAACACACATAGCTGTGTGATTTTTTGTCTGTCTGGGGAGCTACACACATAGCTGTGTGATTTTGTGTCTGTCTGGGGAGCTATGTGTGTATGTCCTTTAAAATCTGGAATACTTTCCAGATTTGTGGTGGAAATGGAAGTGTTTTCCTGAGCTGACGTATGCCATTATTTGTAGAAAGCCTTGGTCTCCTTAGGCTATGACTTTTATGGGTTTTCTCAGTCCTCACCCCCATTATTAAGTCAGGCAGTTTAGAGTTAAATACAATTAGGTATTTCCCTTAGGCAACGAGGTTTGGCTCTGGTAAAATCTCAGAAGAGGAGGAGGAGGAGGAGAAAGAGGAGGAGGAAAGAAGGGGAAGGGGAAGGAGGAGGAGGAGGGAAGAAGGGGAAGGGGAAGAAGGAAGAAGAGGAGGAGGAGAAGGAGAAGGAGATAAGGGAAGGAGAATGAGGTGATGACAAAGATAGCCAAGATGAGGATGGCAAAGAAGAATAAAGAAGAGGGAGAGCGTAAAAAGACAACCACAAAGCAGATCATGATAATGAAGAAGAAGCAGAAAAGGAGGAGGAAAAGGAAGGGAAAATGAGAGAGAAAAAGGAGAAATACAAGAATAATGTAAGAAAAATGTGGGAGGAGGAGGGTAGGAGAAGCAGGATGGAGAGTAGCAAGAAGATGAGAATGTGGAGAAGAAGAAAAGGAGAAGGAGGCATTAGAGAAAGAAGGATATCAACTCCTGATATCAACAAAATGAACTTTTGTTCATTTGATTCACTAATGCATTCCAAAGGACCTGAATGCCTGACACAGACTTTTATGAATAAATAATCTGCGTCAAATCTGTGTACAAAATGACCCTACTTCATTTACTTCATTTAATTTAGTTCTTCTTCTTCCCTTGCTGTATCCCATCTCACTTTTTCTTTTTCTTTTATCTTTCTCTTCTGCTGAACCTTCCGTCTCATCCTGAAGGCCCCAGCATCCTTGCGTGCCCCTTCTGAGTCCTGTCTCCTCAAGAGTGGCCAGCCTGTGGCTTTTAGTCTTCATTGCACCCACCTGGTAGTCATTCAACTAACACTATCTCCAGAGTCTAAGACACAAAGGCAATCCTTAAATGTCCATGCTGGAGGGGCTGCTTGGCGGATCTGCTTGTTAGGGGGCTCTTCCAGCTACATTTACAGAGCACTTTACATAATATTGAGAAAAAATACATGGTTTGCATTAAAGAGTGGGAGGCCTTAGGAAAACAGAAGCGGGGTATGCTTGCTGCAAGGTACCACTTGGGCCTGGACTAGACACTGTGTAGACAGAAATTGCAAAGCCTCAGGGAGCAAATTTACCATCCAAGAGTGAGGTGAGACATATCATCCATGACTTGGGTAAATATCGTTTTAAATGCTTAGAGGATCCGGAATCCCTATGCACACAGTCCCAGGGGTTGTGGAAAGTAGAAAGTTTGTGCAGGGAATAGGGAGAAGAAGGAGAGATTAGGAAGAGTGTCATTTGTCCTCCAAGACTGCCCCTATGGGTTTGGTCCCATTTATAGGACAGAGAGAGGGTCTACAGGGAAAACACCAGTTGAGCTGTTTTCAGAGGCGCTTTGAGAAAAGAGGACACAAACTGGCCTGCTCAGGGCCCAGAGAGCAAAGCTGGCTCCCAGGCCCAGAACAGATGGAGGGGGAGGGAAATACAAGAGGACTCCTTCCGACAGAAAATCTCTCTGGCTTCTAGGGGATCTTAGGAGAAACTGGGCTTCTGCACAGCAAAAGCAGCCATCAATGGAGTAAACAGACAACCTGCAGAACAGGAGAAAATATTCACAAACTCAAATACTCATGAAATACTCACAAACTATCAGCAAAGGGCTAAGATCCAGAATCTATAAGGAACCTAAACAATTCAACAAGCTAAAAACAACTCCATTTAAAAATGGGCAAAGGACTTGAACAGACACGTCTCAAAAGAAGACATATATGCAGCCAACAAACGTGAAAAAATGCTCAACATCACTAATCATCAGAAATGCAGATCAAAATCACAATGAGACACTATCTCACACCAGTCAGAATGGCTATTACTAAAAAGTGAAAAAATTAACAGATGTTGGCAAATTTGTACAGAAAAAGGCAACATTTATACACCATGTGGGAGTGTATTAGTTAAGCTACCATGGAAAGCAATTCAGAGGTTTCTGAAAGAACTAAAAGTAGAACTGTCATTTGACCCAGCAATGCCATTATTGGGTACATAACCAAAGGAAAAGAAATCATTCTACCAAAAAGACACATGCACTCATATGTTTATTGCAGCACAATTCACAATAGCAAAGAAATGGAATCAACCTAGGTGCCTGTCATTGGGGGACTGGATACAGAAAATGTGGTACATATACACCATGTGTATATGTACATACAGAAATGTGGTACATATACACAACACAGCCATAAAAAAGTGACATTATGTCCTTTGCAGCAACATGGATGCAGCTGGAGACAATTATCCTAAGTGAATTAATACAGGAACAGAAAACCAAATGCTACATGTTCTCACTTATAAGTGGGAACTAAACGTTGGGCACGCATGGACATAAGGATGAGAACAAGAGACCCTGGGGACTACTGGAGCAGAGAGAAAGGGAGAGGGAGAGGGTTGAAAAACTAACTTATTGGGTACTATGCTCACTACCTGAGTGATAGGATCACTCAGATCCCAAACCTCAGTGGTGTCATGCAATAAATCCATGTAACAAACCTGCACATGTACCCCTGAATTTAAAATAAAAGTTGAGGAAAAGAAGAAAAAGAAAACTGGGAAGAGGGACTGGTGCACTGACATCCATTCCTGCAGAGGGCACCAAAGGCCAGACAATCCCATTTTTAACAAAGTTGAGATTTGGGGGTTTTCTTGTTTTTTAACCATAATCCCATCCACAAGAGGGTGGATATGCAGCTCTTTTTTTTGTTATTTGTTTGTTTTCTCTCTCTCTCCTCTCTCTCACTCTGTTGTTTTTGTTCTTTTTTTCTGCTTTTTCTTTTTTTAATGTTTTTCTTTTTTATCAATTGAGATAAAATTTACATAATATAAAATTGACCATTTTAAAGCATACCATTTGGTGGCATTAAGTACATTCCCAATGTTTTGCAACCACCACCTCTATCTAATTCCAAAATATTTTCATCACCCTAAATAAAACCCCCAAAATATTAAACAGTTATTCCTCATCTCCATTTCCACCTCCCCCATCTCCTCAGCCCCAACAACCACAGTTTTCTTTCTGTCCCTGTATTTACCTGTCTGATCATTTCATATGAATGGAATTGTGCAGTGTGTGACCTCCTGTCTTCTTCTTGCCTTTGAACTTTAAACATTGTACCTGAGGTGGGTTGAGCTGAATGTGTCTGCAGGAGCCCCGACTGCCCACATGAGAGACTCTGGGCCACACATGGGCTCATGCACAGAAGGACCACCGTGTCAGGTGACCTACCCATGGGCTGAAAGCCCACACCGCCAGGACACCTTTCTCTGCCATAGCTTCTCCCAGTGCTTGTGACACTCTTCATCCGACAACAGGCATCACAATCTGCTCTCAACACAGTGTGCTCTGTACATCGTAGCGGCTCACTCTAGATTGTTCAAACCTGAGTCCTTCTTCCCAAGTCATCAGGACAAGTGTGACTGGATGCAGCACAGTGGCTCATGCCAGTAACCACGGTACTTTGATAAGCCGAAGTGGGAGGATTGCTTAAGCCCAGGAGTTCAAGACAAGCCTGGGCAACATAGCACGACTTTATCTCTACAAAAAATACCAAAAATTTAGCCAGGCATGATGGTGCACCTGTGGTCCCAGCTACTTGGGAGGCTGAGATGGGAGGATTGCTTGAGTCTGGGAGATCAAGGATGCAGTGAGCTGAGATCACACCACTGTACTCCAGCCTGGGTGACAGAGTGAGACCCTGTCTTTAACAACATATTAATTAATGTTTTTTTGAGGCAGAGTCTCACTCTGTCACCCAGGCTGGAGTGCAGTAGCACGATCTTGGCTCACTGCAACCTCCACCTCCCTGGTTCAAGCAATTCCCCTGCCTCAGCCTCCCAAGTAGCTGGGATTACAGGCACAGGCCACCATGCTGGGCTAATTTTTTTGTATTTTTAGTACAGATGGGTTTCCACCACGTTGGCCAGACTGGTCTTGAACTCCTGACCTCAGGCAATCTGCCTGCCTCAGCCTACCAAAGTACTGGGATTACAGGTGTGAGCCACCGCGTCTGGTCAATTATTTTTTTAAAAAGGACAAGTGAGTCGAGTTTTAGGTCACGTCATTGTCTGGTAAAAGCAGATCACAGGACGACATAATTCTTACGTGTTGACATATAAAAGGGGGAACAACCGGTTGACCAAAGAGACGCTCCCCCAAGGAGGGACATAGGAGGGACCTGGCACTTGGATTTCCTCACCGCCCGCAGGCACAGGGAGTGCTCAGCCCGTCTGCAGAGTTTGGATAAAGCTCCTCCCTCTAGGAAAGCAAGGACTCCTTTCTCACAAAAACCACCCAGGAAAAGGCCCAGACTTTTGAATCATCAAACAAGAAGGTGAGGAGGGAATAGGCCTTGCGGCTGGGTGCGAGAAATCAGCATGAAGGTTCTAAGCTGGGCCAGGGATGCTACCAGTGAGAACAGACACCCATGACCCCACAGCCACGGAGGGCAGCGAAGGGCTGGGGAAGAGGAGCCCTGAACGTCCCTCTGGGACAATACAGGAATTAGGACATTGCGACATGATCATAAACACCTTTCCTGAAGGACCTGGGCCAGCTAGGCTGGGCCTGCACGCTGCCAGATAACCACAGGCTTTATCTGCATTTGCAGCTCCTTCAGCTGGCCTGGGTCCCACCCTGAGACCCGTCTCCTCCCGGCGGGCTCTATCTCCTGCTCCCCAGCCCTGGGGTGTTCCACACTGGGGATCACACTCTTCAGGAAGCCTTTTTTTTTTTTTCTGCTGCAACTGCCAGAAAGGTACAGTTACATATTTTTGCAAAAAACAAAAGGAAGAATCTCTGGAAACTGGGGGACTTGGCGGCTTTTGCCAGATGTCTAGGTTGCCTTTCACATCACTGCTTGGAGACAGCGTGGTTGGTCTGGGTCACACCCTACCTGGAGTTGGCAGGAAACTAAATTCATTCCCCCAAAGTTGCCAGGACTTCCCAGGGAAGCTGCAGCAGCTCTCGGTGCCAGGTGAGCATTGTCTATGGTCAGGATGTGGTTTGCTCTTCAGTGTCTCTGCTTCCTCCACCCTCTCCCCATCCCCAAGGGCAGAAGGACCACAGGGCCTTCCTGCAATGCAAGAACCAAACAGGACAAGAGCCTGTGCCCACACAACTCCCTAATCACACACGTAAATGCCCAACCTGGATGGCTGTGCTGGGTAGAACCGCCCAAGGTCACAGAACTTTTTACCAACACCTGCTCTCTAAACCAAGGTTACAAGAAATGCTCACAAGAGACTCATGAGGGTCTTGGCCTGCCCATCCCAGCTGAAGAGCTCTGAGGATTGGGCCCAGCCCCCAGCCCCTGACTGTAGAAGTCCCCATGGGGACAGCAGGAAAGCAAGGGACATTAAGGGAATCCCTTGATGTCGTTCTGACCTCGAATTTGCTTAATCCGAGTCTGGGTTTTCTCCCCCAGCATTCTGGAGTTTCATGACAGTCACCAGCTAGAGACTGGGCTACAGCTCTTTATGAGCAATTAGAAAATCAAACCCCTTCCCTCCTGGATGTCCTCGTGGAATTCCGCAGACAGACTAGGGTGAGAGGTGTGTTACCCGCAAGGAGATGGGTACAGGAGCACATGAGGCTTGCTGTGTCTCCATTTATAGCATTAATAACTTGTTTGAGAGTGAGAGTAAATGACCTTTTTCTTCTTTTTCTTCCATGGCACTTTTCCTCTGCACCTGTTAGCTTCCTGGCGGTGGCTCCTCTCCCAGTGACAGTGCGTGGCTCCGGCCTGGCAGGAATGGCAGTGACATGCGATCCAGAGGCCTTCCTGTCCATCTGCTTTGTCACCTTGGTCTTCCTGCAGCTCCCACTGGCCAGCATCTGTCAAAACTGAGGGACAGACTCCTGTGCAAGTCGAGGCAGGTGCCCTGGCATAGGTGGGGGTGTGTCCAGCATGGCGGGAAGCTGAAGCATCTCCCAGCAGCTCAGGGCTCAATAGGTCCCCAAAGCTTCCAAGAAGAGGGAGGGGCAGGGGGGAAGTGCCCTGGCCTCCCAACACATGGCCTAACCCAGCCCTTTCTGATCTGCCTCCCCCAGGGAAAGCTGACTTTGATGTCACTGGGCCTCATGCCCCTATTCTGGCTATGGCTGGGGGACACGTGGAGTTACAGTGCCAGCTGTTCCCCAATATCAGTGCCGAGGACATGGAGCTGAGGTGGTACAGGTGCCAGCCCTCCCTAGCTGTGCACATGCATGAGAGAGGGATGGACATGGATGGAGAGCAAAAGTGGCAGTACAGAGGAAGGACCACCTTCATGAGTGACCACGTGGCCAGGGGCAAGGCCATGGTGAGGAGTCACAGGGTCACCACCTTTGACAACAGGACATACTGCTGCCGCTTCAAGGATGGTGTAAAGTTCGGCGAGGCCACTGTGCAGGTGCAGGTGGCAGGTAAGGCTGGTGGCTAGCTGGCTGTCAGTCTACTTCCAGGCATGGCCTTGGGGCCCAGCGTGTTCAGGTGGAGGGCTTTTCAGTAGGGTGAGAGTGCACTCTCCCAGCTGCCGTGCTGGCCTGCACTGCTCCCGGGAAGCACAGCGGTGAAGGCAGAGCCACCTTCCTCATCTTCCTTTCCCTCCTTACACCAGTGGACTGGAAAGTGAAGGGAAGGGAAAGAGAGAGATGGGGGGAATGAGAGAGACACAGAGAAGAAGAGATAGAATGAGAAAGAAGCAGGGAGAGACAGACAGAGGTGGAAAGAGAGATGGAGAGAAAGACAGAGAGATGAGAGAAAGACAGAGAGAGATGAAGAAAGAATGACAGAATTATAGAGATGGGGAAAGAGAGAGATGGAGAGGGAGGGACAGGCAGAGACAGAGAATGAAAGACAGGAGAGACAGAGATGGAGAGAGACAGAGAGAATGAGAAACTGAGAGAAACACAGAGAGAATGAAAGAGACAAAGAGACAGAGTCAGTGACAGAGAGAGGGAGATAGAGACAGAGACAGAGAGACAGTAAAAGAAAATGAGAAAGACAGTAAGCAACAGAGAGTGGGAGGAAGAGAGAGACAGAGAAATAATGACAGGAGACAGAAAGGCCAAGAGAGAGAAGAGAGTCTTCAGATACGGGAGGTTTCCCGAGTGACTCAGAACTTGTGCTTCGAAACAGACAAGCCTGGGTCCCATCTTGTGCCATGAATTCTACTTCTGCAACACAGGATGCCTATTCAATCTTCCTGGACCTTTTCCACTTTGCTTCCCTTCTTTTGTCTGGGAAATGGGGAACTCTGTTAGGGATGGTGTGTAACACAGGGTAGGCAGTTTGTGAAATTGCCAAAATACATTGGAAATCCTCAAGATTTTGTTTTTCCTTTAAATAGAAGCAGCCATGGCTGCAAAGATTCAAGCTGCTGTCTCTTCCTTCAGGGCTGGGCAGAGAGCCCAGAATCCAGGTGACAGACCAGCAGGATGGAGTCAGGGCGGAGTGCACATCAGCAGGCTGTTTCCCCAAGTCCTGGGTGGAACGGAGAGACTTCAGGGGCCAGGCTAGGCCTGCTGTGACCAATCTATCAGCCTCAGCCACCACCAGGCTCTGGGCTGTGGCATCCAGCTTGACGCTCTGGGACAGGGCTGTGGAGGGTCTCTCCTGCTCCATCTCCAGCCCCCTCCTCCCTGAAAGGAGGAAGGTGGCTGAGAGCCACCTGCCCGGTGAGTCCTCTATTCAGTTCTGTCCTCACAATCACTGAGCACAGGATTCCGTGGCCCTGGACACTGGGGACATTAAGAGACAGCTGTGGGGTTTGTGGCAAGCAGGGATGGGTGGCAGGTCCCTGTCCTCACATGGCTGGGGCATCCCAGGAGGTGCACTGTTTGGGTGCTGATTACTGAAGAGGAACAGAGATAAGGGTGCAGGGACCCTGGGGAGAGCCTTGCCTTTGGGGGAACAAGAAATGTACATCCTAATATCAACAGTTTTTAGGGTTTTTTAAAATAGGCTTTATTTTTTAAAGCAGTTTTAGGGTCACAACAAATTTTAGTAGAAAGTCCAGAGAGTTCCCATCTTCCCCTAACCCCCTCACACACCTTCCCCCAGCATAAAAACCCTACACCAGAAGGAACGTCCACCATGTTTGATGAACTTCCGTTGACAATGCCGTCAGCACCCAGAGTGCAGTTTTCATGAGGGCTCACTCTTGGCATGGTGTCCCATGGTTCTAGATAAATATATAATGCCACATATCTGTCATAGTATCATACAAAATAATGTCACTGCCCTTAATCCTCCGTGCTCCGCTCATTCATTCATCTCCCCTAACTCCTGGCCACCACTGATGTTTTCACTGTCTCCATAGTTTCCAGGTGTTCTGGAATGTCCTGTAGTTGGGACGGTGCCTCTGTAGCCCCTTCACTTTGACTTCCCTCACTTTGTGGTACGCATTTAGGTTTCCTCCATGTCTTTTCCTGCCTTGATAACTTGTTTCTTTTGTGAAATGAATAACGTTCCAGGATCTGGATGGACCACTGTTTATTGATCCATTCACCTACTAAAAAATATCTTGGTTGTTTCCAAATTTAGCTTTTCACAAAAACTTTCACTTTTACTTTTCTAAATGATGTCAAACTTACAGAAACTTTGCAAGATTAATAGAAAAGTTGTCTGTGCACCCTTTACTCAGATTCACCATATTTTTACCTTATTGCGATATTTCTTTTTATCACTTCTCCCTTTGTCTATCTACAAATAGATATCTAATATCTACTTCCTATGCATATGTCTAAACCCAACTGTCTTACTCCATTTGTGTGCCTATAACAAAATACCACAGACCAGGTGGCTTAGAAACAAGAGATAGCTATTGCCCACAGTTTTGTAAGCTGGGAAGTCCAAGATCAAGGCGTGGCAGATTTGGTGTCTGGCAAGGGCACTTCCTGGTTCATAGACAGCGCCTTCTCACTGTGTCCTCACATGGTGGAAGGGGTGAGGGAGCTCTCTGGGCTCTCCCCTTTATAAGGGCACCATTCCCATCATATCCGTTACAGGGGCTCCACCCTCATGACCTCATCACTTCCCAAAGGCCTCACCTCCTAACATCATCACCGTAGGGGTTGGGATTTCAACCCCTTTGGGGGACACAGACATTCGGTCCATAGACCAGCTGTGCAAATACATACTATTTTGGAAACTATTTCACAGTAATTTGCAAATATTATGTCCCTGGACTACTGAACTCTTTAGCAAGTTTGACCTCAGAACACAGAAACTCTCTTACCCCAATATTCCTGGCTTCTGGGAATCTTCTCCAGCTACCTTCTCCAGAAGCTCCCAGTTCACGGCATGGAAAGCAGCTCTGCCTCTGATCCTTGTTGCCATGGGACTCGTAATAGCTGGAGGCATCTGCATCTTCTGGAAACGTCAAAGGGAAAAGAACAAAGCATCACTGGAAGAAGAGAGGGAGTGAAGAGAAAAGGAGCAGAGGCGGCCCACCAGCAGCGACAAGGCTGAGCCATGGCGTGGTGAGCAGGGAGCCCCGACAAGGCACATCCTGCCCCCCCACCCCAAATCCAGGACCCTAACACGAAGCCCTGAGCTGAGGCTTCGTCCATGTGTCCTCAGACACAGTAGGAATGGGGTGGCCAGTGGGGATCCTCCCTCTGGCATTGCCTGATTATGATCTACCCAGTGAGACCATCTGTCTCCTAGCAATCCCTCAATTAAGTCTTCACTGGCTGATTTCAGGCAGGCTGGTTGGGCTCTGTCTTGAAAACAGACAGATCTGAGTTTGAACCCCAAGTCTGATGGGTGTGGGCTGAGGGACCTGGTGTGAGCCCTGAGCCACTCTGTCTGCTGGGAGTGCTGATACCATCCTGAAAGACCAACAGAGTAGCATTCAGAGCAAGGCCGCGTCAGGGAGGGTTTACAGTTGCAATCACTGTGATTATTCTCAATATTGACTGTGTCCTTCATTCATTCACTTCACTCACTTCCTCCTCTGTCATTTCAGGAGCTGAGGACTTGTTCCTAGACTTCAGAGCCCTATTTTGAGAGTAGAGATTGTGCTCAGCTGGTTATAAAGACTGCATTATGACAGAGTTGCTTGTGGTGGCTTGCAGCTGTCATCCAGCATTTTGGGAGGCTGAGGCGGGAAAATTGCTTGAGGCCAGGAGTTTGAGGACACCCTGGGCAATATAGCAAGACCCCATCTCTACAAAAAAATAAAAATAAAGAAATTAGCCAGGCATGGTGGTGTGTGCCTGTTGTCCCAGCTACTCAGGAGGCTGAGGTGGGAAAATCACTCGAGCCCAGGAGTTTAAGGCTACAGTGAGCCATGATTGTGCTACTGCACTCCAGCCTGGGTGACAGAGCCAGATCCTGTCAGACAGATGAAAGAAGAAAGAAGGAAAGAAAGAAAGAAGAAAGAAAGAAAGAAAGAAAGAAAGAAAGAAAGAAAGAAAGAAAGAAAGAAAGACGAAATCTCTCAGCATTTGCTTGTCTGTAAAGGATTTTATTTCTCCTTCACTTATGAAGCTTAGTTTGGCTGGATATGAAATTCTGGGTGGAAAATTCTTTTCTTTAAGAATGTTGAATAGTGGCCCCCACTCTCTTCTGGCTTGTAGAGTTTCTGCCGAGAGATCAGCTGTTAGTCTGATGGGCTTCCCTTTGTGGGTAACCCGACTTTTCTCTCTGGCTGCCCTTAACATTTTTTCCTTCATTTCAACTTTGGTGAATCTGACAATTATGTGTCTTGGAGTTGCTGTTCTCGAGGAGTATCTTTGTGGCGTTCTCTGTATTTCCTGAATCTGAATGTTGGCCTGCCTTGCTAGGTTGGGGAAGTTCTCCTGGATAATATCCTGTAGAGTGTTTTCCAACTTGGTTCCATTCTCCCCATCACTTTCAGGTACACCAATCAGACGTAGATTTGGTCTTTTCACATAGTCCCATATTTCTTGGAGGCTTTGTTCGTTTCTTTTTATTCTTTTTTCTCTAAACTTCCCTTCTTGCTTCATTTCATTCATTTCATCTTCCATCACTGATACCCTTTCTTCCAGTTGATGGCATCGGCTCCTGAGGCTTCTGCATTCTTCACTTAGTTCTCGAGCCTTGGCTTTCAGCTCCATCAGCTCTTTTAAGGACTTCCCTGCATTGGTTATTCTAGTTATACATTCATCTAATTTTTTTTCACAGTTTTTAACTTCTTTGCCATTGTTTTGAATTTCCTCCTGTAGCTCAGAGTAGTTTGATCGTCTGGAGACTTCTTCTCTCACCTCGTCAAAGTCATTCTCTGTCCAGCTTTGTTCCGTTGCTGGTGAGAAGCTGCGTTCCTTTGGAGGAGGAGAGGCACTCTGCTTTTTGGAGTTTCCAGTTTTTCTGCTCTGTTTTTCCTCCATCTTTGTGGTATTATCTACTTTTGGTCTTTGATGGTGGTGATGTACAGATGGGTTTTTGGTGTGGATGTCCTTTCTGTTTGTTAGTTTTCCTTCCAACAGACAGGACCCTCAGCTGCAGGTCTGTTGGAGTTTGCTAGAGGTCCACTCCAGACCCTGTTTGCTTGGGTGTCAGCAGAGGTGGCTGCAGAACAGTGGTGGCTGTAGAACAGCGGATATTGGTGAACAGCAAGTGTTGCTGCCTGATGGTTCCTCTGGATGTTTTGTCCCAGAGGAGTACCCAGCCGTGTGAGGTGTCAGTCTGCCCCTACTGGGGGGTGCCTCCCAGTTAGGCTACTTGGGGGTCAGGGACCCACTTGAGGAGGCAGTCTGCCCGTTCTCAGATCTCCAGCTGCGTGCTGGGAGAACCACTACTCTCTTCAAAGCTGTCAGACAGGGACACTTAAGTCTGCAGAGGTTACTGCTGTCTTTTTGTTTGTCTGTGCCCTGCCCCGAGAGGTGGAGCCTACAGAGGCAGGCAGGCCTCCTTGAGCTGTGGTGGGCTCCACCCAGTTCGAGCTTCCAGGCTGCTTTGTTTACCTAATCAAGCCTGGGCAATGGCAGGTGCCCCTCCCCCAGCCTCGCTGCTGCCTTGCAGTTTGATCTCAGACTGCTGTGCTAGCAATCAGCGAGACTCCGTGGGCATAGGACCCTCTGAGCCAGGTGCGGGATATAATCTCCTCGTGTGCCGTTTGTTAAGCCTGTTGGAAAAGCGCAGTATTAGGGTGGGAGTGACCCGATTTTCCAGGTGCCGTCTGTCACCCCTTTCTTTGACTAGGAAAGGGAACTCCCTGACCGCTTGTGCTTCCTGAGTGAGGCAATCCCTCGCCCTGCTTTGGCTCGCGCACGGTGTGCTGCACCCACTGTCCTGCACCCACTGTCTGGCACTCCCTAGTGAGATGAACCCAGTACCTCAGATGGAAATGCAGAAATCACCCGTCTTCTGCGTCGCTCACGCTGGGAGCTGTAGACCGGAGCTGTTCCTATTTGGCCATCTTGGCTCCACCTCCCACCCCAGACTGCCCAGGATGCATAGTGAACTCACTGCCTCAGGATGCATAGTGAGTGACCAACCCCAAATCCAGCCTGGATCTCACCCCGTAAGGATGAAATTACAACTGCAGTAATGACCTCTGGAGGGCACATGCAAAGGCCACTGCTCCTTCATTCTAACCTCACAGAAAGCTTGCAGAAGAGCAATAGGGTCCCCTGCACAGATGGAGGGCCTAAGAAGCATTAGACTAGCTCGGGGCCCAACTCTGGGACCCCCAAATCCACCAGTTTCCCCTGCAGTTCCATCTGCAGCCAGCCATTCTGCTAGGTGTAATTCCATGGCTGACACATCTCCATCCTATAACAGTTTCCCATTCTCTGTGCTCTGGTTGGGATTCTTTTAAGCAGCACTTTCCTTGTGAACTGTATAATGAAATGTTCTATGTCTCAATGGACATCTGTGTGTGCATGTGCATATGTGTACATATGCATACAAAAAAAGTGGAGAGCAATTCTTGTTCTATTTTATGCATTCTCATTGGGAATGACATGCCTCCCCAGGGGGTGAGAATTCGTTCTCAGGGGCTAAAGGCATCACAGTGGCTGGCAGCCTCTGAAGAACCTGGCACATAAACAGATACACAGTACCTGTGCTGTGGAAGCTGCAGGGTCGTGGTGACAATGAGGAAAAAAAAGTCTTAAAAGGCTCCTTCTGGGGGGCATAGTGAAATGAAGTTTGAGAAACTCTCTTCTCTCCTCACTTCTTTGCTGTTGTGAGACTAAACTGGAATTAGTGTTTCTCAGTGTGGATTCTAAGAACCTTAGAGCAGGGTCCTGTCCTGCAGATTTCTGGGCCCCAGTGCAGACTTAGGAAGTCAGTTCCATGGAGTGGCAGGAATGTGCATTTTTAATCAGCTCTTCTATCCATTTCCTAGAGCTGCCTAACACAGCACTGCACACTGAGTGGCTCAGACAACAGGCATTTATTTCTTTCCTTGATCTGGAAGTCCAAGATCAAGGTGTAGACAGCATTGGTTCACCCTCAGGCCTCGCTCCATGGCTACCAGATAGTCCTCTCCTCCCAGTGTCCTCACATGGTCCTCCCTCTGGGTGTCTCTGCATCCTAATCTCCTCTTGTTATAAGGATACCAGTCCTACTGGATCAGGGCCCACCCCAATAAACTTACTTAACCTTAATTACTTCTCAAAAGACCCTATCTCCAAATATCATAGTCCTCCTCACCCACAGTTTCAGTTACCCATGGTCCACTGTAGTTATTTTTGTTAAGATATTTTGCAGGACAGAAAGACCATATTCACATAACTTTTATTACAGTATATTATCATAATCATTCTAGTTTATTTACCTTTTTCAAATTTTTATATATTTTTTACACACAACATCTCACTTTGTTGCCCAGGCTGGTCTCTACCTCCTTGGCTCAAGTGATCCTCCTGCCTCAACCTCCCAAGTAGATGAAACTACAGGCAGGCACCACCACACCCCACTAATTTTATTATTAGTTATTGTTATTAATCTCTTACTGTGCCAAATGTATAAACTTTACCATAGCTATGTATGTATGGGAAAAAGCACAGGCTGTGTAGGATTGGGTACTATCCTCAGTTTCAGGCATCCACTGGGGGTCATGGAATGTATCCCCCAAGGACAAGGGGGGCTTATTAGAGTCACACTCTGAGGTCCTGGGGTTAGAACTTCAACAGATGACTGGGGGGCAGGGGATACAAAATGGAACCCATAACAATTCTCAAAATGCTTTTTCCTCAAACCTGAAAGTGTAAAACCTGCTCTGAGGGGTGGGGAGAAAGACCCCATCACCTGCTAGGATGAGCAGAGCGTGGGGCGATGCAGTCATTCCCTCACTGAAGACATTTATGGGGCACCTCCCTATGCACCAGACAGGAAGGAAGGAATTACAGAAACAAAACCTCACAAATATATACAATTATTACGTGTTAATTAAAAATATATGTAAAGCAAAAATAAAATCCAGAGAAAAGGAAGGGGGAGCGTTTGGTGGTGTTGGGGCCAGGAACCTCCCCAGGTAGCCTATGGCATCACACAGTAAAGGGCAACCCCAGTGGCACATGGCCCACCCCGGGAGCCAGGGCTGCAGGTTCCCTCATCCCAAAAGTGCTCGCAGGGAGCCAGCTGCCTCTGTAGCTCCATTCACCTCTACTGCGCTATCTACTGCAGTTAATCCACTTCCTCGGTCCAGCCGCCACCCCCACATCTCTCTTAAGGGCACAGGGGTCCTCCAGTGGGCTTCAGTCCTGACTTTGCAGCCTCTAGCTGTGGGATGCGGGGCTGCTTAATGTCCCTGAGCCTCCATCTCCTCACCTATAACATGGATATATGACGCACATACACACTTCTCAACAGATGGCCTCCAAGAGGATTGAAGTTAAGACACCCCGCAGAGAGGACTAAATGGTAACCCTCCAAAATGACACTTCTGTGAATTTACAAAAGTGATCCAATTTGAAAAACAGGACTTCCTGTTTGCAGACTTGATTAGGAATCTTGGATTGAGATAATCCTGGATTTCAGGTGGGCCCTAAATCCAGTCACTGGGGTTACAATCTGAATGTTTGTGTCCCACTCTCCAAATTTATATATTGAAATCTTTACCCCCAAGGTGATGGTATTAGGAGGTGGGGCCTTTGGGAGGTGACTGGGTCATGAAAGTGGAGCCTCACAAATGGGATTAGTTTCCTTATGAGAGGGACCTGTCAATAGGGGAAAATGACGAGACAAGTCTCAATCACCTTAGAAAATGTATTTGCCAAAGTTAAGGATGAGCCTAGGAGACAGGTCTATGCCTTTCTCTAAAGATGATTTTGAGGGCTCAAAATTTACAGGGGAAAGGGCGGGATATAGATTAGACAAACCGCACTCTGGCACAGCCAATGAGGCTCCTGAGCTGCAAAGTCCTTCAGCCCATTGGTGGGTGCAGTATCCACAGCCCTGTGCTTGCCAGACAGCCTCTGCAGCTGTAGATAGCTCTGTGTTCAGTGACCCCACTCTCCTGCAGCAGAACGAGACTTGGGGACATCCTACCACCAACAGCAATTGGATGGGCAGTCTATCCACAGGTTTCCAAAAAGGTAAGCCCGGTTCTCAGGAATGGCAATAGCCTGTTGCCCTGCCCCCACTCTTCTGCACGTTGCATCTTGGAAGAAGTTGCATTTGCATTTAGGAATCAATCGTCAGCAAAATGGGCTCTTCCTGGAGTTCTCTGATCCATGCACACATACACACAACCTAGGGCACCACCATGTGCAAATCCCATGTGCACATCTCTTGTCAAGGGCACCCCATGTGCAGGCCCTTGTAGCAGAACAATTTTTACTCAGTTCAGTTACCACTGAGGCCTCCACCATATTCACCTTTCCACATCCTCAGCAGTGAGGACCTGTCACCACAGCAACCAATGGCTCTGTAACCATCCCATGCCTGTGCCCTCATGGAACCCTGTGGGCATCTCTTTGGCATAACAGCCCAGGGGTGGAACTGATGCAATACATAGTATCCCAGTCCATGTGGACAGCCTGGGCAGCTTAGAAACCACCAAAGTGTGCTGCTCACAGCTCTGGAGGCCGGAAGTCCAAGATCAAGCCACCAGCATATCCAGTGGCTGGTGAGGTCAATTCCTTGTTCATAGACAGCACCTTCTCACTGAGTCCTCACATGGTGTAAGAGATGAGGGAGTTCTCTGGGGTCCCTTTTATAAGGGCAGTAATCCCATTCATGAACTCATCACCTCCAAATGCTCCATGTCATAACACCATCATCTTGAAGGTGAGGATTTCAACGTACTAATGTGGAGGGTGGGACACCTTCAGACCACAGTGTGGGCATGCAAACTGCATAGTCCACAACTGAGCTGTTCCCAAGAACACCCCCCTGCCCTTGCACTCTGCTGCTGGGAAGTGACCTCAAAGCCCTTGGGATGCCATGCCTGACAGGAGGGTCTTTGTTTGCCTGGTGGCCTTGGGTCACACTGGACAGTCCCATAATGTGGTTTAGGGTAGGTTGGCTGCACTGAAGAGAACACTGTGACATGGGGGCGGGAGTCCCTGAGCCAAGTCCAGCGGCAGCAATGTGATGTGCGGTAGGGGCCCTTTGAGTCCTGCAGTTCGACTTCCTCTGAGGCTGGAGACTAAGACTGGCCATGTGGGAAGTCAGCTATCCCTAGGTGCTGGATGCCAGAAGAGACCCAGGATTCTAAGGCTGGGCAGTGTCCCTGGTTGGCAGAACTCCCCGTGCAGTCACACAGGGTGCCCGGAAGGTAGCACAGCCCAGACACCACGGGGACAGGACAGTCGAAGCTCTGTTACCTCTCCCGGACTCCCCCATGGGTTTCCTCCCTTGGCTGACTTAAAGTTGTCTCCGTTCCCCATAATAAACTGTAACGGAAAGCGTAGCAGCTTTCAGTGGGTTCTGGGGGCTTTTCTAGTGAGTTATAGAACCGGAGGTGGTTTTGGGAACAACTCACCCGACAGACATGCCGCTGGTGTGAGAAACAAGCCCGGTGTTGGGGACTGGCTCCCCCTAGCGTCCGGTTGGTCTAACTGCCTTTCATATACAGCCTATACCTCATGTTACTGCGCTTCGCATACTGCATTTGTTAAAAATTGAAGGTGGGTGGCAACCATGCGTTGAGCAAGCTGACCTGTGGCATTTTCGCAGCAGCATGTGCTCACTTGGTGTCTGTGTCTCATTTTGGTAACTCCTGCAATATTTCAAGCTTTTTTGTTATTGTTCCTTTTGTTCTGGTGATCTGTGATCAGGGATCTTTCATGTTACCGTTGAAATTCTTTAGGGATGCCAAGAACTGCGTCCATACAAGGCAGCAAACTTAATGGAAAAATGGCATGTACATCCTCACTGCTCGCCAGACCAGCCATTCCCCTGCCTCTCTCTCTCCCCCCAGGCCTCCCTATCCCCTGGCACACAACAATACTGAAATTGGGCCAATTAATGACCCTATAATGGCCCCTAAGTGTTGAAGTGAAAGGAAGAGTCACACACCTCTCACTTTAAGGCAAAGGCTAGAGATGATCAATCTTAGTGAGGAAGGCACATCCAAAGCAGAAAGATGCTACTTGTGCCAAAGTCAGCCAAGCTGTGAATGCAAAGGAGAAGTTCTTGAAGGAAACTGAAAGTACTCCAGTGAACACACGAATGATAAAAAAGCGAAAGTCTTATTGCAGATATGCAGAAAGTGTGCACGGTCTGAATAGAAAATCAAACCAGCCACAACATTTCCTTAATCCAAAGCCTAATCCAGAGCAAGATCCTCTCTTCAATTCTATGAAGGTTGAGAGAAGCGAGGAAGCTGCAGAAGAAAAGCTTGAAGCTGGCGGGGGTTGGTTCATGCGGTTTAAAAAAAGAAGCCATCACTGTAACATAAAAATGCAAGGAGAAGCAGCAAGAGCTGATGAAGGCGCTGCAGCAAGTTCTCCAGCAGATCCAGCTAAGATCACTGATGAAGGGGGCCACACTAACAACGGATTTTCAATGCACACAAAACAGCCTTCTATTAGAAGCAGATGCCATCCAGAACTCTCATAGCTAGAAAGAAGCCAATGCCTGGCTCCAAAGCTTCAAAGGACAGGGTGACTCTCTTGTTAGGGGCTCATGCAGCTAGCGACTTCAAATTAAAGCCAATGCTCATTCACCAATTACAACAATTCTAAGGCCCTTAGGAATTATGTTCAATCTACTCTACCTGTGCTGTATAAATGAAACAACAAAGCCTACATGACAGCACATCTGTTTACTGCATGGTTTACTATTTTAAGTCCATTAAAATATTAAAATAGCCATTAACACAACATTCAAGTCTTATTAACTTTCAAGTTAACTTCCATAATTAACTTTCAAGTCTTATTATTTAAGACATTTCATAAGGCTACAGCTGCCTTAGACAATGATTCCTCTGATGGATCTGGGAGAAAATTTTTAAAAACCTGCTGGAAAGGATTCACCATTCTAGATGCCTTAAGAACATTCATGATTCATGGGAGGAGGTCAAAACAGCAACATGAACAGGAGTTTGGAAGATGTTGATTCCAGCCCTCATGGATGACTCTGAGCGATCCCGGACTTCAGGGGAGGAAGTCACTGCAGATGTGGTGGAAACAGCAAGAGAACGAGAATTGGAAGTGGAGCCTGGAGATGGGACTGAATTGCTGCAGTCTCATGAGAAAACATGAATGGATGACAAGTTGCTTCTTATGGATGAACAAAGGAAGTGTTTTCTTGAGATGGAATCTACTTCTGGTGAAGATGCTGTGCACACGGTTGAAATGACAACAAAGGATTTAGAATTGACATCAACTTAGTTGATAAAGCAGTGGCAGGGTTTGAGAAGAGTGACTCTAATTTTTAAAGATGTTATGTGGGTAAACTGCTATCAAACAGCAACACATGCTACAGAGAAGTCTTTTGAATGGAAGTCAATTGATGTGACAAACTTCATTGTCTTATTTTAAGAAATTGCCACAGCAACCCCAAACTCCAGCAGCCACCACCCTAATTAGTCAGCAGCCACCAACATTGAGGCAAGACCCTCCCCCAGCAAAAAGATGGCAATTCACTGAACACTCAGATGATCATTAGCATTTTTTAGCAACAAAGTATTTTAAAATTAAGGTACATACATTGGCTTTTTTAGACATAATGCTACTGCATACTTAGTAGACTACATTACAGCCTATAAAAGCATTTTATATGCACTTGGAAACCAAACATTTCATGGGACTTGCTTTATTGCAGTATTTGCTGTATTGCAATGGTCTAGAAGCAAACCCATGGTTTCTCCAAGGTATGCCTTTTAGTTTGACCCCAGACTGCACTCCAAAGCAGCGGCCTTATTCTACACTCCTCACAGCACCTCTGGGCTCACCTAATGTGCCATCATCACTCAGACTTCAACATCACCTAGTGCTGCAGTTCCCACCACCCGCCCGAACCACCCCCGCCCCAACCCACCCCGAGCTAAAGCAGTATCTCATTATGGTTTTAATTATGATTCTCCAGTTACTAAATAGTTTAAGCATCTCCTTATATTTTGCTGCTGTCAACCTCATGAAATAATAGCTACTCAGTTAGGTAATGTAGAAGGTAAAATGGCCCCAAGCATTTTTATCTCCTCTCTTTGGCCACAGGATCCTGAAACTGAAAACGACCTTTGGGTCCCAACTATCCACGGCTTTCCCACAAAGCTCTGAAAATAAGAGTTGAGAAAAAAGTATTGAGCTACTGGACAAATACATCAGTGTCTTGAGAATGTGTCCCCTACCTTCCAGCAAACAAACTGTTGCTTTTCTATGCAGTGCCTGGCCTCAGTTTCCTTCCACATGTCACCCACAGCCAGCCTCGGAGATCCTCCTGCCTAGGGCTGCCCTTGACCAGAGAGATCTGGTTGCAGCAAAGCCACAGGGACACCAGTGGCTCCTCAGAGCTTGCGTGGTCAAGGGCTGAGGAAGGGCGTCTGTTTCAAGCCATTTCTATAAAACACCCTGTGGGAGCAGACCTGAAGGAGAGGGGCAACCGCCACACAGGTATGGGGGAGAAATGTTCCCTGGAGATCAGAGGCCGAGGCAGGGCCCACCTGGCTTGCTGAAGAACAGAGAGGCCATCATGCTGGGTCTGCAGGGAGCAGGGGGCACAGTGGTGACGAGAGAGGAAGAGCTCGGGGTGGATTATGTAGCACTTCCCAGGCCACTGCGAAGCTTTCCCGGAATGAATCTGAGTTGCTGCAGGGCCTTGAGTACAGCAGGGGCAGGCTCTTGCTTAGTTTTTATTTTCATTGTTTTAATAAATTTCATTGTGTATATTTAAGGTATGCAACGTGATGTTACAAAGTACAAACAGATAGCAAAATGGTCACTACAGGGGAGCAATTAACATTCCCATCACCTCCCAGAGTCAACCACTTTTAGGATTTTGTGGCAAGAGCAGCTGAAGTCTAGTCATTTAGCAGGAACTCCCAAAACAGTGCAATTTTATTACCTACATTCCTCCTGTTGTACATCGGATCACCAGACTGGTTCATCCTACATATTTTAAAGTAGAAACCCATCTACCTGCTGGGTTGAGAATGCATTGTTGGAGCAGCGGGAGGAGATGAGGTCCCCAGGTCTCCTGGGCAGAAGAGGACAGTGCCAGTGGGCCACGGTGGGGGACTGGCGGGGAGCAGGTAAGATGAGGTCAAGGTCTTTGGCTACAGGAAGAGCCTGCAGGATTCCTTTGCAGACCTATTGTGGACTGTTAGAGAAAACAACTCAGAGACAGCTCTGAGATGTCTGAGGACTGCAGGGATTGGGCCCCTGGGCAAGTCTGGGATGGAGGCAGTGGTTGGACCTGGAAGAGGGTTTGGGAGAGAGACCCACGTCAGAGAGGCAAGTGTGAGGTCACCATGGGGGGCTGGATAGGACAGAGAGGCCACACGAGGATGCCAAGGGTTCTTCCACATGAAGAGGGTGGAGTGGAGAGGACACAAGGGAGACGGAGGAGCATCAGCAAGGCCAGAGAAAGCCCTTGTGGAGGGAATGTCCCTACACAAAAATCCATTCAAAACAGACAAGGGCTTAATTGTAAGGCCTGAAACTGTAAAGCCAGTAGAAGAAAACACAGGTGAAAAACTCCATGACACTGGCCTAGGTTTCAGGGTTGTATCACTTCTTGCATATGACCCTAAAAGCACAAGCAACAAAAGAAAAATAAACATACATGATTGCATAGAGCTAAAAAGCTTCTGCACAGCAAAGGAAATCATAAACAGAGTGAAGACAACTCACAAATTGGGATAGAGTATTTGCAAACCATACATTAAGTAGGGGGTTAATATCCAAAATATACATGGAACTCAAACTCAATAGCAGGAAAGCAAATAAACGACTAAAAAATGAGCAAAGAACCTGAAGAGACACTTCTCAAAAGAAGACATACCAATGGCCAACAGGTATATAAAAAAATGCTCAACATCATTAATCATCAGGGAAACGTAAACCAAATCACAATGAGATTATCTCACACTTCTTAGAATGACTAATTTCAAAGAAAATAAATGTTGGTGAGTATGTAAATTATTATAGCCATTATGGAGAAGCATATGGAGGTTATTCAAAAACTTAAAAAGAGTACCGTGACCCAGCAATCCTACTGCTAAGTATTTTCCCAAAGGAAACGACATGAATATATGGAAGAGATACCCACACTCCTGTGTTTCTTAAGAGCACTTTTACAACAGTCAAGATACGGAATCAACCTACGTGGTCTAGAAGCAAAGTGATAAAGGGATAAAGTGGATAAATGGCTTAAGAAAATGTGGTGTATACACATCATGGAATACTATTTGGCCATAAAAAAGGAAACCCTGCCATTTGCAACATGGGTGAATTTACAGGACATTTATATTAAGTGAAATAAGCCAGGAACAGGACAAATATCACATGATCTCACTTATATGTGGAATCAAAATGTTGATTTATAGAATTAGAGAGTAGAACGGTGGTTAGCAGGGGCTGAGACAAGAGGATTTGGGGAAATTCTAGTCAGAGGGTACAGAGTCCCTGCTATACAAGAATAAACTCAAGGTCTATTGCACAGCATGGTGACTTCAGCTGATAACCGTGTACTGTACGCAGTTGGCCCTCTGTATCTGACTGTCCCACATATGTGCAGAGGGAGGGCTGACTGCAGGGTACTTGAGTATCTGCAGATTTTGGTATCCATGAGGGGGTCCTGGAACCAATCCCCCTTAGGCACAGAGGGATGACTGTATTTGAAATTGCTGAGTGTAGATTTCAAATATTCTCACCACCAAAAAAAACATGAGATGGATACATTAATCTGTCACTCCACAATGTACATAGATATCAAAACATCACACTGTGCCCCATAAATATATAATTTTCTTAAATAGAAAGAGGTTGTGATTGACAGGGTGGGATGTTGCTGGTCAGCTAGGTTAGGTGAGGATGGTGAAGCCACTGTCGGACCTGGTGATGTGGAGACACTGATGTTGTGGGAGACTCTGCCATCAGGACCTGTCCGGGCAAGCATCACAGGTGTGCAGGGCAGGGGCAGGGATGCTCAGGGATGACAGCAGACTGCAGCAGGCGGAGACAGTGAGAAAGACAAACTGGAGGTCTCAGGGTCGGGATGTTGTTGGCGTGCTGACAAAGATTCTCTACTTGGCCAAACTCTGGCCAGGCTCTGGAATCTTCTCCTAGGGCCCTCTTTGCCCTTTCTTATGAAATCCAGTTTTAGCAAGAACCCTAATTTGGTTAACCATAATATCTGACCACCCTCAATGGTACCTGACTGGGTTCCTCTCTGACCGTTTGCAGCCAATGTCTGATCGCCCTGCCTGCCTGCAGCAAGGACTCTGTGAGGTGGGTTTAGCCAGAGCCCCCTCAGCCCTGATGTCTCCTCACAGTCATTCCCACCCATGGACCCTATACTGCTCCTCGCTCCTCCAACCCCTGCCCTGCTACGTCGGGGTGGAGCCCCATCTCCCCCCAGGCCCCAAGGAAAGGGTCCCACACCCATCTCAATGGTCCCAATCAAAGTCCTCCTCACCATGCTTTAGCACGTGTCACGAGGAAGTTTCCTTTGACACTGGAGGGTGGCCAGGGCAGGGGGAAGAGGCCAGGTGGACACACGGAGACGAAGCAAACGAGCTGACACAAACCCACTTTATTCAGCATTGAGCCAGCCCACACGCTGGGCAGGTCAAACTCACAGACATCGCACCAAGGGCCGGGGACTCAGAAGGGCTGAAAGGCTTCATCTGGAAATGGGCACCGCTCACAAGCCCGGCTATCCCCAAATCTCAACAACTGTCTGCATCTATGTCCCCGACTTTGCAATCCTGTCCCCAGTGCTGAGTTTCTGTCGACTAATTTATCTACACACAAGGATGCTGCAGGCAACTGAGCTACTGCTACAAGCTTTGCAAAATTCAACTACTAAAGGAAATGGGAGGAGGGAAAGAGCTAGAGATAACAGCAAGATGAGACACGATGGCAGGGCCTGGAGATGCTAAATGGGGTTAGCCACCTGCCAGCCCCCTCACCCAGGGAAACAGAGAAAGAGGCTTCCTTCTGCGGAGGCAGGTGGAGCACAGGGAGGGCTCCTGGGAGGCACAGGAGTGGGGTGGGGGCCAGGAAGGGGGAGGTGGACAGAGCGACTTGGATAAGGCTGGGCCGGGCCCACGCCCACCTCAAGAGGGGGGCCGCCTCCTCAGGAGGCATCAAGGTGCAATCCAGTCTTCCTTTCTCTCCCTGAAGACCTGAGTTCCAGCCTTCACAGAGCGTCATGCGCATTCTTCTTTCTGGATGCTAACCCCAAATCCGACACTCAATGGTGCACCTCAGGTACCTGCCAAGGATCTGTGGGCCCACATGGAAGGTGCAGGGTCTGGGTCCCTGGATGACGAGGTGAGGGGCAGATGGGTGACCAGGGAAGGGCATGACCCAGAGCTGCCGGGACTCATGGAGGATGGGCTGTGGCTAGGACTTCAGGAAGGGACGGGCACAGGTGGGAAGGGTCCTCAGGTCCAGCCTCTACCGGGAGGTGTTTGCAGCCCCCAAAACACGCCTCGGGGTGAAGGATAAATGGACATTGTTGAAACACGCAACTATGTAGATGGACCCAAGGCCAGGCGCCTGCCACGCTTCCCTGGCAGCCACACGCTGACACTTCCCATGGAGATGAGGATCCATCCTCCTGCCTCCAGCTCTGGGACTGCCACGGGTTGGCGCCATCACTGCATGGGAGGGGAGAGGGAAAGACAGAGAGACAAAAAGAGAAAGAGACACACAGAGTCAGAGACAGAGGCAAAAGGAGAGAGCGAAAGAGAGAGCGCACATGAGACAGCGCATGAGGTACTGTCCTGAGCACAACAAACCCAGGGCCTGGCCCAGACTTCCGTCTCCCCAGGGCCAAAGCCTTGTCACCTATGGCTGGCACGGGCAACTGAACCGTTCAGGGCCATCTGGGTTGCTGCAGGGTCTGGGGTTCAGGCCAGGCCCTGGGCAGAGGCAGAAGAAAAGCCCTGAGGTTGGGTTTCTTGGCTGCTTCTGCCTTCAGGACCCCAGGGCGAGGCAGGAGCCTTCCATGCTCGGGCACTCGGGATGCCAAGTGCCCTCCTTTGTGAAGGTCAGGGACACCTCAGACCCTCCTCAACTTAAAACCCCTTCCCATCACCTTCCCTGACCACCCACCCATTCCCGAAATTCAGCCCTGCAAGGCCACGGCAGTGGGAGTCAGGCTGGGCTTTTAAGCCTTGACTTCGGGCAATGGTCCCCCAATGGCTCGCTGCTGCCTGCGTCCACCCTGGCCCGATGGTGGGCAGACCCAGCGGGGCTCCCGCACCTGCAGCAGCATGCTGAGGCCCAGGTTGCGATGCTTCTTCTCCAGCTCCGAGACCGCCTGCAGCAGTGACCTGAACCGCTCAGTGGGGTCAGCCAGCTCGTCCTCAGGGAGCCCCTCCTCCTTCTCAGCCTCCTGCAGGAAATGCTCCTCCTCCTCCACAAAGAAGGCCCGCAGCTTCTTGTAGTCGGTCAGTGCCTTCTTCCTACGGTCCATCACGTGTCCCTGCAAACGGGTGGCAGGAAAAGACCTGTGTCCTCACCCACCCTCCCCAGGGGAAGGGGAACCTGTTTGCTCTTGAAGGAGTTAAGAACATGCCACTCCAAAACATGCTGCTCAGGCACATCGACTATTAGGCCAGGCACAGTGGCTCACGCTTGTAATCCCAGCACTCCAGGAGGCCAAGGCGGGCGGATCATGAGGTCAGGAGTTCAAGACCAGCCTGACCAACATGGTGAAACCCCGTCTCTACTAAAAATACAAAAATGAGCCAGGCGTGGTGGCACGCCTGTAATCCCAGCTAATCGGGAGGCTGAGGCAGGTGAATCACTTGAATCCAGGAGGCGGAGGTTGCAGTGAGCCCGAGTTCATGCTACTGCACTCCAGCCTGGGCGACAGAGCGAGACTCCATCTCAAAAAAAAAAAAAAAAAAAAAAAAAGCCAGGCACGGGGGCTCACGCCTATAATCCCAGCACTTTGGGAGGCTGAGGCAGACAGAACATGAGGTCCGGAGATTAAGACCATCCTGGCCAACCTGCTGAAACCCCATCTCTACTACAAATATAAAAATTAGCTGGGCGTGGTGGCGCACGCCTGTAGTCCCAGCTACTTGGGAGGCTGAAGCAGGAGAATCGCTTGAACCTGGGAGGCAGAGGTTGCGGTGAGCCAAAAAAAAACAAAAAACAAAAAAAAAAACAATAACAGAAGAGGCCTGGCACGGTGCCTCATGCCTGTAATCACAGTACTTTGGGAGGCTGAGGTGGGAGGATTGCTTGAGCCCAGGAGTTCGAGACTAGCCTGGGCAACAGTGAAAACCTGTCTCTACTAAAAATCAAAAACATTAGCCAGGCATAGTGGTGCACACCTATGGTCCCAGCAACTCGGGAGGCTGAGGTAAGACGATCGCTTGAGCCCAGGAGTTTGAGGCTGCAGTGAGCTATGACCATACCACTGCACTCCAGCCTGGGCCAACAGAGCAAGGCCTTTTTTAAAAAAAATCAAAAAACAGTGCAAGATCACCCTGACCTCCATTCTGCTTCTTAAAAGCAAATGAAATTCCCAAGTGAAAGACGCCCTCCCCATATCAAATAAAATGATTTTATCATCAAGGACGACAGGAAGTCAAGGCCGACAGAATTTGGTACAGACCTTGTGAAAACAACTCTTTCAAGCATCCCCACATCATGTAGTTGCTTTTTTACAAGTGGCTAGTCTTTGTCCAAGTCAGTATATAAGTGATTTAATTTTGCCACTTTGAGTCTTCATTTCATTATAAGGGAGCCTGTGCTGTATAAAACTTGTGTTAAATTAATATGCCTGGCTGGACACGGTGGCTCACA
This sequence comes from Homo sapiens, assembly GCF_000001405.40. Taxonomy (NCBI): domain Eukaryota; kingdom Metazoa; phylum Chordata; class Mammalia; order Primates; family Hominidae; genus Homo; species Homo sapiens. The sequence continues at coordinate 228,491,718 of NC_000001.11, read as the reverse complement.
CCTGTAATCCCAGCACTTTGGGAGGCCGAGGTGGTTGGATCACTTGAGGTCAGGAGTTCAAGACCAGCCTGGCCAACATGGTGAAACCCCATCTCCACTAAAAATACAAGATTAGCCAGGCGTGGTGGTGCACACCTGTAGTCGCAGTTACTCGGGAGGCTGAGGCAGGAGAACCACTTGAACCAAGGAGGTGGAGGATGCAGTGAGGCAAGATCGCACCACTGCACTCCAGCCTGGGCAACAGAGCAAGACTCCATCTCAAAAAAAAAAAATCCTATGTTTTTTCTCCCATTAACCCATCTCCCTTTATTTTTTTTTTTTTTTTTTTTTTGAGATAGGGCCTCACTCTGTCACCCATGTTGGAGTGCAGTGGTGCCATCACAGTTCACTGCAGCCTCAACCTCTTGGGCTTAAGTGATCCTCCCACCTCAGCCTCCCAAGTAGCTGGGACCACAGATGCAACACCATACCTGGCTAATTTATTAATTTTTGTACAGATGGTGGTCTCACTATGTTACCCAGGCTGGTCTCGAACTCCTAGCCTCAAGCAATCCTCCTACACCTCAGCCTCCCAAGTTGCTGGGATTACAGGCATGAACCACTGCACCTGACCCTGTTAGTTTAGCTTATGTCAGTTTAATTCTCCCGCCCAGCCTGGGGCCCTAAAAGGGGAGAAATAGAGTTCTTTCTCCCCTACACTGCAGTGCTCAGCTGCACAGGAAGACTGTCCCTCTCCCATCTCCCATGGCCAAGGGGACAGTAAATCCTTGAGTGGCCCTGCTAGGTCTAGAGCCTGTCAGGCACGTGACTGTCAGGGCAGGACACACACCCATCTTGCCAGCAACTGTCCCTGCTGTGCCCACACCAGAACTCCAATGGCTGAAAACCATCCCATCAGCCTTCAACAAACAGCATTCACACTTGCCACTCTTCAGCTGGTTTTCAGCCAACTCCTAACCTTGCAAACAGGAGAGCAGAGCAGGATGCTACTCTGATTTTACTCAGTCATGGATGGCTTCCACCTGGCCCTGGGCCACACAGGGCAGGTGACACCCATAGTCATGAGGGGCCAAGGCTTTTGTTGCTGAGAATGCAAATGACAGCTGGGTGTCTGCTGGCTGGCTGATGCAACACGCTGCAAACTCCTTCCTTTGGATTTAGGTGGCTTCTCTCATCCCAGCATCTAAGCCACAAACCCCCAAAACAGGACAGATTGAAAGCTCCAACCTGCTAAAATCTGTGGGCAAAACAATTCCCTTGGGGTAACACAGGGTTACTGAAAACTTGGAGGTCCCCAAAGCCTTCCAGCCTCACTTGCACTGGGCAGTGTTGACCACTCACAAGGCAAGGAGAAGTTCAGAGCAGCCCCAAGGGCAGTGTGGAGTGCCAGGGGTCTGAGTGGCATCAGGGACCCCATGTGTAACCCGTCACTGTCTGAGGGAGGCCTGCACCTCAGGCCTGTGGATAGCAGGCAAGGGCTTGGCAGCACCAGGAGCACAGAGCCCACCTCAGCCTCAAGCTGGGGTAAAAACGTGGGCCTCAGCCTCGAGATGCAGCCAGTTACCCAAGAGCTGCTGCACCTGTGAAAAGCACTCTGTCTTTCAGGTTAAAAGAAGGAGATAGGAATTTATGAAACGCAGAGAAAATGGCACACAGGTTTTTACTACACGAGGAAAAAGTCACCAAATAGAGTTTAAACGACTAAAGAGCTTTACTGGTGAGTAACCTAAAAGAATCTATGGGATGTCCCCTTGGGATATAATACTGTGGAAGGCACCCAAGGAAAGTAACGCTGCTCTGGTCTGAATGTCTGTGTCCTCCCCAAATCCCCATGCTGAAATCCTCATCCCTCAGGTGATGGCGTTAGGAGGCAGGACCCTTGGGAGGTGATGAGGTTGTGAGGGTGGAACTCTCAAGAACGGAATCAGTGTCCTTACACAAAGGCCCCAGAGACACCCTCACTTCTTCCACCATGTGAGGACACAGTGAGAAGACACCATCTATGAACCAGGAAACGCCCTCACCAGACAGGGAATCTGCCAGTTCCTTCATCTTGGACTTCTAGCCTCTAAAAAATAATGAGCAACTCTCAGATCAGAACAAGAGGACCACAGAAAATTACAGATGTGTTCTAAAAAAGAAAAAAAAAATAGCACTTTGGGAGGCCAAGGCGGGAGAACCGCTTAAGGTCAGGAGTTTGAGACCAGCCTGGGCAACACAGCAAGACCCCCACCTCTAGAAAAGCATTTTAAAATTAACCAGGTGTGGTAGCACGTGCCTATAGTCCCAGAGGCTGAGGTGGGAGGATCGCCTGAGGCCAGTTCGAGCTGCAGTGAGCTACAATCATGCCATTGCACTTCAGCCTGGGTAATGAAGTGAGACTCTGTCTCTTGGGAAAAAAAAAAGAAGTCTGATGCTGCCATCACCTACAGGTAAAATGTGAGGAGAAAAAGAGGCTTCCACTGGCTTTGGCTAGATTCTATTTGAGAAATACAAACACATCCTAAAAAAAATACCCTGAAGCTCACTTAAGTCCAGAGGCCCCTCCTCCAACCAACCAGCTGAGCAGTTCAGAGGCCTGGCCCACTTGGCCTGGTGGTCCCTTTGTCTAGAGCCCTGAGCCCACAGTCCCCTCATTCCAGGCTGCCCCAGGTCCCCCCACTTGCCTTCCACACTGCAGCTGCTGACTCTGCCTGGCCATGCAGGTCCCGGGCGTCATTCAAGTCCTTTCTCATGATTTCCACAGACCCCTTGTTCTCCTGTAAAGAAAAGAAGGTCACCAGGGGTGGGCAGAAGCTCTGGGTCCCCCAACCCAGCCCAGTACTGAGGGACATCACCCCAGCTGACTGCACACAGTCTGACCATCCCAGAGATAACCTCGAAGCCCGGTTGTCTAGGGCAGGAACGCACAGGCAGTCAAAAGGTTTCTTGGGCTTCACACCTATTCAGAAGGATCTGGGTGCTGGGGCTAAGGGGACTGTCTAGGTGGGTTTAGGAGTTCTGTGTCTGTAAGTGGCCCTGTTCAGTGTGAGTTCGGCCTGTACCAAAGGTCTGCACAGCCTGCCCTACACCCTGCCCTGCCTGAGCCGGATGGGGGTCGCTCTGCCCGGTGGCAGGACCCCCAATGCAGGAGGAGCACCCAGGGACACAGTCTGGCTGGCTTCCCCTCCCCTGTATTGAAGAGCAGGACCCCAGGCTGGCTGTTGTCTCCTATTCTGTGTCCCACAACCAACCCGCCATGGGCAAGGCTCCAGACTCCCGGACCCGCTGCTGCCAGACTCTCAGAGCGGGTTTCTGAAAGATGGGAGAGGGGACAGGGGGTGCAGGCGAGGGCTGGGTGGCCCGGGGAGCAGACGAGAAGGTGGGCCAGGCCTGTGGACACAGTGGAATACAGAGGGGCAAGAGGCGTGATGTCTCCCCCAAGGGAAGAGTGAGTGGAGGAGTCAATCTGTAGGAACTAGAGGGGGTCTATGAGGGCGAGACAGGGCACAGCTAGTGATGGGACCACAAAGATGGGCGCTGGTGGGGGAAGGACTTCGTAGAAGGTAGGGGGTGGGGAGATAAGGCACCGCCCAGCAGGGGACACCAAGACGGGGAAGGGGACCAGACTCCGAAGAGACGCAGGAAATATGGGGAGGCAAGCCGCAGGAGGGAGGGGCCCAGCACACGCTGGAGAGGGGACCCGTGGCGGTGAGGGGAGGGGGACAATCCGGGGACGGGGACAATCCGGGGACAGGAACAGTGGAGACGGGAAGGGCCCAGGGCTCAGGGGGACCGGGGCGGGGGCGGAGAGGCGCAGGGCACCGTCCGGGGTGGGGCACGGGACCCCGCGGCGCGCACCTTGCCGCGCAGCGCCTTCCTCCAGCGCGGTTCCCACTCGGGCGGCTCGGGGCCCGCAGCCATACGGCAGGCGGCGCAGAGCGGGCCGGCGTCGGCGCGGCACAGCAGCTGCAGCGCGGCCTCGCTGGCCGGGCCGTCGCGCGCGGGCGCCGCGGCCGCCTCCTCGAGCGCCAGAAGGCGGCGGCTGAGCGGGGGCCTGCCGGGCTCCACGGCGCGCTGCCAGCAGTCGTCGGCGCACTCGGGGCACGGGAAGGGCCCGTCCTCCTCGGCCCAGAAGCGCACCACGCACGCCCGACAGAAGCGGTGGCCGCAGTCGGCGCGCACCGGTTCCCGGGGCGCGCGCTGGCACAGGGCGCAGGCGGCCTCGGCGGGGCCCGCAGGGAGCGCCAGGGCTGCGGGCGGCGGGGCCGGCAAGGGCGCAGGAGCGGCTGGGGAGGGCCGGAGACCTAGACGGCCGGCGACCGGACGGAGACCAGCAACAGGACGAAGACGCCAACGCCGGGGACGCGCACGGGGCGGGGTCGGGGACGCGCACGGGGCGGGGTCCGGACCGCGGAGCGCTCTGCCGATAAGATCCTGGCAGCGGTGTGCTGCAGCCGGAGGTCCTGGCCGCGCTGCGCTCCACAGACAAGATCCTGGCAGCAGTGTACTGCATCCTTAGGTCCTGGCCGCGGTGGGCTTCTCCGCCTGGATCCTAGCGGCGGTGCGCTCCTCCGCCTTGATTTTGGCAACTATGCTCTCCACCTGCAAGGTCCTGGCAGCGGCGCACGTCACCGCGCAAGTCCTGGCAGCTGCGCGCTTCACTCTACTGCCTGCGGACCGGCCCAAGTCGTATCCTGAAATCTTACTGGGCTGTCCCTTCCTACTTCAGTAACTCCTGCGAAAGAGGGAAACAAAGTTTTATTTTTACTTGAAGGTTCCATTTTTAAAAGGTTGTTTTTGTAAGCTGCTAGGATCTGAGCTGCGCGTACCCCCGCGGTAGCTCGCCCGCGTGGGCTGGGGACGGGGCGGGAAATGGCCTGCGTGGGCCTCCTCCGCTGCTCTCATCCTGCACGGACCCGCCCTGCATGGGCACGCCCTGCGTGCACGGGCCTGCCCGCGTGGACGTGCCCTGCGTGCACCCTTCCTTCAGGGACCCGCCCTTGAACGGCCCTCCGGACGTGGACACTCGTATACGCCCACCCTGCGTGGGATCTCCCTGCGTGGACCCATCCCGCTGAGCCTCTTCTCGCGCAGCCTCCCTCTGGCCCCCTGGGAAGCTACCCTGGTTGTCCGCTGTCTCCTGGCTGGGGGGAGCTCTCATTGATTCTGTGATGATGCATGACAGAAGAGCATTTGTTAGCTTTGCTTTGCTTTTCTTTCTTTTTTGAGACAGCCTCGCTCTGTTGCCAGGCAGGCTTGAGTGCAGTGGCGCGATCTCGGCTCACTGCAACCTCCGCGTCCCGGGTTCAAGCGATTCTCCTGCCTCAGCCCCCCGAGTAGCCGGTATTGCAGGCGCCTGCCACGACGCCCGGCTAATTTTTGTATTTTTAGTACAGACGGGGTTTCACCATGTTGGCCAGGCTGGCCTCGAACTCCTGACCTCGTAATCCACCCGCCTCTGCCTCCCAAAGTGCTGGGATTACAGGCGTGAGCCACTACACCCGGCCGTTAGCTTTTCTTTAAAAAATAAATTTAAAGGAAAGAAATAAGCCTTTGGGAAGAGCAATCTTGTGTTTTTGTTTTTTAATTATTTTGAAAACAAGCAAGCATGGTTAAAATAAGATTGTGCAAGTTTTGCATTTTAAAAAATTAATCTGGGCCGGGCGCCGTGGCTCACGTCTCTAATCCCAGCACTTTGCGAGGCCGAGGCGAGCGGATCACAAGGTCAAGATATGAGACCATCCTGGCTCATGGTGAAACCCCGTCTCTACTAAAAATACACAAATTAGCCGGGCGTGGTGGCGCATGCCTGTAATCCCAGCTACTCAGGAGGCTGAGGCAGGAGAATCACTTGAACCAGGGAGTCGGAGGTTGCGGTGAGCCAAGATCGTGCCACTGCACTCTAGCCTGGCGACAGAGCGAGACTCTGTCTTAAAAAACAAAAACAAAAAAAAATTTTTATAAATCTGTATTCCAAGCAAGCGCAGGATCTAATGAGGTATTTTTGTCTTTGTGAAGATTTTTTAAATCGACTTGGAAATGCACTAGATGCCCGTGGGAAACATGAATAGTAAACCGAGGTTATTTCTGTGTAGTAAAGATTAGAGGCTTCCAGCCGAGCCTTGCTGATATTGTTGAGTCAACTAGGAACTTGCTGGAGAGAAAAGTAAAAAATATAAAAAATGAGCAAACTTCATAATGAACTAATCTTGTGAATGAGAAAATATCAAAAATTATAATTAAAGGCAAATAGCCAAATTAGGAACATTGTAACCACAAATATACAAAGAGTTTATAAAATTAGGTAAGGAAAAGCATGATGGAAAATACACCTTGTCATGGGATTTTTCAAATCACAAAAAAAAAAGCACACAAATGATTGAACACACATGAGAAAAAAATGTACACTCTGCCCAGTTAAGAAAGAGGAAAATAAAACGAGACTCTCTTTCTTTCCACTATTAAGTAAGCAGACCAAACAAAAAAAAGGAAACTTGGCCGGGAGCCGTGGCTCAGGCCTGTAAACACAGCACTTTGGGAGGCCGAGGCGGGTGAATCATCTGAGGTCAGGAGTTCAAGACCAGCCTGGCCAACATAGTGAAACCCTATCTCTACTAAAAATACAAAAATTAGGCTGGATGTGGTGGCACACGCCTGTAATCCCAGCACTTTGGGAGGCTGAGGCAGGTGGATCACAAGATCAAGAGATCGAGACCATCCTGGCCAACATGGTGAAACCCCGTCTCTACTAAAAATACAAAAATTAGTTGGGCATGGTGGTGCACGCCTGTGGTCCCAGCTACTTGAGAGGCTGAGGCAGGAGAATAGCTGGAACCGGGAGACGAAGGTTGCAGTGAGCCGAGATCATGCCACTACACTCCAACCTGGCGACAGAGCAAGACTCCCTCAGTTTCAAAAAAAAAAAAAAAATACAAAAATTAGCCAGGCATGGTGGCACGTGCCTGTAATCCCAGCTATTTGGGTGGCTGAGGCAGGAGAATCGCTTGAACCTGGGCGGTGGAGGTTGCAGTGAGCCGAGATCACACCACTGCACTCCAGCCTGGGCAACAGAGTGAAACTCCATTTCAAAAAAACAAAAAACAGAAAACAAACAAACAAAAAAAACACTTGATTCTGTGAATACTGCTTCTTGTAATCCACGTAGCAGTATCGATTAAGGATTTTCTGATTGGAATTCCTTTTCTTAGAAAACAAACTATAAAAATAACAGGAAATGAAAATAATAAAAATTGGGTTGTAAAAAATTGGGCTGTTTTGTTTTGTTTAGAAATGTGGCTGGGAGAGGTGGCTCATGCCTGTTAATCCCAGCACTTTGGGAGGCTGAGGTGAGTGGATAGCTTGAGCCCAGTAGTTCAACACCAGCCTGGGGAACATGGCAAGAACCTGTCTGTACAGAAAATTTTTAAAATTTAGCTGGGCGTGGTGGCACGCACCTGTGGACCCAACTACTTGGGAGGCTGAGGTGGGAGGATCACCCGAGCACAGGAGATTGAGCCTGTAGTGAGCCGTGATCATGCCACTGCACTCCAGCCTGGGAAATGAGAGAATTTTTTAAGACCTTGTCTTAAAAAAAAGAAAGAGAGAGAGAGAGAGAGAGAGAGGTGGGGGCGGGGGGTGGGGGAGAGAAGGAAGGAGTGGAGGGAGAGAGGAAGGAAGGAAGAAAGGGAAAAGAAAAAGAAGAAAGGAAGGAAAGAAAGAAAAGGAAGGAAGGAAGGAGAAAAAGAAGGAAGGAAAGAAAGAGAGAAAGGAAGGGAGGGAGGGAGGAAGGGAGAGGAAGAAAGAGAAGAAAGAAAGAGAAATGTATGTCATATCACTATTCATTTTGGAGAAAAAAAAAAAAACCTTGAAGGTCCAATACTAGGGGCATGGCTTAGCAAATGGTAGCAGCCATGAACTTGCACATGTGTGCATTAGAGACTTTTGGAAGTATACACTGGCAAAGATTGTTGCCTGAAAGCCTCTCTCCCTTACCACCAGCAGAATCCACATTGTGTGGTGCCAGCATCCCCACTTCCCAAGACAGGGTGGCTGGTGTAGGTGCCAAGGGGAACCCTTGGTCCTCTCAAATTTTGATGAAAAATTGCAAAAGGCTGGTCGCGGTGGCTCACGCCTGTAATCCCAGCACTTTGGGAGGCCGAGGCTGGCAGATCACAAGGCCAGGAGATGGAGACCATCCTGGCCAACACGGTGAAACCCCATCTCTACTGAAAATACAAAAATTAGCTGGGCATGGTGCTGCATGCCTGTAGTCCCAGCTACTCGGGAGGCTGAGGCAGGAGAATCGCTTGAACCCAGGAGACGGAGGCTACAGTGAGCTGACATAGCATCACTGCACTCCAGCCTGGGTGACAGAGCCAGACTCTGTCTCAAAAAAAAAAAAAAAAGAAAGAAAAATTGCAAAAGGCAGATCAATTGGAGAAAAGGCAGACACATTTATTTACTGTGTCTATACAAACCTAAAGATATGGGGGAAATCGTCCTTTTTTTTTTTTTTTTTGAGACGGAGTCTTGCTCTGTCACCCAGGCTGGAGTGCAGTGGCGCGATCTCGGCTCGCTGCAACCTCCGCCTCCCGGGTTCAAGCGATTCTCCTGCCTCAGCCTCCCGAGTAGCTGGACTACAGGCACGTGCCATACCGCCCGACTAAGTTTTTGTATTTTTAGTAGAGACGGGGGTTCACCGTGTTAGCCAGGATGGTCTCGATCTCCTGACCTTGTGATCCGCCCACTTCGGCCTCCCAAAGTTCTGGGATTAGAGGCGTGAGCCACCATGCCTGGCCAAGATATGAGGGAAATCATCCATTTTTATGCTTAGGTTCCACAAGGTATGGACAGCCATGCAGAAATAGAATTGGGCAAATAGGGTCGGAGCTAATGAGAAGAGCCTAAGTGGGGACACCCAGCCAGGCCTGTCTGTCTAGATTCTTATGGCCTCTCTGAGCAGTCTTCCTTCCTTCCTTCCTTCCATCCAGGACCCTCTCTGGAGTGAGGGTCTTAAGATCTACAGTCTAACAAGGTAGGTCAGATCATTTCTTCATGGCTGGGTTTTACACAGAAAGGCAGAAAGAAAATTAGAGTCATATTTTTTAAGTGTTATAGCTGGCTTTGGGTTCTAGTTTCTATGACTCACCTTGAGGAAGAGGGATTCTAGTTTCTATGGCCAGACAGGGGAGAATGAGGGGCTAGAGACAGAGGGCCAGAGAAGGTCAGAGAAAACTTTTTGCTTCTGAGGCTGCTTAGGATGTCCTCATTTTGGGTCTTGTTTTCTGAGCCTCCTGGCACTTCTCTGTCCAGCCTCCCTCCTCTCTACCCTCCAGATTAGAGACTGAGCCTGATGCCGTTTGAGCACTCAGTTGGGTGGGGAAAGAGTACTCCTCCTCCCTCATGTGCCTCTTGAACTGTTTGGAAAATTGAAGGCTTTCACTTTCTGATCAGAGACAGGATCAAAGTGGGCAGTGGGTTTTTTGTTTGTTTGTTTGTTTGTTTGTTTTTTCTCAGCATGACATCTCATAGATTCCACAAAGACAGAAGAACATTGACGAGTCTTGGATGTCTCTGGGCTCTTGAATTCCCATCGCATTGGCATCAAAGAACTGAATAAGACACTGTTCCGCCACAAAACGGTGCTGGATGCTGAACCATCATCTTCTCAGGATAATATTTTCAACTGATTAATGTAAAATGTTTGGGGATTTCACTGGCAACCACAAAAGCATGTGAATATTTTCTCTAAGAGTGCGATGAAGTCTTTTTTTTTTTTTTTTTTTTTTTTTTTTGTGAGACAGAGTCTCACTCTGTCCCCCAGGCTGGGGTGCAGTGGCACAATCTCAGCTCACTGCAACTTCTGCCTTCTGGGCTCAAGCAATTCTCTTGTCTCAGCCTCCCGAGTAGCTAGGACTAAAGGCACCTGCCACCACGCCCAGCTAATTTTTGTATTTTTAGTAGAGACAGGGTTTCACCTTGTTGATCAGGCTGGTCTTAGACTCCTGACCTCAGGTGATGCACCTGACCTCAGGTGATGCACCTGCCTTGGCCTCCCAAAGTGTTGGGATTACAGGCGTAAGCCACCACTCCTGGCCAGTCTTTTTTTTTTTTTTGTAAGGCAACAGAAACAACCAAAAAATGGATGACTAGAAGAGAGGTAAACGATTCTAATTATAGGAAATTTTTGAGACAGTCTTACTCTGTCACCCAGGCTGGAGTACAGTAGCATGATCTCGGCTCACTGCAACCTCCGCCTCCTGGGCTCAAGCAATTCTCCTGCCTCAGCCTCCCTGGTAACTGGGACTATAGGCACACACTACCACACCCGGATAATTTTTGTATTTTTAGTAGAGATGGGGTTTCACCATGTTGGCCAGGCTAGTCTCGAACCCGTGACCTCATGTGATCCACCCGCCTCAGCCTACCAAAGTGCTGGGATTACAGTTGAGAGCCACCACACCCAGCCTTAATTACAGGAAATTTTAATCCCACATTTCCCTTGTATATTTGATGTGTCTTTTGTTATATGTATTTTATGGCATTGCGGGTTACCCTGTTTAAAATTGTAGTCTCACAAATCAGAGTGTACAAAAACGAATGTTGAAGAGGCCATAAGCTGTGTATTTAAAAGAAATATGGGAGATGCAAGGATGTTTGGATAGGAAGATATGACTTGGGAAATCTCATGTCCGGCACAGGGAAAAAGGAATCTGAAGTAATTAATTTTCATTGCTCCTAAAAGGCGAAATACAACTAAGAAACACAACTTCCTACGTGGTATGAAGTCACTCTGCTCTTCTGCCTGAGAAAATTGTCAGAATAGAAATGGAGTCACGAATGTTCACAAAACCCTGACCAATAGGATTGGAGAAGTCCTGAAGAGAAGATTTTTGGGCTTGCATGCCTGATTTAAAAAAAAAAAGAGACTACAAAAACCACAGCCTTGCTCAGAGGACATCGCCAGGGTACACAAAAAAGACATTTGCAAGGACATCTCCCCAGTAACCTCCTGTTTAACTTCGGACTGGTGTCACCCTTGTTATTGATATTTCTAACCACAGATAATTATTTCAAAACAATTATGTAATTCTTCTTATTTTTTTCCTTTAAAAACCTTTGTCTTCCTTTACCTCTCTGAATACGCACTTACTTTTTACTATGGCACACGTATTCCCATTGCAATGCTTTATTCCCAAATAAATTTCTTTTAGAGAGCTTGTCTCGGTTTATTTCAGTTGACACCAAATTTTCTATGTGTAAGTGAAAAAAAGGTAGGGGGGAATCATAAAGTGTCAAAATGGAGAGATGTCTTCCAGATGGTTCAGTCCAGTCCCTGTGTCTTACTAAAGGAGACTAAGCATGTTAACACACACACACAAACACACACACACACACACACTCCAACCTGCTGAAAATAAAGTCTCTTTTTAAACATTTCTGTCTACATTGTTCTGGTGTTAGAATTGCACTGGAGGACGCCCAGCTGGTGTCCACTGGGGAATCTGCAGAGTTGCTTGCTTGGTGTGTGGGAAAACACTCCTGCCAACATCTGGTGGCAGAAGGGTCATGTTGAGTGGAGAGTTGGAAAAAAACATGTCCATTGATTTTTCCTGTATGTCTTGAGTTGCAGGGGATGGAAACCCCTTTCCTTTAAGCAAGGAAAATGGGTTTAACAGGCAAGGTACTTGGGAGTGTGTGTGTGTGTGTGTGTGTGTGTGTGTGTGTGTGTGTGTACATAAGAGGGGGCCCACACAGGCTGGTGATAAAGGTGGACTCTGAGCTGAGATGTATGCTTTTTAACTAGAGCCTTGTGCCTGAGTAGAGTAGCATGCAATAAATGATACCTGAGCAGTTCTGTACCTACACCAGATCTGTTTGGAGGGCACAACTCATGCTGCATGTTTCAACCACAGTCAAATAAATAATACAATTCAAAATGTCTTCTTGGCTCTTCAATCTCACATGCATTTAGGCAATCCCACCCTTGCCTCACTAAAATGAGTGCCCACTGATGACCACAACCTTATCCAACATGGTTCTCAAATCGAGGACACATTACAAATGGGCTGATGGCATCAACTCCCACAAGCCTCTGTGTGCTGCTTTGATGTGTCAGGAGCTTTAGGTTGCGGGTGACAGGACCTAACTGCAGATGGCTGTAAATGACAGTGGAGGAGGGTGGCCTGTGGCTCCTGAGACTGCAAGTGCAGCCTGATACTGTCAGGCAGTGTGAGCCCTGGGAGCCTGGGGATGTCCCAGGACACACACTTCTTCCTCCGTCCCCTTCCTCCTGGGTGGTCCCCCTACAGCCCCAGGCAATTGTCTCCTCAAGGCCAAATGGCCAGGTCGGGCTTCCATTGACAGCCACTCCAGCCCAGCAAATCAGAGCTCCCCTCCTCCAGATATCCAGGGTGGGTGTTGGGCCAGGCACTGATGCCATTATCATGACCAGGGAAGGGCCTGAGGACCCAGTGGTCAGACCTCCCATCATGGGCTGGAACCAGCTCCGGCCAGAGAAAGAGGATGCATTCGAGCAGGGCCCAAGCCCAGAGCCACACACCAGCTAGGGGCCAAGGGAGAAAAGGAAGGAAATGACGAAGGGGCCTGATTAAAAAAGAAAAAAAAAAAAAAAAACCACAGCCTTGCACAGATACCATCGCCACCACAGACAAAAATGAGGGACTGTGGTCACCTGCAGGGCCAGAGACAGCATGGGTGGGCTGGGCTACCATCCATACCTCAACATCCAGGAGCCCTGGCCTCTCTCACTGCAACCCTCCACGCAGGCAGAGATAACGTTCACAAAATTAACTGCTACCCTTAAAGATGGCGAATATTAAGCTAACTGTATTATCCAATATTATGGATAGCCTTTGCATAATTTTTAAACCTTTCAACTTAAAAACTCATGTCAAAACCAATTACTCAATGTTTCATTTTAAATGCAATTGTAATGGTAATCTTTTCAATATTTCAGATGTCAAAATTGCTCAAAAAATTAGGATTCTAAATATCTAAATATACCCGTGAAAGGAAAATAAATCTTGGGGCCCCAAAGTCACTTGGCTAAAGAGAAAAGTCAAGCTGGGAACTGCTTAGGGCCAACCTGCCTCCCATTCTATTTAAAGTCACCCGTCTGCTCACTGAAATAGATGCATATCTGATTGCCTCCTTTGGAAAGGCAAATCAGAAACTCAAAAGAATGCAACTGTTTGTGTTTCACCTATTTGTGACCAGGAAGGCCCCTCCCCACTTTGAATCTTTCTGCCTTTGCTTCAGGTTTTCCTGCCTTTCCAGACTGAACCAATGTACTTACATATATTGACTGATGTCTCATGTCTCCCTAAAATGCATAAAACCAAGCTGTGCCCCGAGCACCTTGAGCACTTGTCGTCAGGACTTCCTGAGGCTGTGTCATGAGTGCCTGTCCTCAACCTTGGCAAAATAAACTTTCTAAATTAACTGAGACCTGTCTCAAATTTTCAGAGTTCAAATACCTAAGGTATTTCTATTTTATTTACTTACTTAAGAGATGCATTCTCAGTGTCCTTTAGTTCAATCTAATCCTTATGCCTATCAAAAGACAAAATTACAACAAATTTAGAGACATAATGTTTTTAAAATTATTATTATTATTATTATTATTATTATTATTTTGAGACAGGGCTTTGCTCTTGCTCTGTTGCCCAGGCTAGAGTTCAATGGCGCAATGAGGGCTCACTGCAGCCTCCACCTCCCTGGCTCAAGCAATCTTCCCACCTCAATCTCCCAAGTAGCAGAGACTACAGGTGTGTGCCATCAAGTCTGGCTAAGTTTTAAAATTTTTTGTAGAGAAAAGGTTTCACCATGTTGCCCAGGCTTGTCTCAAACTCCTGGGCTCAAGTGGTCCTCCCACCTCAGCCTTCTAAAGTGCTGGGACTACAGGCATGAGCCACCATGCCTGGCCTAGAAGCTAAGATATTTCTAAACTGAAAGTAATAATAATAATAGGTATTATTATTATTATTCTAAGCCTTTGATTCACTATATATAAAGCAATTCCATAATCCTGACCCAAGCAAATTTGGTTTTCTCTCCCAGGTCCCTGAAGTGAATGAATGATAATCTCTGTTCAGATCCTATCACTTGGTTCCCAGCTTGAACCGGGATGTTGACAAAAATACGGACTAGAGCACAAAAGGGCCTTGCTTGCCTTGCACACCCTTCAGACATAAGTTACAGCTCTGTGGTTTCTTCCATCTAAAACTTGCAACCTCCCTGTCTCAATTGGTTCAGGCCGCTGTGAAAGGAAGATAGTTGGACCCCTTCAGGCTGGGAACCTCTCAGGTCAAATCTACCTCACATGCTATTCAGTCATCCCTCTGCTCACAGAGATAGACGCATATTCTGATTGCCTCTTGGGAAAGACTTATCAGACACTCAAAAGAATGCAACCATCTGTCTCTCTCATCTACTTGTGACCTGGAAGCCCCCAGTACAGTGTGGGTGGGGCGGCCTTGTTTTGAGCTGTCTCCGCCTTTTGGGATGGAGCTAATGTACTTCTTAATATATTAATTGATGTCTCATGTCTCCCTAAAATGTATAAAACCAAGCTGTGCCCCAACCACCTTGGGCGCGTGTTGGCAGGACTTCCTGAGGCTGTGTCACGCACATGTCCTCAACCTTGGCAAAATAAACTTTCTAAATTAACTGAGACCTGTCTCAGATTTTTAGGGTTCACACCACCATAACACTGCAGCAGAGAGACTGGGTGCCATAAACAATAGAAGTTTACTTTCTCATGGTGCTGGAGGCTGGAGTCCGAGATCAAGGTGTGAACAAGGTCATTTCCCCCTGAGGCGTCTCTCCTGAGCCTGTAGATGCAGTCTCCTCCCCGGTCCTCATAGGGCCATCCCTCCTTGTGAGTCTGTGCCCTAATCCCTTCTTATGAGGACAACAGACCTATGGGAGTAGGGCCCACCCCAAGGAACTCATTTACCTTTATTTCCTCTTTAATGGCTCTGTCTCCAAACACAGCCACATTCTGAGGTCCTGGGGGTAGGACTTCAACCTGTGAATTTCAAGGGACATAATTCACTTTATAACAGCCCCCTACCCCAACAAGCAGGTGAGCACCAGCCAGGTTTCCTCCCAGCTCCTGTTTGAACTGGACTTGCTGGCCCTCTGGGGATACTTGGATTCTTGCACTGACTGAGGGTTTGTGTGCATCTGAGGTCATTGTTGACGACAGCCCTCTCTCTAGACATGGGACATCATAAGATGTGGGCTAGCCAGGTGCGGTGGCTCACGCCTGTAATCCCAGCACTTTGGGAGGCCGAGGCAGGCAGATCACCTGAAGTCGGGAGTTTGAGACAAGCCTGACCAACATGGAGAAACCCCATCTCTACTAAAAATACAAAATTAGCCAGGTGTGGTGGCACACGCCTGTAATCCCAGCTACTCGGGAGGCTGAGGCAGGAGAACCTGGGAGGCAGAGGTTGCGGTGAGCCGAGATCGCGCCATTGCTCTCCAGCCTGGGCAACAAGAGCTAAACTCCGTCTAAAAAAAAAAAAAGAGAGAGAAAGAAAAAAAAGATGTGGGCTAACTGCACAGACCTAGAAAGTTGCGGGGCAGGAGCATCAAGGATCAGGACATTACTGGTGTGTTATCAGCATTGCCCTGCTTCTGATCAACAGGGTGGACAGCTTAGGAGCCAAGGGAAAACTTCCCCTTTATCTTCTGAAGTTTTGTTATAAAATCAGCTGACAGAAGGCAGATTGCTAGGAGGAAAGGCTTACACATCTATTAACATGCATGGGGAGAATCACAGGGTGGTTACCCCACCATGCAATGGGGTGCAGAGGCCTTTATTCTCCTCTTAGGGGAAAGGGAGATAAGGAAGTGTGCATTATTTTAGGGGGATAGTAAATATTTTTTAGGGAAATTCAACGGGCTTGAAGAACATACAATGGTCTGGGACAGTCTGTTGGTTTGTGACAAAGACAGCTTCTACCAGGGCCAATTTTATAGCTAAAAAATATATTTACAGCTAGAAAAAAAAGGTCTGTCCAGGCATGTTGACCGACTTCAGTCCTCATTCCTGTGATGAGAGTTCAGCCGTTTGAAACTCAGGGAAGGGATCGGAGGCCATTGTTTTCTGCTGCAGCAGGTCTGCACTTTAGGCAGATAGGGGAATTTCAGAGAACAGCTTCATCCAGTGCTTTGGGAGAGACAGAAGATTGGGAGACAGGAAGGAGGGGAAGGTCAGAGAGACCTGGAGGCTTCTTATTCAGTTCAGCATGTCAAAGCGCTGGGGTATCAGTTTCTGAGCCCCAAAAAGAGCAAACAGCATTCCTGGCAGGATAGAGGAATGCAAGTGTAGTAACCATGCCTTTGATTTTCTATATTTTCAGAGGCTTTGACATCCAGGGCCTCACTGGCCATGGAGGGACAGCTTCTCCCGGGGACAATTTTATAGCTAGAAAAAAAAATTTACAGCTAGAAAAAAAAATTACTGGGATTGTGCATTTCATATACAAACTCACCAACCCAGAGCCCACAGCCCCAACCACTCATCTATGGAGCTGTCACACTCCAGGCCACTATCGTTCTCTCTCTGTTATTTTGGTTGGCACTCCAAATTTTCTATGTGTAAATGGAAAAAGGGTGAGGGGGATCACAAAATGTTGAAATTGAGAGATGTCTTTGAATGGCACAGTCCAGCCCCTGTGTCTTATATAAAAGGAGACTAAAAGGAGTACATCAGGTTAATACCTACACATATTGCCAACCTGCCAAAACTGAAGACTCTTTTAAAAATTTCCCATTTGCATTTTTCTGCTGTCGGAATTGCATTGCATTGGAGGACACCCAGCTGGTGTCCACTGGGGAATCTATAGAATTGCTTTCTTGGTGTGTGGCCCAAAGCATCCCAAGGTTAGGTACCCAGAGCCTGCTGGGCTTATT
The DNA here is from genome assembly GCF_000001405.40 of Homo sapiens. Lineage (NCBI taxonomy): Eukaryota > Metazoa > Chordata > Mammalia > Primates > Hominidae > Homo > Homo sapiens. Next base: position 228,474,789 of record NC_000001.11, on the reverse strand, counting down.
CAAACCAGCCATTGTGAGCTAGCTTAGTCTGCCTTGCCTGCTCCTTCCAGTGAAAGCCACAGTAAAGGCTCCTGCCCACACTTTCCCCTCCCTCCATCTGCCTCTTAACTGACCCTGGCGCTATCCCTCGTGGCATCGAAGGCTTAGCAATAGCAAACCCCTCCTCTTGGGAACTGTGAGTAATAAACTATCTTTTCAATGGTGTTTGTCTCCTGATCTGTTGGCCTCACTGTACCTGAGTAATTTTTTTTTTAATTTTTTATTTTTATTTTTATTTTTTTTGAGATGGAGTCTAGCTCTCTCTCCCACTCTGGAGGGCAGTGGCACGATCTCAGCTCACTGCAAGCTCCTGGGCTCACACCATTCTCCTGCCTCAGCCTCCCGAGTAGTTGGGACTACAGGCGCCCACCACCATGCCCAGCTAATTTTTTGTATTTTTTAGCAGAGACGGGATTTCATCGTGTTAGCCAGGATGGTCTCGATCTCCTGACCTCGTGATCCACCCACCTCAGCCTCCCAAAGTGCTGGGATTACAGGTGTGAGCCACCGTGCCCGGCCTTTAATTCTATTTTTAAAAAGTGAGAGGAGGCCCAGAAGAAGAGATGGCAGGGAGTCCTGGCTGGGCTGCAGGATTAGGATTGTGGGTGGGGCATCCAGGGACCATGTACATAGTGAGGGCTTACACAATAGAGATGTGACCAGGTGCTGGAATTTCTCAGTGCCCCAATGCAGAAACATGAACTGGTTGGAGGGAGACCAAGTGCCAGGGAGGAAGTTCCTAGGCCAGATGGGGGACTCATCTAGAATGCCTGCCCGTGTGTGAGCAGCACCATGGTGCTGAGCTAGGGAGAGAAGTGTGGCCATTGACTAGAAATGGAGAAGAGTGAGATGACACCACCAGGGTTTCTATGTGGTGTGCGTCCCTTGGAGTGGAGAGCTGGGGTGAGAAGGTGAGTTCAGTTTTGTAGAAGATTCAGCTTGAGGCTGGAGCCTTTGAGGAGTGTTTTTAAATCTCACTGGGGGCCGGACACGGTGGCTCACACCTGTAATCCCAGGACTTTGGGAGGCCAAGGCAGGAGGATCACTTGAGGTCAGGAGTTCGAGACCAGCCCCCTGAGGATGTAGAGTAAGAAATGTTAGGTAGGTGTGTGGATATCAGAACCACATTTTGGGAAACCCTCTCCCCAAAAATTGTATAGCCCATAAGGAGGAATTTAGGGAAGTTGTTACTACAGGTGGGGACAGGGTGGTGTTAGAAGCTAGACAGGAAGAACAGGAGGGAAAAGCATTCAGAAAGCACTTGTGTAATTGGATGCACAGCTCTCCCTTGGACAAGGCAGCGTGGGTTAAGGGTGCTGACCCCTGTCCAGTTGAAAATCCAAGTATAACTTTTTTTTGAGTTGGGGTCTCACTCTGTCGCCCATACTGGAGTGTAATCACAGCTCACTGCAGCCTCGAACTCCTGAGCCCAAGCAGTCTTCCCACATCAGTCTCTCAAATAGCTGGAACCACAGGCCTGAGCCACCATGGCCAGGTAAATTTTGTATTTTTTATTTTTTTGTGCAGATGTGATCTTGCTATGTTGCCCAGGCTGGTCTCAAACTCCTGGCCTCAAGCAATCCTCCCACTTTGGCCTCCCAAAATGTTGGGATTACAGGCGTGAGCCATGGTGCCTGGCCTTCACATATAATTTGACTCCCCCAAAACTTAACTACTAATAGGCTACTGTTGGAAGCCTTACCAATAACATAAGCAGTCGATTGAGGCAAATTTTGAATGTTCTATATATTACATACTGTGTCCTTACAATACGGTAAGCTAGAGGAAAGAAAATGTTATTAAGAAAGTCCTAAGAAAGAGAACATGTAGTTACTATTCATGAAAAGGAAGTGAATCATCATAAAGGTCATCCTCGTGGTCTTCACACTGAGAGGCTGCAGAGGAGGAGGAAGGAGAGGAGGGCTTCATCTCGCTGTCTCAGGGATAGGGGTAGCAAAGGCTGGAGAAAAGCGGTGTATCGGTAACCCTCAAAGGTCAAACTCTGGTTGCTCAAGGGTCAGCTGTACAGTTGAGAACCCATGCAGGTGTAGGCACAGGGTAGATAAACGGTTAAAATAGCAAACCAAACAGGCCACAGCCCTCCTGCTAGAGAAAGTATAGGAGTTTCTTACTTTTCTGGAAGGAAGAATTTTTTGATTACGTGTTAGAATTTATTTGATGGTCCAGCACATTAATGACATCATGTAGGGGGAAAATACCCTCCACCCCATCAATTCTTAGTTGAAACTGACCCCTGTTATAAAAGACACATTAGCAAGAGGCACAAATAGCAGCTTACTAGCAGCTACCTTTCCTAGATACATGCGTGGCCCCCAGAGAATGGGTAGTCCTCAAAGAGGTGGCTTTGAATTCCCGCTTTTATGGTATCTTCAACAAAGAACAGTAAATCTGCAGAGAAGTGACAAGATAAGAGAGATGAACTTTGAGTCTCTAGGAACAGCAACTTGGAGAAAGGCACATAAAGGACACATGAAGTCTAGTTAGTAGCCCTTGCTAATGCAGATCCCCTGGTAGCATCTCCAGTCAATAAAGGTGCAAAGTTGTCTTCAGTGCTAACCTCCCTTCTCCCTGGTGAAGTGGGGTGGGGGCTGGATGCCTTCTGTAAATCCATGTCCTGCTTTTAGCCACCCAGAGGGAGGGCAGTGAGCTCTCCTGTATACTTTCTTCTCCATTGCCCTGAGCCCAACAATCCCTCATCTTGCAGGAGGCATATTCTGCTCTTCCACTGGAACAAAATGCCCCCTAGGGGTGACTTAAGAAGACAGCAGGGTGCAGAATCTGAGGCTACAAAACAAGACTAGAAGACTTGGCTGGGGAGTCCAGTCTAGACTCAGGTTAGCTTTTTTTTTTTTTTTTGGAGGCAGTATCTTGCTTTGTCACCTACGCTGGACTGCAATGGCACGATCACAGCTCACTGCAGCCCCCTACTCCCAAGCTCAAGCGATGGCCCCGCCTCATCCTCCCAAGTAGCTGGGGGACGATAGGCGCAGGCCACCACGCCCGTTAACTTTTTAAATTTTTTTGTAGAGACGAGGTCTCGCTATGTCGTGTCACCCAAGCTGGTTTTGAACTCCTGGCCCCAAGTGATCCTCCAGCCTCCTTTGGAGGACACAGATGGACAGGGACCCGGTGGCCAGCCCATTTTCCCATCCCGGCCTGGGAAAGAAGCGTCAAATGCACTCGGGAAAATAACCCACTTCACCTAGTTAATGTCTTGGGCGGTTCTGGGAAAAGCGTTTCTGCGCAGTCCAGAGACCTGGACCTTCATCTCCAGCCTGCGCCCCACGGAGGCGGCACCGGAGCCGGCTTCCTTAGGTGTGTTGGTGACGTGCTGGGCGGGTCTGGCGGACCAGCCTCGCACCTCCTCGGGCGCAACGCGAGTGGGTTCCGTCTTGGGTTCCTGCGCGAAGGGGCAGCCCAGGCTCAGGGCATGCGGCGCCAGGGTGCTCTGCTTCACGAATGCCGGGGTACCGCAGTGCTGGGGTGCCGGACGCAAGGGTGTCAGATGGGGTGCTGCTGGGATTATAAGGGTCACCAGTTGCAGGGATGCTGGGGGTGCTGGGGTTACAGGGGTGTGGGGGCAGAGGATATGAATGCAGGGGTGCAGTGGTACCCGAGTGCAGAAGTGCAGGGGTGCCGGGAGCAGAGTTGTCAAATGGTGTGGTGCTGAGTTCACAGGGGTGCCAGGGATAGAGGGAAGCCCCGGCACCAGAGTGCAGGAGTGTTGGGATGCTGGGGCTGCAGGGGTGCCGGGGAAGATGGGTACGCAGTGCAGGGGTGCCGCGGTGCTGTGACGCCCCAATACTGAGGGGTGCAGTATCCAGTTGGTTCTAAATTCATTCTCACCCGCCTCACACCACAAACCAATTGGCTGATGCGCCTTCTCGAGCTTTCCAAAGCCACCCTTCATTCCGCTGCCTCTCTGCGACCCTCGGTTTTATTTCTGAGTTTGGAATTTGTTGTATTTCATGCACGTTTGCGCCTTAATGTTTTCTCCCCAATCTTTGCATGTCACCAAGATTTCTCGACCCCCGTGTGGCACAGGGATGAGGCTGCTTCGGGGTTTACAGGGTGGAGGAGGCCGGCTTGCGTGTTCCTCAGGGTAAATCGGGGATCAGTCCAGCTCCCCTCCCCACCCATCCCCCGGAGCCCCTCCCCCAACTCCTGCTCCCCTCCCCGCCACCCTCCCCCACCCCCCTTCCTCCCCGCATACTTCTTGTCTCCCATCTGAGAGCCCCTCCCCTCCCAACCCGCCCCACCCCGGTATCCCCCACTTGCCCACCTCCTCCTGCACTCCCCCTGCACCCCTCCTAGCCCACCGTAGGGCACCCCTCCCCGCACACTCCCCGGCTCTCCCTTCCCTGGTGGAAACCACCTCTCCTGGTTAAATAATAAATATTTATTATTTATTATTTATTACATAAAATTCCCTTATGTCTTGTGATAGGTACGTTGCCGGTTTCCATATCTTCTCCAAATGCTGCTTGAAGCCACCAGCTTCGCAGTCAGCAGCCCGTAAGATATTTAATTGCAGTACGTAAGAAGAGAAATCTGTGGTATAATATTAGCTTGGGGAAGGGAGATCACTGGCCTTGAAGAGCTTTTCGCCAAAAGCTACTGTAGGGCAGGAGCTGCTTCGCTGGGTGGACAGGGCCACCAAAGGCCGCCGTTCAGGTTACCCCAAACCTGCTGCTCAGGGAGCACGCCTCGGGTTCCCAGGCTGGTGCCCTCGCCCGGGCCTGCCTCTGTTTCACTGATTGGCTTTCATGCTCCTGCTTTGCTTCTGCATCCACACCACCTGTCGCTGGCATTTGCAGCTCTTTTCTAAGTGCTGAAATGCAATGGAAATGAGCACAAAAGCTGCTCCTGCGGACGTGGGCGCTGGGAATCAGCCGGTGTGCCTCCTCGACTTGGTCAGAGGGCCTGCCCTCTTGGGCATCAGGTCCCCGGGGGCACCGGCCTTTGTCCCCCGTGCTCCGAGCGCTGGGCTGGGGAGCTCCCAGGTGCTGGCCCGGCGCAACCCGGTGCCTTTAAGCAGGGTGGGGGCGCGCCGGGAGGAGGTTGCTCTCAGGCGCCCCAGGAGTCGCCCCTGATGGAAACGCGCCTTGGCTGTGGCAGGAGGGCCTTTGTCCATAGGATGTCAACTGGAAGCCCTGAGAAGCGCAAGGCTGCCCAAACCCTTTTTTCCTTCTTTGCAATCCTGCAAGCATTACGGGAGGCCCCAATGTTCCCTGCAGAACTCCATAGCACACCCTGTCATTTCAGCCACTCCCAGTTCCTCCGCTTTAAATCGTACAAGGTTCCCTCTAGTCCTTGAGAAGCCTGGAAGCCTGTCCTCTCTGTATCTGTAGGGTGCTGTCCCTCACACAGATCCCACTCTACCGGTGGGGTCTGGATGGAGCATGTGCATTTGCCATTGCAACGTGCAATTTTATTAAATGCTTAAAAAAATAGAGACAGGGGTCTCGCTATGTTTGCTAGGCTGGTCTTAAACTCCTGGACTCAAGGGATCCTCCTGCTTGGGTCTCTCAAAGTGCTAGGATTACAGGCCTGAGCCACCGTGCTGCACCTGTATTAAATGCTTGTTTGTAAGACTTAAAGGGACCTGGCTTCTTGGCTGGTGGGGAAAGCGCTCACTGCAGGAAGCCCTCATCCTAGTAGAGAAGCATACATCATCTAGAGCTGCACAAAAATCTAAGGTGTAAAGATGGACTGATTTCATGCATTCAGTTATTCATTCAACACATTTGTGGACTGGCTTCCAGCCCAAGTACTGTACTCTAGAACGATTAAAGAAGTGCGGGGGGCAGGGGGGAGGTGTTTATTATTTTTCTTAATCATCTAAACCTGGTCACTAAGCTAGAGGCCACTGTTTCTTTTTCTTTTTTCTTTCTCTTTCCCTGTCCTTCCCTCCCTCCGTCTCCCCAACTGTCCCTCTTCTTTCTTTACTTCCTTCTTTCTTTCTTTTCCTTCCTTCCCTCTCTTCTTTTTTCCTTCTTTTCTTCACATGAGGAAAGCTTCAAGTTTACTCCATAGTGTCCGTCTGCCAATACATCATGTTGGTCTTGATCCGAGACACTGTCTCAATTGGCTCAGGCTGTTCTAACAAAATGCTACAGAAGGGGAGACTTAAACAACAGAAATTTATCAAAGTCTTTGGGGGAAAAGAGACCTGTGTGGGAAACATAGAAAAACCCTGTCTCTACAAAAAAAAAAAAAATTAGCCAGGCATGGTGGCACGTACCTATAGTCCCAGCTACTTGGGAGGCTGAGATAGGAGGATTGCTTGAACCCAGGAGTTTGAGGCTGCAGTGAGCTATGAATCACACCACTGCACTCTGGCCTGGGCAACAGAGCAAGACCCTGTCTCAAAAAAAAAACACACACACACACACACACACACACAAAAGACATTTAATACAAACTGCACATTACAGTTACATAACACATACATTTTGTGTCGTTATTTTCCCCCAAAGAGTGCTGATTATCCAAGGCTAGTAGTCTGAGATCAGGGTGTCAGCAGGGTTGGGTTTTGTGAGGTCATTCTTACTGGTTTGCACCTAGCCATCTTCTCCCTGTGTCCTCACATGGTGCTAGAAAGCGATATCCTAAAATGAAGACCTCTGAAGCAAAAAACTTTCTCTGATCTCCTGCCTTCCTGTCTCAGTCCCATTCTCCCCCAGACTGGCCATAGAAACTAGAATACCTCTTCCCCAAGGCAGGTCATAAAAACCGCAACCCCTTTTCCCCACAGCCAGACACAAATCCTAAAAATATTACTCTAACTCCTGCCTTTCTGTGCAAATGCTGACCATAAATTCTCTGGGCCACCTTGTCTGGTTGTACGTCATAAGACTCCCATTCCACAGAGGGTCCTGTCTCATACCCAAGAGGAAGGAATGCCACGCAGAGAGGCCAAGAAGAATCTAGACAGACAGGGCTTGCTGGATGTCCCCACTCAGTGTATTAGCAGTAGATCATGCCCAATCCTATTTCTACATAGCAGTCCATATTTTGTTGAACCTAAGCATTAAAATAGACAGCTTCTTCTGTATTCATTCTGAAGGCTTTTTTGTCACACTAAACTATGATCAAATAAATGTGTATGCCTTTTCTCTTTTAATCTGTCTTTTGTCAGCTGATTTTTAGTGAATCTTCAGAGGGCAATAGGAAAGTTTTTCCTTGGGCCCTGCAGCAGAGAGAAAGAGAAAAGCAAGCTGTCTTGTGTCTCTTCTTATAAGGGCATGAATCCTACCATGCCACTCCACCCTCATGACATAATCATCCCCCAAAGGCCCCACCTTCTAACACCATCACCCTGGGGATGGGGGTTTTCAACCTAGAAATTTGGAGGGAACGCAGACATTGAGTCCCTAGCAATCACCACCCATGAGAACCAGGACTGATTTCCTGACACCACCAAGCAGCCACCATATGGTGGGCAGAGCAAATCCTAAATCTTAGTACCTGAAAGACATATTCTTACCCAAAGTCCTTAGAATGCCCACCTCCTGTCCCACTCCAAGTTTTGTTTCAAACCTTTCCACACCAGTAGGAAGCCAGGAAGCCTTAGTAAGAACCTGGTGGGAAGACCAGCATCTCACTGGGCTGGCAGGACCAAGGCAAGCAGTGCTATATATGTACATATATTAACGTTTGTTAAACCATGGTGAGGAAGGCTTCATTCAGGACGGTGGAGTAGGATTAGGACCATTGCAGTGGGATTCTGCAGCAGGGTAGAGAGATTGGGCTCAATTCTGAGTACCGCACTGACAAGTGGAAATTTATAGACAGGAGTAGGGTAGATTAGTGGATAGAACAGTATTAAGAGGAGACATCAGGGCCAAGTACGGTGGCTCATGCCTGTAATCCTAACACTTTGGGAGGCTGAGGAGGGTGGATCACTTGAGGTCAGCAGTTTGAGACCAGCCTGGCCAATATGGCAAAACCCTGTCTCCACTAAAAATACAAAACTTAGCCTAGCATGGTCAGGCATGCCTGTAATCCCAGCTACTCAGGAGGCTGAGGCAGGAAAATCATTTGAACCCGGGAGGTGGACGTTGCAGTGAACTGAGATTGTGCTACTGGGCAACAGAGCAAGATTCCATCTCAAAAAGAAGAAGAAGAAGAAGAAGAAGAAGAAGAAGAAGAAGAAGAAGAAGAAGAAGAAGAAGAAGAAGAAGAAGAAGAAGAAGAAGAAGACATCAGGTGTGAGGGGGATTCTGGGTAAACGAACCTCACATGGCTCTTGCTGGAGGCAGGCAGGGTGATCAGATATCACCTGGGGATGGAGGATGAGGAACCCCATCAGATAGCACAGAGGGCGATCAGATATTCAGAATCAGGGGTTCTAGTTAAACTGACTTAGCGGGGCTCTTCCTAAAACTGGATTTCACAAGAAAGTGCACAGATGGACCCAGGAGGAGGTTCTGGAGCCTGACCAGAGTTTGGCCAAGCAGAGAATCTTTGTCAAAGGGCTGTTTGAGAACTAAATTGAATCAAGTATTTATTAAGTGGTTACCTAGCCAGCTCTTAGTGAGCACTCTAGAAATGCTTGGTAAATCAACCACATATTTCAAAAGGAAGCAGATAAAGTGCTTAATGCTGGGTATGCCCAAAGCCATTCAGGGAACCCACAGTCTCAAGATGCCCAGAAGACCTCAGAGGACAGACTTGAATGTAGAGGGTACTGCCTCAGCTCACAGGCTTATTCACAAGCAGATACTGACTGGGCCCCTGCTGGTGCCACACTCTGTGCTCTGGAGCCTCAGACATGAAAGCCACATCCTTCCCTGTGAGTTAAGCTTAGTCAGCATGCTAGTGGGAGAGAAAGGTTTGTGCTACATATTTACGTGATGGATCTGCCCGGGGCATAGAGCAGGCTCTGCTGAGGTAGCCCAAGCTGCTTATGGCTGGATCAGTCCTAAGAAGGAAAGGCGCTAACAGGAATTAAGCACAAAATAGATGCTGGGCACCCTGCCCGCTGCTTCACACTCATTAATGCTCAGCAACGCTATCAGGCGGGCACTGGCAGCCTTATTTCACAGATGAGTATATGGAGGTGTGGAGAGGTAAATTATCTGCCCCAGCTAGGGCAGATAAATGACCTCCGGACTAGGGCTTCTCAAATCGTCAAGTGCACACAAGTCTATTTAAAATGCAAATTCTAACTCAATCAGATAGGAGTGGGCCTGAGATTCTGCTTTTTTAACCAGCTCTTCAGTTGAAGCTGAAATACACAACACCTTACGTTTCTTCATTGGGAATTAATAGAATGGCGGGGAGAGGGGCGCAGCTCGGAGACAGTGCCTTCTATAAGCCTGCGCTCTGACGGAGTTAGAGCAATCACAGTACCCACCTCTCGGGGATACCGGGAAACAAATGAGATCGCCCATAGCAATCCCTTTGCATTACGGCTGTCACTTCGAAGGGGTTTGGGGAGACCTTAAAAACAATAGGAAAGACTAAGTTTCATTTGAAACCCATTCAATTTCTCCAGTTAAAACTCTGCCTCATGACAATTCCAATTGAAGTACCTTAGCATGTTTTCTGTACTATTTTCTGTATTTCCTAACGAACCGTTTGGATTTACAATTGAATTCTGAGAAGAATGCATCTCTTTGATCTTTGGAGGAATGGAGGGAAGGGCAAGAAACGAAGGGTTAAGGTCGTTGCAAACTGCCATTCCCACCGCCACCTCCCCTTCTAAATAAGCACTAACTACCCCTCCCTAGCTGTGGGCCTCAGAAAAAAAAAATGCCCCCATGTATGTGCCTCACAGCCAGAGAAGACCTCAATTTGGGGTTGCAACCGTTTTTCAGTTTCTCTTTAGCTACCTCCAGATCCGCTGCAGACACAAAAATCTCCAGGTTTAAAACAAAGGCTTTGAACAAAGATGCGCAACCTCAGCTCCGGCGCGCGGCGGATATGCCTTGGGATTGGTTGGACCGCCGTCCAATAGGAAAGAAGAACCGGACTCTGCTATTTACAGAAATTCCTCCCAGTGGCGGCCGCGGAGTCAGGCCGTCCAATCAGACACTACAAATTTGGAGCCTTAATTTGAATATAAAGATGGCAAATAGCCCTGCCGGCCCCGCATCCGCGTTCGTCTAGGCGCTCTTGTCACCTCGCCATGCCGGAGCCATCGCGGGCGGCTCCGGCTTCTAAAAAGGGCTCCAAGAAGGCCATTACCAAGGCGCAGAAGAAGGACGGCAAGAAGCGCAAGCGCGGCCGCAAGGAGAGCTATTCTATCTACGTGTACAAGGTGCTGAAGCAGGTGCACCCCGACACCGGCATCTCGTCCAAGGCCATGGGCATCATGAACTCCTTCGTCAATGACATCTTCGAGCGCATCGCCAGCGAGGCCTCCCGCCTGGCGCACTACAAACAAGCGCTCCACCATCACGTCCCGCGAAGTGCAGACGGCCGTGCGCCTGCTGCTGCCCGGCGAGCTGGCCAAGCACGCCGTGTCCGAGGGCACTAAGGCTGTCACCAAGTACACCAGCTCCAAGTGAGGTGCGTCCCGGCGCCCCGAACCCAAAGGCTCTTTTCAGAGCCACCTCCAAGCTCCAAAAGGAGCGTGCCACCTGGTCTGGTTGTGACCTGTGATTCAATTGGAGTAATGAGGGAAAGTAGACTGAGCCGTGGGGGCGCAAGTCTTAGAGACAAAATTAGGCTTCTTGTTTGTAACGGCATATTTCCCTTAGAAAGGCTGCGTTCGTCTTGTGTTGGCCACAGGCAAAGTCAGAGAGGGGGCAGTACAGGCGATTGCGCCATGGATCCCATCCAAAGATCTGTGTGTGGCTTACGCCCTGCGCGCGAGGAGCGTGGGTCACCTCCGGGAAGATCTTGTGCCACGTCCCCGCCCCCAGTGCCTCCTGGCGGCTGAGACTGGAGGACGTGCTCACTGAGGTCCGGGGTTGGAGGTGAGGGGGTTATCGCGCCGTCTGGGCGGAGGCGCTTGGGTCCGTTCTTCTCCCGCCCCTTTCCTCCCTCCTTAGCCACAACTAGACACTGTGAGCTTCTAGCCAAAACCATTTCAGCAGCGTTGCGCCTAAGCAGCTCTTTATGCCACGCCTTCCTGCTTGAAACATCAAAACAGCAGGCTCACAGATCTCCTTATCACTCAGCTAAAATTTCCCCAATTAAGGGATTCTCGTATTTTACCCCCAAAATGTGTGTGTGTGTGTGTGTACGCATATTACACAGTGAAAGATTATTTTGAATAATGCAAATATAGTGCTTTTTAAAAAAAACTCCAGCAAATCATAGGAAAAATAAGTATGATCTCTGGATGACACATTAAAAACTAAGGCATGCAGGCCTGACTGGGGCCCAGGCTGTCCTCCCCCTAAAAATACCCCATACCGGTGACACCCCAACCACGAATACCTGAGAGCTACCCACCCTCTAAGCAAAAACGTTGCCTGGAATTAGAATTCGGTTTCCAGGCTCAGTTCCCACTGGTAGAAGATGCACTCTACCCAGGCTCAGTTCCCACTGCACACTCCCAACACAATGACAGCCACGCATTTATCAACATTTAACCTCTCTGGCCTCATAAAGTAAATCCATTTTCTTGGGTTAGTTTCTTCTTAAAGGGAGTTTTCTTTCCTCCAAATTCTTTTTGTAAATAGGCTTTATTTTTTAGAGCACTTTTTCAGAGCAATATGCTTTTTTATTAGTAGTACGTAATAGTTGTACATATTTGGGGGGTACAAATATTTTGATATACGCATAGGCTTAACAATCAAACCAGGGCAACTGGGACATCCGTCATCATATTCACACCCTCTTTAGGTCGAGATCATTCCAATTCCTCTCCTCCAGCAATACAACTAATTATTGTTAACTACAGTCACCCTACTTTTCTAACCAATACTAGATGTTACCATTTCTTCTAAGCATATTTTTGTACCCATTAATCAACTTCATCTCCTCCTTTCCCCACCACTCTTCCCAGCTTCTGGTAACCAGCAATCAACTTTCTACCTCCATGAGATGCATGTTCTTAGCTCCCACGTATGAGTGAGATCATGCAGTATTTGTCTTTCTGTGCCTGATTTGTTTTACTTAACATAATGTCCTCCAGTTCCATCCATGTTGCTGATGACGGGATTTCATTTTTTTTAATGGCCAAATAGTATTCGAATGTGTAAATGTACCACATATTCTTTATCCATATATCTACTGATGGGCACTAAGGTTGACTTTCTATCTTGGCTATTATAAATAGTGCTGCAATGAACATGAGACCGCAGACATCTCTTTGATATACTGATTTCCTTTCTTTTGGATATATACCCAGCAATGGGGTTGCTGGATCATATGGTAAGTCTGTTTTTAGTTTTTTAAAGAATGCCCATATTTGTCTCTATAGTGGCTGTACTGATTTACATTCTTACCAGCAGTGTACAAGCATCCCCTTTCCCTGCGTTCTCACCAACATTTGTTATTTTTTGTTTTTTAATCAAAGTTGGTTTAATTGGAGATGATTCCTTCCAAATTATTTTATTTACTGCATAATAATTAGCAAATCTGACTTGAAATTTCCATCTGAGATGGGTGAGGGGCAATCTCTTAAATACATGTCAGATTGTATGCCAGTCTGGAGGGATTTTGTAGGCATACAATCTGACATGTATTTAAGTGATTGTCACTCACCCATCTCAGATAGGTGAGATGAAGCTTAGTTTAAAAATTTGGCTTAGTTTAAGAATCTTGGCATGTCTCTCCAACCCAGAAAATGCTTCCATTTTGTTGAGTGAGTCCTAATTCCCTTAGTCTCTGTGGATTCTCACATATTTGATGTGCACTGCCTTCATTTATCATTAACATTTGTCTTTCTCTGTTGTAACACTATAATTAGAGAAATGGGTTCTGGACACGATTGCTCTGAATTTTCTCCATTATAAAATCTTAGTAGCAAGGATCCTGTTTTACCTTCTTTGCCTCTCCCTTAACAGATCCCTGTCCTAGGAGAGACGGACAAATCCCATTCATTCTGGGCCTGGGGGTGCTAATGTAGCAGGAAAAGACAGCCTGTTTCTACTTCAAGTTTGTGCCAGGGGAATCAGAAGGACTGAGACATGAATTGACTGACGTTTGACATTATCCATCACAAAATGCCTTCTTAGAGAATTACACTTGGAAAATGTCATGAAATGTTCATCTTGTGCCTTGATTTGATCTCTGGCACTAACCAGTGTTGTTGCCTTGTGCTAACACAATCATTCACTCTCTCTACTGGAGACTGGTTTCACTTTATTAAACCTATGTTTTAAGTTCATTAAGGTGGAGAACTATATGGGTCTGTGAGAGTAGTTTCACAGCTGCAAATGTTTAAGGTATTGACTTCCAATCCATGCTGGTAGGAGGCCGAGGGCTTGGATGTTCCAGTCATTGGGCACCTGTTTCATAGTGGAGAGGACTGGATTCAACAGCTTTTCATACAAATCCTATATTTCTTGACAGTACTAAGGGTGTTGACAAGTCCCACTTACTTTTGATGATGGATCACTGTTTAATATTTGGATTATAACTAGGGATGCAAAGAATTGAATAAAGTGCCTATGACAAAATTGTCATTCCTGTGTATTTTTTGTAAATTTTTTTTGGAGCATATATCAAAACAAAACAGAATGGAAATGACCCCGTGCACTGCTAGCATTGTAACCATATGGAAATGATCCCATGCTGTGCTAACACTGTAACAATATGAACACTGCATGTGTGCAGTCATTGAGGTGGAAAGGAGAGGAGAGAAGAGAGTGGGTGCACCATCCAGCTCATTAAGAGTCAGTTTCACTAAAAGTTTATCTGTTTGATAACATCAAATTATTTATGTTTTGAACAATTGTGTACTGTCGAGATGATTTTTCTTAACAGTGAGAGACTACCCAGAGGTATGCTTAAATTTCAATGTAGACTTTTTTGCAGAGAACAATAGACAAAACACTATTAAACATACAATAGATATATTATGGTAGGGTGAAATTGTAAGGCAAATGGAGAATGGAAATAGGCATTCAGGAGGAAAAAAATCATCTGAAACATCGCATTGACAAAGAAAAATTTGGTCATGTATTTTATGAATTGATTATACTATCATATTGATATTCCAAAAGGCACCTTGAGACTGATGTGAGAATTTTGATTTTTAAAAAGTTCCACGTTGGTATTTGTATCTTTGCAACTATTTTAATTGAAAATAAAAATATTTTAGATAGCTTTAAAACATGCGAGGTTCTCAAAGATTCTTGTAGAGGAATCACGCAGGAAAAAAAAGGTGGGGAATAGGGGACAAAGCCGTTTTGGTCGAGGATGTTCACGGTGACCTTTCTTTCCCCATCCCAGGCACGCGACGGGTTCCCTTTGGAGAAATGACTTGGGGGAAAAATATTTTTCATTGAATTTTATTTAAAAATTATTTCTCGGCCAGGAGAAGTGGCTCACGCCTGTAATCCCAGCACTTTGGGAGGCCGAGGAGGGTGGATCACGAGGTCAAGAGATCGAGACCATCCTGGCCAACATGGTGAAACCCCGTCTCTACTAAAAATTAAAAAAATTAGCTGGGCGTGGGTGGCGCACGCCTGTAGTCCCAGCTACTCGGGAGGCTGAGGCAGGAGAATCGCTTGAACCCGGGAGGCCGATGTTGCAGTGAGCAGAGATCGCGCCATTGCACTCCAGCCTGGGCGACAGAGCAAGACTCCGTCTCAAAAAAAAAAAAAATTATTTCTCATTTAACTTTATTGAATTTTTATTCCCTGCTGGAAATGGTGACACAAACGCTCAGTACTTCGAATTTTCACAACGGTTTGAGGAAGCAATTACTGGAAATCTTCTTTTTCTAAAGAAGAAAAGCCAAGTCATGAAAACGTAAACGATGCCCTTTCCAAAGTGAAAACTCTTCGTGCCAAAGAGCTTTCCTGCGCCAAAATGGCACTCCCCAAATAAATGCCGTGAATTTGGAGGGGGTAGGAAAGGAATTCTGCGTTGCTAACGCCTCGCAGAAAATAATGTGGCTAAAGAGGGAGGCAGCTACATTTGCTCAGAAAAAGGGAATTCTTTTCCTCCTAAATTAACCCCTTCCCCCACCCCCACTCCCATAAGGGTTAAAGTTACCGGCAGCTGGGGTCGCTTATTACATCCGGCTCCCCCGCGCAGGACGCTGCTTTGACGCCGTGCTTCGATTCGGTATCAAACATCCTGCCATCGCGGTATCCTGCCAGGAAAATATCCTCCCGGAATGTTCATTGCTTAAATCTAAACATGTCTGTCTGGTCCAGGCAGGGATGGAAAAGTCTTAAGCAAATGCAGAGCCAGGCACCACCGCCAGGGGAAAGTGACAACACCCATGGCCTCAGAGCCCGTGGTCTTGCGCCACGTCTGGCCTCGCCCATGGGGGGCGGGTAGGGTTGGGGAGGTTGGCACAGGGTCTTTTGGGGGGAGGTGACCCGCACTCCTCACCTGCACGGCGCACGCCAACCTCATTTGGACCCGGTCCTGAACCGGGCGCAAGCGCTCAACATCCAGGAATGCACCACTTGCTTATAAAAGACATTTGGGGCCAGGTGCGGTGGTTCACGCCTGTAATCCCAGCACTTTGGGAGGCAGAGGCGGATGGATCACCAGGTCAGAAGATCGAGACTATCCTGGCCAACATGGTGAAACCCCGTCTCTACTAAAAATACAAAAAATTAGCCAGGCGTGGTGGGGCGTGCCTGTAATCCCAGCTACTCGTAAGGCTGAGGCAGGAGAATCGCTTGAACCCAGGAGGCGGAGGTTGCAGTGAGCCCAGATTGCGCCACTGCACGCCAGCCTAGAGACAGAGCGAGACTTCTTCTAGAAAAAAAAAAAAAAAAAAAGAAAGAAAGAAAAAAAAAAGAAATCTCGTCGTGAGTTAATAGCTCTGCGCGGAGGGAGGGGATGGAGAGGGGGTCCTTGATCGCCTCCCAACATTACTGAGCTACATCACCTGAGCAGTTTCTACCCCGATTTCTGTAACGAGCAGTTTTTCTCGTTCTGTGCCGGCGCGCGCGCGCACACACACACACACACACACACACACACGGCTCAGATTCGGCCGCACCCGGCAACCGCTAGGGTGCATGGAGACACATTAGGTTACATAACCCTTCACCGTGTTCGAAACCCTTTCTTGATCGTGTGGGTGGCTCTGAAAAGAGCCTTTGGGTTCAGGACGCCGAGGAACGCCTCACTTGGAGCTGGTGTACTTGGTGACAGCCTTGGTGCCCTCGGACACGGCGTGCTTGGCCAGCTCGCCGGGCAGCAGCAGGCGAACGGCCGTCTGCACTTCGCGGGACGTGATGGTGGAGCGCTTGTTGTAGTGTGCCAGGCGGGAGGCCTCGCTGGCGATGCGCTCGAAGATGTCATTGACGAAGGAGTTCATGATGCCCATGGCCTTGGACGAGATGCCGGTGTCGGGGTGCACCTGCTTCAGCACCTTGTACACGTAGATAGAATAGCTCTCCTTGCGGCCGCGCTTGCGCTTCTTGCCGTCCTTCTTCTGTGCCTTGGTGACAGCCTTTTTAGAACCCTTCTTGGGCGCAGGAGCCGATTTGGACGGGTCTGGCATGATGGCTGAGTCTCTCCAAACAGAAACGCGCGGCGCTCGGAGTAACTCTATTTGTACGTTTTGTATTCAAATGAAGGCTCAGGATTTGCTCACTTCTGATTGGATCAAACGTTGTTCTACGTCATCGCTGGGAAAGGAATACGCAAATTAGGAGTGCCAGGTTCTTTTTCTGATTGGCTACCATAGCCATCCAATCGAACGCCGCGGTCTAGCCTACCTCTGTACCATACATAAGGGCTCGCTGGCCTTCACTGCCCTCTTGTTTTTAGTCTCGCTTTTCGGTTGCCGTTGTCTTTTTTCCTTGACTCGGAAATGTCCGGTCGTGGTAAGCAGGGTGGCAAGGCGCGCGCCAAGGCTAAGTCGCGCTCGTCGCGCGCGGGGCTGCAGTTCCCCGTGGGCCGCGTGCACCGGTTGCTCCGCAAGGGCAACTATTCGGAGCGCGTGGGCGCCGGCGCCCCGGTCTATCTGGCCGCGGTGCTCGAGTACTTGACTGCCGAGATCCTGGAGCTTGCCGGCAACGCGGCGCGCGACAACAAGAAGACGCGCATCATCCCGCGCCACCTGCAGCTGGCCATCCGCAACGACGAGGAGCTCAACAAGCTGCTGGGCCGCGTGACCATCGCGCAGGGTGGCGTCCTGCCCAACATCCAGGCCGTACTGCTGCCCAAGAAGACGGAGAGCCACCACAAGGCCAAGGGCAAGTGAGGCCGCCCGCCGCCCCCGGGGCCCCTTTGATGGACATAAAGGCTCTTTTCAGAGCCACCTACTATCTCGAGAAAAGAGCCGCACTGATCCTGCAGTTCTTTATAGGCCGGAGGCCTGATCACCCTAGGCTCATGAATGAGCGCAGTGGCCATGGGGAAGGGCGCAACGGGAACCGAGACCCTGGGGACTGATTGGGCTGCATACTTGCGAGGTGGGCAACGTGTTCTGTTAACAACAGGGAACCCTCGTCCACAGGTGGCCACCCCTTGCTCTTGAGTCCCACCCAAAACCTCTAGTAGGGTTTTAATAACGCTCACCGTAAAGGTGTCTTCATAATTACTAGTGACAAGTTCTCTTGACTCTAGCAAGGTTCCCGTGTGGTCATCAAGTACAGAATGCAATTTCTTAATGATTTATCTGATATTAAAAGTATTTATGATCTCTAAGTAGTTTGCACTTTAATTCTGAAGAGTAAGTCTATGGATTTCTATTTAAATTGCTAAGTTTTAACAATGTGAGCTCCACCAGTGTTAAGATTTAATTTATTTGGCTGGGAATTCTAAAGGTCATGAGGAAAGTTTCAGTACTTAAAAGGAACCAGATTAGTAGATGCTGAAAGGTATAAACCTTTTAAGAAGACTTAATTTGGAATAGGATAATTATTTAAAGGAATTTAGTTTGTTTAATTCGGGTTGGTCAAACATTAATCAAAGATCCCCTTAAATTGATTGCTAAAATTGGAGAACAAAATAATTTGTACACTGTTTTTGAAAAGGAAAACTAAATTTGCGAGTTAAGCAAATTTAAAATGAGTATTGTTAGAACCAGATGAATGATGATACATGTGGACTTTAGGAAAATAACGGTTTGTAACTACATTTTTCCTTATAAAATGGAGGGTTTAAGAGCGTCGGAGACCTCCAGGCAAATTAACTGAAATGGCTGTGTTAATAGCCCCTAAATCCTGGAGGAGAGAGGTTCATTGATTTAATCCACGATAATCCCTTAAAAAATGTTTGCCACAAAATCAGAGCTCAGAAAGTGTTATTCTTCTGTTGTTATCTGTACAGTTTTCATTAATCTATTTCTCAAAATATGGATAATTCCTACTTTGTTTTTATTTTTTCTTTAATCCCCAAAGTGCTAGTATTTAGTTAATTGACACCTAACAATTGCATATTATATGGGGTACATAGTGATACTTTGAATACATTTATTATCAGATCAGGGTAATTAGCAATTATTAAGTATTTATTGTAATAATAAATACAGGCCAGTAAAATTATTCAGGAATATTATATAATTTATATTTACCCTACTAAAATTGGGTCTACTCAAGTCAGGGCTTCCTGGACACCAGCTAACCACAAATCTGCATGTCTTTAGAAAATATCCCAGTGCTATGAAACTATTTGAACCAAAAATTGGTAAGCAGCTGCTCCAACAGTGTGGATCTAAACAGCACAATATTCACAGTGTGTATCACGAGTGGGCACCATTTCAGTAAAACAAAACTGCAAGGACTGGCCAGGAGAGGGTGTAGCCTTCCAGAGATCTTTTCATTATTTTTCTTGTGAAAGCCTTCATTTTCAGTTGAAATTTATCTTTATGTATTTATATCTATGTAGGTCACTCTATCTCTTCAAATACCCTTTAGTGGTATTTAAGGTTTTTGCAGGGTCTGGGGACTTAGGTGTTTCAACTATCACCATGGATTTCCAGATTTTGTAAAAGGTGCTCAAATGGGGTGAAGGGGGAGGCAGCGTGGTGGGAGGGCTACTTTGGGGTAGCACTGCATTTGTTATCTCTGAGGCTATGGTGTTTCACAGACAGTAACGAGCCACACAAGCTATTTAATTTTCAGATAATTAAAATTTAATACAAAGATGTAGTTCCTCAGTCACCCTAACCACATGTAGCCAGTGGATGCCATGTTAGCACAGATACAGAATGTTTCCAGCATCACAGAAAGTTGCACTGGACAGCTCTGGTCTAAGATCTGGTTCTTTATCGGGTTATCTGATTCAGAAATGTAGTAAATTATCCAGTGCTGCCTGCTTTGGTAAGAGAAAACTCATTAGACTCTTTTCTTATTTTTTATTTTTTTAAGACAAAGCCATGCCCTGTGTCCCAGGCTGGAGTGCAGTGGCGTGATCTCGGCTCACTGGAACTTCTGCCTACCGGGTTCAAGTGATTCTTCTGCCTCAGCCTCCCAAGTAGCTGGGATTACAGGTGCCTGCCACCATGCCGAGCTATTTTTTTTTTTTGAGATGGAATTTAGCATTGTAGCCCAGGCTGGAGCGCAGTGGCGTGATCTCGGTGCAGTGGCGCCATCTCAGCTCACTGCAACCTCTGCCTCCAGGGTTCAAGCAATTCTCCTGTCTCAGCCTCCCGAGTAGCTGGGACTACAGGCGACTGCCACTATGCCCGGCTAATTTTTGTATTTTTAGTAGAGACAGGGTTTCACCACCTTGTTGGTCAGACTGGTCAACAACTCCTGACCTCAGGTGACCGACCCACCTTGGCCTTCCAAAGTGCTGGGATTACAGGTGTGAGCCACCGCGCCCGGCCACCCAGCTAATTTTTGTATTTTTAGTAGAGACGGGGTTTCCCCACATTGGCCAGGCTGGTCTCGAACTCCTGACCTCAAGTGATCTGCCCGCCTTGGCCTCCCAAAGTGCTGAGATTACAGGCATGAGCCTGTAATGAAGCACCCAGCTTCATTAGACTCTCGCATAAAGAAGATATCACCGTATGGCCGTGCAATTCCAGTCCTAGGTATACATACCCAAGAGAAATGAAAATACACATTTATTCACAAACATGTACACAAATGCTCATGGCAGCATTCTTCATGAAATACAGAAGGTAGAAACAACCCAAATGTCCATCAACTGAGGAATGGGTAGGCAGATTGGGATCTATCCAATTACAATGAAATATTATTCAGTCATTCAAAAGGAATGAAGCACTGACATGCTACTACAGGGTGAACCTTGACAGCATGCTCAGTGAGATAAGCCAGATACAAAGGCCACAGATTGTCTGAGTCCACTGATACGAAATGTCCAAAACAGGCAAATCCACAGGGACTGAAGGCAGACTGGTGGCTGCCAGGGGCTGGAGGAGAGGAGTGCCTGCCTAGTGGGGACAGGTCTTCCTTTAGGGGTGATGAGGATGGTCTGGAACTAGACAAAGGTGGTAACTGCACAACATTGTGAATGTACTAAATGCACCTGAATTGTGTACTTTAAAATGGTACATTGTGTGTCATGTGATTTTCACCGCTCGATTTTTTTAAAAATCTGAACCTAATACACGAATGTGTAGCAAATCATCACCGTAACCAGGAGAACAAGAAGGAAAGGCAAGAAAGCCTGGGGTCCCAGAAGGGCTATGAGGAGGGTAGACCAGATGCCCAAGAGGAGAGAGGCCCATCCTAGTGCTTTTCAGGATGCCACTGGCCTACCCCAGGTATAAAGAGGGGGAGCAGGGACTGCCCTTGGTGCAGCAGCAGCCATCACTTGGGGACCTTGTGGAGAGAAGAGGGCCCTCTTGGTGGCTGTGGGCAACTCATCTCTGCAGGGCTGGCTGTCTGTCCTGTGGATGCATCGTGACTTTTCCCTGCCTGTTGCATTCCCCGCCCGCTGCATTCCCAACATGCACCCACCTTCACTGGAAGTTTGCTCATCACACTTCACACATCCCTATGGGCAGGCACTTTATGGAGGAGGAAGAGAAAAGGAGATATGTCCCAGGAGGAGAATGCAGCTGAAGCCAGCCTCAGGAGTAACCCACAGAGAGAGCTTGCAGTTTTGCAGAACTCTCGGCTTGGCTCAGCTTTGTCCCGCATCCCTCTCCTCCTCTCTCCTGACTGTGGGTCTCTCCCCAGCCCCAGCTGGTCAGTTCCCACATGCTCAACACCAAAATGCTCGAGTCTTCCAATTGAAAAACGAAAACGAAACAAAAAAAACAACCACCCTCTTCCCTGCAATTTCTTCCTCTCCTGAGATGCTGCATTGAAGCGTTTGTGATGCCAGTCCTTCAGGGAAGCAGTTTTGGGTATCTGCTCTGACCCCTGTCCAGTGTGGGTCGTGCTGAACTCGTCCTCATTGTCCCTGTCTGTGTGTTATCCTGTCCCACAGAGGCCCCGACTCTGATCACCAGAGCAGGTCTTGGGCCTGCCTGGAAGAGTCTCTAGTTTCCTGCATGCCGCTCACCAAGTGTCAGGGGCAGTGGGATGCTGGCCACATCTGTCCCACCACTGCCTGGTGGCAGCTGCTTCTGTGCAGGCGGCTGGGGATGCCAAGTCCATGGCAACACCTGGCTTCCAGACCCTGGACCCAGCAGCCACCCCTCGTGGAGCTGCCTTTGGGCCCCAGGCCACCTTTGTTGCCCAGTGGGCTGTGCTCTCAGCCCACCCATGGCCCTGAGTGGGCCCTGCTGGTCACCTGCTGGCCAGGCCCTTCTAGGTGTCTCCTGCCAAGATAACAAACCAGCCCAAAGCATTGTGGCTGGTGGGCCTGTGGGGCCGGGGTGGGAGCCAGGCTTCCTGGACAGCAGGTGTCTGGTGAACAGGCTAGACCTGGCTCCTGGACATTCGCCACCCACTGAGGGCCAGTGGAGGGTCAGGAGGGTTCAGGGAGGGGTTCAGCTGGTGAGTCAGGGAAGGGTCAGTGGAGGGTCAGGAGGGATCAGGGATGAGTCAGCTGATGGGTCGGGGGGGTCAGCCAGAAGGTCAGGGATGGGTTAGCTGGTGAGTCAGGAAGGGGTCAGTGGAAGGTCAGGAGGGGTCAGGGTTGGGTCAGGGAGGAGGCATGAGGGGTCACCCAAAGGGTCAGGAGGGGTCAGCTGGTAGGTCAGGGAGGGTTAGGAGGGGTCACCAGTGACTCAGCAGTGGGTTGGTGGTGGGGCCAAGGCCCCCTGGGGCCTCGCCTGGAAGCTGCTCACTGTACCTCAGGCCGCACGCTGGGAGTCACAGCAAGTCAGCAGGCCAACCTGGTGTGGTGTGCTGAGGGACAGCTCCAAGACCGTGTGTGCCAGGGCGGGGGGTACCTCTCACCACTCACCACAGGTCCTGCGGCCTCCACCCTGACACTTCCTTTTTCCCATGAGCTCATCCAAACCACGACTTGAGTGACCACAAACCATGGACTGTGGACATTTCCCAGAGCTCCAGGCTAATACTCACCCTCTTGATACTTGCACCTGTTCAAGGGGCCTGACTTCACCCTGCAGAGAATCCCACAGAAGGTTCTCCATGCCCCAGCCCCAACCGAACACTGAGACTTCCCCCAGTCATCCCCAGCCCAGGAATGGCTCCATCCTTCTTTGGTCACTCAGTTAAGTAAAATAGACAAACGAAAGTTGCCCATGCAGGCTGCTGTAACAAAATACCACAGCCTGGGAAAGTTACAGACAACAGGGTTTAGGGCTCGCAGCTCTGGAGGCTGGAGTACAAGATCCAGAGGTAAGTCATAAGTAGAGCTTGTGGGCCTCAAAGGCAGAGGCGGTTGCGGGACCAAAATACTGAATATGCAGGAGACAGTGAGTAAACAGAAGGCCTCAGGGCACTAAACATTGATGATTGCTAAGTATATAAGCACCACTTAATATGCATGATCATTAAATATACAACAGAAAGGCACTAAGTATTCATAGTCATAAAATATACCAGAGACACTAAATATTCAGGATCACTAAATACATAGGAGGATATAAATATTAATGATCACGAAATAGGCCGGGGCGGTGGCTCACACCTGTAATCCTAGCACTTTGGGAGGCCGAGGCGGGCGGGTCACGAGGTCAGCAGATCGAGATCGTGCCATCCTGGCGAACACGGTGAAACCCCATCTCTATTAAAAATACAAAAAAATTAGCCAGGTGTGCTGGTGGGTACCTGTAGTCCCAGCTACTCAGAAGGCTGAGGCAGGAGAATGGCATGAACCCGGCGGGCAGAGCTTGCAGTGAGCAGAGATCATGCCACTGCACTCCAGCCCGGGTGACAGAGCGAGACTCAATCTCAAAAAAAAAATGTGTATATATATATATATATATATATATATATATATATATACATACACACACACATATATATACCAGAGACACTAAATATTCAGGATCACTAAACGCATAGGAGGAACTAAATACTAATGATCACAAAATATACAAGAAGCACTAAATATTCAGGATCACTAAATATATTAGAGACGTTGAAAATCCAGGATTGATAAATGTATGAGAGGCACTAAGTGTTCATGATCACTAGGTATACAAAGTGCACATAAATATTCATGGTGACTAGGTGTACAAGACGCACTAAATATTCATGATCACTGACTATACAAGAAGCACTAAATATTCAGGATTGCTAAATTTATGAGAGGTACTGAATACTTATGACCACTATAGATACAAGATGCAGTACGTGTTAGATGTTAATGATCCCTAAGTATACAAGAGGCACTAAATATTAAGATAAATAAACATGAGGCTTAGGTATCTAGGATGACTAGATATGCAAGAGGCACTAAATATTCAGGACAACGCTAAGTATACAATAGGCACTGAATATTCAGGATACGCTAAACAGGCCTGGCTCATTTGAGGCACTCCCGTTGGGATCACCATTCCAGCCCACCTTTCTCTGCAGCGTGGCCAGGACATCCTGTGTCTCAGTGGCCACACCTGCGTGCCATTGCCCGGCACTCTTGCTCTCGCACCTGAGGCCTGGTCTTCGTAAGTAGGACTTTATCCTGGGAAAAGTCTGACAGCAGAGAGAGACAACACCTATGGACACGTGCACCCAGGATGGAGGGGTGGAGAGGGGTAAGTTGACTCACCTAGTGTAGGTGTGACACTCTTACTCTAAAATTGTCTGTGAGCCCTTCCATGCCACGACCTGTAGCTTCAAGGTGACTTTTCACGAGTCCTCCGGGCACAGCAGCTGTTGGAGGTGACCCCAAGGCAAGGGAGCCCAGACACACTGCTTTCCATCCAATCACCACTTTACCTCCCTTCGTGGCACTGAGTGGGTGACTGTCACGTCACTCCCGCCACAAGCCGAGCTCTGGGAAGGCAGGAGAAACCCCGCCTGGCTGCATTCTCAAGGACACCTGCACAGTGGATCACTACAACCAGTGGGACCGTCCCTGAAGGTGTGCGGGGCAGCATGCTTGTGCATGATAGACTTGCCATCATCACATTTTTTTTTTCGAGACAGCGTCTCAATTTGTTGCCGAGACTGGAGTGCAGTGCAGTGGCAACAATCACAGCTCACTGCTGTCTCAACCTCAAGCAATCCTCCCACCTCAGCCTCCTGAGTAGCTGGGACTACAGGCAGGCTCCCCAAACCTGGGTAGTTTTTTGTATTTTGTAGAGACAGTGGTTTCACCATATTGCCCAGGCTGGTCTCCAACACCTGTGCTCATGCATTCCTCCCGCCTTGGCCTCCCAATTACAGGCATGAGCCATTGTGCCTGGCCCTATCATCACAGTTATAAAACTATCACATTTCCAGCCCCAGGAGCTTTACCCACACAGTCTCAAAGCCCTTGCTTCTTGGAAAACCCCCAGAGGCCTCACAGGGCCCTACAAAGAAAAGCCCCACGCTCTTTGTTGTTGAGAATGCTTTACTGGTCCCTTTTTATTTTTTCCCAGCTTTATTGAGGTACTGTTACCGGAAAGGGGTCTCGATCCAGACCCCAAGAGAGGGTTCTTGGATCTCATACAAGAAAGAATTCAGGGCAAATCCATAAAGTGAAAGCAAGTTTATTAAGAAAGTAAAGGAGCTTTTCACAAGATGGCACTGAAAGCGAAGAAGGAAACTCCTGCCCTTCCTAAAGCCGAAGCCAAAGCAAAGGCTTTGAAGGCCAAGAAGGCAGTGTTGAAAGGTGTCCATAGCCACACACAAAAAAAGAAGATCCGCATGTCACCCACCTTCTGGTGGCCCAAGACACTGTGACTCCGGAGGCAGCCCAAATATCCTGGGCAAATTGTCCCCAACAAGCTTGACCACTGTGCTATCATCAAGTTTCCACTAACCACTGAGTCTGCCATGAAGAAGATAGAAGACAGCAACACACTTGTGATCACTGTGGATGTTAAAGCCAAGAAGCACCAGATCAAACAGGCTGTGAAGAAGCTCTGTGACATTAATGTGGCCAAGGTCAACACCCTGATCAGCCTGATGGAGAGCATATGTTCAACTGGCTCCTGATTACAGTGCTTTGGATGTTACCAACAAAATTGGGATCATCTAAACTGAGTCCAGCTGGCTAATTCTAAATATATGCATATATTTTCACCATTAAAAAAAAAAGGAAGAAAGTGAAGGGATAAAAGAATGGCTACTCCATAGGCAGAGCAGCTCTGAGGGCTACTGGTTGGCCACTTTTATGGTCATTTCTTGATTATATGCTAAACAAGGGGTGAATTATTCATGCGTTTCCCAGGAAAGGGGTGAGCAATTCTTGGACCTGAGGGTTCCTTCCCTTTATAGACCATATAGGGTAACTTCCTGATGTTTCCATGGCATTTGTAAATTGTCATGATGCTGTTGGGAGTATCTTTTACTTATAATTAATGATAATTAATGTATTATAATGAGCAGTGAGGACGACCAGAGGTCACATTAGTCGCCATCTTGGTTTTGGTGGGATTTGGCTGCCTTCTTTACCGCGTGCTGTTTCATTAGCAAGGTCTTTGTGACCTATATCTTGTGCCGACCTCCTATCTCATCCTGTAACTTAGAATGCCTAACCTCCTGGGAATGCAGTCCAGCAGGTCTCAGCCTTATTTTACCCAGCCCCTATTCAAGATGGAGTTGCTCTAACTCAAATGCCTCTGACAGTATGATCTACAAATAAAGCTCGTACATATTCAAGGTGCACAGCATGATGTCTTGGTACATGTCACGTGGTGAAATGATTACCACAGTCAAATCAATTAACACACACATCACCTCATGTGGTTACCTGTGTGTGTGTGCATGTGTCTGTGTGTGCGGTGACAACATGTAAGATCTACTCAGTAAATTTTATGTCCATGATATGTTATTAACCAGAGTCTCCATGCTGTGCTTCAGGTCTCCAGAACTACTTATCTTATAGCTGAAGCTTTGTACTCCTCCTCACCCAGCCCCTGACTTTTTTAGATTCCATATATAAGTTGGCTCATGCAGTATTATTTGTCTTTCTGTGCCTGGCTTATTTCACTTAGCATAATGTCCTCTGGGTTCATCCATGTTGTTGACATGGTTTCCTTCTTTTTTAGACCTGAATAATTTTCATTATTATAGTGTAGTATAGCATGTAACACTAATATCTATACCACGTTTTCTTTATTCATTCACTGATGGACATTTAGGTTGTTTCTGTATCTCAGCTATTATGAATAGTGCTGTAATTAACATGGGAGTGCAAGTATCTCTTTATGACAGTGATTTTATTTCCATTGGGCATACTCAGAAGTGAGATGGCTGGATCAACAAAATTAAAAGGCAACCTATGGATGGGTGAAAACATTTGCAAACCAAACATCTGGTAAGGGGTTAATACCCAAAATATATAAGAGCTCCTACAACTTATTAGCAAAAAACAAAACCAAAACAAGAACCAAATAACCTAACTTTAAAAATAGACAAAGGACCTAAATAGGCATTTCTCCCAAGAAGGCATACATATGGCCAACAGGCATATGAATAGGTGTTCAACATTACTAATCTAGGAGGGTCGGTAGGGTGGCTCATGCCTCTAATCCCAGAGCCTAAGGTGGGAGGATTGCTAGAGCCCAGGCTTTGGAGACCAGCCTGGGCAACATAGGAAGACTCCGTCTGTACAAAAAATTTTTAAAAATCAGCGGGGCGTGGTCGTTCCTGAGGTCCCATCTAGTCCAGAGGCTGAGGCGGGAGTATCCCTCGAGCCCGGGAAGTCTAGGTTGCAGTGAGCCGAGATTGCACCACTGCACTCCAGCCTGGGCCACAGAGGGAGACCCTGTCGCAAAAAATAAATAAATAAATAAAATTCAGGAAAATGCAAATCAGAATCAGAATGAAATGTCTCCGAACACCTGTTAGAATGGCTAATATCAAAAAGACAAGAGACAACAAGTGTTGGTCACGATGTGGAGAAAAGGGACCCTTCGCACGCTGTTGAGGGGAATGTAAACTGGTGCAGCCATCACGGAAAATAGGACGGAGGTTCCTCCAAAAACTCAAAACAAGGTCCAGTCTTTCTGAGGCCCCCTTCTGCTTGCCTGTGACCACCCTTCTTCCAACCCTCCAGTTCCAGGTCCCCTCTGCTGCCCTTAGACGCGGCGTCTTCGCACTCTGGGCCTTACCGCGGCTGCTCCTCCAGGTTTGCTCTCCAACTGCAGCCTTCCCTGTCCTACGCGACCACCGGCCTCCTGGCGCCCTCTGCCTATAGTGAACACCCCTCCAACACCGTGCCATCACCTCACGTTTACTCTCACCTCCTCCTCCACTAAATTGCAAGCTCCAGGGAGGCATGTTTTCATCTGATGCGTTCACCCCAAGTACTAACAGCTATGCCTGGCACATAGTAGATGCTAAATGGATATTTGATGAACTTAAAAAAAAAATTCAAAGGATTCCTTTCCTCTCTGGTCAATGGAAGACGGAGAAGGAATGAAATTGAACTTCAATAGCTTAACAAAGGGCGGGAGGGTGGTGTGTTGACCGCCCCCCCAACCCCCCAACGCTGGGCCCCAACCCACCCCGCCCCGCCCCCACGGGATGCTTTTCTACAAGGGTGAGAGGAGCTGACTCCGGTTTGGACTGGAAGAAAGTTTCCAAGAAAATCAAATTAGTGGCCCAAACACATACCCCTTCTCCGCCCCGCGCAGTCTCTGAGATGCGTCCCAGCAATTGCCCAGGGACTTGGAGGGAGCGGGCATTTTCAGGCTGCACAGAGGCCATCTGGGGAGAAGGTGTGCGGCTGTTTTGCTGAAATGTAAAAAGAGATGTCCTTTGGAGCCCGGGACGCCGTTTCCGGCTGGCTACCCGAGGTTGCGTGCAAGGGGCGGGTCCTTAGGCATGAAAATGACCCTCCCGGCCGCAACGGCGCACAGGCCCAGGGCCGCTGAGCCCCTCCAAGCCGGGATTCGTTTTGGAGACCTGCGCGATGGAGCGGACAGCGGGACTGGGGGGCGCCGCAGTGCAGGGTGTACAGCTGCAGAGAAGCCGGGGATACAGGGGTGCGGGGCGCAGGGATAACGGGCGCAGGGGACGGTCACGGGTGCTTTCTAGTGGGTTGTGCAGGCTCAGGTTCCCAGCGCTGGGTGGTTGCGACTCTGCATAAAACGCTAAGCTTTTGAGGCCCTTATTCAAGCTCGGGGACGTCTCCCAGTTGGTCAGTTCAAAACCTCTGGGCCAGGTTGCGTTGGTGGCAGATTCCGCCCGCTAAGTCTCCGCACGCTGCCGCGGGTCTGCTCCTCCCCCGGGGTCAGAACCTCTGACGCTCTCCTGCTTTTACACGCGTTAAGTCACTGGTTTCTTGCAGCATCACGTGTTCCCTAGATACATGGGCTGAGGCTTATTCTTCCTGAAAGTGAGGGTTTTTTCCTTTGGGCTTTCCAGAGCCAGCCCGCGTGGAGAGTGACGAGTGACAGGCGCCTTTGTTCCGGGCTTGCATGGGTGGGACGCGCCCCCTCCTCAGCACTCAGCCCGGCGAGCCTGGCCCTCCCGTCGCCCCTTCTTAAGTGCATTTGTCCCGGGCTCTCGATTTTGTTTACTCTTTCCTGCTTACACAGGTACACACACACACCCAGACCTAAACTTTATATAAACAGACATGAACTTAAAGAAACAAAATCCCCCTATGTGTCAACGCGCTCCTTTTTAACAAAATCAACAAAAATTCAACACAATGTTATTTCCATCCTTTTGTTGTCTTATTAGAAACGTGTATGTTAACTTTCCTCCTTTTATAAATGGGGCATGTTCTAATTAACCATTTGTATGGTTGTTTTTAGTGCTCAAATGGTCACATTGCAGCCCCGGGGAGGTATTTTCAAAACGCTGCTCTGTCATTTTAGGATCACCCTGATTGTTGGAAGCACCTTTGCTTTTGTTTTTGTTTTGTTTTTGTTTTGCTGAGACGGGGTCTAGCTCTGCCGCCTAATCAGGCTCACTGTGGCTTCAAAACTCCTGGCTCAAGCAATCCTCCCGCCTCAGCCTCCCAAGTAGCTGGTACTACAGGTGAGTACCACAGCGCCTAATTGGTTTTTTGTTTTGTGTGTGTGTGCGTGTTTTTGGTTTTTTTTGTTTGTTTGTTTTTGTTTTTGTTTTGTTTTGTTTTGTAGGCAGGTTCTCCCTATATTGCCCAGGATGGCCTTGAACTCTAACCTCGGCCTCCCAAAGTGCTGGGATTACAGGTGTGAGCCACTGGCACCCGGCTCATCTTTGCTTTCTGACAGCAAAAAGTTATTTCAGACCTATCATGGGTGTTTTGTTTTGTTTTGAATTTTTGTTTTTTTGACTCCAGATATGGACTTAACTGCACTCCAAGGAGTTTATGTTGCTCTTCATGAAAATTAGTATTATAGACAAAATTGAAGCTGGGAATCAGCTACTTTTGTCTCTCATTTTCACTGTTCTCTTTTTTTTTTAGATGGAGTCTCACCCTGTCCCCCAGGCTGGAGTGCAATGGTGCGATCTCGGCTCACTGCAACCTCTGCCTCCTGGGTTCAAGCGATTCTCCTGCCTCAGCCTCCCAAGTAGCTGGGAGTACAGGCGCTGCGTCACCATGCCTGGCTAATTTTTTGTATCTTTAGTAGAGATGGGGTTTCACCATGTTGGCCGGGCTGGTCTCGAATCCCTGACCTTGTGATCTGCCCGCCTTGGCCTCCCAAAGTGCTGGGATTACAGGCATGAGCCACCACGCCCGGCCACTGTTCTCTTTTTTTAATGATGGTGTAGCTGTCTACCCTGTGGAGATATATTGATCTTCAAAATCACCGTGATAGTACAGTTATTATGGAAAACATTATTAAATTCAAAATAGAATTCCCAAACGATATAGCAACCCCACTGCTGGGGATATATCTAAAGGAAATGAAATCCGTATCCAGAAGAGAGATCTGCACCATGTTCACTGCAGCACCATTTACAATAACCAAGACATGGAGTTAACCTAAGTATCCATTGTCGGATGAATGAGTAAAGAAAATATGGTACATATGTACAATGAAATACTATTCCGGCCTTAAAACATAATGAAATTCCCTCATTTGTGACAACAGGGGTGAAATGAGAACATTACGTTAAGTGAAATTAGCCAGATATGGAAAGACAAACACTGCATAATCTCACTTCTATGCGGAATCTAAAGAGGTTGATATCATAAAGCAGAGAGTGGAATGATGGTCACCAGGATCTGGGGGCCAGAGACGCTGACTAAAGGGCACAGGAGGGGGCTAGGGCACGCTGACACAGGAGGAGTCAGTTCAAGACATCTAATGTACAACACAATGACTATAATTCACAGCAATGTAGTACATGAAAATTGCTAAGAGAGTAGATTTTAGGTGTTCTCACCACAAATAAATATGTGAGGTAATGTCTATGTTAATTAGCTTGATTTAGCCATTCCCCAATCCATATTCCCAACACAATACATATTTCAAAACAGTACCTTGTACACCATATATACAATTTTTGTCAGTTTAAAGAAATAAAGAAGAAAAAAAGTCACCATGATCATTGGTAGTCCTTCCATGATAATGCTGATGCCTCATCCTCAAGTGAGGACATTTGTCTCAGTCACTTCAAGCTGCTATGACAAAACACCAGAGACTGAGCAATTTGTAGACAATAGAATTTTTGATCACAGTCTGGAGGCTGAAAGTTCAAGATGAAGGTGTCAGCAGGGCTGGGGTCTGGTGAGGGTCCTCTTCTGGGCTGTAGAGTGCAGTCTTGTGGTTGCAACCTCATGTGATGGAAGGGGTGAGGCAGCTCTCTGGAGTCCATTTTACAGTGGCCCTAATCCCATCAGTGAGGGCTCCACCTTGATGACCTAATTATCTCCCCAAGGCCCCACCTCCTATGCCATCCTCACATTGAGGGTTGGGGCTTCCACAGATGAGTTTGGGCTGGGGACACAAATGTTACCCGAAAGGGGTCCCAGTCCAAACCCCAAAAAAGGGTTCTTGGATCTGGTGCAAGAAAGAATTTGAGGCAAATCCATAAAGTGAAAGCAAGTTTATTAAGAAAGTAAAGGAATAAAAAATGACTAATCCATAGGCAGAGCAGTGGCATGGTGCGCTGGTTGCCCATTTTTATGTTTATTTCTTGATTATATGCTAAATAAGGTGGGGATTATTCATGAGTCTCCCAGGAAAGGTGTGGGCAATTCCCAGAGCTGAGGGTTTCTCCTCTTTTTAGACCATATAGGGTAACTTCTGGATGTTGCCATGGCATTTGTAAACTGTCATAGCACTGGTGGGAGTGTAGTGGTGAGGATGACCAGAGGTCACTCTCATCGCCATCTTGGTTTTGGTGGGTTTGGGGCAGCTTGTTTACTGCAACCTGTTTTATGAGCAGCGTCTTTATGACCTGTATCTTGTGCTAACCTCCTGTCTCATCCTGTGACTTAGAATGCCTTAACCTCCTTAATCTCCTGGGAATGCAGCCCAGCAGGTCTCAGCCTTATTTTACCCAGCCCCTATTCAAGATGGAGTTGCTCTGGTTCACACGTCTCTGACACAAACATTTAAGCCAAAGCAACATTGTGGAAAGAAAGGAAAGACATTTCTGAAAACAAATGTGTGGTTCTGCCTGATGGTTCTGGTGAATCTTCCGCACTTGCTATGACAAGAAATTCAAGGAAAATAATAGGTGAGAGTTGTTTTGTGAAAAATGCTGCAACTTTGGCATTGTTGCTACTGCAATTTGGGCCCAGGGTCTTGCAGGTTGGGGTTTCACCCTCCTCATTTCACATAA
Organism: Homo sapiens; assembly: GCF_000001405.40. Taxonomy (NCBI): domain Eukaryota; kingdom Metazoa; phylum Chordata; class Mammalia; order Primates; family Hominidae; genus Homo; species Homo sapiens. Next base: position 228,442,462 of record NC_000001.11, on the reverse strand, counting down.
ACCCGGGGCCAGCCTTCACTGGATGCTAATTGGCATATCTACAAATAGGCCAGCCGGTCTGTGTCTCCTGATTTAGAGACTGTAAACTAAAAATAAAATCCTAAGCACCCCTAACCAACTGCACAGACACTCTGTTGGTAAAAGGGACCCCATAGAACCTTAAAAACTGAGTTTCTGGCCATGATAGGGTGGGAGTCAGACACATCTCATTATACCCCTTTCTGTTGAGGTTTAGACACAACTGACAGCATTCATGTTAACATAGAGACAGTCCAGGTGAGGTTAAGAGAATTTTTTAAAAAAACACAGACACAGGATGGAGTCTTTGTGGCAATAAGGTGACAAATTATAAACAAGACCTAAGGGTTAAGTCAGCACCCTACACTTAAAGAATAAACCATGTTTTCACTGCTGCAAGGGTTTTCTTTTACTCCAGCAGCTAACCAAGCACTGGCCTCCAGCTAAGCAACATTAAGACAATTGCAGCTTACCCAGCTCACAGAGGCTGACTCTCCGACCCCCTGCTCCACCAGCCATGATGGCAGCATTCACTGGACAAGACACTGACTTCAAGAGCTTTCTGCTGATGAGAGACCACGACCTTGGGCTAGTCCTGGCCAGTTTACAGACGCTGTGCACTTGAGCACCTTTGAGTCCTGGAAAGACCTAATTGGAATACATTTACATGTGAAGCCTCCACCTCAAGGTAAGCATGCATCACATGTCATGTGCATGTGTGTTCCGTGAACATGTGTGAAGGCTACCCTCATGGATCTCCATAGTCCTCCCGTAGGCTGTGGAATATGTGTGTTTGGCAAAGCCAAACAAGCACAGAGCTCCTGCCCCAACTCCTCCCTCCCCCAAAGTGCCTGGGCTTGGCCCAGGCACTGGGTTTGGCCAAGGCTGTGCTTCCCTGCCCGAGGGATGGCCACTTTGCAGGCTGTAACCCTCTACAAGAAGTGAAATCTGCTTTTCCAATTTATAGATCCTGTGATTTTTTCAGTTAACGCAAAGATAAAGCTGGACATTAAAGCAGTGAAAACAGATTTCCATTCAGTGCCAGCTGCAGTCAGTACAGAGTCGCCTCCATTGTAATTTGTGTAGGGGTGGCGGGGTGTCTTAAAGGGAAGGAGATGGGGTGAGCGGGGGCTCCGTGCCAATCAGATGAGACCATCTGTGTCTGCTAGTCAGCCAGGCCCAAAGTCAGGATTCTACCTTCTGGCAGAGACTAAGGCCTTCTCCCTCCTGGTTTCAAAGGAATGGCTCTGGGTTCCTCGAGGAGCCACTGCTAGATTGTAGGAGACACATGGACATCTCAACACGCCAAAGGAAGCATTCCCAGTTGTGAGCTGGTTTCAGTAAATGCTCTAGGAAAGGAAGAGCCTGGACCAGTCTTCAGGTGTTGGCTGGAATAGAACAGCAAATTCCTGCCACAGCTGCTATGGTCTGAATATTTGTGTCCTCTGATGTAGAAAAAAAACAACTGTTTTTCCTCTGATCTCACAACACAACAATGAACACAGAAGACATCTGTGACCAAACATGTGAGGATTTCTCCCTATCAGCAAGCAAGCAAGCAACCAATGTTTTAGTGGGCACCAGTTAGGTGTCCTTGAACCCAATTTAATTCCGACTTCAGCCAGGCACAGTGGCTCATGCCTTGGTAATCCCAGCGTTGGGAGGCAGAGGTGGGAGGGAATTGCTTGAGCCCAGGAACTGGAGACCAGTCTGGGCAACATAGCAAGACTCTGTCTCTACAAGAATGAAATAAGTAGCTGAGCACGATGGTGCATGCCTGTAGTCCCAGCTGCTCAGGAGACTGAAGTAGGATTGCTTGAGCCCAGGAGTTCCAGGCTGCAGTGAGCTAGGGTCTCACCACTGCATTCCAGCCTCGGCAACAGAGCAAGACCCCATCTCAAATAATCATAACAATAAAAAAACTAAATAAATAAACAAATTCTGACAGTATCTACCTGGAGATTGCATCAGATCCTATAGGTTGAGGGCTCAGTCCCCGAGGCTGCCTCTACTTCAGACACCATGGGCAAGTCCAAGCCTCCAGAACTTCTGACCAGCTGTAACTTGGAGTTCCCTCGACTCCCTCTTTAAGCTTGATTAATTTGTTAGAGCAGCTCATAAAACTAGAGAAACACTTACTTACATTTACCTGTTTATTTAAAGAATAGTTTAAGGCTACAAATAAATAGCCAGATGAAGGAATGCAGAGGGAGAGTTCTGCAAAGGTCCAAGCGCAGGGCCTTCTGACCCAGCGGAGTTGGGCTGCGCCACCCTCCCAGCCTGCAAATGAATTCTCCCTCACCCTTCCTGCAAGCCCCCACGAGTTCAGCCCTCCAGAAGCCCCCAAAACCTGTCCCCTTGGGCCTTTTATGGAGACTTCATTGGATGGACATGATAGAAGACAGCCATGTAGAAATGTGACCGGACAGAAAGTGTGGATGTAACCCCAACAGACTGAGCGGGGAACCCCAGCAGAGCCCATGTGTTCAGACTCTTCTTGGCCTCTCTGGGCAGCATCCTTCCTCCTGGGTATGGGGCAGGACCCTCTCTGAACTGGGAGTCTTATGACCCACAATCAGAAAAGGGAAGTCAGAAAATGTCCTTATGGCCAGGTCCGAGACAGAAAGGTGGGGAAAGACTACAGTTTTCATTTCTGTGGCCTGCCTGGGGAGCAAAACGAGTAGGTAAAAGGAGGGTGGGAGAAGGTCGGAGAGATAGGTTCTGTTTTGGAGGCCTGAGCACCCCAACATTCTAACAAATACTGTTGCTGCAGGACTTTTCCTTAGTTCAGCTAGAGAACTCCGGCCTGTGTAGTGCCTTCAGCTAAGGCGAACAGTGAAAGATGTGGAGGAGGGGAGTTATGAGAAGCAGTGGTGGAGAGGGCCGGCGAGTTAAGGCCTGGCATGTAGATTTCACTGGTGCTGTCTCCTGGCTGATAAGCATCTAAAATCATCTCACATGATTAAATTGATTCCTTCCTGGTGGAGAGGCAAAGACAACTTTGTCCATTTTGTCCTGCTTTTAGGAAAATAGGGGCAAGCAGAAAGCTTTTTTACATCCGTTGTTTCTCAACAATGGATTATTATTGGCCTTCAGCTCCAAATAATCCTTGTGCCAAAGTGGCATCCTTTGGGGAAGAGGTGGCATCCCTTGAGGAGGGGGTGGCACCTTTTAGAGATGGGTGGCTTCCTTTGGAGAGAGGGTGGTATCCTTTGGGGAGGGGTGGCATTGTTTAAGGAGGGGGTGGCATCCTTTGGAGAGGGTGTGGCATCATTTTGGAAGGGGTGGCATCCTTTGGAGGGGGTGGCATCCTTTCGGGAGGGGATAGCACACTCTACAGAGGAGGTGCCATCCTTTGGAGAGTCGGTGGCATCATTTGGGGAGGGAATGGCACCCTTTGGAGAGGAGGGGGCATCCTTTGGGTGGCATCATTTGGGGAGGGGTGGCATCCTTTGGAGGGGGGTAGCATCGTTTGAGGAGGGCTGGCATCCTTTGGGGAGGGGATAGCATCGTTTGAGGAAGGGTGGCATCCTTTGGAGAAGGTGTGGCATTTTTGAGGAGAGGTGGCATTGTTTGGGGAGAGTTGGCATCCTTTGGGGAGGGGGTGGCATTGTTTGGGGAGGGGTGGCACCCTTTGAAGAGGGTGTGGCATCTTTGGGGGAGGGGTGGCATCATTTGGGAAGGGCTGGCATCCTTTGGAGAGGGTATGACATCCTTTGGAAAGTGTGTGGCATCCTTTGGAGAGAGGTGGCAACCTTTGGGGAGGGCACGGCACCCTTTGGGGAGGGGTGGCATCCTTTGGGGAGGGTGTGGCATCCTTTGGAGAGGAGTGGCATCCTTTGGGGAGGGTGTGGCATCCTTTGGGGAGGGTGTGGCATCCTTTGGAGAGGGGGTGGCATCCTTTGGAGAGGGTGTGGTATCCTTTGGAGAGGTGGTGGCACCCTTCAGAGAGGGTGTGGCATCATCTGGGGAGGGAGTGGTGTCATTTGAAGAGGGGTGGCATCCTTTGAAGAGGGTATGGCATCCTTTGGAGAGGGTGTGGCATCGTTTGGGGGAGGGTATGGCATCCTTTGGGGAGGGGTGGCATCCTTTGGAGAGGGTGTGGCATTGTTTTGTGGAGGGGTGGCATCCTTTGGGGAGGGTGTGGCATCCTTTGGGGAGGGGGTGGTATCCTTTGGGGAGGATATTCTCCTATCTTTCAAGAGCAATGTACGTTGAGTGTGGAATGAAGAATAATGAATTATTATGACAAGGATTTGGGCTGTTTTAGATTTAATATGGTCCAGCTAATGCTGACTCCCCACCTCTTTCAATGGGATGAATAGCATTCCCTCACTCTTAAACTAAGAATCCCCAAATGAGAGGTGCACTAATTGCACCTGAGCACCCCCCTTTCATTTGGGGGCCCTGTAGCCACTCACAGACCCACAGGCAGGAAAGGCCAATTTGCGGTTGTGGGGTTGTTTGTTGGCAGTTCACCCCTAAATCCTGGCTAATGTGGGAATCCAAGTCCCTGATTTAGTACACTAGAGATATTTAGAAGTCTACAATAAAAAGCTGACATTATTTTATTATCCCAACTATCCTAAAAGGAACTTTCTTCTATTCACTGGCTATAAAACTCCTTGAAGTTTCAGGTTCTCATTGCTTAACAGCTTGATTTAGGGGCCAAAGGCTACATAAGGCAGATTTTGATACTTACAAAGTGACTCGCGGTTTTAACCAAATAGAGATCCAACATATGGCTGACCTGGTCCGGAAGGGAGGTGATATTTGCCTAAGAAATTATCCTCAAAACTTAGCAGCTCCAGACAACATATGCATATTGTCCCACAGTGTCTGTGTGGCAGTCGGGAATCGCAGTGCTGCCTAGTTGGGGCCTGTCAGAAGGCTACCATCAGCGCTGTCCAGGGCTGGAGTCATCTCAGACCTGACTCGGGCAGAACCTGCCCCCAGGCTCTGGCATGTGACTGTCAGCAGATTCAAGATCCAGTTTTATTTATTTATTTTATTTTTTACTTTATTTAATTTGCTTTTTGAGATGGAGTCCCCAGTCTGTTGCCCAGGCTGGAGTGCAGTGGTGTGATCTCGGCTCACTGCAACCTCCGCCTCCCATGTTTAAGTGATTCTCCTGCCTCAGCCTCCCAAGTGGCTGAGATTACAGACGTAATTATCACACCCGGCTAATTTTTGTATTTTTAGTAGAGATGGGGTTTCACCATGTTAGCCAGGCTGGTCTCGAACTCCTGACCTCAGGTGATCCACCTGCCTCGGCTTCCCAAAGTGCTGGGATTACAGGCATGAGCCACCAGGCCCGGCCAAGATCCACTTTTAGATTCTTTCCTGTGGGCTTCTGTTCTGCGCTGCACACAGCCTGGCCACCAGCTTCCCCAGACGGAGCCGCACAGGGAGAGCAGGAGGGAACCCCCAGTGAGAAGCCGAGGTCTTTCTATAACCTAATCCCACAAGTGTCATCACTGCTGCCAGAACCCACTTGTTCAAACCAGTCAGTAAATCGAGGGGTGTGGACCGCCCACAGGCACAAACACCAAGAGGCAGGAATCCTTCAGGCATTTTAGAGGCAGCTGACCACAGGGGATTCCCTCAAAGGCCCATGGCTAAGTTTGTTTGACAACTGTGATCAGGGGTCAGTTTTGCAGTTTGTGGTGATTCTATGAGATCTCACATCTATAGTGACTGTGTGCTATACGCTGAATTATGTCACACCCCAAAATTCATATGAATATTGGAAATAATATGTCCTGGCCCCCATCACCTCACAATGTGACCTTATTTAGAGATAGGATGTTCACAGAGGTAGCTGAAAGGAGGTCATTAGGGTAGGTCCTAATCCAGTGGGACTTGTGTCCTGATAAAAGGGAAATTTGGACACAGAGACACGCTCAGAAGGAAGACAATGTGAGGAGCCACAGAGAGAACACAGCCACCTGCAAGCCAAGGAGAGAGACCTCAGAGGGTACCAGCGCTGCCCACAGGGTGATCTGTACTTCTCACCTTCAGGGCTGTATGACAATAAATGGACTTTGGTTTAACCCACTGTATTTGTGGTAACGTGTTATGGCAACAATAGAAAATGAATGCAAAGTCTGTTTTAGAGGTAGCCAGGATAGTTTGGGTTAATAGAGGCTTCTGGAATTCTTTTTTTTTTGAGACGGAATCTTGCTCTGTCGCCCAGGCTGGAGTGCAGTGGCATTATCCCTGCTCACTGTGACCTCCGCCTCCCGGGTTCAAGCAATTCTCCTGCCTCAGCTTCCTGAGTAGCTGGGATTACAGGCACGCACCACCACGCCCAGCTAAGTTTGGTATTTTTACTAGAGACGGGGTTTCACTATGTTGGCCAGGCTGGTCTCAAACTCCTGACCTCGTGATCCGCCCTCCTCGGCCTCCCAAAGTGCTGGGATTACAGGTGTGAGCCACCATGCCCAGCCGGCTTCTGGAATTCGTAAGAATAGACAGAGCATACTGAAGCCCTGTCTAGACAACATTTTCGTTGGCATTATGAATTGACGGTGCACAGTTAACTGCTAAATACACATAATCTGTGTAAAGAAGGAGAAAGTTACTATATAAGAGCTTCAGCACTCCTCTGACATGAAAAAGAGATGAGTGCTTCAACCCTTTTACCTTGCTGTGCTCATCCAGGCTGTATCCATTTAGTACAGTTCCAGGTGAGGACACTGATTTCTATCGAGTAGCCTTTCTGGGATTTCTAAGACTCAGGAGAGGACATAAGATTGCATACTCTGTGTCAATAGTTCAGACTTTCAGAAAGAATGAAATTCCTCCTCACCTCCTTTCAATCAAGAATCCCATCGTAGTTACCATGTTATTATACCATTGAGGGGCAGGAGGGGGTCGGCCCGAATGTACAAAATGACAGTGACACTAGGAGCTGGTATTGTCAGCTATTCCCCTTGTCTTTTCATACTAACTTATTTTCTCTCCACATTTTTGTCTTTTAGATTCAGAAATCCCTGTGCCAACTAGAACCCTTTGAAACTAACCCTGACTATCATCAACAAGGAATGTGGCTGCTTCCATAGCATATTTGAAGTACAGAACTCAAGAAAATGCTTCCTATTGATGGAATTTGTTAGACCACCACACTTCCTGGGAATTCAGTTTTCTTCCATTAAATTCATCAGACTCAGGTGGAATTGAGTTGAGTGTCTCTCACAAGCTTTAGGCTGGCAAAAAGAGCTGACACTGCCAACTACAGCTTTTACTGCAAATACAAGCTGCTTCCTTGCAGCTGGGGAACTTAGTGGAGATGTGCACACTTGTGGACACTAGGTGCGTGATGGGGGAGCTTGTAACCCGCCCCTGATTATTCTGAACACAAACCACATCTAGCGGTCAAGTTCTCCTCCTAGGTGGAGAAATGGAGTTTGAGTGGGAGACAAGGCATTGCCTTGCAAATGTCATTTGCACAGCTGGTCCCATTTGTATGGCTTACATTCAAATGAGGGCTTAGAGAAATCCAGCATCTGATTGGATTAAAGTGCACATTTAAATAAGATGCTGCCAGTTCAGCTCTCTAATTGGACCAAACCACTGCAGGATGTCAGCCAATCAGAATGCACATACCAGCCTGCCAAGCCCTCTCCACCGCCAGAATGAAGCGGGGCTACTCTCGGGAATGGGAGGGCTTGTAACCATTGGGAAATCTGTAAATGTGACTCATTATGTTCATAAATTTTGAAAAGCAAAAATTCTTAGTTCTAAAATTATTTTTGCTAATATTGGATAGTTATCTTTTTAAGTAAATAGCAAAGTTTGGATAAAATAAATTGATCATTTCTTATTATGATAAAACAACGCACACCAAACCCCAGCGTCCTGTGTGATGATGAAATACATCCTTCCCCAGTGAGAAGGAAGCCCAGGATTACCTGGAGCAGAAGCTTCCGGAGCCTTTGACTGGCAGGAAATCTCCAGCCATCAGTGTGGAACAGCCTGAGAGTAAGAATTTCCTGGGGACTGAAGGTGTTTCCATTTTGGGAATTTTAATTTTTTTCAATTTGTGGAAAATTGAATTCCAACAGTATGGGTGTGGGTGGCCCACTCTTTTCTTGGTTTTTACCTGTAGGAACCCCACTAGGTTCTCTTGGTGCAATAGAAAAGACCCCTCCAGGCTGTGGCAGGAGGCGGGAAAGCAACCATGGTGAAGTACACTCAGGACATGCCCCCAAGAAAGGCCTACCCTTCAGGGGAGAGACACTAACAGGCTTAATCCAGCTGGGGGAGGTGTGACCCCCAAATGTCTGAGACAGGTCTCAATTAGTTTAGAGAGTTTATTTTGCCAAGGTTGAGGATGTGCATCTGTGACACAGCCTCAGGAGGTCCTGACGACATGTGCCCAAGGTGGTCTCAGCACAGCTTGGTTTTATACATTTTAGGGAAATATGAGACATCAATCATTATGTGTAATATGTACATTGGTTCAGTCCGGAAAGGTGGGACAACTCGAGGCAAAGGCAGGACAATTTGAAGCAGGGAGGGCGCTTCTAGGTCATAGGTAGATAAGAGACAAATGGTTGCATTCTTTTGAGTTTCTGATTAGCCTCTCCAAATGAGGCCATCAGATATGCATTTATCTCAGGGAGCAGAGGGGTGACTTTGAATAGAATGAGAGGTAGGTTTGCCCTAAGCAGTTCCCAGCTTGACTTTTCTCTTTAGCTTAGTGATTCTGGGGCACCAAGATTTATTTTCCTTTCAGATTTATTTTCCTTTCGAGAAAGGTATTCCCTCCACTTCAGCCACCTCTAGCCTTAAGGAGACAAAAGCAGCTAGGAAACACCTGTGAAGGTCACAGTCCAGGGGCACAGGCCAAATAAGAGGCTGAGATTTCATCATAACACTATGGAATGCTTCCTCCACCCCAGGCCGGCCACCACGCCATAAGGCTCCAGTGTGAGTACAGTCTGACAGAAAGAGCTACTGTTGATCAAGCGAGTCAAACTCCATAAAATATTTTAAGAGATTTATTCTGAGCCAAATATGAGTGACCATGGCCCATGACACAGCCCTCAGGAGGTCCTGAGAACATGTGCCCAAGGTGGTTGAGGTACAGCTTGGTTTTATATATTTTAGGAAGGCATGAGACATTAATCAAATATTAAGAAATATATTGGTTTGGTTCAGAAAGGCAGGACAACTCAAAGCAAGTGCTTCCGGGCTATAAGTAAATGTAAACATTTTCTGGCAGATAATTGGTTGAGCTTGTCTAAAGACCTGGGATCGATAGAAAGGAAATGTTCAGGTTAAAAATAAAGGATTGTGGAGACCAAGTTTTATTGTGCAGAGGAAGTGCTCAGATAGCCAACTTCAGAGACAGCAGGTTGTAAATTGTTTCTTATGGGACTTAAAAGGGTGCCTGGCTCTTAGTTGATTATCTCCTGGATCTGGAAAGAAAGGAAGGAAAACAAAGGGGAAAGGGGATTCTCTATAGAATGTGGATTTTTCCCACAAGAGATTTTTCAGGGCAATTTCAAGGCATGGCAAGGAATATATATTTTGGGGTTGAATATTTTTTCCTTGTCTCAAAATTTTATGCCAGAGTCAGATTGAAAAGTCAGTCACAATATATAGGGTCAAATAAAACCCATCTGATGAGAATTTATGGTTTGTAGGGGTTGACTCCCTAGACCCCGTAGGTGGGAATTTGGGTAAGATAAAAGGTGAGAGCTTATTTGGGTAAGATAAAAGGTCAGTGCTTAGTCCTCACTATGATACACCGGACAGTGTGTGAAGGAGCTCTTAGGGAAGTTTAAAGTCAGGAGGGGAGATGAGAACAAGGACCCTAGGTAAACAAAACTTCGGCTATAATAAACATGAAAAAGAGCCCAGTTTCGAGCCAGATGATGTAAATGCTCACGCTAACGGCCTATGTTCCCGATTTTTTTTTTTTAAACAGGGTCTCACTCTGTGGCCCAGGCTGGAGTGCAGTGGCACAGTCATAGATCACTGCAGACTCAAACTCCTGGGCTCAAGCGATTCTCTCACCTTGGCCTCCCAACGTGCTGGGATTACAGGCACACACGAACATGCCCAGCTAAGTTTTTTTTTTTTTTAATTTTTTTTTTCTTTTAGAGACGGGGTCTTGATATGCTGCCCAGGCTGATCTTGAACTCCTGGCCTCAAGCAGTCCTCCTACCTTAGTCTCCCAAAGTGTTGGGATTACAGGCATGAGCCACCACCCCCAGCCATACCAGAGTTCTGATTACCTGATACTTTATCTCCAGCTTCAACACAAAATGACAAGACGTGCCAAAAGGCAAGAACACACAATCTGAAGAGACAAACGAGAACCAGAACCAGACCCACACGGACCATTCCTGACGTCAATGTTTATTGAGTGCCTACTGGGTGCATGGTGCAGGTGTGGGAGTTATTTGGGGTCGTTGTGACCTGGGAAGCTAACAGGCCATTTGCAACAATAAGAACACAGCGCATTTGCCAAGTGCCTGTATAGGCCTTGTGCTGGCACTGTCACTGGGCCTAGGGGGCATCAGCGTTTGGCTCCTTCTCTTTTTTTTTTTTTTTTTGAGGCAGGGTCTCGCTCTGTTGCCCAGGCTGGAGTGCAGTGGCACAGTCTCAGCTCACTGCAGCTTCAACTTCCCAGGCTCAAGGAATCCTCCCACCTCAGCTTCCCAAGTAGCTGGGACTACAGTTGCATGACACCATGCCCGGCTATTTTTTCGTATTTTTTGTAGAGACGGGGTCCCACTATGTTGCCCTGATCTCAAACTCCTGGGCTCAAGCCATTGCTGGCCTTGGCCTCCCAAAGTGCTGAGATTTATTACAGGCATGAGCTACCACTCCTGATCATGAAGCAGGATAGTGTTATTAAAAGTAGACTTAGGTTGTAAATGTATATTACAAACTCCAGGGCAATCATGAAAACATTGAGAAAGAAGTATAATTGATGTGCGGAGAGAGGATGGAGTTTTATTACAGTGCAGTCATGGCAAATATCTTTGAAGACCCTTAACACCCATCACGACTTTGAAATGACAGTAGCTACAAATACTTCCTAATTCAAATGTTATTTAATGCATTCATAAAGATGCACATTTATAACTCTATGACAAGTTAATTTTATATGTTTTCACAACTTATTTCAATATAATTGATTTCCTTTGTATTAATAATTTTTTAACATTTTTGTGCATTTAAAAACTTTTTGGCCTGGCATGGTGGCTCATGCCTGTAATCCCAGCACTTTGGGAAGCTGAGGTGGGTGGATCACTTGAGGTGAGGAGTTCAAGACCAGCCTGACCAACATGGTGAAACCCTGTCTCTACTAAAAATAAAAAAAAAAAATTAGCCAGGTGTGGTGGCTGGTCCCTGTAGTCCCAACTACTAAGGAGGCCAAGGCAGGAGAATTGCTTGAACCCAGGAGGCAGAGGTTGCAATGAGCAGAGATCACACCACTGCACTCCAGCCTGGGTGACAGAGTGAGACTCCATCTCAAAAAAAAAAAGTCTTTCTAAGACAGAATCCATAGGCTTCATCAAACTGCGACAGGGGTTCATGGGACAACAAAAAAAGCTCATGGTGTGAGGAATTCTTGCCATCTATTCAAACTGAACAAGAAAAGAAATCTCCTTAATAAGAAAATATTCTAGAGCACCCAATCTGGATGGAAGTTCATCTTACCTGTTTAAGGAGAAAAATTTGCTTTAGTGTGTTCTATCATGGATAGATTAATACCTTGTTTTGCAGACAAATTTAAAAAGTAAAGAAAGAAAGAAGAAGACATTATAAAGGATCCTTCAGAAAAACACTGAACACATGGCAGGATTCTTTTTTACTATTGAGGCGGTGGGGAATCAGGACAGTGGAGACACACCCACGCTGGGGCCCTTAGAAAGTGGCTATGAACACAGCAAAGATCCGATTGTAAAAAAAACTGGCTACAGCCAACATACTCCCCTGCTTTAGAGATATGTCAGTGTTTCCTGCAGCTTCTGGAAGCTCCAAGGTAGATGACTGGCACTTGGCTCCGTCCCAATTGATGATGTGACTGTGGACTGACTGGTTCATCCCACAGACCGTACTGAAAGTCGTCTCCCACTGGCACCCTCCTGGACACACATGGAGCACTCACCATGCACCAGGCCCACAGAATGGGAAGATGGAACTTGGGGATGGTCAGTATGGACAGGACTTGTGAGGAGTTTCCTGCAGAGTGGGCCAGAGAAGTGGGATGCCAGATGGAAGGGCACATTGGATGGAGAGGGAAGGCGTTCTTTCTAACAAACAGTGGGAAACCCTAGTGCACACTGGCTTTGGAAGAGTCTTAGGAGGACAGAGCTCACCATCGCTTTGTGCACTGTTTACCCCAGACCTAGAAGGAGTGCCTGTTCCTGTAAGACCCCCATCTCTGCCCTTACAGTGAGTTTGTGAAAGTCCAGATGGTTTCAGGCTTGCTGCTGCCCAGACTAAGGAGAAAAGCCAATTTATAAATTGGAGAAGCGATAGCATATTGTTTGCTGATGGGAATGCTCCTACAGAGATGATGCAATATGACCAACCACGTACGACCCCCAAATCTCAAAGAACTTTAACACGAGGATACAAGTCCCGTTACTGCCTCAGCTGTACATGCAAAGACCATAAGGAGAGAAAACGAGGAGACAGAGAAAAAGCACTGATTTACAGAATGCGTGTGGCCTCGACAGACCAGTTCCTTGTGGGGAATGTTTGTATCTCACATTCTCTTCAGTTTGCAGAGGAAATCTCTCTTGGGAAGTTTTCAGGGGACATTTTTCTCTACGTCTTGGTCCTTCTAGGGGTTTTAACGACATAGAACTCAATGATTGGAGATCAAGAAAATGAACTGTTCAGCTAATCATCTAAAAAGCGCTTTTACATGTAATATAGAGGCTATTTTCAAGCCTTGCCAGGGGTGGGTGGGTCCGCATTTAGGCAGCCCTTTATTCTGTGCTTCATGTGAGTGCATTTGTTTGCTCAGACACATAGAACCAGGTGGCATCCTGTGCTATGTCTGGGTGGTTTGGGAGCTCAAAGCCCCTGAGAATCTAAAAGCAAAAGCCCTTATGACTGGAAAAGTGAGGTCGCAGACATGTGCCCAAAACCTATGAGCCTCTTGGCTGCACTCGGAGAACTGGCCAAGCCTGTGCCACACTCCACAGGGAGGCCTGGGTAGAGTCACGAGGCAGAAAGGGCTGCTTTGCAGGTGCTCCTGGGGAGGTCGCAGCAGGTGCCTGGAATCCATCATCCGCCCATCATCAGCCCCGTTAGCCCTAAGGACACCTGGAGAGTCCCAAGGCTGCCTCTCTCGAGTGAGGGACAGCTCCAGGAAGATGGAACGTGTCCAAATCCTCCCAGGCAGTTAAAGGGTTGAGCAGCATCTGGTCTGGCCAGGTCAGACCCCACATCATTTACACCAGGGGCGAGCCTGGGTGGACTTCACAGGTGGATGGTCCTAGGGTCCTTCCATCTGTCTGCCCAGCCAACCAGACCCGATGAGCAGAGGGCAGCAGGCCTTCTGTGTAACAACCACTGTCCAATAAAAAAACCAATCCAGATTTAGTAAGGAGATATCTTTATGCAAAAGGATATTGCAATAGGAGATACCAGAATACTGCAATAGGGAGAAAGCATTGACCTTAATGTCTGCAAGCTCCCAAAGGTGACGCAGAGAAGGAGTTTTCTTATATAGGGAGGAATGAATGAGGCTGGAAAGAACCACGTCTGGGGAAGTGGGATGAAGGGTGGCTGAGGGGACAAGAGATTGAGGATACTTTACCCTGAGCCTGGCCTGCTCCAGGAGAGGCCAAACATCAGGGCGTTGGGGGAGGGGAGAAGCTGAACCAAGGCTGGGCAAACAAGCATCTTGTGTGGATTGACGCATGGGGACAAGGAGTTCAGGTAATCATTGATAAGGCAAAGATGGCAATGTAGTGGGTGCTATAGTTTGAATAAGGTGTTTGTCTCATTAATTCTCATGTTGAAATTTAATCTCCAGTGTTGGAGGTGCAGCCTGGTGGGAGGTGCTTGGGTCCTGGGGGCAGATCCTTCATGAATAGACTCCTGCCCTCCCTTGTAGGGAGTGGAGTTCTTGCTCTATTAGTTCCTGCCAAAGCTGGTTGTTAAAAACAGCCCGGCACCTCCTCCTCTCTCTTTCCCTGTGACCTCTGCACACAGGGGCTCCCCTTCATCTTCCACCATGAATGGAGGCTTCCTGAGGTCCTCATCAGAAGCAGATGCTGAAGCCTTGCTTCTTATACAGCCTGCAGAACCATAAGCCAAAAAAAGTTTTGATAAATTACCCAGCTTCTAGTATTCCTTTACAGCAACGCAAAACAGACAAAGACAGTGGGCCTGTCATGCATCAACAAGGGGCGCTGTAGGGGAGGCAGAATTCTACCTCCATTATCTTAGGGTCCAGGGTGGGCCCAAGAATTAGACTGACATTAGAGAGATGAGCAGGAGAAAAACATACAGTTATTTAATACAAATTTAATGTGGTACAGGAGCCCTCATAAGGAAATGAAGATGCAAAGAGGCAGTTAGAGTCACTTATATACAGAGGTGGACAAACACTATTAAGTTGTGAGATTTGATACGGCCACGGGGCTTGAGTGAGGATAGTTAATGGGGTGAAGAAATGACTAAGTCAAAATACTTACACACTAGGTTGAACAAAGAGTAGTAACTGTGGCAACAACTAGGAAGATAAGGGTTAGTTTAATAAAGTTTGTTTGTATAGATTTCTCTTGGCTTCTATCTTGGTCTGTTTCATGTTGTTAAAGGAATACCTGAGGCTGGATGATTTATTAAAAAAAAAAAAGGTTTATTTGGCTTATGGTTTCGCAGGCTGTACAAGAAGCACAGTGGCTGGGCGCAGTGGCTCACGCCTGTAATCCCAGCTACTCAGGAGGCTGAGGCAGGAGAGTCGCTTGAACTTCCCGGGAGGCGGATGTTGCAGTGGGCTGAGATCACATCACTGCACTCCAGCCTGGGCAACAGAGTGAGACTCAGGTCAAAAAATTAAAAAAAAAAAAGCATAGTGGCCGGGCACGGTGTAATCCTAGCACTTTGGGAGGCCAAGGTCGGGGGATCAGTTGAACTCAGGAATTCAAGACCAGCTTGGGCAACATAATGACAGCCCATCTCTACAAAAAAATTAAAAATTTAAAAATTAGCTGGATGTGGTCCCAGCTACTTGGGAGGCTGAGGTAAGAGGGGCCTGGGCAACAGAGCAAGATGAAAAAAGGAGGGAAAGGAGGGGAGGGGAAGGGAGAAGAAAAAAAGGAAGGGAGGGAGGGAGTGAGGAAGGGAGGGAAGGAGAAAGGAAGGGAGGGAAGGAGAAAGGAAGGGAGGGAAGGAGAAAGGAAGGGAGGGAAGGAGAAAGGAAGGGAGGGAGTGAGGAAGGGAGGGAAGGAGAAAGGAAGGGAGGGAGGGAGAAAGGAAGGAAGCAAGCATAGGGCCCACCTCTGCTTCTGGTGAGGGCCTCTGGCTGCTTCTGCTCATGGTGGAAGGTGAAGGGGAACCCATGTATGTGCAGAGGTCACAGGGCTGCCGCGAGAGAGGACGCCAGAGAGAGAGGGGAGAGGGGTGCCAGGCTCTTTTCAACACCAGCTCTTCAGGGAACCAACAGAGTGAAAACTCACCCTAAAGGAGGGCAGGACTCTATTCAGAGGGTGACACCCCAGGACCCACACACCTCCCACTGGCCCCCCCCTCCCTGGGCTCCAACTTTAGGGATCAAATTTCAACTTGAGAGTTGGAGGAGATTTGGAAGCTTCCACCTCCCGTCCTTGATGATAAGAACGTTCCCTTGCTTTTACTATAAGGAGAACATCTTTCATATGGGAATTTCATCTCTTGTATTTAAGAAACAACAAGAAATTCAGAATGATCTTCCTACACCTGCTTCTTCTTTTTTTTTTTTAAGTGCCTTTATCTCAAAATAGACAATATGCCAGAAAGGCACATCTTTACCTTCTTCAGAATCCTAAGGCTCATCTAAGCCGTACAGGTAAGGGAGTTCTTTGCAGGTCATAAAAAGTGGGAGATTCCTTTAACTCTGGCTGCATCCCAGAGCTTTGTCACTGTGTAAAAGTGGAATGCCGGCCGGGCACGCTGGCTCACGCCTGTAATCCCAACACTTTGGGAGGCCGAGGCGGGCGGATCACGAGGTCAGGAGATCGAGACCATCCTGGCTAACATGGTGAAACCCCGTCTCTACTAAAAATACAAAACAAAATTAGCCAGGCATGATGGCGGGCACCTGTAGTCCCAGCTACTCTGTAGGCTGAGGCAGGAGAATGGCGTGAACCCGGGAGGCGGAGCTTGCAGTGAGCTGGGATTGCGCCACTGCACTCCAGCCTGGGCGACAGAGAGAGACTCCGTCTCAAAAAAAAAAAAAAAAAAGTGAAATGCCAGCTGGGCCTGGTGGCTCATGCCTGTAATCCCAGCACTTTGGGAGGCCGAGGCGGGTGGATCACCTGAGGTCAGGAGTTCGAGACCAGCCTGGCCAATATGGTGAAACCCCATCTCTATTAAAAACACAAAAAATTAGCCAGGCATGGTGGCGGACACCTGTAATCCCTGTAATTCCAGTTACTCGGGAGGCTGAGGCAGGAGAATCGCTTGAACCTGGGAGGTGGAGGTTGCAGTAAGCAGAGATCACGCTATTGCACTCCAGCCTGGGCAACAAGAGTGAAACTCCATCTCAAAAAATAAAAAAATAAATTAATTTTTTAAAAAAGTGGAATGCCATGTGCTGGCTTCTGGAAGGCTCTTGCCACCCAAGTCATGGGGAAGGGAGAAGAGGAGCGCTGAGAAGACATGAGGAAGCTTGTGCTGGAGAGAGATGATCCCCACCACCGCGGCCTACCCGCATCAACCCTTCACAATGCTGGTGCCAGCTCTGGTGGCCACGACCAACAGGCATGAATATAAGGGAGAGGCGCCCGAGTGGAGTTCCCTGTGGGCCAATCAGAGAGCAGTGGGCCATCACGCCACCTGAGGCCAGCCAATGGGAACGCGGCAAGCTCTATAAAAGCGAGCAATCCGCTGAGGTCTGGGCAGAGGACACCGCGGGGCCAACAGTTTCGGATTCATGGCCCGAACCAAGCAGACTGCGCGCAAGTCAACGGGTGGCAAGGCGCCGCGCAAGCAGCTGGCCACCAAGGTGGCTCGCAAGAGCGCACCTGCCACTGGCGGCGTGAAGAAGCCGCACCGCTACCGGCCCGGCACGGTGGCGCTTCGCGAGATCCGCCGCTACCAGAAGTCCACTGAGCTGCTAATCCGCAAGTTGCCCTTCCAGCGGCTGATGCGCGAGATCGCTCAGGACTTTAAGACCGACCTGCGCTTCCAGAGCTCGGCCGTGATGGCGCTGCAGGAGGCGTGCGAGTCTTACCTGGTGGGGCTGTTTGAGGACACCAACCTGTGTGTCATCCATGCCAAACGGGTCACCATCATGCCTAAGGACATCCAGCTGGCACGCCGTATCCGCGGGGAGCGGGCCTAGGAGGGCTATCTCGCCACCTGAGAGGTTGCGCAACGTTCACCCCAAAGGCTCTTTTAAGAGCCACCCACCTGGTCGAAGAGTTGCTGTAGCAAGCTAGTCTCTTGGGTTTCGGGGGGTTCCTTCCGCTGGCCTGTGCTGGCTTACCTACTTCTGATTAGGGTGGGAGGCTGGTGAATCCTGTGTTCACCCTGTCCAGTTAGGAGGCCAGCTACTCACACGCGTTACCTCTCAGCCTGTCTCCAGTCACAAATCCAGCTAGTAGTGTGTGGGGCTAACTTGGCCTATCCGTTTAGATAAGAATCATGGTTGGTCTGTTTTGGGGACGGGGTGTTGAGGGTAGCCTAATTGGTCTATCTCCAGTTAGGTAAGCAACCCCAGCTAGTTGTGTCAACTCAGCCTATCTACAGTTAGGTTGGAAGGCTGGCTGGTCTTGTGTGTTCTCAGCTCAGCCTCTTTCAAATTAGGTTAGAAGTCCTGCGTGTGTGTGTGTGTGTGTACACGCAGCTTGTTTCCAGTGAGGTTACCAGTCCAGCTAGTCTTCTGCCTTGACAGCCCATCTCCTGTTAAGGCCAGCAAGTAGTATGTATTATCTTGGCCTATTTTAAGTTAGAAGTCCAGCTACTTCACCAGCATAGCAGCTTACGCCTGTAATCCCAGCACTTTGGGAGGCCGAGGCGGGTGTATCACCTGAGGTCAGGAGTTCCAGACCAGCCTGGCCAACATGGTGAAACCCCATCTCTAAAATTAGCCGGGTTTGGTGGCGCATACCTGTAATCCCAGCTACTTGGGAGGCTGAGGCAGGAGAACTGCTTGAACCCAGGGGGCGGAGGTTGCAGTGAGCCAAGATCATGCCACTGCACTGCAGCGTGGGCAACAGAACGAGACTCAATCTCAAAAAAAAAAACAAAAAAAAGTCCAGCTACTTGTGTGTTTTAACTCAGCCTACCTCCTGTTAATTTAGAAGGCTGGCTAGTTGTGTATCTTTTTAACTTGGGCTATCTCCCATTAGGTTAGAAGGCTGGCTAGGGGTGTGTGTGTGTGCACGTGCACCCATGTGCACACATATGTAGCTGTGGTGTTGGCCCATCTCGGGTTAGAAGTCCATCTCATTGTATGTGTTAACATACCCAATCTCCCATTCAGTTAAAAGGCTGGCTAGTCATGTATGTTGTAAATTCACCCTGTCTTCTGTTAGGGTAGATGACTAGCTAGTTGTGTGTGAGAAGCCCAGCTAGGCATGTGCATTGTTAATTCCTAAGTGAAATCAATACTGGGAAACCCCAGCCCAAAGTTCAAAGAGGGCACTCTGCCCTGGAAGTCAGTTTACTGAGCAGTCGCAGACAGGCGTGGCCCATGTGCCCAGCACTTTGAAACAGGCTTCCCAGCGCCACAAAGTAGTCTGGCAGTGCTCTGGGGATGAGAGACACAGAGACCAACTTGCTGAGAAATCCTACAGCTAGGGCAGCAGGCCACAGATCCAATAGTAGACTTATGTCAGGAAAACCTGAGGATGGCTGTGAGGATAAGGATGTAGGGATTGTCTCCCTCTGGTACAGGTTGGAATCATTTATTTGTGAAAGGCTTTATTAAATTGAATGAGGCCAAGCACTACCCCATGCTGGGATCATGGAGGGAATAAAATCCATTTCCTGTGGCTGCTGCCCACTCTGCTTTCAAGGTGCTTATGCTTGAGTGAAGGGGGCCTGTATTGTGTGTAGAAGCAATGATAGTAAAAGGTGCTCTTATACATAGCAAGGGATGTGCATAAAGTGCTATCAATAGGCAACAGTGGATTTTATAAGTCTCTTTGAACCCAATTTATAGCCTGTTGACTCAAAATTCAAAAGCTTCATCAATTTATTAGTACACACACAACTGAACATCATACCCTTTAAATCTCAGGATGTATTTAAACTTATGAGTGCCAGATCCTTGGAGGGCTATCCAGAAAGCCTAGAATATTCAGGGACAGCTATGTTCTGGTTTTGAAAGTCAGCTCTGACTTTCAATACTAGACTCCTTTGGGATAAATTTAAGTTTTCCCTTTTTGTTTTGTTTTTTCAGAGACAGGGTCTTGCCATGCTGCCCAGGCTAGAGTACAGTGGCTATTCACAGACGTGAGCATAGTGGCCAGCCTTGAACTCCTGGGCTCAAGCCATCTTCCTGCCTTAGCCTCCCGAGCAGGTGAAGTTCAAGTCTTCTGTGCTTTACAAAGCCCTTGTCCTAACAAAGTCTTGCCCAGTGGTGGAGAGCTAAACCTATGTAACCTTGCTGATGATCTTGCTGGATAGCCTGGAGGGAGCAGGAATTTGGGCAGTTAGCTACATTTGCGGAACTGGATGCAGATAATGCATTCTTGACAGGATCATGATCAAGCTTTGCCTTCTGTAGGAGACCAAGCCACTTAAGCAGCCCCCTGTCATTCTGGTCTTTGTATGAAGAACAGAGTCTAAGTTGGGCAGTGTGGCACATGCCTGTAATCCTAGCTACTGGGGAGGCGAGAGGATGGCTTGAGCCCAGGAGTTTTTGAGGCCAATCTGGGCAACAGACCCTGTCAAAAACAACAACAATAACAAAAACAACAACAACAACAACAAAAAACAAGAGCTTGGCCTTATATGTTCCTTGTTTTCACTGATTAATGGAGTGGATAGTGCACTAATTGTGCCCTATAAAGATACAGCAAGGCAATACAGGGCAATTTGTATCTCAGAACTGATTGCTGAGGACCTAAGGTGAGGAGCTAAGGAAGGAAGTTTAGACACAGGAAAAAAGTAACTGAAGTCTTTCTGGGTCGTGTAAGTGGGCACTTGAGGAAGTCTTTCCAGCCAGGCATAGTGGCTCATGCCTATAATCCCAGCTTTTTGGGAGGCTGAGATGGGAGGATTTCTTGAGGCCAAGGAGTTCAAGACCAGCCTGGACAACATGGCAAGACTCTGTCTCTACAAAAAATACAAAAATTATCTGGGCATGATGGCGTGTGCCTGTGGTCTTAACTACTTAGAAGGCTGAGGTGGGAAGATCGCTTGAGCCCAAGAGTTCCAGGTTACAGTGAGCAGTAAGCCGTGATCACACCACTGCACTCCATTCTGGGCAACAGAGCCAGACCCTTACAATTACGACCAGAGCCTTTGCTTCTGTATCCTGTGGGTTCTAACGATGTGAGATAGTAACTGAAATGTGGATATCTGTTCACTGTGTACTCAACTCTTCGAGCGCATGTACACTATGGAGGTAGCCTGAGCATGCAGTGTTTATAAAAGTGGAAAGAGTGGTTCTAAATATCAAAAAGTTAAAATTCCAGAAATAATAGAAAGGAGAGTTAGGCATTAAGAGATAGTGCTATGGGCCTTGGTGGACTGAACAAAGGAGGACAAAAGTGGGAATAAAGACAAAGACAAAAGAGTATATTTGGAAAAAGGGGTCAGGGGGCTCCTTGCTTCTAGTGAACAAGGGCCCTGAGCTTCTAGAGCCCTTCTTATTAAGTAAAGGAGACAGGGATAAGGGGGTGGTTGTGGTCAGCTGCTTGACTTAGTGCAGGCCTGCATGACTGCATTCTTTGAACAGTAGGCTCCAGATGTCCCAGTAGATAACCTCAAGGAGCACAGAGCCAGGGAATGAGGCCCTCAGCGTACCTTCTGGTGGCAGGCACAGATGCGAGTTTGCCCACATCCTGCATTCATGATAAACAGTTTGCTGTTTAGTCATATAGCCTCCAGTGGAATGCTGAGTTGGTCACGACCCTCAGGCTTTCAGCTCCCAACAAGATAGCAGAATAGACCTCCCCAAAATATGCAGATTTGATATAAGAATTATTTTGAGCTGAAGGCACTTGAAGAACAGCAGGTGTAAGAAGGGCCCTCTGACCCCTTTTCCTGAAAGCAGGTGATGAACCCTCCATGGGAAAGGTGCTTGCCTCTACCAGCAGGGAGAAACAGCATGACTAGGCATGGGGACTGAAGTGCAGCAAAATGTATACAAACAGGCTTTGTTAAAGTAGCTCTTATCGCCAGGTAGAGTGGCTCATGCCTGTAATCCCAGCACTTTGGGAGGCCAAGGCAGGCAGATCACCTGAGGTCAGGAGTTCCAGACCAGCCTGGCCAACGTGAAACCCCGTATCTACTAAAAAAACAAAACAAACAAAAAAAATCAGCCAGGTGTGGTGGCGCGCACCTGTAGTCCCAGCTACTTGGGAGGCTGAGGCAGAAGAATTGCTTGAACCCAGGAGGTGGAGGTTGCAATGAGCCACGATCACATCACTGCACTCCAGGCTGGGTGACAGAGTGAGACTCTGTCTCCAACAAACAAACAAACAAACAAAAATAGCTCTTACCTTCCCCAGCCTCCCTAGGTATTCCAGTTGCTTTCTCACAATTACTACCCTTTGTTCCATCCAGTGGATAAGCACTTAGGCCTAACTACTCTTGAGGTCTTCATTTTGCTGTGAAGGCTCCCATGTACATGTACAAATGAAATGTGTATGCTTTCTCCCATTAATCTGTCTTCTTTCGTTTTAGTCTATGCAGGCTGCTATAACAAAATGCTATGGCTTGGTGGTTTATAAGCGACAGGAATTTATTGTTCACAGATCTGGTGGCTGGCAAGTCCAAGGTCACGGTGCCAACAGATTGAGCTTCTGGTGAGATTCTGCTTTCTGGTTCACAGACAGGGCCTTCTCACTGCGTCCTCATGTGGTGCAAGGGGTAAGGTGAAAATAAATCTCTGGAAAGGCACCAATCCTATTCATGAAGGCTCCACCCTTATGGCATAATTACTTTCCAAAGAACTCCATCTCCTAACACCATCACCTTGGAGGTGAGGATTTCAAAATGTGAATTTTGGAGACAGACATTCAGTTCATAACAATCCGGATTTGTTTTTCTGTGGCTCAGTGGACTCTCCTGTTGAGCAGTCTGAATTGAAGACATAAAGAGGCCATGGCTCTCTTACCCTATTTTCAGGAGCCCCTCTTCTTTTCCATTTAATTCAGCCTATTTTAAATTGCATGAGCACTTAAATTTTGCTCTCGAATCTTTTCTACAATGTTAATAACTTAGTGGGGGCTGCATTCAGTAAGGGCAAAGGATATTTACCTTGTAGCAGTGTAAGTAAGACTTGTGTTTCAAGACTGACATTGCTGATCCTTTGCTTAAATAATTTGAAAAAAAAAACCACAATCCACAGCAGTGGTATTTAATTTAAGAATTAAATTATTAAAGTAGAATTCAATTTAAGAATTCCAAAAGGATATATAGTGAAAATTGAGCCTCCCTCAATTAGGGGGTTCCTCAGCCCTTAATTTCCCTCATCAGATGGAGTTTCTTGTTTATTTCTTGTATATTTTCCAAGAGATACATATACAGTAATTATGTTTACCTAAATAGTGGCAGACTACATATACTGTACATCCTGCCTTTTATTAAACCTAACAATTTATCAGGACACATAACTGCTATCTGATTTTTTCTTAATGACTTGAGGATATGAAGGTTATTCCAATTGTTTTATCATGATGATAGATTTCTCAGCTCAATAACCAGGTGAGCCTAAAAAGCATTAATAATGAGCATCCTGGGCTGATGCCACATTTTAACAAGTATTTGTTGAATTCCCCACATCATGCTAGTATGGGAGGAGACTGTGAATTAAATTGACCAAAGACAGACGAACAGGAGAAAGGCATCCATGTTGTATTGATCTTAATATTTTTATATGCATGGGGTGTACAGGAAAGAAGTGAAAACCCAAAGAAGTTGTTAGGCTCAGCTGCTTGTAAACCATTTGTAACAAAGGGTGATAACGTGTCAGCAGGTGACTAGGACATGTGTGGTGCTATGCAAGATATAGATATATTCCATTTCCCCTCTAATTCTGTGATTCTGTTTTCCCAATTGAAGGAAACCTGCAGCTCACAATCCCCTCACTGATGCAAATGACAGGCAGAGGATTGGGTCTGCCCAATCCCCAATTTATTGGGGAAAATAAATCTTGGGCCCCAAAATCACTAGCTAAAAGGAAAAGTCAAGCTGGGAACTGCTTAGAGCAAACCTGCGTCCCATTCTATTCAAAGTCATATCTCTGCTCACTGAGATAAATGTATATCTGATTGCCTCTTTTGGAAAGGCTAATCAGAAACTCAAAAGAATGCAAACATTTGTCTCTTATCTACCTATGACCTGGAAGCCCCCTCCCCACTTCCAGTTGTCCCGCCTTTCTGGATGGAACCAATGTTCATCTTACATATATTGATCGATGTCTCATGTCTCCCTAAAATGTATAAAACCAAGCTGTGCTCGGACCACCTTGGGCACATGGCTGTGTCATGGGCGTGTGTCCTTAACTTTGGCAAAATAAACTTCCTAATTGACTTAAACTAGCCTCAGATATTCTGGGTTCACAAGGGTAATTCACTTAATCGGCCAGTGTGCGCAGCCAGCCCGCACCTGACAGCACACAGACCCCTTTGTGTGTGCGAGTGATGAGAGACCACAGAAGAAACACTCTACCGAGTGAGCCCAGGGAAAGCCAGCCATCTATGCCTGTGGCCAGCTGTCTACACCCGCACACCCAGGAGATTGCAGAATGGTGCCTCTTAGCCTTCAAGGCCCTGTTTTCCTGCCTGTCTGCACCCCCTGTGTGGGCCAAGCCTTAGTTTCTTCATCTGTCCTCTCTCTCCAATCCCAGGACTCTGACTCAGGGCACGCAGGCCTCTGGCTCCTGTTCCTGAAAGCAGGAGATGAACCCTCCATGTGAAAGGTGCATCCCTCTACTGGAGGATGAAGCGTGATGACTAGGCGTGGGGACTCAAGGCCAGGAGAAATGGCCACCAGTCAGGACCTGGGCAGGGCTGGGGGCGGCATTTTGGCTGAAACCGTAAGAGACTTTTAAACCAGAGCAACTCCATCTTGTATAGAGGCTGGGTAAAATAATTCTGAGACCTGCTGGGCTGCATTCCCCAGAGGTTAGACATTCCAAGTCACAGGATGGGATAGGAGGTTGGCACAAGATACACGTCATAAAGACCTTGCTGATGAAACAGTATGTGGTGAAGAGGCCAGCAAAATCCCACCAAAACCTAGATGGCGACCAGAATAACCTCTGGTTATCATGACTGCTCATTATATGCTAATTTTAATACGTTAGCATGCTATGAGATACCCTCACCAGTGCCACAACAGTTTACAGATGCCAAGACAAGGTCACAGTTACCCTATATGGTCTAAGAAGGGGAGGAGCCCTCAGTTTCTGGAATTGCCCTTCCTTTTCTGGGAAACTCATGAATACCCCACCCCTTATTTAGCATATAATCAGTAAATAGCCATAAAAATGGGCAACCTGTAGCCCTGGGGGCTGGTCTGCCCATGGAGTAGCCACTCTTTATTCCTTTACTTTCTTAATAAACTTGCTTTCACTTTACTCTATGGATTTGCCCCGAATTCTTTCTTGCCCAAGATCCAAAACCCTCTCTTGGGGTCTGGATCAGGACCTGTTTCTGGTAACAAAACCACCTGGGGTGTCGGCAAGACCCACCCCGTCCCGCCTGGTTCTAGGGGACCTGACCTGCCAGGTGGTCCCTCCAAACTGGTCCGCCCACAGGATTGGGACGCCCCTCCCTGTACCCTCAGCCTGATGCTGACTGCCAACCATGTGGGCAGACCTGGCGGCTGACTGGCTGCTCCTGGGGACCCCCTTCATAGCTTCTCAACAGGCACTCGCTCCTGCTGCCTCGCCCCCACCCCAGCCCACACAAACTCCTCTCCATCCCCTACCCCGACCAACTTAGCCCCTCACCTAACCCTCCAGCCTGGGGCTCGCGTGCCCTCCCGCAGCCCCAACCCCAGGTTGAGAAGCCTCTTCCAATCCCACTCCCCCCACCCTGACGCTCGCCTGCCCGCCCCTAGCCCCACCAGCTGTCCCCATTCCACTCCCCACCCCCAAGTAACCCCCCAACTCCCCACCCTCCACACTCCCTTAACCTCCCCTAAAAGTCCCACCCCAGGCCAACAAGACTCCTCCCTTCGCTGGGCTGTGGACCACATCCTCCCCACCGCCCAGTCAGCACCCGCTGCGCCTGTCCCCGGCTCGTCCAGAGCCTTCCACCCCCTGCCGCCTTCCTTCCCCAAGCCACCCCCAACCTCTCCTAAGAGGCGCCGCCCCAGTCCCGGCCGCCGAACACTCCCTCGCCCAGCATTCCCCTCCCCCGCCGCCCCCCAGCCCCCGCTGACGCCACAAAGTCCCTAGGCCTCCCGACCCCAGGTCCCCACGCCCCGGGCCGGGCCGCAGCCTCCTGGGCTTCGTGGGGGCAGACCCAGCCTTTCCCGGCAGCGAGCGCTCGGCCAGGTGCACTAGGCGCTGTGCGGGCCCCCCTTCCCCGCGGTGAGTAGCCCCCACCCCGCCGCCTAGGCTACCCTCCTGTGGCGCCTGGGCCACGACCTAAGCCTAACCCGGTCCTCCTCGCCCTCCAACGCCCGGCCTTCCCGCCTCCGCCGGCCGCCGCGTCCCTGGAGGGGCTAGCGCGCTTCAACAAGGTAACTCTACCGGGACCCTAGCGGACCAGAGCGGGAAGGACAGCCATCCCGGCAGCCAGAGCCAGAGCCCCAGGCCCGCTGCCGCTGTCCCTGCCCGGCTTCGGTCAGGGTGGGCTGGGTGCCTCCGTTAGGGCTCTTGGGGGGAGTCGGAGGGCTGGCGCCGGGTGGTTGGCGTGCAGAAAGCTCCGAGAAACTGGACGTGGGACAGAGCCGGGGAAGTCTGAGACCCCTAGACGCCCTCGCTTTAGGGGATGGCAGAACGGAAGGGGAGAATCGTGCTTGCAGTGTAGACGCGATTTTCAACTCCTTCTGCAACTCGGTCCCCATAGCAACCCCGTGGCGTAGGCGAAAGTCTGTAGATCTCCACTGCGTGGGGTCGCGAGTGTTGAGATTGCAGGGGGCATCTATGTGCATGCTTGTGTGCCTGTGCGTGTGTGCGCGCGTGTACCTGTGTGTACATGCATGTATGTTTACCGATATGTGCATCTGTGCCTGTGTGTGCTGTGTTTGTGGATCAGTGTTTCTGTGCGTACATGTTTGTATTTGTGTGGTGTGTATGCGTGGGTATGCGTGTGTGCACATGCACGTTTGTATACATACATGGGTATGTGTATGGGTGTTCGTCTGTGCGTACATGCACACGCGTGTTTTTTCTGAACCCCACCTCACTACCGAATGGAAGAGAGCTTTTTTCCTCTGATAGCCCATCCCTTCTTCCTTTGGTGTACGGGGTTTTGTTAAAGAAAAAATTCTGACATTTGAAAGGCTCTTTAGTCAGGCTACTTGCAATGGGAGAGTTGCGCCAGCAAAGACAGCTGGGGATGTATGGGGGAGTTGGAGTGGGGATCTGGGTGGGGTCAGTGGATGGAAAGTGATTAAGGGAAGGCTCCAAGGGTAGGGGCTTCTCCCTAAGCTGACCTAGCAGGCTTCTCCAGAAAGGCAGGTTGAAGGCCTAGCCGGCAACGGTCTGTCGGGGAGGAGGAGCTGATGAGATGTGGAGCTGGGGGTAGCCAGCAGCAGGCGGAAGTGGACGGGTAGGGTCCAGGCCCAGTGGAGAGGAGAGGCGGAGGGGCCTGCAGAGCATTGGTCAGGGAGGGTCTGTGTAGTTTCTGGGGAGGCATCTGTGTCTGTTGTTGACAAGGCTAAAAATGATGACTCTGGACTCTCTAACTGGACTGCAGTCCTAGCCCTCCTCTGTAAAGGGAGGCTGTACAGGACGGTTGCACACTGCCGGCGCCCAGATCATCGGGCTGCTCCCTCCAACTCTCTCCAGAGTCCCTCAAGCGGGAACCTGCCTCGTGTCTCCCAGGAGCCATGGAGGCTGTGGAACTCGCCAGAAAACTGCAGGAGGAAGCTACGTGCTCCATCTGTCTGGATTACTTCACAGACCCTGTGATGACCACCTGTGGCCACAACTTCTGCCGAGCCTGCATCCAGCTGAGCTGGGAAAAGGCGAGGGGCAAGAAGGGGAGGCGGAAGCGGAAGGGCTCCTTCCCCTGCCCCGAGTGCAGAGAGATGTCCCCGCAGAGGAACCTGCTGCCCAACCGGCTGCTGACCAAGGTGGCCGAGATGGCGCAGCAGCATCCTGGTCTGCAGAAGCAAGAC
This sequence comes from Homo sapiens, assembly GCF_000001405.40. NCBI lineage: Eukaryota > Metazoa > Chordata > Mammalia > Primates > Hominidae > Homo > Homo sapiens. Next base: position 228,414,781 of record NC_000001.11, on the reverse strand, counting down.
CTGTGCCAGGAGCACCACGAGCCCCTCAAGCTTTTCTGCCAGAAGGACCAGAGCCCCATCTGTGTGGTGTGCAGGGAGTCCCGGGAGCACCGGCTGCACAGGGTGCTGCCCGCCGAGGAGGCAGTGCAGGGGTACAAGGTAGGCCACATCGGGGCCCAGGTCAAGGGGCCGGGGAGGAGGCATCCAGGGGGACAAGGTGACCCAGATCATGGGGGAGGGAGGAGGTGTCCAGGGACAAAGTGGCCCGAGTCAGGGGCTGGGGAGGAGGCATCCAGGGGACAAGGTGGCCTGTGGCTGGGTAGGGGTGTCCCTGGGGACAATGTGGGCCTACACTGTATGATGCAGGCATTGCAAAATCTTACCTCTCCTCTCAGAGTATTTTGGGTGGCTCTGAGAACCAAACTGATTTGAGACAGATAAGCAGAAGCAAAGCACTGAAATTCATTCCCTGTAAGCTTTCCATGACCCAGGAGTCGCTCCCAAGGAGCCAGAGGCCCATGGAAGCATGTTAGAGCCAAACATGTACCTGAGGAGGATGAGGGTTAGTTTAGCAGGGTCCCTTTGCACAGATTTCTCTGGTTTCGGCTTTCCCGCCCTTGGTAAGAACATGGCTTTCCTCCTGGCCTAGGGCAGTCCTCTCTGGCATGGTGGCTGTGCCTTCTGCTCTTAGGAAGGCCGAGGGTCACAGCAATTCTTACACCTGCCCTTTTTTAAGTGCCTTCAGCTCAAAATAATCCAAGGTGGCACATTCTGGGTGACGTATTTTGATCCCCTGCCCCTCCTGAGGAGGGTCTCTGGGGTGGGTGCAGTTTCAGCGAGCACAACTGGACTCTAGGCAGGAGGTAGGGGGATCGCTGATCCCAAATCCTGCGGTTTGTGTGTCCCACAGTTGAAGCTGGAGGAGGACATGGAGTACCTTCGGGAGCAGATCACCAGGACAGGGAATCTGCAGGCCAGGGAGGAGCAGAGCTTAGCCGAGTGGCAGGTGGGTGCCCAGGGCTGTCCAGTCCCTTTCCTGCTGCTGCTCCATCTTCCTGCATTTCCACGTCTGTGTCTGCCCGTGGGGATATGCTGCCGCAGTGGCAGGAAAAGAAGAAAGTTGCCTCTACCCTTCTAGGTTCTGTGGCTGGCCTCAGAATGAAACTGACTTAAGACAGATGAACAGCAGAGAAAAAGATAAAAAGGCAATTTTAAATTACAGATGCACACATAGGGTGGAGAGAAGGGGCCTCAAAAATCAGACTCAAAGAGGCAGCCAGAGGGTAGGGGCTCAGTACCACAAAGGAGGCAGCCAGAGGGCGGGGGCTCAGTACCACAAAGGAGGCAGCCAGAAGGTGGGGGCTCAATACCACAAAGGAGGCAGCCAGAGGGCAGGGGCGTAGGTCAGCACCACAAAGGAATAGGGCTTGGGGGCCTCTGGGCTGGGGAGGCAGGTGATGTTGGTTAAGTATTTAAACAAGTGTCTCAGGTGAAGAGTTGTTTTTGGAACTCTCTTTCTGGTATAGATGCCTTGACCACTGGAAATTCCTTCATGAAAGGGCACTTTTTAATTTTTTTTTTTTTTTTTTTTGAGATGGAGTTTCACTCTTGTTGCCCAGGCTGGAATCCAATGGTGCGGTGTCAGTTCACTGCAACCTCTGCCTCCCGGGTTCAAGCAATTCTTCTGCCTCAGCCTCCCAAGCAGCTGGGACTATAGGTGCCCACCACCATGCCCGACTAACTTTTGTACTTTTAGTAGAGATGGGGTTTCACCATGTTGGTCAGGCTGGTCTTGAACTCCTGACCTCAGGTGATCTGCCTGCCTCGGCCTCCCAAAGTGCTGGGATTACAGGCATAAGTCATCGCGCCAGGCCAGGCACTTTATTTTTTTAGGCAGCTAATGGGGGAGGCAAACAGGTTTTCCTGCTTCTGCGGGTTCTCAATGGCCTTTAGTTAACCTTAATCCTAATGCCTGTCAAAACACAAAATTAAAACAGATTTAGAGATCTTTGTTGTTATTTTTTGTTTTTTTCTTGAGTCAGAGTCGCTCTGTGGCCCAGGCTGGAGCACAGTGATGCAATCATAGCTCACTGCAGCCTCAAATTCCTGGACTCAAGTGATCCTCCTGCTTCAACCTCCTGAGTAGCTGGGACTACAGGCACTTGCCACCAAGACCAGCTTTTTTTTTTTTTTTTTTTTTTTTTTTTGTAGAGACAAGGTCTTGCTATTGCCCAGGCTGGCCTTGAACTCCTGAGCTCAAACTATCTTCCCGCCTCAGCCTCCCAAAGCACTGGGATTACAGGCGTTAGCCACTGCACCCAGCTAAGAGAAAAGATTTATTTGCAAGGCCACTGAGTGAAGAGGAGGGAGAACAGCTCTTAAACCTGCCTCCCAAGTGATACAGCTTGGGAGTCTTTATGAACTACGGAGGCAGGGTGGTCCAGCAGGCCCATTCTGTGCAGGTGTCGTCGGGGTGCATGGCATTTCACAGGACACAGGTACCAGAAACGGCAGCCTTAGCATGATCTGAGGTTGGAAGTTTTGGCCCTCTCACATCAAAAGGCCACCTCGGGCACTGGGACAGGTCCACTTGAAGGGCAGATGGTCTCAACTGGTTTCAGCTGGACAGGAGCTGCCCCACATTCCTGAAGCGACCAGTCCCATGGTGACCTGTGAATATTATCTATAAAGAGCCAGTGAAGGGTGGGCGTCAGCATTCAGAGGCACAGCCTTCAGCTTCATGGAAAAAGGAAAAACAAAATAACAAAAAGCAATCAGGGCAGGCTGACCTGATCAGTGAACCCCTTGGTTTCATTAGCACCAGTGACTCCATTCTGGTTGGGTCTGGTCTTCTAGGACCCAGCGCAGGAGCCCAGTTCAAAACAGTGGCCCCTGAGGATCACCTGAGCCCAGGAGTCTGAGACAGCAGTGAACCATGATCATGCCACTGAACCCCAGCCTGGGCAACATAGCAAGACCCTGTCTCTACAAAAAAATTAAAAATTAGCTGGGCATGGTGGTGGTGACACATGTCTGTCGTCCCACTTCCTTGGAAGGCTGAGGTGGGAGGGTCACTTGAGGCCAGGAGGTCAAAGTTGCAGTGAGTTGTGGTTGTGCCATTGCACTCCAGCCTGGGCAACAGAGCAAGACCCTGTCCCTACACAAAATTTAAAAACTAGCTGGATGTGGTGGTGCATGCCTGTGGTCCCAGCTACTCAGATGACTTGAGCCCAGGAGGTCAAGGTTGCAATAAGTGCCACTGCATTCCAGCCTGGGCAACTGAGCGAGACCCTGTCTCAAACAAAACAAAACAAAAAACAATGGCCACCCATAAATTTTGTTTAACATGCCCAAGAGGCTTATCTGGGGGTGGACATTCTGAACCTCCTCAGAGCAAGGGTGCATGGGTGTTTGGATGTGTAGAAGTTGCAGTTCGGGGCTCGGAGGGTTACACTCAGTGTATCACAGGATGGCAGAGGTGGGGGCCTCTGTCACAGTTCCTGGTCCCCAACTAAAGCTCCAGTTGCTGGTGATCTTGTGGGTCACCAGGGCCCTGGGGAGAGGTGCCAGCATCCCTGGAGCTGAGCCACCTGCTGGCAACATGCTGGGCTTCTCCACTCCTGCAGGGCAAGGTGAAGGAGCGGAGAGAACGCATTGTGCTGGAGTTTGAGAAGATGAACCTCTACCTGGTGGAAGAAGAGCAGAGGCTCCTCCAGGCTCTGGAGACGGAAGAAGAGGAGACTGCCAGCAGGCTCCGGGAGAGCGTGGCCTGCCTGGACCGGCAGGGTCACTCTCTGGAGCTGCTGCTGCTGCAGCTGGAGGAGCGGAGCACACAGGGGCCCCTCCAGATGCTGCAGGTGAGCCAGTAGGCTTGGCAGGCAGGGTGGGATGTGAGCTCTGACAGGCATGGGCAGGGGGCGCTGGGCTTGGGGAAGAGGCAGCCAACGGGAAAGGGCTGTTAGCTCCCAGTCTGCTAGTCCTGGAGGCTGGGTGGCTGAGGCCAAGGTGCGGGCAGGCCTGGTTCCTCCTGAGCCTCTCTCCTAGGCCTGAAGATGCCGTCTCCTCCCCGCGTCCTCATGGCATCATCTCTCTATGCACGTCTCTGTCCTAATCATCTCCTTGTATAAAGACACCAGTCAGACTGGATTAGGGCCCACCCCAGTGACCTCAACTCCCTCCTTAAAGATGCTATCTCCAAACACAGTCACATTCTGAGGTCCTGAGGGTTCAGGCTTCAACCTGTGAATTAGTGGGGACACAAGTCAGCCCCTTACAGGTTCCAACCTGAGACAGTGTCCCCATTTCCTTCCAAGTCCAGAGAGGTGGCTTGGGACACCTGGCAGCCAGGTGTGGCTTTGGGACAGGGACTCCATGTCTCGGTGTGGAGGAGGTGCACTGTCCCAGGAGTGAGTTGTGTGGCAACGGCAGTGGGGAGGTGAAGCAGCCAGCCTGTCTGCCGGGACCAGCCTGTGTGCCATGGCCCTGGAGAGGGGGCTTGATTACGGCTGATAAGACGCCATCTCTACAAAAACTTAAAAATATTAGCAGGGCATGGTGGCGTGCGCCTGTGGTCCCAGGACTCAGGAGGCTGAGGCAGGAAGACTGCTTGAGCCCGTGAGTTCAAGGCTGTAGTGAGCTATTGCGCCACTGCACTCCACCCTGGGTGATGGTGAGATCACATCTAGGAAAAAAAAAAAAAAGGAAAAGGAAAAACAAAGCAGCCTGTTCACAACCCACTACATTGGTTTGCTGACCAACTGAGGGAAAAGCCCCTGCAGCTGGTAGAAGGGTGCTCCTATGAGCAGAGGGCCAAGCGCGCCACCTGCATGAGAGTCCCTGCCTAGAGTTAGGGTCACGCTCTGGCAACTAGAAATATGGCCTTTGGAAAACAAGTCCCTTGTAGCTTCCAGGCCAGAGAAGTAAACAGTGATCTCTTTAGGGAACTCTGAATCCCTAAAGAGGCTACAGAAAATCCCCAGGTGCCTCAGTCTCTTACCCACCCCCCTCCCTCCCCAAACTGCACCCAATTGCGCCCCCACCCCATTCCTGCTGAGTGGGCTGCACCCACCTGAAATGGGAGAGGAGGGTCAGTGTTGAGTGGCCACTTGCCTGGAAGGGGTCCCTCCGCCTCTCCTGAGTTGCAGGACCTCAGGCGTGTGGCCGTGGGCTGACAGGGTAGCTCAGCTTAGGTGAGGCACTGGGGGCTCTGGTGGTAGTGGGAGCTAGGGCAGTGGGGAAGGCTCAGGAGTGCCATGAAGCTCAATTGTGGGAAGGGAATGCCCAGGGGACAGGATGGGTCTTGCCCTAAGACACGGACAAGAAGGGAGCAGGGACATTGAGGTGAGCCAGGAGCTTGGCTCACTCCCCACCCTCCGTCCCTGTCTTTTGCAGGACATGAAGGAACCCCTGAGCAGGTATGTGGTCCCCTCAGGCAGGGGCGGGGGCAGTGGCAGCGGTGGGCGGGGGGGACAATAAGACTGTCGGGCCAGGGGAGTCAATAAGACTCCCCTGTGTGTGCCCACCGGAGGAAGAACAACGTGAGTGTGCAGTGCCCAGAGGTTGCCCCCCCAACCAGACCCAGGACTGTGTGCAGAGTTCCCGGACAGATTGAAGTGCTAAGAGGCTTTCTAGGTAAGTGGGCACCCAGGGCCAGGACCTCTGACCCAGGATCTCTTGGCGATGCCCCACTGTACCCCCTAGCCTCGGAAGCCACCAATGGGGGGGGTTCTACAAGTGCACTGCCTGGTGACGGTCACTGGCTATTCACTGTGCCTTCGTAGGGCGGCGTTACTGGTGGTTCTAATTCATGGGATGAATCTTGTTGAGTTCCCAGTGGTCTCTCTGCCCAGCCCCCTGTACCTTATTGCCACCAAGGCCCACACACAATTGGTGTGTGGAAGCATCAAGTAACCCCAGATTCACAGCAGGGGAGGCCTCTGCGGAGTTAGGGGACCATTGGCCACATCCACCACTAGGGCCCGGGGACTCCCACCTTTGACCCTGAATGCCCCACACCTCTCCCCATCTCTCCACCACCACGCCCATCTACAGAGGATGTGGTGCCTGATGCCACCTCCGCGTACCCCTACCTCCTCCTGTATGAGAGCCGCCAGAGGCGCTACCTCGGCTCTTCGCCGGAGGGCAGTGGGTTCTGCAGCAAGGACCGATTTGTGGCTTACCCCTGTGCTGTGGGCCAGACGGCCTTCTCCTCTGGGAGGCACTACTGGGAGGTGGGCATGAACATCACCGGGGACGCGTTGTGGGCCCTGGGTGTGTGCAGGGACAACGTGAGCCGGAAAGACAGGGTCCCCAAGTGCCCCGAAAACGGCTTCTGGGTGGTGCAGCTGTCCAAGGGGACCAAGTACTTATCCACCTTCTCTGCCCTAACCCCGGTCATGCTGATGGAGCCTCCCAGCCACATGGGCATCTTCCTGGACTTCGAAGCCGGGGAAGTGTCCTTCTACAGTGTAAGCGATGGGTCCCACCTGCACACCTACTCCCAGGCCACCTTCCCAGGCCCCCTGCAGCCTTTCTTCTGCCTGGGGGCTCCGAAGTCTGGTCAGATGGTCATCTCCACAGTGACCATGTGGGTGAAAGGATAGACACAGACCGGGGGACTCGGGCACTGCTCCTGGCTCTGCAGAAGGTGTGGGCCTTCTGCTTACTGCAGGCCACCTGCCAGGGTTCTCTGGCATCACGCTGGCAGCCATTAGACACACAGGGGGGTTTCTCAAATTCTAAATATAATTGTGATTAGAACTGTCAAACATTAAGAGGGTATACTGACAGATGCTTCCTAGAGGAAACTTTTGAAAGCCCCTGCGTTCTGAGTGGACCGATTTCTAAATCCATACCTACACACCAGGAACAGCGTGGTCACGTTTTTTTTAGCCATGCCCCCACCCCCACTTTGGAATGACAGGAATCTGTGGCTCCCAGCCCCCCCAGGGGTTTAGGTTACTCTGTCAAAGAAGTAGAAATATCCTATGGTGGGGAGGAGCGGGGGTGGTTGCTGTGTCAGGGATGGTCCCAGGCTGCCCATAGAAATGTCCTATGCATCCTATTGGGTCCTTCGATGGGGGAAAATGGGAAAGGCTGAACCCGTAAAAAGCCTCAGAGCTGCCCACCCCCATCCCGTTCGATCCCCAAAGTTGCACGAGCAGGGGCAAAATCCCAAAGAGATTAGGATTTATGTAGGGGCCTCTTTTCCACAGCGCCCTTACCTTTTCCAAGGAACCCCCCACCCACCCCTGCAGGGTCAAGCACTTTAACAGCCTGTGTCAGTCACTAGCAAGGCAGAATTCCAGAGTAAGCGTACTCCTACCTCGACAAAGCCGGAGTGTCTGCGCGAGGGGCTGCCTGGAACAGCATGCCCCTTTGGAGTGGTTCCCGCAGAAAGAATGTGGGCCTCCTGGAGAGCTGGTCCTGGAGGGATGCCCCCGTCCCATCCCCCAACTCCAATCATTCTGACCTTGGCCTGCCAAGGCTGTGAGGGCCGGGCCTTCCGAGGATACCCGCCCTGGGAAGCACGGGCTGAGGGGGTGAGGACGCACTAGGGGTATGGCGAAGGGCTCCAATGCCCCAGGCTGCGGACTCCCTTAGTCCTTGCAGTTGCTTCCGTGTGCCCCGCCCTGAGTCCCCATCCCTCCTTGCCCTGCCCCCTGCTCCATCCCTCCCCTGCGCCCCGCCCCCTGTCCCCATCCCTCCCCTGCGCCCCGCCCCCTGTCCCCATCCCTCCCCTGCGCCTGAGTCCTCCCCAGGGCAGGGGTAAAAGACCTGGCCACAAGAACCGGAGCGGTGGTGACGCCAGGTCAGCAAGTGAAAGCTCTCCAATTCCGTCCCGCCCGCGGGCCGCGTGACTGGCAGCGGCCAATCGGAGGCAAAAGCGGGTTGTTCCAAAAAAAAAAAAAAAAAAAAAAAAAAAAAAAAAAAAACACACAAAACCCACCCAGTCGCTTCCTGCTTCCGCCTCGGCTCCTCTTCCTGCCGGCATCCGGGATCCCTACGTCCCGCGTCCCCCGAGCGCTCGGAGCCTACGCGCCCAGCGCTACCGAAACCCAGAGTCCTGCGCCCTGGAGTCCCCGCGCCCCGGAGCCCGAGCACCCGGGAGTCCCGAGCCTCGCGCCCCGGAGTGCCCGAGCCTGCGCCGCCGCACCCGGATACCCCGCGTCCCCGCGAGCTGCCGAGGCCGCCCGCCGCCGCCCCGCGGACAGTACCGCCTTCCTCCCCTCTGTCCGCGCCATGGCCGCCCCCGACCTGTCCACCAACCTCCAGGAGGAGGCCACCTGCGCCATCTGCCTCGACTACTTCACGGATCCGGTGATGACCGACTGCGGCCACAACTTCTGCCGCGAGTGCATCCGGCGCTGCTGGGGCCAGCCCGAGGGCCCGTACGCGTGCCCCGAGTGCCGCGAGCTGTCCCCGCAGAGGAACCTGCGGCCCAACCGCCCGCTTGCTAAGATGGCCGAGATGGCGCGGCGCCTGCACCCGCCGTCGCCGGTCCCGCAGGGCGTGTGCCCCGCGCACCGCGAGCCACTGGCCGCCTTCTGTGGCGACGAGCTGCGCCTCCTGTGTGCGGCCTGCGAGCGCTCTGGGGAGCACTGGGCGCACCGCGTGCGGCCGCTGCAGGACGCGGCCGAAGACCTCAAGGTGCTCCTGGGCGGGGGTGGCGTGCAGGGGCGTCGGGGAGCCGGGGACTGGGGAGGCCTGGGCGGGTGGGAGGTTTGGGGGACTGCTCCGGGAGTAATCTGTCTCTGTCTAGGGCGGGGAGCTCAGGATGCAGCCTGCTGTGGGCCTGTGAGGGGGGTGTCGCGCAGGGTGGCTGTGGGGGCTCATGACACAGCCTGTTTCAACCAGGCCCCTTGAGGCTGGGACCATGGCCGCCAATGAGACCCTGCTCTCGGGGGTGAGGGGCGTACCTCTCATAGATAGAGGCTAAGAGAGGAAGGTGGAAGGTGGAAGGTGGTGGAGTGGGGGCAAGGAAAATGTGGCCATACCCTGGCCAGCAAGGAGCTGGAATCAGAGGAAAGTGGGAGAACCTCAGAGGTGGCCGATCCTAGATGGACTCCCTGCAGGGACTGTGTTAGCAGGTCAGTACTTAAGTCCTGGGAAAGCCCCAGACTGGGCAGGATGAGGGGGACACAGTCGTTTCCTCTCTAACCTCCCCTCCAGGGCTGCCCTGCATTTCTGGGTGGGGTACTGGGAGCCATCTCTGCCATCTGAGATGCCAGGGCTCAGCCTGCCTTTTCTCCCCTTGTCTTGCTGCTTAAAACCCAAATAAAACCCGAGCTGAAGGGCCTGGGGCACACGTTCCCTGGCCTGCGCTCCCTCCCGCTGTCCTCTTTCCTCGCTGACCTGCTGCAGGTGTGCTCCTGGGAGCCTACGTGTGGGGCAGATGGCAGCATCTTTGGAGCTTTCTTGATTGCACTTTGTGTGTTGCATCATGGTCACTTGTGTGTGCCAGATGAGCAGTTAAGGCAGTGTTAGAATCAGTACTGAGCTTGATCTGTCCCTATCACAGAGCAAACTTCTGGGATACTAGAATAAATCTGAATCTGTCCCCTTCTGCTTTGGATTTTAGCAGAAAGGTGGTTTAGAGCCATATCCGTGGGCTTGTTCAGACACAGATTCATTTGGGTTTTCTTTTCTTTGCCCATGCAGGAATGTCTACACCTGAAACATGTTAGCCCAGCAGAATTACCCTTGTGACACCAATTACCCCAATGGGTGCAGAGAGTGCCCAATAGCTCTATAGAGTTGACTCGATATAGTTTCATGGGATAGCACTTAACCCTTTCTTTTGCAGGTGAAGAAAAAAATTTCCCTCTACCCTGTTAGGTTCAGTGGCTCAGGGCTGCAAATTAAACTGGCACAAGACAAATTAACAGGAAAAAAAATCATACAATTTGATTAATATTTTAAGTTTCACATGCACAAGAACTTCATAGAAAAGCGTATTTCAGCAAAGGTTTGTGAATTGTGGAGAAGTGACTGGACACAGAAATGGGATTGGGCGTCTAGGACTGATAAATTGTGGGAAAGTGACTAGGAAATAGATGGGAAGAATTAACACAAGATAATGGTCATTGTAGTAAGGTCTGTTTAGGCAGAATCATCTCCCAGGATTAGAGTGCCCTCCTCTTCCTGGTAGAGAGAGGGTGCCTTTCTCATGGGGAATGAATACCCTACTTTTAGGCAGATAGGAGTACAGAGAGCTCTTCCTGCATCTGCTTTTACTCAGAATAATTCTTGTACCACAGCGGTATATTTGGGGATGACATCCTGTTCTTCACTGCCTTAGAGCCTAGGTTATGTTAACCACAGCAAACTGCTTTTACCTGCCCCCATGGGCCTAGAAAGCTCAGTCCCACCTATGGGGCTGTGTGTCCACTTGCCAGAGCTGGGGCCCATTAGCTCCATGACAGGTTCACTCCTTGCCTGGCCCTGACCTGGGGTCATGACAGCTGAACAAGCCCCAGGCTGGGTTGCCCCGAGGTGGTAAACAGGGAAGTCCCAGTAAGCTCCAGTTCCAGGAAGCAGCACCATGGGAGAGAGAAGATGGCCCCCAGATCTCTCTGGGTTGTGTGTCAGATGGCACTTGTGTGGGGAGGGGGTTTGCCACAGGAAGGAGGAGGCCAGGGAAGATCCCAGGCCTGCACCAAGCCCCAGCATCCCAGTTCTGACTACACGCAGGGTAAGAGGTTTCTGTTCTGATCTGGCCAGAGACACAAAGATGCAGGTACCTGAAATGCAAGATCTTTGCCATGCTGGGTATGTTGTGCTGCTTTACAGCCCATTCCATCTGATCAAATGCTGTTTGTAACCTTAGTGTTGAAAACTGAAAACGTTGGCCAGGTGTGGTGGCTCACGCCTGTAATCCCAGCAATTTGGGAGGCCGAGGTGGGCGGATCACCTGAGGTCAGGAGTTTGAGACCACCCTGGCCAACATGGTGAAATCCCATCTGTACAAAAAATACAAAAATTAGCTGGGTGTGGTGATGGGCACCTGTAATCCCAGCTACTCAGGGGGCTGAGGCAGAAGAATCACTTGAACACAGGAGGCAGAGGTTGCAGTGAGCCGAGATCGTGCCACTGCACTCCAGCTTGGGGGACAAAGCGAGACTCCGTCTCAAAAAAAGAAAACTGAAAATGTCCCGTAGGGACTGAGGCATTGAGGGAGAAGTGAGAGGCACTGGGCCAAGTGTTTGAGGTGGGGTTGGGGTCACAGGGGCCAGGCCTGAGTTTTCTGGAACAGGTCGGCAGCAGTGAGGAGAGAGGCCTGGGGACAGGGACCGCCATTTGGGGTTCTTGTAGCTCACGTGAGAGCTGAGCCTAGGCAGAGACAGTAAAGCAGTTGGACATGTCCTTGGTGCTCCAGCGGTCTTCCCGAATCGTGAGGCCAAGTGGTGAACTAAAGTGAGCACCTGGAGCCAGGCAGCTGGGCTGAAGTCCTGGCTCTGCTACCGGGGCAGACTTCTGGACCCTCCCAGCACCTCCATCCTTCCAGAGCGTGGATAGCGAGAGATGAGAGCCAAGACTTGGGGTGGCTGAGAAGCAAAGAGGTGTGGCCAGCACAGGGCCCGTTGCTGATAAGGGTGTCAGATGGGGTGGAAGTGAGCAGACCCTTCGAGAAGTGGGTTCAGGGCACCCCAAGCACACACAGTACAGTGAGCTTGTGTACAGGATTTTCACTGCTTCCTGGTATGCACAGCATGAGGAACCGTGGGAATGAGAATTAAGGACCAAGAAAGCAGAATGGAGGTGTACCCATCCTGGAGCTTATTACAGTGATAGCTGATGAAGCTGAAAATGCACAAGGTCCCGAGTGGCTTGGAGAAAAGATAGGGTGGGTAGCCAGGCATGTCTGTCCGTGCTGACTGTCCTACCAAAACACCATGGTTTGCACATGGCAGATGTATACAAGCTGGAGACTCACAGCTCTGGAGGCTGGAAGTCTAAGATCAAGCCCTGGCAGGTTTGGTGTCTGGTGAGGGTGCTTCCTGGTTCACAGACAACACCCTCTCACTGTGTTGTCATATGGTGAAAGGGGCGAGGGTTCCTTTATAACACTAATCCCATTGTGGCGGCACTGCCCTCCTGACCTAGTCACCTCCCAAAGCCCCCGCCTCCTAACATCATCACACTGGGTGTTGGGATTTCAACCTATGAATTTGTGGGGGCATAGGGCAGAATTTTTGGACCCCAGCATAGGCTTGGTCCAAGGCCCTTATGTGAGCCAGCAGGTGAGAAGGAAGAGGAGGAGGAGTAGACACTGGCTTGGGAACAGGAGAGCTCAGCACCTTCAGAGCCAGCTTGGGGACAGATGGGGTGGGCAGCCAGAACCCTTGAGGTAGCTTTGCAAAGGGGGGTGAGGCCTGGGCTAGGGTAGCAAGGTCGAGGACTAGAAATGCCCCATATGAGAAAAAGGAAAGAATGTGGCTGGGGCTGTCAGCCTCTGGCAAGAGGCTGCCCACCTACCATGAGGGCTCACGCTTATTGGAGGGCATTGAGTTCCCTGATTCACCAGGCAGATTTCAGTTTGTCCCCATTGTCTTTGAGGAGGGGACAGGGTGTCAGGTGCAAAAGGGCAGGCTTCTGTGACAGGACTCATGTCTCATGGTCCTGCCTGGCCTCTCCCGCAGGCGAAGCTGGAGAAGTCACTGGAGCATCTCCGGAAGCAGATGCAGGATGCGTTGCTGTTCCAAGCCCAGGCGGATGAGACCTGCGTCTTGTGGCAGGCAGGTGCTGGGGCTCCCAGGGTCCTGGGTGGCAGGGTAGGGGGTGAAGGTCCTGTATAGGAGACCCCAGGGGGCGATGCTGGCCAGGCACACTTGCCCTTGGCGCCCCAGGACCAGTCACTGCTTCAGCCTGGCCCCACCGAGCCCACTGAAGGGCTGGTCCTTTCCCACGTGCACCTGTCCTGCCAGGTCGTGGGCGTGGGCTCCCATACTGCAAGGGCCCCATCCTGGGGTCCCAGCATGCTTGGGTGGCAACTCTCAGGTGTATTTAGGGTCTGGGCCCTGGAGGTAAATTTGGAGGTTTTGAGGGACTAGGTCATAGATGTGGGATTCAGCCATCCTGAGGAGTAGATTTGGGATCTGTCCAGTTCTGGGGTAGATTTGGGGTCTGGGAGGCTCTGGGTGGTGGATTTGGGATCTGGGAAGCCCCAGGGGAGAATTTGGAGGTCAGGAGGGACCCTGGGTGGTAGATTTGTAGTCCAGCTGGCCCCAGGTGGTAGATGCAGGGTTCTACCAAGCCAATGGGTGGATTTGGAAGTTGGGGAGGGACTAGATAGTGGATTTGGGATCTAGTCGGCCCTGGGTTTAGATTTGGGGTCTAGCCAGTCCTGTGTGGTAGAATGGGATTTGGCTCTCCCTGAGTGGTGGATTTGGGGTTTGGGAGGTGCCACAGGTGGGTTTGGGGTCTGGCCAGCACCAGGTGGTGGGTTTGGGGTCCTGCCACACCTGGTGCTGTGCTTTGGCTTTAGCAGGCCCCGGGGGTGGGGTTGGGTGCAGCCAGGCCTCTGGGTGGGCTTGGGGTCTGACCAAACTTGGGGTCTGGCTGGGCCTGGGGTCTGGCCTCAGCTGTCCTTCTCCCTGGGCTCCACAGAAGATGGTGGAGAGCCAGCGGCAGAACGTGCTGGGTGAGTTCGAGCGTCTTCGCCGTTTGCTGGCAGAGGAGGAGCAGCAGCTGCTGCAGAGGCTGGAGGAGGAGGAGCTGGAGGTGCTGCCCCGGCTGCGGGAGGGCGCAGCCCACCTAGGCCAGCAGAGCGCCCACCTAGCTGAGCTCATCGCCGAGCTCGAGGGCCGCTGCCAGCTGCCTGCTCTGGGGCTGCTGCAGGTGAGCTGGGCGGGGAGCAGCCATGGTGGCCACACGGGCATGGCCTGGCCACACTGGGGGAGGGAGAACCAGAAAGTGCAAGAAGCAGGGGCAGAGAGGTTGTCTGGGCTGAGAGGTGAATGGCATGGCTGGATGTGCCTGGCTGTTGCCTGTGAAATGCTGAGTCAGCAGCAGGACAGATGTCCCACCCCCAAAACCCACGTGCCGAGAAAGGGAAAATCAATTTTCCTCTGTAGATGTAAACAGTTGATGTTTCTTAAGTGATTACATAAGGTCACTCCATCTCGTCCTGACTGACACTGCTGCTCCCTGTGGGCACAGCAGAGTGGGCATGTGCTCGCTGGGACCACCTTGGGCCTCCCATAGGATTCCTGCCATGGTGTCCCCAGCAGGAAGTCCTCGCCCTTCACTCTGTCTTCACCCCGCTGGCACACCCCATGCATCTCCATTATGGGGGGCAGTCTCCTCCTCCTCTGCTTCCAGGAGAGTCTTTTCCCATGTGTGGGCTCCACTCCCTGAGCCGGCCCCCTGGGCCTGGGCTTTCCTTGGTGCACCCCCAAACCAGAACCAGTGGACGCCCTGGCCTGTGGCCTGGCGGCAGGTCAGGGGGCCTGGAGTCAGCTCTCTCCGCTTGGCAAGCGTGCACTGATGAGGACTGACGGCACTCCCATGCTGAGAGGCCCCGTGTGGGCTGGGAGTGTCTGCTATCATCTTCCCGTGGGGTTCAGCTGGATGTTTTTCCCACAAAATGGAGAACGTGTTCCATGCCCAGCATGGTGTAGACTCAAGGGGCCCCAAGATTCAGAGGGAAATGGGCCCCTGGGCAATTCTGGCTCCCACAGAGGAGAGAGGCCGTGTGTGAGTGAATTCAGCCACTGGTGGGGCAGGGCTGCCAGACCCAGGTGGAGCCCACAATGCTGCAGATGTGGCTGGGCGGCTTTGCACAGGGGGTGACCTGCTGCCGGCCTCTGGAGCCCAGCAGAACATCAGTCCAGGCACCGGCTCCTGGTTTCGATTGTCATTTCTATTGTAAGCTTTTTTCTGTTTTTTTGTTTTTTGTTTTTTTTTTTTTGTTTTTTTTTTTGTAGATTTAAGGGGTACAAGTGCAGTCAGAGTGTAGCCATCACCCGAATGGTGCACACTGTACCCAGTAGGTAGTTTCCCCCACCTCCAAGTCTGCAGCATCTGCTCCTCCACTCCGTGTGCCGCGTGCACCAGCTTGGACATCAGCTGGCTTTGAGCCTGGGAAGCGGGAAGGACGCTCGGCTAGCGTCTGTAGAAAGACTGAGGAATATTAGGAGAGGGTCCTGTGGTCAGTAAATTGTGGGGTGGGGAGGTACCCAGAAGACTGAGGAGGAGCCCTCAGGGAGGGCAGAGAGGACAGGTGTTGGAGAAGCCAGGAAGGGTTTAGAAGGAAGGTGAGTTGACCTGGAAATGGGGACCCACAGGGTTTGTGTGAAGATGCAATTTGGGCTTTCAGCTGAGACATTGTGGCATGTGGGCGGGTGGGTGGGTGTTGGGTCTCATACACCCACCTGCATTCACCCCGCTGAGTGGCCCACCCGTCCATGCCTTGGCCAAGCTCCCTGCCCAGGTTTGGCCTGGCTACAAGGCTTCAGGGAGGTCCCTCCTGTCCCCCCAACCTGCCAGCACATGGCCTGCATGCTGTGGGGGTCTGCCCACATGGGGGTTGCAGGAGAGCAGCCTCAGCAGCTCTGTGTTGATGTGAGCTGTGTGCTGGTTTGAGAGGGACAGGTGGGGATGGCTTTGCACCCTTGGCCCCCGGTTGGGTAGGGGAACCCAACCCGGGTTCCCAGCACCCAGGCCGAATGGACAGGGGTTGCACAGTGGAGGTAAAGGCTTGAGTGACTCCCAGGAATCCACCCACTGGGGCTCTGGCTGCTGTGGACTCTGGGGCCCTGGCTGCTATGGACTCTGGGGTCCTGGCTGCCCCCTTCAGCAGGCCCTGCTTGTAGCCGCAGAGTGGTTTTGTTCAAGTCAATGCTGCCCCTGGAGGGCCCGTGTTCTGTGCAGAGACCAAACCCCCTTGTCGAGGCCAAGGTTCTCCTCTACCCCCAAGCCCTTCTCCTGCCGCCCCTGCACCCGGCCTTGTGACAGCCACCACCTGTTTCCAAATGACACCAGGGGTGGGCCGCCCACCCCAGGTAGAATAACCAAGGTGGAGCTGCTCCCAGCTGCCTTGCTCACACCAGCACCATCTGCCCCTGCCCTGTGCACACCCCTCCCTCACCCTGCGCACTCCCCCTGTGTCTACCAACAAATTCTTCTTGGGCTTCAGAACCCTACCAAGAGTCTCCTCTTTATTTATTTATTTATGAATTATTTATTGAGACAGGGTCTCACTCTGTCGCCCAGGCTAGAGTACAGTGATGTGATTATGACTGCAGCCTCGATGTCCTGGGCTGAAGCGATCCTTCCATCTCAGTCCCCTGAGTAGGTGGGACTGTAGGCACACACCACCAAGCTCAGCTAATTTTAAAATTTTTTTTTAGAGATGGGACCTTGCTGTGTTGCCCAGGCTGGTCTTGAACTCCTGGACTCAAGTGATCTGCCTGCCTTGGCCTCCCAAAGTGCTGGCCTCCTTTTTAAAAAATTTTTGGGGCCTAGAGTGTGTTGTTGTCCCCCTAGACAGAATTAACTACCCGTATGTGTGGAAATCTTCCTTTGCCATTTCTCCTACATGTAGGGAAACCCTTGTCTGGGATTATGTCTTACTGACCTCTGCATCCTGGCCTGGTAGCTGGCACCACGTGTGTTAGAATGAACATGGTGTGGGATCGTCTATTTGACAGTGTGGGTTAAATCCTTGCAGTGCACTGAAGACTGCTCTAAGAGATACAAGACCGTGTCTCCTAAGAGCTGATGTTCCAATACCTGGGTGTATCACGCCAGCTCGGGCTGCCACATTTAGTACCACCTGCCAGGAGGCTTCCCCAGCAGAGACTGATTGTCTCCCAGTCCTGCACACTGGAAGACTGAGGTCAAAGCTGGTTCCCCCTGAGGCCTATCTCTTGGGCCTGTAGATGCCTTTTCTTCCCTGTATCCTCACAGGGTCTCCCCTCTGTGGGTGTCTGTGTCCTAGTCGCCCCTTCTTATGAGACTCAAGTTATTTTGGATTGCAGCCCACCCTAATGGCCTCATTTTACTATGATTTCCTCTTTAAAAGCCCTTTTTTCTAATAGTCAAGTTCTGAAGTCCTGAAGTTTCTGGCTTCAACATACGGATTTGGCGGGATGGACACAATTCGGGCCCTAACATGGAGTCAGATGCTATCACGTATCAGGCAGTGACACAGGAAGGACGCACGCCCAAGAGTGGGGCTGAGCAGGGAGCCTGCAGGGCAGGTGGAGCTGGGAGAGGAAGCAGTGCAACCACAGGGTTGGGCTCCAGCTGGGGTGGAGGTGCCCCTATGCTGAAGGCTGGGATGTGTGCCTGTCCTGTCCTTGGCACCCAGAGGCGCCCACTTGGGGCTCTGGGTGAGTGAGCCAACAGCCAGATGCCCTACATCCAAGTGTCAGGCAGAAGTGGGCCTTGGTCCGCAGGGCTGGGCTGCACCCCATTGGTGATGCCTCCTGGCACACATGTCAGAGCCTCTGTCCAGCATTCCTGTGTCTGAGCCTTGCTGCGGGTGGTTTATGGCCCCCTGTGTGTGTTTTTGCTGCCTGACGCTCAAATGTAGGAGAGGGGGACGGGGCGAGGCTCCAGGGGCGGGGAGGGGACTCCAGGAGCAAGCGATGGTCACTGACACCGAGTGTGCTGTTTCTCCTCCCCACATAGGACATCAAGGACGCCCTGCGCAGGTACGAACCCAGCCTCTCCTGGAGGGGGGGCAGGAGGGAGTGGGGTGGGACCCAGCTGTTGGCCATGGCGACAACACCTGGGTTGTCCCCTCTAGGGTCCAGGATGTGAAGCTGCAGCCCCCAGAAGTTGTGCCTATGGAGCTGAGGACCGTGTGCAGGGTCCCGGGACTGGTAGAGACACTGCGGAGGTTTCGAGGTAGGTGTGGAGGCCCCAGGTGGGGAGATGACTCCAGGAGGGGACCTGCCAAGGACCTGGGCAGCCAGCCACGTGTTCTGTGCCCTGCCACTGCCAGCTCCAAACTCACAGTGTCATGGTGGTGGGTTGTTGGGAAAACGTCCTCTGCTCATACTTCTGACATCAGTTGTGTGGGTATTTTCACACCAAACAATTCTTCAACTTCTGGAAACGAATTGGGTATCCAAGGATTCCATTCAGCATTGAACAGAATTGCCAGTGCTGACACTACAGGAGTTAGTACAGACCCCACAGATTAAGGGCTCAGTCCCATAAGACTGCCCCCACTTCAGATGCCAGTCACAACTTCCAGGGGCTGCCCATACTTCTGTTCCCTCAGCGCCTCTGCAGATGTGAGCATTCGCTAGCACAGCCCATGGAACTCAGAAGAGCACTTTACTTACTGTCATTGGTTTATTGTGAAGGATACCACTCAGGAAGAGCCAAATGGAAGAGACACATGGGCAAAGCCTGGGGAAGGGCTCAGAGCTTTCCCACCCTCCCTGGGTGCACCTTCCCAGCACCTCAGTGTGCTCACCAACCTGGAAACTCCCTGAGCCCCAAGAGCTGTTTAGGTGTCTTTGTGGAGGTTCCATTACATGGTTATGATTGATTAAATCATTGGTCATTGGTGATGGGGCTCAACCTCAGACCCCTTTCCCCTTCCTGAGGTCAGAGGCTGGGGCTGAGTGTTCCCGCCCTCTACTGACAGGATTGGTCTTTCTGGTGGCTGGCCTTATGCTGGGCTCTCAGGTCCCCACCTCAGCCACTGCAGTGGCATCAACTCAGGTGTGATGGAAAGGGGCATCTTATGATAGCACAAGATGCTTCTATCAGTCAGGAAATTCCCAGGGTTCTGTGAGCTCTGCGCCAGGAACTGGGCACAAAACCCAAATCTGAGTCTTGTATCACAGTCACCCAAAGGAAGTACTATCCTCAGCTCTTGCTAGCAGGTCAGGAGCCTGTTGTGTAGGAACTGTGTGCAGGCCTCCAGAGGTGGATAGATCTGAAATCGGAGTGGTCAGGGTTGGGACAGCTGCCCTAATTCACATCCTTCATTTGGAGATTGAAAGGAAAAACAGACTGGATGCATTGGCTCACCTCTGTAATCCCAGCACTTTGAGAGGCTCAGGCGGGAGGATTGCTTGAGGCCATCAGTTCAAGACCAACCCGGGAAACATAGCAAGACTCCCATCTCTACAAATAAAAAACAAAAAAATGAGCCAGCCATGGTGGCACACGCCTGTAATCCCAGCAGCTTGGGAGGATCTGAGGCGGGAGGATCATTTGAGCCCAGGAGATCAAGGCTGCAGTGAGCCATGATCGCACCACTGCACTGCAGCCTGGGGCCACAGAGCAAGACCCTGCCTCTTTAAAAAAAAAAAAAAAAGCAACCAAGATTCCCTCTTGATATCTGAAGGCAAAACATGGACCAATTTGTAGGACATTGTAAGTTGCAACTGGACGTAGCTAAGTGGGGAGAGGATGTCCACTTGGAGACAGTTAGTTACTCCAGGAGGTTGTGAGGCTACAGGCCCAGGGCAGAGAGCCAGGCCGTCCGACTGGGAGGATTGTACCTACATGCCCAGGACATGGGCAGATGGCCCCAGCTTGCCTGTGGCTGTGCCTGGGTGACCTTGGGCCTCTCTCTGCAGGGGACGTGACCTTGGACCCGGACACCGCCAACCCTGAGCTGATCCTGTCTGAAGACAGGCGGAGCGTGCAGCGGGGGGACCTACGGCAGGCCCTGCCGGACAGCCCAGAGCGCTTTGACCCCGGCCCCTGCGTGCTGGGCCAGGAGCGCTTCACCTCAGGCCGCCACTACTGGGAGGTGGAGGTTGGGGACCGCACCAGCTGGGCCCTGGGGGTGTGCAGGGAGAACGTGAACAGGAAGGAGAAGGGCGAGCTGTCCGCGGGCAACGGCTTCTGGATCCTGGTCTTCCTGGGGAGCTATTACAATTCCTCGGAACGGGCCTTGGCTCCACTCCGGGACCCACCCAGGCGCGTGGGGATCTTTCTGGACTACGAGGCTGGACATCTCTCTTTCTACAGTGCCACCGATGGGTCACTGCTATTCATCTTTCCCGAGATCCCCTTCTCGGGGACGCTGCGGCCCCTCTTCTCACCCCTGTCCAGCAGCCCGACCCCGATGACTATCTGCCGGCCGAAAGGTGGGTCCGGGGACACCCTGGCTCCCCAGTGACTCGGGCCCTCCTGGAGGAGTCCTGTTGCCTCTCCTGCCCCTCCAGGCCACTGAGTGTTTTGGCCACTTGGAGGACCTGGGAGGAGGGAGTGTGTCCTTTGAGCAAGAGGAGGAACTCCTGGTGCCTTTCTGAGCCTGCGTGGGAGAACCCCAATTCTAGCACTCCAGGAAACTGTGGGAGAGTGTGGGGCAGGCTCCGTCCTCCCTGGGAGACCCCTCCAGCCACCGGGTGCCACTTAATGCCAACAGCCCTTACCAAAGCTGGGAGCCCCATTGCCCCGGCAGCTCTGGCCTGTGGTTCCAGAAGCTGAGAAAACTCCACTGGGGCTTGCAGAATCCAGGGTTCACCTAAGCTGCACAGTTCCTGCAGCTTTGCCAGCCCCCTGAAAGTCTTGTGTACCCCACCTCTGAAGATGCTGGGGGAGGCAGCTGGGATGGGAGCCAGCCCCATGCCTGTCTGTGACCCCACAGTGGGTGAGAGCCCGTCACAGTCCTGGGTGTGGCTGCTCTGGAAGAATTAGGAGGCAGCCATAATAAGAGTCTTCAGAGAGATGATGGGAGGGGCCAGTGAGGACAGGAACAGAGAGTAGATGTCCTATAATAAAGGGGCTTCTGGGAGGTGCCTGGGCACAGATGTCTGTTCAGCAGGTGTGTGGGCCTAGAGGAGAGAGCAGAGCCCAGAAATGTCTTTTGCAGGCCCACGTTCTGACTTGAAGCTTTCGTGGGCATGTTGCCATTGGGTTTTGCCCTTGCAAAGGCTTCCTAGGTCTCCAGTGGCCCCTCAGGACCCAGGGTCCCAGCTGCTGCTTGGGGATGTGCACTGCTGGCCGCCGGCCTTGCAGTCTCTCTACCCTGGGGAGGAACAGTGGCTTCTCAGAGCCTGGGGCATACAGAAGAAGGCAGGAGTTGATTTTTGTGTTGGGTTTGGGGTTTCTTTGTCCTCAAGGTACTGTTCTGTTTCTCTTTACCCCTCTGCTTTATTTATTGTAAGCATTCCCACGTTAAATAAACTTTGGCTGTTGTCTACAAGTCATCCTGCTGGTGCCTGCTTAGTCCAGGAACAATAGCGGGTGCCCCACTGCCCAGCAGAGGGCAGAGCCCCAGGGAGGCTGTTGACGGGGCAGGCGGGAAGCTCAGGCAAAGTAAGGGCCGGGACGGGCAGCCACTTCCCACACCCAGGCACAGATGGGCTCTCCACTTTCTGTGCTCAATATATATGTTCCTTATGTGGAGCTATTGCCGGAATGTTTTTTTCGAGATATCCTGGTAAATGTTTCCTGCATTCCATTGTGCTTAACGAGTAGTCTCCTGATTATCATTTATTCAGTCACTCTCCCATTCTTGTCTTTTTTTTGGCAGGGGCCTGGGGGGGCATTATGTAATACCATGTTGAACAAGATCAGCAGTTTCATTCAGCTGCAACAAAGAGAAGTCTGAGTGGAAACCAGGGGACTGGGCATTTCTCTGTGTTGGGGTGGGGTTTTTGTTTGTTTGTTTGTTGTTTTTTGAGACAGGGTCACCCATGCTGGAGTGCAGTGGTGCAATCACGGCTCACTCACTGCAGCCTCGACTTCCCAGGCTCAGCTGATCCTCACACCTCAGCCTTTCGGGTAGCTGGGACTACAGGTGCACGCTACAGATGGGGCCATGCCCAGCTAATTTTTGTAAAGATGGGGTTTTGCCATGTTATACAAGCTGGTATTGAACTCCTGGGCTCAAGAGATCCTCCTGCCTCAGCCTCCCAAGTAGCTGGGAGGGACTACAGGCGCACACCACCATACCCAACTAATTTTTTTTTTTTTTGGAGAGGTGGGAATCTCACTATTGGCCAGGCTGGTCTCAAACTCCTGGGCTCAAGCGATCTACCCATCTTGGCCTCCAAAGTGCTGGGATTTCAGGCTGAGCCACCAGGCCTGGTGCGGTGAGTATTGCCATAGCCTGTTTCCAAGCGGCTGTGTCCAGGGCTTCCCTCCAATTGAAGACTCCGTCTGCTGCGTTTGTGCCTCCTGGAGTGAGGCAGCCCCCGCCACCTCAGAATTGCTGATCTTGTTCAACATGGTATTAGGTAATGCCACCTATCCCCCTACCAAAAAAAAAGACAAGAATGGGAGAATGACTAAATAAATGATACTCAGGAGACTGTAATGAAGCACAGTGGAACACGAAACATTTACCAGGTTATCTCAAAAAACAATTCCTTCAGCAGCTCCACATAAGGACCATACACCTGAGCAAAGAGCGGAGAGCCCATCTGGCTGGTGGTAACAGCCGGGGGCAGCCTTGTGGGTGAGACCACGGGTGTGCACCCAGGATAGTTCTGGCCATAGCTTTAAAATAAAGCTGCACACTCCATAAGAGAAGGGCAGACTTCATGACTCATCTTTCCGGATGTCCCCCTGCTGAGTGCTGAGGCCCTGTGGGTGTCACCCATGCTTCCAGGCAGTGGAAAGATGATGGGAACATGCAGGACCCTGAGCAGGGAGCCAGTCTCTCAGAGGAGGTGACAGTGAACGGCCTGAACAACTGTGTCCTGCACTGTCAGGGAGCCCCACTGTGTGCAGCTTGCAGTTGACCAAATATTTAGGTTCCCCCAAATTCATATGTTGAAATCCTCACCGCAAGTTCATGTTATGAGGAGATGGGGCTTTGGGGATGTAATTAGTTCATGAAAGTGGTGCCCTCATGAATGAGATTAGGCCCTCTGCAATGGGACCAGGTCTGGAGGTCTGCACAGTACATCACCAATGCACCGTCAAGCATGGTCCAAAGACAGGGTTGTTGTGCAGGCTCCCATTGCATGTTCTCCTCCACACCTGCTGTGCCCACCTGACAGTAGCTGGCCACCCTCAGAGTGCCCATGATGTCCCAAGAGCTGCGGGACATTGTCATGCCGTGGGCTGCATGCAGGGTGCCCAGCACCACCTGTGCAGCACCCAACCGTCCTGGTGCCCCCCTGCGCCCTTGAGCCCCCTGCACCCCAGTGCCCATCTTGCATGCTGCACCCTCCCCATCTCACCCTTGCCCACCACATGCCCCCTGTGTGCCCAATGCCATCCTCCCACACCTGCAGCCTCCCAGTGAGCAGACCCCCCAGGGCCCATGGGTCACCCACGCACCCTAGATCCCCTTATGCCCTGGGTGGCCACGGAGCCCATTGCCTCCCATGTTAGCAGTGCCCGGAGCCTCTGGTCACCCCACACCCAGCCCCGTGCACTCCAGGCACCCAGAGAAGCCCCGCACACCCTGTTTGCTTCCACGCCTCCCATGTCCTGTCCCTTCCCAGGTGCCCTGTGTTCGCTTGGGCAACCCTGCCATCTGGAGGAAGGCCTCCTGGTGCTGGTGTGGAGCTTTGTCCCCGCCGTGCCCCGGATCCCTGTGCTTTCCCTGCCCTACCCTGCCCTCCCCAGCCCGGAGTCACCTCTCCCGACCACCCTGACTTTTTGTAACAACTTAATTGTGGTATAGTTTTCACGCAGTAAAATTCAGCTATTTCAAGTGTACCATTAAAATGATTTTTACTAAATCCACCGTTGTCATGATTCAATTTTAGAACATTTTCATTCCTCAGAAACACGCCTCTGGCCTATTTCTAGTCTCCTAATATAGCATATTTCATTACCTGCTTTTCCACCACTGAACCAGTCTTAGGTTCCTGGGGTAAATCCCACTTGGTCCTTTTACTGTCTTGCTCTATTGCAGTTCACTAATACTTCAAGATTTTTACACCTGTACTCGTGAGGGATATTGCTCTGCAGTTTTCTAAAAGGACGGGGTCTCACTATGTTTCCCAGAGGTCTCGAACCCCCAGCCTCAAACGATCCTCCCGCCTGCCTCCCCGGTTGCTGGGACTACAGGCCTGAGCCACCCACTGGGCTGTGGTCCATAGTGTTTTCGTGGTGTGTTTGTGTGGCTTTGGTACCAGGGTGATGCTGGACTCCTGAGTTAGGAAGCGCCCTCCCCCACTGTCCTGAAAGAGTTTGGGAGGGTCGCTTTCTCCCTTTATTTAATATTCTGTAATCTCCAGTGAAGCCGTGTGATCCCAGCCTTTCCCTTGTAGTGGATTTTAAATTACTAGCTCAATTGCTTTACTTGTTATGGGACTGGTCAGATAGTTCATTTGTTATGTCAGTTTTGGTAACTTTTGTCTTTCTAGATATTTGCTTATTTTCTCTTGGTCAGTAAAACTAACGTTTGGTCACAAATTGATTTTTTTTCTTTTTTTGAAACAGTCTTGCTCTTTTGCCCAGGCTGGAGTGCAGTGCCACAATCTCGGCTCACTGCAACCTCCGCCTCCCAGGTTCAAGCAATTCTTCTTCCTCAGCCTCTCAAGTAGCTGGGACTACAGGCATGTGCCACCATGCCTGGCTAATTTTTGCATTTTTAGTAGAGACAGGATTTCTCCATATTGCCAGGCTGGCCTCGAACTCCTGACCTCATGATCCACCCACCTCAGCCTCCCAAAGTGCTGGGATTACAGGCGTGAGCCACAGCACACGGCCACAACTTTTTGTTGCATTTAATTTTCTCTATTATGTTTCTGTTTTTTATTTCAATAATTTTCACCTTCCTCTTTATTGTTTTCTTTATTTTTCATGCTTTGAGTTTAGTTTGCTCCTCTTTTTTTTTGAGATAGCATCTCATTCTGTAGCCCAGGCTGGAGTGCAGTGGCATGATCTCAGCTCACTGCAAGTCTCAGTCTCTCAGTCTGTGGCCACTGCAAGTCTCAATCTGCAGCGGGCTCAAGCAGCCTTCCCACCTCAGCCTCCTAAGTAGCTAGGACCACCAGTGCACACCACCATGCCCAGCTAATTTTTAAATTTTTTTGTAGAGACAGGGTCTCCCTGTGTTGCCCAGGCTGGTCCCAAACTCCTGGACTCCAGTAATCCTCCCTCCTCGGCCTCCCCAAAATGTTGGCATTACAGGTGTGAGCCACTGTGCCCAGCCTCTTTTTTTTTTTTTTTTTTTTTTTTTTTTTGGGGATACAGGGTCTCTTTCTGTTGCCCAGGCTGGAGTCTAGTGGCATGATCAAAGCTCACTGCAACTTCTATCTGCTAGGCTTAAGCAATCCTCCCACCTCAGCCTCCCAAAGCACTGGGATTGAAGACATGAACCACTGCACCCAGCCTTTTTCTGCTTTCTTAAAATTGAAGCTTAGGCCAGGCACGGTGGGTCATGCCTGTAATCCCAGCACTTTGGGAGGCCCAGGCAAGTGGATCACGAGGTCAGGAGATTGAGACCATCCTAGCCAATATGGTGAAACCTGGTCTCTACTAAAATACAAAAAATTAGCCAGGCGTGGTGGCGCGTGCCTGTAATCCCAGCTACTCGGGAGGCTGAGGCAGGGGAATCACTTGAACCTGGGAGGCAGAGATTGCAGTGAGCCGAGAGATCACGCCACTGCACTCCAGCCTGGCAACAGAGGGAGACTCCATCTCAAAAAAAAAAGAAGCTTAGGTTATTGATTTCTGATCTTTCTTCTTTTCTATTTATTTATTTTTGAGGTGGAGTCTCACTCTTGTCGCCCAGGTTGGAGTGCAGTGGTGCAATCTGGGCTCACTGCAACCTCTGCCCCTGGGTTCAAGGGAGTCTCCTGCCTCAGCCTCCTGAGTAGCTGGGATTACAGGTGTGCACCACCACACCCAGCTAATTTTTGTATTTTTAGTAGAGATGGGGTTTCGCCATGTTGGCCAGGCTGGTCTTGAACTCCTGATCTCAGGTGATCCACCTGCCTCGGCCTCCCAAAGTGTTGGGATTACAGGCATGAGCCAACACCCAACCCTTTCTTCTTTTTTCTTTTTTTTTTTTTTTTTTGAGATGGAGTTTTGCTCTTGTCACCCAGGCTGTAGTGCAATGGCATGATCTCTGCTCACTGCAACCTCTGCCTCCCAGGTTCAAGCAATTCTTCTGCCTCAGCTTCCCAAGCAGCTGGGATTACAGGTGCCTGCCACCATACCCAGCTAATTTTTGTATTTTTAGTAGAGACGGGTTTTCACCACGTTGGCTAGGCTGGTCTCAAACCCCTGACCTCAAGTTATCCACCCGCCTTGGCCTCCCAAAGTGCTGGGCTTACAGGCGTAAGCCGCCCAGCCTCTTCTTTTCTAATGCAGGGATTTATGGCTATACATTTCCCTTTAGGCACTACTTGAGCTGCACCCCATGACTTTCAGTATGCCATTTTCATTTTCACTTGGCCAAAATACTTCCTAATTGTGTTTGAGATTTCTTCTTTGACACACAGTTTATTTTAAAGTGCATTGTTTAATTTTCAAATATTTGTAAATTTTCCAAGTTTCCTTCTATTGTTGACTTTAATTAAACTCCATTTTGGTCAGAAAATGTTCTTTGTGTGGTGTCAGCTGAGACCGGTTTTACAGCCTAGTGGATTGCCAATCCGGAGAAGGCTCCACGTGCATTGGGAAGAACATTCATTCTGCTGTTATCCATTGGAGGGTTCTGTTCTGTCCATGACTATACCCACGAGAGTTTAATTTATGGAGATGACTGAATGACAACATGGAGAGCCTAATGTTATTGAAAGAAGAATTTATGGCTGGGCATTGTGGCACACATCTGTAATCCCAGCACTTTGGGAGGCCGAGGCAGGCAGATCACTTGAGGTCAGGAGTTTGAGACCAGCCTGGCTAACATGTTGAAACCCTGTCTCTACTAAAAATACAAAAATTAGTCTGGGGTGGTGGCACACACCTATAATCTCAGCTACTTAGGAGGCAGGAGAATCACTTGAACCTGGAAGGCAGAGGTTGCAGTGAGCCAAGATCACACCATGCACTCCAGCCTAGGTGAAAGAGCGAGACTCCATCTCAAAAAGAGAAAAAAAAAAAAAAAGAAAGAAGAATTTATCACTTACTTTTCCCAAGAGAAGGAGCATGCCAGGACACCAGGGCCACCTGAGGAAACACCAGGGTCAGCCAGGGGGTATAAAGGAGCAGGGGCAAGCCTGGGCCAGAACCTTTGATGGGATTTCTGTGGGAAAGACAAGGCAGGACAGGGTAACACTTAGGACTGGTGACTCTATAATTCTGGTGGGCTTTGGGCTCAGAGACCATCCCTAGCTGCCAGGTGCCTGGCCCTGGGTTAATTTAGGCATATTGGCTTGTGCTGAGGGTTTGATAAGGAGCTTGTTGGGATCTGGGCTCTGGATTGGTTGGTCTGAAGGTTAAAGGTGTGGTTCTGGGCAAGCCCTCTGGCTGTCTCTGAGAAATGGCCTGCCCTGGGAGGAGGAGGCTGTCTCTCCCCTGCCATCTAGGCCACATGTTCAGAGCAACAAGAATATAGAAAATAAAAATATATAGTGAATACAGTTGGCACTGTGATGACAGGTTGCCAAATAGACAAATCTAGAATCTTAGAACACACAGTTGTGGCCAGGCATGATGGCTCACACCTGTAATTCCAGCACTTTGGGAGGCCAAGGCAGGCAGATTGCCTGAGCCCAGGAGTTCGAGACCAGCCTGACCAACATAGTAAAATCCCATCTCTACTAAATACAAAAAATTAGCCAGGCATGGTGGTGCGTGCCTGTAATCCCAGCTACTAGGGAGGCTGAGGCAGGAGAATTGCTTGAACCTGGGAGGCGGATGTTGCAGTGAGCCAAGATCATGCCGTTGCACTCCAGCCTGGGCAACAAGAGCGAAACTCCGTCTCAAAAAAAAAAAGAAAACACAGAACATTTATGGATGTCAGTTTTGCCCAATTGGCTGATAGTGTTTTGTAAGTCTTCTATATTCTTGGTCATTTTTTCTAGTTATTTTGTTCATTATTGAGGAAGTGCTATTGGAATCATTAACCATTATTGTTGAATTGTCCATTTTTCCCTTTAGTTCTGATAGCTTTTGCCTCATGGATTTTGAGACTCTGTTGTCAGGTGTGTGTATGTTTATGAGGCGATTCCAATCTTCCTAAATTTATTAATACTTGTTTTGTGGCCCAACGTGGTTTATCTTGAGAATGTTCCCTATGTGCTTGAGAAGAATGCGTCTTCTGCTGTTGTTAGGTAGAATATTTGTATGTGTCTTTTAGATCTAATTGGTGTATAATGTTGTTCAAGTTTTCTGTTTGCTTATTGATCTTCTGGTTGTTCTATTCATTATTGAAAGTGGGGTATTGAAATCTCTTACTATTATTGTGTTATTGTTTCTTCCTTTAGTTCTGTTCATGTTTGCTCGGCTGTTAGGTGGGAAAATGCCATTTAGCATTTCTTGTAAAGAAGGTCTAGTGGTGATGAACTCCCTCAGCTTTTGTTTGTCTGGGAAAGTCTTCATCTTGCCTTTATTTTCAAATGAAAGCTTTGCTAGGAATAAGATTCTTGGTTAGCAGTTTTTTTTTCCTTCAGCACTTTGAAAATACTATCCCACTCTCTTTCAGCCTGCAAGGTTTCTGCTGAGAAGTCCCCCAGTAATCTGATTGGAGCTCCCATGTATGTCACTTTCCTCATGCTGCTTTCAAAATTCTCTTTTTGTCTTTGACTTTGGCAATCTGATTATAATGTGTCTTAGTGTAGACTTCTTTGGTTTATCATATTGGGGGCCGTTTAGACTTCACAAATCTAGATGTTTATTTGCCTCCCCAGATTTGGGGAGTTTTAAGGCATTATTTCTTTTTTGGTTTTTAGGGCATTATTTCTTTAAATAAGCATTCTGCCCCTTTCTCTCTCTGTTCTAGGATTCCCTTAGGCTTTCTTTATTCCTTTTTATTATTATTTTTTTGCTCCTCTAACTGGATAATTTTAAATGACCTGTCTTTGAGTTTGCTGATTTTTCTATTTGATCAAGTCTACTCTTGAATTCCTCTAGTGAACTTTTCAGTCCACTTATTGTATTCCTCAGCTGAATTCCTGTTTGATTCATTTTTATATCGCACAAATTTTGACATAGTTTTTTTTCATTCTCATTTGGTCTCCTTTGTCATTTCTTCTCTGACTCATGGATTACTTGGAAGTGTATTGTTTATGTCAAACACTTGGAGATTTTTCAGATATATTTAACTGGTTACTGGTTTTCAATTTAATTATGTTATGGGCAGAGAACATACTCTAAATTATGCAGTTGCCTTAAATGTATGCATCTATCTAACTATCTATCTTTGTATATCTATCTCTACATCTCTATCTTCTGTATCTCTGTATATCTATCATGTCTATCTATTCTATTACATCTACCTATCATCTAACTCTGTCTCTATCTTCTATCTCTATACCTATCTCTTCTATCTGTAGTATTTATATCCATCCATCCATATCTCTATCTAGCATATCTAGCTACCTATCTGTGTCTATCTTCTATCTCTATCAATCCATTTATCTATATCTGTAGATATCTATCTTCTATAGCTCTATTATCTATTTTTCAATATATCTTTGTCTCTATCTCTACCTATATCATCTATTTATCTTCTCTATCTTCTAGATCTCTATCATATCATCTATCATTTCTATATCTGCCTCTATCTGTATCTTTATATCTCTATCATATATTTATATCTGTGTATATCTATCTACCTATCTTATCTCTTAGCCCAGTTGCCCAAGGTACCAGTATCCTTATCTGCAGGTGAGCATGAGGACCTCTGTGTTGAAGACACATCAACCTTTGGATACAGAATGCAGAGTCTCAGGAGATAGGCCAATTATTTGCATTTTGAATGCTATCTGTTTCTATACCATATGGTAGTAAAAATTTGCATGGTATGATTTTAAAAACTTGAATTTTTAACTTAATGTTCTATGTTCTGTAGTAATCTCATTTTCATGTTACCAAAGGAAACCTGTTATGACCAGAATAAATTATTTTCCCAACATTGAACTAAGAATTCCTAGAGCTGGGGAAATAAAGGAATGTCCTTTGCTGCCAGCCTCCTTCCTTCCTCCTTAGGATACCTCTTTAAAATTAATTATTAGGCCGGGCGCGGTGGCTCACGCCTGTAATCCCAGCACTTTGGGAGGCCGAGGCGGGCGGATCACGAGGTCAGGAGATCGAGACCATCCCAGCTAAAACGGTGAAACCCCGTCTCTACTAAAAATACAAAAAATTAGCCGGGCGTAGTGGCGGGCGCCTGTAGTCCCAGCTACTTGGGAGGCTGAGGCAGGAGAATGGCGTGAACCCGGGAGGCGGAGCTTGCAGTGAGCCGAGATCCCGCCACTGCACTCCAGCCTGGGCGACAGAGCGAGACTCCGTCTCAAAAAAAAAAAAAAAAAAAAAAAAAAAAAAAAAAAAAATTAATTATTAGTTTGGTTTTCCCATTTAATAGAGAAATTATTTAGGATGTTTTCTAAAATGTCCAAGTAGCTAGCTATAACTTGCTGTTTATTCTTTGATTGACAGTGACTAATGTCATTTCACAGTGGCCAGGAAATGTGGGCTGTATGATCTCCACTTTGAGAGGATTTTGACCCAATGCCTGGGTCATTTATGTGGCTGGCCTCTGGATATCTGAAAGTAATATGAATCCTTCATTTGCTGGTTTCAAAGTACTATCTACCTATCTTCCTGTCTATCACATAAATGTTTCCAGTGATGCCATCAATAGTTACAGAAATTGATTGATTTTTATATATCTGACCTATTGATTTCTAAACACAATATATTAAAATCTTCTACTATGATTACCAATGTACCAGTTATCAATTTTGCCTTTTATTGCCATAGCTTTCTGTTTCCTAGATACTAAGTTGTTGTGATTTTATATAGATAGATAGATAGATAGATAGATAGATAGATAGATTGATTGATAGATTTTCACCCACAGTTATTGGCTCTTAACTCATAAAATCCTTGGGATCGCCGAAGTGTTTTCTTTAGAATACCTTTTGTCTGATAGGTTCCAGGGTGGGGCTGGTCCCTGGAAAGACAAAGGCAGGAGTAGAGAGTTGGGACTTTCAGCCCCACACCCAATCTCCAGGGAAGGGATAGGGGCTGAAGGTCAAGTTGTTCACCAATGGCCAATGGTTTAATCAATCATGCCTATGTAACAAAGCTTCCATAATCCAAAAGGACTGGGTTCAGAGAGCTTCCGGGTAGCTGAACATGTGGAGGTTCCTGGGAAACGGTACGCCCAGGGAGGGCAGGGTGGCTCCACGCCTCTTCCTTCCTTCATACTTTGCCCTATGTGTCTGTATCCTTTGTAACATCCTTCTTAATAAAGCAGTAAACATAAGTAAGTGTTTCACTGAGTTCTGTGAGCCGCTGTAGCATATTAATGGAACCCAAACAGGGGTTTGTGGGAACCCCAACTTAAAGCCAGTTGGTCAGATGTTCCAGAGGCCTGGACTTTTGACTGGTGTCTGTGTGGGGGGCAGTCTTGGGAAGTGAGCCCCAATCCTGTGGGGTCTGACACTATCTCCAGGTAGACAGTGTTGGAATTGGACTGAGGACACCCAGCTGGTGTCTGCTGCTTGGTGGTGGGGAGAAACCTCACAGGTTTGGCCACAGAATCTTCTTCTGTGTTGATTGCTGCTGTGGTGTGAGAGCAGAGGAGAAACGCCATTTAAGAGAGCTTTTCCCTTGTATAGTTTTGATATATTAGGATAATATGAGTAATTTCCCTGCAGTAATGCCTAAAGCATAACAGGCACTATAAATGGTGTTAAGCCCTGTTGTTAGTGTTAATTGTTATTATTCACCATCATTTTGGTTGGTTGGTGCCCAGGCTATGTTGTATTTGTCCTTACTGGAAAGTTACTTGGGAGAAGAGACACAGACCTAATCCATACTATGTGTCCAGTGTTCTGGTCCTTGAGGGGTTTCAGATTCAGACCATGTTTATTTCACACATAACTCTCTGAGTGGACGGTCCAGCAACTCCTATGGCGACTCATGCTCATTCCTACAGTTCTTGCTCTGGTTCAAACACATTTTGTCCTTCCCCCTTATCCACTGTGATTTTCTGACTCCCCCAATATGAGTGAGACCTGTGAGCAATAAAACAGCCCTGAGAACTATTCGGGAACTCCTGATCAGTCTGAATGTTGGCACTGCACAGCCTAGTCTTGCAATCAAGCAAAACCACCATGGATGAACCTGGAAGACACTATGCTAAGTGAGATAAGCTGGTCACAGAAGGCAAATGCCACAGCATTCTCCTTACGTGAGGTATCAAAGGAAGTCAAGTTCATAACGACAGAAAGTAGAATAGGGGCTACCAGGGCCTGGGAGGAGGGAGAATGGGTTTTAATGAGGACAGAGTTTCAGTTTTGCAAGATGAAGAGTTCTGGAGATGGACGATGATAATGGTTGCACCACATGTGAATATAATTAAAAATACAGAACTGTACACTTGGCTGGGCACGGTGGCTCATGCCTGTAATCCCAGCATTTTGGGAGGCCGAGGCAGGCGGATCACCTGAGGTCAGGAGTTTGAGAACAACCTGGCCAACATGGTGAAACCCTGTCTCTACCAAAAATACAAAAAATTAGCTGGGTTTGGTGGCACATGCCTGTAGTGACAGCTACTTGGGAGGCTGAGGCAGGAGAACTGCTTGAACCCAGGAGGCGGAGGTTGCAGTGAGCCGAGATTGTGCCACTGCACTCCAGCCTGGGCAACAGAGCAAGACTCTGTCTCAAAAAAAAAAAAAAAAGAACTGTATACTTGAAAATGGTTGAATGATAAATGTTATGTGTATTTTATCACAGCTTAAAACTTTTTTAACAACTTTTGCCCTGTGAAAGACCCTGTTAAGGTGAGGTGGCTCACGCCTGTAATCCCAGCACTTTGGGAGGCTGAGGTGGGAAAATCTCTTGAGCCCAGGAGTTTGAGACCAGCCTGGGCAACATAGTGAGACCCCATCTCTAAAAAAAAAAAAAAAAAAAGTAAATTAGCCAGATGTGATGGCATACACCTTTAGTTCCAGCTACTCAGGAGCCTGAGGTGGGAGGATTTCTTGAGCCCAGGAGTTCAAGACTGCAATGGGCCATGGTTGTGCCACTGCACTCCAGCCTGGGCAACAGACTGAAATGCTGCCTCAAAAAAGACAAAAGGCTCTGTTAGGAGGAAGAAAAGACAAGCCCAAAAGTGGGAGAACATATTTGAAAACCACATATATGGCAAATGGCTGGTCTCCAGAATATACACAGAACTCTTCATCCTCAACATTTAAGTAAACAAACCATCTGGTTAGAAAATGGGCAAAAGACATGAATGGATATTTCACCCATGAGGATATAAAGCTGGCCAATGAAATGACAACACGACGCAGCCATTGCATTCTTGGGCATTTATCCTAGAGTAATAAAGATTTACAGTCACACAGCAACCTGTGTACATGAATGATTATAGCAGCTTTATTTGTAATTGCCCAAAACTGGGAATGACCCAAATGTCCTTCAATGGATAAGTGGTTAAACAAACAGTGGTGCATCCGTAACATGGAATATTCTGCAGCAATACAAAGGAATGAACTATTGACACATACAGCAGTCTTCATGAATTTCCAGAGATGTCAGGCAAAAGATACCACATATAGGATTATTCCATTTATAGAACGTTCCTAAAATGACAAAGTTATATTAGTGCAGAACAAATTGTTGGGTGCCAGGGTTAAGGAGTGTTACTGTGGGAGGAAAGTGGATGTGGTTATTTTTATGCCTTTTTGGGCAGCATAAGGGTTTCCTCGAGATGGAAATGTTCTCTGTCTTGACTGTACCAGTCTTAATGGTCGTCATATTGTACTACAGTTTTGTGAGATGTCAGTGATGGGGCTCAGAATGCAATACCCCAAATTACGGCACCTTGGCATGCTGAGTATCTCAAGCTGAAGGAAATTGTGTCTCTCTGACCGTCTCCTGCTTTTCTGCCTTGAAGGAAGCCATAAGAGAATTCTCTGACCTACCTCCCCCAAAAGCGGGTCATAGGATCCTCATTCCAGAGGCCAAGAAGAATCTGAACAAACGGGCCTTGGCAAGTTGCCCCCAGTTTATTACCATTAAGTTGCACCTGCTTTTTGTCTAAGCATATTTTTACATGACTGTTCATTCTTCATCAAACCCAAGCATAAAAAATAGACAGATTTGCCTGTTTCTTTGGGTTTTTGTTTCTGAAGGCTCACTTGTCACATAAAACCTTTTGTTAAATAGATGTGTGTCATGCTTTATCTTATTAACCTGTCTTTGTGATTGGGGCCATACGTGCAAGGTTCATCCATGCGCCTTGCAATGGGTGAGGAAAAGATACTACCTTCCCCCCCACCCCGCCCTGACATCAGTGTCCTGGGAAAGTGAGTGCACGGTGCCTGTACCCTTTGTGATGCATTGAGTGGTGACATGCTGACTCTCAGGAGGTCGTAAAGGAGGAGGAAGGTAAAGTCAGAGGCAGTGTGGGGGCAGAGGGAGTGAGGGCAGTCAGTTCAAGTTAGAAGATGTTTGTTTTCTTTTTAGAGACAGGGTCTTGCTCTGTGGTCCAGGCTAGAGTGCAGTGGCACAATCACAGCTCACTGCAGCCTTGACCTCTGGGCTCACCTCCCGAGTAGCTGGTACCATGCTGGTGGCATGCACCACCATGCCAAGCTAATTTTTTATTTTTTGTAGAGACAAGAGTCTCCCTATTATTGCCCAGGCTTGTCTTGAACTCCTGGGCTCCAGTGATCCTCCTACCTCAGCCTCCCAAAGTGCTGGGATTACAGGTGTGAGCCACTGTGCCTGGCCGATGCTTGGATTTTGATTCAAAGTGTCCTGGGCTCAGTAAGATTTCAGGGGAGGTGTTCAGCATTTGGACATTGCAGAATGGACCCATCAGCATGTGGTCGTCATTGGGCCCCTGAGATGAGCTGAGAATCAGGAGGGTAGAGACTGCTGTCTACACCCTGCAGCCCCAGCCCCCCAGGAACGAAGCTGTCGTCCAACGTCAGCCTTGTTGCTGGGGACAGTGGAGATCATATCCCCACCCCGGGAACCCTGGGGCTGCTCGAGAAGAGGATGCTATGAAGAGCTGACTGTTTTGGTGATTAAAAGGAGTGTTTAAAACAACCGGGCCTCATTCTGGGTTGCATGCTGTCAGAGAGAGCCAGGACAACTCCATCACTGGATGTCCCCATAAATCTAAGCTGGCCAGGAATCAGCATGACCCATTTTAGCCAAGAGGGGTCGGTTAGCCTCCTCTCCATCTATGCTTAGACATAGGTATGAGGGGCCTGGCCTTGTGTCTGAGGGACCTCTGCAAAAGGTTTTATGTGCAAGAGGAGAAGGCCCTCCCTGCCAGCTCCCAGGTCTCCTGGGCTGCACCTATCTCAAGTTCCCTTTCCCACGTCAAAGAATAGGAGAAAGGACATTCAGCAGCGTTTGAGAGACAACGCGCGCACCCCACGGCCCAGGCTTCCTGCACTCCTGGCAAGGGGCAGGGCGGGGCTCGGCCAGCGTAGTCATTGCCCATGGAATCTCAAACACTGGGTTGCTTTTCACCGAGGCCACGCGCCAGCGACTCTGAAGCCTCCTCTCCTCCAGCGGATCGTGGCCCGCGGCTTCTCGCCCTCGCTTGCACGCTTTGCCCAAGAACTCTTCCCGGGGCAGAGAAGTTGTGGAAACAAGCGGCTGGCCCGACGGCGGAGAAAGCGGGCTGCGGGGCTGCAGGTCAGCGTGATGGAAGAGAGGAAGGCGCACGGCGGGTGGAATAAACGCGCATGGGTGTGAGGACGGAGACGCCCCGAGGGGCTGAACGCGCGGAGCATCGGAGTGAGGGAGCGACCCCTAAGGACGCCTTCTAAGGGGCTCACAGGCCCAAACACAGCGGGGCAGCCTGATCGGCGCCCCAGCCAGAAAGGCGGGGACAGAGCCCTCACTCCCTCTCCTCCCCAAAAGAAAATAATGCAACGAGACGGAAGACTTCTCGCCCGGCTGTGCGTTTTTATTGGCGCGTCTGCAGCGACCCCCAGCGGGGAGACCAAGGGTGTGGCCGGGGCGACCCTCAGCGCACCTGGGCCAGGTTGTGCCTCTTGTACAGCAGCGCGCGTCTCTTCTCGCGATTGCGCACGAAGACGCGCAGCCGCGCGGTAGGGAAGGTCACGGGCGCGGGCCGCGAACAGGCCGGGCCCTCCTCTGTTAGCCACGGGCACTGCAGGCAGCTGGACGCGCAGGGCCGGCCCCTGGGACGGACATAGGCTCAGCACGTGGCCCAGCGGCGGGAGGGGTGTGGGGAAGGCAAGTGGAAAAGGGGAGAGGGGGAAGGGAGAGTACCGAGGGGAAAGGGAGTGGGGGGGCGGGGCGGGGCGGGACGGAAGGAGGAGGGGGCGGGACGGGAGGAGGGGGCGGGGAGAAGGAGGAGGAGAGGGGCGCGCCTTACCAGGGCTGGGCGCACAGAGTGCTGCGCAGGAAGGCCACGGCGCCCCCGGACAGCCCCGCGTAGCAGCGGCTCAGCCGGACCAGCCCCTTGCGCAGTCCTCTCTGCAGGTCGCGTGCACCCTCGCTGCTCACCGGGTACTCGGCGCTCAGCCTGCGCAGGTGGCGGGTGCACGGGCCCTGAGGTCACCCTCCTTGGGTAGACCAGGGCGGAGGGGGAGGGGATGCAGGAGCACTGAGGTCACCCTCGGGTGGCCGGTGCAGGGGCCGTGAGGTCATCCTCGGGTGGACGAGGGTGCAGGGGCCGTGAGGTCACCCTCAGGTGGACGGGGGTGCAGGGGCCCTGAGGTCACCCTCGGGTGGAGGGGGGAGACTGCCCCGCCCACCTAGCAACCCCCAGACAGGTTGGAGGACTCACATGATGAAGGCTGTCACACCGATGGCCCAGATGTCTGTCTGTGGAACAGCCCCCTGGCCCTCCAGGAGCTCTGGAGCTGGGAGGGGCACATGTGGTTGGGCTCAGGTGGAGGGACACAGGTGGTGGGCATGAGTGAGTGGTCCCAGGTGGGATAGGTGGGGCACAGGTGTGTGGGCCAGGTGTGTGGCTGAGTGGGTGGCAGTGGAGCTGGGAGAGAGGACAGCACTGGAGGAGAGGGGGCTTCTTCCTGCCCCCCGCCCCAGGTGAGGTCCCCCCAACTGTCCACACACGCACCCATGGTCTCTAGGTAGTCCTTGAACTTGTCTGAGGGCAGCACCTTCTCCTGGCTGAGGCTCTGTGCATTGCCCAGGTCCACGACCTTGAGCAGGTTGTATTCGGTGATGATCATGTTCTCGGACCTCAGGTCCAGGTGCAGGATGTGCTGGTTGTGCAGGTACTGGGTGGCACTCAACATCTGCCACAGGTAGTCCTTCACCTCGGATTCTGAGTAGGAGGCCCTGGGGGGCAGAAGCTGCTCAGCCCAGGCTCCGGGGTGGGGGCCACCAGGGCCAGGGCTGAGACTACTCCCCGTGGACTGGGAGGGGCACTGGCTGTGCAGAGGGGCCTGGTCCTCCAGCCCCACCCCAGAGGCCTGGGTCCATCAGTCCATCAGTCCGTCCATCAGCTCAACCACACCACCCCAGGCCACCCTCACCTCTCGGCCAGGCAGGGGAGCAGCTCGGGCCCAGAGCACAGCTCCAAGATGAGCACCAGGTGCCGGGGGCTGAGGTAGGCTGCGTGCAGCTGGGCCAGGTGCGGGTGGCGCAGGCCCTTGAGGGCCTCGTATTCGCGCAGCACTGCTGTCTTGTCCTTGGGGTGGTAGGGGATGATCTTGGCGGCCAGCGCCCGCCCGCTGGCCTTCTCCCAGCATTGCCGCACCACGCTGAAGCGGCCCCTGCTCAAGGGGACAGCGGTCAGGCTGGTGGGTGGTCCCCTCCCATTCCCCGATTCCCAACACTCAGAGCAGCAGGAGCCCAGTTCAGCGAGATGGTGGGTGTGGGGGCATGGGTGGTCAACAAGGGGGGGTCCAGGCCCTGGCCCCACCCGCCTGCAGCCCCCCAGGCCACTGCACCTCTGGATCTGTGTCTGGAATGCGAAGGTCTTTGTGCTGGGCAGGGGTTGGGCTGACCGCCCCTGGCTCTCCTCCTCAGAGGCTGTGGGAGGAGGGGCAGATGATAAGAGGGGGTGAAGAGGGCATCCCCACAGCCCCAGCTCTCCCCACGTCTCCCATCACCCCTTCCCAGGCACCTTGACAGCTGGGACTTTGAGTTACGCACTCCCACCTCTTGTTCCTCAGGTTCTGGGGGTATGGGGACAGGGAGGGGGTACAGCAAGCAGTGAGAGGCAACCTGAGTGAGGGTGTGTGTGAGGGCTGCAGGGGCATTTGAGAATGGACCACCCATAGCAATCATGCCCTCTCTTCCTCCCTTGAGCCCAGGGCAGACATTACTAATCAACCCTAGCATTCCTCCACCAAAGCTAGAGGCAGCACAGGCCAGTCACTACCAACTCTCACTACCAACACTCAGAATGAAGCAGAATGGACTTGTGTGCTCGTCAATGAGTGCATGGGAGTGTAGGTGAGTGAAGGGGGGGCCTGGGGGTGAGGCGGCCCCTAAAGTGTGTAGGCCTCGAATGCCAAGCCCAGGAGCAGCTGTCTCCCCAGAAGGAAGTGGACAGCTATGGAGACCCTGCACAGGAGGGAGCGTAATCTGGGTCTTCTAGCTGCTGTTCCCACCCTCCAAGCCCCGAGTGTGGTGTGGCTCACCCAGGTGGCTGGGCCCTCCCAGGAGGACTTGCTCCGAGGGGCTGCTGTAGGGACCCATTCCTGCCTTGCTGACACATGCCGTGCGGAAGGTGTAGGTGCCACCCCGGGAGAGCTTGCTGGTCAGGTAGCAGCAGTCAAAGATGTCGGAGGCCAGTGTGGTCCAGCTGCCGCCTGGCCACACAGGAGCACGTGAGGGGCCACTGAGGCCTCCACACACCACGTCAGTGGGGGTGGAGAAACCCTTCCCTGAGGCCACCCATGGGAACACAGCAGGCCAGGCATCTCCCCAAGGGCCCCTAGACATGGCTCCCGGGAGGGGTGGCCGGAGCCTCGGGTACAGGGGCCACCTCATACCTTCTAGGCTGCACTGCACAATGTAGGTCACAGGGCCGTAGGATTCCACGGGCTTCCAGACCAGCAGCACCCCATCCGCGTACACCTCCCCGATATCCGGGCATGGCGAAGATGAGGGGCGCTCTGCAAGGCACTGCCCAATGGTCAGTGACTCCAGGGTGGGCACCCAGCCTCCAGGGGCCAATATCTGGCTGGCGCCTGCCTCACCCTGGCAGCCACCAGGGCTCTGGAGCCCACCCTCCCTGGTCCTGTTCATTCAGGGTCCAGTCACAGTGAGGAATGGTAGGAGGGGCCTCTCCTGGCGAGGGGCTGGGGAGGTGTCTGCCCTGCCAGATCCCACTCCTGGGCTGGCCCATCCACCTGGGTGTGACCAGAACCCTGTGCAGGGGCCGAGCCTCTGGTCAGAAGGGCCCTTGGTGGGGCTGCTGGGCTTCACTGGGTTGCCCTGCACAGGTTCAAGCAGGCCGGCCCACTCTGGGCATTGGGCCAGGGGTCCCAGAGCTAGGCCTGTAGCCCCCATCCTGACCACCTCAGAAACACGCCCCAGGGAACTGTGTTGTGCTTGTAACTCGACTTTGATTGAGGCATGGAACGGGAAGCAGCCCACTCCTGCATAGGCTGGAGGGATGGGCATGGAAGGAACGTGGGAAGATGGTGCAATGGGTCATGCGCCCGAGAAACTCAGTTCTCCCGGCAAGTGGCCAATGGGATGGGCTTTCTCCCTGGCAGGGAGCGTGGATGAACAGGCTTCCTTCCAAGCCCTGTAACGTCAGCAGCTGCGTCCGGCCATCCTTCCCAAGGCTGGTTGTTTCTGCTGGGACCAGCTCAGGGCCTCCTGCCAGCCCAAGGCAGCCTGGGCGGTCAGAACTCTGTGTTGACCTTCTCAGGCCTCCTGCAGCCCTGGCCATGTGTGGTGCCTGGCCCCATAGGGATGTGGGCTGCTCAGGGTCAGGGAGCGGATGCCTCAGCGGCCAATGCACGGGCCCGGAAGCATTCCACGCAGGATGAGGCTTCCCAGCAGCCCCAGCCCAGCCTCCCTGGCCTGGTGGGACCCCCAGTGTGGCCCACGTACCTGCCTTCCGGAGGACGCCCGTGGTGGTCACTGTCCCCAGCGCATTGCTCACGCTGCAGGTGTACACACCCAGGTCCTCAGCCACCACCACCAGGATGGTCAGAAGCTGGAAGTTCTTGAGGGTGGCAGAGATGAGGACACGGCTGCTGCTCTCCAGGGGGGCTCCGTCTGCAAAAGGACAGAGCAAGCCTCATGCCACAGCCAGGCCTCACACCTCTCCCTGGGCCTCAGTTTTCCTCCAGACAGCGAGGCATCCCGTGGGGCCAGCTCACAGGATGGCCACTCACCCGATTTCACACAGCCCCCAGCCCCTGGGACAGCTTCTTACCTTTGCTCCAGGTGGCCTGGGCAGCTGGCTGGGCTGACACCTGGCAGGCCAGTGTCACTGACTGGCCCAGGACCACAGTCTCATCTGAGAGCTCCCTTAGGAATGTCGGCGCTGAGGAGGGAGGGTGAGGTCAGCCTTCAGGGGTGACCTCCAGGCCCCAGAGCATGGCCTGGACCCTGGAGACACCAGGAGGAGCCCTGCCCCACCACTGCCAACTCCCCAGCCTGGCCCATCTGTACCACCATCACCTCCTCCAGGAAGTCCTCCAAGACTGCTCAGTTCACTACACCCACCAGGACCCCTCATCTGTTCCCGCACCCATGTGAGTGCAAGCTTGCTCCCCACCGGTCTGGCCACGCTGGTGGGACCCTGAGAGGCAGTGGGGCCTGGTCTCTGTGTTGGGCCTGCTCACCTCGGTCCCAGCTCTTCAGACCTGAGAGCCGGAAGGAAGCAAGGCCTGGCTTCTTCCTGGGGGGCCCCTCCTTCTCCAGACCTGCAGGAGGAAGAGGGCCAGTGAAGGTCATGGTCAGGAGGCCTGGCCCCTCTGGGTAGTACCAGCTGCCTCTGGCTGCAAGGACCCCGAGCAGCTGGGACAGGAAGAAATTGGGGTCGGCTGGCCCGCTGCCCACTCCCCAGACTTCCAGGCCACAGAGGACAGAGGAAACATGAAGACCAGGCACCCTCCCCACCTCCAGGCACGGGGTCAGGAGGGTCCAGGGCCAGGGAGGACTATGTGGTTGGGGAGAACTATGGGGTTGTGAACGGTTTGGGGGTCTGGAAGGGTTTTGGGGTCAGGGAGGGCCTGAGGTCAGGAGGGTCTGGGGTCAGGTAGGGTATGGAGTTGGGGAGGGTCTGGGGTAAGGTAGGGTCTGGGGTCAGAGAGGACTATGGGGTCAAGGAGGACTCAGGAGGATCTGGGGTTAGGAAGGTCTGCAGTCAGGCAGGATCTGGGGTTGGGAGAGTGCAGCGTTGGGGTGTCTGGGGTCAGGGAGGGCCTGGGGCCGTTCGGGAGGACTCGGTTCAGGGAGGATTATGGTTCAGGAAGACTCTGGCCCCTTCAAATGCTTTCCCCAGGGGCATACCACCTACAGCCTCCCCAGACCTCCACCGCTATGTTAGGTCCCAGGGCTGGGTCCCAGCTGCCCTGTGGGGAGGGTTGTCAGGGCTGTAGAGGTGATCCCAAGATTCAGAGGCCTGAGGCAGGGACAGGAGGTGTGGGCAGCACCTGGACACCAGCGGGGGGCCCCTGGGAGCCTCCTGCCGTCACCTGGAGTGCAGTAACCTTAGGTACAGAATGGGGGCCCCTGGACATGCAGGATGCTTGGGGTGGGGTGGGGGTTCACCTTCCGGCCTGCCCTTCAGGATCCGGGAGATGTGCTCCACGGAGGCCTTCACTCTCTCACGCAGCCCCAGCTCTGCAGGCTCATCCAGCGGCAGGTGCCTCCCAGGGAAGTGGAAGAGGCTGCGTGACGGCGAGGACCACTTGCGCTTCCTGCCCACGGCAGCCTCTGCCAGCAGCGCGTCCACATCCTCTGACTCCTCTGTGATCTCCAGGCCTGCGTGGGGGCCCAGTTCACCTGGCCAGGGCCACGTGGGCTCCGGGAACTCGGCCAGCTCCTCCTCAGCCATGGGGGAGGGCGGCTCTGGCTGAGCGGACTTGGGGACTTTCCTGAAGATCATAAACTCGAATGGGAGGTACTTGATATCGTACAGGTCTGAGAGGTTGAGGTAGGCGGGGTCCACCTCGGAAATGTCCAGGGATATTGTGTCGGCCGCCTCCGCATCACCTGACAGGTCCCGGATCTGCACCAGGGAGACCTGCCCGATGTCCTCCCATGGGGTGGGCTCTGGAGAGCTCCTGGTGGGAGCCCTGCCGACCTCAGGCACAGGCCTTGCACTGA
Source organism: Homo sapiens (assembly GCF_000001405.40). Lineage (NCBI taxonomy): Eukaryota > Metazoa > Chordata > Mammalia > Primates > Hominidae > Homo > Homo sapiens. The sequence goes on along the minus strand of NC_000001.11, from coordinate 228,372,523 downwards.
CCTGGGGCAGTGGGCTCTCAGCCCTGGCCTCCTGCTGCTCCTCCGACTGGGACTCAGCCCTGGCCTCCTCCTGCTCCTCCTCCTCTGACTGGGACACAGCCCAGGCTATCCTGGCCCACATGGGCCCCTGCCCCAGCATGCCCCCTGCATCTCCACCAAAGGCAAAGGTGCCATAGCCAGCCACGCCTGCGTAGCCCCCGCGACCACCCAGGGAGAACTTGCGCATGGTCGCCTGTTCCTGAGGCCGCTGCAAGGTGGGTGTGGAGTCGGACAGATCCTCAGCCTCCTGGGTCCAGCCCTCCGCATCCAGGGAGGGGCCAGGCTCTGTGCCCACCTGGGAGGAGCCCACCCTGAGGGAGCTCACTTGGGAAGAGCTCGCCTGGGAGGCTGACCCTGGGGAACTGCAGGGGCCGGGTTTTGGCCTCCCAGGAAGAGAGATGTCTCCAGGCCCCATCTTAGAGTCCAATGGGGGGCTTGCTTTGGCAGGGGCAGGGGGTGCCTGGGGCTGTCCCAAGAAGGGGCTTGAGGGTACTAAGGGGGCCTCTTTGCAAGATCCTGGAGGGAAGGAGCCAGGAGGGCATGGGGCAACTGCTGGGTGGGGGCTGCAGCCCTCCTGGGGGGCAGAACCCTGCTTGGGGTGGCAGAAAGGGGCTGGCTGCCCCCAAGGGCTGTCCGGGGATGGCCTCTCTGGCTGAGCAGTGCCTGGGTGGCCACCAGTGGATGGAAGCTGCTTGGAGCCCTGAGGGTGCCCCATGTCCCTGATAGGGGCCCCCCCGGAGGGGGCTGAAGGCAGTCGCTGTGCCTCACCGCAGGCCTCCGAGGAGGGGCGGGGGGTGCTCGGAGAGTCATGTTCCAGGGAGTGGCTGTGGCCAGGGGCCAAGTGGGTGCCAGAGGCAGGCAGCCGGAGGGCAGTCTCGAATGAGGGGGCTTTGGCCAGGAGGGTGGCCTGCTCCTCCCTGGCGGCCTCCTCCTCCAGCACGCGGTGCTCCATCAGTGGCTCGCGCAGGCCTGGCAGCGCCCCCGCAATGTACCCGCCCTTCAGCAGGTGCCGCCGCCGGGCCGGGTGCCGCCTGCTCCCCGGGGCCAGGGCCCCGTGCTCAGGGCTCTCACCCGCCTGGTGGTAGAACAGGCTGCGGATGACGCTGTGCCGGGGCACGCAGCCCTGGGCGGCCGGTGGCCCGGCACCCTCGGGAGATGCAGGCGGAGCTGGGGCCTCGGTGGAGCGCTCACTGGCCTCGGCTTCCTCAGGCAGGCTGGCCGAGGGCCGCAGGAAGCCCCGGGGGTGCAGCAGTGGTGAGTGTGTCACCGGGGAGGGTGGCAGTGACTTAGCCCGGGCAAATGGGGCGAGCTCGTTGTCAGAGGAGGAGGAGGAACTGGAGGAGCCACCAGTGTCCCTGCAGAGGTGCCGGGCTACGCCGAGGGAGGGGCTGTCGGGTGGGCCCCGCAGCAGCTCAGGGATGGAGCGCATCACCAGGATGGACTTGTAGCTCATCAGGGAACGCTGGAACCGCATGGGGGGCAGCAGGCATCAGGTGGGGAGACCCAGGAGCTCTGGGGTCCTCTGCCCCCAGGGTGCAGTCATTCCACCCTCCTGCCCCATGGGATTGTGTGCACCCAACCCCGCTGTGCCCAGCAGATGACTCCTGCCTCCTTTCAGCATGCTCAAAGGAGCCCAGCCCCGCTTCCCTGCACTTCTGGGTGCGCAGCTGGCCCCGTGGGGCCTCAGTTTCCCCTTCACTGGTCCCTACTCAGATGGTCACGGCTCACCTGCCAGCGACTTCGGGCCAGGAGGAACTTGAGCTGCTTGGTGTTGATGAAGTGGGCCTCCTCCGCAGGCATGGATTTCTGGGAGACCGAGGTGGGCAGCCACATGGCAGGGAGACCATGGTGCCCTGATAGGGGCCCCTCCCATGATGGAAGCCCTTCTGGGCAGCCCCAGCCCTGGGATTCCCTGGATCCAGGACACCACAGCCCTCACCCAAGATGTCCAGGTGGGGCAGATGGCAAAGGCCAGAGGTCAGAGGTGACAGCGACCCCCTGTCCCTGAGCTCCTTGCAGTTCTCCCTGCCTCCTGCTGGGGGTTGGGGGCTGGGGCACTGAAATGTGGTTCCAGCCTGAGGTTCCCACAGCCCTCTCACTAACGCACAGGGACAAACGTCCTCTGGGCTGGGCAGAGGTCGGGCCACAGCCACAGTTCTGTGCTCACATGCCCTGTTGCCCAGAGGCCCTGCCCCTGTTGGCCTCAGGCTCCCCCTGCATAGTGTGGGGCTGACCCTGATACTCACCAGGAACCAGGGGTGGGAGAGGCACTGGGCCGCACTAGGCCGGGCCCTACAGGGAGAGGAAGGCTCAGGAGGGGCCAGGTGGTCAGCTGCCCCCGGGGCAGGGCTGACTGGCCCCGGGCAGGAGAAGCCTGGGGGTGCACTCACTGAGGGGCTCTCTGCAGCGTAGCCTTGATGAAGTCTTTGGCGTCTTCGCTGAGGTGGGCAGCCATGGGGCTGCTCCATGACACGCGCCCCTCCAGGACGTTCAGGAGGGTGGCACGGTCACTCTCGCCGGCAAATGGGGATGAGCAGGTCAGGCTGAAGACAGAGGGAGGGTCCAGCCCTCAGATGAGGCCCTGACCGCAGATGGGCTCTTAGTCCCACTCCCATCTAGCTCTGAGTATCCCAGCAAGTTTCTCTCATTTCCCCAGTGAGATCCAGGCTCAGCTTGGAACAGGGACCCAGACTGAGCCTGGGGTGAGTATCTGGGCTCAAGTAGCAGACGGGATCTAGGGTCAGCTTAAGTGGGCACTAGCCTTAGTCTGAGGTAGGGATCCAGACTCAGGCTGGGGCAGGGATGTAGGGTCAGCCTGGGTAGGCTCCAGCCTTAGTCTAAGATGGGGATCCAGGCTCAGGCTGGGGCAGGCATCTAGAATCAGCCTGGGTGGCACCAGCCTTAGTCTGAAATCGGGATCCAGGCTTAGTCTGGGGCAGGGATCAAGATCAGCCTGAGTTAGGAATTAAGGATCAGCCTGCTGAGGAGGTCCAGGCTCAGTCTATACCATACCACCATCATCCTCAGGGCAGCAGTGGCTGTTATGAGCGGCTGCTGGACAACCCCCAGTCCTGCAGGGCAGTGGTTTGGCTGCCTCGTGACCCAGCACAGCCCTCTGATGACAGGGTGTTTGTGAGACACTCCGGGCAGGAACCTCTTATCAGGGTTGGCTGACCGCCTGTTCCCAAGATAGTAGCCCCTTGGGTCTCAGGTTTCTGATATGGGGAGCAGCCAGCAGTGCACATGCCCTCGGTGGGCCTACAAGGGAGGGGTCTCATGTCAGCTTTGGAGGAGGCAGCTGATGGGGCAGGGCTCTGCTCACCTGAGGTAGGAGATGACACCCATGGCCCTGCAAGACAAAAGCGCACACTGTGTGTCACCCCAGGCCTGGCTGTCAGGTAAGAGGCACACACACAGGGAAGTGGGGAGCCCAGGGCTGCAGGAGGAGACAGGTTCAGGGAGGACCCCTTGGCTGACCAGTAGGCTGCCTGCTGCCTCCCCGGGGCAGAGGAGAGGGCCCAGCCATCTGTGGGAACTGGCTTCCCGGAGAAGTTGCAGACCCAGACCCGTTGGCCCAGCCACCCACTCACCAAATGTCGGAGGCTTCGCTCACAGGGTTCTGCTGGATGATCTCGGGGGAGACGAACTCAGGGGAGCCGTACTGGCTGAACTGCAGCTCTGCTGGGGTGATGTTCTGGGCAAAGCCAAAGTCGCAGATTTTAATGTCTTCCCGGGCAGGATGCACCATCAGGATGTTAGAGGGCTGTTGGGGAGAGTTGGGAGTGGGTGAGAGCCGTGCCCTAAGGGGGTGACTCCTGGGGCTGATAGGCCTGGTGGGGACACCCAGAGGCCCGGGGGCAGGGTGGGACAGTGGGGAGCACCCGGTGCAGCCATTTGGGGACAGCCTCTGCTCCACCAGAGCCACGCCCCACCTGAAAGGGCTGCCTAGAGGTGGTGAGCTCCCTGTCCCTGGAGGCAAGCAAGTCCTCTCAGACTGGGAGTGGTGGGCCTGCCCCACCTGGCCTGCAGGCCCCAGGCTCTGGGGTGCAGGGGTGAGGACATGCGAACCTTTATGTCCAGGTGGAGAACGCCATGGCTGTGCAGGTAGTGCAGCCCCTCCACCAGCTGCTGGATGTAGACCTTGACCTGCGGCAAGGGCCGCTATTCAGGCGGGAGCCCAGCCCCAGCCTCCCTCTCCACTTTAAGCCCAGCCTCCTCCTGGCTTCGGCAGCTGATATGCAAAGCGCTCCTGGGCCCCGTGTGCCCCTAAGCCAGGAGATCCCTCAAAGGTGGGGAGGATACAATGGACTTGTGAACCTCAGTGGGGGAGGGGCAGGCAGGGCTGGTCAGCTGGCCAGGTGAGGCGGGGTGGCAGGCTGTGTAGAGCCCAATGAGGGGTCAACACGCCCTGGGGAGCCCCAGAGGCCCCTGAGCTAGAGAAGGCTGTGGCTGGGACTGTATCTGCAGGGACCGGATGTCTGAGCGGGGGCTGGGGCAGGGTGCATGGCTGGGGCAGTGGCGGGCGGCAGCCCAGTCACCTCGGCCTCCGTCACCACGCCCTTCCTGTACAGGCGGTCCAGCAGCTCCTCGGATGAGCACCTGGGATCCCATCAAGGAAAAGCAGGCTTGGGAGGCTGAAACCTGCCTGTCCCCAGAAACCCACACTCACAGTGAGGCAGCCAGGTCTATGGGTACATCTGATCTCTGGAGGCAGCAGGGGATGATGCTCAGGGTTGAGGAGGGTGGAGCGGGGACCCCTCTGAACCCCAGATGGCACCCAGCCCTGAGGAGAGGGAGGGGCTGCAGGCTGACCCTGGGGACCAAGGCCACTCACTGCAGTGGCACGGTGGGAGGGGGCATCCTGTCCCCTCTGTACAGAGCCCATCCAGCACCCTCTCCCTGCAAAGAGGACACCGACTTTGGGCAGGGGGCCATGTGTCCAGCTGACGCCCTGTCAAGAGCACCAGAGGAGACCCCCCAAGACAAGGCCATGTGGGTGGCGGGGTGAGCCCCAGAGTAGCCGGGCCAGGCAGCTCCTTTCTCTCTAAGAGGCCATCTACAGAGTGGGAGAGGACCCCCGCCATCCCTGCTGAGGGCATCAGGTCATCAGGGCCAGCTAGCCACCAGTAGCCCCTGGGGACTCCAGTTACTGCTCCGTGGAACAGAAGCCTCCCCACCCAAATTCCTGGCTGGGTGGCTGTCGCCACCACCCAGCCAGGCAGGGGACACCGTGCACATGGCTCCTCTGAGCCCCGGCCTGGCCCTGCCTGCCCCTCCTCAAGCCGTCTCAGGGGCTGAGGGCAGGATACAGCTCCAGGATGAGGATGAGGGTCTTGCGGGTCTCAAACTGGTCCAGCAGCCCCGTGACCAGCGGGTGGCTCAGCGCGGCCAGGATGTCTCGCTCCCTGTATGCCTGGGCCCGAGTTCTGCTCCGTAGGGGGATGAACTTGGCAGCGCACAAGATCTTGTTTCCTTTGTGCTGCACTCTTTTTACGAAGCCAAACACGCCCCTAGGAAGGAGGGAGTGAGGGAAGCCCAGGTGGCCTGGGGAAAGGAGCCATCCGGCAGTCCAGGGGAAAGGGGGCTGGGTGCTACCTTCCAATCTCCTCCTTGACCTCATAGAAGGAGTGCAGCTTCCTCCGGTGGCTTTGCTTCTCTGAGTCCGGCTCATTGTCCCCTAAGGAGTGGGAAGCGGCTGGTATGGGCAAAGGTGACCACCCTGATCCCCATGGAACCCAATGCTGTGGTGTTGACGGGAGCTGCTCCATGGACCCAAGACTATGGAACCACACTCACCCAGGTACCACACCCACCCAGGTACCACCATGGGAAGAGAGGTTGCCCCATGGAGCCAAGACCTGTACCCAGCCAGCCCGGCTGCAGAGCCTGGGGCCCAGGAGGGGTAGACCAACTCACCCCCAAGCACCAGCAGCTCTGCCTTGCAGAGCACCTGGCCACCAGTGTTTTGGGCCAGGCAGGTGTAAACGCCGGCATCCTTCGAGGCCACATGCCTCAGCACCAGGGAGTATGTGGTGCCTTCTTGCTGCTGGCTAAGCCGGGTGCTGTCCACCAGCTGGACGCTGTCCTGGAGGCACAGGACCGGCAGGGCTGCTATCAGCCCACTCTGGGGGACCCCGTCACCCCACCCTTCACTGAGCAGTGCTTCCGACACCTGCTGTGTGTCCAGTCTAGGGGGGATGTGGGGGAAGTGCACGGTGTGGACTGCACCCACCTCCCGTGGGCCCCCCAGCTCCTGGGGCCATCCCAGAATCTCACCCACTTGGACCTGCGCGCCTACCTTGTACCAGGTCACCGAGGGCTGTGGGTCGCCCTCAATGATAGCCTCGAATTGGGCCGTTCCGCCTGTCTGTGCCTGCACATCCTCGATGGTTACCTGCATGGATGGGGGCCCTGGGAGGGCAGGGAGGGAACTGTGGAGACCACCTCCCCAGCCACACAACCCTGGGTGCCAGCCACAGCCTACCATGCTTGGATGGTTGGTGAGACCCTGAGATACACTGTGGGCAACTGAACACCCCCCGCAGCCCAAGCGACAGCACCCCATCCTGACCGCCCAGGCTTCTGACAGTTAGGAGTACTCCTTCAATGGAACCACTGCCTCTCCCACTCTGACCTCAGCTGGCCAGGTGATCAGAAGGAGTTGGTGGGGCCGGTGGAGCTCACTAACTCAGCTGTCGCTCTCAGGGACAGGGTCCTATGGACACCAAGTTCACCGCCACTTGCCTCTCCCCAGTGGAGGGTTCTGGCCCCTCTGAGGAGACACGGTGAGTAGAATGTGGGGGTCCCAGGCTGGGGCAGGGCTGGGACAGGCTGGGAGGCCTTTGCAGATGTGCAAATGCCCCCCAGCCCTGGGCAGGGGGCATGGGGATCACGCTTATAACCCAGCTGGGCCCAACCCCGTACGTGCGGTGTGCGTGTCGATGGCCTGGTATGTGTAGGTCCTCTGTGTGGTCTCTCTGACCACGTGGCTGTGGACGTCCCAGAGCAGCTCCCCTGTGCCTGCCCCGGGCCAGGCTGCACCCTCCATCCTGGGGTTAGGAAGTGGGGTGAGGCTCTGCCGGGCCGCCACACGTTCTGAGCAGCCAGGCCTCCCAGTGAGATAGGGGATCCCTGCTCACCACTACTCGGAAGAGGCTGCAGCAAAGCCTCTCTGGGATGAGATGTACAGATGGGGGCCCAACCCTTAGTGTGGAGGGGGCCCCCCAACACCTCTCATCCCAAGGGTGGCCTCTCCTCCCTGCCCTGCCCTGTCCGGGGTGGCTGCTGGCAAGGAGTGGAGTGAGGGCTGTGAGGCCACCGCGGTAACTCGTGCCCTGCCCTGCCTGCCCTGGGATGTCCCATGGGGGTTGGCCCCCACTGCAGGACCCAGCAGTCTGGGGAGGTTACCGAATGGGCACAGTCCATTCCTGGGCTCTGGCAATGGCCTCCGGCTCCTGCTCTGGGCCTTCGTGGAGGAGGGGCTGTGGCACCCTCGGGGGCACGGCTGCTGGGAGACAGGGCAGGTGGCTGTAGGAGTCGGGTACACGTGAGCTTCAAGCAGGTGGACGAGTGGGACGGATGCCTGCCACAGGCAGGGTGGGTGGGGTCATGGCCAGAGCAGGACAACCCATGCCCACTCTGCAGAGGCATCGGACAGAGTGAACGAGCGTCAGGCCTGTGAAGGAGCCCGCGATCTGCCCAGGATGGGCCAAACGGCACCTGGGGCAGGTTTGTCTGCTCAGCCACTGTGGCCCTGGCACACAGGCCATTGGATGTGGCGGGGTGCACTCCACCCAGGAGGCAGAGTGAGAGTGAGGGTCAGGGCCAGTCCTCCCAGACCCCCGCCCCAACCTTGACCTGTCCTTCCCTTGCAGACACCAGCCCTCGATCACTGCGGGGGGAAGGGTGACAGGCCAGAAGAATGAGAAGAGACCACTTCCCAGGGTGACAGGGATGCTGTGCCCCTTCTCCTGGGCCAGGCCCTGCACCCAGCCAGCCCCGTGATAGGTGCACGGAGCAAATGTACACCAAGGTGGGGCCTAGAGGGACGCCCCTTGGCCCTAGGTGGCCCCAGGGTGCCCAGGCAGCTAGAGGGAGGAGCCTGAGCTCATTGAAGGCCTGGGGGCTTCCGTGCCTGTTGTGGGAAAGCAGACCCGAGGGGTGGCCCTCTCATCTCATGGGGGAAGGTGGCCTGCTTGCCCCGAACCCTATGCCCCCTGGCCCTGCGGGAGGCCACAGAAGCAGCACAGGGACTATGGGACTGTTGGAAACTCCAGTTGGAGCATGTGTTTAGGGAATTAAGCGTGAGACCATGGTGGGGGGCTGTGCCCTGGAGGTCTCATCCTGCTTGGCTCCAGCCTGACGGCCTTTCTCCAAGGTGATGGGACCAGGTAGGGGTGGCTGGGGAGGGTGCATCAGGGAAGGCCCTGCAAGATGGGGTGGGGTGACCAGAGTGGGTAGACACGCAGGACGCAAGGCCGTGATGGTCCTTTGTGTGAAGATAACCAAGGCAGGGTCTGGGCCAAACAAGGAGAAGGAGAAGGGCATGGACCCGAGAAGCCTACACAAGCAGGATGCAGAGGACGCTGGACGGGGCAGGGGAGGAGTCTGGCTGCCATCCTGCCCTAGCTCTGGCCTCGCTCCAGCCCTGTCCTCATGGCTTTCTGGACGCCTGACTCCAGGGCCCCCATCCACCTGCGGTGAGCAGCAGGGCCTGGGATGAGATTTCCCCCAACCCAGGCCTCAGTTTCCCCAGATGCACCATCTGTCCCTTTAGGAAAAGGTCCTTGATCAGGGAGCTGAGGACTGGGCTGGAGCGAGGCCAGGGCTCGAGCAGGTTGGTGGCCAGGCTCACACCTGTAATCCCAGCACTTTGGGAAGCTGAGGTAGGAAAAAGGCTTGAGCCCAGGAGTTTGAGAGCAGCCTGGGCAACACAGCAATACCCCATCTCTACCCAAAAATAAAAAAGCTAGCCGGGCATGGTGCCATGAACCTGTAGTCCCAGCTACTTGGGAGGCTGAGGTGAGAGAATCGCTTAAACCCAGGAGGTTGAGGCTGCAGTGAGCTGTGGTCGTATCCCTGCACACTGCACTCCAGCGTAGGTGACAGAGTGAGACCCCGTTCCAAAGACAAAAAAGCCGTTAAAGTGCTTCATAACAGGAGACCCCCAACACCTGGGGGAAGGGGCTTAGGTGATCATAACACCTGGGGGAAAGGGCTTGAGTGACCCACAGAGCTGGCTCTTGTAGCAGCCAGTTTGGTCTGGTCTGTCTGGGGTACTGGCTGCTTCTGCCCCTCCCTCCTCCACCTCCTCCTCCTTTTCTGTCTTCTTCCCCCTCTGCCCCTCTCCTCCTCTCCCTCTTCTCCTCTCTCTCCTCCTCTCCTTTCTCACCCCCTGCTCCCCCTCCTCCCTGTCCACTGAGGAGCACAGGGCACCTGAATTGGCCATCACAGGCCAAGCATGGGAAGCCTCTGGCTCCTGGAACAGATTTAGAGCAGGAGGAACCTTCCAGAACCCATTCTGTGCCAGATTCAGATGGGGAAACTGAGGCCAAGCAAGAGGTAGGCTTTGCCCAGGACCCCCAGTGCATGGAGCCACTGGGATTCCAAATCGGGGTCACTGGGGCCTGGCCAGTTAATGCCCATGGGATGGGCACCCCTCATGTTGCACAGCCAGGGTTGGGGTCAATCCCTGGGGGTCTTTGTCATCAGCATGCATCTGGGCCTCACCAGGTGCCTCCGAAGTTCCGGTGACTGGGGGCTGGGAGCCGGTTTCCTGGAGTGCGGGTGCCCCCCTGGGGCAGGGGCCAGGGCCAGTGAGGTCCCCTGTGGAGGGGCCTGGCGCCTTGGGGCCCAGCAGTCTCTTCAGGACAGATGTGACCTCCTGGTCCGCTCGCTCCAGGGTGGTGTCTGTAGAAGGGGCAAATGAGTGCAGAGGGGGTGAGGCCCAGGGGTCTGGGATAGCTGCAGCCTGCGGAGGGGTCTCCAGGAACCCCATCCCCCTCCTCAGAGACCGCCCAGGTGGGCCGACACTGGGCTGCTCCCCACCCACTCCCCTCTCAGGAGGCTGCCTGGAGGTGGAGGCCTGGGACACAGAAAGGAAAAAACCACAGACCCATGCTGCAGGCAGGCACTTCCTCCTCCTAGACCCCCCGCGAGCTCAGCCTCGTCCTCCCCGGGAACCTTCGGGAGAGTGTCGCCACCTCCAGGGAGCAGCCAGGCCTGGATACCCACCCCAGGCCCTGGCTCTGCCACTGATCACAACCCCCCACCAGGGCTGGCCTCTCCTCAAACCTGGGCACAGCCTAGTGCCAAGGTGAGAACCAGAGGAAGCTTGGGTTCCGTGGGCGTCCAGGCGGCCGTGACTGTGGACCCTTCCCCGGGGATGGGCCCTCCCTCCCAGGGCAGCCCCTGCCTGCACCCGCCTGTCGGGCGTCTTTCTCTCCTCCACCTGTGACCCAAATCTGCCCTACCCTCCACCTGCAACCCCGGCCCCGGCCGCCCCACCTGGCCCCTTGCTGGCTGCAAGAGACTCCTGCAGAGCCCTGCTGGGCGTGGTCCCCACTGGCAGCTCCCCCTCAGCAGCCTCCCCGTCCACCTGGTCATCAGCCAGGCACCTCACACGTGGGTCCAGCAGGTCACCTGCCCCAACCCTCCCGCCTTGCTTGTGTCTTCAAGCCCTTGCTGAGGACCCCTGCTGCATCCCCAGTCGCCAGCCAGGAGAGGACACCCGGGCTGCTCTCTACACTGCCAGGGCACCCTCCTCTCCACCCTCCTCACTCCAAGGCAGTCAGCAGGACCCCTGAGCCAGCCTCGGGGCTGGAGGGCTTCGGGTTTTACGCTAATGGTGCTGGGATCGTCCGGCCAGAGACAATGAAGTTGACCCCTGATGCTGAGATCCTGAGCCCCACGGGGTCACCACATCCCCACGTCTGCCATGACAACAGTCCCAGCTGCCCAGGGCTGGGGAAGGCCTGCCTGGCACCCCGCATACCAGGAAGGAGCATGATTGGCTGTTCTGGCCATGCCATGTGCCCCTGTGAGTGGCCCCTCCATGATGGGAACCAGCTGCCGCAGGTCCACTCAGGGACCCCAGGGTGGGCCGGGACTCCACAGGCAGTGGCCAGCCAGGGGACCTCACAGTCAAGGGCAGATGAGGGTAGGGGCTCCCCTGAGGGCTGCAGGTAGAGGGGACCCAGGGCTGCCCAGTGGAGAGGCAAGGAGAATCAGAGAGGTGCACAGGAAGCTGCTTTATTCTTGCTGAGAGACAGGGGCTGCTGCCCACACACAGACCCTGTGTCCACCCTGCAGAAAAGGCCAGGAGGGCCTGCAGAGCTGGGAAGCGCCACCCAAGGGTCTCAGTCACCAAGACTGCAGGAGAGGCAAGGCCATGTCAGGCCTGGCAGCTGTGGCTGGGGCCAGGAGGGAGGGACCAGGCCCATGTGGGAACAGGACAAATGCCCAAGGCCACATCCTTCGTCCACAGTCCTGAGGCTCCTGCCAGGCTGACAGGAAACAGCCCAGAGCTGAGGTCTTTGAGCCGGTCATTCCAACATTGCAAGCACCACCCAGTCCTCCTGGCTGAAGTTGAGTGAGGTAAGAAGGGCCCGTGGCCAGGGACAGGGAGGGCCCTCAGGAGGCTCCCAGGGCTGCTGCTGAGGCCGGGCAGCGTCCTAGGCCTCAAGGACACTCCTTTCTCCCCGCTGCCCCAAGCCACCATGGCAGCAGCATCAGGGCTGTGCCGCCTCATCCCCATCCCTGTCTGGGCAGATGTGAAGGGTGACCGTCTCCCCCACTGTCCCGAAGTTGACGGTCTGGGTGGAAAGCTCTGTGGTGAAGCTGCTCTGGCCACTGTCCGCAGAACGCCGGATGCGGGTGCAGAAAGACTGCGTCCAGGGAGCACTGCCCACAGGCCGAGCCGGGGCCTCCCGCAAGAGGAAGGAGGTGCCCTCAAGGCTACGGACCTGGGGTCCCGGTGGTGACGCCCCACGGGGCTCAGGCCTAAAGAGGCCGAGAGGGCCTCGGGGACCCAGTGCATGCCCCACGCTGAGCAGCACAGGCTGCCCCACCGTGGGCTCCCCGATCTCTCTCTGGATCACCGAGACCTCGCAGGGAGGGTCATCAGGGGCGCCAGGCCCAGGGCCACCACAGTGGAAGGTCTCCCCTTCCCCAGGCACGTAATCTTCCAGGTCAGCCAGTGTCAGCATGCGGCCGTTGTGCGTGAGGATCTTGGGGTCACGATCCCCAAGGCTGTGTGTGTCCTGGGACTCCTCCGTCACAAAGGCGTCTCCGTCTTCCCCCTCTTCCTCTCCCGCCTCCTCCATGGTGCCCTCCTCCTCCAGGCTGCCCATGCCAGAAGCAGCCCAGTCCACACTGCCTCTGGCATCCACGCGGAAGACAAGGGGCTCTCTGACGCCGACCATGGCTGTGCCCTGGGCCCAGGCCTCCTGGGCCAGCAGCTTGTTGTTGGAGTTGTTGGAATTGGGGTCCCCTCCGGGGGTCGCACCGGGCAGTGTGAAGAGATGCCCCGATGAGCTCCTGGGCACCTCTGTGGTGGGAGACACACCCTGCGGGCCCATCTTCTTCACCCGGACTTCAATGGTCTCCTCCACCTCCACCCACTTGGGCTGGGGCCCCGAGAGTCCGGGCAGAGCTGGAGAGTGGGCCTCGGCCTCCGTCACATACAGTGTGGGCACCACGGGCTTCTGGCCTGGTTCTGCCTCCGGCCTGCGGGGCTGGCCAGCACCTGGCAGGTACAGCAGGTCGGGGGCCAGTAGGCCTGGCCTCAGCGGGCTGGCAGAGCAGCGGGAAGGTGAGCGGGAGGGGGACTTGCTGGGGGACCGTCGTTGGCCACGTGGGCTCTTCACCACAGTGGTGATGGTCTCTTCTCTGGGGGAGGGAGGAGAGGGCCCGAGAAAAGATGGGCACAGCGCCCAGGATTGCCAGGGCAGCGTGAGAGCTCAGGTTATTGTACCAGCAAGCCAGCAGTGAGAGTGCACAAAGAACTCTTACACATGCATGTGAGCCCAACCTACAGAGTCCCCCACCCCCTGCCACAGAACTAAAGAAACAAAGCACAAGGTCCCATGTGGCCAATCTGTCTCTGGTGTGCAGATCTGAAAACAAGAGGTGAGGTACGTGGGGAGGCCCGTGCCGCACTGCATAGGCAAGCGCCTCCAAAAACCGGGTCACATCCTGATTGCAGTGGCCCCGGTGCCCGTCTCCCCTCCAGGTCCATCCCACCTTTGTGCTTTGTATCACGGGGGATGGTGCGTGGCCAACTCTCAGAGGGCAGGGCCTGCACACCCTGAAAATCCTCAGCCAGGGACGGGCTGGACAGCTTATGCCGTGGGGGTGGGGTGGGGGCTGAGCTCAGACCTGTTCTCCTGGCCTTTGGGTCTGAAAGTGTGAGGCCCAGAAAGGCTTTAGGCAGGCCAAGGGAGAAACCTGGCTGATACGTGGCCCCAGACTTGGCTTGGCCATGATGAGCCGTGTGACATCAGACAAGCCCCTCCTCCTGCCTGGCTCCATCTCCCAAAATGGGATGGGGGAGGAGTGACGGAGGCAGAATGCAAGGTTGGCTGTACGTGGCTGTGCGTGGGGCACTGGCTGGGAACTTTGCAAGCTCTCTTGTCTGACTCTGCAGTAACCTGGGAGAGGGTCTGATCCCACTTTATAGGGGACAGAGAGGGTCAAAGAGGCTGAAAATCTGCCTGGGGCCAAGAGGGAGAAGCAGAGCAGTCAGCCCAGGTCCTCCTCTGGTGCCCGGTGCCCCTGACCTTGCTGAGCACTGAGAGCAAACTGAGTTAACACGTAGGGAAGCAGAACGTGCTGAGTAACACACAACACATACCAGTTCCCTGCCTGTTACTCATTTTGCCCTCAGCCTTGCACTTCCCTCAGGCTCAAGACAAGGGATGTGGCATGTATGAGGTGACAAAGTCGTCACCAAGTGAGCTACTGCCAGCTGTCTGCTTTGTCCAAAGTACTGTCTCTCTCTCATTTAGTTTTGCTTTCATCTAACTCAGGGCTCCATCTGGAAGCAGTTGCTCCCAGGCATGAGCCCAGAGATGTGTGACCACCCCTTGGGGTGCACAGCAATGACAGGTCCTGCCTCCTCCAGCCCTCAGCTATTAAGGAGGGAGTGATATATTCCACTTAACTGATGGGGAAGCTGAGGCTCAGAGATGTGGCCCACTTGTGCCCACAGGCCTGATTTCCTGCCTCACACCCAGGCTCTAGGGCAGTAGGCTTGTTGCTGACAGCCTGGGCCTAACCCCATCTGCTCACCTCATGTTGCCTGATCTGCTGATGCAGGGTGGTAAGTTGAGTGCAGCCCAACAGGTGGATGGGGACTCCTAAATATCCCCCAAATGCTGGACTCACTGCCACCCCCACAAGGACACATGGGCATCCTGTACTGAGACTGCAAGCACAGCATATGGGGTCTGTCTCCAAGCCCTGTTTCCTTCTCAGGCCTACTGCCTCCCCAGTGCCTCTGCCTGTGTGGTCCACCCTTGGGTTCAGCGCTATGCCTATGCAGTTGGCTCCCTCCAATCCTCAAGCTGAGTGGGTAAATTACGCTTTGCAGAGTGAGGGTTGCCACCTTCCTAAGCCTGGAACAGACTGGACTTGTATGCTTGTAAATCACCTGGTCCTCCTTTCCCTAGGCGTGAGTCGCCTCTGAAGCTTTGCCAGTGGGGCATTCTGGCTCCATCTCTGCTCCTCCATTTTCTTATCCATAAAATGTAGATAATAATAGTGCTCCCAAAGGGACAAAATGTAGACCTACTCTATGTGAGGCTCTGGCACCGTTGCATACCTCCAGGAGTGGGGTGCTCACCAGCATCCAGGCAGCCCCATCTATTGTGGGGTGGCATCATAGGAGCAACTTGTTTTAGGGGAGGAGGGAGAAAGCCAAGGAAGGGTTAACCCAGGATCTCAACAAATGTCTGGCAATGGGATTTTCCCACAATACGGCCAACTGAAGGCCCCTTGAGAACTAAGAGTTTTCCCATCCTGGAGCTTCTCAGCCATCTGGCCTTAGGAAACCACAGTCTTTCCTGCCTCCTGGCTTTTGCAAGCTCTTCCATCACTCCCGCCTGCACACACCTTCTATTGGAAGTCCTCTCAGATTATTCAGGTCAAAACCAACTCTACATTTATGGGTTCACCCAGTTCTGGTCCTCTTGTGTTACCTCAGCAGCAGCAGCATGTGTGATTTTCCTAAATCCTTGAGGCACTGAAGGATGAAGAAAAGGACAGTGGGTGTGGCACTGGGGAAGTGGCTTCCAGTCATTAGCCACCCAGAGCTAACCTCCTCTCTTCCCTGAACTTCAGTTTCCCCATCTTCCAAATGTGAAAATCGGGCTTGGGGACCTCTAAGGGCCCTAAGGCTGTGCTGTCCACTATGAATGCACTATGTAAATTAAATTCAAATGAACAAAAATTAAAATTTAAAATTTGTCCTTCAATCACACTGGACAACATTCCGGATGCTTCAACAGACGCAAGTGGCTAGTGGCTACTGTGGTGGACAGGGGAGATATAGAACATTTCTTTTTGTTTTCTTCGCGACAGAGCTTGCTCTATTACCCAGGCTGGAGTGCAGTGGCACGATCTTGGCTCACTGCAACCTCTGCCTCCCGGGTTCAAGCAATTCTCCTGCCTCAGCCTCCTGAGTGGCTGGGATTACAGGGGCCCGCCACCACACCCGGCTGATTTTTGTGTTTTTAGTAGAGATGGGGTTTCACCATGTTGGCCAGGCTGGTCTCAAACTCCTGACCTCAGGGGATCTACCTGCCTTGGCCTCCCAAAGTGCTGGTATTACAGGCCTGCGCCACTGCGCCTGGCAGATATAGAACATTTCTGTTACCACAGAAAGTTCTGTTGGACAACACTGTCGTAAATCCCAGGGTGCTGAGGATTAGAATTCTGTCTCTGGCCCACTGAGGAAAGCAGGTCTCAGGCCTAGCTCCTGATGAACCCCTGGATGAACCACTGTGAAGTGTGTGGAATAAGTCTACTCTGCTGAAACAGTGGGACCACGGAGTGTACTGAGGCCCTGGAAGAGAGCGCTGTGAAGTGTGGAAGTAATCGAGGCCCCAGGGGAAGGTGCCTATGCAAGGTAACTGCAAGTACCTGTAAGGTGCTGGCAGTCAGAGGGTGCATGTTATGTGAGCAGACAGGCAGCAAGCAGGTGGCTGGGCCACACAGGCATGATCCAGGCAGGTCAGTGGCATGCAGGAGGCACTGCAGTCAGAAGGAAGGTTAGGAACACGCCTGCACTTACATGATGACGGTTTTCTTGGGGACTTTAGTCTCTTGCTCAGTGACTACAAAGAAAACAGTCGGAATAGCGAGGGTTACAGACCAGCCAGTGCTAGGGGCTGAGCTATCGGAGTGGCACAGCGTTGTAGTCACCTGCTAAGCTGCCCCTGGGCAGCCTGTCTACTCAGAGCCCCAGTTCCTGGGCCTCTGACATGGAGGTGACGATGCCTGTCCTGAGTGGCTGCGGAATGAGGGCTGAGGACAATGCTTCCCCTCGTGAAGGCAGGACCCACTGTCCCTCTCGAGGGTCTTGCAGGGACTGGGGGGAGAATGAGGACCCTACCTACGCTCCCTGCACAGAAATTCCAGCTTCTCCTTCAACCCATGTGCCAAGGGAGCCCCGTGAATTTGTCAGACCTACAATCCCACTTCTCAGACATAGAAACCGAGTCCTAGAAGGGAATAAATGGCCTGTGGCTGCACAGGGAGCCAGCGGCCACACTGAGGCTGAGGCAGCTGGGGACTCTGTTACAAAAAATCCTCAGGAGAGAGGGACTCTGGAGTCCTGAAAGTGGCACAACTGAGCTTTGTGGCGCAAAGCCACAGAAGTCCTACCAAGAACAGCCCCAGGGGATGCCTGGGCAGGGTGCTGAGCTCTGAGTGAGCGTCAGCCCAAATCTCCCTATAGGAGCATCCTCAGTCCACACACTCCATGGTCTCTCCAGGTTTTCCTAGCTGCCTCCCTCCCCAGAGCCAGCAGGATGGGGCCTGTGGTTCCAGTGATCGGATGGGACGCATCTGGGATCAGGCAGCTCCTCCTCCCAGTCACCTCAAGGACTCTCCCCTGCAGCTCCCGGGCAGAATCATCAGGGCACAAAGATGGCCCCCTCCCAGCCCAAGCCAGCTGGCCAGCGGGCAGTCCACGGGCCACCAGCACCTTCACATCTCAGTGACCCTCCCCAGCACCCTGAGGGAAAAAAACGAGCAGGAGGCCCAGAAGTCAAGTGACGTGGCCTGGGGCACATGGCCTCACAGCTCCGGGTCAGGGGGTGGGACACCATCTGCTTTGCTAGACTGCCATGTGGAGAAAGGCTTTACACCTGTCTCAGGTGAGGAGCACGTGAATTTCAGGGACTGCCTGCGTCTATATGTGCACTTGGGAGCCACAGTACTGTGCATTTCTGTGCACACACATGTGCAAGTGTGTGTATGTGCACAGATGTATGTGCATGCATACGTGTGTGCATGCACGTGTATACATATGTGTAGGTGTGTATTTCACAGGCTCCCCCTGGAGAGAGGAGAGCCCATGTGAGGAGAGAATGAGATCCAACCAAAAGGCTCTGTGTGTTTAGACTAAGCTGACCCCAGAGAAAGCCAATGTGTCCACTACCTGCAGGCCAGTGATGGGAACTGCACAGAGTGATGGGAAAACCCGGGGCCTCCCCACTCATCCTCCCTGCACTTGGGGCTGACAGCCAGGCACCTCTGGGCCCATACACTCTCTGGCACCTTCATTCATGGACCTAAACTGTCACCTGATCGGCTGTGGGCCAGAGTGAGTATTTGCGACTACAGGAGGGATGCAGCCGTGCGCAGCATGATTCACAAGTGAGGGGGCAGCGCCCACCCCGCAGAGGCCTGCCAGGGCCTGTTTGGGCTGCAGAGCTGCTGGGTTAAAGATGAAGCAGCAGGATAGGAGTTAGAAGCGGGGAGGCGTTGGCTCCAGCTCCAGGCTCTTCAAGGACCTGCATTCTCACCTTGCTGAGGCGCTGACACTCTGTCCAGCACTGGTGGCCTCTCTCCCCTGCCACCCCCTCCTCCAGACCCAGAGAAAGACTTGTTGTGACAGCCAAGTGAACGACTGTGGAGGACGCTCCTGTCACCAGCAAGAGGCAGCCCTGGGTGTCCCAGCTGGCCATGAGACACAAGACTCATGGGAGGCTGAGGTGCTGGCGGCTCCAGAAGCAGTTCTGTGTGGTGCTATGGCCACCAGTTGTGGGGCTGACGGAGGTCTCAGGGCCCCCAGAGACACGTCAGACATGGGGCACTCACAGTCGGAGGTTGGCCAGTGCCAGTGGCACCGTGTGGGCTGAGGAACAAGGACCTCTGCCCAGCAGGGGAGGGGTCTCCCTGAGGGTCATGGAGGGCATCAAAGATGGCCCAGCTCTGTGGGGTCCAGATGGGCAACTGGCTTTCAGACACTGGGCACTGGGAGAGACAGTTGAGGTGGGGTTGCAGGAGCCAATGTTTAAGACTTGGAGGACATGTATTCCAACCACTCCCACAGTGGCAGCTGCAGCTCTGCCAGGTGTTGGGCCAGCCTCCACTTGCATGTCCCCAGGGATGGAAGGCTCAAAACCTGTCCAGACGGGCAGCTCCAACTGGGAGCCCAAGACGGATGCCCGATGACCCTCTTCCCATCCTGGCTGCCCCTGCCCTGAACAAAGCATCCGGGAGCCTGGAGAAATGAGGTGATGTGCCCCACCTCTCCCTCCACCCCTTACCTTTCATCCCTAGTGAAGTCATTCTGCAGCCCAAGGCCCTCCCAGGACCCCAGGAGCAGCCCCAAACCAGGCCAGGTATCTCCACAGCCAGCCCTACCCTGAATAGAGGGGCCAGGCCCCTGACACTTGCTCCTTCTCCTGGGAGCCAAGCTGGGGCCCAGCGGCCTGGCCCTCTGCAGAGATGTCCTTCCTATTGTTCCTGCTGCAACCTCCCCACTGCCTTAGGCCCACCGCCTCCTGTCTGCCACCGGCGAGCTGCCCTGGGTGTAGGCCTGGCCTCTGCGCACAGGCTTCCCCTCTCCGGAACGCAGCGGCTTTGGGAACCCCGCCCACCCAGAGTGACCTCTCCAGCCTCCATCCAAGCCCTGGGCTCAGGGGCTACCCTCCACCAGCCCACACAGGTGCTGCCTCCAGCAGGGGGCTGGGACCTGTGCCTGGCCCACAGCAGCCTCCCCGTCTACCATCTGTGGCTCTCCCTGCCCCACGGTGCCAGCCCAGCCCCTCCTCCAGGGTCCTCCAGGCAGCAGACCCTGACTGGGAAGGGTGAGAGTCTTGTCCTCCTGGACACGGCCAGGCCTGTGAGGGTCCAGCCTGGGTCTGGGCCGTGGGGAGCCGCCTTGGTGGCGAGGACAGGGGTGGGACTTACCTTCCACTGCAGCCACGAGCTGCTCCCTGTGACACTGCTCCTGGGCCTGCAGCATGGGGCTCTGAATGCGCAGCTCCGCACTAGCCCGCGCGGAGCCCAGCCGGTTCACCAGCTGCAAGGACGGCAGGGCCGGCTCAGAGCCCAAGGCTCCCCACGGGTAGGGCCCTCTCCCTGTGGCCATGTTGGGAGCACGGGCAGCCCCCATCCTGGTGTGTCTCCCACAAGGGGAAGGGCCCCAGCCCCGCCACAGCATCCCTGGGGGACCCACACGGCCTTAGGGCCCCCTGCAGTGATGAGGATGCTCTCCATCTGCCCTGTCCACGTGCGGCTCTGAGCATGGGACATGGGGCCAGAGCAGCCAGGGAACTGAATCTTTAACTGAACTTAACTTCATTTTATGTATTTTTTAAAGCTGGGTCTCGCTCTGTGACCCAGGCTGGAGTGCAATGGCACGATCTCAGCTCACTACAGCCTTCACCTCCTGGGCTCAAGGGATCCTCCCACCTCAACCTTTCGAGTAGCTGGGATCACAAGTGTGCACCACTGTGCCTGGCTAATTTTTTAGCTTTTCTTTTTTTTTCAGAGTCAGGGTTTCAATATGTTGCCCAGGCTGGTCTCAAACTCCTGGGCTCAAGTGATTTTCCTGCCTTGGCTTCCCAAATTGTTGAGATTACTGACGTGAGCCACAGCACCTAGCTTTGGATTTAACTTTAGTTGACTTAAATTTAAATTTAAATCCCCGTGTGTGGCTAGTGATGGTATCAGACAGTGCAAATCAAGAGCTCACTTGGGTCTCTGGCTTCTCCAGCCAGAGTGGTGTGGGGCAGGCTCCCCACAGGCTCACAGCAGCAGCCACACGGCGGGAGGTGGTGGCCGGACAAGTGCCCCTGGAGGAACTGGACAGAAGCTAGCGCCTGGAGCCTGGGGCACCCGTAGTTGGCACACAGCCACCACGACCACCACGAGCACTGCAGGCTTTGAAGGACCGGAGGACTGGAACTGGGCCTGGGCCCCACCCTGAGGAGCCCTTGCCCCGGCCCTGCAGACACAGTGGCTGGAGCAGAAGGCAGCTCTGTCCACCCGTAGGCTGGATGTCTCCACAGGTAAAAGGTACCTGAGCAGGGCCGGGCTACACTGGATGACTGACACTCCATTTGACACGAATGACAAAATTCATGAGGCCAGCCGGGTCCCCCAAAGGCAAAAACCAAGCGGCATCCTTGAAATGGCCAGGGAAGTCAAGGAAGGCATCCAGATTGACATGGGAGCAGAGAAGAGGCTTAGAGGCAGAGGAAGAATGAGGCCAGGGCATGGGGCAGTGGTGTGGCCAGGGATGACAGTGACAGTGGCATGGTGGCCCCCGGCCTGTGATGGGGGGTGACAGTGGCCTGGTGGCCCCCGGCCTGTGATGGGGGGGTGACAGTGGCATGGTGGCCTCTGGCCTGTCATCAAGGGTGTAGCAGCGGGTATGGTGTCCCCTGGCCTCTGCCGAGAGCCCCCTACCTTGAGGACAGGGACCGGGCTCTTAAGCCCCTCCACAATCAGACCCCAGAGGATGGCCAGCAAGGATGGCCTGGGTCCCGAGGCCGGTCCCCACTCCTGCACTCCTCACCTCACACTCGTAGAGCCCCAGGTCCTCCTTGCTGGCCGCCCGGATCACCAGCACTAGCAGGCCGCTGCGAGGCTCACTCAGTGTCTGGAACTTGTTGCCAGTGGTCAGCAGGGCCCCGTCCTTGTACCACCTGGAATCCACCCGGAGGGCACGTGAGGCAGGACTTGGGCCATGCTCTACCCCGCCGGCGACATCCTCCTATGTCCTATCTCAGGGCCACGCCCAGCTGTGCTACCTGTGCTCACGACCCGGTTGCCCTGCCCTCAGACCCCAGGGGTCCTCAGAGAGCCCACCCTTCCAGAAGCCAAGACAGAGCCTGGCCGTGTCCTCCCGGCTGAGGGGGGCCGCACATCCAGAATGAACCAGAGCCCCACGAAGCCCATTCTCAGCTGAAGGCCAGTGGCCATGTCTAGCCCACCCTGACACGGGAACACATGGCCCGTGCCCCATGCTCCAGGTGGGAGCCGACCCCCTCATGCCCCATCCCCGGGCAGGCCTGGGCCCCACCTGATCTGCGGGTACGGGGCGCCTTCGATGGTGCAGGTGAACTGGGCGTCCTCTCCCTCCACAAAGGGTGAGGCCCGGACCTTGTTCACGAACCGTGGTGGGACTGTGGGGTTGTGGAGGGAAGAGACAGAGAGAGAGACAGATAGAAACATTAGAGACAGAGACAGAGAGACAGAGACAGACACAGAGACAGAGATAGAGACAGAAAGACTTACAAAGAAAGAGACACAGAGACAGAAAGAAAGAGATGGAGAAACAGAGAGACAGAGATAAAGATACAGAGACAGAGAGACAGAGAAATATAGAGACAGAGAGAAATAGAGATAGAGAGAGACAAAGAGACAGAGATGGAAAAACAGAGACAGAAAGAGACAGAGAAAGAGAAATTGAAACAGAGATAGAGACAGAAAGAGACAGAGACATAGACACGGAGACAAAGATAAAGAAACAGAGACAGACAGAGATGGAGAAACAGAGAAACAGAAAGACAGAGAGACACACAGATAGAGATGGACAGACAGAAACAGAAGGACAGAGACAGAAAAAGACATACAGAGACAGGGTGACAGAGACAGAGATCAAAGGACAAAGACAGAGATAGAGACATACAGACAAGGAGAGACAAAGACAGAAAGAGATAGATACAGTGCATCAGACACAGAGACATACAGAGAGACAGAGAGATGCCATGATGGAGCTGAGAGTGATGCCAGGGAAGGGGCTGCAGGATCCCCACCCCTCCCAGTGCCCTCTATGATCCCCCAATGATCCCCTCAGAACATGGTCAGATGTGTCCACCCCACTGTCCCACCACCCCGCCGCAGCTGGGCCTGCCATGGTGGGAGGCTCAGGGCGGCTCCTCCCCCAGGAAGGCCTTCAGGCTAACCTTGCACCAGGATCTTGCCCAGGGTACTGCAGTTGCCAGCGGCGCTGGCCGCGAAGCACATGTACTGGCCAGAGTCCACACCGGTCAGGCTGTCCAGGATGAGTGCACACGAGCCATCAGGGTCTTCAATGAGGATGTGGTGGGGGTCCACCTGCACTGCTTTCCCATCTGGAAAGGACGAGCGGGGGCCGTCACCCAGGTGGGGACCCAAGGGCTCACCTCATCAGC
The DNA here is from genome assembly GCF_000001405.40 of Homo sapiens. Classification (NCBI taxonomy): domain Eukaryota; kingdom Metazoa; phylum Chordata; class Mammalia; order Primates; family Hominidae; genus Homo; species Homo sapiens. The sequence goes on along the minus strand of NC_000001.11, from coordinate 228,349,829 downwards.
GGGGAGAAGCTGGGCCTGGCCTGGGGGCTGCAGTTATGGTCGGGGAGGGGATGGAGGGGCCACGCTTGTAGCACAAGGGCCAGGCACAGGCTCCCTGCCAGGTCCAGCTTCCAGGCTGACCTGCAACCCTGGAGGGAGAGGCTGACACGAGCTCACCTTCTCTCTGTGTCTCTGCCTCTCTATCTCCATCTTTCTTTGTCCCTCTGTCTTAGACTCAGTTTCTTTCTTTGTCTCTATCTCTGTGTCTGTTTCTGTTTTCTGTCTCTATCTCTCTTTCTGTCTCCTTGTTGTCTCTGCCTTTGTATCTCTGTCTCTGACTCCATGTCTCTGTCTTTGTCTGTTTTTCTGTCTGTGCCTTTTGCACCTTTCTGTCTCTGTGTCTGTCTCTGTCTCTCTGTCTCTCACTGTCTGTCTCTTTCTCTGTCCACTTTGGACACTAGCTAGAGGCAGGGGGCAGGCCAAGGGACCTGAGCCCCACAGAGAACATCCTCTATGGGCAGCTGAGTCCTTGGTCACCCCAGCTCTCAGCAGTCCTGTGATACTCTGAGGACCTCTAATGCACTGACTGCACCCCAGCTCACAGCACCTTGATCCCCTCTTCACCCCTGCCTGCCCAGCCTAGGGCCTGCAGCCCCTTCTCAAAATCACTGCCCACAGCCCTCCATGCCTCCTCTCCCTAAACCTGCCCCTGCAGAGGACACAGCAGCCCAAAGTCTCACCCTCAACTCCACTCTCCTCTCCCAGGCCACATCCTCGTGCCTCCAAACGCACGGCTTTCTAATACGAAAATCTGAAGACTGAAGAATGTGAAGTAAATCACCCTGGTATGAACACACAACCGACTACACCTCTGGCCAAGGAATGCTTCCTTCCCGGGTGAGGGATGGGAAGGCACGGCCTCTCACTGTGGAGAACTCCTTCCCACATAATGTCTAAATACATAAAACGGCATCGATTCACATTCCAATAGTGCCGGGTGTGCCCCACAGATTGCTTAAATCACAAAGGTCACAACCAGCACCGACTTATGATTTGTATAGAACTATAAGATATATATACATTATACACACACATACACACACACACATATACACATATATATTTGTGGAGACGGAGTCTTGCTCTGTTGCCCAGGCTGGAGTGCAGTGGGGCCATCACAGCTCACTGCTGCCTCGACCTTATGGGCAAAAGTGATCCTCCCGCCTCAGGTGCACCACCATGCCTGGCTAATTTTTTAACTTTCTGTAGAGACAGGGCCTCACTCTGTTGCCCATGCTGGTCTCAAACTTCTGGGCTCAAGTGATCCTCCCACCTTGGCCTCCTGAGTAGCTGGGACTATAGGTGTGAGCCACCCCACCCAGCTCAGAAATAATTTTAAATAATTTTTTTCAAAAACCTTCTGGTTACCACCTCAGATCTCCACACCCCTTTATGGCAACTCCAGAAAGGAGCTGTGCTCACACCCTCCAAGGCGTCTCTTCCCATCCCCACTAAGCCCATCCCCTGGGCCCCAGTTCTCTCCCCCAAAGCTCCTGTCAGGGCCGCCACGCTACCAGCAGCTCTGTCCTCATCTTGCTGTGGGAAAACAATTCTCCCTGGAATTCAGATTCCACATTTCAGCCCTCTGAGCAAAGGCACTCACAGCCAGGTTTAGAATAGAAGAAGAAGAAGAGAGTAGAGTAGAAAGTAAGGAGAGTGAAGCAGAAGATGCCCATCTGCCTGGCTGTGTTCCAGGACAACAGAGACAAAACCCTTCCATTCCTTTCCTGGGAGACATTTCTGCATCCCAGGGTAGGAAGTCACCCCCTATCTCTGGAGTGAAGCATGGGCAGATATACCAGCAGCCGCATAAAAAGAGCTCCATGTCTCCTAAGATTCACGGTTTCTCTCTCATGGGACAACCCCTGCATGCAACTAACACCTAGCTCCATCACCTCCTCACAGAAACGGGTGGGGGCAATGATGAGAGACACTGAGGCACTGCTGGTAAAAAGTCTTTGTCTCTGACCCATGAGTCTTGTGTCTTTTGTCTATATCTGGCTGGCAGGCTGGCTTGCAAGATTGCAAGTGGGGTAAAATTTTGGGCCCTTCACAGTTTTTGGTTTACAATTTTGGGGACAGGGAAGTGACACTGTCAGAGGCATGGCCTTCTGGAAGGGAAAGAAGAAGCGGCCCTGTGGATCTCTTTCTCTACTTTGTTGCCCTGCTAAGGAGAGAAACTAGGCAGGTAGTTGCATGCTGAGCACTGAGAAGTGGGTTCAAACACAGACACCTGGGCAGTGCCTTGGTTGGCACTCTTTCTCCAATCCCTGCCAGGGACTTTGCTGGTTCAGCCTCAGTTCAGCCATTTCACAATAAATGCCAGAGCCAGCGCTGGATCTGAGGAAGATTCTAACCCTGTTCAGACCACAGCCACGGACACTCGTGCCTGAACTGAGTGCTTGGGGAGGGCCACCAGCAGCCACGATGGGCAGAGGCAGGAGAGGGCTCAGCCCATCTAGGTCTGGCTGGTTTGGAGGGGAGAGGATGGGCACCGAGCCTGCACTAAGGAAGAACGGCCACAGCTTGGGCGTCTTGTGGAGCAGCCTCCTGCATCCACCATGCTGGCCTTCCATTCTTCTGGGGGTGACAGTAGAGGATCTCTGTGTTTGCGGTAGAGACGGGGTCCTACCTCCATGGTTGGCTGAGCCACAGAGGGGTGCCTTGTTCCGTCATTGTCCTCTGACCCCTTCCATCCCCTCTATACCACAGATCCTTTCCTGGCTCAAGCAATTTCCCCGAGACAACAAACTCCCCCAAGGGAAGGCAGAGGGGACACGGCAGGGAGTGCATGGACTCCTCCCGCTACGGCCTGCCAAGCAGCCAGGATCACAGTCATGCGACACCATGCCAGGATCAGAGATAATTTTAAATAGGCTGGCAAGTTAAAGACACCTCTTCCTGGGGCAATGAACAATGAAGTGAATCAAGGCTGCTGATGGGGACACCCCGGCCAGACCGCCAAGGCTCCTGTGCAGAGCCCCCAGGACACCACATCGCTGAGCCCCACCACAGGCAGGGCACAGATGCAGAAATCTACATCACATGTCAGACTGGGGACATCCTGGAGAGACATTCTCAAGCCTACAGGAAAGGAAGACACAGTACACATGGTGAACCCACTCTCCATCCTGGCATACCGCTCCTATGAACCCAGTGTTGGGGCTCAGAAAACAAGACCCCAAAATGAGGGCTTCCCAAGCAGCCTCAGAAGCAAAATTTTATCTCTGACCTTCTCCTCCCCTCCTGTCTCTAGCCCCTCATTCTCCTCCCAGGCTGACATAGAAACAGAATCCCTCTTCCCCAAGGTGGGTCATAGAAACCAGGACACCTTTTTCTCTAAAGCCAGCCAGAAAGCCTAAAAATAGGACTCCAATTTTCTCTCCATCGTTCTGTGTAAAACCTGGCCATGAAGAAATGATCTGACCTACTTTGTTTGGCTGTGGATCCAAGACCCCCATTCCAGCAAGGGTCCTGCTTCTCACCCAGAAGAAAAGGGCACTGCTCAGAAGGCCAAGAAGAATCCAGACAGACAGGCCTAGCGGGGTGTCCCCACTCAGTCTGTTCTCACTAGATCCAACCCTATTTGCCCAATCCTATTTCCACACAGTTGTCCATACTTTATGGAACCTAAGCATTAAAATGGACAGCTTCTTCTGGGTCTTTGGGTCTTCATTCTGAAGGATCCAGTGTCTACACATTCAATAAGTGTGTCTGCCTTTCCTCCTATCTGTCTGCCTTTTGCAAGTGATTGTTTAGTGAACCTGCAGAGGGCCGAGGGGAATGTTCTCCATGGCCCTTAGGCCAGCTGTCCCTCTCCAGGGTCTCTGTGGAGGCCACCTGCTGTGAGGCTGCTTTGGGTCTCCAGCCACACCATGAAAGCGTGTGGCTAACATGAGCCACGTGTGCCACACACACCCCCTGCAGTTTGATGTCCTATGACATCTACCACAAGAGCCACTCAGCAAGGGGATGGCGGTCTGACTGCGCCCACCTCCTACTGGCCTGCGGACCTTTGGAAGGCAGTCCGGTCACCAAGTGCAGCTGTCCCCAGAGAGGAGCTATCTCCTGCAAGCTGCCTACTGGGCTGGTGGTTAGGAAGCAAGGGACAGGGGAGGGCCTCCATCCACAGGGAAACCCAGGCTCTGCCATGACCACCCCTTGGTGGCAGCCTGGTCCAAAGGGAGCGGGGCTCAGGGCATTCAACTGGCTTCTGGCAGGCTTTGATAAAAAAGCTTTTGTTCCTCTTGAACCTAACCTCCCGGAGGAGAGGTCTGGACAGGTGGCAGGAGGGGAGCTCCTAAGACCCCAGGGAGCAGGCGTTAATGACCCACCCAAGCCTTCCTCCAGAAGTATCCCAGGGCAGCCCTCCAAGCCATTGCGTTCATCAGCTCCGACCAGTGGACACTGGGATGGCCCCTCCCACACACCCCGGCAAAACTCCCTGGAGTCCTTCCTCTCCAGCCCCGTCCTCAGTCATGGGCAGACCCGCGGGCCCGGCTGCTATGGACAGGGAGAACAGGAAGGGCTGAGTGCCCAGATGGTGCCTGCAACACCAGGACAGCACTCGGTTATAAGGACTGAACTGGGGGCTTGGAGGCCGGTCAGCCAGGCCAGATGAGGTTCACCTGACAGCCCAGGTGACCCCCTGGGGGGTCATCTGGGAGGTACCATCAATCAGTACTGATGTGTGCCTTCGTAGGAGCCCCCAAATTGTAAACAATAACTGTGTTCTCAAGACTTCCTGTGTGGGAGCCACACACATGTTGGCTGGTGCCTTGGGGTGGTCCAGGGCAGTCCCACAGGCTGGCATCTCCCCTGCTGAGAGGCTTGAGTAAATGCAGCCTGAGTCACACCGGAAGGACGGCATACCAGCCAGCATCAGTCAGATTAGCCAGGATGGCTGAGGGCTGGGCACAAGTGTGGGAAAATCCCCCAGGGGCTGGAGCCTGTGGAAGTAGGGTGGAGCTGGGTCTCTTGGGGCACAATGGCCCACAGTTGGCCAGCCCAGATGCTCCAGACAGCAGCGCTCACACAAGGAGACATTCCAGGACAGTGGAGCAGAGATGCCTCCCTCCCTGGAGACACCCGAGGTGGTGAGATGCAGCCCCTGAAATCCATGGTGCAGCGCATGCATGTGCAGGTTTCTCCCACACCACCCCTGAGAGCTGCGGCAAGAGCCTGTCCTGGCTGCTGCCTCATGTTGAGTGATGAACCATTTCTGTCTTGGACCAACAGGTCTTGTGTCTTGTGTGTGTGTGCAAGTAACTATACATGTATATATGTGTATATGTACCATTTGTGCATGTTTACATGCAGATATGTGTGTAGTACATATGACTGTGTGTACCTATGTATATGGTGGGTCTATGTGTATATATGTGTACTGTGTATGTATGCATGCACATGAATGTGTAGTATTTATGAATATACATGTGTGGTGTCTGCGTGTAGCATGTATGTGTGTTGCATGTATCTGTGCATGTGTATTGTGTATGGTATGTGGCTATGTACATATGTATATGTGTGCAGTATTATCTATGTGTGCACATATGTGTGGTCTCTAATATGTATATTTATATGTGTACAGTGTGTGCATATATGCACATGTGTAGCTGTGTATAAAGTGTGTGTGCATATGTAAAGTATGTACTTGTGTGTGTAATGTGCATACATCTCTGTATGTGTATAGTGCATGTTTGCATGTATCTGTGTATATATCTATGTAGCTGTATAGGTGCATGTAGTGTGCACTTGTGCATGATCCATGTGCATGTGCTATGTGTGCATATATGTGTACCTGTATAATGTGTATCTATGTACATATTCATGTGTGTGGTATGTATTTGTGTATATGTATTGTATACTATGCATGTATGTGTAGTATCTGTATGTGTGACGTGCATCTATGTATATTACACATATAGTGTTAATGTACATGCACGTGTAATGCATATATATGGTGTGTATGTACATATGCATGAGTGTGTAGCATGTATCTATGTGTCGCTATGTACGTGTGCGTACAAGTGTGTGTAATGTGTATGTGTGTAAACCGTGACAGGCTGACTTGCACATGTGTGAGGGGTAGAATGGGAGATTCCACAGTTCTGGGGACCCTGGCAGCCCTGGACGCCCCCTGCCCACTCCCCGTTGGCTTCTCCCTGGCTGGCTTCCTGGGCCCCCACCTCCCTGGCCGCTCCTTCCCCTGGGTTCGTGTCCCCTCATCTCTGCAGACTCTGGAAGTGGGGGCTCTCAAGCCTGGGTGCTTGGGCCTCACCCCTCCACACGCACTCTGCGTCTGCATCGACTGGCAGGTCAGACGCTCCGTGAGCTGACGACGTTCCATTCATCGTTTCCGGCCACATCCCTCTCCTGAGCCCTACTTGTATTTCTCCGACCGCCCCTCAGCGCCTCCGCCTGCATCCCTGCAGGCACCTCGATTCTGCAGGGTCCTCCCAGGCCTGGTGCTTCCTCCTCCCACCCAGCCCTGTCTGCACATCACCCCGCCTCTCCCCAGCCTTCCACCTTTGTAAAAGGAACCACCCTGGTGGATGTCCAGCCCCAACTGTGTGAGCATCTGGATGCCAAGCTCTTTCCACACAGCCAGCCACCCCATCAGCAAATCGGGCCAGTTCAGCCTTCAACACGGCCCTGGAATCCACAGCCACCCCTGAGCCTGGGTCCCCAGCTCCAGCACGGTGGCTCCCAGGCTGGTGTCCCAGGTCCCCTCTTGGCCCTCCCCAGCAGGTTCCTGGCATTACAGACAAGGTGACAGATGACAGAGCCAAACTGTGTCCCTCTGCTGCTGAAACCCAACATGGCTCCAGCACAAGGGAGGATTGATGCTCCCCAGGGAGAGGCCCCCAGCTCCTGGGAGGTGATCTCAGGCTCTTAGGATATCCTGTCTGGTAAAAGCATCTGTTCTCCTTGGGAGCCCTGGGCCACATGGGATCATCTATGCTGACCGTGAGATTTCTGAGATTCCTAGGGGTCCCTGGGCCACGCAGCATCAACTTGGCCTCCAGAAGGGCTGGAGCCCAAGGCCCACCACAGAGCAGTGAGCCAGGATTCCACAGCTGAGCCTGCAAAACCCTGGACACCATGGCCAGGGAAGCACCTGGTTGGCACCATCCCGTGCATGTCGTCACGTGCTGTCACTGGCAGAAATGATTCCCCCCAGGAGGGGACAACTGGAAGTTCATGCATAGTGCCGCCTGGACCTTTCCCTAGGTGGCTCTCCCGGCAGCTAATTTAACCTGGGCCCTTTGGCCACAATCAGCCCTGACTATGGGACTAGCAGCTTTGCAGAGCCGAGTGCCCCCACTGAACTCCCTCCTCTCCAAGCCTCGGCATCTCCGTGTCCCCAACCATGCTGTCTTTGATTCGGAAGGCGGGTGGCAAGTGAACATATAAGGCCTGTCCATGCCCCAGACTCCCAGCCAAATCCCATATTGGGTCCCCAGCCCTCACAGCCTGTTTCTCTCGGGCAGCTCTTTTCTGTTGCAGGGCCTGCATCCTGGACAGGAAGGCCACAGCCCCTGGCCCCGGGGTTTACCTTTGTACCAGCTGATGACAGGCTTGGGTGTGCCCGTCACGCGGCAGGCCAGCTTGACTGTCTCACCCAGCTCGGCTGTGCAGTCGGCCAGCTCCTCTTCAAAGTCCGGGGGCCCTGAGGACACACAACAGCCCTGAGTGCTCTGTGGGGGGACATCGGGCTGCGGCACCCCCAGGTGCACCTGGCAGGTCACCTGCCCTGCACCATGAGCCCCACATCTGATGGTGTGGCCCCTATGGGGACTGTCCCTTGTCACCCCTCATCCAAGGTCCCCACCTGGAGTCAGGTGAGTGAGGCAGGTGCATGTTAAATGGAGAGCAGTGGGGGCTCGGGGGAAGATTCTGTTCTGGTTGAGGAAGCAGACCCCGGGCTGCCAGACCCTTCACAGCCCCTGACATGATCCGGATGGGTGCCTTGAGCTTGGGGACCCCATGGTATCCCCGACCTTGGATCAGGGCCAACCCAACACCCAGCCCAGGGGCTCCCCATGAGGCTGTAGCCGTCTGTCCCAGGAACGAGCCCACCCCTCACACCCACCCAGGCAGGGACCTGTGCGGCTGCAGCCGGGTGCCCCATCCTGGCTCAGCCACCTGGGCCCCCGGGAAGGTGGACACTCACGCCACACAGGCAGGGCCAGACGCTGCTGGATGCCACAGATCTCCTTCACCCACGAGCTCTTGATAATGGCTGTCCGTGCCTGCAGCAGGTACTTGCGCACCGAGTCCTCCCGCTCCTGCCACACCTCGAAGGCGCGGTCATCCCCCTCCACCTGGTCGTTCAGGTCGATGCTGCTCAGCTGTGGGTGGGGGAGGGTGTCAGCACAGGGAGGGGGACACGGGCTGACCATCCTCAACAGATGTGGGACCCGACGAGGAAACATTCAGGCCACCCTGGACCAGCGGCTGCAGGTGTGGCCACTGGCATCCACCCCGGCGCTGAGGGACAGGGAGCCCCGCCCAGCAGCCCAGAGCCTGCAGACCTTCATCATGTTCCGGAACACGTAGCTGACGGTATCGGTGCGGGAGTCTCGCCGGGGCTTGCAGATTACCAGGTGGTTGCGGAAGAGGAACACGTGACGGTTGTGGCCCTTCCAGGGCATGCGGGCCCCCGGTGCACCCTCCCACACGATGAAGTGGCCCTGGGGGAGGGTGTGGGCTGCGGTCAGCCTGTGGTGGGCCAGATTGCCCAGCGGTGCAGGCCCCACAGCCACCCAGGTACCCAGTGCTCTGCCCAACTCATGCACACACCGCCACCTCCTGGCAGCCCCAGATACAAGCCCCCAGCACCCCAATACCCACCCACATCACATGCATCTCCCGGCCCCGGCCCCTGGCCCTCCCCAACCTGGCGGATGGGCTCGCCCAGGGCCTGCAGGGTGCCTGGGTAGTTCTCCATGAGGGACACGTGCAGCTTGTTCTCAGCGCGCTGTGGCAGGGCAGACACCACGGCATAGGCCTGCTCCAGCAGCGCGCAGTTCTGTCTGTTCCGCGCCTTGTTGCGGATCAGCTCCTGGGGCCGGGGCGAAGGTCAGGGCTTAGAATGCTCCACAGGCTGGAACCCAAGAGACCCAGCCTGGGCAGAGGAGGCGGGGCAGGGGAGGTGGTGCCCACCTTCAGCAAGGCCTGGTAGCGCTGCACCCGCTCCACTGGCTGCTCCAGGTAGTGCTGCAGAGGTGGTGGCGGGGGCTGAGAGGGGTCCCCTGCCAACAGGGCCTCCTCCGCGTATTTCTGTGGGAACCAGGAGGGTGGGTTTTAGGGCAGGAGTGCAAGGCCCACTGATGGCTGTGTCCCTGAGAGCTGGAGGGTGGGTCCCCAGGGTGCACACACAGCCTACACCCCAGGTGACAGCTGTCATCACCTCCTGACAGGTGACAAGCACAGGACTTGGGCTGCTGAAGTGGCCTTCCCAGAAGCACAGGGCTGCAAAAGCAGCTCCACCCGCATTTCTGAACTGAGGCCCAAGGGGGGTGCAGGGAGGCTGTGGGCAGTGGCGAGGTCGGGGAAGATGAGCGCAGGCTCTGATGTGGGCAGAACAGGATGAACCTTGGAGGACGCCTGGGCTCAGTGAGCCTTCAAAGGGAGCCAAGGGCAGGCACTGAGGTTCAGGAGCCCATGAGTTCAGGCATGGGCACCTTGTAGAACTCCTGGATGGCCGTGCTGACGACCACCGACTCAGCCTGCACACGCCCCACCAGGAACTCCAGGTACTGCTCAAAGGCCGCCTGGTTCTTGATGAAGCACATGGCCACGTCGTCGTCCGTGTCGCACTGCTGCAACTCCTGCAGGAAGCTGCTGTGAAGGGGGATGGCATCAGGACTCAGCCTGCGCCCCATAGCCTGGCCCTGAGCCCTCACCTCTGGGAGGAAGCTGGCCCCTGCACAAGGGCTGGGGCCCTGTGGCTCCTGGGGTCTGTGAGAGTGTGCGTGCAGACATGTGTGGGCATGCAAATAAGTGCTTGTGTGCCGTGTATGAAAGCTCACATGAATATTACATATGTACATGTATGTGGGCGTGCACATTTGTGGAGGCATGTAAATGTGTATGAGCACACATGTGGTTGCATACACAGGCAGGTGGTGGAGGAAGGAGGTGTTGTATGCTATACGCATGCGTGCATGTATTAAAGTGTGCAGATAAAAGGGTGTGCATGTACATGCTGGGTGTGCACATGTGTGCAGAAGTGCATATGCATAGATGTGCAGAGATAGTGTGGGGGCATGTACATATGTGTGTCCATGTGTATAACATATATACATGTACACAGGCATATATGCGTGTGCACGTCTATAGGCATGCACTGTGTGCACATAGGTGATGTGCACGTGTATGTGGGTGTATGTACTGTGTGCATGTGTGTGCATTTACAGATGTGCACATGTGCCATGCACATGGGTGTATGCTGTTAAAGGCTGCACCTGTACACATGTATGTGTTCATGTGTGCACACGTGTGAGGGTGTGCATGCACTTGGGCCTGCGCACATGCCAGTTAGCAGTTGGTGCACCGCAGGCCTTCCCATGAGTAAGCCAGGTACACATGTCTGGGTTTCTGAGGGGAGGGGTGCTGAGGGATAAATCAAGTCAGCACAGGTTCTCTCCCCCCTTGGCTCCAACCCACCTGCAGGAGGCCTGGCCCTACAGTGTGTCCATGCATGGACGTGTGTGTGTGTGTGTGTGTGTGTGTGTGTGTGTGGCCCCACCCACCCACCTGCTGTGGAAGCGGCCGATGTCCCGCACATTGCGGAAGATGACTGCCTTCTGGCCGGCCACAGCTATGGGCACGTGGGGGCAGCGCTCCAGGTGCTGCAGGTGGTGGCTCTGCAGGAACTGCAGCTCCTCCACGAAGGCCTGCTCAGAACTCAGCAGCTCCTGGATCACAGAGCTGGGCAGGAGGGGGCTGCCGTAAGGGACCACGGAGCTCCTGCTTCCCGTGCAGGGACTGTGGGCCACGAGGCCCCCACTCCCTCAGCTGCTAGATGGGAGCGCCTCCTGCTGCGCAGCCTGTTGCCTGCTCGCAGGAAGTGGGAGAGCAGGTGGAGAGAGGCTCCCTCTTGGACAAGGCCGGCCCCAACATCAGGAAGCCACCCAGATGGGTCCTGCCAGCACGAGGCTGGGAGGGCAGCTGCGGGAACCCAGGCAGCTCTGGGCCTGCTCTGCTGTCCTCGGCCCCCACCCGTCCCTAACAGGCTCACACAGGAGCGCTGTTTCAGAGGCCCCCGCAGAGGAATCAGCATGGCCATGACCCCAAGACCTCCAGGGTTAGGTCCTGGACCCAGAGCCAGGGCAAGCGGCCTGCTTCTTTGGGAGACTGTCCAGCTGGTGGGATGCCAGTGCCACCACCTCCGGCCCGGCAGTCACTCACCTCAGCCTTGCCTTGTATTCGTCTTCAGACACAGCCTCCCCAGGGAACTCAGGGGCCTCAGCGGCCCCCCACTCAGGTGACAGCTGGTGAGGGACAGGAGTTTTCTGTTGGGGTACTGAGCTCTGGCCCTGCCCCGCGGGGATCGGGCTCTCGCCCCTCAAATTGGGACGACCCTGCTAGGGGCCTCCGGGACCCCTGAGGACCCCTCCTGCCTGGCCATTCAGATACCTTGAGCCTCCTGTCCAGGTAGGCTGGTGACACCCAGCCCTGCCGTGAGGGGCTGGACTTGGTGGGCTTGGTGCGGACAAGCCAGCGCAGTGGGTGGGCTGCATCCAGGACCTCCACATACTGGCCTTCCCGCAGCGTGATGGCATCCTGCTCAGCCCCTAGGGGCAGGTAGTCAGCGGTGACCACGTAGATGTCAAAGATCTGAGAGAGGGATGGGGGTGCTGAAGTGGTGAGACCCGGGAGGTGCCAGCCGGGCCTGCCGAGATCCTAAGCCACAGGGCAGGGATCCCCAGAGTCAGCGTGCACACGCCCAGTTCCCCCTCCACGCAGAACAGCGGGAATGTGGGAGACCTCCCCTGCCCCACCCCCAACCTTAGAGGTCACCACAGCCCCAGGGTCTCCAGGCCTGGACTGCCTACACTCAGTTACTTGTTTACCTTCTCCCCATCTCCACACCCACCCCAAGCCCTAACAGGGTGCCTGGTACACTGAGGCCTGAGACACATTCTCCATTGAAGGAACAAAGGAGTGAATGAATGAATCAAACAAATGGCTCTCCCAGAAGGCAAGTCTCTGCCGGGCCCCGTGAGGAGAAGACCCTGTTCTCACCAGTTCCTGCCTCCTATGCACCTTGGTGCGGTCCCACCTCCCTAGAGTCCCATGGGGGTCCTGCCTCCTGAGTCCCTCTCCACCCTGCACCTTCTCTTCAGGAAGGTCAGGGCCTCTCCCTGCCCTGCTCCCAGAGGGTTCCAGCCGCCCACCTCGCCTCGGGCATCGCCGTCCTCTGACTCTGAGGAAGACTCCTGGATGCTGGAGGATGGCCGTGATCGGCCATGGCGGGGGGATGCAGATGGTGTCTTGGAGTCCTCATCACTGTCACCTCCGGGCACCTGCAGCTTGGCTGGGGGTGCAAGGATCATGACACCCTGGCCTGCCTCTGGCTCTCCAGGGCTCAGGGGAAGGGCAAACACCCCAGACACACCCCAGGGACCCTGGCACATGGGCTGCTGCCCCTCACCCTGCGTGATCTTGGCCGATACCATCTCAGTGATCTGGGAGGTCAGTTTCTGCAGGAACTCCTCTGTGCCCACCTCAGCGAGGGACAGGTGGCCGAGGGCCTCCTTGGCAGCCAGAGGCTCTTCTGCGGATACAAACGCTCTGCTCAGGTGGCTGCGTGCCCCTCGGATGTATACCAGGCACCCCATGCCATAGGCCCATGTTGGGCCCTGGGAGCCGATGGTGAACAAAGAGCCAAGGCCTCCCCCGCATAGTGCTGATGTCCAGCAGGGAGATGATGAGACTCAGTGGCCGGCAGGGCAGGAGGCCAGTGGGAACTGGCCAGGATGAGGAGTCACTCTGGCTCATGAGCGTCAAGCCGAGGCGTGACCAATGGGCTGAGAATGTCCAGAGACAGAGGGCACAGCAGGGGCCGCCAGTGGACAGTGGACGAGGGGCACTGGGGACAGAGTCAGCAGAGGCCAGACCTGCGCATCAGGCTGCAGGAGGAGCCGTGGGTCCAAAGCGGGGCTGTGCTGCCTCTGTTCTCAGTGCCCAGCACCTAGGAGTTCTACCCAGACCCAGGTATCTACACAGCCTGCTGGATGTGAGCTCTGTGCCCAGGGCCGGCCCAGGGACCCCACAGGCTCCCGGATCCACGGGGATCAGACATGGTTCTGACACTAACCAAGCCTCAAGTCCAGGCCTAAGAGAACATGGGTTGGTCCTGGCTGTGTGAGCAGGTGTCCCAAGGCTGTGCTGCTCAGGAGGGGCCTCTGAGGCCAGGAGCCACCCCTGGGCAGCCTCCTCCCTGCCCCCAAGCATCAGGGGATCAGCCACCCTGGCCCCTCACAAGCATGCACCCACCCTGACTGTACCTTTCCTCTGCCCACCAAGGTCAGCAAAACTCGCAGTTTCCAACCCCTGTGCTGAGATGGCTTGTGTGGTCCTAAACAGGTGAAGGGGGTGTCCTGAGAGGCCTGGGCTGGACCCCACCACCCTCTGTCCTTATGCAGAAGCTCCTGACAAAAAGAGGGTCTGGGGGCAACAAACCAAGATACCAGAGAAAGAGGCTCCATACCAGAGAGGCCCAACAGAAGCCCTCACTTTACAATGGGGAAACTGAGATGCAGAGAAGGAAGAGAGCTGGCCCAAACCACATGGCCTGCATGGGGCAGAGCCAGGACACGCTCCGGGACAGGTGCTCTCCCCAGGGGCAGCGCTGTCCTGTCCCCCACTCCTAGAGCGTCCTCCCTGGCCCTGACCGGACTGGCCTGGAGGGGCAACCCTCACTCACCCCTGCAGGAAAGTGGAAATCAGCGCTTCCTTCACTTTCTCCTGCTCCTCCACCTTAGGCACTGTCAGGAGGACCGGCAAGCCATCAGACGGTGCTCCCAACCCCAGCACATCTGATTCCAGATCTGGACTGGGTCCCTCCGAAGCCCTGAGCAGGGGCTGTGCCCGAGCTCACCTCCCCATCCCACTCTTGGCCCGTGGTCACCCTGACAGTGATGGGAGGAGAACAGGGGTTCCTGTCCTCAGAGGGGCTAAGCAAGGCCCAGGATGCAGGGGGCTTCAGGAAATGTCTCTGGAGCCAGCGGTGCAGAACCCACGGGGCCTGGGCCCAGAGGCGACTCTGAGGCTCAAAACCACCAGCACCACCAGGGCCTGACCCATTTTGGGGTCTCCCTGGTGCTGTCAGAGAATGAAAAGAGGAAGGAGGGGGTCCCACAGGGTCCCAGCCAAGATGGTGGTGATGGGCAGTGTGCCCCAAGGAGACCCCAAAGCCACCCAGTGCCCACCCCCCATGCCCCAGCCCCCCATCCCCCCATCCCCCCACCCCCACTCACGGCCCGAGACGTGCAGGCTGGCGGAGCAGAGGGCCTGGCCGGCAGCGTTGCTGGCAATGCATGTGTAGGTGCCCTGGTGCTGCCGGCCCACGTCCAGCAGGACCAGGCTGTGCTGCTGCGCAGAGCTGGCCACGGTGTAGCCCGGTGTGTCAGGGCCAATCCACAGCACGCCTCTCTCAGCCTCCTCCCTGAGCCAGTGCACGGTGGGCACCGGGCGTCCTAGGGGCAGGCAGGAGGTGGTGGGTGCACCCCGCCAGGAGCGGGGTCTCTGGAGATAAAGCCCTGCCACAGGCCTTCCCTCGGGATGATGTGAGTGGGGAGGGGGCACCTCTGTCCCATCCCCCAGGGGTGATCTTTCCATAGCTGCGGGCAGGAAACGCCTTACCTTCTACCTTCACAGAGAAGGTGATGCTGGAGCCTTTCTTCACTTTCTTGGGGGTGAACCTCTCCAGCATTCGGGGCGGCACCAGCTGCTCATGCACATCTAGGGGACACAGGCTGGCTGGCAGAGACCTCGGCACAGCCCCCACCGCCCGCCTCCTGGCCCCGGATGATGTCTGCAGACGCCCAGGTGGCTCTCCACAGCCAGCACCTGGACAGCACCACGCTTCCCCCTCGGCCGGGCTGTCTCCTTGCTGCGCCCTCCCTGAGCCAGCCCATGGCCACCCACACCTCCACTGCAGCCAGCCCTAGGCTCAGGCCCTCAGCACCCATGGCCACCTGGCCTCTCCCTGCCTGTCTGGGGCTGCCTCACCTGATGCAGGCTTCTCTTCTGGCTCATCAGGGCCTGAAAGAGGCACTAGAGTCAGACACCCAGCACACACAGGCCCCCACCGTGGCTCCTACCCGGCGCTGTGCGGGTGCCTGGCAGTTCTGCCCCCTACAGTGAGGGAACCCAAGGGCAGCGCTGCTCCCCAAGCAAACGCCCTAACCCCTGCCTGAAACCTGGGCCTTGGAGCCCTGGAACTCTACACACTCAGGTGACAGAGGCAACAGGCCGCATGGACCAGACCCGATGACCCACCACCCACCCTCGCCCTGCCACAGACTCTGTGGCCCCACACTGGAATCAGCACACAACCAAATAATGCTGCCCAGAGCAGCAGAGGACTCACACCTGGAGACGCTGGGGAAAGCTGCAGCAGTGGCAGGACGGGTTTGGGTGAAACTTGGAATGAACTCTCAGTGATCAGAACTTTTTGAACAATAAGGAAGTAGGGTCCTCTAGTCCCAAGCTACCACCGGCTCTGGCTGTGCGTGGATCTACCTAGAGCCGCAGTGTTGACCCACTTTCCTGGGTCAACTTCAACCTCCAGCCTGCCCATCAGTCAGGACAGAGGGCTGCACACCCACTCCTGGAAGGGCCAACTTCCGGCCGCCTGTGCCACTGTGTACCAAGGGGCAATGACCAATGATCCTCGCTGAGGGCCTGATATGGCAGGGTGTGCAGGGGATGTCAGCCCTGGCCAGGATGCTGCCCAGGGCCCAAGTCTCTGCCCGGCCCCTCAGAGCACCCACCTCGAACCAGCAGCCGGGCAGACGAGTAGGCAGCACCCATGGCATTGCTGATATAGGCTGCATACTGGCCAGAGTCCTCCCGGGTGACGGAGATGATCTCCAGGGTGTGCAGGATCTTCTTGTCAGTCATGCGGATGTGGGCAGATGCGGTCAGGGGCTGGCCATCTTTGAACCAGTATAATCTGGGAGCAGGGTAGCCTGGGCCACGGGAGGAGGAGTGGTCAGCCTGGGCTACCACCCACGGGCACTGTGCCCTCCAGATGGGAGACAGATGAAGGCCTGGAGAGAGGGTCCCCACACCACCAGTGACAGAGTGTCAGCCTCCTGCACCCAGGCAGCAGGGATGAGTGACTGCCTGACCCCGCTGCTGGGGTCTCCTTTCAATTGTGGCTGATGGGGTATGGCTCCTTGGCCTCCATCCTGCCATGGCTGTGTCCCCACTCCCTCTCCTTCTCACCTTTCACCTTGAGCTGGAACTTGGCCAGGCGTGTGCCAGGGGCCACCTGGAGGTCTCTCAGCTCCTCCACCACCTGGGGCAGCTGGCCCTCATCAGTGGTGGACTCTGTTCCCTCCTGCTCCCGGCTGGCAGAACAGAAAAGGGGTCAGCCATAAAGCAGGGCATCGAGGGGAGCAGGGCGGGAGGGGTGCTGAGGGGCTTGGGCATGGATGACGCTGGAAGCCCCTGTTTGCTGACTGAGTGGACAGAGACCGCCAGGGCCTGGAGGAAGGCTCCAGGATTGGATGCTGTCAGACCAAGCCCTGCCCTCACCCAGCAGCATCACTCCCCGAGAGGCCCTGCGACGTCAGTCCATGGGGCACAGCCCACCTCTGGCAGCCCCTACCTGGACAGGTAGCCTTGGGCACTGAAGTAGGATGAGGACTCCGTGGCATCTGCTGCAGTGTCATAGTCTGTGCTTGTCACTGGGGAAGGAAGAGGGGAGCTGGAGCAAGGTCTGCCATCCCATCTGCCCCAGCATAAGCTACCGCACCAGGATGGCCTCGGCCCTCAGAGGTCCTGACTACAGAGCCTTGCCCGGGAGCCACTTAGACTTGGGAGCTAGGAAGTCACAGGGGAAACAGCAACATTGTAGCCTCTCCACCTCAGGCTATTACTAGCCCCATTCTTCAAGGCCTATAACTAACTACAAGCCTCTTTGACACAACAAACTAATACCGAATGATCCAGGGGCCTCAGAAGAAACAGTGATAGTGGTAGAACCTTCCAGTTCCATCCTACTAGGGAATAATGGGATGAAAAGATACAGGCCTCAAAACCAGAAGCTAGGACTAGTGTTTCTAGTCAAGATGGAGTGACTGAGGCTGGACTTACCCTCTCTTATGGACTAAATGTTGAGATGCCCCCCAAAGACCATATGCTGAAATACTAACCCCCTATGGATGAAGAGGTGGGCCCTTGGGAGGTATTAGGTGATGAGGGTGGAACTTCCATGGGACCCCAGAGAGCTCCCTCATCCTCTTTCTATCATGTCCTTGCATGATGTATTTTTTCTTCTGTAACAATTTTATTTTATTTTATTTTATTTTTTTTTTTGAGACGGAGTCTCGCTCTGTCGCCCAGGCTGGAGTGCAGTGGCACAATCTCGGCTCACTGCAAGCTCCACCTCGTGGGTTCATGCCTTTCTCCTGCCTCAGCCTCCCAAGCTGGGACCACAGGTGCCTGCCACCATGCCCGGCTAATTTTTTTGTATATTTAGTAGAGACGGGCTTTCACTGTGTTAGCCAGGATGGTCTTGATCTCCTGACCTGGTGATCCACCCGCCTCGGCCTCCCAAAGTGCTGGGATTACAGGCGTGAGCCACCACGCCCGGCCTCTTCTGTAATAAATTTATAATCTTCTTCTGTACTTGCTATTAATCCTATCAATTGGATTTTTTTATCTCTGGAAGTTCTACTTGGGTTTTTAAAATATATTCTGTCTCAACATCACTAATCATCAGGGAAATGCAAATCAAAACCACAATGTGATACCACCTAACTTCTGCAAGGATGGTCATAATAAAAAAGTTAAAAAACAGCAGATGTTGGTGTGGATGCAGTGATCAGGAAACACTTCTACACTGCTGGTGGGAATGTAAACTAGTATAGCCACTGTGGTACAGTGTGGAGATTCCTTAAAGGACTAAAGGTAGAACTATCATTTGCTCTGGCAATCTCACTACTGGGTATCTACCCAGAGGAAAATAAGTCATTATTTGAAAAAGACACTTGCATATGCATGTTTATAGCAGCACAGTTCACAACTGCAAAATCATGGAACCAACCCCAAATGCCCGTCAATCAACGAGTGGACAAATAAACTGTGGTATATATATATATATATATATATATATATATATATATATATATATATATGGTGGAATACTATACAACCATAAAAAGGAATGGATTAACAGCATTTGCAGTGACCTGGATGAGACTGGAGACTATCATTCTAAGTAAGGTAACTCAGCAATGGAAAACCAAACATCATATGTTCTCCCTGATATGTGGGAACTAAGCTATGAGGATGCAAAGGCATAAGAATGATACAACGGACTGACTGGGTACGGTGGCTCATGCCTGTAATCCCAGCACTTTGGGAGGCCGAGGTGGGTGGATCACAAGGTCAGGAGATCGAGACCACGGTGAAACCTCGTCTCTACTAAAAATACAAAAAATTAGCCTGGTGTGGTTGCCGGAGCCTGTAATCCCAGCTACTCTGGAGGCTGAGGCAGGAGAATGGCGTGAACCCAGGAGGTGGAGCTTGCAGTCAGACGAGATCGCGCCACTGCACTCCAGCCTGGGCGACAAAGCAAAACTCCATCTCAAAAAAAAAAAAAAAAGAAAAAGAATGTTTCAGTGGACTTTGGGGACTTGGGGGGAAGCGTGGGAGTGGCGGCGAGGGACTAAAAATATGGTGCAGTGTATACTGTTCAGGTGATGGGTGCACCAAAATCTCACAAATCACCACTAAAGAACTTACTCATGTAACCAAATACCACCTGTACCCCAATAACTTATGGAAAAAATAAAGAACTGAAAAATAAATATTGAGAGATAAAAACATTAAATAAAATATATTCTATGTCTCTACTTTTCTTTTTTTTTGAGACAGAGTCTCACTCTGTCACCCAGGCTGGAGTGCAGCGGTGCAATCATAGCTCACTGCAGCCTCAACCTCCCAGGCTCAAGCAATCCTCTTGCCTTAGCTTCCCAAGTAGCTGGGACTACAGATATACACCACCATGCCTGGCTAATTTTTTTGTATTTTTTTTTTTTGTAGAGACAGGGTCTCACTGTGTTGCCCAGGCTAGTCGTGAACTTCCAGGCTCAAGTGATCCTCCTGCCTAAGCCTCCCAAAATGCTGGGATTACAGTCATGAGCCAAAGTGCACCAGGCCAGGACAGTGATTTCTTAAACACAGGAAACAAACATGAGCCCTATGATTGCTCCAGTTTCCTGCCTTGAATTTGTAGGCTCAGGGAAGGGAAACTGAGGTAGGGCCCAGCAGACTCCTTGAGATGGGAAGATGGAGCTCAGAGTCCTGGGAGACTAAGGCAGCTAGAGTTCACAGACAAAGTACTGGAGAAAAGAAAGCTGTACAGAGAAAGGACCTGCCTCAAGGACTCAGCAGAATACTGATTAGTATCTGCATGTGAGGAAAGACCCACGTGAAAGGATTAGGGGAAACAGTACCAGGAATAGCTCCTGGTTCCACCAGTCAGACTAGAAAAATTCCTAACTCAAAGGGCATTGAGTAGAATACTCAGGAAAGTTCTTGCCTCAGTAGTGGGAAATAATTAGCCCTAGACTGAGCACTGCTCTGGAGCCACCAAAGAAATCATAAAAGCTAGGCCCCAAAGAATAAAATCGCATCCAAGTATCTTCACTGTATCCCAGAACAAAGCTCAAGAAGATATGCAGAAATACAAAATATCCTAATAGGGTAAAGTTTACAATGTCAGGCACTCAATCAAATATCACCAGACATACCAAGAGACAGGAAAAGATGACCCATAAAGTAGAAAATAATCAACTGAAACCAACCCGGAACTGATGCAGATGTTAGAACTGGTAGAGGAGACATGAAAACAGGTATTAGAATTGTATTCTCTGCATTCAAAACGTTAAGTAGAGATGTAGAATATATTTTAAAAGACTCAAGTAGAACTTATAGAGACAAATAATAAAATGAATGAGATTCATAGGATAGATATTACAGAAGAAAAGATAGTAGACATAAAGGCATGAATAAAAACTATGCAAAATGAAAGACACAGGAATTTTTAAAAGTGAAAAGAGCATTAGTGAACTGTATACACTCCATGTGACTTAATATACAGGTAATTGAAGAAAAGAATATTTGAAGCGATAATAATAATATGGCTTAATATACCTGTAATTGAAGAAAAGAATATTTGAAGCAATAATGGTCACAGAAATTCCAAACTTAATGAAAACTCTAAACTCACAGTTCTAAGAGGGTTAACAAAGTCCAACCTCAACAAACATGAAGAAAAGTACACCAAAGAAAATCATAATCAAATTACTCATAACCAGTTATTTTTTTAAATCTTTAAAAATACCTAGAGAATTTTTGCGAAGAAAGTGATAAGCTGATCCTAAAATTCCTATGAAAATGCAAGGCACCCAGAAAAGGCAAAACAATCTTGAAAAAGAAGGAAGTTGGAGGACTTACCCTCCCAATTCCAAAACCCACTACAGAGCTACTGCAATCAGGACAGTGTGGTGCTGGCATAATGAAAGACATTTAGATCAATGAAACAGAATTTAGAGTCCATAAATAAACCCATACATTTAGAGAAAATCAAATTTTGACAAGAATTCCAAGACAATTCAATGGGGAAATAGTCTTTTCAACAAATGGTGCTGAGACAACTGGGTATCCACATTAAAAGAACAAACTTGGGCCCTTACTTCATATCATATACAAAAAAAAAAAAAAAAAAAACCTCAAAATGGACCAAACACTTAAATATATGAGTTACTATAGGCATAGGTGTAACTCTTTATAACCCTGGATTAGGCAATAGTTTCTTAGAAATGACAGCTAAAGCACAAGCAACCAAAGAACAAGTAGATAAATTGTACTTTATTAAAATTTAAAACCTTTGTTGAGGCAGGAGGATCACTTGAGGCCAGGAGTTTGAGGTTACAGTGAGCTATAATTAGACCACTGCCCTCCAGCCTGGGCTACATAGCAAGACCCTGCCTCTACAAAAAAAAATTAAAAAATTAGCTGGGCATAATGGCACACACCTATGGTCCCAGCTACTTGGGAGGGTGAGTCAGGGGGATCACTTGAGCCCAGAAGTTCAAGACTACAGTGAGCTAGGATCATGCTATTGCACTCTAGCCTGGGCAACAGAGTAAGACCTTATCTCAAAAAAAATTTAACACTTTTGTGCCTCAAAGAACACTCTCAAGAAAGTAAAAAGACACGCACAGAATGAGAACATATTTGAAAATCTTTTATCTGATAAGACTCTAGTATCAAGAATATATGAAGAACTCTTACAACTCAAAAATAAAAGACAAATTACCCAATTTTAAAATGTCCAAAAAATTTGAATAGACATTTCTCCAAAGATATACAAATGACCAACCAGCACATGAAAAGTTAGTCACTAGGGAAATGCAAATCAAAACTACAATGAGATACCACTTCATATCCATTAAGATGGCTATAATCAAAAAGATGAACAATAACAAGCCCTGGCAAGGATGTGGCAATATTGAAACCCTTGTACATTGCTGATGGGAATGTAAAATGATGTGGCTACTGTGGAAAAGCTTGGTAGTCCCTCTAGGAGTTCAACCAAGTTGCCACATGACCAAGGAATTCCACTCCTAGGTGTATATACATGAGAGAATTAAAAACATGCTCACACAAACACTCATATACAAATGTTCACTGCAGCATTGTTCATAACAGCCAAAACAACCAATGGATAAATGCCACCTGATAAATGCATAAATACTCCACATACCATGGAATATTTTTCAGCCATAAAAAATGTGTACGATAATAATATATGCCACTACATGGATGGACTTTGTAAACAGTATGCTCAGTGAAAGAAGGCAGACAGAAATGGCCATGTATTGTAGGATTCTATTTATAGGAAATGTCCAGAATAGGTTATCCCATAGAGACAGAAAGTAGATTAGTTATTTCCTGGGGCTGGGGGAATGGGAGAATGGGGAGTAACTGCTAATGGTTTCTTTTCAGGCATGATGAAAATGTTCCAGAATCAGATATTCCAGAACATATTATTAGACAGAAGTGATGGTTGCACAGACCTTGTGAATATACTAAAACCCACTAAATTGAACATTGGTAAATGATGAATTTTATGGTGTGCAAATATGTAAAAAGTTTTAAATCCTTATACAAAGACAAGTTATGTACAGAAAATCAACGACAAGAATGACATTCTAATTCTCACTGGAAACAATGCAAGCTAGAAGACAGTGGAGCAACATCTTTAAAATGTGGAAAGAAAAAAACCGTCCTAGGAAAAACATCTTTCAAAAACAAAAGTGAAGTAGAGACATTTTCTGACACACAAAATCTGAAGGAATTCCAGCATACCCACACTATAAGAAATATTAAAAGATGTCCTCAGGCAGAAGGAAAATGGTATCAGATGGAAATCTAGATCTACACAATGGAATGATGCACTCAGAAATGGAATGATGTGGATAAATATATAAGTTCTTATTTAAGATCATTGACTTTTCTTTAATAGTTCCTTTTCCTTTTTACTTTGGAATAACTGTAAATTCACACGCGGTTCTAAGAAGCGATATAGAGATCCCATTTATTCTTTATCCACCTTCCTGCAATGTCAACATCTCACCAACTACAGTGCAATATCACAACTAGAAGACTGACATTGATGCAATCCATTGATTTTGTTGAGATTTCAAAAGTTTTACAAGAACACAATTGAGTGTATGTTTATATATTTAATTTTATGTAGTAAGATGCAATTTTATCACAGTTATTATACATCAATAGTTCCTTTTTATGGCTGAGTAGCATTCCATAGAATAGATGTACATAGGTGGTTTGTTTAACCATTTACCCATTGAAGGACATTTCGGGTGTTACCAGCCCTTGGCTCTGTTAGGAATAAAGGTGCTATGAACATTTGGGTGCAGGTTTTAGTTTGAATGCAATTTTTTCATTTCTCTGATATAAATGCCAAAAAAAGAGAGAAATTGTTGGGTTATATGGTAAGCACATGGTTAGTTTTGTAAGAGGCTGCCACAGTTTTCAGAGTGGCTGGCCCATTTTACTTTCCCACCAGCAATGTATGAGTGACCCAGTTTCTCTGTATCCTCACTTGCATTTGGTGCTATCACCATTTTTAATTTTAGCCATTCTGGTAGTTATGCAGTGATATCTCATTGGGGTTTTAACTTGACTATCTCTAATGGCTAATGATGTTGAACATCTTTCATATGCTAATTTACCTTCTGCATATCCTCTCCCATGAAATGACTGGATAGTCTTTTGCCCATGTTACAACTGGATTTTTAAAATTCTTTACTGCTTAATTTTGAGCATTCTTTGTATTTATTTAGATAAAAGTCCCTTACAAGATACATAATTTGTGAACATGTTCTTCCAATCTGTAACATTTCATCCTCTACACAGCAGGGTTTTTCTCAGAGCAAAAGTTTTCAATTTTGGTGAGATCCAGTTTACCAGTTTTTCCTTTTATGGATGGTGCTTTAACTGTCAAGTCTAAGAAGTCTTTTCATAGCCTAAGATCCTAAAGATTCTCTGCCATTTTTTTCCCCTAAAAGTTTTATATTTAAGGATGCAATTGATTTTGAGTTAATTTTCATATAAGGTGTGAAGTTTAGGTTAAGGGTCATTTTTTGCCTATGCATGTCCAAATTTCTCCAGCACCAAATTTGTTGAAATTCTATCCTTCCTCCATTTAATTGCTTTTGCACTTTTGTCAAAAATCACTTGGACATATTTGTATGAGTCTAAATCTGTATTCTCCATTTTGTCCCACTGATTTATGTGTCAATCCCTCTACAAATTCCACACTGTCTTTAATACTTAAGCTAAATAGTAAATCTTAACATTAAGTAGAATGGTCCTTCCCATTTTATTCTTGTTTTTCAAAATGGTTTTTAGCTATTTTAAGTTCTGTGCCTTCCCATATACATTTTAGAACAAGCTCATCTGTGTATATAAAAAAATCTTGTTGGGATTTTTATAGGAACTGCATTAAACCTACATATCAATTTGGCATCTTAGCTATGTTGAGTTCCAATCCATGAACATGGTATGTCTCTCTGCTTGTTTAGGTCCTTTCTGTTGTCTTTCATCAGCATTTTGTAATTTTCAGGACACAGATCCAGTAGATGTTTTGTTGTATTTACATCTAAGTTAAAAAAATTTTTTTATTTTAAGCTATTATAAATATTATTGTGTTTTTAATTTTGGTTTCCACGTGTTCATTTTAAGTATATACAAATACTACTGATTTTTGCATGTCAATCTAGTATCTTGTGATCTTCTTGAAACCATTTATTAGTTCTATCTTAGGGCCATCCCATGGCTGCCCATCCAGCCCCAAAGCACCTCCAAAACTGTCTGCCTGGCCTGTGGCATCAGGCTCAACATGGAAGGGGATGGCAGGAAAGAGAAAAGAAATCTTTCTTTAGCATCTCACAGCCTGTACCAGCCAGAGGCTGGAGGACTCAGTGAGACTTTATCAGGCTGAAAGATACAGCATCCTTCTCCTGTCCCAACAACTGCCTTGCAAACCAGCTAACAATTTGTGCTTAACTATGTACCCAGCCTGTTCTACTAAATGTTTTACATGAATCAACTCACTTAACTCTCATAGCTATACCACAAGACAGTTTCCATGATCTCCATTTTCCAGATGAGGAGGCTGAGGCATTGAGTGATAAAGTCACTTCTACCAGATCACATAGCTGGTAAGTAGCAGATCCAGGATTTTACCCAACTCTGTGGCTCCAGAGTCTGTCCCTGAGCTGTTTTCACTCACAACACATCTGATGCCAACTGGATGTACAACACATCCATTCAATTCTGACATTAACTGCCCAAAGTTAGCACAGACCCTAAACATTAACAGAATCAATCTCACAAGTATGTTCTCACTTTAGATGCCAGTTGTAAGTCCCAGATTTCCACCCATA
This sequence comes from Homo sapiens, assembly GCF_000001405.40. Classification (NCBI taxonomy): domain Eukaryota; kingdom Metazoa; phylum Chordata; class Mammalia; order Primates; family Hominidae; genus Homo; species Homo sapiens. The sequence goes on along the minus strand of NC_000001.11, from coordinate 228,324,561 downwards.
CTTTTGACTGAATGGCTGTAAATTGGAGGTTCCTACAACCCTCTTCCTTGTGTTTGATAATTTGCAACAATGGCTCGCAGAACTCAGAAAAGTGCTTTACTTACTACTAATGGTTTACTATAAAGGATATAACTCAGGAATGGCCTCATGGAAAAGATACATAGGGCAAGGTGTGAGGGAGAGGAGCGGCACTTTGCACAACTATCCTGGCACCTCCACGTGTTCAACAGCCCGCAAGCTGCCCAAACATCTTAGTTTATGGGTTTGTATGGAGGCTGCATCACATAGGCATGATAAATTACTTAATCTCCAGCATCCCCACCCTCCCGAGAGGATGGAGGTAGTGCTGACAGTTTTGGGCTTCTAATAAAGGCTTGGTCTTTCTGGAAACCACCCCTCATCCTGAAGTTAACTAGGGGCCCACCAAGAGTCACCTTATTAGAACAAAAGATGCTCCTATCACCCAGGAAATTCCAAGGGATTTAGAAGCTCTGTGTCAGGAACTGAGGACAAAGGTCAAATAAATATTTCTCATAATGCCACAGTGCCACAAACCATTCACCATGCCCTTGAGCTTCTCCTGAGAGGCTTCCTGATCAAGCCATCTGACAGCCTTCAAAAGGGACCTCAAGGGAGTGGTTGGGGTAGGCTGGACTCACCCTTCTTGACCCCCTCACCTTACTCCATGAGGTCCACTTCCAAATCTTCCTGAGCCTCTGTCCCAGCCAGGATGCCTCTCACAGAGATGAGATCCCTCAACCCCTTACCCCAAGGGGCTCCAGACTAGGGGCGTGTCTTGGCCCTAGCTCCCAGACAGCTTTCCATCAGCCACAAGACAGTGAGGCCCCAAATCCTGCCTGGGCTGAGACGAATGCTCTCTGAACTATCCTCAAGACCAACTCAGGAGCCCCTACACCACCCACCCTGGAGACACCAAACCAGACGCAGTACTCACAGTCCACACGGAGCTCAGCCTTGGTGGAGGAGACACCCATGCTGTTCTCGGCCAGGCAGCGGTAGACGCCCATGTCTGCTGGCACCACGGCTGTGATGATGAGCTGATGGCCACCCTGTTGGTCTTCATTAATCATGTAGTGATCATCCTCCTCCAACAACTTCCCATCCTTGAACCAGCGCACACTGGGCATGGGCTGACCTGTCACCACGCAGTCAAAGCTCACAGGATACCCATCCTGCACTTCTTGGTTCTGCAACTCAGTCAGGAACACTGGGGCTGGGATAGATGGGTGAGTTAGCCCCAGGGAACAATGATCACGTCCGGCTGCCACATACATGCAAGTTGCCACCAGATGAATGGTTTGACACATATGATGTACGGAACAATCATTCATATGGGAGCATTCACAGACACTGACAGCTAAACAGAATGGTATCTTTGCCTACTAAGCCTCTCTCTCTTCCTTGTTCTCTAAGAATTCTGTTTGCCAGCTTGGTTCCCAAGCTACTTTGAGGCAAAAGGGATAAAGGGCTGGAAACAGGGAGGAAAAGGGAGGTAAAGCAAAGATAAAGACTGTGTGGCCTGTAAGTCCAGGAGGAGCAGGTGAGGGATTTGAAGCAAGGGAGAGGCTCAAAATTGGAGAGAAGTTTCAAGAAGTAACACTGTGGGTCATTCATCATACCCTCTTTAACATTCCTAGAGAGACACAAGTAAATAAGGAAATGGCTTTTTAATTACTCCTAGATGCTGGAATGGGAAATGGTATGCAGACTGGACCATGAGGAGTGCAGCATTTTATACAGGTTACATTTCAGAGTCTCATTTTTAAAAAATTCTAGAGAGTGAATACAAACGACCTTTGAACAACATGCATTTGAACTGCATGGGTCCACTTATATGTGGATATTTTTCAACCAAATGTGGATCAAAGAATACAGCATCTGTGGGATGCAAAACCCTGTATAGGGAGGGCTGACTTTTCATATATATAGGTTCTGCAGGGCTGATTTGGGGATTGAGTATGTGTGGATTTGGGTACACATGAGGGTTCTGAAATCCATCCTCTGTGTATACCAAGGTACAACTGCATTCCCATTCTCATTTCACAGATGTGAAAGCTGAGGTACAGAGATGCTAAGCAGCTTCCCCCAAAGCACATAGCTAGTAAGAGACAGGGTTGGAGTTCAAATTCAGCTCTATTTAACCTCAAAGTCAGGGCTTTTCACACCTCAGTGGGCTGCACCTGCGAAGAGCCCAGTGGTGGGCACAGGTAACCCCTTGAGCTTGCAGCAGACTCTAGCTACGACTAGCCTGGATCCTTCTCCCCTGCCTCTCCCTGCCTCTGCACCCTGGCTCGTGACCCCAGACCAAGGCTGTGTGCAGACTCACCAGCGTCAGAAGTCAGTAGGCTGGGCAATGGCTCTGGAGGCACCACAGGGGCAGGAGTCTCTTTGCTGATGCACATCTCTACCCTCCGAGGCCCCTGTTCCACCAGCTTGATCTCCACCCCAATGCCCAGTGTGGCAAACATCTCCTGGAAGCGAGTTACCGCCTGGCGGGCCTCAGTGAGCGCCTCAAAACGGATGCAGATGAAATGCTCATCTTCGCGGTATGTCTGCCAGTCCGCGGGCTCCTCTGGCTCTGCAGGGCCCTCGTCTGCACTCAGGAAGAGCTCCTCATCTGAAACTTCAGCCGGACTTTTGGTGCGGAAGAGCCGGTGCAGCCGACGGGCAGCCCGGCGGAAGGCATCGTCCAGCTCACCCCCAGAGGAGCTCTCGGCTTCACTCTCTGACCCACTGACCACCACACAGGCACTGTGGGTCACCTGGCCAAACTTGTTGCTCACCTGACAGGTGTAGCAGCCAGCATCAGCACGGTCCAGGCCAGTGATCAGCAGAGAGCAGGTGCCATCCCCAAGCTGGTCGATGTGATGGTGCCGCCCATCGGTCAGCTCCACACCATCCTTCAGCCAGCGGGCTCGCACATCTGCCTTGCTGGCCACGACACACTCCAGCCGCAGGGCATCCCCCACCTGTGCCTCGGTGTCCCCAAATGTGTGGGAGAACATGGGCCCTTCCTGCTGCTTCATCTCCTTCCGGACCTTGTAGCCCTTAAAGGCAGCCTGGATCTTCACAGCTGCCTTGTCCATTGAGGGATCACCCAGGTCTTTGGTGCTCAGGTCTCCCAGTGGTGGGCGCACAGCAGCCAGTGGCTCCTGCTGCTGCTGTGGCTTCACAGAGGGGGCTGCTGGGGCCCCAACCTGTGGGCACAGAGCCTGACGTCATGGTGAGATAGGGAATCTGAGGCCAGGAACAGGGCACAACAGGTGTCAAGCACATGGCAGGGGCAGCTCCAGGTCTTGCTCCAGTATGCCCTTTTTCCTCCTACCAATTGGACCCACTCTAGCTTCAACTGACCTAGATGTCTGACAGCACCTTCCAAAAAGCAAGCCCACTTCCTGGAAATCGCTTTACACAGTAACTCAGACCAGGATGAACAGGGTTGTGAAGAACACCATAAAGAGACCAGTTCCAACTTTTCAGGCAAAAGTTTTAACTGTCAGATGTGTATATGAATGGATGGATGCAGGGTGGATGGAGAGATACATCGATGAATGGATGGTTGAATGGGAGAACAGGTGTATGGATGGCTGCATGGATGAGTGAGTGGGTGGGTGACTGGTGGATAAGTGAATGGTTAGACAGATGGTGGTATGGAAACAGGCTGACAGATAAACAGACAAACAGGTGAGCAAGTACAGGAATAGATCATGGACAAATGGTGGATGGATGGGTGAATGAGTAGGTGGATGGATGATAAACAGCAGATGGATGGAGTTGTATGGTTGTATAGGTGGGTAAACAGGCTGACAGATAAATGAATGAACAGGTGAACAGGTGCAGGAGTGGCAGATGGATAGTAGATGGATGGATGAATGGAATGGAATGGAAGGATGGTGGGTGGATGGTAGATGGATGAATAACAGGATGGTGAGTAGATACATGAATGGATAGTGGGTAGATGGATGCATGTCAGATAGGAGGATGGGTGAATAGATGAAAACAAGGACGGACGGAAGCATACATGGACAAATGGAAGGATGGTAGATGGATGATGAATGGATACAAGCATGGATGGAAGAATTACGGAAAGATGGCAGAATGGTGAATAGATGATAGATGGATGAGTATGTAGATGGCAGATGGGTGGATGGATGACTAGATGGAAGGAGGAATGTGTGCATGGATGGATAGATGGTGGATGGATAGATGGATAGATGGAAGAAAGGAAAGAAAGATGAACATATGGATGAATAGATGGCAGATGAATAGATGAAAGGAAACAAAGATGGACACATAAATAAATGGGTGGATGAAAAGAAGAAAGAATGAATGCATGAATGGATGAACGAATGAAAGGAAGAATGGATACATGGATGGATGGATAGATAGAAGAATAGACAGATGCATGGATTGAAGGATGGATGGTGGACAGACAGAAGAGAATAAATGCATGCACTGATGGATGGATCATGTATGGATGGATAGAAGGATGGATGAATGGATGGATGGATGGATGGTAGATGGATGATGCATAAACAGATGAAAGTAAGCAAAGACAGATGTATAAATGGATTGATTAGGTAGAAGGATGGAAGGATGGAAAAACGGTTGCCTGAAGAGATGGATGGCAGTTGGATGAATTAAAGGATGGGTGGATGCATGCATGGATGGATGCATAGATGGATGGATGGTGGATGGGTGGATGGGTGGATGGAAGGAAGGATGGATGGATGGATGCATAGATGGGTAGATGAGTGGTTTAGATGGATGGATGCATGAATGAATGGATGAATGGTGGATGGATGCATGCATGGATGGGTGGATGGCAGGTGGATGGATGCATGGATGGATGGATGAATGGTGGACGGATGCATGGATGGATGGATAGATGAATGGTGGATGGATGGATGAACGATGGCTAGAAAGATGCATTCATGGATGGATGGATGAATGGTGGATGGATGGATGGATGCATGGATGGGTGGATGAATGGTGGATGGATGCATGAATGGATGGATAGATGAATGGTGTATGGATGAATGGATGGACAGAAAGATGCATGGATGGATACATGGAAGGAAGAAAGGAAAGATGGACGAATGGATGCATGGATAGATGGATGAATGGCAGATGAGTGGATGAATGGAAGAAAAGATGGATAGATGAGTAGATGCACAGATGGGTGGATGAATGGCAAATGGATGAATAGTGGATGGAGGGATGGATGGATGGATAGATGATGAAGGTCTCAGACCTCTCCTTGCAGGCCAAGTTGGGGGGGCTCACCTTGCTGGCCAGTGGTGAGGTGCCTGGCCTCCCAGCCTTCTTGAGGTAGGTGACCAGGGAAGGGGTGCCTGCCCGGGACTCATCATCAGAGCTGGTGTGTGAGAGGTCAGCATCTCCAGTGCGGGCCAGCTCATCGGCCGTGGAGTAGCCTTCAGAGAGATCAGGTGCCACCTCCTCTGCCTCCTGTGGCAGGCGCTGCGAGCGGCCGTCCTCCTCTGGCAGCTCGCTAATGGAGTCCAGCGTGGGCTCACGGCTCATGCGACGTTTCCGAGCCAGGGCCTCCCACAGTAGGTGCAGGTCACCCTCCTGGGCTGCCTCGGGGGGCAAGCTGGGCTGAGGGGCCTCATCCACAGAGGCTGGGCTCAGTGCCACTGAGGAAGGCAAAAGACTAGTCAGTGGGCTAGTTCAGAGCCATCACCCCAGACCTCAGCTGCTTATCAGTATGCAGCTGGGCTGTGGCCTTGCTAGGCCTCTCTCCCCACCTGGCACTAGCTACTTCAGATGGCACAATCTTTGCAAGTCTCAGAGCCCCTGAGCCTCAGCTCCCCCACTTTGAGTGAGGCCTCAGTCTACCTCCCTGCATAGGGTATGTGATGACCGGAACAGGAAAGGACTCTGCAAAAGCAAATTGGGCTGATTTGAGCCCTTCTGGCCCTGCTTCTGGGATAGAGCGCCTAGACTTATGGGGGTGCTGGCTGCCATGCAGGGAGGATTAGGCTCAGAGTTCAGGGAACAGGCCTCAGAGTGTGGGAGGGATCAGAGCACCGGGGGTTTCAGGGGGTTCAGAGTACAGGGGATGTCTGTGTGCAGGGGCCCAGAAGCTTAAAGGGACCAGAATAGGAGAACCAAGGGCTGCACCACCCAGGACCTGCTCAGGGACAGGCAGGTTGGCCTACGCCATCAAGGCTCTGCAACATGGGGTTTGCCGCATCTCCCTGTGGAGCCTCAGTCTCTCCCATGTGATGGGGTCCTCAAAAGGACCCTCAGCCCTTCCCTGAGAGAGCCTGTGAGAGGAAGGCCAAGCTGCACCCCCACACCAGAGCTCCCCACCCTGGAACCTGGAAGGACAGGGACAACGCACCCTGGAAGGTGGCAGCCGCAGGGCAGATGGAGCCCTGAGCCAGGCCACAGTGGTACTCGCCCTGGTCTTCTGCCGTGAAGCCCTTGATCACCAGCATCTGTTGCCGACCCTGGGAGACCACCTCGAACCGCCCACCGGGCTGGATGCGCTCCATTCCCTTGTGCCAGATGACCTCACCAGCCTCAGCCACCACCTCAAGCTCCAGAGAGACATCTTCACCAGCTGCCACCTGCCGGCTCTCAGGGGCTGAGGGCTGGGGAGGCACAGGCTTCGGTGGCTCTGCTGGGGAACAGCGTCCACGGACAGAGGACAGGCCCCATCAGCAAAGATGCACCCAGGGTGCAGGCCCCACTCCCGGGGATCCCTCCCTCCTCCAGCTTGTGGGGGCTGTGAACTCCCCAGACCCCAATGAAGCAACTCACCAAGCCGCACTGTCTGGGGCAGGTGAACCGGTTCCCCAGCACCCACAGGGCCCACAGCTGCCACACGGAAGCGGTAGGTCTCCCCGGGGGCCAGGCCATCCACCACACACTCGGGTCCAGGCACCAGCTCGTGGCACAGCCGCCACTGGCCTGTGGCCCCCTCCTTCACCTCCACGCGGTAGCCACAGAGACCACCGCCTCCATCACTCATGGGAGCTGCCCAAGACAGTGTCACAGTGTGGCTGCTGCGAGCCACCACCTCAGCATCCTCTGGGGGATCAGGGAGGCCTGGGGAAAAGGGGGACTGGTCAGGGGGGTGGCTCCCTGTCGGCACCAACAGTCCCTCTGGAAGCCACTGGGCTCTGATACTGGCTGCAGGTGCATGTCACATGGAGACTATATGTGCCCAGAGCCCACCCAGCATGGAGAGCCCCTGGCAGTCTCTGTACCTCCTGTCTCCCCAGAGCTGGGCTCAGATCTGCATTAGGAGTCCGGGGAGCTGAGGGGGAGATGGGGCAGGATGAAGGGACCTTGGCCTTAGGAATCCACAGGGTGGTAGGCTCATGCATGGTTATGCCTGGCCAAGAGCAGCCTCCCAGACTCCCATGGTCAGGCCCATATCCGCAGGCAGTCAACCCCAGGCTCTGGAGTGGGCAGATGCTGCAGAACCCAGCCCAGGATGGTCACCCACGCACTCGCAAGCTCTGGAGGCGGGGCGCGCCCCAGACCCGACCTGCAGGGGAGGGAAAAGCTCGCCCACCACCCACCCAGCACGGTGAGCCGCGCAGAGGCCACGGCGTCGCGGCAAGCGAAGGTGACCTCCCCGGCGTGGTGGGGCTGGGCGCTGCGCAGCAGTAGGGCGTGGTGACTGCCGTCGGCGGTGACAGTCCAGTCGCTGTCATCCGGCTGCACTGCCGCGCCATTGATGTACCAGGACGCCTCTCCCACGGGCACCGCCTCGCTGAGCGTGCAGGTGAAGCATGCCTGTGCGCCGGCCCGGACCGCCGCGTTTTTCAGAGGCTCCAGGATCTCCAGGCGCCAGCCTGCAGATGTGCCCAAGGAAGGGTTGTGAGGGCAAGCGCCGGAGCAGGGAGGGCCTGGGCTTCATACCCTCGCTTCGTCCCACCTGCGTGGGTGGGAGGGGTCTGGGAGGCCGAAGCTCCCCACCTGCGGCCCCAGCAAGCCCCTCTCCAGAAGACAGCCCAGCCTCCTGCGAGAGACACCTCTCATCTGGCCCCCAGTCCTGCCTGCCTTCAACCCAGCCTCCTGTGGGTCCCAGAGACCAACAGGTCCCCCTCCTGGCTCCGGAGAGCCTCTGGTCTCAGCGCACGGCGCCCCACACCGTTCCACCCTTCCTGGGCCTCGGCCCCGGGGGCTTCTACCCACTGCGAAGCGGGTGGCTCCCGGCCTCAGGTGGGATGGGCCGGCCCCTGGCGAACCCTGCCCCTTGTGCCGCTCCCAGGGCCTCAGCCCCTCTGCAGCTCCGGCGGCCCAGCCTCCTGCGGGAGGGTCTCGGAGACTGACGTCCCCTCTGCAGCTGCAGCCCGCAGCCCCGCCCCCTCTGCCGCCCGCCTACCCCAGTCTCTAGTGGGAAGGATCTGACCCCACCCTGCACCAGCACAGCGCAGTCACCTCGGACCGTGAGGAATGCGGACGTCACCATATCCCCAGCCAGGAAGGTCACCCGGCAGCTGTCTTGTGGCCGCAAGTTTTTGAGCAGCAGCAGGTGGCGCAGGCCGTTCTCGAAGAAGACCACCTCGGCGTTCTCCGAGGTGTGCACGGGTTCGTCGTCCAGCAGCCAGGTGTGGGCGGCCACCTCGGGCTGGGACAGCTGGCACTCGAACAGCGCCTCGCCGCCCTCCAGCGCCTCCACATTCTCCAGCCCCCGCACCACCGTGTTCTTGGCTGTGGGGAGAGGGAGGATCAGACCATGCCCGCGCTTCCAGGGTCCCCACGTCCCTTGGGAGTGCCCTGAAAACTACAAAGAGCCAAACAAAATGCCCCCTCCCCAGAAGCTATGTGGAGGTGGGCACTCAGCGTCCAGGGTGGAGCCACCCATGCTTGCCTCTGTGGTCACCCAGCACCCCCCACCACCACCACTATGCCCTGCCCACTTTGGCACTGGGCTTCTGACCTCACAGGTGAGAAACCTCACAGGTGTTCACAAGACTAGAAACTCGCCAACCGCACAACCAGGCTCAAACACAGCCATGAGGCTCAGAGCCATGCTTTACCCGCCATGGCCCTGCTGCAGCTTCACGGTCTGGGAACATCCCCCTTTCTCTGCACCCCCCAACAGAGCTACCAGACCTGCTGCCTGGTCCCTGGAATGCCATGCTCAGACTCACAACAACCAGAGACCTCCTCCCTAATCCACTGCCCTCCGCTCTCCCCTCCCTTTCTCATTCTCTTGTGGGTTCACGTGTAGGAGTCTTGAATTTGGCCACACATTCTTCATGGAAGCCACAAGTTCAGCAGCTGTGCATGCCGTGCCTACTCACAGCTCAGCTCCTGGTGCAGCGAGCTTGCCACCTACGGGGCCTGTTCCCACCTGTCCGAGCCACCTGTGTCCCAGCGCCACCGGACACTGCCTGCCATTCCACTATCACTGCACAGCCCAAGCTGTGCCAAAGCTGCCCCGGGCCTAGGGCTGCTCACCAGGCGGCCTCACCTTGCACTTGCAGCAGGGCCACTACGCGGGTGCCCGCAGCCTCACAAGAATAGATGCCACTGTCACAGGGCAAGGCCGGCCTGAAGGTCAGCCTGGCCACGTTCCAGTCCTGCTCTATGATGACACGGTGCCCATCCGTGTGCACCTCCCGCTCGTCCATCTTCCACGTGGCCTGCACGGGCCGTGAATACTGGCAGAGGAGCTCAGCCGAGCCACCCTCCTCCACGGCCAAGTCCTGCATGGCACTGACCACCTCCACCACGGGATCTGTCGGCCAACATGCCGGACACATGTCAGCCCCCGGAGCTGAGCCACCGCAGCCATCCCACCCTCTGCTGTCAGTGTTAGAGGCTTCAGCGGCAGTAAGCGCAGAGCTGTGGCAGGCAATGGCAGAGCAGTGACCATCTGGCACATGGCCCAGGGAAGGGGGCCCACCACGACAGCCCAGGGCTATCCACTGCAGACACACCTCACCCCCACCCATGGGAGATAGCACTGTCAGGCTTGGTCTCTTTTCAGGGGGGCCCCTCCTGGTCCCCTTTGCCCCTACCTCCCTCTAGCCCTGGGCACATGGCCCCAACAGGGACACACACCCTCCAAAGTCCCCCTACCCCATGCCCTCTGGCCCTGGCTCAGGAGCCAGAGCCCCAGCCCAGCTCGCCCCTTCTGCAAGGACTCTGCCATCTCTCTTGGGGTCCCCGTCCCATCTCCACTGTCCAAATCCTACTCCATAAATGGCTGTTTGCCCCAGGACCCAGGTGAACCTTCCACATTTTCTTTGAGGGCGCACAGGGGACAAAGGCACCATGTGAGTCACTGGTAGGGGGCTCCCATACGGCCAGCTCTTTCCCAGAAGGGCAGAAACCCAGCCTGAGCCCACAGCGGAGGAAGCAGGTGACAGCAGGGGTAGGCTCAGCAGGGGCTGCTCTTGCCTTCACAAGGGACTGGGTTTCATGGCTGGGCACGTGCGGCCAGCAAGGTGGTAGCCAGCAGGGCACAGGTTGGTGTCCAGCTATACCACTCCCTAAGCCCAGACTTCTCATCCACCCTCCATGCCCACCTGTGCCACTGCAGGCAGACAGCATGCATAGAGTGGTGCCCACTCTGTGGCCCTGGGGGCCAATTCCTGATCCCAGGAGCCCGCAGGAAGCATACAAAAGTGCCAGCATGGCAGAGGTTCCCATCGGCCAATACCTTTGATCAACAACTTGGCCGTGGAGACCAGGGGCCCTGCGCGGAAGATGACAGTGCCGGAGTCGGCCACCCCCAGGCCCGAGAGCATGAGGGAGTGAAAGATCCCATCTCGCACAGCGATGGCGCTCTGGGGGCCATCCTGTAGCAGGGTCCCATCCAGCCACCAGCGGGCCTCCGGCCCACCCGCGTGAGACACCTCACAGGAGAACGTGGCCACCTCCCCCGCGAAGACATCCACATTCTGCAAGCCACGTACCAGGCACGGCACTGCCTCTGCACAAGAGGGTAAGAAGGAGGGCGAGGCTGGGACACCCTGGAGTCCACAGGACTGGGCTACTTTAGGGTTCACTGGTGTGGGGGTGTGGCACAAGAATAGATTGTGTCTCTGCTCCTAAAGCCCTCAGAAATTCCTGAGTGTTCATAATGTACTCCTTTGACTACATCTCAGTTTATGCTAATGAGGTCACTCAGGTAGGGGTCCTGGACAACATCAGAATGGGCCTCTAGAAAGGCCAAGTGTTCAGAGGGTTGGAATTTTCCCACCCTCCCACCTCTAGGAAGGGGAGAGGGGAACAGAGATTATGCTCTATAAAAGCTCTTAAATGAGATTTGATGAGTTCCCAGGTTGGTGAAGATATGCAAGTGCTGGGAGCATGGCACGCCCAGAGAGGACATGGAAGGTCTATGCCCACCCCCACCCCCATCCTTTGCCCTTTAAATCTTTTCCACATGGCTATTCCTGAGCTGTATCCTTTATAACAGCTGCTCAATACAAGTATTTCTATGAATTCTGGGAGCTGTCTTAGCAAGTTAATCAAACTCAAGGAGGGGTAGTGGGAACCCCATTTCATAGCTGTTCAGTCAGAAGTGTGGGTGGCTTGGGACTTCCCACTGGCATCTGAAGTGGGGCAGTCTTGTGGGACTGAGCTCTTCATCTATGAAATCTGACTCTAACTCCACATAGAAAGTATCAGAATTGAATTGAAGTGTGGACAGCCAGTTGCTGTCTGCTAGAGAATTGCTTGGTGTTTGGCCCCCACACATCTGGTCACAGAGTGTTCTGTGCTGTGAGAGTATAATAGGAGAAAAACAGTGAGTGTGTTGTTCTCTAGAATTGGTGTCAGAAGTGGGACTTGGCCAGGCACCATGGCTCATGTCTGTAATCCCAGCACTTTGGGAGGTCAAGGTGGGAGGACTGTTTGAGCCCAGGAGTTCAAGACCAGCCTGGGCAACATAGTGAGACCCTGTGGAGGCATGTGCCTGTAATCCCAGCTACTTGCAAAGCTGCGGTGGGAGGATCGCTTGAGCCCAGGGGGTGGAGGCTACACTGACCTATGTTCACATCACTGCATTCCAGCCTAGGCAGCAGGAGACCCTGTCCCCTCACCCCCACCAAAAGTGGGACTTGCTAGAATAGCCTCGGGGCTAGTAACTGGTACAGGGGCCACCCTCGGGTCTGCCAGAGCAGACATCACCCAGACCAGGAGGGTGACCTAGGGTTAGGGAATAGAAATCCACCCAGGCAAGTTGGCCCACCCTGATCACAGAGGGAGACACAGAGGCCACCCACAGTGAGCCTGTGGAGAGTGGCTCAGCCCCAGCTCATAGACCCGCACCCCCACACACCCCTTCAGAACATGCCTGGTTTCACCCACAGGAGGCTGATGACAGGCACACGTGCCCTTCTCAGAAGGCAGAATGGACAAGCTCTAAGCCCCATGGCTGGAGTTCTTTCTGGCCTTTGGTGCCTTATCTGACCCAATGTGGGTTGGGAAGGAGAAGCCACAGGGCCTGCTACTGTGAGTGGATGGGAGTTCACCTCAGAAAGTGAGTTCCCTGTCCCTGGGGGTGTGGAAGCGGACGCTTCTCCCATCCCAAGAGGGCATTCTGTCCAGATGTCCTCCAAGGTCCCTTCAGCCCAGAATTCCAGGGCCCTTATGTTGAGTGGCAACTGCTCCCTGCCTGGTCACACAGCAGGGCCCAAACTCAAGGAGCTTCCCAGACATGTTTGTGGTCACTGCCTGCCCTGTGCCTTCCACACTCTCCTCCTCCCTCCCACCCACTTCTCAGATGGAAACTCAGGGTGGTCACGGCAGATAGGAGAATGTGCCCAGGCTACTGCTGCCCACAGAGTTGAACCCCACACCCCACAGGCAAGGGAGGAAGACAGAACCAAAGGCTTATTCCACCACCTGCTGCCTGGGATCGGGCAACAGAGATGCCCTCCATCCTTGCTTGCCCAAGAAACTTTCTGAGACCATCCTGTGAGCCTCCTCACAAAGAGAGAGAAACTGCAGTTGGCAAAGCCCAGACACTTCCATCCTATGGGGTGAGGAAGCGTGAGTAGGGAGAACTTACAGAGATACCAGCCACCCATCAGGACAACACCAGGCAAATCAGCCCCTGTGCCCACCCAAGCAGGCCCTCCACTGGAAGCCTCTCCGTGCGCTTCCTCGTGTGCACCACTGACACCCCAGCACCAGCTCCCAATCTTCCCTTGACTGTCTTCCCCAAGTGCACATCTGACCACCTCCTCATCTTGCCCCACCAACTCTTCATTCTTGTCTCCAGCAAGTTCCCAAGCTCTTCCACCACAACACCTACCTGGGCCTGGGATGGGCACCCATTTACACACCTGTGCCAGGGCCCTCACCAAAAGGTCATAGCCAGGTGTCTGTACATGAGCCAGCTCACCCAGGCTGAGAATACCTCACCTAGAGAGGGGCCAAAGCACAGCCCAGCTCCATGCTGCTCCATACAGTTGCCCACTCTGATGAATACACCAGGCCCCTGCTATCCTGCCCCTGCTCAGGACACCTGGGAAACTTCCCGTCTTCATCACTCAACTTGAGGGCACTAGCATCTGGAACCTTTCCCAAACCCACAGGCAACAGAACTGACTGCATCTGTCTCCTTTTAAGGACTTGGGAGTGGGAGGTGGCATCTAGGATGAAGGACACACTATCTCCATGTCCAACTCCTCCAACAGATTGGAGACCCCCTGAAGGCAGACTGCATCTGGCCCATCATGAGGTTCAGGACTTGGTTAAGGGTAGGAGCTTAGAGGGTATATTCTACAGTGAATGAATGGATAGCAAGTGGATTGTGAATGTATGACAGATGGTGGATAGGTGGTGGATGAATGAAAAGATAGGTGAATAGTGGATGAGTGAGTGATGAATACATGAGTGGATGGGGGAAGGGTAGATGATGGTAGATGGATGGATGGGTGGATGGTAGATGAATGGAAGGATGGGTGAATGGACAGTGGATGGATAGATGGATAGTAAATGGATGGATAGCGGATGGATCAGTGGGTGGGTGGATGGATGGTGGGTGTGTGAATGGATAATGAATAGATGAGTGGATGATGTATAAATGATGTATGGATGGTGAATGTGTGAATGGGCCGATGGATGGATATATGGATGAACAGCAGGATGGATAGATGAATAGTAAATGGATGGATGGTGGATGAGTGGATGGTGAATGGATGGATGGTGGATGGTGAATGGATGGATGGTAGCTGTATGGATGATAAATGGATGAATGGATGGATTATGAATGGATTGATGGACAGACGATAGAAGGATGGATGATAGATGAATGGACAGATGATGGATGGATGGATGGATGGATGGTGGATAGCAGATGGGTGGAAGGTGGATAGGTAAATGGATAAATGGATGAATGAATAGATGGATGATGAGTACACAGATGGGACCCGTTTGAGACCTAAAGGTAGGACAGTAGGGGAAGAGCACTCAAGAACTAGCACTCAGGGATGACCAGCTCTGGGGGCAAGGTATGAGCCAAGCTGAAGGTTCCTAAAATCTTGTTTGCATGGTTGCCCAAATCCATATACTTGTCATAGGCATGCTTTTGCATCTGCACCTTTGAGCCTGTCCAGGCATGCAGATGTGTATAAACATGGATGCTTTGGCATGTGCGTGCATCCATATCATAGGAGTAGGCGTTTGGAGGGTGGAAGTCAGGAAGGTCCTGCCTCCACCTTAGGGCCCAAGCCTATGGCAGCTGGGCCCCCCATCTCCCTCCCGCAGGTGGCATTAATCCTGGACAGGGACCCTACACACACCCTGGAATTTCTCAAGACTACTTCTACCAGCCTACCCCCCAGTGACCTCTCTGGTCCATGGCTTCAGTGGCCAGGGGTTGGAAAATTGCCAGCCCCAAGACAAGATCACTGTTGGAAGTCTTGGGTTTCTGCCCCCTGCCCGCTGACAGCTGCCACTGGGTAGGTTGTGCTGGTGCCCAGGAAACTGGGCATCTGCAGGCAGAGCGACCAGTGTGGAAAGGGGCTGCCCACCTGTGACTTTCAGCTGGGCCTCAGAGCTACACGTGCCCACGTGGAAACTGACAGTTCCAGCATCCTCAAGGGTCACCTAGGAAGCAGGGAGAGACATGCTTGGCCCTGGGAGCCCCCATCCCGACCAGAAGGAGCCCAGTCAGCTTGCCAGACCTCAATGACAGGAGCTCATCACCTCCCCAGCACAACCCCCTTGTGGAAGGCCTTTCTGAATGGAGTTGGAAGCATCCCCATCCTGGTACACTCAGGTCCCAGAGGCCTCACCTTGTGCAGGGTGAGCAGGTGGAGTGTGCCCTGCTCCACAGTGATGTCATTCATCTCGTTGGCCTGCAGGGGCACCCCTCCTAAAGCCCAGCGGGCCTCCTGGCCTGAAGCTCTGGATAGCCGGCACTGGAAGCTGGCATCCTGGCCCTCACTGAGCTGCACGTCCTGCAGGGGCTCCAGGATGGTCACCTCAGGAGCTGGACACAGGGGAGGCATGGGTGTCAGCCTCAGCGTCTGAGGTGCCCCCTCAATCAACCCAGTCTCATCGTCCCAGGAGTCCATCCCTGGGTATCCTCCCCTAGTGCACAAAGACATGCACATGGGGGCCTGTTCTCAGCTCCCCATTCCAGTTGCAGGCAGAGTCTTCTCTAATGGACAGTGGATGGGTGAATGGATCAATGGAAGAATGAATGGATGGATAATGGGTGGATGGATGGATGGCTGATCAGTGGATAAATAGATGGATTGTGGATGGATCGATGGATAATGGATGGATGATGGATGGATGGATAGTGAATGGGTGGATGGATGGGTGAATGGATAAACAGATGAACGAAAGGATGGATGACAGGTGGGTAAATGGGACTAGTGTGAGAACTAGAGGAGATGGTGCAGATGACTGAGGGCTGGGAGTGGGCTATGGTTTGAAGTGGCCCCCCTGCAAGGGCCAAGACCCAAACTCCAACACTGTGTCAGCCTACTGGAAGCCCAAGACAACCTGCCCCACCAGCCTGGCTCAGCCCACTCTCCTCTGACATCCTAGGGCCGCCCTGAAATGCCAGCTCACAGGTCCACCTCCCTGCCAGGCCCCCAGCCTCCAAAGGCAGGAACCTTTGCCGTATGTCTCCGTATCCAGCAGGGCCCAGACATTCTCACCCCATGCAGTCACTGGTGGGGCCCGCCTGTGGCTACCTCTGACGGTGAGCTGGGCAGAGGAAGCATGGTTTCCCAAATGGAAGGAGACAGTGCCAGCGTCCTCGGGCGTCACGCCCTTCAGCCGCAGGGTGTGGATGCGGCCATCCCGCACAGCCACCTCTGTCACCTCATTGCTTTGCAGTGGCAGGCCCTGTAGGCACCACTGCACGCCTGTGGCTCCAGCCCTGGACACCTCACAGCTGAACTCAACATCCTCATCGGCCGTCACCTCCGCATCAACCAGCCCCCGTACAATGGTCACCTCAGGCTCTGAGGGGTGGGGCGAGATGGTTCCCTTTACCAGCCAAGTAAAAGAACCCAGGCCAAGATCCCACGCCCCCTCCTCCAGGAAGCCTTCCTGGGCACTCTCACACTCTTTTGCCATAGCCCATCTGTCCCACATGGCTTTTGTCCCGAAGTGCTCACAAGCACAGATCCCGCCATGACACTGAGCTCTTTGGGGACAGAAACTGGGCTGGAGGTGTGGGCCAAGAGGGCAGTTGTGTCTCAGGAATGGGAAGGGGTCGTGGGACACTCGACTGCCTGTCTACTCCCACACTGCAGCCAGCTCCTCCCTGGCTAGCACAGCAGGGAGGCAAGGCTTGCAGAAGAAACAGGTGGGGGCTCAGCAGGGCACCCACACACCGGCCTCAGGGGTGGGCTTGAGGGGCTGCAGCCTGTTTCCTTGCTGCCCAGGTTCTCTCAGAGAGCCCTGACAGGTACACCGGGAGGTGCAGGGGTGAGGAGGAAGACAGCATGAGAGCAGGGGACTCAGGTGCACCCAGAAGGCAACCATAAGGGAGTGGGATGGCAGGCTCACCCTCTCCTCTGGGAGGCCCCACCACTCACCTGTGACCCTGAGGGAGGCAGCGGTTTTCTGGCCGCCTGTCACACAGGCATACTCGCCCGTGTCCTTGGCCTCCAGTTGGTGGATCAGCAGCTCCCGCGTGGCCCCCTGGCTCCGCATCTCGTACTTGGGGCCCGCATGCAGCTCCACGCCCTCCTTGAGCCATTGCACCACGGCCCCCGACTCTGCATCACTCAGCTGACAGCACAGCCGGGCTATGTCACCTGTCTCCTGCTCCAGACTCTGAAGCCGGGTCTTGAACTTGGGCCTGGGGACTGCGGAGTATGCAGGAAGGGATGCTTAGTGCCCCTTGCCGCTGACCAAGAATGAGGGGCTGTGGGAGGCAGGGGCTGGTGAGCAGCTCACCACGGACAGAGAGGCTGGCCATGCTCTGCGTGTGGCCCGTGTCACACGTGTAGTCACCCGCATCCTCCTGCTCCACTCCGCGTACCAGCAGCTCTGCAGCTGCACCATCCTGCACCATCTGGTACTTGGCACAAGGGAAGAGCTGTAGGGAGCCCTTGCGCCACTCCACGCTCGCACCCGCCCGGCTCAGCTCGCAGCATAAGTGTGCGGTGCCTCCCTCATCCACCTCCTGGTGCTGCAGCTCTCGGAGGAACCGCACAGGCGCAGCTGCAGGGGAGGGAGCAGGGCATGAGGGCAGGTCCCTGAGGAGCTACAAGGGGGAACTAACAGGTGTAATGCATGGCAGAGTGGGGAGGGGGAACCGCATCAGAGCAGCTACGAGGAAGGAGGCAGGGCCTCAAGGCAGGTAGGACCCCCACCCTGTGGAGCCGTCTCAGTTGGGAGCCCCAGGTGGGAAGGCAGCCCCGAGGGTCCGCCCAAAGCACAAGAACTGCGCTATATCCTGGGCCACGCTAGCCTGGGAGCCCACCTGTGACAGTGAGGGTGGCACTGGTGGCCTGGGAGCCACAGGTGCAAGTGTATTCGCCAGTGTCTTCACGTTGTAGGTCCTGTAACACCAGCTCCGCGGTGCAGCCCTGAAGCCGTGGCTCCCGGCGCCCATTGGCCTGCAGCTGCAGGCCACCCTTGCTCCAGACCACTGTAGCAGTGGGCTCAGACAGCTCACACTGCAGGGTGGCCGTGGAGCCCTCCTCCGCCTGCAGACTCTGCAGCGGCTCCCGGAACACTGGCTGTGGGGCTGCAGGGGGCAGGGGGCAGGGTCAGCTCCAGATCTATACCAGGCATCACTCTCCAGGCCAGCAGATGAGGGCCTGGGCTCCTCCCAGCTCCCTGGCCTGGCTCCACAGGCAGTGCTGCCTCAGATGGTACTGGGGACCACCAGTCTGTGATTCAGGAGTGAGGAGGCAGTGTGGTGGGAAAGCACGGAGGGGCTACATCTACCCAGGGCTTAGGAGGCTGTCCTCTCACCCAGGGCCCCCCCCACCCAGCCCCCAAAGGGCCACACACCCCAGAGCCCAGGGCAGGGATGTGTACTTCAGAACCCAGGGTGAGGCCCTGTACCCAAGACCCGAGAGCAGAGCTGAGTCCCCCAGATCCCAGGGCGAGGCCAGGGCCCAGGGCTATAGGTTCCACCTCCCTTCTGTGGGCACCCAAATCCCAGGGCAGGGATGTGTATTCAGACTCCAGAGTGGGGCCGTGTCTTCCAGACCCCAGGACAGGGCCGTGTCCCCCAGACTCCAGGGCAGGGACCAGGTTCCCTTAGACCCTCAAGTGCCACAGGGGCTGTTTGCCCTACAAGGCTACACTGAGAACCAGGGCCAGCCTGCAGGGCCCAGGGCTCTAGGTCCTGCCTCCCTTTCCTGGGCGCCAGAGGCCTCCCTCCGAGAAGGACATGAGACCCTGTGGCTAAAAGACTCCAGGTCTCAAATGAAGGATGGCAGAAAGTTGGATTGATTAGGTGGTGATGGGAGGCAGTGGGAGGGAAACAAGGTGGGAATTCCTTCCCTACAACCATGACTGGTACACAAGGTCACATGGCTGAAGCTCAGTACAGACACCAGGGCACAGGATAACGCTGGAACCCATGAGCAGAGGGGACAGAGGAAACAGCAGGAGGAAGAGGAAAGGAGCATCCACAAGGAGAAGGTGTGCGGTGCCTGCAACTGCACACAGAGGAAGGACACACACCCACATCAGTCCATGTGGCCACGTGTGGTCATTACCCTTGACAGTGAGAGTGGCCGACGTCTTCTCCTGACCACATACACATGAGTACTCCCCAGTGTCTGCCACGGACAGGCCATGAATCTGCAGCTCACATCTGGTCCCATCCTGCCTCAGGTTGTATCTGTCCCCATCTCTGAGGGTTTCAGGTCCCTTCCTCCACTCAACAGGGGCCACCTTGCTCAGCTCACACTGCAACATAGCCGTGGCCCCTTCTGTGGCCTCTTCATTCCTCAGACCCTTTGTGAACTTGGCGGGCAGGGCTGGGGAGGTCAGAAGATATGGACACAATCATGCCTCTGAGCCCACAGAAGAGACAGGACATGGATGACACAGAAAAGACACAGAACCCAAATGGACATGAGCCACATCGGGATGTGCTGAGCACAGGCTGTGCACTGTGGCTTCCCTCAGTCCAGGCTGTACAGCACATGACCATGGCCCCCTCTGTGGCCTCCTCACACCTCAGTCTTTATATGAATCTGGCACATATAGAGCTGAAGAGGGCCAGACACACATGGAAATCAGATCATCTGGAGCACTTCAGTAGACAGAATATGAGGGAATGGAGGACAAGACATAGAGCCCAACAGGGCAATGTGACTGAGCCCATGCTGATACACAGGTGGGAGCTGGCTAGAGATGCTGCTTTCTCCTGGTTTCTGCAACAGTCCGGGAGGCTGGAAGGGATTCTGGGGAATTATGGGAACAGGATGACATGGACACAGGGAGACAACACGGAATGAGTGGAGACGGATGGCATGAAATCAATACTGGCACACCAGAACATGGCTTTGCTTGGCCACATGTGATCTTTACCCCTGATCGTGAGTGTGGCTGAGGTCCTCTCCTGCCCACACACGCACGAGTACTCCCCGGCATCTGCCACAGACAGGCCACGAATCTGCAGCTCACACCTGGTCCCATCCTGCCTCAGGCTGTGTCTGTCCCCATCTCGGAGGGTTTCAGGTCCCTTCCTCCACTCCACAGGGGCCACCTTGCTCAGTTCACAGTGCAGTGTGGCCGTGGCCCCTTCTCTGGCCTCCTGGTTTGTCATGTTGTCTATGAATCTGGCTGGCAGGGCTGGGAAGGACCAAGCAGTCACTGAGATCATCAGACTGTCTGGACAACTCTGTGGACAGGACACAGACACACACGAGGAGCCACACAAACCACCAAAGGACCATGGCAGAATAAGCAAATGAATGTACGGAAGGCGAGAAAGCACATGGCCCAAGAGGAACAGAGAACACGCAGGGATGGGGATGAACAGGAGGACATCTCCTGATGAGGAGAAGCAGAGGCAGGAGATGCCCAGAAGACCCCAGTTAGAGGACACACAACCTCAGGGTTCCCACAGGGGTGCCACATTTGGAAGTAGAAGGTGGTGACACAGAGACACTTAGATTCCAAGCCACAAGTCCATGTGACCACACAGGATCTTTACCCCTGACAGTGAGTGTAGCTGAGGTTCTCTCCTGCCCGCACACACACAAATACTCTCCAGTGTCCTCCACAGCCAGGCCACGAATCTGCAGCTCACACCTCGTCCCGTCCTGCCTCAGGCTATATCTGTCCCCATCTCTGAGGGTCTCAGACCCCTTCCGCCACTCCACGGGGGCCGCCTTGCTCAGCTCACACTGCAGCACAGCTGTGGCCCCTTCTGTGGCCTCGTGATTTCTCACATCTTCTATGAATCTGGCCGGCAGGGCTGGAAAGGACCAAGCAGACACTGAGATCATCAGACTAACTGGACAACTCTGTGGACAGAACACAGACACACACAAGGAGGCACACAAACCACCACAGGACCATGGCAGAATAAGCAAATGAATATACAGATGGTGAGAAAGCACACGGCCCAGGAACAGAGAACACAGTCCCCATCTCTGAGGGTCTCAGGTCCCTTCTTCCACTCCACAGCGACACCTTGCTTAGTTCACACTGCAATGTGGCTGTGGCCCCTTCTGAGGCCTCGTTGGTCTTCAGATCTTGAGTGAACTGGGTAGGCAGAGGTAGGAAGGGTCACATGGACAGAAGCCATCAAGCCCTCTGGAGGATCTGAGGGACACACCTGAACATCCAGGAAGAAAACAGAAGCAGGAAGGCTGGAGGGACTTGGGATGAGGCGGACCAAAGTGCATTTGACAGTGAGGACTTCCTGCATTCTGCCTGTGAGGTGCAGATTGGGTGGGAGATGGGCTCCATCCTGGATCTCTTCTCAGAGGGCATCTTATCCTACCTGTGAACTTTCATTATGGGGAAGCAAGACAGGCTCCTCCAACTTGCAACCCACATATGCAATAATGTGATGGACATCTCTCTATGATGACACAGCAGACACCTTCAGGTCCCAACATCCACTGCCCCGTTGTCATCCCTCACACAAGAGATAGCCTGACCAGACAGGGCTTCCATCCAGCAGTGCCCATGCCTAGATATACCTGGCGCACCGCACAACATCCCAGCCCACACAAGGCCCTGCTACCTCCATCCAACATACTGCTAGACTGACCCTACTGAATCCACATTCCCACATATTACCCTGACTCATATCACCTAGATCATGACAGACACCAGATGTGGCCTTGAACCACACCTCTGAACCTCCAATCTACCATTCTCTCTTGCCTCCTGACTCCAGGCAGGGGGCTCACAAGTTAGCAGAGCAGGGCCTAACCCAATTACATAGCCATAGACTGCTATGGGTTGTGTTTCTACAGAAGTCAAATGTTGAAGTCCTAACTTCCACTATTTCAGAATATGACTGTTTTTGAGATAGGGCCTTTAAAGAGGTGATTAATGCTAAATGGGATCACAAGGGTGGTATCTAATCCAATATAAATGCTGTCCTTATAAGAAAAGGAGATTAGGACACAAACAGAGAAGGACCAGTGAAGACACAGAGAAAATGGCTGTCTACAAGCAAAGGAGAGAGGCCTCAGAAGGAGCCAACCGTACTGACACCTGGATCTCAACCATCTAGCCTCCAGAATGGTGAGGAAATAGATTTCTGTTATTTATACCACCCAGTCTATGACACTTTCTTTATGGCAACCCAAGCAAACAAATTCAGACTTTGGTACCAGGAGTGGGGTGCCAAAGGAACAAATACCTATAAATGTGGATGTGGCTTTAGAACTCGGTAATGGGAGGTAGCTGAAAGATATTTCAGGTGCATGCCAAAAAACAGTGTTTGCAGGCAGCAATTGTCGGTGAAAACATGGGTGTTAAAAGTGATTCTGGTCAAGCCTCAGATGACAACGGGGGACATATTATTAAAAACTGGAGAAAGACAATCACTGTTATAAAGTAGCCAAAAACCTGGTCAAATTTTATTCTAGTGTTTTGTGGAAGATAGGACTTGCAAACAACAAAATTGGATATATTTACCTGAGGAAGTTTCTAACCAAAGAATTGAAACCATAGCCTGATTTCTCTCTAATATGAAAATGTGAGAGGAGAGAGATAAATTCAAAAAGGATTTGTTAAGCAAAAAGGAACCAGAGCTTGAAGATACAGAAAAATTTTCAGGCTATACATACTGCAAAAAAAAATGAGAAAGCATTATTCTGGGGAGAATATCCACACTGGACAACCATTTGCTAAACAGATCAGGTGTGTGGTTTATGGATCCATTCAGCCCTCTCAGCAGAAGCCAGTAATAAAAATAAGATTATCAAGGAAAGATCTGTGGAGAATTCTTTTGTCTGGTGGCTTTGACCCACATGGATCACATGGGACAAAGTTTTTGAGACCTTTATACCAGAGGAAATGCTGCTAGCTTGAACTGATTCGAACAGAGATGGGACAAAATGAAGGAAGGATGTCAGACTTCTGAGAATCCACAGGATGGGCCAATAGAGCTACATGGATATAAACAAGATATTCTGTAAGAAAAAGGAATAATGACCCAAAAGTTAGTTCAGGAGTTGACAGGAATGGCATTATAACCAGAGGGTAGAGGGCACAGGCCTGGAAGTAAGGCTGTCTCCTCCTCAGTTACAGAGAGCCAGACACCTCCACTCAGGGCTGAGGGGGTAGAGTTGCAACCCTGTTGGGTCGAGAGGACTAGGTATTAATCCAAAGCCTTAAAACCTAATAATATTTGTCCTGCTAGGGTTACACCTTACTTGGGACCCGTGACTCATTCCTCCTTTCCAGTTTCTCCCTGATTCAGAATGTCCATCCTATGCCTGTCCCACCATTGTGACTTCAAAACAAATAACTTGTCTGATTTCACAGCCTCACAGATGAAGAAAAATTTTGCCTCTGTATAAGTCACACTTTATCTCCCTCACAGTTGACTCAGATGATATTTAGAGGTGATTTGGACTAGTTGATATTGAAATGGGCTAAGATTTGGGACTGTTAGGAAGAAGTAAACATATTTTGCACGTGAGAAGGCCATGAATTTTGAGAATCCAGATGGTGGAGTGTTATGGTCTGAATTGTGCCTCAGAAAAAATGCATATGTTGAAGTCCTAACCCCCAGTACACGTCAGAATATCACTGTATTTAAAGACAATCATTGAAAGGAAAAATGAGGTTGTTAGGGTGGTTCCAAATCCAGTATGACTGGTGCTCTTATAAAAAGAGGTTAGGACACACACATGCACACAGAGGGACATCCATGTGAAGACATGGGGAGAAGACAGCTGTCTACAAGAAGAGAGGAGCTGACATCTTGATCTTGAGATTTCAGCCCCATACTTCTGAGAAAATAAATCTGTGTTATTTGAGCCACCCTGTCTGCAGTGCTTTGTTACGTTAGCCTGAGCAGATGAAGACAATACTCCTTTAGAAGCTTGGAATGACCACAAGGATCAATCAGAACACTCACCAGCCTGAAGAGGGGCCTGGCCTGAGCCATCGCTATGTCTGTCAAAGGACATACATTTCCTGACCTCCATGCCTGAGGCTCAAGAGCTGGTGGACATCCACAGGCCTTTGCAAGATGGCAGGGGCCCCAGACAGCTCTCCTGGACCCTGACACCTGCCTGCTGCTCTCCCTGTCCTGACACCTGGGGACCCTGCACTATTCACCCTTGGGGTCTGTATGCCCAGGCCCTAGATTAGGCCATCCAAGTGGGTCCTCAGCATGCATTTGTGAGATGGACCACAAAGATGAGTGACTGAATAAAATGTCAACGACACTGAGAGACACTGGGAGAGCACAGAACATGTGGGTTAAGTGGGGGAAGACAGAAGTCACTCAGGTGGTCACATGTGGTCTTTACCCCTGACAGTGAGCGTGGCCGAGGTCCTCTCCTGCTCACATATGCACGAGTATTCTCCAGCATCTGCTATGACCAGGCCACGAATCTGCAGCTCACAACTGGTCCCATCCTGCTTCAGGCTGTACCTGTCCCCATCTTTGAGGGTGTTGGGCCCCTTTCTCCACTCCACGGGGGCCGCCTTTCTCAGCTTACATTGCAATGTGACTGTAGCCCCTTCTGTGGCCTTCTGGTTTCTCATATCCTCTATGAATCTGGCAGGCAGGGCTGAGAAGGACCAAACAGTCACTGATATCATCAGACTGTCTGGAGGATTTTTCGGACAGAACATGGACACCAATAAGGAGCCACACAAACCACCAAAGGACCATAGCTAGATGAGCAATATATAAACAATGAGAAGGCAAATGGCCCAGGAGGCACAGAGAACACACAGGGACATGCATGAGCAGGAGGACATCTACTGATGAGAAGGGGAGGCAGGAGATACCTAGAGGGCCCCAGTTAGAGGACAGACAATCACAGGGTTTCCACAGGAGATGTGCCACATTTGGAGGCAGAAGGTGGTGACACAGAGAGGTGTATACACCAAGCCACAAGCCCACATGGCCACATAGGATCTTTACCCCTGACAGTGAGTGTAGCTGAGGTCCTCTCCTGCCCACACACACATGAGTACACCCCGTTATCTGCCATAGCCAGGCCATGAATCTGCAGCTCACACACAGCCCCGTCTTGTCTCAGGCTGTATTTGTCCCCATCTCTGAGAGCCTCAAGGCCTTTCCTCCACTCCACAGGGGCTGCCTTGCTCAGCTCACATTGCAGTGTGGCTGTGGCCCCTTCCATGGCCTCTTCATTCCTCAGACCCTCTGTGAACCTGGCAGGCAGGGCTGGTGGAGGGATCAGAAAGACATGGACACAATTACATTGAGCACATGAAAGAGACAGGACATGGATGGCACAGAGAAGACACAAAGCCCAACTGGACACAGACCACATGCAGGGTATGCCAAGCACAGGCTGTAGATTCCCTCTGTTCAGCCTGGTAACATCACGAAGTAACCACGAAGGAGCCCCTTCGTGGGCTCCTCAGGCCTCAGAGATAACGTGAATCTGCCATGCAGGGCCAGAGAGGGTCAGAAAACACAAAGAACATTAAATTCCTTGGAAAGCGCTGGTAGATAGGACATGACAAGATGAAAGACAAGACACAATCCAATAGAACAGGGCCCACAGTATCACAGGAGAGGGAATCTGGATGTAGATGAGAGTTTCTTCTGGTTCCTTCAGCAGCCCAGGAAGCTGGAAGGGATAGTGTGGCATGACGTGAAGAGTGTGGCAGTCTGGGGGAGACCATGCAATGAGCAGAGATTGATGGCAAGAAGTGAACAACTGGACACCAGAACGCAGATCTGGACAGATGGACTTTACCCCTGACAGTGAGCGTGGCCGAGGTCCTCTCTTGTCCACACATGCATGAGTATTCCCCAGCATCCGCCACAGACAGGTCATGGATCTGCAGCTCACACCTCGTCCCATCCTGCTTCAGGCTGTATCTGCCCCCATCTCTGAGGGTCTCAGGACCCTTCTTCCATTCCACAGGGGCCACCTTGCTCAGCTCACACTGCAGTGTAGCTGTGGCCCCTTCTGAGGCCTCCTTGGTCTTCAGATCTTGAGTGAATCGTGCAGGCAGGGCTAGGAAGGGTCACATGGACAGAAGCCATCAAACCCTCTGGAGGATCTGAGGGACGCAACCTGATTATCTAGGAAGGAAACAGAAGCAGATCTCGAAGACATGGGATAAGGCGGACCAAAGACCATGTGAGACTGAGGTCTTCCTGTGTTCTGCCTATGAGGTGCAGATTGGCTGAGAGATGGGCTCCATCCTGGATCTCTTCTCAAAGGGCATCTTGTCCTACCCATGTCCTATCATTACTAGGAAGCAAGACAGGCTCCTGCAACTTCCACATATGCAATAATGTGATACATCTCTCTCTTCTCTCTCTCTCTTTCTCCAGCCTCACAGGAGGCACCTCCTTGTCCTGACACCTGCTTCCCATTCTCATACAGGAGATACCCATCCCAGGCAGGGCTTCCATCCAGCACTGCTCATGCATGGGCATACCTCGGCTCACTGCCAACCATCCCAGCCCACACAAGGACCTGCTGTCTCCACCTCACTGCTCCTGTCCTGACTTTACTGGATACACATTGCCTTGGCTCAATCACCAAAACCCCCAACAGACTCCAGATGCGGCTTCTACATCACACCTCTGACCCTTCAACCTGCTGTCCTCTCTTCCCTCCTGACTCTAAGCAAAGTGAGAGCTCACAAGGTACAATGGAGCAAGCCCCACCCTGGTTACCCCGTTATGGTCTGATTGTGTCCCCCCAAATTAATACATTCAAACCTAACCTCTAGAACCTCAGAGCATGACTGTATTAAAGATAGGGCCTTTAAAGTGGTAACTAAGGTTAAATGAGGTTGTCAGGGTGTGCCCAACTCCAATATGACTGGTGTCCTTATAAAAAGCAGATATTAGGACACAGAGACACACTGAGGAGTGACCATGTGAAAAAACAGAAGACCGCATCAACAAGCCAAGGAGAGAAGCCTCAGAGGAAGTCAACCTAATAACACTTCACCTCAGACATCTAGTCAGAAAACTAACACAAATATTGGTACCAGGAGTAGGGTGCCATTGTAACAATTATCTAAAAATGTGGAAGTGGCTTTGGAACTGGGTAATGGATGGAGGCTGGATGATATTTGAAGTGCATGTTGGAAAAAACCTAGATTGCTGTGAACAACCTGTTCATGGAAAGATGGACATTAAAAAAGATGGACATCTGGTCAGACCTCAGATGGAAATAAAGAACAGGTTATTGAAAAGGGGAGGAAAGGCGATCCTCATTATTAAGTGGCAAAGAACTTGTCCGAATTGTGTTGTGTGTGGAAGGTAGGACTAAGAAACAATAAAATTTTGCATGTTTAGTTGAGGAAATTTCTAAGTAAAGTGTTGAAGATGAAACCTGTTTTCTCTTTGCTGCTTATTGTAAAGTGCAAGAGGAGGGAAATAAATTGAAGAAGGAATTGTAAATAAAAAAGGAACCAATACTTGAAGCTTTGGAAATTCTTCAGCCTAACCACATGGTAAAAAATGAGAAACTGTTCTGAAGAGAACATCAAGGGTGTGGCTAGACAACCATTTGCTAAAGCACCAGGTGTGCAATTTATGGATCCAATTAGTCATCTCAACAGAAGCCAGGAATAGAGATGCAGTTATCTGGAAAAGCCTCTTGTCTGATGGTGTGGACCTCCATGAATTGCATGGGAGGCCAACTCAGTTTCTGATAATCTTATACCAGCAGATTCGAGTGAACTGGATTGAGGTGGGATAAAATGAAGGAAGGCTATCAGACTTCTGGGATTCAACAGAATGAGCTAATATCACTATATGGCTGCAAACATGTCTTATCCTTCAAAATAAAAGAATGACCCCAAAGGCATCAGCAGGGCTTCCACTGCCACTACAGGTCCAGGGATCAGGACCACCTCTTCCCAGAATGGAGGGGGAGAGGCTGTTACCCAAGGATGAGTGGATAAGATATTACCCAGGTCTGAGAGATTGGGGATAACACTCTGGTTGGCATGGAGGACTGGAATTAAGTCAAAGAGAATTATTTTTCAGACTTTAAAAAAAAAGGTAGAGATGGGGTCTCACTGTTACCCAGGCTGGAGTGCAGTGGTACAATTATAGCTCACTGCAACCTCAAACTCCCAGGCTCAAGTGATCTTCATGCCTCAGCCTCCCTAGTAACTGGAACCCCAGATGTGTACCACCAAACCTAACAATTTCTTTTTTCTTTTAGGAAAAGGGTCTTGCTATATTTCCAGGCTGGTCTAGAACACCTGGCCTCAAGTAATCCTCCTGCCTCGGCCACCCAATGTGCTAGGATTATAGAGATGAGCCACTGTACTGAGTCACCAGCCTTAAAATCTAGTGAAATTTGCTCTGCTAGGTTCAGACCTGCATAAGATCCTGACCTGTTTTTTCTTTCCAACTTCCCCTCTTTTGAACAGGAACGTCTATCCTATGCCTGCACCACCACTGCATTTTGGAAGCACAAAACTTGTCTGGTTCCATGCTTCACAACTGAAGAAGAATTTTGCCTTGGAATGACTCATACTTCACCTCCCTCATGCTTGACTTAGATGCGTTCAGATGAGATTTTGATTTTGAGTTGATGCTGGAATGGGTTAAGATTACGGGCTGTTAGGAAGGAGTAAGTTTATTTTGCATGTTAGACGGTAATTAATTGTGGGAAGCCAGAGGGCAGAATGTCATGGTCTGAATTGAGTCCCCTCACCAAATCCATGTATGTTGAAATCCTAACCCCTAGTACTTCACAATGTCACTGTATTGAAATGGTATCTTTGAAAGGTAAAATGAGGTTGTTATGAAGGGCCCAATCCAATGTGACCAGAGTATCTACAAGCCAAGAAAAGAGGCCTAAGGAGAAACCAACCAAGTGACTCCTTGATCTTGGAATTTCAGACTCCAGAAGTCTGAGAAAATAAATATCTGCTGTGAAGTTACCCAGATGCCGTGCTCTGCTGTGTCCGCCGAGCAGATAAAGGCAGCAGTCCTTCAGGAGCCTGGCATGACCACAAGAACCACTCAAACACTCTCAGCAGATTTAGTGGGGCCTGGCCTGACCACCTCCTCGGTGAGCCCCCAACCCTACTGTGCATGTCCATCAGCAGAAACACAGGCCCTCACCTCTAGGCCTGGGGCCCCAGAGCCCACGCACATGTGCAAGCCCCAGCAAGATGCCAGTGGCCCCAGACAGCTCTCCTGGACCCTGATGTCTGTCTGTGGGGCTCTCCTTTGGGTCCCTGCCCTATTCACTCCTGAGGTCCATATTCCCAGGCCCTAGATTAGGTCATCCAAGTGGGTTCCAAGTGCATTTGTGGGATGTATCACACAGGGGAGTGACTGAATGAGATGGCAATGACATCAAGAGGAACTGGGAGAGCACAGATCATGTGGGTTAGGTGGGAGGAGACAGGAATCACTCAGGTGGCCACATGTGGTCTTTACCCCTGACGGTGAGTGTGGCCGAGGTCCTCTCCTGCCCGCACACACACGAGTACTCCCCAGTGTCTGCCACAGACAGGCCATGAATCTGCAGCTCACATCTGGTCCCATCCTGCCTCAGGCTGTATCTGTCCCCACCTCTGAGGGTCTCAGACCCCTTCCTCCACTCCACGGGGGCCGCCTTGCTCAGCTCACATTGCAGCACGGCCGTGGCCCCTTCTCTGGCCTCCTGGTTTTTCACATCTTCTATGAATCTGGCAGGCAGGGCTGGGAAGAACCAAGCAGTCATTGTGATTATCAGACCGTCTGGAGGACTCTATGGACGAGACATGGTCACCCACAAGGAGCCACACAAACCATCAAAGGACCACACGTGAAAGAGCAAACAAACGTACACATGGGGAGGAAGCAAATGGCCCCAGAGGAACAGAGAACACAAAAGGAGAAGGACATGAGCATGAGAACACCTCCTGGATAAGAAGGGAGGAGGGAGATGCCCAGAGGACCCTGGTTAAAGGACAGACAACCATGGGGTTGCCACAGAACCATGCCACATTTGAAGGCAGAAGGTGGTGACACAGAGATGCGTAGACACCAAGCCATGGTCCACATAGCTACACACGATCTTTACCCCTGACAGTGAGTGTGGCTGAGGTCCTCTCCTGCCCGCACACACACGAGTACTCCCCGGCATCCACCACAGCCAGGCCACGGATCTGCAGCTCACACCTGGACCCGTCCTGCCTCAGGCTGTGTCTGTCCCCATCTCTGAGGGTCTCATGCCCCTTCCTCCACTCCACCGGTGCCGCCTTGCTCAGCTCACACCACAGCGTGGCCGTGTCCCCTTCTGTGGCCTCTTCATTCCTCAGACCCTCTATGAACTTGGAAGGCATGGCTGGGGAGGTCAAAAGACACAGATATAATCACATTCTCTGAGTACCTGGAAGAGATAGGAAAGACATGGATGGCAGAGACAAGACACAGAACCCAACTGGGCACAGGCCGCATGGGGGTGTGCTGAGCACAGGCTGTGGACTGGGACTTCCCTCAGTACAGACTGTACAGCACATGGCCATGGCCCCTCCTGTGGCCTCCTCACATCTCAGGCTTTATAGGAATCTCTGGCACCCAGGCCCAGAGAGGGTCAGAAACACATGGAGAACATCAGGGGAAAGAATGTGACAGGATGGAAGACATAGAATCCAACGTGACAATGTTGACAGAGTCCTCGGAGGCACACAGTGGGAGCCCGCTAGAGAGGCTGCTTCCTCCTGCTTCCTACAACAGCCCTGGAGGCTGGAAGAAGCTCGTGCAGTTACACAGGCAGGCACAGACATGGGGAGAGAACGCAGCATAGGCAGAGACGGATGGCGTCAAGTCAACACGTGGACATGAGAGCATGGTGCTGCTTGGCTGCATGTGGCCTTTACCCCTGACGGTGAGCATGGCTGAGGTCCTCTCCTTCCCGCACATGCACAGGTACTCCCCAGCGTCCTCTGCCACGAGGCCGCGGATCTGCAGCTCACACCTGGCCCCGTCCTGCCTCAGGCTGTGTCTGTCTCCATCTCTGAGGGTCTCATGCCCCTTCCACCACTCCACGGGGGCCATCTTGCTCAGCTCACACCGCAGCACGGCTGTTGCCCCTTCTGTGGCCTCTTCGTTCCTCAGACCCTCTGTGAACTTGATGGGTAGAGCTGGGGGAGGGTCAGAATATATGAACACAATCATGCTCTCTGAGAACATGGAAGATACAGAACATGGATGGCACAGAGAAGACACAGAATCCAACTGGACACAGGCCACATGTGGGGTGTGCTGAGCACAGGCTGTGGACTGGGGCTTCCCATGCTCCAGCCTGTCAGCGCTGTAGCTGTGGCTCCTTCCATGGCCTCCTGAGTCCTCACACTTTATGTAACTCTGGCTGCCAGAGCCAGAGTATGTCAGACACACATGAGGACCGTGAGAGTCTCTGGAGCACTCTGTGGGGGGAGGACAGGACAGCATGAAGGACAAGGTGCAGAAGCCAACAGGACAACATGATGGAGCCCATCTTTGGAGGCACATGGGGTGGAAGCTGGCTGCAAGGCCAGTTTCTCCTGGTTCCCACAATAGCTCTAGAGGCTGGAAGGGACTCCGCAGAGTGATGGGAACAGGGTGGCGCAGATGCAGGGAGAGCACATGGGGTGAGTACAGACAGACGGCATGACATCAGTACATGGACACCAGAAGAGGGCTCTCCTTGGCCACATGTGGCTTTTACCCCTGACGGTGAGCATAGCCGAGGTCCTCTCCTGCCCGCACACGCACGAGTACTCCCCAGTGTCTGCCATGGCCAGGCCACGAATCTGCAGCTCACATTTAGTCCCGTCCTGCCTCAGGCTGTATCTGTCCCCATCTCTAAGGGTCTCAGACCCCTTTCTCCACTCCACAGGGGCTGCACTGTTCAGCTCACACTGCAGCACAGCTGTGGCCCCTTCTCTGGCCTCCTGGTTTTTCACATCTTCTATGAACCTGGCAGGCAGAGCTGGGAAGGACCAAGCAGTCGCTGAGATCATCAGACTGTCTGGAAGACTCTGTGGACGGGACATGGACACCCACAAGGAGCCACACAAACCGCCAAAGGACCACATGTGAAGGAGCAAATAAACATTCACACGGGGAGGAAGCAAATGGCCCGGGAAGAACAGAGAACACAAAGGGATGAACATGAGCATGAGGACACCTCCTGGACAAGAAGAGTAGGCGGGAGACAACCGGAGGACCTCAGTTGGAGAAAAGACAACCCCGGGATTGCCACAGGGGCTGTGCCACATTGGAAGATGAGGATGACTCAGTGACATGTAGACACCAAGCCACGGGTCCACAAGGCCACACATGATCTTTACCCCTGATGGTGAGCGTGGCTGAGGTCCTCTCCTGCCCGCACACACACAAGTACTCCCCGGCGTCCGCCATGGCCAGGCCACAGATCTGCAGCTCACACCTGGTCCCCTCCTGCCTCAGGATGTATCTGTCCCCATCTCTGAGGTTCTCGGGCCCCTTCCTCCACTCCACAGGGGCCACCTTGCTCAGTTCACACCACAACATGGCTGTGGCCCCTTCCACGGCCTCTTCATTCCTCAGACCCTCTGTGAACTTGGCTGGCAGGGCTGAGGGATCAGAAAGAGATGGCCACAGTCACACCCTCTGAGCCCACAGAAGAGACAGGACATGGACAACACTGAGAAGACAGGGAAGCCATCTGAACATGGGCTGCTCCTGGGGTGTGCTGAGTACAGGCTGTGCACTGCGGCTTCCCACGGTCCAGCCCACCAGCACCACGGTATGGCCCCTTTTGAGGCATCCTCAGGCCTCATACTTTCTATGAACCTGGCTGGCAAGGCTGGAGAGGACACAAAAACCATGAGGCCCTCTGGAGACACCTGGGGACACTCAGCAAGGACACACTCCCGCTCTGGAGGAAACTAGGAATTAAAGCATGGACATGTGGACGTGAAACAGTGCCCTGGGAACAGAGAACAGACTGGCCATGGACACACAGGGGAAAGCCGCCCAGGACACAGAGGAGCTGGAATCCTAGCAGGGACCCCAAGATGATGGCAGACACATGCAGTGGCCACAGGACCCATGAGATGGGGAGGCAGAGACGGAACCAAACCACATCTCCCCATCCCCAGGGTCTTCCGTAGCCCATCCTGGCTCAGACTGAATTTGTCATCATGCTCAAGGGCCCAAGACCAGCCTGGTGGCTCACACTATACTGTGGCCCTGGCCTCATTCTGTGGCTCCCTATTTCATAGCTCCTTCATAATTTTTTTTTCTTTTTCAGACAGGGTCTCAGTGTGTCGCCTAGGCTGGAGTGCAGTGGTGCCATCACAGCTCACTGCAGCCTCAAACTTCTGGCCTCAACCAATCCTCCCACCTGAGTAGCTGGGACCACAGGTGCACACCACCACAACCAGCTAATTTTTATATTTTTTGTAGAGATAGGGTCTCCCTGGGTTGCCCAGGTTGGCCTGAAACTCCTGAGCTCAAATGATCCTCCTGCCTTGGCCTCCCAAAGTGCTGGGTTTACAGGTGTGAGCCACCACACCCAGCCTCATGATCTTGATGAATAGCTGGAGAAAAAAGACACAAAATCAGCTGCCTAAAAATCTCCCACAAAATCATCCAAGCTCCTGCTTCTCATCAGTTCCTGCTGCTCCGGCGGCCAGGGCCCAGGGCAGACAGGGAGTAAGGAGCCTGCTGCTGGGAGAGAGGAGGGTGCCGCCCTCCACCTTGACTGTCACCCTGTGTTCATGATGCAAGCAGGAACCCCACGCAGCAGGTGCCCTGGTGCATGGGTCCAGCAGATAAGAAACAACTAACTGAATACATGAAGGAACCGTCCACCCGGACATGCCCTGCATGCAGGAGATAGCCATGGATCACAGGGACAGACGAGGGCCACTGTCTCCTGTGCACTGAGGCTGGGTGGCTTCCCAGCCCACCAGATGGAGACTGGAGCCTCAGAGTGCTCAGCTTCATCCCCTGGACGCCCCCTGGGGAACTGCAGCTCGGAGCATCCTTGGGGCTTCAGGGTCCGGTGGAAACTTCCAGCATGCAAGGGTGCCCTCTTAGCAGGCACCAGAGGGGGTCCAGCAGGGCACCCACCACCTGAAGCTTTCCCGGAACTCGCCCACTTCTGGAAGCAACTGCCTCAGGCAGCCGGCAGGGGTCCACTCTGGTCATCTGCTCTTCAGCCACCGGTCTGAGGAGGACACAGATTAGCCCCCGGGCGCCTGTGGTCTCTGTGTCTCTCCAACATGCTACACAGCCATGTGACAGAGCCCGAAGTCTGTGCCCCTCTGGGGTGTCCTGGCAAGCCTGGTAGTGTGGTGCCTCCATGCCTTGGAAGCTGTCTGTGCTCTGTCGACACCGCTGGAGGTGCATGGAGGCCCGGCCTCTCCGCAAAGGTCTACAACACTTGTGCCTGTGACCGGAGCTACCTGCTTCAGGCACTGGCATCCAGATGGCTGTGCCTGGCCCCCAGAACCTGCCCCTTCACTGGCTGAGGGTTCACTCCTTGTGGTGTGAGGGGAGCCCACCAGTCCTGGGCGAGAAGGCCCTTGAGCTTGGGAGAGTCCTTCCCTGCATTCCCTGTAAGGTGCCCGAGCCCTCCACCTGGGCCGGCTTTATCCCATGTGCTTTCCCTGACGGAAGTGAGCCAGGCCCTTCAAGGCCCCGAGCACCTGAACACGCCACGCCACACCACGCCACCAGCCACACCGGGCCATGGGTCCCGGCTCCACAGACACACAAGGCCAGGCCTGCAGGGCTCTGCCCCTTCTGCTGAGAACACTGGTGGCTTGAGGCTAGAATCCTCTCCTTGCTGTGACTGAGAGGTTCAGGGCCCAGGGCGAGTTCTGCAGTCTCACATCCCTAGGGGACCCAGCCATGGCTGAGATCCACTCCCACCGCCCACACGTGAGGACACCCTAGATCTGCCGTAGGCGGACCACAGGGCTCCAGACGTTCTGTCCTGGTCAAAGCCTCCATTTCAGATTGTCTTGGGCCCCTTCTGCCACTCCACACAGCTGCTCTGCTTGGCTGACACACAAAGAGTCACTGTGGCTGCTCCTCCCCACAGTCACCCCCATCACCTCCTCCCCACAGTCACCCCCATCACCTCCTCCCCACAGTCACCCCCATCACCTCCTCTCCACAGTCACCCCCATCACCTCCTCCCCACAGTCACCCTGCCTCTCTCCTCCTCACAATGGACCCTCCCCTTCCTGGCTGTGCACTCCAGCCCACCTGCCATCCCCCCACTCCCGTCTGTGTTCCGCTTCTGGGGCTCCTCCTGATTGCCTTCCTGCCTTCCTAGTGTTTACCCTGGAGAAGATCTGTGATCTCACTTTTGTAATGATTTGGTTCTCCCCACATCCTCTGTCTCTGCCTACAACTCTGTAGGGCTCAAACAGCCCTCTCTTCTCTGCTGTCTTCCTGCTCCTGAGACGGGTAACACGCAGCAGGTGTGGGGAATCCCTACTGAAGGAATGAAGGAACCACACGCAGAAAGACAGGGAAGGCCACAGCGCAGACGTGAGCACAAAGCAGGAATGTGCACACCCGCTCAGACATAGCCACCCATGCACGTGGCCAGGAGCAGTCATTACCCTTCACGGTGAGAGTGGCAGAGGTCCTCTCCTCCCCACACACACAGGAGTACTCCCCAGCATCTGCCACAGCCAGGCCACAGATCTGCAGCTCGCACACAGCCCCGTCCTGCCTCAGGCTATGTCTGTCCCCATCTCTGAGGCTCTCACGCCCCTTCCTCCACTCCACGGGGGCCGCCTTGCTCAGCTCACACCGCAGCGTGGCTGTGGCCCCTTCTATGCTCTCTTGGTGTCTCAGTCTTCCTATGAAGTGGGCAGGCATGGCTGGGGAGAGATGGACAGACAGACATGGAGATCAGATTCTGGGAAGCACAGGGGGACAGGCCATGGCAAGACGGAGGATAAGACAGACTCCCACAGGACAGGTCCCAGGGTGCCTCGAGGGTGGGAGTCTGGCTGCAAATGCCGGGTTCTCCTGGTTCCTTCCACAGCCCAGAAAGCTGGAAGGGATTCCGTGATGTGCTGGGAAGGGCATGGCACAGTCAGGGTAGACTAGAATGGGTACGACTGACAGCAGAGGTAAAAAATTGGACACCGGACACGGCTCTGGATACACGGTCTTACGCCTGATGGTGAGTGAGGCTGAGGTCCTCTCCTCTCCACACACACACGAGTACTCCGCGGCATCCACCATGGCCAGGCCACGGATCTGCAGCTCACACATGGCCCCGTCCTGCCTCAGACAGTATCTGTCCCCATCTCTGAGGGTCTCGGACCCCTTTCTCCACTCCACAGGGGCTGCCTTGCTCAGCTCACACCGCAGCGTGGCCGTGGCCCCTTCTGTGGCCTCCTTGTTTCTCAGTTTCCCGATGAACTGGGCAGGCAGGGCTGCAGGAAAGTCAGACACAGAGAGCATCGTCTTTGCTCCCCTGCATTGGAGGAAGAGGCATCTTTGGGCCACATGGGCAGGGTGGACAGAGACACTTACCAGTCACTGTGAGGGTGGCAGAAGTAGTCTGGTCCCCGAAGGAGCATGAGTACCGCCCGCTGTCCTGCGGCCGGAGGTTCCGGACCACCAGCTCCAGCATGGCACCCTCCTGGCGTAGGCTGTATTTGTCACCTGGCCTCAGGACGTTGTTTCCATAGCACCACTTCACGGGCGCAGCCACAGATGACAGCACACAGCGCAGTGTGGCAGCACCACCCTCCAGCACCTCCAGGTCCTTCAGGGCCTCCTGGAACCGCACTGGCCGCGCTGCAGACAGGCACAGGCTCAGCTTGCCCTCCCCCGACTGAAGTCCACTAGGGGTCCCCTATAGGTGGTGGAGGGCTGGGGACATCAGCTGCAGGGTCCCCCTTCTCCTTTGGGGCCTGTGGCAGCGACCTTGAGACTTCTGGAAAGGGGCAGCTCTGAGGGTGAGGGATAGAAAGGGTGAACCAAGCAGGAGAACAGAAGAGTGGGGTGTCAGGGACCTGTGCCCGCCAAATTCACAGTTGGAAGCCCTAGCCCAGACCTCAAAGCGTGGCTGTGATGAGGAAAGTAAGGTCAAATGAGGTCACGGTGGGCCCTAAGCCACTGTGGCTGGCACCTCCTAAGATGGGAGGTCAGGGACACAGGCATGCACAGAGGGAACGTCCCCTCAGGGACGCAGAGGAGACAGCTCTGCGGGGCGGCTCCTGCAGGTGGCAGAGGCCAGGGCGGAAGCCGAGCAGGGTGGACAAGGTGCCAGGGAGAGCCAGGAAGGACATGGGGAGCCATGGGTGCCCCATACAGGATGTACGGGAGCCTGGGTGCTCCTGCCTTGGGCTCCTTGTGGGCGCACATGCCCTGCCCTGAAGACGGTGCTGCCTGAGAAGAGAGCTATAGGCACCTGGCCTGTGGCTGGGCTTTGGGGCTGCTGGGGCTCACCATGCACCCTGACAATGGAGCTGCTGCAGGCGCCCCCAGCCTCACACTTGTAGCGTCCACTGTCCTGCAGGGTGGCCCCAGTGATGAGCAGCTGGGCCCGGTGGCCCTCATGGCTCAGCTGGCACCGGGCAGACCCCCGCAGGGTCTTCCCATCCTTGGTCCAGCACACAGGAATGTCGCAGGTGCTGGTCTCGCACACCAGGGTCAAGTCCTCACCCTCTGTGATGGTGGCATCTGTGAGCTCCCGGGAGAAGACGCTTGGCTTCTCTGGGGGACAGAGAGAGAAGCAGGAGCATGTGGGATCCTGTCGTGCTGCCGCTGGAGGGGCCAACGGGGAGAAACCCTGGGTCTCACTGCAGACCAGGCAACACCCTGGCTCAGCACCCACCAGCCACCCTCACGCTGGGGCCACGCAAAAGGCTGCAGAGGGAACAGGGCAGGCTCCGTGCGGCTCCTGCCCCAGTGGGGATGCAGCCTGGCTCGGGCCACGCCAAGCACAGTTCTGCAAACCATGCAGAAGCATCCATCCTGAAAGAGCCCAATTCAGCCTTCCGAGCCCCCACCCCACAGTAAGCCAATGGTGCTTTCTCTGTGAGCCCAGGGATACTGGGCACATGGCTGAGCTGCCATCCACCTCTCCACCTGTCTGCAGCTCTGAGCAACATGTGCAATGCGGGCATGCAACCCACCAGTGACCCGCAGGGCGGCCGAGGCCCGCTGGTCACCCGCCTCAAAGTAGATGGTGCCCGAGTCCTTGAGCGCCAGCTGCCGCAGGGTCAGCACGTGGTAGCCCCCGGGCTGGGCATCGATCTCATTGAGCTCGTTGGCATGCAGGGGTGTCTTGTCCAGGAACCAGTGCACAGGCTCGTAGTTGGCCGGGGAGATCCGGCAACGGAAGGTGGCCGAGGAGCCCTCCTGCACATCCACATCCTCCAGGTCCTCGATGATGTGCACTCTCCGGCCTGCAAAGGCACAGACTGCTCAGGGGCCCCACCGTCCTGGGCAGGCTTGGCCAGCAGTGCTCCCCAGGACAGACGCTCCCCAGGACAGAGCAAGGTGGCTGTGTTTTAACAAGTTTGCAGGGACAGAACTCTGGAAACAGTAAGTGGGTCAGAGCTTGAATGGTCCAAAGGTACTTGTTTGAGGGCCACTCGGAGCCCCGAGCCCACCTCTCTGCACCTTGGAGGTCCTTCTGCAAGGCTTGCTGGGTGAGTCTGCAGCCTGCTGAGAACCCAGGAGAGCACACTCCTGCCCCCTTTCCAAGCTGTGCTCCCAGGAGCGGTTGGCTCCCAAACCTGCTTACACAGCTGTGTGTATCATTACAATTGTGCCATGAAATTAACTCTTGTAGTAACAGATGAAACAGGAGTGTGAAAAAAAAATGGCTACATTTATGTTGAAATTTAAATCAAATGCTTGGAAGATAGGAAATGTGAATTCCTAGAAACAAGGTTTTTTGGCTGTTGAATTAGGGATGGTAAGAGATGAGCGTTTATGAATATAGAGACAGGTCCTGCGTTCAGATTCCTTCTGCATGCACGAGTGTCCTGCAGGCACAACTCCACCTCAAAGAAGCTGACCCCAGCCCGGGCAATGCACACGGAGGAAGAGCTCCCATCAGTGGATGGCAAACAGGGAAATGGCTTGGACTCCCAGACCAGGCCAGTCGACATCCTCATATGTTAAATTTTTATTTTATTTTATTTTATTTTTGTAGAGACGGAATCTCACTCTGTCTCCCAGGCTGGAGTGCAGTGGCGCGATCTTGGCTCACTGCAACCTCCGCCTCCCGGGTTCAAGCAACGCTCCTGCCTCAGCCTCCTGAGTAGCTGAGAATACAAGCACGCGCCACCATGCCTGGCTAATTTTGTATTTTTAATAGAGATGGGGTTTCACCATGTTGGCCAGGCTGGTCTAGAACCCCTGACCTCTTGATCCACCTGCCTCAGACTCCCAAAGTGCTGGGATTACAGGCGTGAGCCACTGAGCCCAGCCATGTTAAACTTTAAAAGAGCATCTTTTGTTATCTTATGACTCTCACTCTTGATGACTTTTTTAAAAATTAACTCTGGGTACCAACTTTATTAGATCATGGGGCGTTACTGTGCTAACAGAATACTTTCACCAGGGTCACCAAATCCATTGGAGAGAAAAAATCAGTGATGATTCCTGGTTTACGTTACTTCTGATGATCACAACTGGGGCCTTTCAAATACTGAACCCTGTGAACGCCCTGTGGTCAGACCCCAGTAGGGACCTCCTGCAAACTCAGCTCTGGACACCAGCCCGGGACTTCAGAGCCAAGTGAAGGCTGCGGTGATGGGGCTGGGCCTCGCCTGCTCTGATCCCAATGTGCCTGATGACCTTGCCCTGGCCATGGACCCACTAAAGCTTCAGTTTTCTTATCTACAGAGTTGAGAGAATGACAGCTCTCACTCTGCCTGCCACTCAAATGTGGAGCCAAACAGTAAGATCGAACAGCCACCTACTATGATCTGAATGTCCCCCTGGAAACTCATGTTGAAACTTAATCCCAATGTGGCAATATTAAGAGGTGGAGCCTTTAAGAGGGGATTGGGTCCAAGGCGGGAATGGATTAACCCATTCATGGATCAACGGGTTAACAGGTTAATGGGTTAAAGTGCTTCCATATGAGTGGTGGCTTTAAAAGAAGATGAAGAGAGGCCCAAGCTAGCACACTCAGCCCCCTCCCCATGGGATGCCCTGTGCCGTCCCTTGGGGACTCTGCAGAGAGTTCCTGTCAGCAAAAGGGCCCTCACCAGATGTGGCCCCTTGACCTTGGACTTCCCAGCCTCCAGAGCTGTAAGAAGTAAATTTATTTCCTTTATAAATTACCCAGTTTCAGGTATTCTGTTGTAAACAACAAGAAAAAGACTAAAATGCCACTGTAACTCTCAATGACAACCCTAATGACCATCAGTTCTTCCCTGGGAGCACCTGAGGCTGCCTGGCACGGCTGAGTCAGGCTGTCCCTCTGGGATAAGGGTGACACGTTTTATGTACGGATACACGCTGAGCTTACGCATGGGGGCCAGGCACACGGGGCATGTGGGAGAAACACACAGTGACCAAATAAACACACGAGTAAGTGAGCACCAGCAGCTCATTCACAGCCATGCTGGGGAGCCTCAGTGACCACCCAGGGTGCACCCCCTATACCCTCATGATAAGAAACTGAGGCTGGGCCTGTCCACCTCCAAGTCTCCGTGCCATTCAAAGCCTAGGCCCGAGCACACTTGGCCGCCTCACCTTGCACTAGGAGCTGGGCCCGGGACTGGGCCTGGCCAATGTCGCAGGTATAGGTGTCGCTGTCTGCCTTCTCCAGGGCACTGATGGTGAGCCGCAGGGTCAGGCCCTCCTGGCTGGGCTGGTGCTTCCCTGAGGCCCGTAGCTCCAAGAGGCCCTTGCGCCAGGTCACTGTGGCCGCGGGGTGCTCCGTCTTGCACGTGAACACAGCTGTGCCTTTCTCCTCCACCTGCAGATTGGTCAGCTCCTCTGTGAAGCAGTTTGCTTTTTCTGGGGCAGGGAGATGGAGGCAGAATAGGTGGGGCGTGAGGCCTGCACAGACCCCAGGCCGGCCCCGTTATCTTCCAGGCCCGGCTGCAGAAGCTCTGGGACCTGAGTTGAGCCCTTCCACCTGAGACAGAGCAGCTCAGGCTCCAGGGGTGGCCCCGTGCCCCGCTAGGGCAGAGAGGCCACTCCAGGGCCACGCGTGGGGCTCCTGCGGCATTTACCTTCCACATGGAGGCTGGCTGTGCTCTTGGAAGCCTCCACCTCACACGTGTACTCGCCCGCGTC
This sequence comes from Homo sapiens, assembly GCF_000001405.40. NCBI lineage: Eukaryota > Metazoa > Chordata > Mammalia > Primates > Hominidae > Homo > Homo sapiens. The sequence continues at coordinate 228,283,220 of NC_000001.11, read as the reverse complement.
CTTGAGCGAGGCCCCGCGGATGACCAGCATGGCCATCGTGCCCTCGCAGACCACATCATACTTCTGGCTCTTGCGGATGGCCTTCCTGTCCTTCAGCCAGTGCACGGGCGTTCCCGCCCGTGACAGCTCACAGCGCAGCTCCACGTCCTCCCCTGGCGCCACCCACTGGTCTTCCAGGGGCTTGATGATGGCGGCCGGCCTCTCTGAAGGGAGCAGGGACAGCTGCCCTTGAAGCACAGCCAGGGCCACGGCACCAGCCACAGATGACTGCAGCCACAGCCCCAGCCACCATCTGGGCTACAGCCATAGCCCCAGGCACAGACCCAGCCAAAACCTACCACCTCCACCATGACCAGGATTGGGGCAAGGACAAGCGTTTGACAACATTCACTCTCTGGTGACCAAGACAATAGAACCTGCAACCCCCAAACTCTGGGACCTCGGCCCTCAGGAGCTTCAGAGTCCTGGAATGTTAGTGTCCCCACTGTCACCACGGTGGGACTTGGGAGGCAGGAAGATCAAAAACTACAGAATTTTATCCCCTGGCATCTTTCAGGCCCACACTGGCATCCTCTGAGTGTGCCCCACCGAGCTGCACCAAGTGTGCTCGTCAGGGGCGCGAACTCGGGCGCTGGCGGTGATGTCAGCAGAGCAGGTGGCTGGGGCCTCAGGCCAGTGCTGCCAGACTGGCCCTGTGAGTCACAGCTCTGGGAGCTACCAAGTGCTCAGGGCACTCAGACCACGGATTGGAAAAGAATCCAGGCCTATATCAGAGCTCAGAAAAGAGTGCAACCCCAATTCCACTCGAGAACCGCCCCCAGCATCCAGCAGGTGACTCAGGCCCTGCGGCTTCTAGAAGGGGTGCTCTGCAGCAGCTGGGGGAGGCAGGCCCCAAAAGCCCCCCCCACCAGCTTCTGTAGCCAGGGGGGCCCAGCTCCTGGACTCCTGGGGACAGGCCCAGGGTCCCCACTCCTCAGCCCAGGTGATAAGCCCCCGTCCGGCAGGCCCTGCCTACCTCTGACAATGAGTGAGGCCTTGGAGGTGAGGCCCCGCACAGAGAAGACCACCTCCCCGGCATCACTTGGTGCAGCCTCCCGGACCACCAGGATGTATTTTCGGCCCTGACGTGTGGCCTGGAAGCGGCTGGAGCTGCCCACTGTCTTCCCACCGACTGTCCACATGGCCGGGTCGCTGGCACTCTCGTGGGACAGGACGCACTCAAAGCTGCAGCTTTCCCCTTCCAGCACCTCCATTGTCTTCAGCCTCTTGGTGATGCCCACGTGCAGATCTGCGGGCCATCAGAGACTGTCAGGCCAGGCAAGAGGACAGCACTGCCCTGGGCCAGACCTAGGAAGGGCCAGACCCTGGGAGGGATCAGAGCCCAAGGGACCAGACCCTAGGAGGGATCAGAGCCCACAGGGACCAGACGCCAGGAGGAGCTGGATTCCTTAGAGGGACCAGACCCCACAGGGACCAAACCCTGGGAGGTGCCAGACCCTGGGAGAGGCCAGGCCCTGGGGGACAGGGTGCCACATTGCACCAGCCAATGAGTAGATGCCCCTCTGCTGGAGCTGGCTGCCCCTGGCATCTGCATAACCAACAGCTCTGATCCAATCAGTGTGGCAGGGAGAGGGAGAACCCATGGTCATCACAGGGAGGAGAGGAGGCACAGGACCCCGGATGAGGGGCCTCCAGGCAGGCTAGTCCCAGCTCCAGGACAAACTCACCATGCCTCCTGCCCCTTCCCATCTCGTTACAAGACTGTCAAGGACCAGCAAACAGGCTGGTTACACCACCTGTCACCCACACCAGGATGCCACTGGGACCGGGCACACACACAGAGGGGGCCAGGTAGCCACCCTGCAGTTGAGGGAACTTCCCCTGAAAAGCAGGACAGGTTCCAGGGCACGCACGCCCCCAAGGCTGCAGGGCTGGGTTCAGGGATGGCTCTACCCTGCCAGCCCAGTGGCCTTAGGGCCTTGCTGGGGCCCCGTGAAGGACAGAGACGTGGCCTACTCACAGCCCCTGCCTGGCATCTCGGCTTCTCCCTGGCTATCCCCACTGGTGTCCCCACAGTGGCCTGATGACTTCCATGCAGACACGTCCCCTGGTACAGGGCAACATCCCCAGGCTATGTCGTCGGGACCAGCGGGCAGGGACAGCACAGCCTCCAACCCTGGCTCCGGGGACAATTTCTGGCTCCGGGACCCACTGTCCCCGGGTCCACCTGCTTGCACCCAGGCCTCACAGGACCACATCAAGCCATGGCTCCCCCAGAAGGCTCCCCTGACCTCCCCGGCTCAGCAGAGCAGCCCTTCAATCTCAGAGAATGATGTGGGCCACCCAGGTAGTGGCTGGCCCCACATCCATGCCCACCCAGCACGCCTCCCTTCCCTGAGCTCTGCCGTGCCTGCAGCCACACACCGTGCACGCGGACCCGGGCCCGGGTCTCCTCGGAGCCCACGTGGCAGGTGTACAGGCCGGCGTCTTCAGGGCTCACGTCATGCACCACGAGCCCCCGCGTGCCCGCCGTGTGCAGGAAGTCATACTTGTCACTGGGGCCCAGCTGCACGCCATCTTTGCGCCACACCACATGGGCCTCGGGGTCAGAGACTTCACACTGCAGGGCCAGGGTGCCGCGCTCCTCTGCGGACAGGTCATCCAGCGCCTTCAGGAACACCACCGGCTTCACTGCAGGAGGGATAGGAGGGTGAGGGAGGCCAGCGCCTGTCCCATTCCTAGTGGGGAGTCCCGAAGACTCGTGGGATGACTCACCTCGGACCTCCAGGCGGGCAGAGGTCGACACCTTCAGGGAGGAGGCGCGTACTATGCCCGCATCAGCCCGCTGGATGCTCTTCAGTACCAGCGTGTGGCGCCGGCCCTTGTGTGAGATCTCATGGAAGCTGTCGTTGTACAGGGGCATCCCGTTGAGCGACCACTCGACCTCCTCATCCTCGTGGGACAGCTCACAGGAGAAGCTGGCCCAGCCCTCCTCCGTGGCCTCTGCATCCTGTAGCGGCCCTGTCACTGTCACCTCCCGCGCTGCAAGAGACACACCGGGCCTCAGTGTCCACATCACCAGGCAACCCCTCCCCAAAACCCTCTCAGTAGCCCCATGCCCCTCATGCCCCACCTTCCACAGTGACCTCAGTGCTGCTGTGGGCACTGCCCGCCTGGCACCGGTAGACACCAGCATCAGCAGGCATGAGCCGGAGGATGCGCAGCTCAGCCATCTGACCCTCCAGGCTCATCTTAAACTTCTCAGAGGGAGACAGGGGCGTGTCATCCTTGTACCACTGCACAGCCTTGGGGGCTGGCCGGAAGTCGCAGGACAGGACCACTGACTGCAGCTCACGCCCTGTCTTGGGCTCCAACGGCCGTGTGAGGACTACGGGGATGTCTGCAGGGAGTGGGGAGAGGCTGGGCCACGGCACCACAGGAACCAATCACCCTGCCCTGCCTGCCAAGCCCTGAGCCTGCTCACCTATGGCCTTGAACTGTGTCCGCCCCTGGCCCTGAGCTGTGTCCACCATTCCCTGAACTATGTCTTCCCCTGGCCCTGAGCTGTGTCCTCTGCAGTCCTGAACTGTGTCCTCCCCTGGCCCTAATTGATATCCATCTGTGGCCCTGAACTGTGTTGTCACTGCCCTGAGCCTTCTCCTCCCATGGCCCTGCCCTGTACCCACCCACAGCCCTGTCCAGGCCTCCCAACAGCCCTGAACCTTGTCCTCTTGTGGCTCTGCCCCACGTCCACCCACCGGGGCGGGAGTGCTCACCTGAGACCACCAGGCGGGCAGAGGAGCGCGACTTGCCAACGGTGAAGTGCACGGGCCCGGTCATGGTGGAGCAGGTCCGCCGCAGCATCAGCCGGTGCACCGTGCCCTCCTGCTCCAGGCCCACGTTCCCCCCAGCCTGCAACACCGTCTTCCCCAGGAGCCACTTAGGTGGCCGCACTGAGGGGATGGAGGTCTCACACTCAAACCAGGCAGGAGCGGGCTCCATCACTGTCACGTCCTGCAGACCCCGCACAATGGTGATGGATTGCTCTGTTGGGGAGGAGCAGTCGCTGGCGGATCCCGCGGATAGGACATGCTGCCCCTCCGGCAGGGTTCCTTCCTGGGAACAAGCCCCCGCCCTGCTAGATGCATGCTAGCATCCTCCTGAGCTGCCCAGACCCAGCGTCTCCAGGAGTGTAGGGCAAACCATGGACCTGGGAGACTCCCCCCAACAAAAGCAACCTGCAGAGCTGCCCTCCCTGCCTGCACCTTCCACGAAGAACTGTGCACTGGTCTTGACATCACCGGCGTCACAGGTGTAGGTGTCCTCGTCCTCTGCGTGGACATCACTGATGATCAGCTTGCGGTAGAGGCCATCACTGACCAGCTCGTACTTGGGCCCGGGCTGCAGCTCCTGACTGCCCTTGAACCACCGCACCTGGGCGCTGGCCCGGGACACCTGACACTCCAGCACACCGCGGTGCTTCTCCATGGCAATCTTGTCCCGCAGCGGGCGCACGAGGGTCACTGGCAGCTCTGTGAACGTGGTGGGGGCATGGGGTGGATCAGAGATGGTGCTCCAGGCTCCCAGGCCCAGGCTCCGACAAGGCACTGAGGGTCTTGGGCCCTCAGTTGGACCCCACTAGGCCCCAACAGCCCATGTCTGCCCGCCAGGGGCCAGCAGGTGGTCAGGCCAAGTGTCCCCCTTGGAGCTGTGCTAGGACCTGCTCCACAGAGCAGACCACAAGCAAGGGGAGTGCGCCCACCTCTGCCCGCCCTGCCCTCCCATATCCCACACTCCCACTTCCACTGCCCAGGTCCTACCCGCTGTCCCGGCCCACCAAGAGCAGGGTAGGTCCTGCCCCATGTAGCCCCACCCCCTGCAGTCCTCTCCCCAAACCCCCACTTCCGAACCATAACCACATACCCTAGCTCAGTCCCAGGAACTCATGTCCCTCCCCGCATACCTCTGATTAGCCCTACTGGCCCATCCCCACCCCACCTGTCTGCAGAGCCTCCCTCCCTGCCACCCCAGCACCACTTTCCCTGATCCTCCTCCTCGCTGCCACCAGGTAGAACCCCCCGCCCCTGCCATGCCTCCCCCACAGGACCTCATGCCTGGCCTCTCCAGCACTCGCTGCAGCCCGAGGGAGAATTCTTCAGGATCTGTTTTAAGGAAGGGAGAAGCCCCTCATGGCCGCTTCTCTGGCCCCTATCTTCCTGCCAAGGAGGTGACGCCCCCTTCCCTCCTGAGTCCCTGCTGTCCTCGTCCTGAGAGCAGGCCTGGGGCGTCCGGGCCTGTGCTGAGCCAGCTGGCCACACATGCACACCGTCCAGCCCCGCCCTCCCCTCAGCCCCCACCTCACCCTTCACTCGGAGCTGGGCTCGCGATTCTGCATTTTCGGCTACAAATTGGATCTCTCCTGCATCTTCCGCCAGGACTCTCCGGTAGATGAGAGTGTATGTCCTTCCTGGGGACAAAGGCGGCTCAGTATGGGCGGGGGCAGAGGAAGACCTGGGGGCCGGGCCGTGCCTGCTACAGCCGCCTGTCCTCGAACCTTCCTGGCGGATGCGCACGTTGTCAGTGGGCCGCAGTTTACTGCCCTCCCAGAACCACTGGCCAGGCACTTCGTCGTGGGAGACCTCACAGGAGAAGGTGGCACCGTCCTTCTCCATCACTTCCACATCCTCCAGGGGCCTCACGATCTGGATGTTGCGGCCTAGGGTGGCAAGGGAGGCCCTGCCACACCCGGACACACAGAGCTGCTCCCAGCACCCCCCACCCAGTGCCCCAGCATGCCAAGGGTTGTGCAGGTGAAAGTAGAGCTGCCAAGCCCCTGGCTGGGGGACACGGAGGACAGGAGGAGGTGCCCATACCTGCCATGCCCCACATGCCCCACGCAGCCCTCACCTTGTACCTTCACGGAGGCAGAGCTCTGGGCATCATGGGCATCACACACATACACTCCCTGATCCGCGAACTCGCACCGGTAAATGGTGAGGCTCCTGCAGGCGCCCTGGGCTGCGATGGCCATCGTCTTGCCTGCCCGCAGCTCCACACCGTCCTGTGCAGGGCAGAGGCCGAGTCAGGCACTCAGGTGGTCCAGCCCTGGGGTTCTGCTTGGGCCCGCCCACATGAGAGGAGGGGAGGAGGCAACCGAGTGGGGTCGGCAGGGAGGCACCTTCAGCCAGCGCACATCCACATTAGGACGCGACAGCTCGCACTCCAGGGTAACCTTCTCCTTCTCAGTGGTCACCACGTCCTGCAGCGGGCGGCTGAAGCTCACGGGAAGCTCTGGGGAGGAGGAAGGAGGAGGTGGGAAGAGAAAAAGGGCTTGGAGAAGCCTTCAGGATGGGGACAGGGACAGGGGTGGGGCAGTGCCCCAGCTGGACGGAGTTATACGGAGCTGGCTCATCTAGGTCCCCAGAGAACCCACCGACCTTCCCGGGGCCCCCTCGGGACAGGCAGGCGTGCTCTGTGCTGTGCCCTGCCGGCCCCCCAACGCACCGGTGACCACGAGCCGCGCCGACGTGTGCACTCCTTCGGCCTTGAAGACCATAAGGCCACTATCCTCTGGCCGCAGCCCCGAGAGTGTGAGGGTGTGCATGGGGCCCCGCACAGCCAGGTGGCACGTGGGCCCCTGCTGGAACCGCAGACCGTCACGAGTCCAGCTGCCATCCACGTCCGCATGCGACAGCTGCACCTCCATGGTAGCCGTGCCCTGCTCCCGTGCCTCCACTGCCTGCAGGCCCCGTACGAGCCGTACCTGGCGCACTGCGGTGCACACGCGGTGTCACGGGTCAGCCGCTGCTCTGAGACCACCGCCTTTAGAACCCTGGGGCACAGCCGGCTTCCCCAGGAGCTCGGGGAGGGCCGGGAAGCCGCCCCACGCCTACCCCCACCGCTCGCCCCTCGGGCGGGAGACCTGCCCCTCTCCCAACCCTACGGCCCTTCCAGAGGGCCCGCCACTCCCCTCAGTGTCCCACCTCGCTCCTCCCTCCTCCCCTCAGTGCCCCACCTCCCTCCTCTCTCTTCCCCTCAGCGCCCCACCTCCCTCCTCTCTTTTCCGCTCCCTCTTCCTCAGTGCCCCTCCTCCCTCCTCCCCTCAGCACCCCGCCTACGTCCTCACTAATCCTCAATGCCCCGCCTCCCTCCTCACTCCTCCTCGATGCCCCGCCCTTCCCGCCCGCGGCTCACTCTCCACGGTGAGTTTGGCCTGTGTCTTGTCATCCGGCGTCTCGCAGCCAAAGAAGCCACGGTCGGCAAAACCTACGTTGTGCAGAACCAGGCGGTGGCGGGCGCCCTCGGCGTGGATCTCCACGTTCTTTCCCGGCGCCAGGGCCGTCGCGTTCCGTGTCCACCTCAGCTCCGGCCACGGCCGCGTCAGCTCCACCTCCAGGGTCACCGAGCTCCGCTCCTCCACCGTCTGCGGCTCCAGCTTCTTTTTGAACAGCACAGGCGCCTCTGGGGTCGCAGGAGAGGGGAGGTCACGGCGGCCCTCGCCCTCCTCCACGGACAAGCCAAGGTACAGAGGGCCCGCACAGCCCCGGCGCCTGCCCTGAGCCGGGCCCAGGCAGAGCTGCCGGCACCGCGCCCCGGGATCCCAATCCAAACAGCGCGGCCCTGGCCACACGCGGGCCGCAGCTGCGCACCCTCCCGGGTGCGACTTTAAGCGAGGAAACCAGGAAGCTTCCTTAAGCCCCGCTCCCACCTCCAGCTCCCCTGCTCTGAACAAGACGCCAGGCCCTTGTGCCTCGAAATCCTAGACGTGATCCCCACTAGTAGCACTGGCAGGAACTGCAGAGGGGGGAAGACAGAGCTTCCCCAGGCGCAACGGCGGTTTAGCAAAGCCCAGGACTCCTGCGCAGGTTAAGGAAGAGGCGCTGGCGGGCCTCTCTGCCTCAGGCCACCCGTCAACTCCGCAGAAGGTGAATCTGCTGCATCACTCCCTTACTCTAGAACCTGCCATGACTCCCACTTCCCTTCAGGGCAAGTTCTGGCTTCTGGCTTCAGCAGCATGGGAAGCCCATGTCACTGCTTGCACTGGTGCTAACCCCACTCTCTCTTCCCTGCCATCCATCAGGCTAAGTATGCACCCACCTACTCCAGAAAGCCTCCCTGGATTGCCTCAGCCTCCCCCCATTCCCCACCAGGTGCAACTGCAGGATTGTATCTTCTCTATACCAAGAGAAGGCACCTGGCCCATCCAGCCTACCGGAGTCTCCTCTCTGCAGCCCACACACCCCGTGTCTCCTGAGGTCAGCCGGACCAGCCGTAACAGGACAGCAGTTCCAGGTGCCCACTCAGAACCAGCCCACAGGGGAGGTGCCTGTGCAAGGAGCCCTGGCCAGCCAGGCAAATCCTGCTGCCCCCCACACTCACCTCGGACCCTCAGGGCAGCAGAGGATGAGGCGCCCTCAGCCTCCACGGTGATCTGGCCCGCGTCCTCCAGCACCAGGTCTGAGATGGTCAGGCTGTGGCTGGCGCCACTCTGTGATATGGCAAACTTCTCGCTGGGCTGAAGCAGGGCACCGTCCCGGAACCACACGACTGCCACATCACTGGGGGACACCACGCACTGGAAGGTGGCCTCGCCGCCCTCCTCTGCGACCACGGTGCTCAGCCCAGACATAAACTTCACCACTCGGGGCACTGCAGACAGGAGCACTGCTTAAGAGGCGGGCGCACAGGACTGGCAGAGCCCTTACGCTGCAGGAGTACCAAAGGCCGCCTCCTCCAGGAGGCTGCCCTGGATAGGGACACTCGACCCCTTACATACCACTGACGGTGAGCTGCGCACTGGTGTGGTCATCACGGCTCTCACACACGTACTCCCCTGCGTCCTCTGCGCGCAGCCCCAACACAGTGAGTGAGCGCACGGGCCCCTCGGCCACCATCTGGAAGCGCTTGCCCACCCGAAGCTGCGTGTTGCCGCAGCGCCACACCACCTCTGCACACGCTGGGCTTAGCTCGCAGGCCAGTGTCACCGTGCCACCCAGCTCGCCGCACACAGGCTCCAGCAGCCGGCAGAACTTGGCGGCCACCTCTGTGGGCACAAAGGGGACATCAGCCGGGCTCTTAACAGACCAGACTTGAGCCCCAGCTTCGCCCCTGTCCAGCTCTGGGACAGAGGTGTCTGGAGGAGTCCCCGCCCCACGCCCCATGCCCGGCTCACCTTCCACCTGCACTGGGAAGTCCTGCCCCTCTGCGCCCACACGGCAGCTGTAGATGGCGCTGTCCAGAACCTGGGCGCCATGCACGGTCAGGGTGTGGGTGTCCCCCTGGCTGGCTGTCTCATGCCGCTTGCTGCGGCGAATCTCCACACCATCCTTGAGCCAGGTCACCGTGGCCGCAGAGGGTGTGGCCAGTGTGGCGGTCAGGATGATGTCTTCATGCTCCTTGACCACCAGAGGCTCCCTGCGGCAGGGTCTCTCTGAAATTTGGGGCTCCAGCTCTGGGTAGAGGTGAGTTGGCATGAGAGGGGGACCCTGTCATCCCTGGACCGGCCCCGCTCCCTTCAGGGCCACCCTAATGCTACCTGGCACCCCTGATACCCATTGCTCTTCAAGGATGGCCCAGTGCAGTCCTGAGCACCATCAACTACCATCCAGAATCCCAGGGACCATACAGTGTGGCCATCAGCTTCAGGCGAGGTGGATTCACCCAAAGCACTGACCTGCCACGTGCAGGCGGAAGGACAGCCGTTGGCCCCCCGCCTCACAGCTGTACTCCCCAGCATCCGCCTGGCCCGCCTGCTGCACTACCAGCCTCCGTGTGTAGCCGCTGGCCTCCATGTGCACTTTTGAGCTGGAGCTCAGCTTCTTCCCGTCCTTGTACCATGTCACCTCCATCTGGCCCTGGGCCACCTCACAGCTCAGCGTGGCACTGGCCCCCGCCTCCGCCTGCACCTCCCTGCATGCCGGCTGCTCCTTGGCAAACACCACCTTGGGCTCTGGGATGGACAAGGAGGGATGCAGGGTCAGAGGCTCCAGAGCAGACACAGCCCATGTGTCAGCCCAGTGACAGCCAGGCAGGGCTGTCCATCATTAAGCAGTGCACGGTGACGCACAGAGCTCCCCCCGGCACTACCAGAGCCAAAGGTCTAAGGCTGCATGTTGGCAGCACCATCATCATGTCCCTTGGGAACAGGATGCGGCCCCTTCCCTGCCTCGGTCTTCCAGGGCCCTGGGGCCCTCACCTGTCGCCAGCCCTCCCCACCACGCAGGGCCACAGGCAGTAGGACGTGAAGGGTCAGGAGAGATGGACCAGCAACCTGGGCCAGCCCAGAGGCAGCGGAGTGTTGGCAGGGCCATTGGAAAGAGGGTGCCAAGCTGAGTGTGGTCTGTTGTCCCCAGCTCAGGGACAGGGTGGAAGGGAGATGGATATCAGAAAGACAGGTGGACACATGGTGATGACCAAGGGGCCCAGCACAGGCTTACAGAGATCTAGGGCCCAGAGCACAGAGACAAGCCCCCACCACCCAGTACACGCTCTCCAGTCACTGCCGGGCCCTCCCATGGCCCAGCACCCACAGAGGAGTCAGCAGATCACATTAGACCAGACCCAGACCCCCACCCCAAGGACATCACACCACTGTCCCCACCACCCAGACAGAAATCATCACATCTGACCAGACCCGGACCCCAGACCCCCGAGGACATCACGCTACTGTCCCTACCACCCAGACAGGGGTCCTCACATGAGACCGGACCCAGACCCCAGACCCACACCCCAAGGACATCATGCTACTGTCCCTACCACCCCCGGCTCAGCCACTGCAGGGCACACACCATGGTCAACTCAGCCCATGGGCCTGCTCTAGTCTCATGACATAAGGACACTGGCCTGAGAGCTGCTGGGGAGAGCTGGGGACACAGATTCTGAGGCCTACATAGAGGGAAGGTGCCAGGGCCCACAGCACCTTGGGCCGCCCAAACATGCCCTTGTAGTTTCACACCCGACACTCAGCATCACCTCCATTTTGCCTAACCCTGGCACCCACCAGCCACATGCAGATGGAAGGAGAGCCGCTGGCCCCCAGCCTCGCAGCTGTACTCCCCGGCGTCCGCCTGGCCTGCCTCCTGCACCACCAGCCTCCGTGTGCAGCCCACGGCCTCCACACGCATTTTCGAGCTGGAGCTCAGCTTCTTCCCGTCCTTGTACCACATAACCTCCGTCTGGGCTTGGGCCACCTCGCAGCTCAGCATGGTGCTGGTCCCTGCCTCAGCCTGCACCTCCCTGTGCACCGGCTGATCCTTGGCAAACACCACCTGCTCCTTGGCAAACACCGCCTTGGGCTCTGGGGATGGACAAGGAAGGACATACGAGGTCAAAGATACAGCCTAGGTCAGGAAGACCACCCTAGGATAGGAGGGCCTGGATGAGGAAGTAGGAGAAACAGAACCTTCCCCAGGCTCTGCACTGGCTGCGTGGCCAGGAGAAGTCCTGCCACCTCCCAGCGCAAGAATCACAGTTTGTCTATCCACTGTGCACGGCGCCATGGGCTATCACAGGTGGGGCAGCTATGACAAACCCTCCATGCATGAGCTCCTCCAGGGCAGGGACTAGGGTACCTGCACATGCGGCTCTTCTTCAAGCATGTATGGAGCTTTAAATCCACTTGTCATTTTTCAACCTTGCATCCCCCAAAACCACATTTGTTTGGATTTTGATTGAGACTGAACGTCTTTCATTCTTCCATGGCTTCTATCCACTTTAGATCTTTACTGTCTCTCAAAAGTGTTTCATAGCTTCCCCCACAGAACCTCTCGACATCTTTTATTAGACTGGGATCATAAACATGATGCCTTTGAGGCGTCTGTCAATCTTTTACGTTTTCATTTTCCAACTGCTTGCTGCTAGTCTACATGTACGGAAGTTTCTTCACACAGATCTTGCAAGGGTTGATCTTTCTCAACTCTCTAATAATTTATCTTCTAGGTAAACCGTATATTCTGTCAATTCACTTTTTTCTAACTTTTACACCTTTCGTTTTACTTTCCTCCTAACTGTGCCATCCAATGCTGGATGGAAGTGTTGACCACTGGCTTCCTCATGCTGTCCCCTGGCTCAGAGGCAAAGCTTACAAAGTCTCCCTTTGTGATTTTTGTGTAATACCCTGTGTCAAATTAGGAAAAAAAAACTTTTATTTATACTTTGTTAAGAATTTTATGGCATGATGGATGCTAAATTTTGCCAGACATTTCTTCTGAATATATGAGGTTAAATTTTTATCAAATATGGTACTTTATTCTGAGTTTAAGATAATTACATTGTTTTCAAATTTCAATCACATATCATGATTTTCTAATGTTTTTAACATGAAAGCAGCCCTCATTCCTAGACTATGAATTTCATCATCCTGTATGATTGTCTTGATGTATTGCTGAATTCAGTTTACTAATGTTTTGTTTAAAAAATTGGCCATGATATCCATAATTCTTTGATCTACAATGTGCAAACTTCCTATCTTCTGGCCAGATTTTAGTCATGGCATTAAGCTATCTGCATATAATGAGTTAGAGGGTATATCTTCCTTTTTCCATTCTCCAGAAGAATTTCCATGAACATGGAAGAATTTCTGGCCAGAACGTTTGGAAGAATTTCTCAGTAGGGCCACATGTTTGATGAGAAGATTTTTCGCTACCGGTTCTAGTTTTTACTAGGTTGTAGTAACTGAGATAACTTCAGTAACAGTAGATAACTGCATATAGGTTATCTATTTCTTAAGTCTGTTTTTGGTTTCTAGAAATTATATAATTTGTTAACACTTTTCAAATTTACTTGCAGTGAGTATTTTTGGTATCTACACATTTGTAAACCATTTTAGATATATATAACACCAACTGTTATGTGGTGGCACTCAGGGCTCAGGGTTGGAGTTTGAAGTTAAACTCTCCTAACAAACAATAGGAAAGTAAAGGTCATTCTCAGACTTCCTATGAATCAGCTGGAGAGGGGGCAGGCACAGGACTCATCAAGGAAACAGGATGATGTAAATATGGCTTCCCCAGTCAGCGACTGCTACCACCATAACTTAATTCTACCAGTGTGTCACTGTGCCATAAGCTACTTATTCCTTTTTTTTTTTTTTTTTTTTTTTGGTGTAAAGAAAAAACACAGCTTTATTGGCTCTCAGGAGACAAAACAAACAGAACAAGATATTCATATTAATGCAAACAATGCAACAAATGAGGGGAAGAATCGCCCGGCTGAAGCGAGGCCCGGCGCGGCCGCGGCCGGGGGGCTGAGAAGGGCCTGGGTGCCTGTCGCCCGGGAGCCGAGGTTTCCCGGCCTCCCCTGACCCCGGGCGCCAAGAGCAGTCGGTCCCCCCGGCCTCCCGCCGGCAAAGGGGCCCTGGGGCCCAGGCGTGCGGCCCCTGCGTGGCGGCAGGCGGCCCAGGCCACGCCGGCGCCTAGAGAAGGCCTCCAGTCCAGGCCTCATGGAAGGGCCTGCCTCGCGCGGCCCCTCAACACCCCACAGTGTGGCACTGGAAGGGACCTAAAAACCCACCTGGCTTTCTCCTTTCCCCTTCCCCACGCTTCCCAGGGCCCAATGCCCGCATCTCAGTTTCGCTTTCCGGCAGGGTCAGGGGTGAGAGGGAGGAATTCTCAGGTGTCACCTCCTCACCCGCCTGGAGGCGGAGGCTAGAAACACCAGCTACTTATTCCTATCACTTTTAAATCTATCCAAATTCCAAGGGGAATTCAGACACAGAACATTCTAACAGAATGCAAAAGGAAAGTGAGATTGGCTTCCGAAATGGAATTCCAACGTCACGTGTGCGCACCTGCCAATGTGCTGCTCTTTACTCGTTTTGCACACACTAACGCTGTGGATCTGGGTTTTAGTCAGGGCTCTGACAGGGCTTCTACATCCACAGGGAAGGACAGAAGTGTGTCCCAGAACACTGAAAACTTTGGGAACCCAGTGTTCAGTGTTGATATAATTCCAAATAAGACTGTGTGGCTGGAATTTCCCTACACCCTGACTCAACGAATTAAAATCTCTTTCCACAGGGAGAGCCCTCACATGGGGCCAGATGAGGCCGTGCAGGGACTGCAGGAGTATCCCCGAGGGAGGGACGTCTGGCTTACCGCCATCTCATGCATTAGATAGGACCAGAGTCCTGGACACCTCGGGACATCGGTAGTTTGGAGAAGGTACTGGGAAAATGTGACCCAGCATGTCTGCACAGAAACACCACCCAACATGGACAAGGAGGGCCCTGACCCTTCCGTTCACTCCCTTCCCCACTAAGCAGCCCAGCTCCACCACAGGCATAAAAATAGGAGGTGAGAGGATGGGAGAAGTTGAGGGATGGAGTCTAATGGAAAGCCCACTGGGTCAGCAGTGGTTCTACTCCAGTCACAGCAGCAGCTACAAACAGGGCTCACTCAGCATCCCCAAAGCACTGACCTGCCACCTGCAGGCGGAAGGAGAGCTGCTGACCCCCTGCCTCGCAGCTGTACTCCCCGGCCTCTGCCTGGCCCGCCTGCTGCACCACCAGCCTCCGTGTGCAGCCCACGGCCTCCACGCGCACTTTCGAGCTGGAACTCAGCTTCTTCCCATCCTTGTACCACGTCACCTCTGTCTGGGCCTGGGCCACCTCGCAGCTCAGCGTGGCACTGGCCCCCGCCTCAGCCTGCACCTCCCTGTGTGCTGGCTGCTCCTTGGCAAACACCACCTTGGGCTCTGGGGATGGACAAGGAGGGACACACGAGGTCAAAGATACTGCCCAGGTCAGGAAGACCACCCTAGGGTAGGAGGGCCTAGACAAGAAAGTAGGAGAAACAGAACCTTCCCAAGCTTGGCACTGGCCATGTAGCTGGGAGAAGCCCCACCACCTCCCAGCACAAGAATCACAGTTTCTCCATCCACTGTGCAGTGCCATGGGCTATTCCAGGCGGGGCAGTTGTGACAAACCCTCCGTGCACGAGCTCCTCCAGTGCAGGGACTGGGTTCCTAATGCTTACACAGCTCCCTTCAAGGATATGCTAGGGTCTCCCCATGGGACTGGGCAGGGCGTGTCCTCACTGCAGGGCCCCAGAGTACTGAGGCTTCCAGTCCTGCCACTGTCAGGAGGGTCAGCGTTGGCCTCTGCGGGGAAGGCCTGGGCTTTGTCATGCATTGCCTGGTGACATGCAAGGTGGAGCCCTTTCCACCACTTCTGGCCATTACGTCAGCTCTTCTGGGGTGTCGCTCTTCAGGCTTCTGTCCAATTTTCAGTAGCCTTTTCTGTCTTTTCCTTCCTTATTTTTAGGAACTCTTTATATATTTTAAATGCTAGCAAATGATAACTGTGTATTTGTAAACATCTTACCCATGTCCTTGACCGGCCTTTTCGCTCTCAAATGATGTCTTGACAAATTAAAGTTTTAGTTTTAATGTAGTTAAATATACCATTGTTCCACTGTTTAGTTTTAAGAAATCTTTCCTTTCCCTGAAGTTTTTAGCAATCTATGTTAGCATCTAGAGGCTTTATGGTTTTACCTTTTATACTCTGTGGCCTCTAACCTTCCTGGAACTCACTTTTCAGTGTGAAATAAGTTACTAGTCTAAATTTTTGTAAGGTTAAACAATCAAAGAACTATTTTTTTTTTAGAAGATCATCCTTTCTCCACTGCCTGTGCAGGTGTGAAGGTTAAAAAAAAAACACACAAAACACACACACACAAAAAAAACAAGAAGCAATAAAAGGGAGAATCCATGTATTTGGGTCTGATCATGAGCTCACGATTCTGTCCCTTTGGTCTGACAACTGTCCTTGTGTTGTGCCTGGCTGTCTCCATTCCTGCAGCTGAATGTTCTTGATATCTGGTAGACAAATGCTCACAAGTGGCTCTTCAAGAGTGTGTTACTCCACTTGGCCTTCAGAATCTGCTTCTCAACGTTCACCTCCCCAAAGAGAAACATTTGCTTGGGTTTTGACTGGGCATTAACATATTTGAGTCTTCCATGGGTTTCTATTTATTTAGGTCTTCTTACTGTCTGTCAAAAATGTTTCACAATGGCCAGGCACAGTGGCTCACACCTGTAATCCCAGCACTTTGGGAGGCTGAGGTGGGAGGATTGCTTGAGGTCAGGAGTTTGAGCCCAGCCTGGGCGAAATAGTGAGACCCTGTCGCTACCAAAAAAATTCCTTAAAAAATTAGCTAGGCATGGTGGTGCACGCCTGTATTCTCATCAAGTCAGGAGGCCGAGGTGGGAGGATCTCTTGAGCCCAGGAGGTTGAGGCTGCAGTGAGCCATGATTGCACGACTGAACTCCACTCTGGGTGACAGAGTGAGATCCTGACTCAACAACAAAAATATCTGACAATTTTCCTCCACTGAGGTATCAGACATCTTTACTATACTTGATGCTTTTCACGCTCTTGTAAATCTTTTAAAATTTCATTTTACAACTGTGTTGCTAGTGTGTGTGTGTATGCGTATATACATACATACATATATATGTGTATTCTGCATGTTGAATTTCTATGTGATGTTTCTCAACTCTCATATTATTTGTTATAACTTATTATTTATCTTATTATTTATCTATCTTTTGGATTTTCTGAATTGATACTCATATAATCTGTGAATCCCACTTATGTTTTTCTCCAAGTGTTATACCTTTTCTTTTCTTTTCCTCCTTTCTCTGCTGTACAGTGCTGAATGGAAGTTGGGATGGTTGGCTTCTACGTGCTGATTCCTATCTCAAAGGCAAAGCTTTCAAGGTTCTCTTTAAATATGCAGTTACCTGGTGTTTTCTGCAGTACCACTGACCAGATTAAAGAACGATACTTTATAATTTGTTAAGAATTTCATGGCATGAATTGATGCTGAATTTTATCAAATATTACCTCTGAACTTTAATATTAAATTTAATCAAACATTGTATTCTGTATTTATTGAGATCACATAATTTTTTCATTGCATCCAATTCCATCATCCTTTATATAGATGCACTTGTTTCTAAAACTAAACCAGCCTTGCATTCTGGGACTACATCCTTCCTTAGAGGGTCTTATCCTCTTGATAGATAGCTAAATTCAGTTGCTAATATTTTGCCTTGATATCCATAATAGATTGGTCTAAAATTTTAATCCTTGTTAACATTCCTTGTCATATTTTGATATCCATATTATATTTCTTATTTTTCTTTTTTTTTCTTTTTTGAGACAAGAGTCTCAATCTGTTGACCTAGCTGGAGTGCAGTGGTGCCATCATAGTTCACTATAACCTCAACCTCCTGGGCTCAAGCAGTCCTCCCACCTCAGCCTCCCAAGTAGCTAGGACTTACAGGCACCCACTACAACACCCAGCTAATTTTTTAATTGTTTTTTAGAGACAGGGTTTTGCTATGTTGCCCAGGATGATCTCGAACTCCTGAGCTCAAGTGATCCTTCTACCTTGGCCTCCCAAAGTGTTGGGATTACAGGCATGAGCCACTGCCCTAGGCTATATCATGTTTCTACAAGACTATCTGGGGAGTATATCTGCTTTTCTGTTCCCTAGTAGAAGAATCTGTATGAACATAGAATAATTTCTTTCCTAAATATTTAGTATAATTTAGCAATTAGAGCCACCAGGCTTACATCTTTTGCTATGAGCAGATGGTTTTCATGGTTCCATTTTTTTAAGTTTCTAGGACTACTAGAGTTATCTACTTATTTTTGTGTCACTTTTGATATATTTCTAGGAACTGGCCAAATTGTCAATATTTTCAAATTTATTACTATAAAATTTATTACCACAAATGTATTTCTATAAAATAATTTGTCATATTCTCTTAAAATTTGACAAAAATACAGAGTGAGGTTTTGGGTGTATATACACCCCCAAAACCACTCTATGCTGATGCAATAACAAACTGTTATGTGGTGGCATCTAGAGGTCAGTGTAGTACCTACAGCCAGGGTTACTGGACAGTAAGACTGTCTTAATGAAAGGAAAATAAATTTGTTTCTCAGACTTCTCTATGAAGCAGCCATGGAGGCTCAAACACAGTAACCATTAGGAAATTCTATAAAGTAAATACACATGTCAAACAGAGGCTGCTATGAAGGGAACTCGCCTTTGACGAAGTGTGGTGGTGTCACCTACTCTACTTATTCTTTTCCATTTCTAAATCAAACTACAAGAACACTGACACCAAATACTCCAATTGAGGACAAAAGGAAAACATGCTTTGTTTTAGAAATAGTATTCTAAGCCCATGGATGCACTGCAGGCACATCTCCACTGGGGCGCCACTCCTTACGATTCACACAATCACAACAAATCAGGGATCTACATTTTGTAACATATGGGAAGAGGGAAGAGTGTTCCCCTTTCTCTAAAACTATGATAAGCCAAATTTTAGTTTTGGGAAAATTCCAAGGACAATTCGGTGACTGAAAACTCCCATGATCTTGGTTGGATGAAATGGAGGCATCTCCCCTCCCCCTGGCAAGAGCCATATGCTCCATAGGGTGAGGACTCAGGAGCTACCAGACATTCAACAACAGCACATTCACCTCTGTGCATGTGACAGACACCCGGTCCACCTCAACCCCCAGTGCCAGGGGCAGCGAGCCTCCTTGGACACTAAGAAAACCAGGAAGGTGCCCCGCAGGTGTGACTGCGCACTACCAAGTACAAACATGCCTCCGGGTTTGCAGGAACAGCCCCTCTCCCTCCCATGCACACCCCTCCCTTGGCCCAGCCACAGGGATGGAAATGGGAGTGGAAAGATGGGAAGCCCGAGACATGAAGGCTGAAGGAAAGTGCACAGAGATATGCTGGGGCTACGAGCCAGAAGCACCATCACCTCTGAAGAGGCTCCTCAGGACCTCCAAAGCACTGACCTGCCACGTGCAGGTGGAAGGACAGCCGCTGATCCCCGGCCTTGCAGCTGTACTCCCCGGCGTCCGCCTGGCCTGCCTCCTGCACCACCAGCCTCCGTGTGCAGCCCACGGCCTCCATTCGCACTTTCGAGCTGGAGCTCAGTTTCTTCCCGTCCTTGTACCACGTCACCTCTGTCTGGGCCTGGGCCACCTCGCAGCTCAGCGTGGCACTGGTCCCCGCCTCAGCCTGCACCTCCCTGCTCGCTGGCTGCTCCTTGGCAAACACCGCCTTGGGCTCTGGGGAAGGCAGGGATGCATAGGGTGACCACCACCATCAAGGTCAGGAAGGCAGCACTGGGGAGAGAAGGCCTGGGCAGGGAGGAGGGAGCAAGAGAACCTTCACCAGCCTCAGGCTCTGCACTGGCTGTGTGGTCAGGAGAAGCCCCACCACCTCCCAGCACAAGGAACACAGTTTCTCCTTCCATTTCGCACGGCACCAAGGGCTGCCCCAGGCAGGGCCGCCATGACAGATCCTCCAGGGCAGGGACTGGGGTCCTGACACCTGCACATCTCCGCTCATGGATGTGCCGGGGTCTCCCCAGGGGACTGTGCAGGGCACGTCCTCACCCCAGGGCCCCAGAGTCTGAGACTCCCGCTCCTGCCACTGTCAGGAGGGTCAGCTCTGGCCTCTTCGGAGAGGGCCTGGGCCTCCTGTGGCTTCCTGGGTCCCTGTCGGGAGGACTGTCAAGCTGGGCACCTTCTGATGGTTTGGGGACGGAGTCTTCACTCTTCTGTGATGTCACTATTAAAGTGTTTTGCCCAATTTTCTTTCTTTCTTTTTTTTTTTTTTTTTGAGACAGGGTCTCACTCTGTCGCCCACGCTAGAGTGCATTGGTGTGATCATAGCCCACTGCAGGCTCAATCCTTAGGCTCAAGACATCCTCCCAACTCAACCTCCCAAGGAGCTTGGGACTACAGGCATGTACCACTATGCCTAGCTCTTTAATTTTTCATTTTCTAGAGGCAGGGTCTTGCTATGTTGCCCAGACTGGTCTCAAATTCCAGGGCTCAAGCAATCCTCCTGCCTTGGCCTCCCAAAGCGTTTGGGTTACAGGCATGAGCCACCACGCCCAACTCCAATTTTCAATAGCACTGTCTTTTACATATTTATTTTTAGGAACTTCATATAATTAAATGCTATGTATGTTACAAACATCTTCTCCATCTCCGTGCCTTGCCCTTTCACTCCTGTATGAAGGTCCTCTGATGAAATAAAGTGATCAGTTTTATTGCAGGCAAATATATCATTCATCCTGTGTGGCTAGTGCATTCATGTTCTGTTCAAAACATCTTCTATTACCCACAGGTCACCAGATAATCTATATTATCTATATTATCTGGTAAGAGCTATACTACCCATACATTGAGTTGATTTCTTGTATGGGGAGGTAGACACCCAATTTTATTTTATTTTTGTAAACTGTTAATCGTCTTAGCACCATTTGTGAAAAGATCACCCTTCCTCTACACCACCTCCTAGCACCAGGGTAAAAAATAAAGAAAGGGAGGAGGAATCTGATTCCATCAAAGCTGTTTTGAGCTCAGTATTCAAATATTTTGATCTGTTCATCTCTTCCTGCCTTTGGGTCCAGGTATCTGGAGCACTGCTGCTTTAGAGGACACCCTGCTGTCTGGTACAGCAAAGGCCCCCACACTGCATTCCTCAAGGGCAGCTTGGCCTTTGCTATGCGCTTGTCAGCATTCTCTTACCCAACAGAACTATGGTTGACTGGGATTTACACTTTCAGGTCTCCTACAGCTTTCTAACCATTTATTGAGATATTTTTTACTGTCTCTCAACAATGTTTAATAATTTCCCCCCACAAACCATCTAAAGGTCTTTTGTTAGGCTTGCAGTTGGTAACTACAAGATTTTGGATGGTACTGGAAATCTCTTAAAACATTATTTTCCATCTGCTTGTTTCTGGTACATAGATCTAGAAATGTTTTCTGTATATTGATTCTTTTATGTGGTAACCATTCCCAAATCTCTTACTAATAATTACTTTTTTGGGGCTTTCTAAATTAATAACCATATCATCTGTGAGGTGCATGTTTTATTTTCCAAGTTTTCCACCTTGTACTTTCTTTTCCTCCTCTGTCTGCTATACAATGTTGGAAGAAGTGGTGATGGATGGTGTCCTTGTTCTGTTTCCAATCTCAAAGGCAACGCTTTCAAGGTTTCATGTTTGTGTAATGTTAGCTTGTTTTCTTTATACTATTGCTTATGAAATTAAGGAAAAATGTTTTTATTTAGAGTTTGTTAAGAATTGTATGACATGAATTGATGCTAAATTTTTCCAAATATTTTTGGCATATTTATGATGTTGTATTTTATCCAATGCTTTTAGTCTCCATATTGGAGTAATCACATTCGTTTTTCTTTCAATCTGTTAATGTCACATTTTGTACTGATTTTCTAATGTTTCTCATGTTAAACCATCCTTGCATTACTGGACTATGACTTTTGTCATTGTGTGTTATCCTCTTGATAAATTGCTGAATTCAGGGTGCTATATTTAGTTTAAGATAGTGAGCCTTGATATTGATAAGAGATTGACCAATTTTAATTCTTCATATTCACCCTGTCAGAGCTTGGTATTAATGATATTTATTACCTACATAAAATGAGATAGAGCACTGAGGTCCTTTTTCAATACTCTAGAGGAATGTCTATGAACACAGAATAATTTCTTTCCAGAATATTTGGTACAGTTTACAGTAGAGCACTGGGGTAACCTTCTATAAGATGATTATTTGTTGCATTTCTATAAAAGGTTATAGGACTGTTCAACTTGCCTATTTCTACTTTTGATATAGTTTTGAAGAAATTGATCAATTTGCCAAAACTTTTCAAATTTACTTGCATAAATATAGGGTTAGGCATGGTGGCTCACACCTGTAATCAGAGCACTTTGGGAGGCTGAGGTGGGTGGATCACCTGAGGTCAGGAGCTCAAGACCAGCCCGGTCAACATAATGAAGCCTTGTTTCTACTAAAAATACAAAAAAATTAGCCAGGTATGGTGGCGCGCGCCTGTAGTCCCAGCTACTCGGGAGGCTGAGGTGGGAGAATCGCTCGAACCCAGGATGAGGAGGTTGCAGTGAGACAAGATCGAAGATCGCACCACTGCACTCCAGCCTGGGTGACAGAGTGAGACTCCGTCTCAAAATAATGATAATAATAATGGCATGTTCTCAAATAACAACATTTCAAGTACCTACAAAGTGGGGTTTCTGGCATCTGTACACCCCCAAGAACTCCTACATGCTGATGTGACACCAATGTTAAGTGTCGGTACCTATGAACAAGTGTGTGACTGCACTCCACCTCCATCCGACAAAAGACTCTCTTACTAAAGGAAAATAGAACTCGTTCTCAGATTTCTCTATCAACTAGCCATGAATTATTAGAACGGTATGAAACACATACTGCTTTATCTGTCAGTGGCTGCTGTATAGTAATTCATCTTTAAAATGTGTGCTGATGTAGCTTGATTTGTTTATTCCTCTTCAGTTTTAAATATACAAAATTAAACTAAGGGAAGTTCAGTCACAGAATGTTCTGACATAAGAGCAAATGAAAACAACATATACTTTCAGAAGATAATTCCAAACCTCACAGTGGTGTATCGCAGTCCAGAGCCACCAATTCCCAGTTCTGCATTTATTCTGTAGGCAGTGTAATAAAAACAAGCCAGGTGCAGTGGCTCACACCTGTAATCCCAACACTTTGGGAGGCCAAGGCGGGTGGATCACTTGAAGCCAGAAGTTTGAGACCAGCCTGACTAGCATGGTGAAACCCCATCTCCACTGAAAATACAAAAATTAGCCAGGTGTGGTGGCAGGCGCCTGTAATCTTGGCTACTTGGGAGGCTCAGGCAGGAGAATTGCTTGAACCCAGGAGGCAGAGGTTTCAGTGAGCTGAGATCGTGCCACTGTACTCCAGCCTAGGTGACAGACTCTGTCTCAAAAACAACAACAACAACAAAATAAAAAAACCCAGGATATAGATTTTGCCACATGTGGGTGCACAGAGACTTTTTATGCCCATAAGAAAGATGAGAAGAGGGTCCCCGAACACCTAAAACTTGGATAATCCAAAGTTCAATCATGAGATAATTCCAAGAATGATTGTGTGGCTGAAATTTGCCCTTATCCTTGTTCAATGGAATTCAACCATCTCTCCACAGGGGGAGCCCTCAGGTCGGGCTGGTGAGGCTGGGTGCAAGCTCTCGGATGGCCTCAGGTGAGAGACATCTGGTCTACTTCAGCCTCCAGTAGCAGCCCCTCAGTTCAATTGAGCCAAAGGGCTGGACACCTGGGAGCACCTGTGGGTTCTGACTGGGTGCTGGGAATATGTGAACAGCATTACTGCCTGGAAACACAACTCACAGTGTCTCCTGTATGCATTTATCCCTTCTGGCCAACCTCGGGCCAGCCATGGGTAGGAAAATGGCAGGTAGGATTACGAGAGACTTCCAGAGATGAACTCTAATGGAAAGAGTACTGGGGTCTATCAGCCAATCTCATCAACACCTACACACAAGGTAACTCAGCATCCCCAAACCACTGACCTGCCACTTGCAGGCGGAAGGAGAGCTGCTGGCCCCCAGCCTCACAGCTATACTCTCCGGTGTCTGCCTGGCCTGCCTGCTGCACCACCAGCCTCCGTGTACAGCCTGCAGCCTCCACATGCACTTTCAAGCTGGAGCTCAGCTTCTTCCCGTCCTTGTACCAAGTCACCTCTGTCTGGGCCTGGGCCACCTCACAGCTCAGTGTGGCGCTAGCCCCTGCTTCAGCCTGCACCTCCCTGTGTGCTGGCTGCTCCTTAGCAAACACCGCCTTGGGCTCTGGGGAAGGCAGGGATGCACAGGGTGGCCACCACCATCTAGGTCAGGAAGGCAGCACTGGGGAGAGAAGGCCTGGAAGGGGAAGTGCGAGGGACAGATGCTCTCCAGGCTCTGCACCACCGCCTCCCAGTACAAGGAACACAGTTTCTCCATCCATTCTGCATGCAGGATCTGTCACATCCCCAGGGCACCCTGCAGAATGGTGGCATGTTCCTGTGGTCCCTGCTGCTTGGGAGGCTGGTCTCGAATGCCTGAGCTCAAGCAATCCTTCTGCCTCAGCCTCTCAAAGTGCTGGGATTACAGGTATGAGGCACCGTGCCAGGCCTGATGCTAAACTTTATCAAACAGCTGTTCAGAATTTATGATGTTAAATTTCATCAAACTTTTCTTCTGCATTTATTGAGATTTTCTCTTTCAATCTGTTAATGTCATGCATGACATTTTCTGATGTTTTGAATATTGAATATATTGAGTATAGCATTTCTAAATTATGCCTTTTATCATAGTGCATTTTCCTTTTGACATACTGGTCATACCACTTTGAAAATATATTGTTGAAGCATTGGCCTGGATATCCATAATGACTGGCCTGTAATTTCAAATCTTTATACTGTTGTCATAATTGGTATCTATGTTATGCTATCCACATAAAACAGGTTCAAGAGTGTATCTTCTCATTCTATTCTCTGAAAGGATCTCTAAGAACATTCAATAATTTGTTTTGAGAATATTTGGTATAATTTATCAGTAGATCCACTGGGCTTAGACCTTTTATAAAAATATTGTTTATTACTGGTTCCACTTAATTAAAAGCTATAGGACTATCTGAGTTGTCTGTTTCTTCCTGTGTAACTTTTTCATAGTTTTCTCTAACAAATTGGCAATTCTCCAAAACTTATAAAATGTATTACCATTAAAGAATTTATCGCACTCTCTTAACACAATATTTTAGAAAGATACACAGTGGGATTTTTTGGTATCTATATATACACAACTACAAATGATTATATACTGATAGAATGCCAAGCTGTCATGGGTTGGCATTTGGGAGTCAATGTAGTACCACAACCTTTTTCTCTCTGACATTTAGCCTGTTTTGTTGTTGTTGTTGTTGTTGCTTTTATTTTTTTTTCCAGAAACAGGGTCTCACTCTGTTGCCCAGGCTGGAGTGCAGTGGTGTGATCATGGCTCACTGCAGCCTGGAACTCCTGGGCCCAAGTGATCCTCCTGCCTCAGCCTCCTGAGTAGCTGGGACTACAGGCGTGTGCCACTTCATCCAGCTAATTTCTGTAGTTTTTGTAGAGACGAGGTCTCGCTATAGTGCCTAATCTGGTCTCAAACTGCTGGGATCAAGCAATCCTCCTGCCTCGACCTCCCAAAGTGCTGGGACTACAACAGGCATGAGCCACTGTGCCCAGACTCTCTTAACAAAATATATACATATATTAGGTGTGCTGAGATAGCTTAAGCTCTTTCTTCCTTTCCACTGCTAAATTCATAAATCAGACTCCAAGGGGGAATTCTGACTCAGAAAGTTGTTAACTGGAGACAAAAGGAAAGCCAGAATAGCCTTAAGAAGAGGCCGGGAACAGAGGCTCATGCCTGTAATCCCAGCACTTTGGGAGGCCAAGGCAGGCAGATCATGAAGTCAGGAGATCGAGACCACAGTGAAACCCGTCTCTATTAAAAATACAAAAATTAGCCTGATGTGGTGGCGGGTGCCTGTAGTCCCAGCTACTCAGGAGGCTGAGGCTGGAGAATGGCGTGAACCCAGGAGGCGGAGCTTGCAGTGAGCCGAGATGGCGCCACTGCACTCCAGCCTGGGCGACCGAGCGAGACTCCGTCTCAAAAAAAAAAAGAAAAAGAAAAAAAGAAAAGCACTTGGAATCTTGCAGTTGTATCCCAGGGGCACAGTCACCAGCCCTCTGGGCTGGGATTTTTTGCACAGACACTGCAAGAAAACAAGGACCGAGATTTTGCCACATATGGGTGCACAGTGAGCTTCTAAAGCTTCTAGATCCATAAAATAAATAAAATAAAAAAAAGGAAAGAGGCTGCCGGGACACCAAAAGCTTTGATGCCCCGAAGTTCAGTCTGGAAAGAATTCCAAGTGGGACTGCATGGGCAGAATTTCCCCTTATGTGGGTCATATGAATTTGAAACGTCTCTCATGGGCTAGAAGCCCCACGTGGTGCGGAAGGGAGGCAGGTACTGAATGACAGAAAGGACATCCCCACTTTCCCAGGGGAGGCACCTGGTCCACCTCAGACCACAGGTCCAGACAGCGCCAGGGGCCTGGACACCAAAGAGCATGGGGGTTTGGAGTAGGGGCTCAGTGTGATGAGGCTGCACTGCATGGGAGCACTGCTCCAGGTGCACCACAGGGCCTGGCCTCCCTGCACCTTCCCATCCGGCCAAGCCTGGCGCAGCCAAGGGTATGAAACCGGGAAGTGAGGGCATGGAGAAGTGGAGAGGTGGAGTCTCATGGAAAGGGCACTGGAGGCCGTGGAGTCCATCAGCCAGTCTCATCATCACCTCCACACAAAGTCACTCTCCAACCCCCAAAGCACTGACCTGCCACGTGCAGGTGGAAGGAGAGCCGCTGGCTCCCCGCCTCGCAGCTGTACTCCCCGGCGACCGCCTGGCCCGCCTGCTGCACCACCAGCCTCCGTGTGCAGCCCACAGCCTCCATGCGCACTTTCGAGCTGAAGCTCAGCTTCTTCCCGTCCTTGTACCACATCACCTCCGTCTGGGCCTGAGCCACCTCGCAGCTGAGTGTGGTGCTGGCCCCCGCCTGGGCCTGCACCTCCCTGTGCACTGGCTGCTCCTTGGCAAACACCACCTTGGGCTCTGGGGAAGGCAAGATGCACACGGTGACCACCAACATCTAGGTCAGGAAGGCAGAACTGGGGAGAGAAGGCCTGGAAGGGGAGGCGCAAGGGACAGACGCTCTCCAGGCTGCACCACCACCTCCCAGCACAAGGAAGTTTCTCCATCCATTCTGCATGGTGCCACAGGCTGTCTTTGGTGGGGTGGCTGACAGATCTTGCCCACACAAGCTCATCTGGGGCAGGGATTGGGGTCCTGACGCCTGCACCCTTCCCCTCATGAATGGAGCAAGGGTCTCCCAATGCGGCTGTGCAAGACGCATCCTCACCACAGAACCCCAGTCTTGAGGCTCCCGCTTCTGCCACTGTCAGGACGGTCAGCTTTGGCCTCAGCGGGGTGTGTCGCTGTGGCTTTCTTCATTGTTTGATGGCTCACAGGGCTGAGCATCTTTCTAGAGGATTGGCCATTCCTGTTTGCTCCTCTGTGGTGTCACTACTCAATTCCGTCCCATTATCAATAGCACTGTCTTGTTGTCTTTATTCAGTTTAAGAAGGCAGTCCCCAACATTTTTGGCAGCAGGGACTAGCTTCATGGAAGGCAATTTTTCCACAGATGGGGGTTGGTGGGATAGTTTCAGGATGAAACTGTTCCACCTCAGATCATCAGGCATTAGATTCTCATAAGGAGCACAACCTAGATTCCTCCAATGCACAGTTCACAATAGGGTTCATGCTCCTATGAGAATCTAATGCTGCTGCTGATCTGACAGGAGGCAGAGCTCAGGCGGGAATGCTCACCTGCCACTCACCTCCTGCTGTGCGGCCCAGTTCCTAACAGGCCACAGAACAGTACTGGTCCACAGCCTGGGGGTTGGGGACCCTGGCTTTAAGGTCTTCTTCATATATTTTAATGTTAGAGAGGTCACAATTATGCACTTTGTATCTTCCCTACCTGTGTGACTTGGGTTTTCATCTCTTATGGCACCTTCTGATGAATCAGACCTTTTAGTTTTAATGTACTCAAATATATCAATCTTGTCCATTGTGGTTAGGGCATTTGTGTTCTATTTAAACACTTCCTTACCCTAAATTCTGTAGATAGCCTATGCTTACCATCTTGGGGTTTATTGTTTTACCTTTTACCCTGAGGTCTCTAACCCACCAGGAGCTGACTCTCGCGCATGCTATGAATTACCAATATGCTTTAATTCTTCCCATATGTTTAAAATGGTCCACACACTAGTTATGAAAACACTATCCTTGGCTGGGCACAGTGGCTCATGCCTGTAATCCCAGCACTTTGGGAGGCTGAGGCGGGCGGATCACGAGGTCAGGAGATCAAGAGATCAAGACCATCCTGGCTAACACAGTGAAACCCCGTCTCTACTAAAAATACAAAAAAATTAGCCGGGTGTGGTGGCGGGCACCTGAAGTCCCAGCTACTCGGGAGGCTGAGGCAGGAGAATGGCATGAACCCGGGAGGCAGAGCTTGCAGTGAGCCAAGATGGCGCCACTGCACTCCAGCCTGGACAACAGAGCTAGACTCCATCTCAAAACAAAAAAAAAAGAAAACACTATCCTTTCTCTACTTCTTGCACAGATGCCATGGTTAAAAAAAAAAAAAAAAAAAAAAAAGGAAGGGGGACATCCAGAGATCACTGATGCATAGAACTGTTCCTGAGCTCACTATTCCATTTCTTTGTTCTGATATCTAACCATTCATTGAAATCCATTGTCTTAATTACTGTAACTTTATGATAATTTTTGACATCTGGTAGAGTAATGTTCATACTTTGATTTTCTTTTCATTCCCCCACAAAAAAAAATTGTTTGGATCCTGATTGTTAATGAATATATTTTAATGTTTCATGAATTTCTATCCATTTAATTAGATCTCTTAATTGTCTTGCAAAATATACAACAATTTCCTAGCCCCTCCCCAGGCTTTAAACATCTTTATTAGACTTTGAATTAGAAACACTGTAATTTTGATGCTACTGTAAGTCTTTTCAAATTTCATTTTGCAACTGTTTACTGCTGTATATAGATACAGAAGTATTGTCTGTGTGTTGATTTTTTTTTTTAACAGAATAATCATTCTCAATGTTACTTAGTCTACTAAGTTCTCTATTGGATTTTCCAAGTGGATGGCCATATCATCAGTAAATTTCACTTTTACTTTTTCCAAGTGCCATGCCTTTTGCGTTATTTTCCTCCTTACCCTTATGTACAATGTTGGATACAAGTGGTGACACTGCCCTGTCTCCTTCTCTGAACCAAACCTTTCAAGGTTTGCTCTGAGTGGGATCCTAGTGGTGCTTCTCTAGTACCATTTATCAAATTAAGGAAGAACACTTCTATAAAGTTTGTTAAGAATCCTATGAAATGAGTTGATGCTAAATTTTCTCAAATATATCTTCTAGATTTTATCAAATACTTTTAATCTGCATTTATTGAGATAATTACATCATTTTTCATTCAATCTGTTAAGGTCAAGCTTATTATACTGATCTAATGCTTCTAAAGCCAAACCAGCCTTGCATTCTGGGACCAGGATCTTCAACAGAGTGCACTGTCTTCTTGATACATTGCTGAATTCCATTTGCTAATACTTTGTTTATGATTGTGTTCTTGATATCCATAATGACAAATCCATATAGATTGGTCGACAATTTAATTCTTCCTACTTCCTTTGTCAGATTTTGGTATTAATGTTACGCTATCTACATAAAATGATGGCCTGGGCATGGTGGCTCATGCCTGTAATACCAGCACTGTGGGAGGCCAAGGCGGGTGGATAGCTTGAGCCCAGAAGTTTGAGACTAGCCTGGGCAACATGGCAAAACCCCGTCTCTACTGAAAAAAAAAAATACAAAAAAATAGCTGGCACACATGCTATTTTTGTGGTGGTGGTGCATCCCTGTAATCCCAGCTACTTGGGGGGCTGAGGTAGGAAAATCACTTGAACCTGGGAGGCAGAGGGTGCAGTGAGCCAAGATCATGCCACTGTACTCCAGCCTGGACAATAGAGTGAGGCCCTGTCTCAAACAAACAAACAAACAAAAAAAAAAAACCATAAAATGGCATATGGAGTCAATCTCCTTTTTCTATTCTCCAGAACAATATTCATGAATATGGAGTAACTGCTTTCCAGAATATTTGAAACAGTTTACTAGAAAATTATTGGGTTTAAAAGATTTTTTTACTACTGCCTCCATCTATTTAAAACTTATAGGACTAAGTTTTCTGTAACCTTTTATGTGAGTTTTCATGTAATTTACTAGGAATTAGCCAAATTGTCACAACTTTTCAAATTTATTACATAAAACATTTTGTCATATTCTCTGAAAATAACTTCACAGAAATATACAGTGGGATTTCTGTTATCTATACACATCCACATAACACTGATGCTGATGTAATACCAAACTTATGTGTTAGCACCCAGAGGTCACCATGGGACTTCAGCCCACCCCTATTTGGCATCAACACTCTCTTTATTTTAAAAAAAAAAAAAAAAAGGAAATTAATTGTATTTCTCAGGCTTCCCTATGTATCAGCCAAGGGAACACAGATATACACAGCAGCAAACACACTGGACTTGCTGGTGAGACATTTGCATTCCAGAGGATGGGAAATAAATCTGACTAAAATTCAGGGACCTCCCACCTCAGTAAAATGTCTAGGGGTCGAGTGGTGTGGGGCCTGTCAAGATATTCCTTCTAAGGTGAAGGATAAGTTGCTGCATTTGGCCCCTCCTACAACCAAGAAAGAGGCACAATGTCTATTTGGATTTTGGAGGCAACACATTCCTCATGTGGGTGTGTTACTCTGGATCATTTATCAAGTGACCCAAAAGGCTGCCAGTTTTGAGTGGGGTCCAGAACAGGAGAAGGGTCTGCAACAGGTCCAGGCTGCTGTGCAAGCTGCTCTGCCACTTGGGCCATATGACTCAGCAGATCCAGTGGTGCTTAAGGTGCCAGTGGCAGATAGGGATGCTGTCTGGAGCCTTTGGCAGCCCCCACGGGTGAATCAGAGTGGAGGCCTTTAGGATTTTGGAACAACACCCTGTCATCTTCTGCAGATAACTACTCTCATTTTGAGAGACAGCTCTTGGCCTGTTACTGAGCTTTGGTGGAAACTGAACAATTGACTATGGATCATCAAGTCACCATGTGACTTGAACTGCTTGTCATAACCTGGGTGCTTTCTGACCCACCTAGCCATAAAGTTGGGCATGCACAACAGCATTCTATCATCAAATGGAAGTGGTATATACATGATCGGGCTCAAGTAGGTCCTGAAGGCCCAAGTAAGTTACATGAGGAAGTGGCTCAAATGCCCATGGTCCCCACTCCTGCCACCCTGCCTTCTCTCCTCCAGCCTGCACCAATGGCCTCATGGAGAGTTCCCTATGATCAACTGACAGAGGAAGAGAAGACTAGGGCCTGGTTCACAGACGGTTCTGTACGATATGCGGGCACTACCCAAAAGCGGAGAGCTGCAGCACTACAGCCCCTTTCTAGGACATCCCTGAAGAACAGGGGCAAATGGAAATCTTCCCAGTGGGCAGAACTTCAAGCAGTGCACCTCGTTGTGCACTTTGCTTGAAGGAGAAATGGCCAGATGAGCGATTATACACTGATTCATGGGCTGTAGACAATGGTTTGGCTGGATGGTCAGGGACTTGGAAGAAGCATGATTGGAAAATTGAGGAAGAGGTGTGTGGATGGACCTCTCTGAGTGGTCAAAAATTGTGAAGATATTTGTATCTCATGCGAGTGCTCACCAAAGGGTGACCTCAGCAGAGGAGGATTTTAATAATCAAGTGAATAGGATGACTGTGGACACCACTCAGCCTCCTTCCCCAGCCACCCCTGTCATCACCCAATGGGTCCATGAACAAAGCAGCCATGGTGGCAGGGATGGAGGTTACACATGTGCTCAGCAGCATGGACTTCCACTCACCAAGGCAGTCCTGACTAAGGCCACTGCTGAGTGCCCAATTTGCCAGCAGCAGAGACCAACAATGAGCCCTCGATATGGCACCATTTCTCAGGGTGATCAGACATCTACTTGATGGCAGGTTGATTATATTGGACCTCTTCCATCATAGAAAGGGCAATGGTTTGTCCTCACCAGAATAGACACTTATCCAGATATGGGTTTGTCTATCCTGCACACAACACTTTGACCAAGACTACCATCCATGGATTCACAGAATGTCTTATCCACCGTCATGGTATTTCACACAGCACTGCCTCTGACCAAAGCACTCTATGGTTAAAAAAGTGTGGCAGTGGGCTTATGCTCATGGAATTCACTGGTCTTACCATGTTCCCCATCATCCTGAAGCAAGTGGATTGATAGAACAGTGCAATAGCTTTTTGAAGTCACAATTCCAATGCCAACTAGGTGTCAATACTTTGCAGGGCTGGGGCAAAGTTCTCCAGAGGCTGTCTGTGCTCTGAATCGGTGTCCAATATATGGCACTGTTTTTCCCATAGCCAGGATTCACGAATCCAGGAATCAAGGGATGGAAGTGGAAGTGGCACCACTCACCATCACCCCTAGTGACCCACTAGCAAAATTTTTGCTTCCTGTTCCCATGACATTACGTTCTGCCGGCTTAGAGGTCTTAGTTCCTGAAGGAGGAATGCTGCCACCAGGAGACACAACAACGATCCCATTAAACTGGAAGTTAAGATTGCCACCTGGCCACTTTGGGCTCCTCCTACCTTTAAGTCAACAGGCTAAGGGAGTTACATTGTTGGTTGGGGTGACTGACCCGAACTATCAAGATGAAATCAGTCTACTACTTCACAATGGAGGTAAGGAGGCATATGCGTGGAATACAGGCAATCTCTTAGGACATCTCTCAGTATTATCATGCCCTGCGATTAAGGTCAATGGGAAACTACGACAACCCAATCCAGGCAGGACTACAAATGACCTAGACCCTTCAGGAATGAAGGTTTGGGTCACTCCACCAGGAAAAAAATCAAAATATCTCTCGCTGACCAGAACTAGCATGTGCTGCTGGGTGAGGGCATATGGTAGCTTCCAGAACATATACTGACAGGATATTCACAGAGCCCCAGGAAAGAGATGCCTGGTCAACCTCAGAACCCAAGACAAGGGAGATCCAGAGTCCCAGAAGCCAAGGAGCACCAGGAAGGCTCTGGGCAGGTGCTAGGAATGAGTGACTGAGCATTACAAAGTGCAAACACACCTCCAGGTTTGCAGGAATAGCCCCTCTCCCTCCCATGCACACCCCTCCCTTGGCCCAGCCACAGGGATGGAAATGGGAGCAGGAGGATGGGAAGCCCGAGACATGAAGGTGGAAGGAAAGTGCACAGAGATATGCTGGTGCTACGAGCCAGAACCACCATCACCTCCGAAGAGGCTCCTCGGTGCCCACAAAGCACTGACCTGCCACGTCCAGGCTGAAGGAGAGCCGCTGGCCCCCGGCCTCGCAGCTATACTCCCCGGTGTCCGCCTGGCATGCCTGCTGCACCACCAGCCTCCGTGTGCAGCCCACAGCCTCCATTCGAACTTTCGAGCTGGAGCTCAGCTTCTTCCCGTCCTTGTACCACGTCACCTCTGTCTGGGCCTGGGCCACCTCGCAGCTCAGCGTGGCAATGGCCCCCGCCTCGGCCTGCACCTTCCTGTGTGCCAGCTGCTCCTTTGCAAACACCGCCTTGGGCTCTGGGGAAGGCAGGGATGCACAGGGTTACCACCACCATCTAGGTCAGGAAGGCAGCACTGGGAAGACAAGGCCTGGGAGGGGAAGTGGGAGGGACAGATGCTCTCCAGGCTGCACCACTGCCTCCCAGCACAAGAAACATAGTTTTTCCATCCATTCTGCATGGTGCCATGGGCTGTCCCAGGCAGGGCCACCATGACAGATCCTCCAGGGCAGGGACTGGAGTCCTGACGCCTGCACAGCTCCCCTCATAGATGTGCCGGGGTCTCCCCATGGGACTGTGCAGGGTGCGTCCTCACCCCAGGGCCCCAGAGTCTGAAGCTCCTGCTCCTGCCAGTCAGGAGGGTCAGCTCTGGCCTCTTGGAGGAGGGCCTGGGCCTCCCATGTCTTCCTGGGGCCATGTCAGGAGGACTGTCAGCTGGGCGCCTTCTGATGGTCTGGGGACGGAGTCCTCACTCTTCTATGGTGTCACTGTGCAAGTGCTTTGTCTGACTTTCAATAGCACTGTCTTTCTTTTACACCTTCATTTTAGGATCTCTTTTTACATCTAAATACTACAGCAGTGAGCTCTAGCATACTAGAGCGTTAGCATGTTAGAAATATCTTCCTTTTCTGTGTAGCTTGCCTTTTCATTCTCTTATGGTGTCTTCCAAAGAATCAAAATTTTTAATTTTAATGTATTCAAATATATCAAATGTGTTTCTTTGTGGTCAGGGCATGTGTGTTCTGTTTAGGAAGTCATGCTTTACTGTGAAGTCACTAGAAACATCTCTCTTTTCCTCTAAGGCTTGTATGGGTTTCCCCGGGATTCTGACATCTCTAACCAACTGGAGTTGACTTTGTGTGTGGTTGAGATCCTGGTCTGATTTTTTTTCCCATATGGTTTAATTGCCCAAAATCTGTTTTTCTTCTTCTTTTTTTTTTTCTGAGACAGGGTATCACTCTGTCACCCAGAGTGGAGTGCAGTGATGCCATCATAGCTAACTGCAGCTTCAGTCTCCTGAGTTCAAGCCATCCTCCCACCTCAGCTTCCCAAGTAGCTGGGACTACAGGTACATGCCACCACAGCCAGCTAATTGTTTTTCAATTTCTTGAGAGATGGGATCTTGCTCTGTTGCCCTAGGCAGGAATGCAGTGACGTGATTATAGCTAACTGCAGCCTCCAACTCCTGGGGCTCAAATATCCTCCTGCCTCAGCCTCCCAAGTAGCAGGGACTTACAGGTGCACACCACCATGCCTGGGTAATACGACTTTCTTCATAGCATACTATTCTCTTAGTATATTGCTAAATATATATGAATAATATGTTGTTTAAGATTTTGTCCTTGCTATCCATAATAGGTTGGCCTATATTTTTAATTCTTCCTACTTTGTATCAATGTTATGCTATCTACATGAAACAAATCAGAGAGTGTCTCTCTTCATTGTATTCTCTAGAAGAATCTCCATGAACATGGAATAATTTATTTGCAGATTGTTTGGTATAATTTACTGTAAAGTTGTTAGATATTGCTTAGAAATTTCTTACTGAAAATATTTTTGTTACTAGTCCCATTTATTTAAAAGTTATAGGACTATCTGAGTTGTGTATTTCTTTTTATGTTACTTTTTATATACTTTTTAAGCAATTTAACAATTTGTTGAACCTGTTCATATTTAATACCAGTAAATATTTGTCATACTCTCCTAAAATAGCATTTTAGAAAGATATATAGTGGGTTTACTGGCATCTATACCCACCCACAAACCACTGCACGGTGGTAATAACAGACTGTTATGTGTTGGCCCCCAGGCGTCAACATGAGGCTGCAGCCCACAGATCTCTGATGTTAAGATTCTCTTAATGAAAAGAAAATAAATGTAGTTTCAGAATTCTCTATGACCCAGTCAGGAAAAGCCACAGGCACAACATAATTACTGGGAAATGCTACTGAATAAATACTGCTTTTGCCAGTCAGGGGCTGCCTGATATGGTTTGCCTCAGTGTCCCCACCCAAATCTCACCTTGAATAGTAATAATCACCAGGTGTCAATGGTGGGACCAGGTGGGGATAATTGAATCATGGGGGCAGTTTCCCTCATGCTGTTCTTGTAATAGTGAGTGACTACTACCACCAAGATCTGATGGTTTTATAAGGAGCTCGCTTCTTTACTCAGCACTCATTCTTTCTCCTGCAGCCCTGTGAAGAGGTGCCTTCCGCCATGATTGTAAGTTTCCTAAGGCCTTGCAAGTTTCCTGAGGCCTTCCCAGCCATGGGGAACTGTGAGTCAATTCAACCTCTTTCCTTTATAAATTACCTACTCTTGGGTATGTCTTCATTAGCAGTGTGAGAACAGACTAATATACTGCTACTATTGCATCTCAGTTGTATCAGCACCTGGTAATGTCACCTAAGCTACTTATTCCTTTCCATTTCTAAATTTAAAAATCAAGCTCCAAGGAGAATCTGACATGTTCTAACTAAAAACAATGGAAAACAAGAGTTGTTCTTGGAAGAGAATTCCAGACCTCATGGGTGCATATCACAGGCTCATATGTACCAATCCATGCTGCTGTTTTACTTGACACAGACATTGCAACAAACATGGATCTAGGTTTTGCTACCTGTGGGTGCACAGGCAGCTTCCATGTCCATAAAAAGGAGGGGAGAAGGTCCCAGGACATAGAAAATCAGATAATCCACAGTGTGATCTTGAGATAATTCTATGTACGGTTGTGTGGCTGAAATTTCCCCTTCTCCCAGATAAGTTAAATTCAAACATCTGTCACTAGGGAGAACAAGCATGAGGTATGGGGTGCAGGCATGTGAGAGCTGCCAGACATTCAGTAGAAGGAAATTCACACAACCCCAGGTGGAGACACCTGGTCTACCTTGGACCACAGGGGCCTGGTAGAGAAGGAACAGCAGCAAGGTTCTAGGCAGATGATGGGAACGTATGATTGAGCATTATCACATGAAAACACCACTCCAGGTACACAGCAACAGCCCCTCTCCCTCCACACATATCCTTCCCATTTGGCCTCCCTTAACCACACCAGTTATGAAATAAGAATTGGGAGGGTTGGAAACAACAGAGGTAAAGGCTAATGGGAAGAGCACCAGAGTCTATCAGCCAGTCTCATCATCACCTCTACAAAGTTAGTACCCCCAAAGCACTGACCTGAAACATCCAGGTGGAAGGAGAGCCGCTGGCCCCCAGCCTCACAGGTGTACTCCCCAGCATCTGCCTGGCCTGCCTGCTGCACCACCAGCTGCCGCATGCAGCCCGCAGCCTCTATGCGCACTTTCGAACTGGAGCTCAGCTTCTTCCCATCCTTGTACCACGTCACCTCTGTCTGGGCCTGGGCCACCTCACAGCTCAGTGTGGCACTGGCCCCTGCCTCAGTCCGCACCTCATTATGCACCAACTGCTCCTTGGCAAACACTGCCTTGGGCTCTGAGGGTGGACAGGAGGGATGCGCAGTCAGAGACACAAATCTGGGACCAACCCATTTCACAGGCACCAAAGATTCAGGATTCAGTAACAACAAACAACTGATGAAAGACATAAACCCACAGACTCAAGATGTTCTACAATCCCAACCAGGATGAAGACAAAGGAAACCACACCTACATTCATCAAAGAAATACTACCACAAAGCAAAATCAAGAAGAAAATCTTAAAAGCAACAGGATGAAAAAAGGTACATGACCCTCAAAATATCCATAACAAATTTCACAGTTCATATTTCAAAGAAAATATGAACACCAGAAGATAATGGAATGACCTCTTTAAAATGTTAGGGAGTGGGGAGTAGCTGCTAAACTGTAATGTTATACCCAGATAAAACAGCCCTCAGAATCAAAGGGGGAACAAATATGTGTTCACAAGAGAAATAAAAAGTAAGAGAATGCATATGACCAGCTGACCTGCTAACATAAATACTGAAGACATAGTTCTACAAGAAGAAAAAAGAATAGTAATCCCAGAATACTGGGTCCAAATTCTGACTGCAATTTTCTGGCTTTGTGAACTGTGGTGAGTTACTTCCCTGTGTGTTATCTTAAAATGAGAATAATCAGAGTTCCTCCTCGCAAATTGTTTTGAAGTTTAAGCAAGCAGAAAGACTAGAAGCGCTTCACAAAATCTAGGTCCTCAGCACAAAATTAATACCTGTTAGTTGTTATTACAGGAGAAGCTTTATGAGAAAAAAGGCCCTTGGGCGGGACTTCCATACACACCCTAAGTCTGTAAAGATTATCCTAATAGCATAAGAAAGGCCTCAAAAAACTCACCTGTGATGTGCAGTTGAAAGGAGACTCTCTGGCCCCCAGCCTCGCAGCTGTACTCCCCAGCATCTGCTTTGCCCACCTGCTGCACTACCAGCCTTCGTGTGCAGCCCTTGACCTCCATGCGTACTTTTGAGCTGGAGCTCAGCTTCTTCCCGTCCTTGTACCACGTCACCTCTGTCTGGGGCTGGGCCACCTCACAGCTCAGCATGGCAGTGGTCCCCGCCTCAGCCTGCACCTCATTATGCACTGACTGCTCCTTCGCAAACACCCCCTTGGGCTCTGAGGGTGGACAAGGAAGGATGCACAGTCAGAGACACAGATCTGGGACCAACCCATTTCACAGGCACTGAAGCTTCAGGATTCAGTAATAGCAAACAGCTGATGAAAGACATAAATCCACAGACTCAAGATGCTCTACAATCCCAACACGGATGAAGACAAAGGAAACCACACCTAGGTTCATCAAAGAAAAAAATGCCATGAAACAAATTCAAAAAGAAAATCTTAAAAGCAACAGGATGAAAAAAGATACATGACCCTTAAAATGTCCACAATAAATCTTACAGTTGATATTTCAAAGGAAATATGGACGCCAGAAGACAATGGAATGACCTCTTTAAAATGTTAGGGAGTGGAGGAATAGCTGATAAACTGTAATGTTATACCCAGATAAAACAGTCCTCAGAATCAAAGGGAGAACAAATATATTTTCGTATGAGAAAAAAAGATAGAATATGTATAACCAGCAGAGCTGCTAACATAAATACTGAAGACAGAATTCTTCAAGAAGAAAAAAATAATAATAATCCCAGAATACTGGGTCCAAATTCTGACTACAACTTTCTGACTTTGTGAACTGTGGTAAGTTACTTCCTTGTGTGTTATCTTAAAATGGGAATAATCAAAGTTACTCCTCACAGAATAGTTTTGAATTTTAAGCAAGCAGAAAGACAAGAAGCATTTCACAAAATCTAGGCCTTCAGCACAAAATTAATACCTGCTAGTTGTTATTACAGGGGAAGCTCTATGAGAAAAAAAGGTCCTTGGGTGAGACCTCCATATGTACCCAAAGTCCCTAAAAACTATCCTAAAAGCACAAGAAAGGCCTCAAAAAACTCACCTGTGATGTGCAGGTGGAAGGAGACTCTCTGGCCCCCAGCCTCACAGCTGTACTCCCCAGCATCTGCTTTGCCCGCCTGTGGCAGCACCAGCCTCCGTGTGCACCCTTTGACCTCCATGCCCACTTTTGAGCTGGAGCTCAGCTTCTTCCCATCCTTGTACCACGTCACCTCCGTCTGGGCCTGGGCCACCTCACAGCTCAGCATGGCACTGGCCCCCGCCTCAGCCTGCACCTCATTATGCACTGACTGCTCCTTTGCAAACATCATCTTGGGCTCTGAGGGTGGACAAGGAGAGACGCACAGTCAGAGACACAAATCTGGGACCAACCCATTTCACAGGCGCTGAAGATTCGGGATTCAGTAACAGCAAACAGCTGATGAGAGACATAAACCCACAGACTCAAGATGCTCTACAATCCCAACACGGATGAAGACAAAGGAAACCACACCTAGGTTCATCAAAGAAAAAAATGCCATGAAGCAAATTCAAAAAGAAAATCTTAAAAGCAACAGGATGAAAAAAGATACATGACCCTTAAAATATCCAAAATAAATCTTACAGTTGATATTTCAAAGGAAATATGGACGCCAGAAGACAATGGAATGACCTCTTTAAAATATTATGGGGGTGGAGGGGTAGCTGCTAAACTGTAACGTTATACCCACATAAAACAGCCCTCAGAATCAAAGGGAAAACAAATATGTTTTCATATGAGAAAAAAATGAGAATATATATAACCAGCAGAGCAGCTTACATAAATACTGAAGATAATACTCTTCAAGAAGAAAAAAAGGAATAATAATCCCAGAATACTGGGTCCAAATCTTGACTGCAATTTTCTGGCTTTGTGAACTGTGGTAAATTACTTCCTTGTGTGTTATCTTAAAATGGGAATAATCAGAGTTCCTCCTCATAGGATTGTTTTGAAGTTTAAGCAAGCCGAAAGACAAGTAGCATTCACAAAATCTATGCCCCTTGGCACAAAATTAATACCTGCTAGTTGTTATTTTAGGGGAAGCTTTGTAAGAAAAGAGGCAATTAGGTGGCACCTCCACGCTAATGTCACTAAAAATTATCCTAAGGAACATAAGAAAGATCTCAAGAAACCCACCTGTGATGTGCAGGCGGAAGGAGACCCTCTGGCCCCTGGCCTCGCAGCTGTAGTCCCCGGCATCTGTCTTGCCTGCCTGCTGCACCACCAGCCTCCGTCTGCAGCCCTTGGCCTCTACATGCACTTTCAAGCTGGAGCTCAGCTTCTTCCCATCTTTGTACCACATCACCTCCGTCTGGGCCTGGGCCACCTCGCAGCTCAGCGTGGCACTGGCCCCTGCCTCAGCCTGCACCTCACTGTGTGCCACCTGGTCCTTGGCAAACACCACCTTGGGCTCTGGGGACAGAGTGGGACACACAGGGTCAGACATATTCCAATTACTAGAACTGAATGAGGGCCCACCTTCTTGATCTCAAAACTCTGATGGTTCAGCCACAAGCCTGCCCTGTTCCTGGATTTCTCAACAAAAAGAACTTTACGTTTTGAAGATGCACAGGGCAGGCAATAGGTTAGTTCTCAGAATCTGAAGCCTCCCAGTTAGATAATTTTCAGACTGGTATATGCTGCAATTCAGGCTCTGGCATTTATTTACCAGCTGTGATCTCCTAAGTATACAAACAAAGAGAAGGACAGTTTGTGACCTGCACACCAATGCATAGGTATTTTCAGACATAATTCCTTAAGTAACACTGGCAAAATGGGCAGTAGCACTGACTCACAAAGGACTGCTAATGCAGCCTACAACTTCTAGAGGGCCAATTGCCATTGGTATAATCTAATCCTAGGCCTTGGGATTGGATCTTTTCATTATTTTGGTTTCCTCATATCACTACTTTCAGCACCTATTATGTTACTTTAGATGACATTTTCCTCTTATGAAGTGTATCTATTGGTAATTCTCTCAGGAAGGTTTTGTGAATGGTAAACTCTGTCAATCTACTTCCTGAAAATGTCTTTATTTCACACTCACTTTTGAATGATAGCTTAGCTGGGTATAGAATTCTAGGTTGACAGCTGTTTTCCCTTGCTAATTTGGACATTATGCCATTATTTCATTTCTGGGCTCCTCATTGCTGCTGAAAAATCTATAGGAAAGGTAACTGTTGTTCTGTTAATATATTCTTCTGTCTGGTAGTTTTAAGGCTCTCCTCTTGGTTTTTGGCCTTCTACAATTCACTATGATATGTCTAGCCGAGAATTTATCTTCTTTACACTTACAATGATTCCTTGTGAGTCTATAAATTTAGGATTCATGTTGTTTATCATTTCTGAAATTTTTCTGCATGGCCTCTTTTATTATTTTTGCTTCTTCCTCACTCTCTGTAGTTTATCCTAAAAGTCCTTTTTTAAATTTACTAAAAACGTATACATTTATTATGAACAATGTGTTTTGAAATATGTATATACTGTGGAATTGCTAAATTGTGCTAGTTAACATATGCATTACCTCATATATGTATCGTTTTATGGTGAGAACACTAAAAATCCACTCTCTTAGCAATTTTCAAGAATACAATACATTGTTATTAACTACAGTCACCATGTTGTACAATAGATCTCTTGAACTTATTCCTCCAAACTGAAACTTTGTACACTTTGACCAACATCTCCATGACCTAGCTCCCCCTCAAGCCTCCGGTACTTTACTCTCCACTTCTACGAGTTCAACATTTTTGGATTCCACATATAAGTGAGACTGTGCAGTAACTGTCTTTATGTTTTATTTCACTTAACATAACATCCTCCAGCTTCACCCATGTAGTTGAGTGGCAGCTGAATAGCATCCCCCTGCATACCATAATATACAACACATATTCTTCATCCATTCATCTGCTGTTGGACACTTAGATTTTTTAAAAATCTTTTTAAAAACATATTTGTGCCCAACATACAAAAGATGGTGTTTTTATGTTGTAAATTAATTTTTACAAAGGAAATAATGATGCATCCAGCTGCCTGCCTTTCACTAGCTCATCCTTGGTGACCTGGTGGCTCTGCTAGGGCTGGCAGATGGACAGCAGCAGGTGGTGAGGCTCTGACACCCCCTCATGTCACAGCAGTAACCGGAGGCCACAGAGGCCAGAACCAGCCCTGCATCTTACCCCTGCTCTCTCTCTTGCCCTTCAAAGCCTGGTTGGGGAAACAGCTGTAGACACCAGCTGTGTCCACATCCTCATCTCAGATCTGCTTAGCAGCCATGGAGCCCTTGCTCCTGCTAAGGTCACCTGTGCCCACTGGGGCTGCGGTCCTTCAGCCCTTCCCCAGCCGCTCCTGCTTCACCATGGCATTCACACCTGCACGTCACTTATGCATCAAAGTCTTCACTGACCCCAAAATACGACTCTCTAGATTCTCTTCCTGCTCCTTTGGGCCTCTTCCTTGGTGGTCTCAGCCTCCTCAGTGTTGCCCCAGGGCGAGCCTTGTTATCACGGTCCCTTGCCCATGGTGTCCTGGTGCACGCCCACCCTCTCCTGCCGTTGACATGCCAACAAATCCCAAAGCTCCCTTGTCAGCTCAGCATCGACCGAGGTCCAGCCCAGAGAGCTACTCCCTCCTGGATGTCCCACATAGGCTAATATAGCAACCCCCAACATCCCCAGCACTTTCTTTATCTGTCCTGACCCACCTGCAAGTTTTCCCCTCCAGGCTTGAACCAGGCATGGATAAAGGTGTTTAGGCTGTTGCTCAAGACTCTGAGAAATCCGCCATCTTGCTAAATACAGAGAAAGCCACCCTGCTTGGCCCTGAGCCAGAGTCCTCATCCCTGAGATAAACTCCATACCCTGACCCCTCATGGCAGACATGCCTGGGTGGGACATCTGCCTTCTTGCTGTCTGTTACAAGAATATGCTGCAGTCCTCCTCTGTAAGCAAGTTCCTCTAATAAAGCTCTGGACTGATCGCCCTGGGGTTTGGTGCTTCTTTCTGTGGAATCCTAAGCATCCCACTGTGGGACGGTTTGGGGCACTCCCTTGTGGGAACTCCTTGCCACTGCCTTTGTGGCAACTCCAGCCCCAGGTTGGACAGGACGGAACAGCTCCTCACCCATTTCTCCCCGCACACCTACTCCTTGCCTACTGCCCCATCTCAGATACAGCCCCTGCATCTACGCATCTGCCCAAGCTTGCAGTTCACCTCCCATCTCCTCTGTTCTCAACCCTGAACCCACCTGGCCACCACTCTGTTGTGCTCCACCTCTGGTTTTTTTTTTCTTTTTTTTTTTTTTGAGACGGAGTCTTGCTCTGTTGCCCAGGCTGGAGTGCAGTGGCGCAATCTTGGCTCACTGCAAGCTCCGCCTCCTGGGTTCATGCCATTCTCCTGCCTCAGCCTCCCAAGTAGCTGGGACTACAGGTGCCCACCACCATGCCTGGCTAACTTTTTGTATTTTTAGTAGAGACAGGGTTTCACCGTGTTAGCCAGGATGGTCTCAATCTCCTGACCTCGCGATCCGCCCGCCTCGGCCTCCCGAAGTGCTGGGACTACACTTCGGGCCACCGCGCCCCAGCCTGTGCTCCACCTCTTAAATGGCTCTTGAGCCTATGGCCTCCTCTCCACCCTCGGGACCTCGGGCCCTCTGCAGACCCAGCCCTCTCCTCCACCCACGGGACCACTGTCCCTCTGTAGGCCCGGCCCTCCCCTCCCTGGACCAGGCAGGGCAGAGCCTCCCGCCTCTGATCCCCCCCATCCTAATCTAGTCTCCATGGTGCAGTCAAAGTCTAACTGTGAAACTTCTATGTTTTCATCCCCAGGAATTAAGGACCAAAGTCCACTCCGGAGGTGTACAGGACAGCCCAAGTGAGTGGACACCAGCTTTCAAATGCACCTCCAAGTCCACACCTGTCTTCAAAACGATCACTAAAAGAGCTGCTGTGTTTTTAAACCAAGTTGACTAAGTGTTACCGCCTCACTGAGCATGCTGAGGAGTCCCAGAGCCGAACCTCTGCAGCCAGATGTTCTCAGGGACCCGGGTATGGATTCAGGCACTGCGAGGATCTTGCAAGGACCCACACAGCAGCCTGTCAGCAACGTGTCTTCAGCAGCGGTGCTAGCACTGGGCATGTGGCAGACCAGCATCCCGCATGAGCACCTCTAAGCATGAGCACAGATGCAAATCCAGTCACACAGCCGCAGCATACTCAACCAGCTGGGCAGCTACATCTGCTGCTCATTCCATGGCCCTCGAATCTGCCTGATCACCAAGGGAG
This sequence comes from Homo sapiens, assembly GCF_000001405.40. Classification (NCBI taxonomy): domain Eukaryota; kingdom Metazoa; phylum Chordata; class Mammalia; order Primates; family Hominidae; genus Homo; species Homo sapiens. Next base: position 228,239,314 of record NC_000001.11, on the reverse strand, counting down.
GGCTTCCCCAAGCTCTTTGACATTTGTTATGTTTGCTTTAGAGAAGGACTCACAAAGTACTTTCAGGGAAACTGTGTCTCTTTGATATGCACTTCACAAAATCACTCACAATCACACTGCATGTGGATGTGTTTGAGAATGGGAATGTGTTTTAATATGTGTATGTAATATGTATGAGCAAGTGTGTATGTTTAAGTGTGTTTTCATGTGTATGTGTATCATGCATGTATTTGTGTGTATGAGATGAAGCATGTGTATGCACATGTGTGTACGTTTGTGTATATGTGTTTAAATGTGTATATGTATGTGTGCAAGTGTACATGTGTTTGAATGTATGTATATGGTATAAGTGTGTATGGGGGTATATGTGTATATAGGTGTATGTGGGAGTGAGGTGTCTGTGCGTGTATATATGTAGGTGAGTGCATATGTAGGTATTGTGTGTGTATTATGTTTAGGTTTGTGTGTGTCTATGTATGTGTGTGTATATATGTCTTGTGTGTTGTTTGTGTGTATTTAAATGTATTTATGCATATGTAAATGTGTTGTTGGGATATGTATGCATGTATGTGCAAGTGTGTGTGTGTGAGTTTATATGTGTGTGTGTTCATGTGTGGGTGGTGTATGTGTGAGTGCATGTGTATGTTGTGCAAGTGTGTGTAGGTGCATGTGAGTGCACGTGTGCATGTGTGTACATTCATACGTGTGAGTGCATGTGTGTGTAGGTGTGCATGTTAGAATGTGTGTGTGCATATGAGTGCATTGTGAGCATGTGTGTGCACATGTATGTGTAGGCGTGTGTGAGAGTATGTGTGTGTAAGTGCACTGTATGCATGCATGTGTGTGTGAGTGCACAGGTGACTGCCTGCCTGCAGCTGCACTAGGGAGGAGGCATGCAGCAGTCTCGGTGGCCCCTCAGTGCAGCTAAGCCACTGAATCAGGTCCCCAGCTACCTACCTGGTGGTTTACCTGCGACATTCGCCTGAATGAGATACAAATACCCTCGCAAGGATGCTTAGACTTGTCTCACGCAAGAAATGCCAAGGTCTGGGTTCATTTGCATATTTATAATAAAACTTGCAGTTTTCAAAAGCACCTACTGGTGGCTCCACTCTTGGAGGTGCACACCCCACATCTCACCTGTGAGACCAAGGAGCTGCTATCTGAACACTCAGAAAGGAGAGCAGCAGGTGGATGGGGGCGGCAGAGGAACAGCATTCAAAGTCCCAGCACCCTTCATCCCATGACCTGTGCACCCAAAACCCAGAGGCGGGCATTTGTGCAGAGCGGGCTCCCAGTGAATCCTGTAGCCTCCCTCAAGGTATGGAAGAGGGAAGCACAAGTGCTCAGAGAGGACAGAAGACACCCCTGTTTCTTCTTCTTTCTCACACCCCAGACCATGCAGGTGTGAACAACTAAACTCCTGATAAAGGAAACACTCTGTCCAGGCACAATGGCTCATGCCAGTAATCCCAGCACTTTGGGAGGTTGAAGTGGGTGGATCATTTGAGGTTAGTTCAAGACCAGCCTAGCCACATGGTGAAACCCCGCCTCTACTAAAAATACAAAAATTAGCCATATGTGGCCAGGCACAGTGGCTCACGCCTGTAATCCTAGCACTTTGGGAGGCTGAGGCGGATGGATCACCTGATCAGCCTGGCTAACATGGCAAAATCCCGTCTCTACTAAAAACACAAAAATTAGCCAGGCATGGTGGCACATGCCTGTAATCCCAGCTACTCGGGAGGCTGAGACAGGAGAATCACTTGAACCTGGGAGGCAGAGGTTGCAGTGAGCCAAGATCGCACCACTGCACTCCAGCCTGGGCAACAGAGTGAGACCCTGTCTCAATTAAAAAAAAAAAAATCAAAAAGCAAAAAATACAAATTAGTCGGGTGTGGTAGCAGGTGCCTGTAGTCCCAGATACTTGGGAGGCTGAGGCAGGAGAATCACTTGAACCCAGGAGGTGGAGGTTGCAGTGAGCCAAGATTGTGCCACTGCACTACAGCCTGGGTGACAGAGCGAGACTCCATCTCAAAAAAAAAAAAAAAAAAAAAGGGAAACACTCCTCTTCAATGGAAGGGGCTCTGATCTCAAGGGTAAGCACTGTTGATTTTTTTTTTCTCTGTCCTCCTGGCGCTCAGCTCTGGCACATACAGTTGCAACCATAAGAAGCAGGATCAGGGCAGCAAACACAAAGCTCCAGTTTTTTGTCTGTAGAACTGAAAGGCAAGCTCCAGGAAAGCAGAAAGTCCTGGAGAGGATCCTGGAAAGGGAGATGCTCGAAAAATAGAACACAAAGTTGTTCAAGAACTCCAGGGCTCCCCCTAGAGGCACACATCACTGTACTCGGGGACAAAGCACTGCCCACATACACACGACCACAGGAGGTGCACGGGCAGGACAGATCAAACCACACAGGCTTTGAAGACATCAACCCACAGAAGTCAACTAGGCTGATTTCCAGCTTGAAAAAAAAAATCAACATTCCCCTAGTATGTAAAGAAGACCTGAAGTCATGTAACATAGTCTTCAAAATACCCAGGACACCATCTGAAATTACGGGGCATAGGAAGAATCAAGTAGCATGCACATGAAAAGACTACCAACAGATACCACCGTCAAGATGACACCAATGCTGGAATTATCTGACGATTTTCAAGCAGTTAATACAAAAATGCTTCAACAAGTAAAAGCAAATACCCTTGAAAGGAATGGGAACATTAAAAAGTCTCAGCAAAGAAAGAGAAGATATAAAGAAAAACTGAGTGGAAAGTTTATAAGAAGAAAAGATAGTAATTGAAATAATTCACTGTATAGGCTCAATAGTTGAATATCAATAACAGAAGAAAGTTAGTGAAATTGAAGACAGATCAATAGAAATTATCCAATCCAAACAACAGAGAGAAAGGGATTTAAAACAAAACAAAAAAACAGAGCCTCAGGGACCTGTAAGATGATTCTGAAAGATCTAACATTGAAGTCATTATCCCTAGAAGCAGAAGATAAAATATAGTTCAGAAACAATAATCTGAAGAAATAATGACTAAAAATCTCCCAAATTTGGAAGAAGACATAAACCAGATTAGATGAATTTGGCAAGCCCCAAACAGAATAAACCCCAAAAAATCCACACCCACATGTATCATTTTAAAAGAGTTAAAAATTAAAGACAAAGAAAAAAATTTTGAAAGCAAGCAGAGAAGACCAACACATTATTTGTAGGGGAACAGTTTGAATGACTGTTAATTTCTCACCCTGTGTGTGTGTGTGTGTGTGTGTGTGTGTGTGTGTGTGTAAAATCATGATGTTGTACAGCTTAAATATATTCAATCTTTATTTGTCAATTAAATATTTTTTTAATCATGAAGGCCAGAATAAGTGGAACATTTTTTCAAGTGCTAAAAGAAAAGAACCATCAACCCAGAATTCTCAATTTTCCAAAAATATCTTTCAGGAATGCAGGTGAAATAGACACATTCTGAATAAAGGAAAACTAAGAAGATGCACTGATGGCAGAGCTGCTCTAAAAGAATTGCTAAAGGATGTCCTTCAGACAGAAGGGAAATGATATCTCAGGGAAACTTGCAACAGCAGGAATGAGGCAAGAGTAACAGAAATGCTGAACATCTAGGCAAATAAAACAGATTATATTCCTCCTCTTGAGTTCTTTAAAATAAATTTCATAGTTAAAAAACAAAAATTATATTATCTGATGAGGTTTTCAGTGAATGTAGAGATAATACGTAAGATAACTACCATAATAATTTAAAGGTCAGGGAGTAAAAGAGACCTATGTGATGGTAGGAGTTCTCTATTCCAGTGGAGGTGATAAAATACTGATCTTAAGTAGATGATGAAGAGTTAAGTATGTTAAGTGCAATCCATAGGTGACCAAAAAAAATCACAATAGATACATTAAAAAGAAATACTAAAAAAAAAAATCTAAATAACCCAAAATGGGCAGAAAAGTTGAAACAGAAGAACCGAAAAAAAGGGGAAAAAACAGAAAAATGTAATAAAATAGTCAACCTGGATCCAAATATATTAATCACAACATAAATGAAAATAGAATAAATACATCCATAGTAGGACAGAGATTATCAGTTGGAAAGTAGTGAGCCAACTACATGTTATCTACAAGAAACTCACCTCCAATATAATTATATGGGCAGGTTCAAAGTACAAGAATGGCAAAATACATGTAATACAAACACTAATAATACAAGTCTGGATTGTTTGTTCATATTAATATCAAACAACGAAAATTTCAGAACAAAGAAAATTACCAGGGAGAAAGAGGGACATTACATAAGGATAAAGATGTCAGTTTGCAAAGAAGACAAAATGATCTTCACAATGTAACTTCAAAATACATGCTGCAAAAATCGATAGCACTGAAAGTAAAAACAGACAAATCCACAATCATAGCTGAGGATTTCAACACTCTTCTCTCAATAACTGATAAAACTGGCAGACAGAAAAGCATCAAGGATACAGATGAACTGAACCATGAGCCATCATGACCTAAGTGACACTGGTAGGATCCACCCAACAACAGCAGAAAACACTCCTTTCCAGAACACATAGAATGTTCGCCCACCTAGGACATATTCTGGTTCAGGAAACAAATTTAAGAGAATTGAAATGTTTCAAAGTTATGTTCTCTGACCAAAATGGAATTAGACTACAAATCAGTAACAGAAAGGTAACAGTAAAATCTCTGAACACATGGAAATTAAACCCACTTCTGAATAATCTACACATTTAAGAGGCAGTATCAAGGGAAATTAGAAATTATCTTCAACTGGACAACAATGAAAATACCACATCAGGGCCAGGTGTGGTGGCTCATGCCTGTAATCCTAGCACTTTGGGAGGCTGAGGCGGGCGGATCACCTGAGGTCAGGAGTTCAAGACCAGCCTGGCCAACATGGTGAAACCCCGTCTCTACTAAAAACACAAAAATTAGCCAGATATGGTGGTGCATGCCTGTAATCCCAGCTACATGGGAGGCTGAGGCAGGAGAATCGCTTGAATCTGGGAGGCGGAGGTTGCAGTGAGCTGAGATCATGCCATCGCACTCCAGCCTGGGGGATAAGAGTGAGACTTCGTCTCCAAAAAAAAAAAAAAAAAGAAAATACCACATCAGAATGTGTGTGATAAAGCTAAAGCAGTGCTTAGAGAAAAAATTGCTGTATGAAATATTTATATTAGCAAGAAGTATTTCAATCAGGAAACTAATAGTCTACCTTAAGAAATTAGGTAAGGAAGAGCAAAATAAACCCAGAGCAAGATGAAGGATGGAAATAAAGAAAAAAGCAGAAATCAATAACATTGATGAAAATAGAGAAAATCAATGAAACCTAAAACTGGTTCCTTGAAAAGATCAATAAAACTGACAAACCTCTAACAAGACAAAGAAAAAAAGAGAGAGAAAAGACAAACTAACAATATCAGTAATGAAACAAGGCTATCCCTGCAGACCCTACAGACACTATGGTAATAAGGAAACACTACAAACAACTCCATGCACATAAATTAAATCCATTTGAATAAATGGACCAATTCCCCAGAAACCACAAATTACCAATACTCACCCAAGATAAAATAGACAACTTGTACAGTCCCACATCTATTAAATAAATTGTCTTGGTGATTTAAATATTCCACAAAAAGAAATCTCTAGGCCAAGATGGCATTACTTGCTTCGTCAATGAAATAACTTAAAAAGATGTTTTAAAAGTAACAGAAATAACATCAATTCTACACAATATCTTCTTGAAAACAGAAGAGAAGGGAAATGCTTTCCATCCCATTTTTTTGAGGACAGCATTACCCTGATATCAAAACCAGACAAAGACAGTATATGAAAACCACAAACTAAAATTCTCCATTAACATAAAAATAAAAATACTCAGCAACATATCAGCCGACTGAATCCAGTATGTAAGAAGAATAACACACCACAAACCCAAACACATCCAAAGAATGCAAGGCTGGTTCAATATTCAAAAACCCCTGGCAGAGATGTCAGCAAAAATGACAAAATAATAACTTCTGAAAAACCTCTCCTCCACAAAAGAAAGAAAAGCACTGGCCAAAAAAAATGTTGAAATCAACTTTTCAGAAGTCTGAAAATTAATCAAAGACTTGCAGCAATCTGGGGAGCATTCACCCATGAAAAACAACTGCATCTCAGTAAGAATAGCTAGATGTGTGGTGTTTTAACCCACCCAATTCTTAAACCTACCAGACTCTAGCTCTGAGATAACTGTGAAAACCAACAGTCCACAATCAGGATGAAGACCAGCACCCTGGCAACCCGCAGAGAGGGCCATTCCTAGAGCACTGTCATTATTTCACCTGTTTGGTAGCTCCCTGGAAAACTCGCTCACCAGGGCTGAATTTGTTTGGCCTGAGTAGTTCACCCAGTGCAAAAGCATTTTCTCAAGAAGCATTTTTTGAAAAAATATCAGAGGTAATTACAAACACAATGGCTGCTTGAAGCAGTGGAGAACGGTTGCAATGAACAATAGTCTAACCAAAAGTCTCTAGCCTAAAAGGAAATGCTGGAGAACAAGACATCCACAGGAGGCTTTGGAAAGCTCCAACAACACACTCCTGGGCACAGAGAGGGTCACACATATGCACAGGCTGTGTGCACACTCAGGTAATGCCTGAGAAGGCCTAACACTCACACAGCTGGCTAGCCTTGAGGTTCTGTGAGGCCAGAAGTAAAGGCACAGGTAGAGCTGTCGTCTGCCTAGCTGTGTTGAATGCATGGGCCAATTTCCACACACAGGCCCCAAAGACAGGCAGACTTATTGTTGGAGACATCTATTAAAATCACTGTTCTAATCATCAGCTGGCCAATAAGCTCACTGAGCAGAGGCTTCAGTGGCCACCCATGATAAGGAACATAGACTTTACAGAATTGGTTCAGAAAAGTCACTAAACATACACAAACAAAAGCAACAGAAACAGCAACAAAAATTAACAGCATCTGTGATATGCTGTGATATACACATCCAATGGAACATTATTCAGCCATAAAAAGTAATGAAGCACTGGAACATGTTACGCACAACTTGGAGGAATCTTGAAAAGTTTACACAAAGTAAAAGAACCAGATACAAGCGACACATATTGCATGATTTCTATTACATGAAGTATCCAGAACAAACGAATCTGTAGAGACAACGAGCAAAACGCAGGGTGGCCAGATGGTGGGGGGAAGGAAGAATGTAAAGTAATAACCCAATGACTATGGGGTGTTCTGGCGAAAAATTTCTGATGAAAAATTTTGAAATTAGACAGAGGTGGTGGTTGCACAACATTGAGAATGCATTAAATGCCACTGAAGTATACACTTCAAAATGGTTAACTGTATGTTATATGAATTTCAGCTCAATTATAAAACTAATTCTTAATTAAAAAGTCATTATTCACCTATCTATAAGACATACACTTTAGAGCCAAAGACGCAAACAGGTGGAAGGCTCGAAGATGCTTCATAAACCATAGCAGCCAAAAGAGCAGGAATGGCTCCCAAACACCAGGCAAGGCAGACCTGAAACCAAACCGCCAGAGGAAACAAACAACACTACACACTGTGAAAGGGCCAATCTCTCAGTAAGATATCACAGTTATAAACATATACTAACCTAAAGCAGAGGGCAATATATGAGAAGCAAAAATCAACAGAATTAAAGAAAGAAAAAATGTCTACAATATTAGAGACTTCAATACCCCACTTTCAATAATAGAATGACTAGAAAAAAGATCTGTTAAAACCAAGAGGACTTGAACAATGCTATAAATCAACTAGACCTAACTGATTTATACAGTCAGCCCTCCAAATTCACAGGTTACACGTGTGCAGATTCAGCCAACCGAGGATCAAAAATATTCTGGAAAAAAAATGATGACACAACAATAAAAGTAATATAAATTTTTAGAAATACAGTATAACAAGCATTTATATAGCATTTACATTGTATTAGGTACTATGAGTAATCTAGAGATGATTTAAAATATAAGGAAGGATATGTGTAGGTTATATGCAAATACTACATCATTCTATATAAAGAACTTGATGATCCATGGATTTTGGTATCTACAGGAGTCCTGGAACCTATCCCCCACAGGGAGAACACTCTATAGAATATTCCAGTCAACATGAGACTGTATAGAATATTCCAATCAACAGGAGAAGAATACACATTTTCCTCAAGTGTGTATGGAACACTGTCCAGGATAGGCCATCTATTAGGCCACAAAATAAGTGTCAATACATTTTTAAAAGTTGAATTCAGGCAAAGTATCTTCTCTGACCATAATGGAATAAAGCTAGAAAACAGAAAGAAAACTGGAAAATACACAAATATGTGGAAATAAAGCAACACACTTTTAAAAAAGAAATTAAAAGAAAAATTAGAAAATACTTTAAGATGAATGGAAATGAAAACACAACATACCAAACTATGGGATGCAGTGAAAGCACTGCTCAGGGGACATGCACAGCCGTAAATGCCTACACTTTAAAAGGAAGAAACGTCATTGGGAAGTAAAACTGTCTCTATTCAGAGATAGCACGATCTTGTGTACAGAAAATCCTCAGGAATCCACAAAAGAAATATTAGAGCTAATCAACAAGTTCAACAAGGTTGCAGGATAAAAGACCAATATACAAAAGTCAATTCTCTTTCTGTACCTTAGCAATGGCACTCCAAAACTGAAATTATGAAAACAGTTCCATGGACAGTAGCATCCAAAGTATTAACTACTTAGCAATAAATTTACAAAGGAACTGCAAACTTTATATGTTGACAATTAGAAAACACCATTGAAAGAAATCTTAAAAGACCCAGATAAATAGAAATGTATCCCATACTCATGGATTAGAAGAAACAGCAATACTCTCCAAATCGATCTACACATTCAATGCAAACCCTATCAAAATCCCACCTACCTTTTTTCCAAAATTTGAAAAGCTGATTCTAAAATTCATATGGAAATGCAGTAGACCTTGAATAGCCAAAACAATCTTGAAAACACACAAAGTTGGAAAACTCACACTTTCTAATTTCAAAACTTACTACAAAGATATGGTAATTAAGACTGTGGTATTAACATAAGGATAAACTTAGAAATCAATGGAACAGAATTGAGAATCCAGAAATAAACCCTTTACATTTATGGTCAAGGGTGCCAAGAAAATTCAATGGAGAAAAATGTCTTCAACAAATGATGCTAGGACAGCTGCATTTCCACATGCAAATGATGAAGTTGGACCACTATTTCACATCATATTCAAAAATTAACTTAAAATGGATCAAAGCCCTAAATGTAACAGCTAAAATTACTAAAATCTTAGAAGAAAACAGAGGTGTATATCTCGTGACCTTGGATTGGGCAATGATTTCTTAGAAATGACACCTAACACACAAGCAACAAAAGAGGATAAATTAAGCTTTATTTAAAAAAAAATTTTTTTTTAGACAGGGTCTCACTCTGTTGCCCAGGCTGGAGTAAAGTGGTGCAATCACAGCTCACTGCAGCTTCAGTCTCCTGGGCTCAAGCAATCCTCCCACCTCAGCCTCCCAAGTAGGTGGGATTACAGGCACACATCACTATGTCCAGCCTAAACTTTATCAAAATTAAAACCTTCATGCAGCAAAAGACATAATCAAAAAAAAAGAAAGAAAATATTTGCAAATCATTTATCTAAAAAAAAGGTCTAGCATCATGGCTAGACATGGTAGCTCACGCCTATAATCCCAGCACTTTGGGAGGCTGAGGTGGATGGATCACTTGAGGTGAGGAGTTCAAGACCAGCATGGTGAAACCCCATCTCTACTAAAAATACAAAAATTAGCTGGGTGTGGTGGTGCACACCTGTAGTCCCAGCTCCTCAGGAGGCTGAGATGGGAGGATTGCTTGATCCCAGGAGTTCAATGCTACAGTGAACCATGATCACACCGTTGCATTCCAGCCTGGGCAATAGAGTGAGACCCTGTCTCTAAAAAAAGAATAAATAAAATATAAATAAATAAAAACAAGAAGAGTTGGTGAGGATGTAGAGAAACTGGAACCTTCATACATTGCTGATTGAAGAATGTAAAATGGTGCAGCCACTCTAGAAAACAGTCTGACAGTTCCTCACTAAGGTAAATAATATTATCGTATGACCTGGCAACCCTACTCTTTAGGTATCTACTCAAGAGAACTGACAACATACATTCACACAAAGCCTGCATACAAACGTTTATAGCAGCATTATGTATAGTTGCCAGAGTGGCAACAGTTCAAATGCCTGTCCACTGATGCATAGATAAACAAAATGTGATCTGTTCATACAATGGAATGTGACTCAGCTATGAAAAGGAAGTACTGATACATGTTACAACATCATGAGCCTTGAAAACATCATGCCCAGTAAAAAAAAGACAGACATAAAAGGCCACATATTATATGATTCTGTTTAAATGAAATGTCCGGAACAGGCAAATCCAGGGAGACAAAAAGCACATTAGTGGTTGCTAAGTGCTGAGGAGAAGGGGAATGGGGAGTGACTATGAAGGGGCATAGAGTTTCTTTTAGGGTTGATGAAAATGTTCTGGAATTAGACTGTGGTGTGGTTACGCAACCTAAAAACCACCAAATCGTACACTGTAAAAGGGTGAATTTTATGTTACTTGAATTACGTACTCTAAAAAATCAGTCAGGTCCGGTACAGTGGTTCATTCCTGTAATCTCAGCACTTTGGGAAGCTGAGGTGGGAGGATTGCTTGAGCCCAGAAGTTTGAGATCAGCCTGGGCAACATAGCAAGACCCCATCTCTACAAACAAAAAATTGAGAAAATTAGCCAGGTATGGTGGCACGTGCCTGTAGTTCCAGCTACTCAGGAGGCTGAGGCGGGAGGACTGCTTGAGCCCAGGCGGTCGAGGCTGCAGTGAGTCATGGTCACACCACTGCACTCCAGTCTGGGTGACAGAGCAGGACCCTGTCTCAAAAACCAAACAAATGAAAAGGTGCCAGCAGGTTCAGCTGCCTGGTGAGGGCTGCTCTCTGCTTCCAAGACAGCACATTATTGCTGTGTCTCACATGCGAGACAGGATGGAAGTGGTGAACTTGCCCTTTTATAATCTAGGGGTACTCATCCATTCGCGAGGGTGGAGCCTTCGACGCCTAATCACCTCCCAAAGGCCCCCTCTTAATACTGTTGCTCAGGGGACTAAGTTTCAACATAAACTGTGGAGGGGACACAACATTCCACGAACAGCAGATAGGCGTGATACAATATGTTAAGAAGTCAATTTAACAAAAGCACTTACACAGAGAACACGCTAGCCTGCCAGTCCTGCCTTTGGGGTAAAACCCTGAGAGCATCACAAAACCTAGCTCCCACATTCTCACTGCTATGGTTGGAATGTCTGTGGCCCCCAAAATTCCCACGTTGAAATCCTTATCCCCAAGGTCATGGTGTTAGGAGGAGGAGCCTTTAGGAATCACTTGGGTCATGAATGAGATCAATGCCCTTATAAAAGAGACCTCAAAAGCTCCCTCACCCCTTCCACTGTGAAGACTCAGTTAGAAGGCACCGTCTATGAAACAGGAAGCGGCCTCACCAGACACGGAATCTGCTGGCACCTTGCTCTTGGACTTCTGACCTCCAGAGCTGCAAGCAGCACACTTCACACTTCCGTGGTTCCTGAGCCACCCAGGCTATGGTGTTCTGCTCTAGCAGCCCTCATGGACCCAGGCACTTGCTGAACGTCAGCATTCCTCTGTGTGGCCACACAGGACCCCTGGCCCACGCTGCAGACATTGTCTGCTTCTCTCCCTGGAGCACAAATGTGACAGAGCCCGCAGATGTGCAAGCCTGGGCCCCCTAGTGTCTGAGTCGTGTGTCACCCTAGGGATAAAAACAGCAGCAGGAAGATGGGATAAAGCAATTAGTGCACCCCTGCCAAGCACCATCTCATGTTAATCCCCTCTCCTGCCCTAAGAGCTGGGTGCACTTTGGGATCCGCATTTTACAGACAGGGAAACAGGCTGGATGAGCCACTGCCACTGACACCTTTCCAGACACCCTGGTGCCCACTCTGCTGGCAGCTAGTGCCTCTGAGCTCCTGCAGCCTGGCACACCTCTGTCCCCTCCCACCCTGCACCACGGCCCTCTGGGGTGAAGGCTAGCCAGTGTCTACACCACCAAGCTGGCCCTGCCCTCCTTCCTTGACCTATTTATCCCCCAAAACCCAATCCCAGCAGCTATAATTCACAGTGCCCTACACAAGCACAGTCCCCAGATGCCACAATCATGAATCCCATGTTACAGATGAGGAAACTGAGGCACAGAGAGGCCAACTGTCTGAGTTTCTGGGGGCTGCCGTAAGAGCTCACCATAAGCTAAGTGGCTCAGAATGACAGAAAATCATCCTCTTACAGTTCTGGAGGCCAGAAATCTGAGATCAAGGTGTAGCAGGGCTGTGCTCCCTCAGGAGGCTCTAGGGGAGGACCCACCCTGCCTCTCCCAGCTCCTGGGGGCTCCCGGAGTCTCTGGGCTTGTGGCCGCATCACTCCAGAGTCAGCCTCCATCTCCCATGGTTGCCTCCTCTGTGTGTGTCTCCCGGTCTGCCTAAGGACAGTGTCACTGGATTCAGGGCCCACCCTAGTCCATGACCTCATCACAAGGTGCTTTACTTAATTACATCTGCAAAGACCCTGTTTCCAAATGAGGCCCCATTCTGAGGTTCTAGGTGGATGTGAATTTGGGGATGATACAACATCAACAACTCACCCAAGGTCACTCAGCAGACAGACAGGAATGAGACACACGTGGCAGTATGACCCCACACATGCACCGATCCTACCGCCAGCCTGCCTCAGAAAGGGGTGGAAACCCAGGCTGTGGGGTATGGGCTGTGGGGCCAGTCCCAGGCCAGCTTCTCCCATCCCAGGTCCACCTCCTCCTCCTCTACGTCCCCCTGCCAAGGCTATAAGGCCATAGGCACATTCTCCAGGCTACCTGGAGCTGAGCAAGGTCTTGCAAGACCCCCACCAAGTCAGGGAGGCATGGGGGTTGGTGTACTCCCAACTTCAAGAAAAGTTTTTGTTTTCCAAACAGAAGAGACAGCCAGAAACATCCATAATGAGGGAGGCAGAATTCTAAGAATGCCCAAACACTAAATCTAGGTGCTGCTGTGAAGGAAGCCTGCAGATGGAATGAGGTCTCATATCAGTTGACTTTAAGTTCCTCGAAAGGATGATGACCTTGAGTGGGCTGGACCTAATCAGGTGAGGCCATAAATGGGAGGGGTCTCTTCCCTGGCAAAAGAGATTTGAAGTCTGAGAGTGACTTGACACAAGGGAGATTACCCATTACTGGCCTGACGATGAAGGCCACATGGCAAAGAATGAGGTGGCCTCTAGGATCTGACAGCAGCTCCCTGGCTGACAGCCAGCCAAGAAATAGGGCCTTGGACCCATGGGCTCACAGACCCACAATTGCAAGGAACTGAATTCTGCCAACAAATTGGGTAAGCTGGAAATAGGAACCAAGAGAACTAATCAGCAGGCACCTGACTTCAGCTTCTGAGACCCTGAACAGAGAACCCAGGCACGCCACGCCTGCACTTCTGACTTACAGAACTGTGAGCTACTCAGTGAGCATTGTTTCAAGCCACTAAGTTGGTGATAATTTGTTACAAAGCAGTTAAAAAAATAAGCAGAAAACAAAAAAACTAATACACACCCTTTCCACATCTTCCCATCTTGAACATGATGGCTGGAGCTATGGAAGCCACCTTGTGACCATGAGGCAAGCATTTGAAAGAAAAAGGTAACATGTTCAGGATGGCAGAGAATTAAACAGATCCCATGTCCTTATGATAGACTGTTAAAAAGGTTGTGATGAGTCAAGACACCCTGGGTGCACAATGTTCTACAACAGGACATGCCACTCCCCCACTGACAGTAGGGTCTACTTCTCTACACCCTAGTTCCTGCAGACTAAGCTGGCCTTATGCTTAGCTTTGAGCAACAGGACATGGGGGAAAGTAACACTCTGGGAGTCCTGAGAACCCAGCTTAACAAGCCTCATAGTTTCTACCATTCCCTAGGAAAAGAATCCAGTCACCATGGAAAGAAGTCCAAAAAGAGAGCAACCATGGAGGAATGAGGTTGCAGGCATGGAAATGAAGCCAGCTGACAGCACAAGAAGAGACAGGTCCATTGTCCTGGCCATCCCCCATCCACTGGAGCCATCCCAGCTTGGACCTCAGTCAGGTGCACCAATGAGGCCAGTCAGATCCCCCAGCCCCAGCCAACACCACATGAAATACAGATGAGCCACCCCTGCTGAGCCCTGACCAAATTCTCAACCTGCAGAATGGTGACAGGTAAACTGATCATTCTTTCAGGCCTCTAAGTTTGGAGTGATCTGTTACACAGCAGCAGATAATTAACTGAAACAGGCCCTCAGGAGGCCGCCAAGCACTGTCCCAGCCTACGCTGAAACACTGCCCCCAGACCTGCTCCCATGAGATGCTCAAATGTCTGCTCTATCAACTGACCTTTGACATCCAGATGGAAGGAGAGCCGCTGGCCCCCAGCCTCGCAGCTATACTCCCCGGCATCCGCCTGGCCTGCCTGCTGCACAACCAGCCTGCGCGTGCAGCCTGTGGCCTCCATGCACACTTTCGAGCTGGAGCTCAGCTTCTTCCCATCCTTGTACCACGTCACCTCCGTCTGGGCCTGGGCCACCTCGCAGCTCAGTGTGGCACTGGCTCCTGCCTCTGCCTGCAGCTTCCTGCGTGCCAGCTGCTCCTTAGCAAACACCACCTTGGGCTCTGGGGATGGACAGGGAAGGATGCACAGTCAGAGACTCCAGAGCACAGAAACTAAAGTTTCAGATGCAGAGGCTGCTCAGGCTGGAGCCCACTGATGACGGGCTGTCTGTGGCCCATGAACAGTGGCCTCACCAACCGCCAGCCGGACATGGGTTTGAGCAAAAGAGAATGCATATTGGAAGCTTCAAGCATCAGCATGGGGAAGAACTTCCCAAGGCCCATCAGCAACATGCAGCAGATACTCTGGAGTCCAAACATTCCACAACACCTTAGAGAAAAGCACCACCCTGGCAGAGTGCCCCTTTGAAAGGAAAAGCTGCTGATACTGTGTGAAATGCCCACATCACGCCCTCAGCACTTACGAAAACTCTGCCTGAGAACCCAGAAAGCCTGGAGAAATAGCAAACACAAACACCCTCTTGGGTTCACGCTGAAAATCACAGGAGATGTGGGAACCTCTCTCCCACAAAACCATGACCCAAACAGACCATCCCCCGGCCACTTCTCCCCTGGTTTGCACTAAAGCCAGAGTTGCCCTATACCTGTCTGGGGTTTCCCTCAACACAAAGAGGAAACTCATACATCGAAAAATTGCTTATGAGGCCGGGCACAGTGGCTCACGCCTGTAATCCTGGCACTTTGGGAGGGCAAGCTAGGTGGATTGCTTGAGCCCAGGAGTTCAAGACCAGCCAAGACAACATTGTGAGACCCTGTCTCTACAAAAAATTAAAAAATTTGCTAAGCATGGTGGTATGCGAGTACCCAGCTCCTCAGGAGGCTGAGGCGGGAGGATTGCTTGAGCCTGAGAGGTCAAAGTTGCAGTAAGCCATGACTGCACCACTGCACTCCAGCCTGGGCAACAGAACAAATTCCTGTCTCTAAAAACAAAAATCTCTTATGCTACCTCTTAACTAGGATAACATGTACGCACAGTGATATGCACAAACATGTATGCACAGTGATATGCACAGATCTGGTGCACAATTCTATGAGTTCTGACAGCTATCTGCACCTGTGTAACCCACACCCCACACCCACACAGCTCCCAGCTGCCTCCCCCACAAAAGCGACCACCATTCTCATTCCTAACCGTAGAACCTGTCTTCGAACTCTGAATAAATGAAATCAGAACAGTTTTCTCTTTAGGTGCTATCTGTGCCCATTAACTAGCTACAAATACACATGCAGACAAAATAGTATTAAAAACTAGAATACCACAATAAAAAATAAGCTAAAACACACCAAAACACACCATGCCCTACCCCTCCACCTGTCCCCACACCCTACTTGGCTCTGCAGAAACTCCAGTTTAAAGTCCCTTCATTTTTCCCCTGGGTTCTGCCTTCCTATTTCTAAACAATATGTACATGCTATTGATCAGTGGGTAAGAAAGAATACGCAGAAAATAAAGAAAAAACCAATACAATGAACACCCACACACTCCCCACCTGCTAAAGAAAGAAGAACGCCATCACCACTAGTTCCCAGCCCCTCAGAGGTAACCCCAGCCTGAATCCTGGTTTTGGAATCTCCTTTTATTATCTCAGTACGTGTGTTTATTGAGGGTGAATGTGCAAGTCAGGCTGCTCTGCTCAACCGTTTACCCACTGTGTGACCTTGGACAAAGTGACTTCACCTCTGTGCGTCGACTTCCTGCTGTCTGAAATAGAATGACCAAGGATTCACACAGGTGAGGTGTGTGGCACGCTAAGAAGAGCATCTCCGGAGATTCCAGGCAGGAGACAAACCACAGCTGCCATGTGTTGCTGCCACTGCGTGTTGTTAACCACTAAACACATAACGTCATTCTGTGCTTTGTAACCTGCTTTTCCAGCACAATGCTGCATGCGTCAATCGCCCTTCTTCAGCTGCAATGCAGAGCCCTGTGCTCCTGCTCGTTTTGACTGCTCTATGGTACTGCAAGGCACACGCAGACCCCAACTTCACCCAGTCATTCTTTTGTGTTTTATTATTATTATTATTCTACTTTTTCATGTTTTGTAAAGGCGGGGTCTCACTATGTTGCCCAGGCTAGTCTTGAAATTTCTGGCTCAAGTGATCCTCCCTTCTTGGCCCACCAAAATGTTGGGACTACAAGTGAGCCACTGCACCCATCCTACAGTTCCCTCTTATTTTTTGGTCCCTGGGCAATCCCTTTTTTCAAAGTTCTTTATACATTTGATGTCCCATTTCAAGTCATTTTGTAGAGGGTAGGTTTCTGAACATTTCAATGACGTTCTAGAAAAGACATAACTGTGCCAGGCGCGGTGGCTCACGCCTGTAATCCTAGCACTTTGGGAGGCCAAGGCAGGCAGATCATGAGGTCAGGAGATCAAGACCAACCTGGCTAACATGGTGAAACCCTGTCTCTACTAAAAATACAAAAAATTAGCCAGGCGTGGTGGCGGGCGCCTGTAGTCCCAGTTACTCGGGAGGCTGAGGCAGAAGAATGGCATGAACCAGAGAGGTAGAGCTTGCAGTGAGCTGGGATTGCGCCACTGCACTCCAGCCTGGAAGACAGAGTGAGACTCCATCTCAAAAAAAAAGAAAAGAAAGAAAAGAAAGAAAGAAAAGGCACAACTGACCTATGGGGAGAGAATCAGGGCAGCAGCTGCCTGGGGCAGGGTGGAGGGTGGACTGCATGAGGGAATTTTCTAGAGGGATGGAGATGCTCAGTACCTTGATGCAGACATGGTGGTGCATGGTATCCACATTTTCCAAAATCCCTCAAATGATACACTTAAAATCTGTGCATCAATTACATCTCAAATGTCATTATTAAAAAATTGTTGGGCCAGGCGCAGTGGCTCATGCCTGTAATCCCAGCACATTGGGAGGCCGAGGTGGACAGATCATTTGAGGTCAAGAGTTCGAGACCAACCTAGCAAACACGGCAAAACCCTTGTCTCTACTAAAAATAAAAAAATTAGCTGGGCGTAGTGGCATGTGCCTGTAATCCCAGCTACTCGGGAGGCTGAGGCAGGAGAGTCGCTTGAACCCAGGAGGCGGAGGGTGCAGTGAGCTGAGACTGTGCCACTGCATTCCAGCCTGGGCGACAGAGCAAGACTCCACCTCAAAAAGAAAAAAAAGTTGTTGGTCAGGTGCAGTGGCTCACACCTGTAATCCCAGCATTTTGGGAGGCCGAGGCAGGCGGACTGCTTGAGGCCAGGAGTTCAAGACCAGCCTGGGCAACACAGCAAGACCCCATCTCTACAAAAAAATTCTTAAAAAATAACCACGTGTGGTGGCACATGCCTGTGGTTCCGGCAACTCAGGAGGCCAAGTCGGGAGGATCACTTGAACCCAAAAGGTTGAGGCTGCAGTGAGCCAAGATCACACCACTGCACTCCAGCCTAGGTGACACAATGAGACTCCGTCTCAAAACAAAACAAAATAAAAAAACTGTTGGCACCAGAGCTTCCTTAATTTCATGATAACAAAGACAACTTCATATGTGCGATCAAATATTACACTGGAAATTTTAACTCAGGCACCAAGACAATGTAGATATGATACTCCAACATAGGAAGCCGGGAGGAGAGACAAATCTTGAAAGAAGTTAGCAAAAAGCAAAACCAACAAAAAATTACCAAAAAACAAGAAACCAGTTTTGCTGATTTGACCCTCTCCCTGCATACAGGGTAGCAGCCACAGTAGCATGGCAGCTACAGAGCAGGGTCTTGGGAAAGACCTCGCTGGATAGGGACATGCTGCATCCCTGCGTCCCATGCCCCACCCATGGAGCACCGAGAGGAGAGGGCTGCTCCCCCTACAACCAAGACCAGCACCTCCAGGGGACACACGGAGCACCTGTAGGCACCAAGGCACCACAGCGGCCAGAGCTGCTCACATGCTCCTGAGAGCCACCACCGTCCTTCCCAACCCCAAACTCAGCAAAGCCACGTGTGTAGCTTGAGATGGGCAGGGATGGGTTCATTTACCCCATGGGGAGTGGTGCCAAAGCTGTCCCAGAGCTGGTGGCCAACCACAGGGGCATTCTGCCTCCCACCAAAAAGCCTAAACACTAAGGTGGGAGCGGCCAGAGGCCTCCCCGCATCACGCAGGTGACAGATGCACAGGGCTTCCTCGGCCAGGATCGGGCTGAGCCGAGGCAGCAGTAGGGGTCTGCAGGAGCGACAGGACTGCCCAGAAGTCCCAGCGTCCTCTGCAGGAAGAAGATGAAGATGTCCGGTGTTTTAGGAAGCAGAGGAAGAGAACGAGGTGGCCCGGAGGAAAGCATGACCTCGGCAGGGCACAGGCATGTGGACCCTCAGGGGCAGGTGATGGGGCTGCCGACGAACCCACCTGGGGGGCTCACTCTAAAGCCCTGGCGGGGCCCACACAAGGTCATCTTCACGCAACTCCAGTCAAGCATGAGCTTCCGGCACCTTCCTGGTTCTTTCTACTCTAGAGGCAGAAGCTACAGGCAGTAGCGCGGCCAGGAGGGGAAGACAAGGAACGCCGTCCCCACACACTGAGTCTGGGAGCAGAGGGGACACACTAAGGGTCCCCAAGGGAGAGGAGACTCCATGGTCAGCTGAGACTGCAGTGCCCTAAACAGAAGGCACAACTGCAGCTCCCTCAGAACAAAGACAAAAGCCACAGGTCTGTGCAAGGTCTCAACCAGGAGCAGAAAACAGGCTTCTGAATAAACACACAAGGGATCCTGGCTAGTGCAGCACAGTGCTCTGTGGGTGTGCACAAGAATGCTGGATTTTCTAACAGAACCACTGCGGGCAGCACAGCCATCCCTTACAGGCCAGGAACAGGTGACGCAGAGAGGGGCAGAGGTGCTGAGTACCAGTGCAGCACATGCTCCACCGCCTGGACAGGTGCTGACCATGCCACTAGGGACCCACCTGCAACGTCCAGGCGGAAGGAGACCCTCTGTCCCCTGGCCTCACAGCTGTACTCTCCGGAGTCTGCCTGGCCCACCTGCTGCACCACCAGCCTCCGCATACAGCCCACAGCCTCCACGTGCACTTTCGAGCTGGAGCTCAACTTCTTCCCGTCCTTGTACCACGTCACCTCCATCTGGTCCTGGGCCACCTCACAGCTCAGCGTGGCGCTGGCCCCCACCTCAGCCTGCACCTCCCTGCACGCCGGCTGCTCCTTGGCAAACACCGCCTTGGGCTCTGGGATGCATAAGGGGGGAGGTGGGGTCAGAGGCCCTTCCAAGTGAGGTTTGCAGGGCCTGGTTCAGGTTATCAGATTCTGTACCCCAGGCACGAACAGTCCTGCCATGGGCTCCTCCATGGTCCGTGTGCTCAGGCGTAGCTCTTCCCATGCACAGGCAGCTGTGATGCCCAACCCCTGCCCAGTGAGGGCCCTGGCATGTGCCAGGAGGGCAGGGCGTGTGCCTACGAGAAGCTATCAATAGGGCCTGGTGGCCTGAGTGTCCTTCGCAGACCCAGCATGCTGTCTCTCTCTCCCCTAAACTTCTGCCTGTCCTGGAAGTCCACCGCCTATGGACACGGGCCATCATGTGGACCAAGACAGAGAGAGGGTTCAGCTTCACAGACACTCCCCTGATTATTCAAACAACAGAGAGCAGGCACAGGGTGTGTTCTACATTGTGGATGAATTGGCCATTGGACTGTGAAAGTTAGGAGGGCTGGGCTGGCATGATTTTTAAACTTTTATATGTTAAACGCCCACATATTTCCCCCTGGAAGCCAGCCGGATAGTTTTCCAGAGCCTGGCCTTGGGGCCTTCCCTGTTGTGGGGTCTGTGAGCGGAATCCGGCCCACAGAGGCCCGGCAGCCATGCTCCTTGAGAAGCCCTCTGTGCTCCTCCTTCAGCCTCCCAGCCAACATCTCTGAGCCCAGGAGGCTTCCAGAAAGAGCCAGGGCTCAGAGCCCCCTACATTCAAATCTTAACCTGTCAGAGACACTCCAGTCTGTGGCTCTGCTCAACCTCAGTCCCCTCATCCTAAAAACGAAGAGAAGGGCTTTAGAAACATTTCTGGCCCAAGCACTTTGGGAGGCTGAGCTGGGAGGATTGCTTGAGACAAGCCTGGGCAACATAGCAGGACCTCATCTCTACAAAAAATACAAAAATTAGCTGGGCTTGATAGTGCGCGCCTATGGTCCCAGCTACTTGGGAGACTGAGGTGGGAGGATTGCTTGAGTCTGCGAAGTTGAGGCTTCAGTGAGCCGAGATGGTGCCACTGTACCCCAGCCTAGGCGGACCCTGTCTCAAAAGAAATAAAATAATAAAATAAATAAAATACAAAATAAAATAAAAACACATTTTAAATGAAGTGCCAGCCCTAACCCTGGCCCACAAACACACAATACACAAAAGCGTCTGCAGAGCTGTGAGTGAGCCCTGGCGGCGAGGACGAGACACAGCAGGAGACAGAGGCCCATGTACAGATGGAAAAGATTATCCTAAAGCCTAAGAAAACCAGGTCCACGTCCACTTTCCACAATTTCCTTCATGTTATCTTTTCTTATTTTCTACATTTAGATTCTTTACCCACGTAAACGTTAGTTTTTCCCAAACAGAGAAGTTAGTTAGTTAGTCTAACTCTGTTTTTCCCAAACAGAGAAGAAGTTAGTCAGTCATTTCTTTTCCCAAACAGAGAAGCAAATGTTCTCTGGGACGAGGCAGCAAACATAAGAAGCTGTGTTTGCTCATCCTGGTCTGCCAGCAGAATTCACCAATCCTGGCCCGGTGAATGAGTGCAGCCCTGGGGGACACAGTGCAGGTTCCCATGTCTCTAGCCTGAAGTACGGCAATTTTAGGAAAGGTAAGTTCAATGGTGCTGGCCCCTTCTTCTCCCTGCACATGAGATAACGTCTGGCAGTATTCATGACTGTGCCTCTGTCATCTGTAACAAGGTGCACCCAGGCTGTGAGGAGCTCTGGCTCTAAAGGTACCTTCTGAGCAGCTGCAGAGCCTTCCCCACCTATGTATGAGCTGCAGACTGAAACTCTGCTTTGGAGCAGCTTAACAGAAAGTCTGAAAGACTCCTGGGCCGCAATCCTCGAGCCTTCTGAATAAAACTAATTCTTTTAAAACCTTGATTTTTTTTTTCAGTTGACACTGTCAACCATTTGCTGGAGAAAAGAAGGGTCAGGAAGGTCAATCCTGCTCTGCTGGAGGCAGCCGGACCTGCTCCCCACCCCACATGGGCCTGGACGCATGCACACACAGCGTGCTCACCAGAGACGCGGAGCCGGAAGTCCACAGAGTCCTCGCCCACGCGGCAGGAGTAGGTGCCTTCATCCTGCCTGGTGACTGTGGCTGCCACCAGCCGGTGCCGCGTCCCCACATCCTCCTGCAAGAAGCGCTCACCGGAGTGGCCCAGCTCCATGCCATCCTTGTACCAGTGCACGTGGACGTGGGCTTCGGAGGTCTCACACTCAAACTGCGCCGGGCCCCCAGCCACGGCATCCACACAGCTGCCCGCCATGTCCTTGTGCAGAAAGCGCGCGAGGCCTGCAGGACACAGGCTGGGTCAGGCACTGCAGAGGCCCTGAGCACAAACTTGGCCACAGTGCTCACAAGCTGGAGCTGGTCCGGCTTCTGGGACCACACAGGACACCCAGGCTCACCAGGCTAGAGGGACCCTGCTTGGGCAAGCAGCCAGTGCGGCCTACTGACTCTAACCTTGGGACTTGTGCCCACCAGAGCAACCACCCAGTTATGGAGTCCCTCCCCCTACCAAGCTGGGCTCGCCTCCACTGCCCTGTCCCTCACCCTCCCCACAAAGTCAGAGAACCCCGCAGAGGCTGCCAGCTGCTCCCACCTTGCACGGAGAGCTGGTAGGCGATGCGGCCCCCGCGGCTGACGCACTCGTAGAGGCCTGCATCGTCCCGGGCCACATCTCGCACAAGGAGCACCCGCCGCCCGGCCGATGCCTGCACCTCATACTTGGGGCCTGGGGACAGTGTGCGACCATCCTTCAGCCACGTCACAGCCGCAGCCTGATCTGACAGCTCAGCCAGCAGCTGCGCCTCCTCGTGCAGCCGAGCCAGCACCTCCCGGGCAGCTGCGGCTGGCGGCTTGTTGGCAGTCAGCCCTGGGGCCGCTGGGGGCCAGGTATGCGTGGCCAGAGGGGAATGGACGGAGGGGCACAGAAAGGTGAACAGAGGGGAATGGACGGAAGGGGAGACAAGGAGAGACAGACACGGGGCAGAGAAAGATAAAGGGAGGGACCCAGGAGAACAGCACAGGAGGACAGCGAGGGAGAGGCAGGCAGGGGAGACAATGGCAGAACAGAGGTCACAGATACACCAGAGAAGCAGGGGAGACAGAGGTGGAACAGCCAGGCATGGGATGGCAGAGACAGAAAAAAGCAGGAAAGAAACGGAAGGGAAAAGATTAACAAGATAGAGGAGGCAGGAGGGGGAAAGGAGGAAAGTGGGGAGACAGACATGAGGCTCTGCCCAGCAGGACCCCTGCAGCCCCAGGCCCTCACCCAGACACCAGGGACCAGTGCCACCAGCCAGCCTGGGTGAGTCCTCACACGCCCACCACCCTGCCTGCTTCATCCCAGTGACCTGCAGGCTGACAGGGTGTCCTGGGGCCCTCAGACCTGTAGCAGCCCTACCTGGAGCCCTGACACCGCCCACCCTGGAGAAATGAGGCTCAGGGTCCCAAGCTGGGGCCCTCCACCTACCCCGGACCTCCATCCGGATGCTGCTCTCAATGCCGTTGGCCACGAACTTCAGCTGCGCCCCGTGCAGGCTGGCGGGCACCTCCCGGATGGTGAGCGTGTGCCGGGTGCGATCACAGTGGATCTCATACACACTGCTGGCCTTCAGGGCCTGCCCATCCAGGAACCACTCACCCGCTGAGGCCACCGTGAGGTCCACGGAGAAAGTGACCTCGCCACCCTCTACCGCCTGCACCGCCTTCAGCGGTGTCCTCACGGCCAGCTTGGGGGCTGTGGGGCGGGCAGCGTCAGAAAGGGGCCGAGGAGGAGTGGGGAGTGCTGAGGAGGTCTCTGCCTTCCCCTTCTCTTCCTACAGAGCCTAGACCTAAATGTTCCTCCTCCAGGAAGCCCAGCCAACACACAGAGCGACCATAGCATGAGTCAGGCTCATGAAGGAACAAGGACAAGGTACAGCTGCCCTGAGACCCCTCCAGCATCCTACAAGCCCCACCAGAGTGGGGCAGCCCTGGAGCCCCGTCCCCTGGGTCTGCTGGAGACAGGCAGGCTCCCAGGGGCCCTGTAGTGGGGTCACCTATCCTTCCCACCACGGACACTGCACCAGGGCAAGGCCTTGGCAGCCCCCCTCCCCACAGAAGGTCCCCATGAGGCCACTCTGGCCTCCCCTGAAGCTGGACCTGGGGGATTCCGGGGCAGGTGAGCAGCCCCGTAGGTTGTAACAGGGAGGTCCCACTTACCCAGGTGGACAGTCCCCGGGAACTCGAGGTAGGGACTCTGACCAAAGCTGTTGAGAGCGGACACTCGGAACTGGAAGTTCCCCTCCTCCGCCACATCAGCCACGGTCAGCTCAGGTGTAGCCACCCATTCAGCCTCGTGGCACCTGATCCAGGTGTAGGTGCCAAGCTTCTTCTTCTCTACCAGGTAGCCGTCGATAGTGACAGGGCGTTCCCCATGGGGTGGTGGGGACCAGCTGAGAATCACGGAACTCTCCATCCTGGCCTTTACCACAGGATCCACAGGGGGTTGCAGGGGAGGCTTCCTGGGGGCTGTGTAGAGGGTGGGCAGAGGTCAACTACTGGGAGCCTCTTCCTGAGCCCTGGGTCTGGAATCACCTGGAGGGGTGTCACAGGATCCCCAGCTCTCTTGGGGCTGCTCTGGGGACCTGGACCACTGGCCACAACCTCCAGCCCCAGACCTGCAGCCACTTCTCTGGTTGCAGCTGAAAGACTGCGCGGGGGCTCAGGGAGCCTAACGTTGGAGGGCCAGGGCTATGGTCTTGCCCGGCGGCCCTCGGTACAGCAGGCTGAAGCCCAGAGAGCTGAGGTAATGGAGGGCAGGGGACTGGGACCAGGGAGACAGCAGGGAAGCGATGCCATCCTGGGAGCACCCTCAGGCCCTCACCCGACACGCAGAACTGGGTGGACGTCTGGCAGTCGCCAGCCATAAAGGCCACCTGGCCCACATCCTCCAGGCAGCACTGGGAGATGGTTAGTGTGTGGCGCGTGCCCTCCGCGGAGATGGCCACGCGGCCCCCCGCCACCACTTCCTCCTGGTTCCGCAGCCAGTGGACGGGGCCCACCGGGACCGCCAGCTCCACGCAAAACATAGCCGTGTCGCCCACGCGCACCGCCGTCTTCCGAGGGAGCTTTCGGAGGAGGTTTCCTGGGGTGGAGGGAGCCGGGCCAGTCAGACCAGCCCCTGCACGCCCCGCTCCAGACTCGCTCCTCCGCTTGCCCCCTGTCTCCCGGTTCCCAACTGCCTCCGATTCACTCCCCCGCGCAACCCCTTACCTGTCCCGCCGGCCCAAGTCCCAGCTCGGTCCCACAAGACCCCTGCCCACTCCGTCTCCCCTTCCCCCTAATCACCACCCCGTGCCCGGCCCGAGCTTGCTCCTCCGCCCCCACCTTACCTGCCCTTCCCGCCCCAGTCCCGCCCCTGCCTGCCCCAGTCCCAACTCGTACCTCGCAAGCCCAGTCCGTCTGCACCCTGCCCGCCCCCGTGCCCGCCCAGCCCGTGCGGCCTGGCTCCCCCCTCCCCCGCCCCCGGCTCCCTTCTCGGTGCCTCCTTGCCCCCGCTACCTCCCCGAAGCCGCCCTGTGCCCCGCCCCGTGCCCCGCCCCGCCTGCCTTGGACTGCGAGCTCCGCCACCGTGCGGCTGCCCTCTGGCGTCTCGCAGATGTACACCGCGTCGTCGTCGGCCGAGACATTGCGCACGGTCAGGCGGCGCTCGGTGCCCTCCTCCTCGATGCCGTACTTGGCGCTCGCCCACAACCGCGTCTCCTCCTTGAACCACGCGGCCTCAGTGGACGGCTGGGGCACCTCACATAGGAACGTGGCCGACTCCTTCTCCCGCACCTCCAGATCTTGCAGCCGCTTTTTGAAGGGAACCGCGGGCTCTGCCAGGAGAGAAGACTGGTGAGAGGGGCGGGGCCGGAGGGTGCAGGACGACGGCGGGGTGGGAAGGGGGAAATTGGGGGATTGTGGGCGGGAAAGGAGACTGGAGGATGCAGAGGTGAGGGTGTGGGAAGGAATAGGGGACAGGAGCAGAGGGGCTGGGAGGCTGGAAAGGAGAGGGTGCAGGGTAGAGGAGTGGGCTGGGGAGAGGAGCGAGCAGGAGGCAGAGGGGCTAAGGGTTGGGAAGGGCGCAGGGGAGGAGACAGGAAGTTGGGGGGCGGGGGAGTAGAAGAGCAGAAGGCAGAGTGGTGGAGGTTGGGTTGGGAGCAGCGGGAGGGAGAGGGCGGGGCTGAGGAGGTGGGATCCCCTGCGGCCCCGCCCCTCTCACACCTCTCGCCCCTGTCTGTGGGCCAGCGGTGGCGGGTTGGGGGCGCGGCATGCAAAGGGGGCGGGGCGGGCAGGGGACTGGGTGGGGAAAGCGGGTTGCGGGTGTTTAGAATAGGTCGTGGGGCGTCGCCCGCATTTTGCGCACCAGGAACGGACACCTGCAACCCTGGATTCCACGACCGGACAGACGCGGGTGGGAAACGGCAGACCGCAAGGGCGAAAGGACCCAGGTGCACGGGTTGCGGAGGAGCCTGGGCCCGCGCGCCCCGCACCCAGGAGCTCACCGCGCACTACGACCAGCACAGAGCTGTAGGTCTGGCCCACGAGGTTGGACGCCGTGCAGGTGTAGAGGCCGCGGTCCGACTGCTTGCAGAAGAGGATCTTGAGCACGAAGTTCTCCTGCGCGTCCTCGTACACCACGTGGCGCCGGCCCTCGGTCACCAGCTGGCCGTCCTTCTTCCACACCGTCTCGGGCTTGGGCTCGCCGGTCACGTAGCAGCTGAGGCGCGCGTGCTTGCCTTCAGTCACCGTGCAGGTGCGCGTGCCGGTGCTGGGCGGTGAGGCGGGGGCGCCCTCGGCGCGCATAGCCTCGCGCCGCCGCTGCAGGTGCGCCAGGAGCGCGGCCGTGGAGGTCCCGGGCCGGCTGGCCGTGTCCGCGGCGTCCGAGTCCACCACTAGCGCCGCGGCGGCGCTGGCAGCGCCCAGCGGGTTCTCGGCGCGGACCTCGTAAGTGCCGCCGTCGCGCGGCCGCGCCGCCCGAATGCGCAGCGCACTTGCCTCGCCGAGCTCCTCCACGCGCACGCGGGGGCCGTCGGGCTCACCCAGGCGCCGCCCGTCCTTGGACCAGCTCACTGCCGGCCTCGGGGAGCCACCCACGCGGCAGCGGAAGGTGGCCTCTGAGCCCTCGC
This sequence comes from Homo sapiens, assembly GCF_000001405.40. Classification (NCBI taxonomy): domain Eukaryota; kingdom Metazoa; phylum Chordata; class Mammalia; order Primates; family Hominidae; genus Homo; species Homo sapiens. The sequence continues at coordinate 228,212,147 of NC_000001.11, read as the reverse complement.
GCACGCGGATGGACGTGGGCCGCAGCAGGAAGTGCGGCGCCTGCTCGGCGCACGCGGCCTCCGCGTCCACCTGCAGGCCCACAGCAGCGAAGGCCTCGCCTATGGCATTGCGCGCGCGGCACACGTATTGCCCACTGTCGCCCAGCGCCAGGTCCAGGATAGTGAGGCGGTAGAGGTCGCCGTCCTGGGCCAGACGGAAGCGCGCGCCGGCCGCCACCGGCTGCTGGTCCTTCTCCCAGCTCACCTGTGGCGTGGGATTACCCACGATCTGGCAGCTGAGGGTGGCGTCCTTGCCCACCGACACCACGAAGGCCTTGGGCCGGGTGAGAAAGCGGGGCGCCCCGCTGAACTGTGGCTGATCCATGAGGGTGGCGGCGGGGACCTGCAAGTAGGTGGGGATGGCCTTAGTGGGGATTGGAATGAGGCCCGGGTGCACCCCACCGTGCCGCCTGAGGAACCCAGTTCAACACCTCCACACATCCTATTTCCCCCCCACTCCCCGCGCCCTGAGGAAGCATCACCGGTTGGCACCGTGACCCAGAAGTGCAGACTTGCCCCTTTCTGGGCATTTGGGGTTTGGTAACCTCACCTGCAAACGGCTCTTCTAGCCGCTGAGAACATCTCCTTCCCTCTCCCTACCTACAGGGACCCACTGCCTCAGCTGCAGTTACTGGAGCACATGTCCCAAACCTACACCCCCTAGCAACCAGGCAGGGCCCCCTCCCTCGCAGTGCCCGCTATTTTTGGTTCCTCCCAGCCTACAAGCTTTGCTGCACCTTCCTGAGGCAGGCAGACCTGCCTGGTGCACTGTAGGCCACTCCCTACCTGCGGGGTGGTATCCTTTCTCCTACCGCACACACTGCTGCCTCTCGGGCCTAAAACTTCAGCTGGCCTGTGTGTCCCCCACATCAAGAAGGGGAGGCTCGCTGAGCCCCGGCAGGCCTGGGTGCAGGAGGCCCACCATGGGCACCGGTCTCATGCCCGTCTCCTCTGCCTATCGCACAAGGAGGTCACCGGTTCTCCACCCTGGCAGGCTCCCCTTTGAGCCTCTTCTAGGTGAGATGCACCCTCCGCCCTGGGCAAAGCCCTTACTCCCTCCTCTTCCCCCCGACCCCTACGCAGCTCTCCTTCAGCAGCCCCTCCAGGTTGCACTGAGGGGCCAGTCCGGCCTGAAGCTGCCCTTGTTGCAGAGGGGCCTCACCTCTTCTGCAGGGTCACACACCTCCCTCCTCCCCAGGGGCATGCTCTTTATCCATGAGCGGGAAGGACTGGAAACCACTTAGCTGCTTGCTCCCAGGCCCCCCCACTGAGCCCCAGGGTGGGATTGGGATGCAAGGGCAGGGCACAGTCAGGGATCTGGCTTGGGAGCATAGCTGGGGGACCCCAGAGTCTGGAGCTGGCAAGGCCAGTAACATCCCCCTGGAAGGGCTAGAGACCTCCAGGCTGAGACCAGCTGGGCTGGGTCAGCCAGGCCCAACTTGGTCACCCCACAGTTCTCAGCCACACTGGCCAGCTGGACATGCTGCAGGGCTGAGGGTGGACACCAGTGCCAAAGGCCCCAGGTGATGCTGTCCTTTGACCACCCCAGGCGGAGCCCAGCAGGCCAGCCGCCCCAGTACAGATCCCCCCATATAGATGGTGTGGGTTGACACTACCGTGCCTATGCAGCTCTTCTGTAGGAACAGCGGGTGTGAGTGGGCCCCACTGGCACTGGGCTGGCCCGGGGCGCCTTAACTCCCTCCAGCCCTGGCAGGCACAACCACCCCATGGTGGAGAGGCCCCCGCCAGGGCACCTCGCCTGTACTCTCTCTCAGGCCAGAGCCACCAGCTTCTGGGCCTGGGCTGCCCACTGTGGGCTGAGCCAGGGCAACGTTCCCAGGCCCTCCTCCTGGTCCTGTGATTCAGGTAGTTAATCCCCCTTAATCCCCTTGGGCAGTCTGAGGCTGGAGCAGGGCTGGACTGCGCAGCGGGCACCAGTCTGCTGACTCACTGTGCAGGCAGCACCTATGCTGCAGCCCAGCCTCCCCACCCACAGCAGGGCTCTGGGGCTGGGGAGGACCTGGGCAGGGGCCTGCCCACAGCAGGGACCGGGGTCCGAGTTTCACCCTTTCTGGGAATTTGCCTCTATGGGCTCCTCCCAGGACTCAAAAGGGCTACTTTGACATCAACTCTGCAGGGCCCATGAGCTCTGGGCTGTCCCCAGCACTCTCCAAAGTCATACAGTCAGGCCAGGTGTGGTGGCAAGCACATGTAATCCCAGCACTGTGGGAGGCAGAGGTGGGAGGATCCCTTGAGCCCAGGAGTTCGAGGCCAGCCTGGGCAACATGTGAGACCCCCATCTCTACAAAAACAATTAAAACAAATTAACTCGACATGGTGGCAGGTGCCTGCTGTCCCAGCTACTCAAGAGACTGAAGCAGGAGGATGGCTTGAGCCCAGGAGGTCAAAGCTGCAGTGAGCTGTGAGTATGCCACTGCCCTCCAGCCTGGGCAACAGAGCAAGGCCCAGTCTCTTAAAAAAAAAAAATCATATAGCAGGTCTGTGGGTTCCCCAAAAGCAGAACGGGGCATCCTCTCCCCCAACCTCTGCCACACCCAGATCCCCAGCTGGCCCTGCCAGGGTCACAGTGGAACAGATGAGGCAGCATGTGTGGGTAGCCTCTCTGGGCCTAGAGGACCGGGACAGGTCAGGGAGCTCCCGTTACTGCCTGTGCTGAAGGGACAGAGGTGCACAGGCTGACCTTGGCCTGGGAAGAGCGGGTAGAGACTGAGGTCCTCATCAGCTGCCAGGGACGGCACTATAGCCCTGCATTCTGTCGCCTGGTGCAGGCCCAGGAGGCCGACTGCAGGGTCTGGGGGGCTCATGGCAGCCCCATCAGGAGGCGTCCCCACCGGTCAGCAGGCCTAGGGCCAGAGAGGGGCTCACCAAGCAAAGACACTTGAGGGTTCAGGAGTCATCCTCCTCCCTGACAACCCGTATCACAGATGAAGAAACAGGCCGAGCAGGAAGGGGGCCACCACGGTCACCCGTGGGGCTCCCAGGAATCCATCGGGCACTGGGACATCTGCAGAGGCTGTCTTTTTTCTCTGCCACGTTTTGGGTCTGGGCACCCCACGAGCTTCCCCAGGAGGGGGAGACTTCAGCCTCCCAGGAAAGCCTTTTACCCACCATGGACCACACTTGGGCTCCTCAGCCCCTTGAGGCCTCATTCCAACGCTGTGGGACGCTCCCCCCCCCCCCACCAAACCATGCCCCGGGTGACAGGCCCCACCCACAGCCGCCCACCCCTCAGCAGCCCCTCCACCCTGACTGTTGCAGAACTTTGCCACTCTGGTCTTCCAGGGGCCCGGGACCATCACAGGGAAGAGTCCAGAGTGGGAGGCAGCTCCCAGGGTGCCACCTCGCTGGCCCTCCCCACCCCTACACTGACAGACAACCTGGGCAGCCTGTGCTCCCGTGCCCTTCCAGCATGAAGTTCCAAGGGCAGCGCCCCAGGGCTGTGCTTCACCTTAGACCCCACCGGAGGCTTCAAGCGTTCTGGGGAAATTTTTTCCTGGAGTCAGGTGTCAGCGCCCCTCTGGCTGTCCCCTCTGCTGAGCCAACAGGCCTAAAATAGCCCCAGCTGTCAGCGGGCATCTATCTCAGCAGTGCTGGGGGCAGGGCCAGCCAGACCCCCAGGCCGCTCTCTGAGCAAGGGTCAACTCCGGGGTAGAGGGGACGGTGGGTGCAGGGCACCGCCCCGGCTACCCCGCAGCCCCAGGCCAGCCTAGTGGCTCCATCCCCATGTGAGCAGCCCAGCTCCGGGGCTCAGAGGGAGCAGAGGCTGGAACCCCAGCCCCGCCACAGGGAGCTGCACTGTGGCCAGACCCTGAAGGCTTCCCCACTCCCCAGACATGACCTTTAGTGGAGCCACCCTCCAGGGCACAGAACAGCCCCCACCCTGCCCGGCTCTGTCTCCTCACCTCTCTCTATGGGGGCTCTGGGCAGCACGCAGGCTGGGGGCACAGGCTGGGAGGCAGGGGCTGCCGGGTCTCACCTCCCTCCGAGGGCCCAGGACCAGCAGGCTGCCTACCAGCAGCCCACACTCCGGCCGCTCCTCAAACTGGACGGGGACAAAAGGACAGGCGGACACTGTCAGCTGGAGAAGCCTGGGCCCGCCCCCACCCCACCCCCTGTGCCGGCCAGGCCGGCCCAGCCCAGCCCCAAAATAGCCCGGGTGTCACTGTCCCGGATTCAGTTTCACCCTCGGCCCTGTGGGAGGCAAAGGGCAGATGCTTGGGGCCACAGCAAGGGAGAGGGGGACAAATGCCTGTGTCCTTAGCAATGATGGAGGCCAGGGGTCACAGCCAGGGATGGGGGACCCTGTGTCCTCAGCAGTGATGCCAGCCAGGGGGCAACGGCCAGGGATGGGGAACAGACACCTGTGTCCTCAGCAGTGATGAAGGTCGGGGGCCATGGCCAGGGACAGGGAACACCTGTGTCCTCAGCAGTGATGCAGGCCGGGGGCCACAGCCAGGGACGGGGGGACCCTGTGTCCTCAGCAGTGATGGAGGCCAGGGTTGCCTGTGTTCTCAGCAGTGATGCAGGCCAGGGCCCACAGCCAGGGACCGAGAGACCCTTGTCCTTAGCAGTGATGCGGGCTGGGGACCACAGCCAGGGATGGGGGGACCCCATGTCCTTAGCAGTGATGCGGGCCAGGGGCCGTAGCTGGCCTACTCTCCCCTTCAAACCAGCATCCTGGCATGTGGGGCAGGAAGGAGCCTGGGGGACCCAGGAAGGCTCTGAGGGAGACAAGGGACCACCCCAAGAGGAGCCCAGGATGGATCTTGAGGCAGCCCCAGTACTGCCCCCAGAGGGGACCCAGGACCCACCTGAGGGCCAGCGGTGGAGGGATGGGGGCAGGAGCCTGGTGCACCCTGCTTGGCCAGGCCCAGGCCACTGCCCACCCGGGGGCTCTCCTGGAACACTCAGCTGGGTCTCAGAGTCATCCTTACATGGGAGCACAGGAGTGTCCTGTGAGAACCCAGCCTGACCGGGGGGAGGGACCAGCCCTGGGGAGGGGATGCTGATGGCACCCTGCTTCATACCCAAGAGGGGCTGGCCCTGTCCCCACGGCCCTGGCCAGGAAGAAGTGTGGACCGGGCACTGGGCAGGCCCCAACGGGGGAAGAGCAGCCAGAGAGGGCCACCCAGTGGGAGCCCTGTGCCTTTCCATGGAGGGCCCAGGTCCAGAGGAGGAGCCGAGTCTCTACCCACAGAGGCCTCCATGGAGGGAGGAGGGAGCCAGGACGGCATGTGAGGCGGGACCCTGCACCCCGCACCTGGGGGCATTTATCCTGCGGTGTGCTGCCAACAGGGCCCCAGCTACCAGCACCAGGGAGCCAAAGAAGGGGCCGGCCGGGCAGGATCTGGAGCTGGGCCCAGGAGGACAGCTCAGGCTGTGGCAGGAGGGAGGGTGGGGAAGATGGGGGTGCTCAGAATCTGCTCTGTGCCTCCAGGCTTCGCCCCATCCCTGATCCAGTGCCAGGCCTCTATGTGTCCTCACAGCGTACCTCAGGCTCTTCCGGGCAATGGCCAACATCTCTCATGTGTCCTCAATCAGAAGGAGGGTGAGGGGTCTCTGGAGTAACGGTTATGCCATTCTGCAGCCTTATCTCATGACTGATCACTTCCAAAAGCTCACGTTCTAATCCTGTCACCTTGGGGGTGAGCATTTCAACGTGTGAATCTCCGGGACACACATTCAGTCCACAGCACCAGGGAGAAAGGAAAGGCTGGAAGGAGAGCCCACTCCCCCACCAGGAGCTTGGCCCTGAGCTGCCCCAGCCATGCAGAAGTGTGTGTGCATTGTGTGTGCTCGAATACGTGCCCCACCCCCTCCCGGACAGGGCCGTGGAGGGTGCAGAGAAGATGGCTGTGCGGGCCAGCCCCTTGCAGGGCCTCCTGGACCTGGGAGAAGCAATGCCCCCACAGCCTCCAGGAGTGGCCTGCCCTCCTGACCCTCTTCACTGCTGCCTGCTCCGCTGCATCTCCAAACACCACTGCCAGCCTTCAGGCTGGATTTTCTGCCTCCTTCACAGGACCCCTGTTGTTCCTTATTTCCCTGCAACGTATTTGTTGAAGACAGTGGGATATTCACACTACAGAGCTTCCGGAGGCACTGTGCCCAGGGTGTCCTTCACACCACGGGAGGCCACAGGATGCAGTGGCTGGCCATGGACCTTGCCTATTCCTGGCTGGAATCCACTGCAAAGAGAACTTTCATGGAGCTGCTGTCTGTTCAAAGGGGTACAGGTGGAGGAGGAGCAGACACAATTTCCTGAGGAAAGCAAATGTCACTGTGTCCCTTGAGTTGCCAGCTTCCACAGGGATGTCCCGCCATGAGCCCTCCTCCCAGGGGCTTTCACAGCTGGGTGGGCTGGCATCCTGGGTGCAGTTTAACTGAAGGGGGTGTTCTCACAGCCATCTCCCAAGGCCTGGGGGATGGTGGGCCCGGAGGCCTCAGACCTGCACCTGCTGCCCAGGCGATGGGGTGGCTGGGCCCCGGGTGCCCACAAACTATAGGCAAAAAAAACTGTAAGTCAGTCCTGCAGGGTTTCCTGAACATTTTATGATCCCCAAGTCGTATCTGAACATGTCAAGAATCTCTGGTGCCTTGGCTTGGGTGTAAAGATGAAGTTCTTTCCTCCTCTGTATTCCAGGAGGAAAGAGGGTTTTCATTCCCTTCTGAATGTTAGGAGGGAAGGCATTTTCCATCCTTGACCAGCTTGTAGATGACACACATTCAGCAAACGCACATCCCAGCAGCACCGAGAGAACACACAGGTGTGTCACGCTTTTGCGTTCATAAGGCCTTTTCATGTCAGTATCTTATTAGATATTCCCAAACAAGGGTGTTTTCTCATCTTATAGAAGAGAGGCCTGAGGCTCACAGGGTGAAAACAATTTGCTTAAGCCTGCACAGCAGCTGTGCTGGCAACGTTTCTCCCGGTATAAATGAGAAGCAGCCTTTGTGGCCACAGAGATGTGACTGCTAAGTGCATCGTCCCACCCTGAAGGAGATTCTTCCTCAACAAGAGGACATTAGTGCAAAGACTGATGAAGTCTGTAGTTTCGTGGGTTTTTTTTTTAAGCATAAGGGGTTAAATATTATGTAATTAAGTAATAAGGCAGTTGTGAGGATGCAACTGCCAAAAGTTTGAAAAAAGCTGCCCAGATGGAAATCTGCTTGCATTTGTGCAAGCAGATAGGTGAGGGATTTTTACTGTACTGCCGTGTCCCCTACCTGCCCCAGCTTTATTGAGTTATAATTGACAAGCAAAAATTGTTTATATTTAAAGTGTACAATGTGATGTGGCCTTTTTGTTTTGTTTTGAGACATAATCTTATCACCCAGGCTGGAGTGAAGTGGCGCAGTTTAAACTGCGCAGGCTCATCATCCTCCTTCCTCAGCCTCCTCAGTAGCTAGAACCACAGGTGTGAGCCACCATGCCTGGCTCATTTTTTGATTTTCTTTTTTTAAGAGACAGGGGTCTCCCTGTTTCCCAGGCTGGTCTTGAACTCCCGGGCTCAAGTAATCATCCCGCCTCAGCCTCCCAAAGTGATGGTGTTACAGGCATGAGCTACTGTGCCTGGCCAGAAATGGTAAATTATAATTAAAGGCTTCTGTAAGTCATGCTGTCATATTTTAATGGAAATACCTCCTTTCATTGCAGCTGGGTTGCTTACAAATACACTACTTCAAAGTAAACTTTCTCTAGTAGCATATCAGAAGCAAAGTAAAATCTATTTGGAGCAAGTAAATCTGACTGCTACCCCAGTAAGTTATTGTTTTAATTTTACTTACTTGTTATTGATATATAACTGTACATATTTACAGGGCACATATGATGTCCTGATGCCTGCATACAATGTGTAATGATCAAGTCAGGGTTTATGACACCATTCCCTCAAACACTGATCATTTCTTCACACTCCAAATCTTCTCTTCTAGCTATTTTGAAGCATACATGGGAAGCTGGTTCCTGGACCCCCGCATATACCAAAATCTGTGCATACTCAAGTTCTACGGTCAGCCCTGTGGAACCCAAGCATAGGACAAGCCGGCCCTCCCTATACACACAGGTTTGACATCCTGAGAACACTGCTGGTTCCCTTCCCATTTGGTTCCAGAAAATCTGCGTATAAGTGGACTCAGTGGTGCAAACCTATGTTGTTCAAGGGTCAACTATATATGATGAATTATTGTTACCTACAGTCACTCTACCATGCTACTAAACACTAGAACTGATTCATTTTCTCTGACTGTGTGTCTCTACCCATTAACCAGCCCCTCTTCATCTCCCTTCCCGCTTCCCTCCCCAGCCTCTGGTAACCATCATTCAGTTCTCTACCTCCGTGAAATCAACATGAGTAAGAACTGGTGAAACCCAAACATAGTCTCGAATTTAGCTTTTTTTTTTTTTTTAACTGTAAGAGGCTAAACATTCTTGAGGAGGACACAAAAAAGTCTGAAGACAACTGTCCAGATGAGAATCTTGCACTTGCACAAGTAGAGAGGAGAGTTAGTTTTTATACCATCGCATCCCCAATCCCAGCTTTATTGATGCATAACAAATAAAAATTGTACATATTTAAAGTGTACAATGTGATGCTTTGATATATGTCTACATAGTGCAAATTAGCTCCCACATACAAATGACAACATGCAATATTTCCCTTTCTGTGCCTGGCTTATTTCACTTAACATAATGGCCTCTAGTTCCATCCACGTTGCTGCTAATGACAGGATCTCATTCTTTTGATGGCTGAATAATACTCCATTGTGTATATGTACCATGTTTTCTTGGACATTCAAGTTGATTCCATATCTTGGCTATCATGAATAGCTACAGTGAACATGTACCCTAGTAACATATTGGATAGACACCACACACTTAGGTAGCATAAAACAAAAGAAAGTTATTTTCCTTATATATTAGAAACAGACTAAAGCTGTTTTGAAAAACACCTAATTTTCAAAGTTATTCATGTGTATTAAATTGCACCATAAAAATAACAGGGCCTTTGTCTTCCTGGGATTTTTCTCCTGGGCCTACCTCAGCACGTTCCTCTTTAGATCACATGTTAGGCTACTTTGTAAAGCTGGTCTGACAACAAGAAATGCTATTATGGAGGAAAAGATCTCTTATTTCAATTCTCTTGTTCTCCTAATTTGAAATGGGTTTGTTCATTTTGTTTCTATTTCAAGACCAAGGGGTAGAAGCTCTTGGTTTTTCTGTTTGTGCTGCAAAAAAAAAAAAAAAAAGAAAAAGAAAAAAAAATTCTATTCTATGGTGACAAAACATATTTTTAAAATCATCTATTACAAAATTAGGCAAAGTCACATCAAAAATGGGAAATAAAATGGAAAATCCTACCTTTTTAGATAAGGTAAATTGTAGAGAAAAAAATGATAATTACTAAATACGATCATTTATTTCACTTCTACATGGTAGAAGGTTTATTAAAATAAAGAGTTGGTGCACAGCCGCTGTGGAAAACAGTATGATGGTTCCTAAAAAATTAAATGTAGAATCCCCATGTGACCCAGCAATTCCATCTATCAGTATGCACCCAAAAGAACTGAAAGCAGGGTCTCGAAAAGATATTAGTACACCCATTTTATTTTTAATTTTAAAACATTTTTTAATAGAGATAGGGTCTCACTATGTTGCCCAGGCTGGTCTTGACCTCCTGGGCTCAAGTGATCCTCCTGCTGCAGCCTCCCAAAGCACCAAGGTTACAGATGTGAGCCACCGCAGCCGGCCCACCCATATTTATTGCAGCACTATTCCCAACAGCCAAGAGCTGGAAGCAACCCAAGTGTCCATCAACAGATGAGTGGATGAACAAAAGGTGGTGGATACACACAAAGGACGGCTATTCAGTTTATTTTATTTATTTATTTATTTATTTATTGAGACGGAGTTTCGCTCTTGTTGCCCAGGCTAGAGTGCAATGGCGCAATCTCAGCTCACTGCAACCTCCACCTCCCAGGTTCAACCGATTCTCCTGCCTCGGCCTCCCGAGTAGTTGGAATTATAGGCATGCACCACCACACCCAGCTAATTTTGTATTTTAGTAGAGACAGGGTTTCACCATGTTGGTCAGGCTGGTCTCGAACTGCTGACCTCAGGTGATCCACCCACCTCGGCCTCCCAAAGTGCTGGGATTACAGGTGGGAGCCACCGCACCGGGCCTTCAGTTTATTTTTAATTCAGCTTTTAAAAGCAGGACATTTGTAACATCTACAATAGAGATAATTCTTGAGGACATTATGCTGAGTAAATAAGCCAGGCACAGAAAGACAAAGACTGATTCCACTCCTGTGAGGTCCCCAGAGGATTCATACACATGGAGACAGAGGGTAGAATGGGGGTTCAAGGGCTCGGGTCGGGGTAAGGGGATTGGTGTGTCATGGGGACAGATTGTCAGGTTTGGAACATGAAGAAGCTCTGGAGATGGGTGATGGTGATGGCTGCACAACCACATGAATGCGCTTAATGCCACTGAACTGGACACTTAAAATGGTCAAAATGGTAAATGTTGTGTTCTCTGTATTTTAACACAATAAGAAGAATGGGGGAAAGTGAAGAGCTAGCCACTGAGACAACCAATCACAACACGGCAAGGGCTCGGCATGCCAGGACTCGGTGCCCACTGATCACAAGGCTGGGACCAGTTCCTCTGAAGCACAGGGGTAGCTCTGGCTGAGCTTTAGAAGGAAAATCACGTTGTCTTTGCAAAGGCGAGCCTGTGGTAAGAACCCTGCAGAGTTTGCATCATGAATGAAAAGAGCAGATCTGGGGACAGACACGTGAGACCTGAGTGCAGGAGCGCTGGGAAACCCATCCCCAAGGATGGGACTCTGTAAGGAAGTGGCTTTCTGCTGCAGTGAGCGCATTTCTTCACAATGCCACTGTATGTTGCCTCAGCAGACAGGGTCAGTAATTACCTTGGTTTTGATGTATTTGTGCCTCTTTTAATCTCCCTGATGGTTTCTGAATGTGTTTTTTGTTTGTTTGGTTTGGTTTTTGTTTTGTTTTGTTTCATTTTTGAGATGGAGTCTCGCTCTGTCGCCCAGGCTGGAGTGCAGTGGTGCAATCTAGGCTCACTGCAACCTTCACCTCCTGGATTCAAGCAATTCTTCTGCCTCAGCCTCCTGAGTATCTGGGACTACAGGAGCATGCTACCCACACCTGGCTAATTTTTGTATTTTCAGTAGAGATGGGGTTTCACCATATTGGCCAGGCTGGTCTCAAACTCCTGACCTCATGATCTGCCTACCTCAGCCTCCCAAAGTGCTGGGATTACAGGCATGAGCCATCACACCCGGACCTGAATGTGGTCTTAAAGGCCATATGTCTAGCATGTCACACATGCATAGGAAAAGTCTATGCCTCATTTTTAAATCCTACCTGTGCCAGAGAAAGCCAAATCTGAGATGCCCATCAGCTTCACTCCTAAGATGGTGTGAAAGCATCATGAGCAGAGGGCCTGGCCTTTAGTGACACCCAGCCCTATCCCTTCTGTGGGGAGGTCAGCCATGCCTGGCTCCCGCTCAAACAGGTATGTGTGTGTCTTTAGAAAAATAGTTGCAGAATCTTACTGGAAACCAAGTCTGCACACCACCAAGCCTTGTCACGGAGCTCCCAGTCAGATACTCCACAGCTGGGTTACTGGAACAGTTCAGGGTCTGTGGAATCATAGGACATGTATATCTGGGTCTTTGATGCAATCCAAGAAGACCACAGGCTGCCACTGCCCAGAAAACTGACTCCAAGATTTGCCAAAGGGGAAAAGAAGTTCACAAGGAGAGAAAGTTCTAAAGCGCTCCCCATAGGAACTGACTTTATTTGAAATAGCACATGGGAAAGGAAGTTCAACCCTAAGGGTGCTCTTGAAAACAACTGTTCCTCTTACTTAAGACCAACAAGCTCAACCTCAGGCCAGCTAGTTCACCAGAGGAACTTCAGCAGGACACAGCTAAGAAGAATGTCCTGGGTCAAAACAAACCTCAAAGACTGGGTCAAAATGACCCCCATGCCTGGTTTATTCACTCAACATAATAACCTCCAGTTCCATCCGTGTTACTGCAAATGACATGATTTCATTCTTTTTGATGGCTGAATTATATTCCATTGTGTATATATGCCACATGTTCTTTATCCATTCAGGTACTGCTAGGCACTTAGGTTGGTTCTACATCTTGGCTATTATGAATACTGCTGCAATAAACATGGGGGTGCAGGAAGCCCTTTGATATACTAATTTCCTTTCCTTTGGATAAATACCCAGTTATATGTATCACTAAACAAATACATAAGCAAACAATTGAAAAAGAAATCCAAGAGAGGGAGGAATTGAATCAGAATCCAGAGTTGATAGAATATATTGCCTGAAATATCCAGTTTTCAACAAAAATTAAAATTACGAGGCATGTAAAGAACAGGAAAGTATGACCTATACTGGAGGGAGAGGGAGAACAGACAACATAAACTGTGAGAGGATCCAGATGTTGGACTTTGCAAAGGCTTCAAAGCAGCTATTATAAATATGTTCAGAGAACTTAGGGAAACCACACTTAAAGAAGCAAAGGGAGGTACGATGATGATGTCTCATCAAATACAGAATAAAGAAACAGAAATTATAAAAACAACCAAATGGAAATTCTGAAGTTGAAAAGTACAATGTATGAAATAAAACACTCAATAGAGAAGCTCAATGGTAGGTTTTTAACTGGCAGGGAAAAAAAAAAGAGTCAGAACTTAAGGATAGATTGATAGAGATTCTGCAATCTAAAAAACAGAGAGAATGAAGAAAATGAACAGAGCCTTAAAGAAATGTGGGACACCATTAGGCACACCAACATACACATGAGAAAACCAGCTCCTCACATACAAGGGCAGCCCACTGAGATTAACAGCTGATTTCTCATTGGAAACAATGGATACCAGGAGACAATGGGATAAAAAAAAAAACAACAAGGCAGAGTGATTCAGCATGTAAACGTTTCTTGTCCAAAACAAAATTAAATGACTCTGATGATCTGGAATTCCTACTTTTGTGTGTTTAACTGCTCATCTTTCCCTCACCCAACCTTGAGCACCATGTGGGTACAGGTAACAAAGCACAGACCTCCTGAATCATTTCTTCTCACCAAAACAGCAATTAAAACAGAAACTTTAAAAAATCTCAATCAGAACATTAAGTACAACATGCTTAAAATTATGTTAACATGATTCATGTTAGTGACCATCATTAAAACTGATTTCAAATTCTGAAAGATGCTTTAAACCACCTGCTGGTGAGGACTGGGATATTGTTGGTTGACTTTTAAAAATTCTCTCATGGGTCCTTACTGTTTTCTCAATGTTCAAGATGAATTCAGTTGCAATTATCAACTCAGGTGAAAATCAAAAAATGACCAAACAGTTTGATAAAGGGTTTCATGAAGCAAAGCCTGTGTAAGAATTTTTAGGCCGGGCATGGCGGCTTGCGCCTGTAATCCCAGCACTTTGGGAGGCCAAGGTGGGCAGATCATGAGGTCGGGAGATCGAGACCATCCTGGCTAACACAGTGGAACTCCGTCTCTACTAAAAATACAAAAAATTAGCTGGGCGTGGTGGCGGGCACCTGTAGTCCCAGCTACCAGGGAGGCTGAGGCAGGAGAATGGTGTGAACCCAGAAGGCAAAGCTTGCAGAGAGCCAAGATCGTGCCACTGCACTCCAGCCTAGGCGACACAGTGAGACTCTGTCTCCAAAAAAAAAAAAAAAAAAAAAAAGGATTTTTAAAAATGTAAAGTGCAGGAATTTTAATAATCTATCCTGCATCCACTGAAATAAATGCCAGAAAATGCATATAAAAATTGGCCCATCGCGCCACTGCACTCCAGCCTGGGCGACAGAGCGAGACTCCATCTCAAAAAAAAAAAAAAAAAATTGGCCCATAGTATTTGCCAAATCTTTGAAAAGGCTATGCAAAGTCTTTTTGCCATGTCCAGGGAAAATGAACCTCTGGGAACCCTTGTCTCAGTGTCAGCAGCATGGTTCTCAGCCTTCTCCCTCCCTGTCATAATTTAAAATTAGAGCCTGTAGAGCCTGGTGGTCACATGGAACACGGTGATTCCTCCTGCCCCCAACAGCTGCCATGTCTCCCTGGAAATGCTAAGATTAGGACAGCACAGATTCCTAGAGTAAAATTAAGGGCCACAATTAACTGGGTGACTTAATTTGGCAATCTTGCAATTCCATTATGATTAGAGAGTGGCTCTTCTCACTGCCATGACTGCTACAGAGTGACTCAGGGCCACCGCTCACTCTGATCTTTCTGAAGAACTTCAAGATCCCAGTTCATGTTCTCCTGGACATTGGGTTCTGAGGGTCAGTTCATGCAACATCCCGTCATTGTCTTCTTGTCCCACTGCTGTGTTGGGAGATGCCCTGGACAGAGTCATTTGTAGAGCACACCACTAAGCTGTCCAGGGCTTCCATGTGGCCACTGCTAGCTCTTCAATAGCCAGCGCCAGGGCTAGCACATCTAGAAGAGTCAAGAGAACAGGCCATTAAGGACAGTGTGCAGAGAAAACAGTCCCAGCAAGAAACAGTCTCTACTCTCTAAGCATTGACTCTTGAATGTGCTAAGAACCTACTCAGGAAGCTGTAGTAATTAAGACAGTCACTCGGGGTTAGAAAAACAGGCCAACGAAAGTAAAGAGAGCCTGGAAACAGGCCCTCACACATTTAGATACCAAGGTGACCCTGTGGAGGAGTGAGAAAAATGTTCTGGATAACAAGATATCTTTTATTTCTTCTAAAAAGAAAGAAAACTGGAGTACTACTTCACACTTATCATGGGTTGAGTGGTGTCCTCCCAAAAAGATATGTTGAACTCCTCATTCCCAGAATCTGTGGATGGGACCTTACTGAGGGACAGGGGCTATGCAGATACAATGAAGTTAAGATGCTGTCCTCAGGGTGGGCTCTAATCCAACCACTGGTGTCCTCATAAGAAGGAGAAATTTAGTCACAGAGACAGACATACACAGAGATGAGATGATATAGAGACAGACAGGAAGAGAGTGGCCATGTGAAGACAGAGGCAGAGACTGGAGGGATGTGGCCACAAGCCCAGGGGCACCTGGAGCCACTGAGAGTTGGAAGAGGCAACGAAGGATCGTCCCCTGGAACCTCTGAAGGGACCATGACCCTGCCCACCCCTTGATTTCAGACCTCTATGGAAGAGTAAAGTCTATTTTTTTAAGCCATTCAATTTGTGGTTATTTATTACAACAGATATAGGAAATAAATACAATGCCATACACGAAACTCAAGCTGATTAAACGTGGAGTTGCCATATAATCCATCACTTCTACTGCTTGATAAATACCCAAGAGAATTGAAACATATGTCCACACAAAAATTTATACATGCTTGCTTGTCCACAGCAGCATGATTTACAATAGTCAAAAGATGAAAACAACCCAAATGTCTATCAACAGACAAATGGATAAACAAGATATGGTATATTCATGCAATGGAATATTAGTAAGCCACAGATGGGAATGAAGTATTGATCCATGCTACAAAATGGATGAACCTTGAAAACATTATGCTCAGTGAAAGAAGCCAGACACAAAAGGCTATATACTGTATGCTTCCATTTATATGAAATATCCAGAAAATGTAAATCCATAAAAACAGGAAGTAGACTGATGGTTGCCAGGGTCTGCAGGGGGAGTAGGGGATGGAATTTTTTAAAATTAAGCTGAGATGAATTTTAAAACTCAACTGGAAAAAAAAGCAAAACAAACTCTTTTAGGATACAATTGAGAACATTTTCAAGCAAGTATTTCTTCAACAAGACACACCAAAAAAACACATATCCCAAATAAGGAAAAAAATAAATTTAATTACATTAAAATGTAAAATGACTATCCAACAAAAGACACCAAAAACAAATGTTGAAAAAGATGTCTGTTACACAGGTGACTTACAGAAATTCTTACCCATGCATTACGATACAGATGCAAGAATATTCAAGGCCAGGCACAGTGGCTCATGCCTGTAATCCCAGCACTTTGGGAGTCTGAGGCAGGAGGACTGCATAAGGCCAGGAGGTCCAGACCACCCTGGGCAACATGGGGAGACTCTGTCTCTACAAAATAAGGTTTTTAAAAACAGAATATTCAAGACAGCTGATGGTGGCAAAAAAAAAAAAAAAACTGGCAACAAACTCAATCACCAAGGGAAGAATCAAATGAATCACAGGACAGGTCTGTCAAAGGTGGGGGCAATCACAGGAAAAAATGCAGTGGACCCTCATGCACTGATGGGGGATGACACCTGTATTACTCCGGATTCTCCAGAGAAACAGAAACAACAGGAGATGGATATAAGTGTCTCTCATTGGTTCTGTATGAACCAGTAAGATACATGATACATGAGATGGATGGATGGATGGATAGATAAGATAAATAGATGATTGACAGGTAGGTACAGAAGATTGATAGATGGATCTAGATAGATTGGATACATGGATGGAGATGGATGACTGACAGATATTGATAGATAGATGACAGACCAACAGACTGAGTGATTATAAGGAACTGGCTCACACGACTATGGAGGCTGAGAAGTCCTAAAATCTGCGGTCAGCAGGCTGAAGACCCAGGGAGCCCACAGTACCATTCTAGCCTGAAACTCAGCAGGCTCAAGATCCAGGAAGAGCCAATGTCTCAGTTTGTGTCCAAAGGCAGGAAAAGACCAACGTCCCACCTCAAAACATTTGGGCAGGAGGAGTTCCCTCTTACTCAGCCTTTCTGTTCTATTCAGGTTTTCAACTGATCGGACAAGGCCCACCCATCTTTGGAAAAGCAATCTGCTTTACTCAGTCACTGACTCAAATGCTAATTTCTTCCAAAAACATCCTCACAGATACACCAGAAATGATGTCTGACTAAATGTTTGGGCATCCCGTGGCCCAGTGAAGCTGACACGTAAAATTCACCATCATGACACCTGTACCCAGCATGGAAAGGCAAGCTGCAGAACATCGAGGGTGCAACCCCAGCTAAGCTGGGAAAAGGGCTACTTGAAAGTGTTGTGTGTGGATATAAGTGTGTGAGTAGAGACATCTATGTCTGCAAGCACAGATGCATCTGGAGGTGAGCACAGACTGCTGACCATGGTGACCTTCAAGAAGATGGAAAATGGACAGGCTTCTTACTCCATGTGCTTCTGTACTGTTAAATTTTATTCAACAAATACACATCCCATTTCCAGTTAAAAAATAACAGGTCCCAGCTGGGTTGAGGACAGGAGCAGCCTTAAACACTTACCGAGCAGCAAGTATAAGGAGCTGATCAGAGCAGCAGAGCAGTGGTTCTCAAAAGTGTGATCCCAGCAGCCTGTGGGTCCCTGGGGCCCTCTTATGACCCCCGAGGTCCCAGTGGTTTCCATGGTGATGCTGAGGTATTGTTTGCCTTTGTCATTCTCACTCCATCATGAGTGTAGAGTTATCTCAAGGATGCAGGACTCCAGTTCAGAGGATCAAAGCTAGATGTTAAAGAGATTTGCCCTCATGATCCAAACACCCCCTACCAGGCCCCGCCTCCAACACTGGGGACTACATTTCAATGTGAGATTTAGTGGGAACACAGATCCAAACTGTATCAAATGTTATAAAAATAAATTTGAAAACAGGTGATATGGACAAGTTCCTCGAAAAACATAATCATCATTTCAATTCATACTCCCCAAAACTGATAAATTTCAACAAACTTTTGTGATTTAAAAAAAAAAAAATCTTAGCAAACTAGGATTTCCAGTTATAAGAACTTTCTCAACCTCAAAAAGAGTACCTACCAAGAAATGTCAACAACCACCAGACCAAGTGGTAAAACAATGATGAACTTTCCTTTAAGATCAAGAGCCAAGTGAGGCACCAGCACCCCTGTTTAACCTGACCCATCAGAGAAAGGAATGGGAAAAAAACTAAACATTTATGGATTACCAAAAACAAACAAAACTGTCATTAATTTAAGATCATATGATTGTCTAAAGTAAAAGCCCCAAGCTACCTATATAAAAATAATTACTAGGAACAATTAAAATTTAGCAAATTTATTTCTAAACATCAGTAACAAAAAATTAGATAAATGCAATTTCGCAAGGATGCCTTTTGCCACAGTATTAAAATTATTTTAAATAAATACATTTAACAAAAGATATATAAGGACTTCAGAAAAATTATACAAACTTTGCAGAATTAAAGTAGGCATAAATAAGCGAGAGACGGCCAGGCGCGGTGGCTCACGCCTGTAATCCCAGCACTTTGGGAGGCCGAGGCGGGCGGATCACGAGGTCAGGAGATCGAGACCATCCCGGCTAAAACGGTGAAACCCCGTCTCTACTAAAAATACAAAAAATTAGCCGGGCGTAGTGGCGGGCGCCTGTAGTCCCAGCTACTTGGGAGGCTGAGGCAGGAGAATGGCATGAACCCGGGAGGCGGAGCTTGCAGTGAGCCGAGATCCCGCCACTGCACTCCAGCCTGGGCGACAGAGCGAGACTCCGTCTCAAAAAAAAAAAAAAAAAAATAAGCGAGAGACATGTAATGTTTTTGGACTTGAAAACTCAGTAACACAAAGACATCAGTTCTCCCCAACTTGACCTACACATTTAATGCAATGCTGATCAAAATGCTATTGTGTGTGTGCATGACTATGTGTGTAAACAGGCTGACTCGAAAATTCACACAGATAAGTCAAAATGTTATTTGAAGAAGACCTTAGCTTGTGATAGCATCATGCCAGTTACTAAGAATGATCCTTATGGTACAGTAATTAAGACATCACGGTACCAGCACAGAAGCAGACAAACAGACAGGGTGGAGCAGAATGAGAAGTCTAGAAAGAAACTCACACAGGTGAACGCATGGAGTCTGACCAAAGTGGCACCCTGGGTCAGTGGGGAAAGACGAACTTTCAGTGAATCGTGTTAGGACAGCTAGTTATGTCAACCAGAAAATGTTAATTCCCACCTCACACCATACATCCACACCAACCCCAAGTAGATTAAAAATCTACAGAAGAAAGGTCCAGGCCAGGCGCTGTGGCTCACACCTGGAATCCCAGCTCTCTGGGAGGCCAAGGCAGGCAGATTGCTTGTGCCCAGGAGTTCAAGACCAACCTAGACAACATGGCGAACCCCCGTCTCTACAAAAACTACAAAAATTAGCCAGGCATGGTGGCGCAATGCCTGTGGTCCCAGCCACTTGGGTGGCTGAGGTGGGAGAATTGCTTGAGGCCAAGAATTTAAGGCTACAATGAGCCATAATCACGCCACTGCACTCCAACCTGGGTGACAGAACGATACCCTCTCATTCATTCATTCATAGAAAGGTATAACTACAGAAGTTCTTATCATGAGGTTAGGGCGGGGAAAGAATTTTTAAGCAAGGCACAGAAAGCACAAACCTTAAGAAAAATAAATAAAAGTTCACTGCACTGGAATTAAAAACTCCTGTCCCAAAAGACACCATTAAAGAAAGACAAGCCTCACACTGATAGAAAATACAGGCAATACATAGAACTGACAAGGATACGCAGATAACGCCTACAAAATCAGCAAGAAGGACAAGGGACTTGGAAAGGCCTGGGACAGGAAAGAAACGGGTGTGGCCAATACACAGAGGGACAGACGGGGCTCAACCCATTCCCAGTCGGGAAATTAAATCCAAGAAACGCCTCTGCTGACCCGTCCACCTGGCGCCTGGGCTGCAGGCCGTGTGTCCACAGGCCATGTGCCCGCAGGCTGTGTGCCTGCAGGAGGAATGCAAACCCTCACCACTTGGTATCCCCTCGCAGCGGCCCTCCATTCTCTGCAGCAGAACGCTTATTGGGGACTGCAGGGAAAAAAGCGTCATTTTCCTCCACTAAGGACAGTTTCTGAACAGTGCCCCCGCCCTGCCCCACAGTGGAAGACTGCAGACCCAGCACCCTATGGGCCCCCAGCCGGGGGTCCTTCCTGGGCTGGTTGGGTTTGGCCTCGAGTACATTGCGACGCTGTGAGGAGGGCCAGTTGCGACACTGTCAGTGACTGCTTGAAAACGGAATGAACTGTCTGTCCACCCAGGTGATGTGAGTAGCACTACTCACAATGGACACGAGGTGGAAGCAGCCCAGGCATCAGATGAATGGATAAACAAAATGACAAACAATCTGATCTTAAAACGGACAAATGACTCAAACACTTCTCCAGAGAAGACACACAACCAACCAAAAAGTACATGGGAAGGTGCTCAACATAGTAACTAGAGAAATGCAAATCAAACCACAATGAGAAATTACCTTGTACCAGGCCAGGCACAGTGGCTCACGCCTGTAATCCCAACACTTTGGGAGGCTGAGGCAGGTGAGCTTGAGCTCAGAAGTTTGAGACCAGCCTGGCCACATGGTGAAACCCCATCTCTACTAAAAATACAAAAATTAGCCAGGCATGGTGGCACACGCCTGTAGTCCCAGATACTCAAGAGGCTGAGGCAGGAACCTGGGAGGCAGAGGTTGCACTCCAGCCTGGGTGATAGTGTGAAACCCAGGCTCAAAAAAATAACAATAATAAAATAAAAAAGAAATTACCTCGTATCCATTAGGATGGCCACTATCCAAAAGCAGAAAATAACAAGTGTTGGCAAGGATGTGGAGAAACGGGAATGCTTGCACACTGCTGCTGGGAATGTAAAATGCTGCAGCTATAATGAAAAACAGTATGGAGGTTCCTCAAAAAATGACACACAAAACTCCCACATAATCCAGCCATTCCACTTCTGGATAGATACCCAGAGGAATTTTATTCTATTTTTGTAGCAGTGGGGTCTTACTATGGTGCCTGGGCTGGTCTCAAACTCCTGGCCTCAAGTGATCCGCCCATCTCAGCCTCCCAAAGCGTTGGGATTACACATGTGAGCCAACATGCCCAGCCTTGCCCAGAAGAATGGAAAGCAGGGTCTTGAAGAGATATTAACACACCCATGTTTACAGCACCACTATACACAGTAACCAAAGGTGGAAACAACCCACATGTATACCCACAGATGAATGGATAAAAACAATGCCGGCCATCCACACGATGGAATAGTATTCAGCCTTGAAAAGGAAAGGGATGCTGACACGAGCTATGACAACATGCTGAATGAAATGCAGCAGACACAAAAGGACAAATCCCATGTGATTCCACTCATAAGAGGCCCCTGGAGTCGTCACAGTCACAGAGGCAGAAGAGAGAATGGTGGTTCCAGGGGCTGAGGAGGGTATGGGGAGTTGGTGTTTGATGGGAACAATTTCAGGCTGGGAAAACAAAGGAGGTCTAGAGATGGGTGGTGGCTGCACAACCCCGTGAATGTGCTGAATACCACTGAATGAGACATTTAAACATGGTTTAAAAGGGTACTTTTTATGTGTATTTCACCACAATTTTTAAAAATAAAAATTTTTTAAACTAATTTCTCATATTTCATCAATTCTGAGAACTCTTCCTCCTGCATTCCAGCCAGGCACATGGGACATGCCTCTGTTCAATGCCACCCCATGGTCACCATCAGACACACAGGGCTCCGTTCTCATGGGCACTGGTACGTCCCCACCCAGAGGCCTCCTCAACTGACCCCGAGTGAGCTGAGACCACAAAGCTGGGCTCAGACTCGCAGGGACTCGTCGGGAGAACGTGGCTGCTCCCTGGTGACCACAGCCTCAGAAACGCAGCCAAATGCCCGGGACTCACGTCCGGGACTCATGCCCTGGAAGCCCATCCTGTTGTATCAGAGCAAAATGAACCAGAGAAGCCGCTGGTTCAGAAGACGCTGCTCTGAGATTTCTCAGAAGGGTCAGGGGAGGAAGGTCAGCGTTCACATTAAATTAATTCTCCCAGCTGTAACTGTTGGTCCTCTGCTGGACCATGGCCACGCCTGTTATTGTCCCTGATCTGAATGCTGGGTGAAGGAAGGGACCATGATCTTGCCCACAACGCCTGGGCCCCACAGGTTGGCTCTCCCCATGCAGAAATAATAAGCAGGGCCATGAGGCATGAGGACCAACTCTGGGGCACATGGCCAGGACATAGGCCACAGGGATCCAGAGGACGTCCTGAGAGTTGTTGAGGCCACGTGGCACTCCAGTTCAGCCACGGCCACACAGCCCCAGTCTTTTCTTACCTAAAGACCACAATACGGTCACAGAGGGGCTTTGTTGGCAAGGACCCCATAGGGATGCTGCCTATCTGGTAGCACTTCAAGAATCGGAGCCTAAAAGAAAAGGAAGACTGTGTCATGGATCTTGGGACTCCACCGGGGCCACACGGGAGCCATGAAGAGCCACGACTATTACCTACTTCACAGAATAAGCCAGTGCTCCCCAAAAGGATCTACACACTTAATTCAATTCCTATCACAATTCCAGCAAGGGTTTTCATGGGCATAGACAAGCTACTTCTAGAATTTATATGGAAAGGCACAGGCACAACAGTTGCTAAAACTATTTATTTTTTTGTTTCTGGGGCTTTTTTTTGTTTGTTTTTTGTTTTGTTTGTTTGTTTTTCCTGAGGCAGGGTCTCACTCTGTCACCCAGGCTAGAATGTAGTGGCGCAGTCTCGGCTCACTGCAGCCTTGACCTCCCGGGCTCAAGCAATTCTCCCACCTCAGCCTCCCAAGAAGCTGGGACTACAGGTGTTTGCCACCATGCCAGGCTAATTTTTATTGTTTTTGTTGTATTTTTTTGTAGAGACGGGGTCTCACTATGTTGGCCAGGCTGCTCTCGAACTCCTGGGCTCAAGCAATCTACCTGCCTCAGCCTCCCAAAGTGCTGGGGTTACAGATGTGAGCCACCACCACCCCCAGCAGCTAAAACCATCTTGAAAGAAAAGGAAGTGGGAGGAATTGCTGTACCTGCTGGTGAGTCTTCCTACCGTACATGGCCACAGAAACAGGGCAGTGTGGCATCCACTGAGGGACAGACACACATATCAATGGAACAGAATAGAGAGCCCAGAAAAAGCCCCCTCAAATATGCAAGACTGATTCCTTTCTATAAAGGTGCAGCTCCAATTCAGTGGAGAAGGGCAGCCCTTTCAGCAAATGGTGCCAGAGCAACTAGATACCCACAAAAGGGAAAAAGTGAACCTCAGCCTAAACCTTGCTGCACCTTATACAAAAATTACCTCCAAATGGATCATGGCCAATAGCAAACAATCTGAAAAAGAAATCAAGAAAACAATCCCATGGATAATAATAGCTACAAAGAATATAAAATACCTAGAAATCAATTTTACCAAAGTGAAAGATCTATAAAAGGAAAACTATAAAACACTGATGAAAGAAACTGAAGGGGACACCAAATAATGGGAAGATATTCCCTGATGATGGATTGGAAGAATTAATATTGTTAAAATGACAGTACTAGCCAAAACAATTTACAGATTTGATGCAATCCCTATCAAAATACCAATGACATTCTGCACAGAAATAGAAAAAAAATCTTAAAATTTACATAGAACCACAAAAGACCCAGCTAAAGACCGAGGATAGCCAAAGCTATCCTGAGAAAAAAGAACAAAACTGGAGGCATCACATTACCAGACTTCAAACTATACTACAGAGTTATAATAACCAAAACAGCATGGTACTGGCATAAAAATAGACACATAGGCCAATTGAAACAGAATAGAAAACCCAGATAGAAATCCAACCGTTTACAACCAACTCATCTTTGACAAAGGTGCCAAGAACATACACTGGGGAAAAGACAGTCTCTTCAATAAACTGGATATCCATATGCAGAAGAATGAAACTAGACCCCTATCTCTCACCATATACAAAAATCAACTCGAAATGGATTAAAGACTTAAATGTAAGAACTGAAATTATGAAACTGCTAGAAGAAAACATTGGAGAAACTCTGCAGGACATCGGTGTGGGCAAATGCTTCCTGTGTAAGATCTCAAAAGCACAGGCAACGAAAGCAAACAAGAAGCTAAAAAGCTTCTGCACAGCGAAGGAAACAAAATGGAGAGACAACCCACAGAATGGGAGAAAATATTTACAAACTACCCATCAGACAAGGGAGTAATAATCAGAATATATAAGAAGCTCAAACAACTCAACAGGAAAAAAATATAGTAATCTGATTTAAAAATGGGCAAAAGATCCAAATAGACATTCTTCAAAAGAAGACATACAAATGACCAATAGGTATACAGAAAAATATTCAACATCACTGATCATCAGAAAAATGCACATCAAAACTATACCAAAGTACCATCTCACTGCAGTGAAAATGGCTTATATCTAAAAATATGGTATTTATACACATCATTATATACACATTATAAAGAAACTATAATCCCAGCACTTGGGGAGGCTGAGGTGGGAGGATCACCTCAGGTCAGAAGTTCGAGACCACCCAGGCCAACATGGTGAAACCATGTCTTTACTAAAAATACAAAATTAGCTGGGCATGGTGGCAGGTGCCTGTAATCCCAGCTACTCGGAAGGCTGAGGTAGGAGAATTACTTGAACCCAGGAGGTGGAGGTTGCAGTGAGCCGAGATCACCATTGCACTCCAGCCTGGATGATAGAGTGAGCCTCCAGGTCAAACAAAAAGAAAATATGGTACTTATATTCAGTGGATGTATACTACATTATTCACTCATAAAAAAGAAGGAAATCCTGTCACTAGCAGCAACATGAATGGAACTGAAGGTCTTTTTTTTTTTTTTTTTTTTTGAGACAGAGTCTCACTCTGTCACCCAGGCTAGAGTGATACAGTAAGCCGAGATCGTGCCACTACAGTGGCACGATCTCGGCTTACTGCAACCTCCACCTCCCGGGTTCAAGCGATTCTCCTGCCTCAGCCTCCTAATTAGCTGGGACCACAGGCGTGTGCCACCATGCCCGGCTAATTTTTTGTATTTTTAGTAGAGATAGGGTTTCACCGTGTTAACCAGGATGGTCTCCATCTCCTGACCTTGTGATCTGCCCGCCTCAGCCTCCCAAAGTGCTGGGATTAGAGGCATGAGCCACTGTGCCCAGCCCAGAACTGGAGGTCTTTACGTTGAGTGAAATAAGCCGGACACAGAAAGACAACTTCGTGTGTTCTCGCTTTCACGTGGGAGCTGAAACAGTGGACCTCGTGGAGATGGAGAGGACTAGTGGGTCCCAGAGGCCAGGGAGGGTGGGGAGGTAGAGATAAGAGAAGTTGATGAATGGGTACAAATACATGATTTGACAGAATAAGACTTACTGTTTCAGAGAGCAGTAGGGTGACTGTACTTTACAATAATCAATTGTACATTTCCAAATAGCTATAAGAGAGTAATTCAAATGTTTCTAGCATAAAGGCAAATCGTGCAGATGATGAAGACACCCCAAGTATACTGGTTTGATCTCTACAACTTGTATGAATGTATTAAATTATAACATGTACCCCAAAAATATGCATCAACTGAAAAAAAAAGGATCACAGGCTTAAATGGAAAATATAAAACTACAAAGCTTGTAGAAAAAACATAGAAGAGGCTGGGTGCAGTGGCTCACGCCTGTAATCCCGGCACTTTGGGGAGGCCGAGACGGGCAGATCACCTGAGGTCAGGAGTTCGAGACTAGCCTGTCCAACATGGTGAAACCCCATCTCTACTAAAAATACAAAAATTGCCGGGCTGTGGTGGTGGGCACCTGTTTAATTCCAACTACTCAGGAGGCTGAGGCAGGAGAATCGCTTGAACCCGGGAGGCGGAGGTTGCAGTGAGCCAAGAGCATGCCGCTGTTGTACTCCAGCCTGGGTGACAAGAGCCAGACTCCATCTCAAGAAAAAAAAAAAAGAAGAAGAAAATGGTCAGAATCTAGGCCTAGGCAAAGAGTTCTTAAAGCTGACACCTAAAGCTTGATCCATAAAAGGGAAATTTAATCAACTGGACCTCATCAAAATGTTAACAGCGTTTGCTCTGTGAAAGCCTCAGTGAAGAGGACTAGAGGACATCCTGCCGACAGGAAGAAATACTGCAACCCAGACACCATCCCCCATTGTCATTTGTGCATTCTGTTCAATAAAATATATTTGTAACCCCGAAATCAATCCTCTGGGAGCGTTCAGAGTCGTCTGTGGACTTAGGCACAGTGAGAACCTCTGCGTGGCCCAGTGCACTCCTTCCCAGCTCAGGTGGAGAAGGTTGTGCCCTGCCTGTGGTTTTTGACTTGTGAAGCATCATTTAATGGTCTATTTGGTGCCACATTTTCCACGTTTGTGCTTTTTGTGGGCGATTTCGCTGTTTAAAGGTGCCTCCCAGCACAGTGCTGAAGTGCTGTCTGGCGTCTAGGTGCAGGAAGGCCGTGACAAGCCTGGTGAAGATCGTGTTAGATAAGCAGGAGTTACAGTGCCCCAGGCCGTGAGCACCACGTGAACGCACCAGCAATCTGTATTAAACCAGGTATCTTCAAACAAAACACACCTAAAGCAAGGTTATGCATTGATTAGGTGATGAAAATGTGACCAGAGGCTCCCAGGAGCCTTCCCAGTATTTCTCTGCTGAGAGATAGATGATAATTTGCTATTTTGGCAATCCTGGTGACTTCACGGATGTAACTACTGCCAAATAATGAGAATCGACTGGATCTGACATATGGTATCACAGTATCTACTGAGGCCAGGTATGGGGGCTCACTCCTGTGATCCCAGCACTTTAGGAGGCCAAGGTGAGAAGACTGTCTGAGCCTAGGAGTTCAAGACCAGCCTGGGCAATAGAGTGAGACCCCATCTCTACAAAATCAAAAATTAGCGGGGTGTGGCACCTCATACCTGTAGTCCCAGTGACTCAGGAGGATCGCTTGAGCCCAGGAGGTTGAGGCTGCAGTGAGCCAAGATCACACCACTGCACTCTAGCCTGGGCAACAGAGCCAGACCCTGTCTCAAAAAAATAAAGAAATAAAAAAGACATGCTAAACAACGAGAATTAAATGAACAATCCAATTAGAAAGTGGGCAAAAAATGGCCAGGTGCAGTGGCTTGTGCCTATAATCCCAGCACTTTGGGAGGCCCAGGCAGGCGGATCACCTGAGGTTAGCAATTCGAGCCC
This sequence comes from Homo sapiens, assembly GCF_000001405.40. Classification (NCBI taxonomy): domain Eukaryota; kingdom Metazoa; phylum Chordata; class Mammalia; order Primates; family Hominidae; genus Homo; species Homo sapiens. The sequence goes on along the minus strand of NC_000001.11, from coordinate 228,184,989 downwards.
AGCCTGGCCAACATGGCAAAACCCAGTCTCTACTAAAAATACAAAATTAGCCAGGTGTGGTGGCAGGCGCCTGTAGTCCCAGCTACTTGGGAGACTGAGGCAGGAGAATCACTTGATCCTGGGAGGCGGAGGTTGTAATGAGCTGAGATTGTGCCACTGCACTCCAGCCTGGGCGACAGAGCAAGACTCCGTCTCAAAAAAAAAAACAGAGAGAATGGGCAAAAAACGTTTCGCCAAAGAGGATGTACAGATGGCAAGTAAGCACATGAAAAGGTGTTCGGTGGCATTGGCCATCAACACAATACAAACTGAAATCACAGCATGAGGTCACCACACTTAGATCAGAAGGGGGAGAACCAAAAAGCAGTGACCACCCCATGTGCTGGGGAGGACATGGAGAAACCAGATCACTCACACACTGCTGGTGGAAGGTGAAACCAGACTGCCACTCTAGAAAGCAGCTGAGCAGTTTTTTACAAAACAGAACAGGCAGTTACTATATGGCCCAGCAATCACATTTCCAGGCCCAGAGAAATGAAAACGCATGTTCACACAGTAAATTGACCATGAATATTTATGGCAGTTTTAGGTGTAACAGCAACAATTGCAAACAACCCACGTGTCTTCAGTGCTGCCTCGACCGGCTTGAGCCACCAGCACACTGATTTTCCCACAGTCCTGGAGGCAGGAGTCCGAGATCAAGGGGGCAGGACTGGTTCCTCCGAGGCCTCTCTCCGCAGCTGGCAGCCCCTGCCTTCTCCCTGTGCCCTCACTTGGCCTTTACTCCCTGTGTGCACCCCAGGGGGTCTTTTTGTGTGTCCAGATTTCTTCTTTTTATCAGGACACAGTCAGATTAAATTAGGGCCCTCCCATATGACCCCATTTTAACTTAATCAACGTTTGTGAACATCGTATCTACAAACACAGTTACATTCCGAGTCCCTGGGGATGATGGCTTCAGCCTGTGACATTGTTGGGGGGACATGATTCAGCCCAAAACAAATGGGCAGATGGGCAAAGAGACGTGGCTCACACCCTAGGAAAAACAACTCAGAAATAAAAAGGAACGAACTACGCAACAGCTGGAAGAGAGCTCCAGCACATGTCCTCGTGCCAGAGGCAGCACCTGGATGACCCCACGGATATGACGTTTCTTTTTTTTTTTTTTTTTTGGAGACAGAGTCTCACTCACTCTGTCACCCAGGCTGGAGTACAGTGGCACGATCTTGGCTCACTGCAACCTCTGTCTCCCGGGTTCAAGCAATTCTCCTGCCTCAGCCTCCTGAGTAGCTGGATTACAGGCGTGCGCCACCACGCCCGACTAATTTTTGTATATTTAGTACAGACGGAATTTCACCATGTTGGCCAGGCTGGTCTCGAACTCCTGACCTCAAGTGATCTGCCCACCTCAGTCTCCCAAAGTGCTGGGATTACAAGTGTGAGCCACCATGCCCAGCTGGATATGATATTTCTGAGATGACAAAATTCTAGAAACGGAAGATGGGCTATGGTTGCCAGGGATTAGGGATAAGATGGCGTTAGAGACATAGGTGTGAAAGGGCCACACAGGGATCTTCCTGGGGATGCTAAGCAAGATGGGCGGAGGCTAAGTAAGGCCACCGGATGGCATCAAAGTCCATGTCCTTGTGTGAGACTGTGGTGTTCTGCAAAGACTCACTGTTAGGAAAAGTTGGGCAGAGGGAACAAGGGATCGCTCTGTATTATTTCTTACAACTATTATGGCAACAGCAGTTTCTCTTTTTTTTGAGACAGGGTCCCCCTCTGTTGCCCAGGCTGTGGAATGCAGTGGTGCGATTGTACAGCACTCCAGTCTTAACCTCCTAGGCTTAAGTGATCCTCCCACCACAGCCTCCCAAAGTGCTGTGATTAGGATTAGGGTTAGGTGGGGATTAGGGGGCATGAGCCACCATGTCCAGCGGGCAATAAAGTTTCAATTAAAAAACAGCAACATCTGCAGCCCAGCACGATGTCCTTAAAAGACCAGAAACACAATCAGCACACACCTGTCCACAGCTGGTGAGGCCAGAGGGCAGGTGTCCACCCCTCAGAGCCGTTTTCCCCAAATGCCCTTCTCCAGCATGTCCGGGTGGCCCACACATCTGAGCTCCCAAATTCAGGACCCTCCAGACTGCCTACCCCCAGCTGGGCATCCAACTGCTATCCACACCTCCAGTGCCCTCACACGCCCCATCCCTGTCTCCACCACAAACACCCCACCCACCACACACCCCGTCCCCACCATACAAACCCCGTCCTCCCCCACACACCCCATCCCCCCACACACACCCCGTCCCCACCGCACACACCCCGTCCCCACCGCACACACCCCGTCCCCACCGCACACACCCCGTCCCCACCGCACACACCCCGTCCCCAGCACACACACCCCGTCCCCACCGCACACACCCCGTCCCCAGCGCACACACCTCATCTCCCCACCACACACACCCCGTCCCCACCGCACACCTCGTCCCCACCACACACACCCCATCTCCCCACCACACACACCCCGTCCCCACCGCACACCCCATCCCCACCGCACACACCCCGTCCCCACCACACACACCCCGTCCCCACCACACACCTCGTCCCCACCACACACTTCCCGTCCCCCCACCACACACCCCGTCCCCACCATACACACCCCGTCCCCACCACACACACCCTGTCCCGCTTTCCTGCTTCATTTTTCACCATAGAGCCCGTAGCAATAAAATATACTGTGTACTTTATTTTCATTGGCTATAAGCATTCAATACATGGTTGAATGAATGAAGAAATGAATGAATCAATGAAAGATGGACCAGAGCTCAGCCATCTCCCAGTTTTTCTTCAGCAGGACCCCCTGCTATTATTGTCCCTGAGAACTTCTCACTGAGAGAGTCTGACATAAAACAAAATGTATTAATCCTTCATTTCTCCCACAAATGCCGATGCGCACAAACTAAGCTAGCACCATCGCCAGGGAAATCAAAGACGGGGACACTGGAGATGGTCAGATGCCCACAGCCCAGACAGTCACAGTCCTAGCTTGGGCTCCCTGCCCCAGGGTTGGCACGTGGAGCACTGCCCTGGGTCTCCATGGCCCATAGCCAGACAGACCCTTTTTCTTACTTTTCTCAAACCAAGGTGTTCACCCAAGACGTTCAAAATTTAAACACTGAATCTCTAAATGGAAACTAAGAAGACTGACAGCACCAAGCGCTGGCGAGGACGCAGTATGACAAGAACCTGGCACACTTCTGGTGGGAATGTAAATGCTGCACTCACTCCGGGAAAATGTCTGGCAGTTCCTAGCAACACTGAGTTTTCCTGCCCTGTGGCCCAGAGCTCCACCCCAGGGGCTTACCAGAAAGACAGGAAAATGTATGTACACACAACCTGTGCAAGTGTGGAGATGCAGAGACCCCTGAATAAGAACAGGCAAACATTCCTTATTCCCAGCTTGCTAAAGTAAGGGAATCAGTCGCCATCACTCATATTGGGTGGAGATGCCCAGGCTGGCCAGAGGAGTGGGAGAGCTTCCAGGTGAGACAGGGACGGCTCCAGGTGAGCCCTGATGGAGTCTGTGGCCTGGGGAACTAGAGGCAGCTCACAGGAGTGGGCCTCCCATGAGATTGGTGAAGGAAGTGTCTGCCTCCATTTGTGCTGCTACAAGAGAATACCTGAGGCTGACTCATTTACAAGGAACAGAGGTTTATTGGCTCACGGTTCTGGAGACCGGACAGTCCAAGATCCAGGAACTGGCCGACTTGGGAATTCCACCTCCAAGATGGTGCTTTGAACACTGGAGGGCAAGAGAGGCACAAGCGGGCTGGACTTACCCTTTCATAACATTAACTCCGCCCTTGGAGAGTGGAGCCCTCACAGCCTAATCACCTCTTACAGGCCCCATCTCTTAACACTGTTAGAATGGCAATTCAATTTCAACATGAAGTTAGCACAGTGCCTCATGCCCCAATCCCAGCTACTTGGGGACAAGAGTTGAAGACCAGCATTTAAAAACAAAAAATTTTAAAAATTAGCATGCACCTGTGGTCCCAGCTACTCAGGAGGCTGAGGTGGGAAGATCACCTGAGCCCAGAAATTCAAGACCAGCCTGGGCAATGCAGTGAGAACCCCATCTCTACAAAAAGTAAAAAAAAAAAAAAAAAATTAGCTGAGTGTGATGACTCACACCTGTAGTTCCTGCTACTCAGGAGGCTGAGGCAGGAGAATCATCTGAGCCCAGAAGGTTGAGGCTGTAGTGAGCTGTGTTTATGCCACTCCACTCCAGCCTGGGCAAGAGTGAGACTCTGTCTCAAAAAAAAAAAAAACACTCCCAACTACGATTTTGAGTTTGTTCATTTCTCCTTGAAGGACTGGCTTTTAAATTCCATGGTCTTCCCTCTATAGTTTGGAAGATATATTTCCATTCTTTTAGAGATTATCTGAAAACTCTGATAAGCCTTGTAACAGATGCTGAAGTCAGTGTCCGTGCCCTCCTTCCGACCAGTAGGGGGACTTTAGAACACTGTAGGTTTGGGCACCTCTCTCCCAACTCAACATGTGGCATCTTTTTTATAAACTCCAAAAGTAGGCATTCTAAGTAGAAGCTTCTAGATGTGGTGTTTTAGACATGCCCACAAATCCACCTTCCTGCCTATTCACTCCTTCTTCCATCTCCAGCTTCCCCACAGGATCCCTCGCCAGAAGCCCAGACATGCCTTAGACGCTCTAGGCTCTGCTGGCAGCAAACTCCGGAGTGAGGGCAGTTTCGTGGTATGAAAATGCGTTTAGCCCTCTTTTTTTTTTTTTTTTTTTTTTTTTTTTTGAGACAGAGTCTCATTCTATTGCCCAGGCTGGAGTGCAATGGCACAATCTTGGCTCACTGCAACCTCTGCCTCCTGGGTTCAAGTGATTCTCCTGCCTCAGCCTCCCGAGTAGCTGGGATTACAGGAATATGCCACCACACCCAGCTAATTTTTATATTTTTAGTAGAGACAGGGTTTCACCATGTTGATCAGGCTGGTCTTGAACTCCTGACCTCAGGTGATCCACCTGCCTTGGCCTCCCAAAGTGCTGGGAATACAGACGTGAGCCACTGCGCCTGGCCCCTCATTCTTGAAAGACGGATTTTCTGGGTACACAATTCTAGGCTATCACTATTTTCTCCCAGGACTTTGAAGATATTATTTACTATCTTTCTGGCTTCCACTGTTGCTTTTAATCAACTACTTATTTTCTTCTTTCCAGATAATCTCTTTCTTTTCTGCCTTAAGATCTCTTTGTCATGAGATTCTGTACTTTCACCAAGACGTGACTGTTTGGGTAGAGCTTTTTAACTATGCTGCTTGGGAGCTGCTGGTTCCTGAACCTAAGGAGCAGGGGCTCCTGTTGGTTTGGGAAAGTTCTCAGCCGTATTTCTCTGAATACTTGCCTCCACCCCATATTCTCTTTCCCCTCCTTCTGGAATTACTCGTAAATTGCGGATGTCATACTAAACTCTCCATCTTCTTGTCTCATCCCATCTCATATTTTCCAGCTCTGTCTTTCTGTGCTGCACTTTGGGTCATTTCTTCAAACAGTTCCCGATTCTTCAGGAAACACATCATGGAATATTTTTTAGAGTATTTTATTTTTATTTCAACAAGTTCTCTTTTTAAAATCTGCTTGGTCATTTTTATAGTCTCTTGCTTCCTGTGCATAAATTGTTTTCTTTAAATATATTAAACATCCTCATTCCATGTGATGTGTCTGCTTACTCTAAGATCAGAACATTGGTGTGTGTGCTTCTGTCTGCCTTTCTGCTGGGCCTTGTTTATGGTACTGTGTGTGTGTGTTGACAATTTCTTTCCTGTACCTTAGGATGTTTTGGTATCTCAAAAAAAAAAAAAAATTCCACCTTCTGGCTGGGAGACTGCCCCTCCCAGGCCAGCCAGTCCTTACAGATAAGGGCCCAGCTGGGTGTGCGCGCCTCCGCAATGCAGCCTCACCAGTCCAGAGCCCACCTCTATCTGGCCAGAGCACTCTGGCAGCCAGGGACCACTCCTACAGCTTGGAGCCCATGGAAATCACTCCAGCTGGCCAGCCGCACATCTGCCCTGCCTTGCCTTTCCTGGGGAAGTGCCAGGAAAGGTCTAGCAGAGGCTCTCCCAGGCTCCTGCCTCTCCTCTCGGGCTGCGCTTGACTGACCGCCTCATACAAGAACACAGAACAGGGAGCTTGTCTCCTTGGGGATTAGAAGATGATGATGATAATGATTTTACAATGAACGTATACTTCTTAGGATGTTTTCTATCTAAGGCCTGATTTGGAGGTGGGTTTCTCACAGTTTCTACACTGTCTGCCGGGCTCTGGAAATACTACCAACTGCAACTTCTCTTCTTTTTTATTCTTTCTTTGTTTTAAGACAGGGTCTTGCTCTGTTGCCCAGGCTGGAGTGCAGTGGCACAATCACAGCTCACTGCAGCCTCAACCTCCTGGGCTCAAGTGATCCTCGCACTTCAGCCTCCCGAATAGGTGGGACCACAGGTGTGGACCACCATGCCTGGCTAATTTTTTTTTTTTTAAGAGACAGAGTCTTGATATGTTGCCCAGGCTGCTCTCAAACTCCTGGGCTCAAGCAATCCTCCTGCCTCGGCCTCCCAAAGTGCTGGGATCACAGGCATGAGCCACCACACCCGCCCATATCTGGCTTTGAAAGGAAAATACAAGCATGCTTTCCTAAAGATGCACCATATACACTGTGTTAAGTAAAACAGCTCAGAAACAGACAGTCAAACACCACACGTCCTGCCTCATAACCAGGAGCTGCCCAACAGGCAATGTGGGCTCAGAAAGTGGAAGGCGGATGTGGGGGACTCTAACGAGGGGAGGCAGGAGGTGTGAGGGTAAGAAGCCCAGACTGCACCACCATGCACTATACCCACATAACACAACTGCACCTTATGCCTTGAATTCACACACACACACACACACACGAACTTCCTATGTTTTTACAACACAAACTAAAGCAGACAGGAAAAGCAGTGTGCAGTTTTGGAGCGGCTACACCAGCTCTCAGCAGATCCCAGTGTTCCTGAACACAAAGCTCTGACCCTGCCGATGCGCTTTAGGGCCTGCTTCCAAGGTCCTAAAGGCCAGGCCTTTCTGAGAGGACTAAGGACATTTTGGTGAAAACTGATTTGGTTTGTATGACAGAGGGGCTCTTTTGTTGACTGACACTTTCCTTTTTAAAGACACAGAAGAGGCTGGGCACAGTGGCTCATGCCTGTAATTGAGACCATCCTGGCCAACATGGTAAAACCCCATCTCTACTAAAAATACAAAAATTAGCCGGGCATGGGGCATGTGCCTGTAGTCCCAGCTACCCAGGAGGCTGAGGCAGGAAAATCACTGGAACCTGGGAGGCAGAGGTTGCAGTGAGCAGAGATTGTGCCACTGAGCTCCAGCCTGGCCAACAGAGCAAGACTCCATCTCAAAAAAAAAAAAAAAAAAAAAAAAGGACACAGAAGAACACGAAATGTGTTTGATCTGAACCAAGTATTTTGAGATCCTGACACCTGCAGAGACCTGAAGACACTGAGGGGGCACAGGATGGCTCAGGCGGCACCTCACTCTGGAGTGGAGTGCTTCCTTCCTGGCTCACCTCCTAGCCCTCACCCAGCCACACCCACGGGACAGGCTAGGATGCTCCCAGATGCTGCAGCACTCAAGGAGGCCCCACTGGAAAAGCCAGGCAACTTCAGGCAGATGACAGAGCCGGGACACTTTGAGCTCGAGGCACAGACCCTCATTCCAGGGGTGCATGCCCCTCATGCAGGAGACACCAGCTCTTGGTGACACAGGCCACAGGCACCCACTCCTGGCTGAGCTGGAGAGAAAACTGGCTGGGAAGCTGATCAAATGTCTCCATGCCAGTTTAAAGCAGCAGCCAGTGGGGCTGAAAAGGTTGCAGGGATGCTGGTCTGGAATCCATCCTGCGCTGGGCGCTTCCAGACCATGACCTGTCCAAGAGGGGCTGAAGGCCACCGGCTCTCAGGACCGCAGGGGTCAGGGCCACCTAGCTGTTTCCTTGCCCATAGGAGAGCTGACTGCAGCGGGTGAGGCTGGACGGCCCCTCTCTTCCCTCCAGCTGCAGCCGCTTCCTCCCGTCCATCCGCTCTACACCCTCCTCCTGGGTGATCACAAACTACACTGCAGCTCAGAGCTGCCTTTAGACCCCTGACCCCAAAACCGCCATGGCTGCAGATTTCTAGAGAGCACCTGTGGCCCCCCAGGATGGCGGCACAGGCTCCCTGCCTGCTTGGCCCTCTGTGGCCACCCTAACGTCCAGCTTGGTGGCCCAAACGCCTGCCCCCCAGGCCCTGCGCCCTGCAGCCGACAGCTCACAGCCATGGGGCTGTCCTTTGCAGACTCGGCACCCACGTGCCCAGCCTGGGCCTCTGAGGCCTCCCCTGCTGGCCTGCAGCCATGCCAAGTGCTTCATCTGGTAGGTCTGGGCGTTCTCAAAGGAGCGCTGTTCCCGGGGTCCAGTCAGCCAGATCACAAAAACTAAGCCCCCACCTCCCTCTCCCCCAAATGAAACCAGAGCTCCCAAGGGGCTGCCTGTGGCTCACTCTTTAATAGATGCCCTGAAACATAGAGCTCACACTTCAGTGGGAAGGGGGAAGCCAGTGGGTGAACAGGAGGCTGTGCCCCGTGACTGACAGCAAGTCACTCTCACTGCAAACACAGGCTATGCCAAAACCCAGCACACACAGGCAGAACTCTGCCCTGCTGGCTCCTGAGCCCTGCGCTGGCCCCCACCCCACGCTCCTGGAGGGCTCTGAGGAGGAACAGAGGTGGGGAAACATGGGAGATGGGCACAGCCTTCCACAAGCCTCCAGCATGGGATACCTAGTGGCTCATCCCTGTGTGCTTCTCGATGTGTAGACACCCACATGCCACCTGATCCAATGCCCCAGACCCCTCTAGACCACGCATAGCCCCACCCTGAGACATGCTGGAAGCAAGCACAGTGAAACAACTCCCAAAGCCCGAGCCCCAGCCTGCAGACCCTGGACACCACCCCGCTTCCAGGCACAGGGACCAACCCCCCATGAGGCTCATGCCAGGCAGAGTGGGGTACAAGGCCCGGAAGCTGCCAGTGCTGGCCAGAGACACCGTCCCGTCCTCCCAGACAACCCTGTGTGGAGCCACGATTGGGACCCGGCGCCATCTGGAGCCCAGCACTCACACGGTGGGCTCCTCTGGGGCCACAGGAAGTCCAGGGAGAAAACAACCCACGTGCCTGGGGCCCCTGAGCATGGGTGGGGCCAGGCAGGGCACCTACAAGGGGGACTTTCCCAGATGGAAACCAGGGCTCCCACCCAGTAGGCGCAGCAGACAGATGGGACGGGAAGACCCTGGACAGAGGCCAAAGGCCCCAGGCCCCAGCCTCCCCATCAGCCTGCGCCAGCCAAGGCTTCGGACTACTTGGAGACTGTAGGCCACCAGTCTGGCACAGATGCGGCTAAGGCCACCTGGGCACCCTCAGAGGCTCTGATGTGCAGAGGACCCTTGATCTTCTCTGACCACAGCAGGGCCAGCCCCACGTTGCCCTGGCCAGCCCTGAACTTGCCCACAGTCTGTCCTGAGGCAGTCAGCACCGTGGCACCAGGGGTGATGCCACTGGTGGGAAGGGGGTCCAAGAACCGGACAGGGAAGAGGCGCTTGCGGATGACGCCCATGTGGTGGGTGCGGGCCGTCAGCTCCTGGCCAATGTAGCAGCCTTTGGTGAAGCTCACGCCGTTCATGAAGGCCAGGTTGGACTCCAGGGGCAGGGCCACCCCAGGAGGCAAGTCTCGGACCCCCTCAGGAACGCCTGCAGGGATTGGAGGGGGGAAACCAGCGAGAATTGAACATCGTCCAGCTCCACCCGTGCAATCCAGCCCAGCGTGCCCACCCCACCCATACCTTGCAGGTATCGGTGCTGGTGATAATCCCACAAGTCCCCGAGCCGGCCCCCGGGCACCAGGGCTGGGCCTTCATCCTGGGTGAGGAGCCGCCACCCCATGCGTGCTGTTCGCGGGTCGCGGATGAGGATGGCGGCAGCCCCTGCCCTCTCCTGCAGCGATGCAGCCCCGCAGGCCTCAGGGGAACTGGGCAACACCGCCCACACTCGCAGCTCCGGGTGCGGCTCCACCGTGACCTTCCGCCGGATCCTGTATAGCGCGAGGTGCTTCTGCAGCGCGCCCTGCACCGAGCTGTCACACTCCAGAAGGAAGCCAGACACCTCCGAGTGTTCCTGGAGCCTGCAGGGAGAGAGGCAGGGGCGCATGGCAGCTCACCAACTGAGTGGGCCAGAAAGGGCTGCATGAGGGAGCGCGCCTTACCCGGGCAGAGGAGCACACCGTGGACCAACGCAAAGAGCTCTGCCCTCAGCCACAAGGGGCTGCGCCTTTAAGGCAAGCGCCCAGGTCACCACACGCAGGGAGCCACGCCCACAGCGAGCCACGCCCACAGCGAGCCACGCCCACAGCGAGCCACGCCCACAGCGAGCCACGCCCACAGCGAGCCACGCCCACAGCGAGCCACGCCCACAGCGAGCCACGCCCACAGCGAGCCACGCCCACAGCGAGCCACGCCCACAGCGAGCCACGCCCACAGCGAGCCACGCCCACAGCGAGCCACGCCCACAGCGAGCCACGCCCACAGCGAGCCACGCCCACAGCGAGCCACGCCCACAGCGAGCCACGCCCACAGCGAGCCACGCCCACAGCGAGCCACGCCCACAGCGAGCCACGCCCACAGCGAGCCACGCCCACAGCGAGCCACGCCCACAGCGAGCCACGCCCACAGCGAGCCACGCCCACAGCGAGCCACGCCCACAGCCACACCAGGCAGCACCTCCCAAGGCGCGCATCACAGCTAGATGCGGGCACCTTGGAGACCAGCGCAGAGTGCCGCGCCCACAGCAATGCGAGGGTGCGTGCAGACAACGCACAGCAGGCCAGGCAGGGTACACCTGGACCAGCGCATGGAAAGCCCTGCCCACAGCCGTGCGCAGCTGAGCCTCCGGAGCTCTCGTCTAAGCAGGCAAAGACGAGCTCACAGGGGCCAGCGCAGACAGACCCTGTTTGCCCAGGGACTGGCAGAACTGCAATAGCCTGCCCGAGGGCATCATCCGGAGTAGTCCCAGAGCCTAGGGCAGAAATGACAACAGTCCGCTGGATGTGGGAGCAGGGATGGGCAGGGCCCCGCAGGGGAACGGTGTGCACAGCCACTGAGAACCAGACCTGCCTGTTCCAGCCCAGGGAAGCCATCGAGGAGCCCAAGGGTCCTAAGGTGGGCAGGAGGGAGGAGCAAGGAGCCCAGGAGGTTGTCAGGGAGGTACAGCATGCCTGAGGCCCACTCTGCCCATGCCCACCACCTGCCTCCCCAAGCCAAGTCTCAGAACCCAATCGGGGCCCCAGAGCCATTCTGACCTGCACTCCAGGCAGCCCTCCTCAGAGGATTTGGGCAGGCACCACAAGAATGACCCCTGACCAGACGGATGGTGGGAAGAGGAGAGGCTGGGCAGCGTGGGGCATGTCGGGGGGGGGGGCACTAAGTGGAGACACCTGGGGTACAGCCACCTCCATGGCTGGGGTTGATTGCAGGTATGGACTGCACAGGGCTTCACAGGCTGGTGGGAGCTGAGACAGGGAGGTAGTAAGACCCCCAGAGGGCCTTCCAGAGACAAGCCCAAGAGCAGGTGGCCCAGCCCCTTCCAGCCAGGAGAGGGCTCAGTCCTTGCCAGTTGCCCAGGGCTTCAGGTGCCAAGCAGGGGCCTGCTGCCCTCATCTCTGCAGTCTCACTCTACCCTGTGGTCATGCCCACGTGCCAGCAGCCACGGAGAACGTTCACGCTCATCACCCAGAACCAGTAGGCACAGGTCTCACTGAGGACCCTGCCGCAGGGAGGGTGGGCATAGCCAGCTGTGACAGCCAGTGAATCTGGCCCACACTCCAGGACAGCGGTCACAGGACATCAAAAACAACACCCACAAGGGAGGGGAACATATGTCATTTACACACGTGGGCTAAGATGACGGGAGGAACAGCAAGGACAGCACAGAGGGGCAGCCGCAGGTGTGCCGCGGAAAGGTCACCACGCCACCAGGGAAACACAGGCGATGTGGCCCAGACAGATGCAGTGGTGAACCTGAACACTGGCCAGCATGAGGAGAAACCAGGTCACTGGCATGCTGCTGGTGGGGAGGCAAAACGGGTGGCCCTCTGGAAGACAGGGTGCAGGTCCTCACAACACCAAACAAGCAACTACTCCACGACCTGGCCCTCTCACTTCCGGGCATGGATCACTGAGAAACGAAGACTGCAGCTCACACAAAACCTGCAGCGAAAGCTCACAGCAGCCAGCTATACTGGTAACAGCCAGAAAGGGAGAATCAAGGTGCCACTACACCATGTGGGACTTCTCAGCAAGAACAGGGAGCTGGAGATGGACAGAAGTGGGTGGATCTGAGGGCACTATGGTGAGGGAAAAGGGTAAGGCTAAAAAGTGACAGGCCGATGCATCCATCTATGACACTCCTGAAATGACACGATTTTACAGCTGAGAACAGGTTTTGGGGTGTTGGGGGTGCCCATTCAGGGGCAGGAGCAGGAAGCCGCGTGGGCCTGAGAATGGCCACAGATATTCACACGTGATAAAACTGCAGTTATACACATGCGTGCACAGACGCACAAAGTAAGACACACAAATCCAGAGACCCCAGATATGCCCTGTGTGTGCAATCAGGGGAACTGGGGAGGGGTCCGTGCGATCTCTCCCACGGGTTTTGTTTTGTTTTTTTTTTTGCAACTTCCTGTGAATCTATAATTATTTCAAAATAAGAAGTGAAAAAACAACAACAACAACAACAAAAAAAAAAAACAAGGAGCTTCGCCTGCAGAGGTGTCCGAGCACTACAAGAGGAAAGGCAGCAGGCAGTCCTTTCATCCCAGCCATCTGACATCAGCGAGTTTTTAACCACGTGCATGCATATTTGTATTTTTAAAATCTATAGTGGGGTCAGCAGACAAAGATGGACCAAAACACAGGTGAGTGGGGGACCCGGGCAGAGGGACAGATGTGAGGTCATGGGCACAGGATGCTGGGCGCCGGACAGGCAGGGAGGAGCTGAGCGACGCCAGGCAGTAGAGGGACAGAGTAAGGGGACTAGAGTGGAGCTGAGGGACCACAGGTCCAGGGTCTAGTGAGCCAGGCACACAGGCACAGGGGAGGCCGCAGAGCCCTACAGGGCAAGGGCAGGAGCTGGGGCAAGGCAGGCAGGGTGGGGCCAGGGTGCCCCATGGGTCCATCAGTCAAGAGTGGAGCCCAGAAAAGATCAAGCTGAGGGCCCCTGCACTCTGAGGTGGGGCCAGCTCAGCTGCCTGCCTTGGCAGGAACCCCCACCCATGCTGACACCCCCTGCTGCCCCCATCTGCTGAGCACTCCCTGGCCTCACACAGGGTGGATGTCCTCACAGGACCCAGGTTCTGGGGTCGAGGGCACTTTCCAGCTCTCTGTGCCGGTGACTGTCTACCAGGCAGCTTCTCAGGACCAGCTGAGCTGGGACATGACCCCCGGGCCCACCCCAACCCCTGCCACACCTGAAGACTGCCAGGAGACTTGCCTCACAGGAGAGCCCCGGCCTGGGGAGCTTTCTCAGCCTCATCATTCTCCATAGTGGGGGCTGTCCAGATGCTAAGCAGCACCCCTGGCCTGTACCCCACCCCATCATGACAACCAAAAATATTTCCAGATACCGCTGAGGGGCGCAGGGGACAGGGTTGCCAAAGAAAATATAGGGTACCTGGTTAAATCAGAATTTCACATCGACAACAAATTACTTTTTTTAGTATATCCCAAATACCGCATAGGATGCACCTACAGATCATCCGTTGCTCGTCTGAGACGGACCTGGGTGTCCTGTGCTTTTGTTTGCTGAGCCCAGAAGCCCCGGTGGGAGCAAGGGTGCAGGAAGAGGAGGGAGGTCAGGGGTGGCTCTGGCCCAGCCAACTGAAAGAAAGGGTCCCCTGGCCATCAGATCCAAGGGTTTCCAGTCATGTTCAGGAAAACACTGCTCTGGGACCCGGCCTGACTCCTTCCCTTCTCTCTCCTCCCTCCTCCCCAGGCCACCAGAGGCCTGACAAGTCTCTCCTGCTCCTCAGTGCTGGCCAGACACAAGGCCACAGCCCTGACACTCTTGGGCCTGCTGAGCCCTGCACTGAGTCCACATCCTTGCCCCGGCCAGCTCGCAGCAAGGCCACTGGACCACAATCCTACCTGCAACATGACCCTACAGCCTCTCTCTGCCTCCTACATGAAGAGAGATCAAAACCAACTGATAGAAAGGGACCCTAAGGAGGCCAGGCATGGTGGCTCATGCCCGCAATCCCAACACTTTGTGAAGCTGAGGCAGGAGAATCGCCTGAGCCCAGGAGTTCAAGACCAGCCCGAGCAACATAGTGAGACCTCAACTACCTGTAGTCCTGGCTACTTGGGAGGCTGAGGTGGGAGGATCACTTGAGCCCAGGAGTTTGAAGGTACAGTGAGCTACAACTGTGCCACTGCACTCCAGCCTGGGCAATGGAGCGAGACCCTGTGTCTAAAAAATAAAAACAAAAAAACTCAGACCCATATGAAAATCTGCACATGGATGTTTACAGCAGCTTTATCCATAATTGCCAAAACTTGGAAGCAACCAATATGTCCCTCAGTAGATGAGTGGACAAATAAACTGTGGTCCATCCAATGGAATACTAACCAGTACTAAAAGAAATTAGCTGTCGGCCGGGCGCCGTGGCTCACGCCTGTAATCCCAGCACTTTGGGAGGCCGAGGCGGGCGGATCATGAGGTCAGTAGTTCGAGACCAGCCTGACCAACATGGTGAAACCCCGTCTCTACTAAAAAAAGATACAAAAATTAGCTGGGCGTGGTGGTGCATGCCTGTAATCCCAGCTACTCAGGAGGCTGAGGCAGGAGAATCGCTTGAACCTGGGAGGCAGAGGTTGCAGTGAGCCGAGATTGCGCCATTGCACTACAGCCTGGGGGACAGAGCAAGACTCTGTCTAAAAAAAAAAGAAATTAGCTGTCAAGCTATGAAAAAACATGGAGGAATCTAAACGCATATCACTAAGTGAAGAACGCCAATGTGAAGAGGCTACAGATGCATGAGTCCAACTACAGGACATTCTGGAAAGCATGAAACTATGGAGACACTGAAAACATCAGTGGTGGCCAGGAGTTAGGGGAGATGGATGGATGGGCAGGGCACAGAGGATTTCAAGGCAGTGACACTACTGTATGTGATGCTACGATGGTAGACATGTGTCATCATACATTTGCCTAACTCATGAACACACCAAGCCAAGAGTGAGCCCTCATGGAAACTGTACTCCAAGTGATGATGGCATGTCAACAGAGGTTCATCAGTTGTGACGAAAATAGCACTCTGGTGGGGGAAGTTGTGAGGTAATATGGGAAATCTCTGCACATTCTGCTCTTTTGCTGAGAACCTAAAACTGCTCTAAAAAGCAACTCCTATTAAAAGACAACAACCAAATAACTATAGTTTCATCTGAAAGAAGGTGCTACATTCAGGAAACAAGAATAGGGTGCTTTAAGGAAGCGATGGCTCAGGATGATATATTAAGTATCAAAGTTGAAATAAAAAATCCTACAGTCAGGAAAAAACCATAAAGGAATGATGGGCAGGGAATGACCAGAGAAGCAGGAACACACAGAGGCTTCCAGGGAGAGGTGGTCCCTGACCTGCAGGCTGCCCTCTCCCCAGAGGAGTGACCAGAGGGGGCAAACCACAGAGAGGGAGGTCAACAGCCAACAGCAGCCCGACAAGGAAAAGAGTTTACACTCTCATGAACTGAACTAAACGTGCCCAACGAGCGCAGCCCTAAGCCCACCCATGCCACATAGCTGGGAGGGGTGGCATCTGGACACCTGTCACCCACCACCCCTGGGGAGACACTCAAGGAGGTAACCTTGTTGTGTCCCTCTTCTGACGGCTGAGGAGAAACAGGGCCATGAACTCCAACAGAACTGAAGCTAGAGGGTTTCAAGTATTATTACACAGATGCTGAATCCCACGGAGGATGGTCCCGCCCCACCTGACCCCTCAGAGTGGAGCTCCCTGGCCTGTGACGTTGTGTCACATCTCAGAAGGGAGACCAGAGTTGGATGACGTCACCCTTCAGTGCTGAGCTGGGGAAGAACAGAGCCGCCTCCAATGCCCTCAGCACTCAGAACAGTGGCGGACACACCAGACACCCAGCACAAGTGAAGAAAATTAACTCCTCCTGCAGACCTCGAGGACAGAGACCCCCACAATGAGAGCAAATAGAAAGACACAGAGGAGCCACCAAGCATATGCTTGGTAAGGGGAGCTGGGGCC
Source organism: Homo sapiens (assembly GCF_000001405.40). Classification (NCBI taxonomy): domain Eukaryota; kingdom Metazoa; phylum Chordata; class Mammalia; order Primates; family Hominidae; genus Homo; species Homo sapiens. The sequence goes on along the minus strand of NC_000001.11, from coordinate 228,168,547 downwards.
CAGTAGGTCTGCAGACAAGCTCCAGACCAGGCAAGAAAGGATGAAGAGGAAAAAGCCCTGAGACACAGAAAGGACAGACAGCTGACCCTTGAATGATGCAAGGGCTAGGGACACTGGCCCCCACACAGTTGAAAACCCACCTTTAAGCTTTGACTCCCCAAAAGCTTAACTACTAACAGACTCCTGTTGACTGGAAGCCTTATGCATAACATACGCAGTCAAGTGGCACATATTTTTTATGTTTTATGCTATTATATACTGTATTACAATACGGTAAGCTACAAATCCCAGGAAGAAAATCCTAAGGAAGAGGAAATGTAGTTCCACTTCACTGAATGGAAATGGATCAACATAAACATCTTCATCCTCATGGTCTCCATGTTGAGTAGGCTGAGGAGGAGGAAGGAGAAGAAGGGTTGGTCTTGCCGTCTCAGGGTGGCAGAGGTGAAGGAAAATCCACGCATAAGTGACCTATGTAGTGCAAAGTCAGCTGTACTTTACACCACAAAACACTTATTAAGAATAGGAATTCAATTGAACTAGGACTCAAAGGGAAAAGGACAAGAGAGGACTATAGAAATATGGAAGGGAATTTGGGGACCAAAATCAACATCATTGTAAGGCTAACATGTGAACAGCAAAGTACTAACATAGAAGGCTCCAGAGAATCAAAGAATGTAGTTCTTAAGATGAAGAAATTAAAGCAGCTAGACAGAATGTAATGAATACATAAGACAGACTATGATGACTATATCTCTGAACTGGGACATGAAGATTTAAGCCTATTGAGCTAGGGTGGGCACACTTTTTCTGTAAAGGGCCAGTGAATAACTTAGGCTTGAGGGCCACACTCGTGCCACAACTCTACCACTCCAGACAAAAGCAGCCCCAGGCCGGGCACAGTGGCTCACACCTGTAATCCCTGCACTTTGGGAGGCCGAGGCGGGTGGATCACCTGAGGTCAGGAGTGTGAAAACAGCCTGGCCAATATGGTGAAACCCTGTCTCTACTAAAAATACAAAAATTAGCCGGGCATGGTGGCAGGCACCTGTAGTCCCAGCTATTTGGGAGGCTGAGGCGGGAGAATCTCTTGAACCCTGGAGGCAGAGGTTGCAATGAGCCAAGATTGTGCCATTGCACTCCAGCCTGGGCAACAAGAGCAAAACTCCGTCTCAAAAAAAAAAAAAAAAAAGAAGCCCCAGACCACCTGGAATCCAACGGGTGGGGTTCCCAGAGAATTTTATTATAAACACCGGCAATGGGCTGGGTCTGACCTCAGGGCCGTATTTCACCAACTCTGGTTCTAGATTTAAAGAGCCCACTAAGTGCCCAGAGATGTGATATGGAAAAAGCCCAAACTAAGACACATCAGCATGACATTTCACGACATCAAGAATAAAGAAAAGCTTCTGAGAAAAACACAGTTCACATACAAATAAGAACGGCACCAGACTTCTCAGAAAAGCTGGCAGCGAGAAAACAAAGTTGTGATGTGAACATTGTCGGTGACAATTTCCAAGCTAGATTTTTACACCCAGCCAGGATATCAGGTAAAGCCACTAGCAGAGACACAATGAGTCCAAAAATTCACCCCACGTAGCTCAGGAAGTCATTAAAAAGGTGTCCATCCCCTGAAACCAAAACACAGGAGTAAGCTGAAGAGAACAAGAACCGGGTCCGCCATAGCAGGGACAGCAGGCAGGCGGCCGCGAACCAGATCCACTCCACCGGGCGGAGGTTTCAGGGATCCAGGTCCCTGGAAGCTGGGCAAGGGAAACCCAAGGCTGTAAGCAGTCAAGGCCCTGACCCGGCATGAACATCACTGACAGTCGTGATGTCAGCACAGATGACTGAGCCAAATGCCAATGTGACCAGCTATGGGGAGACACAGGGAAACACAAGGTAAACAGAACTCGGGAGTGTCACCACAAGCTGTCACTCAGAAACACAGCTCTGCCACCAGGCGGGGCCCCTGAACCCCTTGTCCCTGCGGAGGGAGAAGGGTCACCAGATGGCCCACTTGGGAGGTGCCCACCTAGAGACGCCTCTGCTCTGATATGGTGGGCTGGCCCCCAGGCCTCCCCTGGATGAGTCGCTGACCCATCCCTGGGTGTTGAGCCAAGCCCTCCTCTGGGTGCCCTCCCCCGGGTGCTGGGCCCTGGGTGAGCTTCCCCTGGGTGTCCATCCCAAGTGGAATCTCCTGGGTGCCTGACCCTGAGTGCCAGTCGCTGGCCCACCCACCCTTGAGCTTCCACCCCATCCCGGCCCTCCCCGGGTGCCCACCCCCCACGCCCTCTGCAGGCCCCGGGCGCCCGCCCTGTCCCTGGGTGCCGGTCCCTGGCCACTCCCCTGGGTGCCCGCCCCCGAGCGCCCTCCCAGCACGCGCTCACCCGTACAAGATGACGTCATAGAGCGTCCGGCCCTGCACGTTCAGGAAGTGGGCGTAGCCCGCGCGCGCAGCAGGCGGGGCCCCCGCGGCCGCAGGACTCGGAAGCGGCAGTTCATTGGTCAGCAGCCCTAGCAGGAAGGGCGCCGCGTCGGGGCCACGCACGCGCAGCAGGGTGCGCCCGTCCAGCCGGAAGCAGGCCCAGGCCGCTCCGGCCGTTGGGTCGCCACCAGGACTGCAGGAGCTGTGGGCCAGGCGGCACCTTGGGGCCGCGCGCAGCCGCCAGCGCCAGACCGGGCCGCCGCGCCCCGGAGTGGCGCCTCGAAGCAGCGCCGCGGTCGCCATCTTGGACAAGAGTGGGGCAGCGGGAAGGGCCCAAGGAAGCGGGAGGGGCGGGTGCCACAGCGGCCCCTGGCGGTGGCCGCCGGAGGGAGGCGGGAAGGGGCGGGCGCAGAGTGCGTGCGTGAGGGGTGAACGGAACGTGCGTGCCTGAGGGGCGGAGCAGCGCCGGTTGAGGCCGACTGAGAGTGCGTGCGTGAGGAGCAGGGCCTCCCGAGCTGGAAGGGGCGGGCGGGGCGAGCGTGCCTGCTGGGTGGGTGGGGCATGCGTGTGGGGCGGAGCATCGTGCGCGGGGTGTGTTTCGGGGCGGGGACTCGGCCTATCCGTCAGCACGCAGGCTCCACCCTCGGTAGGTAACGAGGTTTCTGCCGGCCTCTTAAGCGCCATCCCATGTCCCATTCGGTGGCCTTCCTCGTTTTCACCCACCCATGTCGGGCACCGTCACTCATCTCGAGAACCTCTTCATCCTCCCAACCTGAAACTCCCTGTTAAACACCCACTCCCGAGGCCCTGGAGCTCCCATTGTACCTTCTGGCTCCATGAGCGTGCCTCCTCTAGGGACCTCACAGGAGCAGAATCCTACGGGATTTGTCGTTTGCGACGGCTTATTTCACTCAGCATAGTATTCTCAAAGTCCATCCACGGTCTAGCATGTATCAGCATTTTATTTTTATTTTTATTTTTATTTTTATTTTTTGTAAAGACAGGGTCTTGGTTATGTTGCCCAGGCTGGCCTCAAGCTCCAGAGCTCAGGCAGTCCTCCCTCCTCAGCCTCTTGAGTAGCTGGAACTACAGGCGCTAGCCACCACACCAGCTAATTTTTGTATTTTTTTTGTAGAAATGGTCTCCCCATGTTGTCCAGGCTGGTCTCAAACTCCTAGGCTCAAGCGATTCACCGGCTTTGGCCTCCCAAAGTGCTGGGATTACAGGCGTGAGCTACCGCACCCGGCCGCTTCCTCTTTCCTACCAGTTCGCCAGCGTCCACGTGTGGCTGTTGTGTCATTTTTTTCATTTGCTGGACCATTGGGACTTCAGCTGCAGGTGGCAGGAGGCTCCATCCCCAAGTGTCTCCACGGATAAGGACAGGCACCATCCAGCCCACAACCCCTCCGCACCCCTAATCAGTGTGACATGATGAGACACAATCACAGCTTCAAATCACATCCTTGGTAACTTCTGCTTTTTTCAGGCCAGGGTCACCCCCATCATGTGTCTATAGTCCTCTTCAGTGCAGGATTCCAAGCTCCCCTGGAGCCCAGCCTGTCCTCCCACAGGACGTCCTTCCAGACCACAGGACGTCCTTCCAATAACTCTCGTCCTCTCTTCACAGCTGAACTCACAGAGGACAATTTAGGCAGGAACCACACACTGCTATGACATATCCACCCCACCGTGCTTTCTCGAGGAGTGATGTCCCATACCCCCTGCTGAGCAGCCCTGTACAGTGGCCACTTTCCCTGGTAGTAGGTGACACATCTACAAGGTGGCCCCAGCAGCCTTCAGCCCTAGAGTCTGACTGCCCTGGTCCAAGCCATCCCTGCCTTGCTGGCCTCCTGGGGCCCATGCACCCTGTTGACATTCCCCTCTCCACTGCCCTCCACTCAAAGCACCAAAGAAGACTTACTCAATGTGTCCTTATGGTGCAGAGTCCCAGCAAGCAGAGGTCTTTGTATCTGTTGAATAAAAAAATTCCTCATGATGCGTAGTAACATCAGTGAGGAAGACTGCACCAAGGCGCATCATGTGGTGTGGGGCCCTGCCTGGCGGCCTTGGGGGAGATGGAGCTCAACCCCAACACAGCAGGGCAGAGGGTGGAGAAGCCGAGGAGCAGCGTGGGGTCTGTGGGTGGGAATGACTAAGGAGACATCAGGGCTGAGGGGTCTGGCTAAACCCACCTCACAGGGTCCTTGCTCTAGGCAGGCAGGGTGATCAGACGTCACCAGGTGATGGTGGAGGATGAGGGACCTGGTTGGATGTCATCGAGGGTGAGATATCCAGGGTGTGGGGTTCTGGCTAAACTGACTCAGTAGGGCTCTTACTAAAACTGGATTTTCCAAGCAAGTGCACAGATGGGCCTAGGAGAAAGTTCCAGATCCCAGCCGGAGTTTGGCCAAGCAGAAAGTCTCTGCCATAGCTCCCTGCCGTGTCCTGAGGGCCTGGGCCAGCAGCCGGCATGCCTTAGGGGCTCAGGTGACATTGGGCAGTCAGCGAATTCCCGCAGGCCCTGGATGTGGCCATGGAGGCCCTGCCGTTAGCCCACTCTCTTCACTGCAGCTTCCTCATCCCTGGAGCTCCCGCTTGCCCTTCTGGACCCTCCTCACAGCATCCCCACCTGCCCCAAGCCCTGTGAGGCCCCGGACCCTGCCTACCCAACCAGGCGAGGCTCCGGGCATGGTGAGGAGCCTGGAGCAAATCAGCTGGGTCCCCCAAGGTCCCTGGGCCTCAGTCCCCCGCCAGACGCCAGCTTCCTGACTGAGATAGGCCAGGCCTAGAATGCGCTCCCTAGCCACTGGCTGCAGCCGCCACCCCTTCCTCTGCCAGAGCCTGGCGTTCCTGAGGGTGACCCGGTACCCCCCGGGCAGCCCCATGCGGACAGAGCGGAAGGCAGGCAGGATGAAACCCGGGGCAGGGAGTGGCGCAGACAACACCCACGGGCGGGGGTCGAGTTCCTCTGGGCTCACGTCAGCCTGGTCCTCAGCCAGAGGAGGAATTTGCTTCCACCCCTGCACAGGCAGCAGGAAAGGCGTGCGGCAACCTGGTGCCCCGGGCCGGGCCCACTGGCTCCGAATCTGTCCTGCCTAGGCCCCCCCACCCCAAAGAAGCCACCACCAACACCAGGGGCCACTTCAGTTCGAATGGACTCAAAGGAAACAGAGCTTTCAGCTCCAGAGTCCTGGGGGCCACATTCCAGTGCCTGAGCCATGTGAGGCCGTAACTCCAGGCCACCTCCAAGAAGCCTTCCTGGACTCTACACCAGCCACCCTGGCTGCTGTTCTCCTTATCAGCAGGCAGGGGACTGGGGCCTGGCACCTGGGGGAGGAAACCCCGCCCCTGTCCTGGCTTCAGGGACCAGGCTGAAGCAGGGGCCAGGGGAGTGAGAACTGGAAAATGCCTGGGCGTAGGGGTCGCAGCCCCTGCTTCCCAGGTACTGTGGGGGGGTTGGGGGAAGGTGGTTTCCTGTTATTCTCGCCTCAGGGCTTCCTCCCTTCCTAGAGGAAGGAGAGTGCCACTGCCCTATTCTGAGGGAGTCTCTGAGCAGCTGGCCCCTCACCCCACTATGCACTCCCATGAGCAGCCGAGAGTTTTGGCTGAGGTTGTGGAAACGGATGGAGGTGAGACATGGAGTCCCATCCCGCCAGCCTGCTCCAGCACCGCCTGCTCTGGGTGTGTCCTGCTGTGTACAGGGCTGGGCCCACCAGCGACTGGCCCCCCTGCCAACCTGCCTCAGAGCTCGGAAGATGCAGGACAGAGGAGGGAGGGGGGCTGTGGTGTCAGCAGTGCCAGGCTCAGCTCATCACCGTCGTGGCCTCCCCAGGTGGCTGGGGAAACCAAGGCAGGGGTTTTCTAAAAGTGACTGATCAAGCGCCAGGAGTGCGAGATGGGTTTAGCTTCTGGGGGTCCGCAGACTGGAGCAACTAAGATACCACGTCCCACTGTAGTGGGAGATGCCAGGCCTGCGTGGTGGTGTGGGGCTCAGGCATGACATTGTGGGAACGTCCAGATTATCCAGGACTTGGTCTTAGAGGGAGGACTAGCAGATGGCGTGGAGGCTTGGGCTTGCACAGCCTCTCCTGGCTAGGGCCATCCCGCTGGGAGGGTGTGGTAACAGAGCCTAAGCCCACCAGCAGATGCTCACAAACCTGATGTGGCCCACCCACCCCCAAATGTTCAAGAAGGGAGGTCTGTCCCAGGGTCCCGTCTCCCCTTCTCTTGTGGCAATCCAGCTTCCCACTGGGCATATACCCTCTAATACCAGCAGAATTGTCCCCTCGAAACTCCTGTGCTGAAGCCCTAACCTCCAGGAACTTCAGAATGTGGCTATAATTGGAGACAAAGCCTTTAAAGAGGTGATTAAGTTAAAATGAGTTCATTGGGGTGGGTCCTAATCCACGGTGGCTGGTGTCCTTAAAAGAAGAGGAGATTAGGACACAGATGCACACAGAGGGACAGCTGTGTGAGGACACACGGGGGAGATGGCATCCACGGGCCAAGGAGGGAGGCTGCAGGAGGAACCAGCCTCGCCCACACCTTAATCTTGGCCTTCCCTTCTAGGACTGTGAGATAATCAGTGTCTGTTGTTTAAGGCACCCAGTGGATGATGCGGTGCTATGGCAGTCCCAACGGGCACACCCTCCAAGTTTGAGATCATTTCCAGCTTCCCTCGAAGCTGGGGTGCCCTTTGAACAGCTCTGGCTGGGGGATGTGTACTAGCCAGGGTTCTCCAGAGAAACAAAACCATAGGAAATATAGACACAGATACTATATACTATTTTTATATCTATATCTAGATATATAGCCAAAGACTAAAGTTTCCCAAAGAAGCAGCAGTTCTGCCTCCAGTCTGCCTGTGATGGCTAATTTTATTTATTTTGAGACAGGGTGTTGCTCTGTTTCCCAGGCTGGAGTGCAGTGGTGCCATCACAGCTCACTGCAACCTCGACTTCCCTAGCTCAAGTGATCCTCCCACCCCAGCCTCCTGAGTACTGGGACCACAGGTGCATGCCACCATGCCCAGCTACTTTTTAAATTTTTTGTAGACATGGGGTCTGTGTTGCTCAGGCTCATCTTGAACTCCTGGGCTCAAGTGATGCTCCCATCTCAGCCTCCCAAAGTGCTGGGATGACAGACGTGAGACAGTGCTTGGCCTGTGATGGTTCATTTTATGTGTCCATTTGACTGGGCCACAGGGTGCCCAGATATGGGGTCACACATTATTCTAGGCGTGTCTGTGAGTGCATTTCCAGATGACACTAAGACTTGAATAGATGGACTGAGGAAAGCAGATTGGCCTCTGCAATGTGGCTGGCCTCGTCTGATCAGGTGAAGGCCTGAACAGAACCAAAGGTGGAGGAAGGGTGAGCCATGCACAGTTGCCCAGCATGGCTGGACACCGCGGCCCCCACCACAGGGACCTGGCCTCCCCCGTGACGGCACCGCCAGCAGCACAGCCCCAAACCCTTCCTGTCTTGGAGAGGCTCCTGGTGTGTCCCCACTGGAGTGGACACCTGTTGGGGTTGGTGTTTGCTTTTCTTCCCTGAGGCTGCACTTTCGGCATTTCTGTCCGTGGCTCCCTGAGTCAGGGCTCACATGGGGCCAGAGGTCAGCCAGGCAAGCCCCAGAAAGGAGAGGGACTCAGCTTGCAGTTGGCATCTGCCCGGAGCTGGGCTTCGGTGAGACTCAGGGCTCAGCCTGGGCTTGAGTCTTGGCTGAGGGACACCACAGAGAGAGGGGTGTGCAGCCCAGGAGGGGCAGCCGGCCAGGCTGCACCAGGCCTAAGGGAGGCTGGGGGGTAGCCAGTCACCCGGAGTGTGCTCCAGGGGCTAATGAGCCCCCCTGCCCCTCGCCAAAGCCACCCCTGCAGGCTCTGGCCGACGTCCTGGTCATGACGGGGCCTGAGACAGCCGCCCTCCATCCACTGAGCTGCGGCCCAACCTGAGGCTCTGAGTGTTTTCTTTCTTTCTCACCATCAGTGCACTCCACCCTGCCCCACCCACCCCTGCCCCCGGCACGCTGCCTGGCACCGAGCAGGCCCCGAGTGTTGTCTGACAAGCTACAGGGGCTCGCCTGTGACCATACTCCCCTGCCAGTCCCTGGGGAGGGGTCTCCTCTCCCAGCCAGCCTGGAGCTAAGCCATGTCTCCCCATGTGGTAGCCATGCACACACACCCATGCATACACATATAAGCATACACCCAGACATGCACACAATGCACATACATGTGCATGCAGTCACACACATAGCCACACGTGCACATGCATACACATGCACACACAAGGTTATAAACAAGTTAGTTTTATTTTACTCCCTTTCCTCTTGAGGCTGGGTCTGAATTAGGGAGGAGGACAGACAGGCCACAGGCAGGAACCCAGAGCCCCATTCCCCCAGCATGGCCAAGCCCCCAGGCCCTGACCACCACCCATTGGGTCCAAGCTGCAAGGCATATCAACATCTTTGCAGAACTTCAAGCCTCCCAGAGGAACGGAAGGCCGGCATCGCAGAAGCTCAAAGAGGGTATGGTCCTGTCCACCCCAGGCTCCCAGCTCCCAGTCTGTCTCAGTTTGGGGCTGGGAAGGGGAGGGCTGAAGAAGGAGCCCCATTTGCTGTTGCAGGGAATGGGGACACGCACCCCCGCACCCCCACCAACTGATGCCCATACCAGGCACCCTGGGCCCTCCATGGGTTGCTGCAGGGAAGCACAAAGGGGAGAGCTGGCATCCCAGAGGACCTATTCCAGCTCAGGACAGGGGTGGAGTCAATGCCCCACTCCCCCTGGGGTTCAGACCACAGCAGAGGGCCCTTTCTGGCTCCTAGGCCTCTCTCCACCCCACCTTGGCCCCAGTGGTGACCAAGCCAGGGCACTCCTCTGCCGCTTTCAGCCCCTTCCCTGAGCAGCCTGGCTGCCCCTCTGGGCAGAGTCTGCCTGAGGCCACCGGCTAAGGAGAAGGCTGAGGAGAAGGGGTCGCAGGTTTCCACCGGAGCCCCCCAACCCTCCTCCTCCCTGGCCCAGCTCGCAAGCCAGCGCCCTCAGATCCACACGGTGGTCTTCCCGTCCCTGCTGCTGGCACTGCCCTTCTCGGAGCCAGCCCTGGGCTTGGCTCCTGGCCGCTCGTGGGTGCCGGGCCGGCCCTGCTCCCCGACAGTGCCCGCAGAGGTAGCACTGCCCGTCCGGGACGCGGGGGCGCCTGCTCTGGGGGGCCCCCGGGAGGCCGCAGGGAGGCCGACGCACGGCGAACTGTCCCGGTCGCGGTCCCCAGCCGCTGCCCCGTCGCGCAGCGCCTGCAGGGCCAGGTTTGCCAGGTTCTGGTCATGCGCCCGAGCGCGCTCGGCCGCCCGCACCACCAGGCTGTAGTCGGGCGGGCAGGCCAAGCCAGCGGCCGCCGCAGGGAAGGCGCAGGGCGGGGGCCGCGGCGCGGGGGCGGGGGCGGAGGCCGGGGGGCCGCGGCGGCCGCGCACCGCGTCCTGCGCGCTGCCCAAGCCCAGGTGGGCCATCTCACAGAGGTTGAGCAGCAGGCACAGGCAGCTGACCACGTACATAACCAGCAGGAAGACCGTCTTTTCAGTAGGGCGCGACACGAAGCAGTCCACCACGTGCGGGCAGGGCTGGCGGCTGCAGGGAAAGAACGGTCGCACCTCGAAGCCGTACAGCAGGTACTGGCCCACCAGGAAGGCCACCTCGAAAGCTGCCCTGGCCACCAGCTGGGCCACGTACACGCGCATCAGGCCCTCCCGCTGGATGCGCCTCCGCCCATCGTGTTGCCCGGTCGGGCCCGGGGTCCCTGCCGCCTTGCCGTCAGCGCCGACCGCCTTAGTGCACGCCTCCTCCGCGCCTGCCTCCTCCGCTTCCTCGCCGGCGCCCTCGGCTGCCCCCGTCTCCTCCTCCTCCTCCTCCTCGCCCAGGCCCAGCATGGGCTCCTCCTCGCCCAGGTCGGCGGGCTCAGGCCAGCCGGCGTGCGGGGGCGGCAGGTGCGCTCGGGGCGCGCGGCGTGGCCCCGGGCGGCGGCGGAGGGCGCGGCGCCGCTCCTGCTCAGACGCACGGGCCAGGCGGTGCACGGCGTAGCCCAGGTACATGACCGAGGGCGTGGAGATGACCACAATCTGGAAGACCCAGAAGCGCACGTGCGACAGGGGCGCGAAGGCGTCATAGCAGACGTTGTCGCAGCCTGGCTGCCGCGTGTTGCAAGTGAACTTGGCCTGCTCGTCCGAGTAGATGGCCTCGCCGCCCACAGCCGTCAGCACGATGCGGAAGACCACCAGCACCGTGAGCCACACCTTGCCCACGAAGGTGGAGTGGTTGTGGATCTCCTCCAGCAGCCGCGTCAGGAAGCTCCAGCTCATGTTGGTCATAGGGGCGGGCGGGCGGGTCCTGTGGGGCGGGGTAGGGGTCAGCCAGGGGCCTGCACTTAGGAGCCCGCGGCGCTCAGAGCCGGGGCTCCAGGCTTGCCTCGCAGCTGGCCCCTCTCTGCTTACACAGTCAATGACGTGGAGCTTACCGCCTTAAACGGAAGTGGAAGCCCCCACCTGATCCGGCCCCTGCTCGTGCAGATGCAGGGCCCCAGCTGGGTGAGTTGCCTTCATGAGGCAGATGGGGACACTGAGGCAAGCACCACTCAAGTGTGTGGGGACTGGTGGTCTCAGTGTCCACTGCACCCATGGCCACCAACCCAGCCCCAGCCGCATCCAGGTTGTTGGGGAGGGTCCCACAGAGTTTCAGCATCCAAAGGGTCTCCCCAGCCTGCCTAGCCACTCAATCCCTCCTGGCCCCTCCAGCTCCCTAGCCCCCAAGCCCCTGCAGCCCCATCAGCCCTCAGTCCTTCACAGCCCCCCGTGCCTGCACCACCATCAGCTCCCAGACCCCAAAGTGCCACCAGTCCACAATCCCCATAGCCCCTCGGCCCCCAGAGGCCCTGCTCTGCCTCCCTCCACACCCTGGACAGGGGCGTCGGGGTCCCTCCACACCCTGGACAGGGGCGTCGGGGTCCCTCCACCTCCACAAAATCCTCCATCCTCCCTCCAGCCCCCGGCTGGTCCCGCTGCCCTTCTCAGGTGCCCAGGGTCCCAGGGCTCCGCCCGCCCAGTCTAGGTTCCTGGTCCTCCATGGTCTCAACCCAGACCATCTCTAGCTGGGGTCAGGATGAAGCCAGTCGTCCGTCCAGGAGGGACGGTGTCCAGCGAGGTTATAGACCCAGTGATGTGAGGCCACACTCAGCACCTGCGACCCTCAGAGACAGCTATGCCGCAGACCAGCCAAGCCCAAGGTGGGCAAGTGCCCAGGAAAGGGCTGTGCAGCAGGGCCTGTGCTCCAAAGAAGGAGAGCTCCTGCAGCTCCCCTGCCCACCCTCTGCTGGCGGTTGCCCCAGGGCCAGTACCTGCTCCTGGGTCGCTGAGGCAGGAGACCCCTTAGCTCCCTCCGCCTCTGGCCCCCTCCCGGTACCTGGCCTGGGAGGCAGCAGCGGCAGGTGTGGGACCAGCAGCAGTCGCTGGTGAGGCTCCCGGCCTCTTTATGCAGCTGAGGCCTCCCCACCCGGGGCAGGAAGAGGGGGCAGTCAGGGTTCCTGGGGAAGTGGCCCTGCTTCCTCACATCTGTGCAGTACCCCTCAGAGCCACACACATTCACATGTGCACACACACTCAGATACATACCCACAGATTCACATGTGTACACATGCACACACGTGCACATGCATGAACACGCACATGCATATGCAGATACCCATGCACACACATGCATACACATGTACACGTGCATGCTCAGACACACATGCAAACAGGGTTAATGCAAACAGATGTATGTGTACATCCACAGGCATGCTTCTTTGCACTCACATGCAGATGCACATGCATGAAAACAGTGGCACATACACACTTGTGCATATGCACACACATGCACATACGTATGCACAACCACATACACATATATGCACACACATGCACACAGACCCGTGCACACACACACACGTGTGATCAGGCACACACATGCACAGGCGGGCACACTCCAGCCCTGAGGCCACCTCCCCTATCTCCCTGGCTCCAGTAGGCAGGGCCCACCTCCCTCCCCACCTGACCCATCACAGCAGGCTAAGGCCCACTGATTCCAGCCCGACAGGAACCTGAGACAGAGCAGGCTCAAGGGAGAGATGGGGCAGGAGGCCTTCAGTGCCAGGGCCAGCCTGCCCAGCTGTGTGGGGGCAATATTGAACAAATGGCTCTCTGGGGGCAGCCTGCAGTAATGGCGCCTGCCAGTGCCCATGGTGTGAGCATTCCCGTTGTGGCTGACTGCGGAGTGGCTTCCTTGATTCAGCTGAGGAAACGGCGCCATTGGCTCAGCTCTGGAGACCACTGTGGCTCGGCCCTGGGCTGATGTGCCCTGGCGTCTGAGGGCTGGCACTTAGCTCTGGGGGCCTGTGTCACTTGCACCCACATAGTGGTCCTGGGAATGGTCTGGAAGAACCTGGGTCCTGGTCTCAGGGCCACGCCTATGGGGACTCCCAGATCCACACCTCCAGCCTGTAATTCTCTCTTGGGCCTGCTGCCACCCCCAACATGGGCACTCAGATGCCCAGCAAGCACAGCCACTGCCAGAGGGCCACACCCAAATGCCACTCTGCTCTGCAGAGCAGCTTCCCTATCCCAGCCAATCCTGAGCCTGGCCCCGCCTGCAGGGCCTCAAGCACTTCACTCCTTGCCTGCAAGCCTGGGGAGCATTAGGACGCCCACCCAGCAGGACTCCTGCCCTGCCTGTGACTCCTAACCAGAGCGAATGCCGCGGCCTCACCTGCCTTAGTGCCAGGTCCCCTGCCCCCATTCCACGCCTGGCTCCAGATATCCCCTCGTGTGCTCTGCCCACGGCTCCCACACTGGCTGGAGCCCACTCCCACCAGGAGCCTTTGCTACCTGGCCTCGCCACACACACATGCACAGGCGCACACACACAGGTTCAGCCCTTCCCTGAGGCTGTCGCTGTGTCACCGCCTTCCATGCTGCTAGTGACTATTCCATGTGATGACGATCACAGCTGGAGACCACAGGGTGTCTCACAGAGACGTGGGCGGTTTCATAGAAAATACAGCTATGTGGATGCACCTGGGTTCAGACACACACCTTTGCTCTGGCGCCTGCAAAGGCCTCAATGCAAAAACACCCTAGGAGCAAGAATCTACCTGGGGCCCAGGCCTTGGTTCCTACCTCCACTCCCAATCACAGGAATCAGGAACCCCTGGTGGGGAACTGGCAGACCCGAGGGCTGGGGCTGGGAATGTACAGAAGAGCCTGGCGCAAACTGTAGTGTCAGAGAGGAAGTCTGTGCAAGCAGCACCTGCACGTAGAGCACCCAGTGCCTGAGACTGGATCCCTCTGAGCAGTGAAAGAAATCAAGTAGTCTTGTGTTACAGATTACAGACTGACATAGATTAGAAGCCAAAGTACGTGACTGAATGTATAACCAAATGGGGGACAGGAGACAGCTCCTCTGTGCAGAGTCAATCCAAAGCAGCCATGTGGACACTCTGTACTGGAGGGGAGCATGACCCCCATCCCTACCTGTGGGCTGCACCTGGTAACCTGGCTTCAGAGGGTGTGGGAGGGAGAGGGGGAGAGCGCCTCTGCAGCATGCCTCCTACACCAACCCTGGCCAGGCGGCCAAGGTGTCATCACAAGCATCGTGAATGGTGTGGATGCTTCACAGCATCTCATGGGAAGGTCACGTCAACTCCATGGTATTCCTCCCAAAACCCATCCCCCTGAAGACTCATAAGGAAACATGAGGGTGAAAGGGATCCCACCCAAGGGGCATGCTACAGAACATCCGGCCAGTGTTCATCCAGACAGTGAGGACACCCCATACAAGGAGACCCAGGAGGCTGCCGAAACCAAGAGGAGTCCAGGGAGACACGGTGACTGACACCATGTGGGATCCATGGCGGGGCAGAAAAGGAGCTGTAGGGGAGAGGCAAAGACATCTGCATACAGCAAGGACCTCAGTTAATCCCAGCTCATCCATATTGGTCCATTCATTATGAGGAGCATGTCACGCTAATGCAAGACGTCAGCAACGGGGAAACTGGGTGTGAGGTCTATAAGAACTCTGCACTATCCTCACAGCATTTCTGTAAATCTTACTGAGCTCAAGCAATTCTCCCACCTTGGCCTCCTGAGTAGCTGGGACTACAGGCACATGCCACCATGCTGGCAATTTTTATTTTTATTTTTTAAGAAATGGGGTCTTAAGCCGGGCACGGTGGCTCATGCCTGTAATCCCAGCACTTTGTGAGGCTGAGGTGGGTGGGTCATGAGGTCAGGAGTTCAAGACCAGCCTGGCCAATATGGTGAAACCCCATCTCTACTATAAATACAAAAATTAGCCGGGCGTGGTGGCGCGTGCCTGTAGTCCCAGCTACTCAGGAGGCTGAGGCAGGAGAATCGCTTGAACCTGGGAGGCGGAGGTTGCAGTGAGCCGAGATTGCACCACTGTACTTAGCTGGGGCAACAGAGTGAGACGCTGTCTCAAAAAAAAAAAAAAAAAAAAGAAAAGAGAAATGGGGTCTTAATACAAAAATTTGCCAGGCATGGTGGTGCGCTTGTACTTCTAGCTACTCGGGAAGCTGAGGTGGGAGAATCGCTTGAACCCCGGAGGGAAAGATTGCAGTGAGCCGAGATCACACCACTGCACTCAATCCTGGGTGACAGAGCCAGACCCTATTTACTTTTTTTTTTTTTTTTTGATGGGGTCTCGCTCTGTCGCCCAGGCTGGAGTGCAGCCGCACAATCATAACTCACCATCGTCTCCTTGATCTCCTGGCCTCAAGCAATCCTGCCTCAGCCTCCCAAAGAGCTGGGATTACAGGCATGAGCCATCCACACCTTGGCCCTTTTCTGTGAAAGTGCTGTAAAATAAACCCCTACTTAAAGAAAGGACCATGATAGAGAGGCGGGACAAGCTGAGGTGGGCACTGTCTAGTGCTGCAGGATGAGGCTGTCAGCAGGGGCTTGGTGGAGGCCCACGGGAGGAGAGGGGAGGGGTGCTGGCCCCCAGGGAGCCAGGCCCGGGATTTGCAGACTATGTGCACACAAGTCCAAGAGATCTCACCCCAAAGCTACACCTCCAGGGTGCCCAAAATGAGGATTGGTGGGGAGAGGCTTCAGCTTGGCCAAAGAACTGGAGGCACCCTTGGGCTTCAGAGTCTGGGAGGAGGCAGCTGCTGGGGTTAGTAAGGTGTCAGGGCGAGGTAGGGGGGTGACCACAGGAGGCCACCAGCCAGGACGCTGCCTGGCCCAGGTCTGGGAGTGGTGAGGCAGGGTCAGCCTCAGGGAAGGCTGTGGGAAGTAGAGGAGGATGTGGGCATTGGTGGAGGGCCGGGGACTCACAGGGTTCTCATACTGGGGACCAGGGTCTCATGGGGGCTCGCTACTAGGCCAGGGTGTGAAAGGGGGCTTCACAGTGGGGGCGGTCTCGCCCTGGTGGCATCGGGGGCTCACAGGAAGGGCTTCAAAGGGGTGCGCAGCAAGAGCAAAGGGACTCACCATGGGGGCTCACAGTGGGGGCCACCTCTGGGAAGGGTTTCAGGGCAAGCAGGCCCAAGCTGAGGCTGCCTGTCTGCAAACCTGGCTGGGCCAGCTCTGACCAGTGTCCTGGTGTCCTGGTATCTCAGGACACCGGTCAGAGCCGGGCCCCCTCCCCCATCAAGCTCCTGCTCATCCTGGGTCTGAACAAGGGTCCTGAGGCACTGCAGAACGAGCCCCGCCCTGCTGGGTGTAGCACAGGGTCAGGGGCCCAGGTATTTCCTTCCATCTCCAGGCCCTCCCAGGGCAGGCCGCGAAGGGTGGGTGTTTTCTGCAGTTTAGGGCAGCCACCAGACAGGCACCCACGCACACAGTTCACCAGGCGGGACCCTGGGGCAGGCTCCTCCCTTCCCCGAAAATGATGGTACCCCAGCGCATGGCAGGCACTGTGCTGTCGCTTGTCCACTCACAGTCCAAAGCAGATTCCCAGTCCCACTTCCCTGGAGCTCCTGCAGGCACAGTCCCCTCCTTCCCCTGCACTCCACTGCAGGGCCCTGTGTGGGGACAGTCCTCACTCAGAGGGGGCTACAGCACTCACCCATCCTCAGGCCTCAATTTCTCCTCACCCGCTGACAGGCCGTAGCCCCCTACCCTGATGCCCAGAGCTCAGCTCTGTGGTGGCAGCTCCACTACCTGTCCTCCATGTCCCTGCCTGAGCCCCCAGCTGCCTGTCCTGGACAGCCCAGGCCCTGGGACGGTCAGCCCCGAGTGCACCCTCAGCCATGCTCCTCTGGATGCCCTGGTCCAGAGGGAGGTGCAGAGCTCAGCCACCTAGGACCCAAGCCCGAGGCCTGGAACCCTCCCTCCATGCCCACTCTGCCCCAGCAGCTCTGTGGCCGGCCTCACTGTCCTGCCTGTGCAGCAGTAGGCCCCACTGGGTGTGGGCACCAGCCATCCTCATGCATCCTTCACATGTACACACAGGGCACGCTCCTCCCTCCACCCCCCCACACACAAGCAGTGCACACTGCCACATGCACACTGCTGCTCGAGCTCAACATGGAGCTGGGCTCACACACTCACTCTCACACATAGCCATGAACCCTCCCTATTCAGACTCAACCTCACCACGTGCCTCCCTCAGGAGTCCCCACCAGGCCCAGGAAAGCAAGGTGCCCCCACCAAGACCCCAAGTGCCTGCCCACATGGTGGCTCCCCTTACATGGCCTGCCACAGCTCCTGAACTGACCAGACCCCCAGGAGCCCAAGAGCATGGGTGTGGCGCTCAGGAATGTCAGGGGAGTGAGGGGACACTGAGGAGCGTGGTGTGGAGGTATGAGTCTGTGGGATCCCCAGGCCTTGCCAGGGCCGTGCACACGTGCAGGTGGCAAGGCAGCATCCAGGCTGGTGCCTCCTCCCCCGTGGAGCCCTCTCCTCCCTGGGGTTGTTGGCGCTGTGAATGCGTGGGCCCCTCCTGCAGCCTGTTCTTGAGTTCCCTCCCTCAGGGTCCCAAGCAGGAACAGAGCTGTCAGGCCCAGAAGTGAGGGGCTGTTCCTCCTCTGGAGGTGGACCAAGGGGGCGAGTTAGGCCTGGGTCAGGCTGGGAGTGTGTCATCGCTGAAGCCTGGGCAGCTCCCCAGGCCAGCCTCCAGGGCTGTTGCAGGCCTGGAGCTGAGCCACACACCCTCCAGAAACCGAGCCCTGGCGGGTATCCATACTGGGAGTGAGGGGGTGATGATTACCCCAGCCTCCTAAGGCTGTCCCTGCCCTCCACCCGCAGGATCCACGAACCCGTCTCTTCCCTCCTGAACGCCCAGCAGCCAGGAATCCTGGGCTCACTGCCATCCAGCTCTGGGATGGGGGCCCCCGCGCCTGGGCTGTGGCCTCCCTGCGCAGCAGCCCTGGGGTGCTCCGCCCTCCCAGAGGGGTGTGGGCCTCCCCCTCCTCAGCCACGCCGCCCCTTCCTTGCACTGAGGGCCTGCCCCAGCACCCCGGGGGGGCCTCCACCCAGTTAATCACAGCACTGACAGGCACTGGGGTTGGATCCTTGACCACAGGGTCTGCTGGGCTTCAGACCTAGGCTGGGCCCCAGTGCAAACTTAGTGGCTTGTGGCCTTCTATGGAGGGGACTGAGCAGGGCCCCAGGTCTGTCTATACCAGGGGCAGGCTGGCCCCCTCACCTCCAGGTGGCCGCTGAGGGTGGGGGACTGGGCCTGGACACAATGCAGCTGGCTGGTGTTTCAGAGGCCAGCCCTATCACTACCTGAGGGGCCCCAGCTGCTGGGGGAGGTACTGAAGGCACCCCCCTCCCGCTTGCCAGCTGTCCCAGAGCAGACCCCACCGGTTGGTGCCCACCCTGCGGTGAAGGCAGCTGGGCCTGAAGGACACAGACATGGAGTGGGGGGGCCACCCCACCATCTGCGTGGAGCAGCGGAGCCCAGGAGGGGGTGGCAGGCGCAAGGAGTGCACCCTCCTATGGCTGGGCCCTAGGAAGCCCTCCCTCCTTCGGGGCCTCAAGGCCAAGGGGCACAGCGTGAGGCTGTCTCCTGGGGCAACAGCCCCCAGCCCCATGAGGTACATACATGGACCCCAGCACCCTACCTTCTCCAGGCCAGAAAATTCCAGTCTCCCTCAGAGCCCTTCCACCTGCTTGGATGCTGGTCCTCCCCGAGGGTGTGTGGCCGAGCCAGGGCCACCTCTCACCACCAAGCACAATGGGGGCTGGAGGAGGGGCCCTCAAGGGCCCCATTGTTCCCCCCTCGGCCTCAGGGTCTGAATCCCTGATTGTCCTGGGGGGCAGGGCAGCGGGCAGGGCTCTCCAAGCCCAAGCAGGTCAGAGGCCAGCCCCAGCCTCCGAAGCTCAGTCCACCTGCCCTGGAGCAAGCGACCGGGGGCTGCCTGGGCCCTCCCCTCCCCTCCCCTGCCCAGCCGCCCAGTCCAGGCGGCTCTGGCCTGTATCCTCCGGCAGTCTGGGCTCTGGGCGGGGACTCTTCTCCCCGCCCCCATTTCCGGCCGGGCACCCTGCCTGCCTCCTTCTCTCCCACCCATCTGTCTACACCCCACCCCAGAGGCACCTCACCTAGGCTCAGAACAGGGCTGGGGCTGACCCTAGGGGTGGCTGGCAGCACGGCCCTGTGCTGCCTTAGACAGGCAAGCTGGGGGAGCACTGGGGAAGGAGGGAGGCAGCCTGAGCAGAGGAGGCTCCTCACACACCACACACAGCCCCTGGGGCAGCTAGGGGAGGGGCATCTCCCTCAGGGAACCCCTTAGACCTCGAGATCTAGAACCTCCAGCTGCCAGAGCTCAGGGGCCTCTCCTGGAACCTCTGGCCCATGCCAGACCCACAGGGTCGGGCACCAAGAGGCAGCCCTCAGGGCCCACCCCTGCAGCCTCAGGCTGCCCCATGCAGCCGCTTCCTGCTCCCCACTTGCCAGCCTGCCAGGTGGGTTGGGACCAGCCCTGCCACCTTCCCTGCCTGCCAGTCAAGCATCATGCTGCCCTGGGGCAGCAGCCACGAGCCGGCAGGCAGCAGATGCCTAGGCAGAGGCCATCTTGTGGCCCTCCTTGGGGCTGGTGGTTAGGGTGGGCTGCCGGAGCTCAGGGCCCGATCGGGATGATGGGGCCCCACCAACCTTGGGGCCACATTCCACTCATTTATGGAGTTTCTAATCCAACAGTTATTTTATTAGGATGTCAGCCCTGGGTCCAGAGTGAGAGATAGGGACAGGGGACAGCCCAGCGAGGCTGGGTCGGGGGTCACCCCAGGATGTTCCAACCACAGGGGCAGCATCTCCTCCACTCCACATGCTGGCCAAGGGCACAGAGCTGCCGTATCGCCTGCCAAGGGGGTGGCTCAATGCTGCTGCCCTGGTCCTGTATGGGCCCGGGGTGCCGAGAACAGACAGCAAGCCTCAGGCGCCGGTCCTTTGAGCTTTCTTGATTTCCTGCCAGTGAGGAAGAAAGGGAGTTGGGAGGGCTGGTATCCAGGAAGGGCTGGGCTTCCTGCTCTCCCTCCACCGTGGACCTCGGTGTCTCATGCCAGTGCTTGGGTAGGACTGTCCCATCTAACCTCAGTGGCCTCATGGACAACAAAGGCCTGGCCCCCAGGCCTCCCCTTGGGCCTTGCCCAGGTAGGCACAAGGATGGGCCCACCTCAGAGAGCGCCTCCTTCAGCTCTGCGTAGGCCTGGTCCAGGCTGTCGTTAATGATGACCACATCAAACAGGCCGGGCTCCTTGCCTGTGGGTGGGGCCTGGGGTCAGGGCACAGTGAGCCCATGCAGCCCCACCCCAGGTCCCACACGACCCCCAGAGCAGCCCACTGGCCTGCGGCTGTCCTCACTGCGGCTGTGGGACAGCTTTCCAGCCCAGCCGGGCCTGTGCAGGGTAGGGAAGGGCCGCCCCCTGGGCCTCAGTCCTCAGGCACCACTCCTGCTCTCTCTGGAGCCCCAGAACTTGGGTCTGGACACCAGCACCCATCAGGACTCTGGTTAGGGGCTACACTATCCTCTACACACACAGCAGAACATTAAATGCCCTCTTCTTGTGGGCTGCAGTCAGACCCAGAGAAGAGGCAACAGCTGTAAGAGGATGCACATGACACCCCCGGGGCTAGAAGGTTGGGGACATCTCATGGGACCCTGGGCGATGGGGGGTCTGGGGGCCCTCACGGAGACTCTGGGTAACAGAGGGAAATCTGAGGACCCTCAATGAGACCCTTGGTGACTGGGGGTGGGTTCTGGGGACCCTCACGGGGACTCTAGGTGTTGGGAGGTAGTTGAGAGGTCTGAGGACCCTCACAGGGACTCCAGGTGTCAGGAGGTCTGGGGACCCACAGGGTCCCTGGTGCCACAGACCTCAGAACCCTGACTCCCCTCCTGGCATTCCCTGGTGATCCCACGGCACACTCACTGCTCTCCATGTCGGCCTGGGCAGCAGCCAGCCGCTTCACCAGGCTCTCCTCGGTTTCAGTGTTGCGCTGCCGCAGCCGCTGCTCCTAAAAAGGGGGTGGCAATCAGAGCCTGGCATGCCCTGGCCCCCAGCCCCCAACCCTGCCCAGCACACACCAGCACGTGCAGTGAAGGCGGCTGCACAGAGATGTAGATGGGCCGCAGATCGGTGGCCTTGATGTTCCGCACACCCTGCAGGTCCACGTCCAGCACACAGATGCGGTTCATGGCCTGCACGGCCTGCACCGCCACCTTGCTGGGGAGAGGTGCCAGGTCAGCAGGGGTGCCAGGGCTCTCTGAGGCCTACAGGAGCTTCAGGGACACCCAGGCCCTCCCGGGCCCAGCGTTCTCCTCCCACAGCTGAGCCTAGGCCTGGCCTGGACCCAGCACCCGACAGCATCTCAAACCTGCTACCCCCACGCCCTGCCCCGCCTACAGGGAACAGAGGCCACCCACTCCCCAAGGTGCCTGTAGTGAGCATGAGGTGTCCTGTGCACCCTTCACCCTGCCAGGACAATGCACGGTGGCAGGACCGGGCCCAGCAGCCTCATGAAAAGAGCCACTGTGGGCCACAGACGTGGGAGCCTGGCCCTGGGCCACAACCTGGCCACATTCATAACCATGGGGTGGGTGGTGTGGATGGCGGGCAGGCAGCAGGCACTACCTGGATCCCTGTTGCCAACAGCAACCCTGGGAGCCCACCCACACCCACGCATGGCCCACCTCGTGCCATACAGGTTCCCCGAGAACTCGGCATGCTCGATGAAGTCGCCGGCTGCTATGTCACGCTGCATCACCTCCCTGGTTACAAAGTAGTAATCTGGGGAAGAGGAGGGGCCATCCAGAGGGCAGACTGGACCTGCACCAGGGTGCCCAGGGCCAGCTGCCCCCAACCCAGGCATGCCTGCAGGCCCCTCCCACACCCACGACTGCTTTAGTCAGATCCTTGCTGGGCAGGAGACATCTGAGGACCCCTCAAGTGCTGCCAAGTGCCTGAGCCAGACACCATTTCTCACACTGTCCTCACTGATGGAGATACGAGACTGCTGGGTTCCAGTGGGGAGTTGGGAGTTGGTGGTGATGGGGTGGGGACTGGAGACCAACAGGTTCTGGGGGAAGGTGGTGGGGGAACTGGAGACCGTCAGGTTACAGAGGGGACGATGTGGTGGGGTGACTGGAGACCACTGGGTTGCACGGCAAGGGGCGGGGGTGCTGTTGGGAAGGGGGTCCCTTGTCTTGAATCAGGCAGGCAGAGTAGCCCTTTTTACCAGGACTCCAGAAGACAGCTCAAAAGTGCTGATAAGTGCCGAGTCCAGGACAGGGCTGGGGACAGCAGCACTGTGGCCGCCTCCAAGGTGGGAGGAAGACAGCCCCAGGCCTTGGCCGGCCTCTCACACTGTACCCAAGGAAGGCGACACCACGCTGTGGCGCTGACACCCTGATTGAGTTCACCGGCCCTTGGAGGCAAGGACCCATCTCACAGATTAGGGATTGATGGGGGCAGGAGACGGGCAGCACAGCCAACACAGCTGCAGGGCCCAGCAGCCCTGCCCACACTGGGGGTGCTCCAGCCATAGGGCCCCACCCCACTCACCTTTGCCGTTCTCCTCGCCGGGCCTCGGGTTCCTCGTGGTATCTAGCAGAGAGACCTGTCACCCATCGGGGGCTGCTCGGAGCCCAATGCCCCACCCAGCGTTTCCCTTGCAGTCCCGACAGCACTTGAGCCCCAGGATGCAGGCAGCCAGTGAAGCACACCACTGGGAAGGCGCAGGAGCCTACAAGGCGAGGGTTCTCCCAGAAAGAAACACTGTGGCCCAGTTATCAGTACTCAACAGACCCAGGGAAGGGAGACACAGGCACGCAGGACAGCAGGAGTGTGATAACCTCAGGTTCTGTGTGGGGGGGAGTGTGCAAGAGTTCGGACAGTCTGCAGGGTGGGTGTGCCTGTTGGGTTTGGGCTCCTGGCCTGCTCACGGTGCTAGGACTACTCAGCAGCCTTGAGGTCTACGCACCCCTCCACGAGAGCCCTGGACTCACGGGACACGCTGAAGCCAAAGATGCCGCTGTGCTCCTGGAGCAGCCTCTTCAGCAGGGTGCTCTTCCCAGCTCCCGAAGGCCCGCTCAGCACCACAGGCCTGGGGCCCGACATGCCTGGGGGTGAGAAGAGAGGCTGTGGATAGCAGTGCGGCCTCTAGTCCCCATCTGCTGAGCTGCCTCTGCCTTCCTGAATTCATGGCAGGAAAGGGCTGACCCAGGGATGGAGACATTGGCCTGAGAGTCTCCTGAGAGCCTGGGTGTTCTTCCCCCTGAGCTCTGCCACGTTGGAAGGGCCGGCATGCACAGGGCGGCCCTCAGACCAGGCTCTGGGCACACGGGAGACGAATGGAAGGCCGGCTTTACTGGGTTCTCAGCAGGGGAGCCCCCCAACTGAAACCCACTGACCCTGTCAGCCTCCCCAGGGGTCCCTAGCAAGCAATGCTGTCTACTCTGATGACACCCTACCTGGGAGCTGCCGTCCCCACCTGGTGGAGTCACCTCCAAGCCCTCTGGGAGCCTGCTCTGAGACCCCCACCCCACCCAGGAGTCCAGCCATTTGCTCCCATGCATGGTGCTGAGTGCTGGGCTGCTAGGTCTGGAATGGAAGTGTCCCTGTCCCCGCCTCTGTCCTCTGGTACCTTGCCCTGCAGATATGGTCTTGTAAAGATCTACTGAATCTACACCTATTCCAGGAACTTCTCATAGGACTTGGGACTCCTATCTGTGATGCTGGTAATGCCAGAGGGGGTTGGAGGCCTCCCTCCCAGCCCCCAAGGGAAAGGCAAACAGGATCCTAGCTTGGACACGTGGCAGGTGAGGGCCCGGGAGCTGGCCTTTGCCTGGTGGGAATCCTCCCCAAGAACAGGGCCTACCTGTTTGCTGAGGTGCAGCCTCTGTAGTCAGCCTGGGGTGGGTCTGTCTGCTGGACTGAGAGCTGGGGGTGCTGAGTCCCTAATCCCCACTACGCCTGCTTCTGGCCCCACCCTTCTAAGCCACGAATAAATCCCCAGGGGGCCTGGCCCTGGGCCCTTGCAGGGAAGCAGCCCCATCCACCTGCTCTGCGGCTGTGCAGGAAGGAAAAGACAGCTCCAGCTCTTGCCCCAAGACCTGCACCTGCCCTGCCCTCCCAGTCCACATGAGCTGCACACACAGGGCCAGGGCAGCGTCTTCGAGTTGGGATGGGGAGCAGAGCTGAGGAGTGGGGCCGTGCACTGCAGCTGTGTTCAGGGGCTGGGCTAGAGGGAAGCGGATGGACCCCTGGCCACACGCACACCTTGGACACAACTCAGGCGAGGCGTGAATGGCCTCCTCCTGTTTAGGGCACAGCCGCCTGTGGGCAGACGAGCAGACAGTGGGAAGGACCTGAGGATGCCCTCCTAATCCCCAATTTAGGCCACCGAGGTAATCTCACAAATGCACCACGGCTGCAACTCCATCATGCACAGCGACACCCACCACACACATGCCACTCCCAGGCACAAAGGTATGCAGGATGTGTGCACAAACCTACCACAAACACACACACATGCATGCACACACAAACACACACACAAATGCACGCACACCAAGCAAATGCACACACACCACACATGTGTACCTGCAAAGGTACACATGCACACGCATACATGTCATTGATCACAAACACACCGGACCCCCAGTTAAAAAGACTCAAGAGGAAGGGAACTGCAGGACACCCACCCAGAAGTCCATGTGCTCTCCATAAGGGATAGACTCCTCCCTCCTTACTGCCTCTTCTGGGCTTTTTGTCACAAGCACACATCGTTTTCATCTCACCATGCACCCCATGCCCTCCTGGCTCTCCCACCCGCAGAATTTGCCCCTGCGCTTAGCTCGGGCCTCCCCACTAACCTGGCTCCTGCTGCTCACCCAGCCCTGCCACCTCCTCTACGTGCCAGCCAACCATCAGCACGCACTGCAGTGGCCAGGGTTCTTTATCCATTCAGCTTCTCCCAGCCAGCGAGCCCTGCAACCTCCACAGCCTGGTTCCCATAATGCACTAGCTAGGAGCCCCCCAGAGTCTCCCACAATCAATGAGCCATGCCACTTGTGTGAATTTCTGGCCCCTGCTTCTCGCCAGGGTGGAAGGGGTACAGTTCTCAGGACACATCCAGCAATTGCTACACACCTACTTGAAGCACTGAGATCACAGAAATTATGACTTGATGGTATTATGGTGACTTTTCTAATACGAAGGAGAAAAAGTAAAGCTAAATCATGTGCTTCGAAGGACCCGATATGGGAGAGCTACTCAAATGGTCCTGTGGGCTGGACCCCATGTGAGCTTCTGTCCTGTTGCTCCACTGAGCTGGCCCTTCTTAAGGTCACTCTGCCCTGCCAACCCACAACCAGCATGGCACTGGTGGGCCTGACAGGGCTGCCCCAAGGCCGGTCCTGCCCTGTTCCCCCCAGCCCCTGGCTCCAAGCTCTTCGGGTCTGAACCTAGATGCTACGTGACTATAAACCCACACAGAAGGAAACACAGTGGTGACCTCCACTGACCAGGCCTCCCCTCCTCCCTCCTGAGGGAGCGCTAAGCTAGTGAAGTGAAGCTGGGCCCACAGGCAGAAGACACCAGTTCGCCCAGCTGCTGCCAGGCAGGGGTCCAGGCTCCAGCCTTGCCAAGGGCGTCGTCTGCACAGCTGTGCCTACACTCGCCCAGCACAGGGCACAAGGCACACGTGGCACATCAATCGCCAAAAACTCTGGGAGTTTTTGCGTCCTCAGAAGGGGGAGAGCCACACCTTCTGAGGATCCCACCAAACTACCACAAGACCCTGGTCTCCATCCCCTCCTCGGCCCCAAACCCCATCCCCGATGCCCAGGAATTGGGGAGCTCGTGCCTCACTTCCAACTCCCAGGAATGGGGGGTGCTGGAGTCCCACCTCTGGCTCCTGGGTTGGGGATCTCCCCCTTTCCTCGCAAGCAGCAAGTGGCAGGTGTGTCTCTTCACCACAGGGCCCTGACAACGATCAGACACCAACAGATGCAACCCAGCACAGAGCAGACAGCAGACGCTGGTGGGCCCCAACCCCGCCTGTTTCCTCCACAGGTGTTGCCCCTGCACCACCCTTACCCCGCCAAGCCCAGGCTCCCAGGCCTCCCCTCCTCCCTCCTGAGGGAGCAGTAAGCTATTGAGGTGAGGCTGGGCCCGCAGGCAGAAGACACCAGTTCACCCAGCTGCTGCCAGGCAGGGGTCCAGGCTCCAGCCTCGCCAAGGGCGTTGTCTGCGCAGCTGTGCCCACTCTCGCCCAGCACAGGGCACGAGGCACACATGACACACCAATTGCCAAGAACTCTGGACGGGCCAACACTCCGCTCTTCCTGGGTCCCCTGAGTTCGGCTCTGCCCAAGCGTGAGGGCACAATGAGCAGACTACTGGGGGCCCTGGCCAGCCAGAGAGTGCAGAGGGCAGACAGTGAGTGGATGCGGGCCTTGCAGAAGCACAGCCACACCACCACCGCTGGAGACAGGGCGGAGGCACAGGCTGCCTGCCTGCCTGGGGAGAGACCAGTGGCAGGGCGGTCACCAAAGCCACCTTCCATGGAGCACACCCAAGGGAGAAAACTGTGGCCCAGGCCTCAAGGCTCCTGCAATCTTGCGGTGGAAACCACGGAGCCTTTGCCCTGACCAGAACACATGCGCCAAAGGTGTCTTCCTGTGGGCAGAGGGAAGCATTCCAGCAAACATTCTGTGCTCTCCACTCTCACCAACCCACAGTCGCAAACTCCAATCAGCTGCCTGGCAAGAAGCCACACAACCCACAACTGTAAGGACCTGCCAGGCACGTGGTCTCCACAGGAGCTCCGAGATGGAAGGTCTCCTGGGAGCCGCCGGCGCAGATCCATGTTCCGGAATGGTCTCTGCCAGAACGCTCCCTGGACTGGGCTCCCATGCTGCCCCAGCAGCCGCTTTCCTGGAAAGGCACTCCCTGCTGTGGCGGCATAATCTCCTCCTTCTGGCTTCCAGCCATCCTAAGGACTGAACAGAGTCACCACCTTGCCCCCGGCCCACTGTTCGAGGAGATGCTAACAGAGGGCTTGACCTTCTGAGAACCGAGAGAATTCAGCCCCCGCCTGGCCTCTCGTAAGACACAAACCACCAGACGTGGGCCTGGGCTCTGGGCTGGGCCAGGTGGATGAAGGGGAGGCTGGTGGTCCAGGCGGCTGCTCTTGGCTGCAGGGTTTCTGGGCACACATCCGGGTAGCACGCATCCTGGCCTTCAGCAACCTCGTTTTAAATGGGACCACACCAGGAGCAGCCAGGGCGCTTTCATTTTCACTTTCTTTCCCCGGGGGGGACAGGAACATTCCTTTACCTCCTGAGGAAATCGGGCTCTTCCAGAGCCACAGAGGAGTGAAGGCCCCAGCCCTTCACGATGCTGCGCGGCTATGTTTGGGTCTGTCCATCAGGGAGAAAGAAAAACCGGCCGAGTCTTGCACAGGGTCCTCGACAGCAACCCCAGGTAAAGAGCAGAGCAAGCCTGAGACAGGAAGGGGCCATGAGCCCAAAGACAGCAGAGCAGGACCCAGCCCGGGGCCTCAGGACCGACCTCTTTCATGCAAAGACGAAACCGAGGCCCACCACACGCAGGGTCAAAATCAACTTTGAGGCACCTGCTTCCCACACCAGTCCTTACTGGGGCATACTTCTAAGGCGACGCTCAAGAATGGCAGCAGGGCAGCTTCAAGAACCCCAACCCGGACTCTGGCTTTGGAGAATCCGAACCCCAAATGCCACACCCATGCGTCGGGAAGGCCTGCTGTTTCCCCAAGTCCCCGTCTCTGCGCCGTGCCGCGGAGTAGGCAGAATCCTGGGAGCCCCGGAATAGCCGGCTCCATCCGCCCAGGACCCCAAGGCTTGCAGGGTGAGGTGGGAACCGGAGCGCACACCGCGCCGGGCCAGCGGTAGGGACTCCCAGCTGCTCTCTTTGGCGGCGCGCCCAGGTGTCGGGAAGACACCGAGCGCTCCTATACGCCCGGGGAGCAGCTCGACACTGCGATAACTGCCGGCCTGCCCAGCTCCTGAGGAGCGCCCCGCCCTCCGGGACCCGGGCTCCGCTGCGTTGCCAGCCCGTCCGCCCTCCAGAGCTCCCCCGTTCTCAGGGCCCACAGTTGAATGCGGCACAGGGCGTCTCGGCTAGGAGGAGATCCGGAGGCGGCGTGGACTGGGCGACCGCAAAGCGCAGGGACCGCTGCCGCCTCGACCCGAGTCACCCTCGCGATCGCGCTTGTCGTACTCACCGTCCGGTGGGGCCCGGCCCAGGGCGGCCGCAGCCAGCCCGGCCAGCGGGCGCCGCAGCATCCGGGGCCACCTCTTCCGCCCACTGAACCTACGTGACAGCGCCGCACCGGCCCACCTCCGCCCGCGCGCGAGACTGACGTCATGAGGCGACTGCCCCGCCCATGTCTCACTCGTTCTTCCCCGCCCCTTAGGGAAGTACTTACCTCAGTGCCTCGCTAGCCCCGCCTCCACCTGCGCTGGCCTGTCGCGACCGCAGGGGCGTTCAGCACAGCGCCCTCCCAGCCCGTCTTCTCCCGCTGCGTCACAGCGCCACGCCGGCCCGCCTCCACACAGCGCGAACTAACATCACGACCCGCCGGCCCCGCCCACGGCGTACTTGTCCCGCTTGTCACTCAGAGAAGTACCTCAGTGCAGCGCGGGCCCGGCTTTCATCTGCTACGTCACAGCGCTGCCTCAGCCCGCCTCCTCCCGCTTATGTCACAGCGCCGTTTCCGTCCTCCATCTACACTGCAGGGACCTAACTAACGAACGACTCCGCTAGCCCGTTCCAAACCGGCCACTCTCCAAAAACCATTAATTGGGGAATGTGGCCGGGCGCGTGGTTCACGTCTGTGATCCCAGCTCTTTGGGAGTCCGAGCCGGGAGGACCGCTTGAGGCCAGGAATTGGAGACCAGCCTGGGGATCATAGGGAAACCCCTTCTGTACCAAAAAATTTAAAAACTTTTTTGTGCCTGTAGTCCTTGCTACTCGGGAGGCTGACGTGGGACGGTCGCTTGAGCCTGGGCAGTCGAGGCTGCAGTGAGCGGTGTTCGTGTCACTGCACTCCAGTCTGTGTGACAGAGCGAGACCCTATTTCTTTCTTTTTTTATTTTTTGAGACGGAGTTTCGCTCTTGTCACCCAGGCTGGAGTTCAGTGACGCCATCTCTGCTCACTGCAACCTGGGCCTCCTAGGTTCAAGCGATTCTCCTGCCTCAGCCTCCCGAGTAGCTGGGATTACAGGCGCCCGCCACCACGCCCAGCTAATTTTTGTATTTTTAGTAGAGACAGGGTTTCACCATGTTGGCCAGGCTGGTCTTGAACTCCTAACCTCAGGTAATCCACCAACCTTGGCCTCCCAAAGTGCTGGGATTACAGGCGTGAGCCACTGCACCTGGCCACGGGACTCTATTTCTAAAAATTATTTTAAATTTTTAAAAAAGATTTATTGAAGGCTGGGTGCAGTGGCTCACACCTGTAATGCCAGCACTTTGGGAGTCCGAGGCAGGCAGATCACCTGAGGCCAGGAGTTTGGGACTAGCCTGGCCAAAATGGTGAAACTCTGTCTCTACTAAAAATACAAAATCAGCTGGGTGTGGTCGTGGGCCCCTGTAATTCCAGCTACTGGGGTGGCTGAGGCAGGAGGATCACTTGAACCTGGGAGGTGGAGGTTGCAGTGAGCCGAGATCAAGCCACGGCACTCCAGCCTAGACGACAGAATGAGACTCCGTCTCAAAAAAAAAAAAAAAAAGTATTGAATGTGAACTGCAGGAGAGCAAGAAAAAAAGTAAAACTTTAAAAAATACAACTTCAAAAAAATGTGTTGGGGCTGGGCACCATGGCTCATGCCTGCAGTCCCAGCACTTTTGGAGGCCAAGGCGGATGGATCACTTGCCCCGGAGTTGGAGACCAGCCTGGGCAACATGGCAAAGCCTTGTCTCTATTTTTTTTAAATACTAATAATAAAACAGTTTGTTGGACAAGGGATTGTAACCTGGAATACATGTGCTATGTCATACCATAGGTGCTGCATTGGGGGAGGTGGGCAAGGAGAAGCTTTTTAGGCAAAAAAAGGGGAAGTTCACTGTCAGAGGCAAAATTATGTCATATGTATTCATAGGTCTCGCTGGCTTTTATTCGTGATTCATGAATTGAGGCAGCCTTCATTCTACAAAATAGAATAAAAGCCCCTGCCTGAATTAGCCAGGTGTGGTGGCGGGCACCTGTAGTCCCAGCTACGCAGGAGGCTGAGGCAGGAGAATGGCGTGGACCCGGGAGGTGGAGCTTGCAGTGAGCTGAGATGCGCCACTGCACTCCAGCTTGGGCGACAGAGCGCGACCATCTCAAAAAAAAAAAAAAAAAAAAAAAAAGCCCCTGCCTGGGCGATAGCAGAACCATGGGTTTTGTAAGGTGAGGAGAACGAGGAAACAAGATAGAAAAATAACAGATTGATAACCTTAGCTTACTTCAGGTTACTCTTTTGTAAGGGTTAGAGAGAAGAAGGGACTTCCTTATTATGCCAACTGAGGAAAAACTAATCTGTTTTGGGATTTAGTTTCTTATGTAGTATTTAACATAAGTGATTTAATTTTGGTTTGGCCTGGTCTATTGGGACCTAGTGCAAGAGCTCGGTCCAAAACAATGGCCTCCCATGATTTTTTAAAAACAATTTTTACCCATTTTGATCAGGCTCTCACCTAGCTTGACCAAAACTTAAAAGTGCCTCTCTCAGTTACTATCAGTTTGGGTTTCTGGTCTCAACATGTCATTGATAGGTTACAGTGTCTTCATGATCATGCTTTTCTTTTCTTTCTTTCTTTTTTTTTTTGAGACGGAGTCTCGCCCTGTCGCCCAGTGCAATAGCACAATCTCAGCTCACTGCGACCTCCACCTCCTGGGTTCAAACAATTCTCCTGCCTCAGCCTCCTGAGTAGCTGGGATTACAGGTGCCCACCACCATGCCCAGCTAATTTTTGTATTTTTAGTAGAGATGGAGTTTCACCATATTGGCCAGGCTGGTCTCAAACTTCTGACCACATGATCCGCCCGCCTTGGCCTCCCAAAGTGCTGGGATTGCAGGCGTGAGCCACCATGCCTGGCCATGATCATGCATTTCTTTGAGTTTGTGTCATTCCAGCTGAAGAGGGACCATTTGATGTTCAATGGATGGTCACATGCAAACATTTAAAACATTTGAAAGGATACAACACACCAGGGAGACTACTATTGTGACTGTCAGGAGGATAATACCAAGGGTTTGGAGTATGTTCCTTAGCCAGAGTCCCTGTGAACCCAACCAACGAAAACTGAATAGATCAAACAATAAGCCAGATGGGGAGTCTACCCATTTTAACCAAGTAGCCTGTTTGTTAATTTTTTGCAGCTGAGTCTACAATACCTGATGTATTTACCCATGTGCAACAAGATGTGTCAGAAACCACACAGACCCCTTCCTGTTCAGCTAGTAGGTAATCTATGTAAAATTAAGGCAGGGAGTGAGAAGAAGTGGGTCTGGTTTGCTTTGATGCCAAACAGTTGCATCAGGGATGTTGCCAAACTTACCCACTAAGTAAACTAAAGGATCTGTTGGGTCATAAAGATGAGAGTCTGGCCTGACAGACCCGATATATTTATCAGGTAACCCACAGAAGCTACTGGTGTGAAATTCTAACTACAGCATTAGCCTGCCAAGTGAAAGAGATAGGCATGAGCAAGGAAAAATTGAGAGGGGCAAGAGGCTAGTCTTCTTTGGATATCTGGGGAAAAGCTTCACAATGTAAAATGGTCAACTTCTGGTCCTGATTTGTAATATGACTGTCTCTGATTATGACAACAGATGGTTTGGTGAACTCTGTATGGTCCACACGTTGGCATGAGACTTGTCCCTTGATGCTTACATCAAGTTGTCCAGCTTAGTAGCTTTGTTCTTAAGGTGGAGAGTTGTCAACATATGTTGGAGGAAACAAGAAGAATTCAGGGTCCAGTCCATTCTGCAGGTAGATAATAAAAACTCTAGAACAACAAACAAGGCTACAATCTAAGAACAAGTGTACTATAATGTTCTTTCTTCTGAAACATACATTTTCTCTTTACAGTTGCCCCTCATTTCTACCAGAGATAATCAGAGTAAGACTAATTTGTTTGCAAAATGTTTAGCCTCATCAAACTTGCCCTGCTTATTTAGGTAAGTTCAGTGAGAATAGCATCAACCACATAGGCTCTTTTAAGTTTGCTTGGGTGGAACTTTAGATCAGGAATCTCAAAATGAACTTTTAAAAATCTTTCGATGCTAGGAAGCCAGTGTAGATAGAATGCGTCTGTAAGTACTGCAGGCAAAGTCTGTATCTACAGTCTCAATTTCGATATCCCAGTCATAATATAACCAATATTTCCAATTGTGTCCTGTTATAAAGAGGGCAGATTCTCCTCCTCCTTCTTCCTCTTCTTTCTTCCTCTTCTTCTGTCAGGGCCTCACTCTGTTGCCCAGGCTGGAGCACAGTGGTGCAATAATAGCTCCCTACAGCCTCAACCTTCTAGCCTCAAGTGATCTTCCCTCCATCTCAGCCTCCCAAAGTGCTGGGATTAATCCCTCACTTTTGGGAGGCTGAGATGCCCAGCCAAGAGCAGATTCTATTGAGCATATACAAATAATTATTTTGTCATAAAAATAAGAATCCTCATGAGTAGTTTCTAAATTCTGGAAGGATCAGGTAGGGAGAAAAAAGCAATGTCTCCATTTTTGTTCACAAAGGTATGTTACCAAATTGCCTTAAGCTATAGATAGCCTAAAAGAAAAGGTTTCCCTAAATCTGAAAAACGAAAGAACCAGCAATATTTTTGAATTCTAAAAAGACATAGAAACCCATAATTCATCAGTCCATTTAGTCTTGTGTGATTAATTTTTGTCCTGCTTGATGTTGGGTTAGCAATTTGGTGAGTCTAGCTTTTCCCTTAGAGTTCTAGAAATTCTTACCCAGCCCAGTGGTATGATCTTAAAATGATCAGAAATCTGTACTTGTCAGAGTCTTTTCCATCTGTGGTGTCCTGATATAGAGATGTTGTCCACAGTTCCTAGCTCATAGTTCCCAGAACCATTGTTACAAAGCATGTTGGGTGCTTTGGGTCTCAGGAGACAGAATATTTCTGACCTTCTCTTTCACTTGCCCAAGGCAGGACTCTAATCTGATTGTGGATCAAAAGACCCTCATTCCAGAAAGGGTCCTTCGCCATACTCTGGAGGAAGGACGTGGACAGGTCCTGCTAGGTTTAGATCAGACTTTATTTTTATCCAATCGTGTTTGACACAGTTGTCCATGCTTCTATCATGGACAACCAATAAAGTATAGAAGGCCCACAGGACAGGATTTGGGGGGCATCCAGAGAGCTGAACATGTGGAGGCTGAGAGAAAGGTGAAGAAGAACTCATCCACAGGCTGGGAGGGTGTTGCACCCCAACTCCATGAGGACAGAAGCTCCTGCGCTTAGGACCCTTCCAGACTTCGCCCTATGCGTCTCTTCATCTGGCTGTTGATTTGTATCCTTAAAAATACCCTTCTTAATAAACCAGCAAACATAAGTATTATCTTCACCCAACTGCCGCCGCACTGCCATCATGGACACCAGCCACATGCAGCCTATCAAGCTGGTCAGGGTCACCAAGCTTCTGGGCAGAATGGGCTCTAAAGGACAGTGGTCGCAGGTGTGCATGGAATTTATGGAGGATGCGAGCCGCTCCATCATCCACAATGTAAAAGGCCCCGTGTGCGAGGGCGATGTGCTCACCCTGTTGCAGTCAGAGTCAGAGGTCGGGAGGTTGCGCTGAGCTTGGCTGCTGGCTGGGTCTTGGATGTTGGGTTCGACCACTTGACCAGTGGGAATGGTGTGCTGCGTTCTCCTTTATTTTATTCTTGGCCTGCCACGCAGGAATTGAGATGTGTCTTTAAATAAAGCATTTGTGTTTCAAGTTAAAAAAAAATTGGCTGGGCACGGTGGCTCAAGCCTGTAATCCCAGAACTTTGGGAGGCCAAGGCAGGCAGATCACCTCAGGTCAGGCGTTCAAGACCAGCCTGGCCAACATGGCAAAACCTCGTCTCTACTAAAAATACAAAAGCTAGCTGGGCATGGTGGCGGGCGCCTGTGATCCCAGCTACTCAGGAGGCTGAAGCAGGAGAAATGCTTGAACCCGGGAGGCGGAGGTTGCAGTGAGCTGAGATCATGCCACTGTACTCCAGCCCGGGCAATGGAGCAAGACTGTCTCAAAACAAAAACAAAAACAAAAAACAAAACAAAACAAGAAAACACGTTTCCCTGAGTTCCGTGAGCCACTCTAGCAAATTAATAAAACCCAAAGAGAGGGTTGTGGCACCCCCAACTTGAAGCCAGTTGGTCAGACGTTCCCAAGACCTGGACTTGCAACTGGTGTCTGGGAGTGTCAGGGGCAGTCTTGGGGACTGAGCCCCGAGCCTGTGGAATCTGACACTGTCTCCAGGTAGATAGTGTTAGAATTGAGTTGGAGGACACCTCGCTGGTGTCCACTGCCTGGTGTGTGGGGAAAAACCCTACACCTTTCGTCACAGAAGTCTTCTGTGTTGATTGTCATGGCAGTGTGAGAACAAAGGAAAAAACCCAATTTGAGAGAATTTTTCCCAAAGCACCAAGGTTTCCATGCATCTCCTTGAAGACACAACCACTTTAGGATTATAGTTGCTTGCAAAACACTTTTAGAAAAGCATGAGTATAAACTAATTAACTGTGAACAACCACACTTTAAATGGCCATGGGTAAAGATCTGGTGAGAGTGCCTAATAATAATGTCTCAGTTGACAAGGAAATTTAATTATTTCTGTGGCATACAATGATTTAACAAAATAACCAAAATCATGGCTAACATACCAGAGTTTTACGAATTTTATACAATTTATGAAACACATATTAATAACATGTCCACACAAAAATAATTCAAAGATGGCTTAGCATCAGTTATTTGACAATGCTTCCCATATAGTTTTGTTTTGTTTTGAGACAGAGTCTGGCTCTGACACCCAGTGCCACCCAATCTGTACTCTGGGTGACAGAGTACAGTGGTGCGATCTTGGCTCACTGCAACCTCCACCTCCCGTGCTCAAGCGATCCTCCCACCTCAGTAGCTGGGACCACAGGTGCGTGCCACAATGCCTGGCTAATTTTTTGTTTTTTGGTAGAGATGGGGTTTCACCATGTTGCCTAGGCTGGTCTTGAACTCCTGAGCTCAAGAGATCCATCCACTGTGGCCTCTCAAAGTGCTGGAATTACAGGTGCAAGCCACTGTGCCTGACCCCCATATAATTTAACATGCCAAATGAAAATAATTGGTTTGATATATCTCTTTTGGATGTTCCAGAGGCCTTCTGGAATATCCCAAAATTAGCTTGACTCAAAACTTAATTTAGAATTGGATTTTGGGAAATTTGTCAAAATATAAAAAGGTTTAAAACACTTGATTAAAATAGGATCTCAGGTCACTGTGGAATAACAATCATTGATTTAACCAGAGTAATAATTAAAATACTTCAAAAGGCAAATATACATTACAGAGTTGTCAACAAAAACTTAGGTATTTTAACATTGTGAAGACTCACTTAAATAATCAAAGACCCAGGCTGGGCATGGTGGTGCACACCTATAATCTCAGCAGTTTGGGAGGCTGAGGCAGGTGGATTGCTTGAGTTCACGAGTTTGAGACCAGCCTGGGCAACATGGTGAAACCTTGTCTTGACAAAAAATACAAAAATTAGCCGGGCCTGGTGGTGTGCACCTGTAGTCCCAGCTACTTGAGAGGCTGAGGTGGGAGGATGGCATGAGCCCAGGTGGCAGAGGTTGCAGTGAGCCAAGATGGTGCCACTGCACTCCAGCCTGGGCAATAGAGCCAGACGTTGTCTCAAAAATAAATAACTAAATAAAAATAAAAAATAAAGACCTAATAAAAGCCAAAGCACAAAAAATTATCTTGATGAAACACAAAATCTTTTTTTCCTACACCAATTGAAAGGAAAAAGAATCCTTCACATTCTCAGACCAATACTCCAAGAAAACTTTGTCATCTTAACAAAGAGCAAATACTACTTTTGCACCAGTGTACTATTAATGCTAAAGCTAATTTTAATAAAACCATTCAAATAAATCCATTCAGTTTCAGTCAGGTTTGATAACACAAAATTTCCACAAACCATTTATAACCCCTTTGTTAAACAAAAATGTGTTATTCATATCTTTGCTTATCAAACACATCTTTTTTTCCTTGCAGACAGAGTTGTTTTCTTTCTAGTAGTTTAATCCCATATGTTATTACAACTTTTAACTGTTAGAATCTTAATTTCTAGAACACTAGCAAGCATTGTGGTGAACTTATATCAGCATTCACCATTTCATAATTTCTGGAAACAATATTTCATGTTACTAGACCTAAATGCACTTAGCTTTTCTATACCATATAAAAACACGATGCCAAAGTGTTTAAACTTATGCTTAGTAACTAATGTTTCAGTATGCTAACTTACTTAAGACATATTTATACCCATGTGAAGAAAGTGTCTGGATAAAGTCCATCTGCCAAACCCTGAGTGGCCCATTAGGCAGGTCAGAATGGCCAAGGGCTGTTCACACTGGCTTTCCAGCATTGATTTCAAAGCAGGTCTGGCAGGTCAGGTAAGCCCTTTTTAGCAAGTCCATTGACGTGGCCCCACCAGTACTATTCATAAAGGTGATCCTCTTTTCCATAGCCCCATGGCTCAATTCATGCATAATACTTAACAGAAATTTCATGGAGAAAAGTACAGGTAAAAGTAAAAGGACAGGCCTTTTACTTGGTCCACACCAGAGTTCCTCTCTATCACTGAACCATCAGCCTGTATTTTTCCCGTTGTGGTTTTTTTGGCCTCTGGTGCTGGATAATGTTCATCTTTAGTCATGGTTCTAAGATCATCCTTTGAAAATCTTTCCAGCTGGAAAATTACACCTTATGTCTTCATAAGAGGAAGAGAGACCACCCCCCTCACCATATGATGTCCCGAGCCACCTCCCTTAGGACTCTGCAGGGAGTCCCCACCAGCAAGAAGGCCCTCACCAGATATGCCCCCTTGACTTTGGACTTCCTAGCCTCCAGAACTGTGAGAAATCCGTAGGACTCTTAAGGGCAGCATTCTTAGCAACATTCTCAGCAAGGTAGTATCCTCTAGCCTCCACGGAGTCTAGTTTCAAATGGCCTGGAACCTTTATCATGGCCACAGCAGCAGGTATTTGTATTGCATATAATAAATCATAAGGTTCATTATTGAAAGTGAGGAAACCTGTTTCCACAACATTCCAAAATCATGAGCAACTCCAAATACTTACCTGCTATCTGTGTAATGGTTAGCAGATTTCCCCTTAGCGAGAAAGCAGGCTCCAGTGAGGGCAAATAGCTCCACCTGCTGGGCTCAAGTGGCTGAAGGTCAAGAGGCTGCTTTCCCAACCTCAAAGCAAGTGGGCGTAGCATGACCTGCAGGATATTCACCGCGATCATCCTGCAGGTATGAGCTATCTGTGAACCGGGATAGTTTCACATAGTCCAGGGGAGTTTTCTGTAAATCCTTTCGGGAAATCAAAAGATGATCCACTGGCCGGGCGCGTTGGCTCACGCCTGTAATTCCAGCACTTCGGGAGGCTGAGGCGGGCGAATCACGAGGTCAGGAGATCGAGACCATCCTGGCTAACACGGTGAAACCCAGTCTCTACTAAAAATACAAAAAAGTTAGCCGGGCGTGGTGGTGGGCGCCTGTGATCCCAGCTGCTTGGAAGGCTGAGGCAGGAGAATGGCGTGAACCTGGGAGGCGGAGCTTTCAGTGAGCCGAGATCGGGCCACTGCACTCCAGCCTGGGCGACAGAGCGAGACTCCGTCTCAAAAAAAAAAAAAAAAAAAAAAAAAAAAAGATGATCCACTAAAATCAGACAGTGGCATCTCATCCCAGAGTAGAGAGGAAGGAGAGTGGTGGGATTAAGTTTATTACAGCAAGAGAAAGTAATATGGGGAGTGGTTAACAGAAGGGTCTCATAAAAGGTGAGGTGGCTAGAAGAAAATGTGGCACAAAAATGGTCCAAGGAGATCCCCTGACGACTTCTTTGGTGGATTTGACCCACAGGGTGGTGGCAGGGATAGCCCTCAGACAAGGAGATCTGCAAGCTCCCAGGTCCCACTGTTCACTGTAGTATCATATGGGAATATGCTGATTTTCATGCTTTTAAAAAATTTTCAATTTAAATTTTCTTCAGAGACAGGGTCTCACTCTGTCACTCAGGCTGGAGTGCAGTGGCGTGATCATAGCTCACTGCAGCCTTCAACTCCTGGGTTCAAGTCATCCTCCCACCACAGCCTCCCAAGTACATGGGACTACAGGTGTGCTACTATGCCTGGCTAATATTTAATTTTTTTGTGGGGGGGGGGGTCTCGTTATGTTGCTAAGCCTAGTCCCAGACTCCTGTCTTAAGTGATCCTCCCACCTCAGCCCCCCAGCCATGGCCAGCTGCGTGCTTCTCAGTTAAAACTGCCAGGGTGCTTCCTTCTTTTTCATGTACAGAAAGGAAAAATTGGGGGTTGTGTCGCTTCTCGGCCTTTTGGCTAAGATCAAGTGAAGAAGAGGAGTTGCCTTAGTCTCCTGTTGATGTGACTGAATACCTGAGACTGGGCAATTTATAAAGAAAAAGAATTTATTTCTCACAGTTCTGGAGGCTAGGAAGTCCAAAGTCAAGGGGGCATATCTGGTGAGGGCCTTCTTGCTGGTGGGGACTCCCTGCAGAGTCCTAAGGGAGGTGGCTCGGGACATCATATGGTGAGGGGGGTGGTCTCTCTTCCTCTTATGAAGACAGCAGTCTCACTCCCAGGATAGCTCAGTAATCCATTAACCCATCAATCCCCAAATCCATGGATAGATTAACCCATTCACAAGAGCAGAACCCTTATGATCTAATCACCTCCTAAAGGCGATACTTCTCAATACTGCTGTATTGAGGATTAAGTTTCAACATGAGTTTTGAAGGGGACAAACATTCAAACCATAGCAGTTGCTAATTAGGGTGTCCCAAGGCTGGGGAATTTAATAAAATTCCCTGTTTAGCTTGTCAAAAGCCACATCTTCTGTGTCTTCCCAAACAATGGGGTCTGGTTTACTGGTTTTAGCAGAGGCACTGAGCCAGAAGAGAAGACCTGGGGATCCAGCAAACCCAAGAAATCCACAAAGCTGGTGCTCAGTTCTAGATTTATACGGAATTATAGGGATTATAGGGAATTATAAAATGTCTTGTATGCAGCCTGGGTCTGAGTGTGGTCCACTTCCTGAAATTAGGTGGCCTAAATACTTTTCCTGGGTTTTTACCAGTTGTAATTTTTCCTTAGAAACTTAATGGACTTTACCAGCTAGGAGTTTTAACAAGGGTACACTGTCTTCCTCACATGCTGCCTGTGAGGGAGAACAGTGGAGGTCATCCACATATTGCAGTAGAGTGGACCCATGAGGAAAGTGACATCCTTCAGGTTGGCCTTTAGAATTTGGAAAGTAAGGGCCAGGTGTGGTGGCTCACGCCTGTAATCCCAGCACTTTGGGAGGCCAAGGCGGGCTAATCACAAGGTCAGGAGATCGAGACCATCCTGGCTAACATGGTGAAACCCAGTCTGTATTAAAAATACAAAAAATTAGCCGGGCATAGTGGCGGGCGCCTGTAGTCCCAGCTACTCGGGAGGCTGAGGCAGGAGAATGGCATGAACCCGGGTGGCGGAGCTTGCAGTGAGCCGAGATTGCGCCACTGCACTCCAGCCTGGGCAACAGAGCCAGACTCCATCTCAAAAAAAAAAAAAAAAGGTTTTGGAAAGTAAGAAGGGCTCTCAGTGAAACATTGGGCATGACCGTCCAGGTACACTGTTGGCCTTCCCAAGTGAAAGCAAAAGGCCTTGACTGGCCTGGCTGACCAGATGTTAAAGAAGGCACTGCACAGATCAATTGCAGTGAAGAACTACCATCAGTTGGAATTGAGGTCAGCAAATTATGGGGGTTTGATACAACTGAGTGGTGAGGTGCAACCATATTGTTTATTGCACAAAGGTCTCGAACAAATCTCTACTCAGAACCATTAAGTTTCTTTACTGGCACAATTGGAGTGTTAAAGAACTTTGGTACACGACATTACAAGACCTTGTGCCTTATAATCTGCAGTGATGGATTTTATGACCAATAGATCTTCCTTGTTTGAGGTATTTAAAGAGTCAGGAAGTTGCAGGATTGAGTCAGTTTGACCTAGTTTGTCAAATCCCAAAATTATTTTCCCCTTTTGGGAGAAAGAAAGTCCTGCATGATGTTTGTTTGCAGGCCAGGCACTCTGGCTCATGCCTGTAATCCCAGCACTTTGGGAGGCCAAGACAGGCAGATCACTTGAGGCTAGGAGTTCAAGACCAGCCTGGCCAACATGGCAAAAACCCATCTCTCTTAATATAAAAAAGATTTTTTAAAAAAAGTGTTGGCCAAGAATGTGGACCGGGGCTGAATTACTAAGAACAAAAGAGATCCTGTAAGAGACTGAGGCAGAAAAGGATAGATAGGACTACAAAGACATCTTGAGGTTTGTTATAGACTCAAAACTATTTGTATTTACTCCAAAGCAGAGGCTGGTTGAGGTTAGTGGAGTTGAGCCCTGGAAATGTGGCTCCAGTAACTATAAGGACAGTTAGGACCTCATTCTTGATCTTAAGAGTTATTTCCCTAACATGGTTGTGGGGAAGGATGAGAAGAATCCCTACAATTCGCTGGAGTCCCATTACTGGGAGTTGATATGGTTTTAATGTCCTGCCCCAATTTCATGTTGAATTGTAATCCCCAGGCTGGGGGCAGTGTCTCATACCTGTAAACCCAAGACTCTGGAAGGCTGAGGCAGGTTGATTGCCTGGACTCAGGAGTTCGAGACCAGCCTGGGCAACAAGGCAAAACCCTGTCTCTACCAAAAATACAAAAAAATTAGCCAGGCATGGTGATGCGCGCCTATGGTCCCAGCTACTCAGGAGGCTGAGGTGGAAAGATTGCTTGAGCATGGGAGGCAGAGGTTGCAGTGAGCTGAGATTTTGCCACCGCATTCCAAACTGAGTAACAGAGTGAGGCCCTATCTAGAAAGAAAGAAAGAAAGAAAGAAAGAAAGAAAGAAAGAAAGGAAGGAAGGAAGGAAAGAATTGCAATCTCTATGTAGTATTGGAGGTGGGGCCTGGTGGGAGGTAATTGGATCACAGGGGTGGATTGCTCATGAATGGTTTAGCACCATCCTCTTGGTGCAGGTGCAGTCCTCATGATAGCGAGTGAGTTCTCGAGAGATCTGGTTGTTTAAAAGTGTGTGGCACCTCCCCCATTCTCTCTTGCTCCTGCTTCACCTTTTGCCATGATTGGAAGCTTCCTGAGTCCTCTCCAGAAGCAGATGCTGCATGTTTCTTGCACAGCCTGCAGAACTGTGAGCCAATTAATTCTTTTTTTTCTTACAAATTACCCAGTCTTGGGTATTTATAGCAATTCAAGAATGGCTTAATAAAGGAATATACACCTTGAGGGTTTTGAGGGAGGGGTCATTTAACTCTCTTTAACTTATAGCAACCTCTCTTCCAGTGTCCAGTTTTTTATAATAATGGTAGGGGCCAGGAGGATTTTGTTTGGGGGCTTCTGTTTGTTGCAGCTGGTGGTTGAGGATTTTGATAATTTTCTTTTTATTGGTATCCTCATGGGGCTGATTGGCCAACCTTACTAAATGTGGAGTGGACATGCCTCCGCATTCCATGTGGATTATTTTAACAAGCTGGGAAAGCTCTCAAGTTAGGCCATTCACAAACATAGAATTAAAGGCTACTTGGGTAGAATAAACATTTACAGAAGTCTAGAATTGTCCTTAAAGATGATGCGGAGTCAACTGTAACACTGTAATAATTCTGAACTTGTTCATTTGGTTTTGGGTACAAGTTGAATCTTGTTCCAGTCTATGGCTTTAAGGAAAACTTAAGAATAGCTCTGTGGGTCTTTAGATTGTGAGCTTGTTCCCAGTATTGGGGCGTTTGTCTAGTTCAGGTGGGGTCCAGTTAGCTTTAGCCATCCAATGTTGGGCTTGGCCTTCATCAACAAGTGTATGAAGCAGCTGTTATAGACTGGGAAAGCCAGACTGATAGGCCTGGATTACCATGTTGAATTCATCAGCAAATGAGTTACAGTCTTCAGTAACTTTTAGGAATTCCTTGGCAATGGCTCCGAGTTCAGCCTTAGTCCAAGCCTTGGTCAAAGGAACATAGGAGACTTGGGATTTAGCTGGGTCATCAGTGCTCATAGGAAGGGCTGTAGGAAGTCGGGGAGGAGGTTCCAGGGAGGAGAGAGTCTGGTCCTCTAAGGTTTTTTTTTTTTTTTTTTTTTTTTTTTTTTTTTTTGCCTCTTTTAATTGTTTACTTGTCTCAACTGGCTTTGAGACAGTGTTTTGTATAGAGGTAATTTTTGAGTCCTGAATGTGATTTGAAGCCTCAAGATGCCAATTGTAATATGTCTCCCATTAAGACTGACCCTATAGCCATGGTCTCCTAATTTAGTTCTCAGAAAAGTAAGCTTCAGAAGTTTGATCTGCAAATGGCCATTGGAGCTCCAAATTATCCTTAGTGTAATTTGCCCATTGGTTTAAAAGGGTGCACAAGGGTGATCCTGAATGTCTGGACATGGAGCTGGCTGGGGTCCTGAAGGAGGGTTGCCCTGCATGCTTTAGAATTTGGGAATCCCATTCTCTTTCTTAATCTCTCAAAAGCAAAAAGAAAATCCTATTGGTCCTTTGAGGAAACTAACTCTTGAACAAAGTGTTCTGCTTTCACAAGTATGCCTTTCACAGGATACTTGTTTTGCTTGGTGGATGGCCTTTGCCCTAAGTTGTCTGACCTGTGACCACGGAGCCCTTGTTACACAGAAATTTTCTTGAAACTGGTATGCCCCCAGTGGTAATATTGCCTGTATCTGACCAGTTTGTCCTTTCAAAGGAGTCTTTGACTTTGGAGACTCGAATCTGTTATAAAATGGTGGTGAGAACCCCAGTGGCTCTTAAGTGTTCAACCGTGTACAACAATGTTGTGTTATTTTGCTCTCAAACGATGTTTAGAAACAATGAAAACAAGAGGAAAAGGTCTAATTTGCATGCAAGCAGCCAAAAATGAAACCAAAAGAATACTCACCATGTGCAGGCTAAAGCACCTCCATCTTGGATGCTAGTCTTCCATGCTCACTTCTGATTAACCCCAGTTCTAGGACGTGTAGGAGTGTGGACTCACCGCACATCCTGCTATATGTCAAAACAATCTCTTCACATTATCATAAACATGATCATAAATCCTGCCTTTTGGAAAATTCTTGTCTTTCCCTGCGGGGTTGACTTCAATTGCCCTACATATTCCTTCCTTATGAAGGCCTGGGTCTGGGGGGTAACAGAGCAGGGATCCACTGTCTGCAGGCTGCCTGAGTCATGGCTTTTGTACATAAGTCTCTATCAAATTTTTTTTTCTGAGATTTCAGATTTTTCAGCCTCTTTCTTCAGCCTCTCAGCTCCCCCGGCCTTTTGCATGTAGGCTGTTCCAGTGCAGAACACACAAGAAAGGACGCAGTGTCAATAGAAACAAATCCTGAATAAAGTCAGAGAGTTCAACCAAAAGGGAGTTTGAATACAAGATAGAACTAAACCACACAGAATAAAGATTACTCATGGAAGCTGAGAGTGCAATGGACTCAGGTGGGTACTGCATATGGTTCCAGAGGTTGCCGATCTGGGAAAAGCTCCTCCTTTCTGTGTCAACCTGAAATTGTTAGCAGTGGTGAATCTGTATGGGTCTGCACCAACCTGAATTCTTGACACACCAAGGCAAATTTTAGAGCAGGAATGAAAGTTTATTATTAAAAAGTTCTAGAGCAGGAACGAAAGGAAGTAAAGTACACTCGAAAGAGGACCATGAGGGCAAC
This sequence comes from Homo sapiens, assembly GCF_000001405.40. Classification (NCBI taxonomy): domain Eukaryota; kingdom Metazoa; phylum Chordata; class Mammalia; order Primates; family Hominidae; genus Homo; species Homo sapiens. Next base: position 228,124,593 of record NC_000001.11, on the reverse strand, counting down.
TTGAGAGATTCAAGTGCACGATTTGACCTTTGACTTGGGGTCTTATACATTGGCATGTTTCTGAGATCTTGCATCTCTTCTCCCCTGATTCTTCCCTTAGGGTGGGCGGTCTACATGCTCAGTGGCCTGCCAGCACTTGGGAGGGGCCACATGCACAGTGTGTTTACTGGAGTTGTATGCATGCTCATCTGAGGCATTCTTCCCTTACCAGTTGAGTGTTCCTAGAGGAAGGTCATACACCAGTTAAACTCTGCCATTTTGCCTCTTAGTGCTCATGCTTGACCCCACTCACCCAACTCCTAAGATCTTATTTGGAAGCTGCTGATTAACAGCTTCAGGTGTTATCTATCTATTAGGACACAGCTTTCCCTGGCACCAGCTGCAATCAATTATTTTAAAGCAACAGTTTAGCAACTGCCTGATTATCACCTGGTGATTGTCTGACATTCCTGGTTTGGGGGAGGGCCTCTCCTGCCCTGCTCATGTCTGCCTAACTACCTACAGTATCAAAATGAGCAAGAGAGACCAGTTCTCAAAACAAAGAGTTTACTTGCTAATAGCCAAGGAATTGCAATCTGGGATGCATGTGCTTTTGTGGACCATAAGCATATTTGAGGGGTTGGGGCAAGAGGAAGCTTTTGAAGGCAAAAAAGAGTAAGTGCATGTAAGATATTTTGAAACATAAATTACTGTTCACAGGGGCTTATTGCAGGCAGTGTTTGTTCATTGGTGGTGCTGGCTGTTGCTAGCAGAGGTGTAACTGAACTCAGGTCTGGGCCACTTGTAGCTTGAAAGGCAAAAACTCAAGAGACAAGCTTTGGTGAAAGGAAAGTTAGCTTTATTCAAGAAGCCAGCAACCCAGGGAAGGCAGTGAACTAGGGTTCAAAGATCACCTTTCTGAGTCATGCTTCTAAATCAGGGGTTTTTAAGGGAAATTAGGGAGAATAATGAAAACATTCTTGTGAAACGTGGGCATTCTCAGGTGGGCATTTAATCCTTGCCTTCTTGGTCAATGCTTTGTGGCCTTCTGTGGGTATGGTCAGGCCGGCCAATTCATTCCCAGAGCTGTTGGTTGGCACATTTTAAAAAATCTCTGTTGAAGGTCCTCTTTTTCTGAGGCTGTTTTTAGTGAATAATCTAAAGACTCAAGCAAAGCAATAATTGTATTCAAGCAAGCAAGCTTTCCTCTAACATGGAGTCAGTACTGTTACAGAGGCTCTTCATAGAAGAGCCCCTTCTTCCATGGAAGTGACTTAACTGAAAGTTCTGATAGGGAAAGTCACCTGCTTATGTCACAGCTCTGCACTGGCCCACCCCACTTGCCCCTGCAGTGACTTAGGTCACCACTGTGCAGGCCTGGCTTAAGTCAACCCATGCCACCCCCTTGGGTTGTCAGCCTTAGAAAGACTGGCTTCCTAAAAGAAAACATTTTATTTGAGAATAGCAAAAGATTGCAACCAAAGGTATGCATGTATGATATTGTGAAATATACATATTTAGGCTTTGTCTCCATTTTGGGGGCTCAGAAACAGATATCCCCAAAATATGGCGCTTTGACATGCAGAAATGAAGAAGCTGCAAGGTCTCTCTGACCTTCCCCACCTCATGTCTCCCAATTCTCTGTCTCTCCCAAAGCACAGGATAAAGTTGTTCTCTGAAGCTCCCTTATCTGCCTAAAGAAGGAAACAATTATCTCTGGTCCCTTCCCTGAGTTTTTATTAACTGAATTCATATTGCAGGGAGAAAGTCTGAAGTCAGTCCACCTGGACAGATGTCACAAACCACCGTCTACCCTCTGAGCCCAACAGACTTCGTGGAGGCCATTGTATGTTCTTCAAGCCCATTGAACTCCCCTAAAAATCATTTACTGAGCTCCTAAAATCATTTATGCTTCCCCATCTCCCTTGCCCTTAAGGGCAAGTAACCATCTGTACCCCACTCAGTGGTGGGGTAGTCACTCTGAGATTTTCTCCCATCATATTAATAAATTTGTGTGTCATATATATTCATCGCTGTTTTGTCAGATGATTTTCAGCAAATCTTGAGGGTGAAAGGTCTTTCCTGGCATACAACACCTGAAGTCCTTGAAATCTCTATAAGTAAGTGATTTTTTGTATGCTAATGAGTTGGCTGGTGGCTGGCAGCCCCTAGGTAGCTTCAGAATGGGGCTGGTCACTGAAAAGATCAAGGCAGGATTGGAATTTTCAGCCTCATCCCCACCTCCCCATGTCTGGGGAGGGGAAAGGGACTGAAGGTTAAACTGAGTACCTATGGCCAGTGATTTAGTCAATCATGCCTAAGTAATGAAGCCTCCATAAACACCCCAAAAAGACTAGGTTTGGAGAGCTTGGGTAGCTGAACACGTGGAGGTTCATGGAGGGTGGCTGACCCACAGAAAGCGTGGAGCTTTCAGCCCCATAACTCGCCCTGTGCATCCGTTCATCTGTATGCTTTATAATAAACCAGGAAACCTAAGTGTTTGAATTCTGTGAGCTGCTCTAGCAAATTAATCAAATCCAAAGGGGGTCCTAGGATCCATACTTTATAGCTGGTAGGCCAGAATACAGCTAAAGCAACCTGGGGCTTGTGATTGGCATTCAAGTAGAGTCGAACTGAACAAAGGAAACCGAGCTGCTATCCGCTGCAGAACTGATTGCTTGCTTAGTGTGTGGGGAGAAATCCCCATCTGGTGTCAGAAGCATGTTGTGATAGCCAATGATTAAAGATTTTTTTTTTAAAAAAGTGTGTTCTGAGAGTATAATGTGAAAAACTCTTTGTTTTAATCCACTCAGCATCTACGAAAGTCATAGCCCACCTGAGGAAAATCAGGACAAAAGGGAGTTTTTAAAGACAAAGAGAAATCCCTGCAAACTGCTTTGAAACTGTCAACCTAAAAAAAAAAGTAGAGAAAATTATCTCTAAATATGTTGAGTTTACTTGGGAATGAGAAGAAATGAGGATTATAATTCAGAATGCACAGAAGAGTGTGTTAAAGTGAACTAAATATGGCCTGAGGGCTCTATACTTCTATATTTAAGTTTTTGTGGATGAACTGCAACCTAGCTTAATAGGTAGACAAGATCGAAAACTTAGGAGTATGTGCCTGTAACAATAGCTAAGTCTGGGCCAATCCCAGATGCCATACTTCAACCATTCATACCCTGCTGAGTGTTCAAACTGTGTTCAAATAAGGCAAAGGCTAACCTGTAACCAATCCAACCGTTCTGTACCTCACTTTCGATTTGTGTACGTCATTTCCCTTTTTTTGTCTATAAATCTTCTTCCACCATGTGGCTGCACTGGAGTCTCTGTGAATCTGCTGTGATTCTGGGGGCTGCCCAATTCACAAATCATTCATTGCTCAGTTAAACTCCTTTAAATTTAATTTGGCTGAAGTTTTTCTTTTATCAGGTTGTGTCAGAAGTGGGATTCGAGGTAGAGCCTCTAGCAACCCCCAGGAGTGCTGAGTGAATATGCATGGTACCTGCAGGACCCACTTGTGTCCACTGATCTCTTGGAGCAGCTGAGGATTGTGGGTAAGCTCTCAGATTTCAGAGCTCCACAGATTTGTGTTTTGAGCTCTCTGAGTTTCTTTGAGCAAATTCCTGATTCAAACTGGGTTTGGAAGTCATGACACAAACTGGGCTGGGTACAGGAATGGATTTGATCCGGGAATTAACTGGCTTTGATCCAGTTAGAGGCCTTTTACATATGACTGAGTCAGAAACAAACTGGTAGTAAGCAGTAATATTGCAGGGGTTATAAAATTTGGCTTTTGAAAATTCACAGGAATTTTTGTGTTCTACCCCTTTGTTTCATTTTTCTTGCGCACTTAAGTAGGAAAAATCATTGGCTAAGTTAATTAAGAGAACCTGAGAATAAAGCCAATATTTTAGTTAAAAATAGGATTCTTAATTTCTGGAAAACTGAGTTCCTTCTGGATTACACATTAGGCCTAGGAGGCAGCAAAGTCTCACAGAAATGGCAAAATCTTACTAAAGATAACTTACAGTGGAATGTTCTGAATGAGCAACACATTGAAGTACATTTTAAAATGAGGGCTCTCAGTAAAGTCCCTTTTGGCTAAGAACGGGTTAGGCACTATGGAATGTTAACTGCTATTCTCTTTGGAATAATTTGCCTTGTACTCTTTGCTGATGGTTGTGGGTGACAAGATTAGGCATGTATGTACAGGATAGTGGCACATAGGGAGATTTTTCCTCCCAAATGGGGAAACTTGAGAGCTGATGGGACTGCTGGAAAAGACATCTTTGCTACTGACATTCGGCCGCCTGAACTTTGCAGTATTGCTGCAAAGAGTCGGTCTTGCTCTGGCCTTCCTGAGCTCTTCACCTTCCCCATCCTGCCATGGGTAATACTTTTATTTCTCTACCTTTCCTTTCCTATCTTTTCTGTTACTCAGGGAAACCATCTTGCCCAGAGACCATATGTTGAAACTCCTAGTCAGAGGTTGGATTAAAGACAATGGGGCCCATCTGGGGGCAAATTTAAGTCTTGCCAGTTTGATATTGGCTGCTAAGCAGAGTGGCTAATGTCTGTGTTTTATCACACATATTTTGCTCTGGCCAGAATGAAAAAAGAAAATTTTCCTTTGTGTTGTGTCTTGGCCCCCAGGACTATGGTGCAGCCAGCTGGGTCATTAGGGCCACTCAGGGAAAGAGAACCCAGAAGCCTGGTATGCCGGCAAAAGGGTAAGAATTTCTTACCAGTCAGACTTCTGATCTCTCTCTCTCTCTCTGTGCAAACTCATTGAATGAATGGTAAAAATCACTGTTTATCTCCTCTGTAAATTTTGATTAATGGAAGAAAGGATTTGTGAGGCTGGTCTTAAACTGTAGCAAATCTGGTGTGCTTTGCGTGTCTTTCTGTGTTGTTCTGTCATAAAGAGGGGTACCTTAGGATAGAACACAGGCTTAGGACGCCCATAAGCCCACTTTACAAGATGGCTCAGCAAATTGGTCAGTTATGTCCTTGGGAGCTTGACCTTGTAATTATGTGGCCATGCTTTCTCTTTTCAGAATGGCGGCCCGGGTTCAGGGTTCAATCCCTAGATTAAGGGATGAACCTTTCTGATTAATATTTGGGTGACCTTTGCCATTTTTAAATTCTCTTCCCCTCCACCAACTGTCTTGAATTTTCCCTTCTCAGAGCACCTATGAGGTTACTTTTGGTAAAGTTTAAAAGCCAGAAATATCAGCCATTTGGCCTGGCTAAAGTCAGGTAATAAGAAATTTTAGAAAGACTTTATTAAAGAGTTCTATGGTTAAAAGTCAGCTTAATTAAAAGCAGATATTCAGGCTCTAACAGCCTGGAGCTCCTTGGGAAAAACAGGAGGCACCAGAGACCCTTTCCTGGCCCTGTTCCTCCGAGGACTCCGCCCTAAAGTGAATAATCCAATTAAGAAACTTAAAAACTGGGAAAAAATCTTACAACTACTGTAGTAATCTTCTTCAGTCTGTCTGTGTAGTTATATATGTGTTGTTGTGTGTGTAATGTTTATATAAAAGAGCTCTAATTGGCTTAAACAAAAATAAGCACTTAAATATTTTAAAATAAAAACTGTAATGCCTTTTATTCATGTAACTTTAGTAATCTTTGGAAAATAAAAACAGCTTAAAAATTATTGATAAAATAGGCCAGGTGGCGCGGTGGCTCACGCCTGTAATCCCAGCACTTTGGGAGGCCAAGAGGGGCGGATCACGAGGTCAGGAGATTGAGACCATCCTGGCTAACATGGTGAAACCCCATCTCTACTAAAAATACAAAAAATTAGCTAGGCATGGTGGCAGGCCTGTAGTCCCAGCTACTTGGGAAGCTGAGGCAGGAGAATGGCGTGAACCGGGGAGGCAGAGCTTGCAGTGAGCCCAGATCATGCCACTGCACTCCAGCCTGGACAACAGAGCGAGACTCTGCCTCCAAGAAAAAAAATTATTAATAAAATGAAGACATTTATTTTAGCCTAAAATTTATGTATTTAGTGTTTAGTCTAAATTATGCAGGTCAGATATTTATTATTTAGTATTTAGTCTAAATTATGCAGGTCAGATATTAGGTTTCCTTAATGCCTTAAGGTCATATACTGCTTTGACTTTTGAAAATTGTTCAAATAATTTTGGAGACATTAAATTCTAAATAAGGCCTGGGAATATGTGGAATTAGCCATGCCCCCTAGCTATGAAAAGAAGTTTGTAAAGAAAAGAGACTTTATATAAGAAAGGGTCTTGTAAGCTAAATTCTTATCCTGAAGTAAAATGACTGGTTATTTAAAAGAGGGATGTTTAAGACAAGTCAGAAAATCCAAGCATGTCATAGATGCTCTGTGTAAGTTGTGAAAGGATTCGTAAAAGAAAATTTATGCACCAAAAGTGAAAGTTGCTAAGAATTACCATTATAACATGTAATTGAAACTACTGAAAAAAATAGGTTTTACGAGGTGTGTAAGGAAAATGAAATGTGTTTTTGGTTAAGAGATTATAAGAGGGCATGGGAATATAAATTTTTGCCTACTTTAGAGGGTTAAGGGATTGTTTTAAATTAAATTAAATTAAAGGTTTAAAGAAATCGTGGAAGGTTTGTAAAAATTAACCTTGTAAAAGAAATTCTATGTGTGAAAATATTGACTAAATTTAAAGGGGTATTATTTGTTTTTTCCCTAAATTGAACGTCAAAATAAAAGTACAACAGGGTTTTCTTAAAGCACTAATCTGCTTTTTAACAAAAATTTGTAAAGGGTTATAAAAGGTTTATGAAAATCTCACCTTATGGTCAAACTGATTAAGATTGGATACATTTGTCTATGAGGTTATATTAAAAACTGTGGTTGACATTAATAGTACACTAATGCAAGGGTGAAATTTGGCTTTCTCTGTTGAACAAAATTTTCATGTAATATTGAAAGATAATGAAAGATTTTGTTTGCCTTTTAAATACACTACTAAAAAAAAGGGGAGGGGGGAATACACAAGACAGATTATTTGGAAAGGTAAGTCTTCTTTCTATTAATGAGTAAAAGGTTTTTGCCTTTTGAAAAATGTTTGAGTCATCATTTTGGCTAAATGAATGACTTATGGTAAACCGGAATTCTAGTTCATAATATCAAATGTTTTAAACCTTTAACATTTTTTTTTTGAGATGGAGTTGCGATCTTGTTGCCCAGGCTGGAGTGCAATGGCACGATCTCAGCTCACCGCAACCTCCACCTCCTGGGTTCAAGCTATTCTCCTGCCTCAGCCTCCTGAGTAGCTGGGATTACAGGCACGCACCACCATGCCTGGCTAATTTTGTATTTTTAGTAGAGACAGGGTTTCTCCATGTTGGTCAGGCTGATCTGGACCTCCCGACCTCAGGTGATCCACCTGCTTTGGCCTCCCAAAGTGCTGGGATTACAGGCATGAGCCACCGTGCCTGGCCTTAAACCTTTAACATATTTAATAGTCTTCCAAAAATCAAATTTCATCTTCAAAATGGTCTTTTCTCTCTGTCTCTCTGGCTTTTTTGTTTTTGTTTTTTTTTGAGATGGAGTCTTGCCCTGTCACCCCGGCTGGAGTGCAGTGGTTTGATTTTGGCTCACTGCGACCTCCACCTCCTGGGTTGAAGTGATTCTCCTGCCTCAGCCTCCCAAGTAGCTGGGACTACAGGCATGCACCACTATGCTTGGGTAAATTTAGTATATTTAGTAGAAATGGGGTTTCACCATGTTGGCCAGGGCGGTCTCAAACTTCTGACCTCAAGTGATCCGCCTGTCTCAGCCTCCCACAGTGCTAGTGCTAGGATTACTAGGATTACAGGTGTGAGCCACCATACCCAGCCCAAGATGGTCTTTCTTTTTTTTTTTCTTTTTTTTGACTGGAGCTTCGCTCTTGTTGCCTAGGCTGGAGTGCAATGGTGCAATCTTGGCTCACTGCAACCTCCCCCTCCTGGGTTCAAGCAATTCTCCTGCCTCAGCCTCCTGAGTAGCTGGAATTACAGGCACCTGCCACCATGCCCAGAAAATTTTTTGTGTTTTTAGTAGAGACGGGGTTTCACCATGTTGGCCAGGCTAGTCTCGAACTCCTGGTGTCAGGTGATTCACCCACCTCGGCCTCCCAAAATGCTGGGATTACAGGCATGAGCCACCACACCTGGCCCCAAAATGGTCTTTTCTGACCTCTAACTTTGGAATGCTACAGAGGGCCCCTAAAGCCTCCAAAAGAGAGGTAAACAGAATTATTTAACATGTTAAGTTACATAGAAGCATTGTCAAAATAAAAATAATGTATAATCTTCAGTTTGTATTTTAGTGGACAATAATATATGTTCCAAAATTATATAGGATTTCTAAAATTCTAATATGTCTAAATATATATTGTCAATCATAATTATGGTTATTATGTTGTTATTATACACGACAGAAATAACCAAATTCCCTTGCATAAAACTGCTAACTCAAGTGGAACAGAAAAAATTAAATACAGGCCAGGCACAGTGACTCACACCTGTTATCCCAGCACTTTGCGGGGCTGAGGTGGGCAGATCACCTGACAGGGTCAGGAGTTTCAGACCAGCCTGGCCAACATGGCAAAACCCTGTATCTATTAAAAATACAAAAATTAGCTGGGTATGGTGGTGCAAGTCTGTAATCTCAGCTACTTGGGAGGCTGAGGCAGGAGGATCACTTGAACCCAGGAGATGGAGGCTGCAGTGCGCCAACATCATGCCACTGTACCCCAGCCTGGACAACAGAGTGAGACTCTGTCTCAAAAAAAGAAAAAATTATTGAAATTCCAAGAAAATACTTTGCCAGATTTTCATGTTAAGCCAGCCAATACTAAAATTGTTTAGATATACAATTTGAACTCCAAGGTCTGAGTCAAATTACCTATGATAAATTGGAGAAACAACTGGTATTCAAGAGGACATAAGTCCAGTGTTAAGCATGGACTCATGGAGAACCAGGATGGCCACCTTGTCCCTCTTGAGACTCTAAGGCTTTTGTTATTAATGGTTCTGGATTTTATGATTCATCATGGAAAAGATAAAATGACCCAAATTTAATATACTGATGTGGTTAACTTGTAAATTGTGAAAACTGTTTAAAACCAATACCTCCACAGTTGCCAGGGATGGCAGAGCTGAGGCTGCTTTCCTGGACACTGAGCAGAATCCTGTGGCTCTCGGGCCTCTTTGAGTGGGGAGCTGCCCGGCAGCCCCGGATCATGGAAGAGAAAGTGCTAGAGGTTTATGATTTGATTCGAACTATCTGGGACCCAGAAAAGCCCAATACTTTAGAAGAACTGGAATTGGTAACGGAAAGTTATATGGAAGTTCAGGAGATAAATGAAGAAGACTATCTGGTTATTATCAAGTTTACACCAAGAGTACCTCATTGATATTTGGCGATTCTTATGGGGCTGTGCTTAAGAATAAAACTTCAGCAGTGTTTACCATTTAAACATAAGTTGGAAATCTACATTTCTGAAGGAACCCACTCAACAGAAGATATAAGTATGCAGATAAACAACAAAGAGCAAGTGGAGGCTGCAATGGAAAACCCCAGCTTATGGGAAATTGCGGAACAGTGTGTCCTTGAACCTGACTGGTAGCTATTTTAAGAGCCACTGACCTGTAATTTATATATTTGTTTAAACTCTTTGTATAATGTCAAAGACTCACGTTTAATACATAGATGATTTGTACCTCAGATCATTTTTAAAGGATTATTTCCAAGCAAGATTTAATTTTAAGGTAGTACCTAATTTGTTCAGTGTATAACATTCTCAGGATTTGTAACACTTAAATGATCAGACAGAATAATATTTTCTAGTTATTATGTGTAAGATGAGTTGCTATTTTTCTGATGCCCATTCTGATACAAATACTTTTCATGTCCAATATCTACTGTGCCCAAATGTACTCAATTTAAATAATTACTTTGTAAAATAAATAAGCAGATGATTCTTGTAAAAAAAAAACACAGCTGGGCATGGTGGCTCATGCCTGTAATCCCATCACTTTGGGAGGCTGAGGTGGGTGGATCACAAAGTCAGGAGTTCAAGACCAGCCTGGCCAATATGGTGAAACCCTGTCTCTACTAAAAATGTAAAAATTAGCTGGGCGTGGTGGCGGGTGCCTACAGTCCCAGCTACGCAGGAGGCTGAGGCAGGAGAATCGCTTGAACCCGGGAGGTGGAGGCTGCAGTGAGCCAAGATCATGCCCCTGCACTCCAGCCTGGGCAATAGAGTGAGACTCCATCTCAAAATAAAATAAAATAAAATAAAACCAATGGTTGGTTCCATATTCCTGGGAAGGTAATCAAACCTTCAGGTACATTTGGCTACCTGATGGGTCATTTAAACATGTATAAATGAATTTCATTCCACTGTCATTTTCAATGCATGTTTTATGTTATAACAGCTAATTATTATGCCAGAGTATATTTTCACCAGATAAAGAAAACTTTTTATGGTTCACTGAGGACAATCAACCCCTTCACAATCCAGAACCTGAAGACTGACTCTTCTGAGAACATCAGAGAAAGACTGTCCTTCTACACTGCAACAAAACTTTGGAACCTTGAACCTTGGGTTCATAAACAACTGAAAGGGGTCCCTCTACACTCTTGGAACTGTACACCCATTGGAATCCTTAAGGTAAAACTAACCCAGAAAGTTTCTTCCCAGAAGAAGATGGCATCCTTGATGTGAACAGCTTTTCCCATGATCATGGATCAAGGCTTCTATAATGAGACTCTTATCTTTGAATATTTTTTTCCTTGTTTATGCCTCTATGAATAATAGAAATGAAAAGGGGTTCTATTATGTTCAGTTATAAGGTATACTTTTATTTGTGAAGGATTTTGTAGCCAGCCTTATACATGAATAAACTTATACTTTGATAAAGACAAGACGAAGGCCCAATGTAGGTGAAAAACTTTAATTGTACATATATTTCCTCATAATCAGTAAAAACTCCTCTTAACCCACATCATGGGTTAAAGAGAACATTGTCAGGGGGCCTTCACTTTTCTAAAAGGACATCATTTGTTAGGTCCTTTTTCCATCGTTTAGAATAAAATAGGCAATAACTAGAAATATATCCCTCATAATAGGCTTTCTAGCAGATTCTACTGTAAAGACTATCGTTACACAACAGACTTTAAATTCTCTTGTGAAAGTTATGCTAAATAATAGAATTAGTTAAATAGAAAAGTACCTGTGCAGCTGCTGGCAGCTGTGGCCTATGGAGGAATACATTAAATGTAGATTATAAAAATTCAGTTGTAGAAGATTAATGAAAAGATCACTTAGTCAAGCAAGTAGACCCTTCATCTCACTCATTCTTTAATCTATTTAATTTTAGGTGGTTTGGTTTATGGGGACCCTGGGTAAGGAGCATACTCCAAACTCTTGGTATTATGCTCCCAATAGGCATAATAATAGTCTCCCTGGTGCACTGTATTCTCTCAAAGATTTTAAATGATTGCACACAGCTATCTCTAGAACGTCAAATGGTCTCTCTTCAACTGGAATGAAAGAGCTGAAAGAAATATGTGACCATGAGGATACCATAACCTATGAACGATGTGCTGACACCAGAAACACAAAATGATGGTAACAGAGAGTGGTGCTAAGGCCCCAAGTTTTGGTCACACTCTCACCTAAGTAAGAACCTGACCAAAAAGGGGGAATTTTTTAAAAAACACAATTATGGGAGGCCATTGTTTTGGACTAAGCTCATGCACTAGGTCCCAACAGGACAAACCAAACTAAAATGGAGTCACTCATGCTAAATGTGACATAATCAAACTAAGGATACATATAAATCCTAGAACAGACCAGGTTTTTTCTCCTGTAAACAGGATGTTCCAGCATAAAGAGGTACCCTCTACTCAGTCTTTGTTCCTACCTTTGGAAAACTCATTGTTCTACTGTTTCCCACTGGATTTCAGGAGCAAATAAGTACATTTACTATGGTGATAGTGACAACAACTAAAGTTTTGGTCAATCTCTCAAAATTGAGAAAATGACCAAAAGAGGGTAGTTGCTGAAGCAAACTAAATATGGCCTGAGAAGGACTTCATATTTTTATATTTGAGTCCTTGTGGATGAACTGCAACCTAGCTTAATAGGTAGATAGATTGAAAACCTAACAGGAGTATGCAACTGTAACAATAGCTGCGTCTTGGCCAATCCCAGAGGCTGCACTTCAACTATTCATATACTGCTGAGCGTTCAAACTGTGTTCAAATACGGCAAACACCAACCTGAAACCAATCCAGCTGTTTTGTACTTTACTTTCAATTTCTGTACATCATTTACCTTTTTTTGTCTACGAATCTTCCACCACGTGGCTGTGCTGGAGTCTCTGTGAATCTGCTGTGATTCTGGGGGCTGCGTGATTCGTGAATCATTCATTGCTCAATTAAACTTTAAATTTAATTCGGCTGAAGTTTTTATCAAGTGTAAACCAAAAATAAAAAATAAATTTATAAGGCTCCCCAGCCATCTAAATGGACTTCCTCCTCGGCCAGGGAACTCTTAAAAAAAATTTTTTTTTTTTGACGGAGTCTTGCTCTGTCACCCAGGCTGGAGTGCAGTGGTGCGATCTCTGCTCACTGCAACCTCTGCCTCCCAGGTTCAAGTGATTCTCCTGCCTCAGCCTCCTGAGTAGCTGGGATTACAGGTGCGCACCACCATGCCTGGCTAATTTTTGTATATTTTTTAGTGGAGACCGGGTTTCACCATGTTGGCCAGGCTGGTCTCGAACTCCTGACCTGAAGTGATTCGCCCACCTCTGCCTCCCAAAGTGTTGGGATTACAGGTGTCAGCCACTGTGCCTGGCCTGGAACTCTTAAAATTTAACCTCAAAGACTGGTTCAGGCCATAAGAAGTGGGGGTCAGACATGCCTCATTATACCTCTCTGGCATTAACATCAACATAGACTTTAAGTCCGATAAACATTTTACAACCTATTCTCTCTGAAGCCTAATACCTGAAGGCTTCATCTGCAAATAAGAACTTTGGTCTCCACAATCATATATATATATATTTTTTTTTCTTTCCTTTTTTTTTTTTTTTAGATGGAGTCTCACTCTATTGCCTAAGCTGGAGTGCAGTGGCGCAATCTCGGCTCACTTCAACCTCCGCCTCCTGGGCTGAAGTGATTCTTCTGCCTCAGCCTCCTGAGTAACTGGGATTACAGGCACACACCACCACGCCCAGCTAATTTTTGTATTTTTAGTAGAGAGGAGGTTTCACCATGTTGGTCAGGCTGGTCTCGAACTCCTGACCTCGTGATCCGCCTGCCTTAGCCTCCCAAAGTGCTGGGATTACAGGTGTGAGCCACTGCACCCCACCCACAATCTTTTATCTTAACCCAGACATTCCTTTCTGTTAATCCCAGGTCTTCAGGTAAATTCAACCAATTGTCAAACAGAAAATTTTTCAATCTACCTATAAGCTGGAAGCCAGCACCCTTGACCCCTGCTTCGAGTTGTCCTGCCTTTCTGAACCAAACCAATGTAGGTTTTAAATGTATTTGATTGATGTCTCATGCCTCCCTAAAATGTATAAAACCAAGCTGCACCCCAACCACCTTGGGAACATGTTCTCAGGACCTCTGTCCTGAGGGCTGTGTCACAGGCCATGGTTACTCATATTTGGCTCAGAATATATCTCTTAAAATATTTTACAAAGTTTGACTCTTTTCATCAACAGCAGCAAGCCACCAGCATTCCCAGTGAGGGAAGGGTAAAGGGAACTTTTTATCAGTGAAAAGGGAACTTTTATCAGCGAAAAGGGAGCGGTTCACAGAAGCTGCTTAGAAAGAGTTCATTGGTTCCAGGGGCCCAACGCCAAAGCTCAAAGTTGTCCTCAGTTCATTGGTGGCGCTGCCATTACTGGGCAAGTGTTTATTCCGAGCATCTTAACTGAATTACTGCAGTCCTAAAGATGGTCTAAATTTTGTCAAAGTAGGAGACCCGTGAATGACACAAAAGGGTTTCTTGTGGGGTTTTTAGAAAGTCCTTGCGAATAATTCTTATCTCAGACACTAAGCCTGAGCCTCCTGTTCTTCCCAGCCCTGTTTGTCTGGGCCTGACAAAGTGATTTCACTCCTTATTTGTAACTTTCACAAAACAAAGGCCCTGGTCTCATGAACTCATTGCACAAAGTGACCCTGGTTCGCTGAGGCAGATAGGCGATGCTATCTGCCTGCCCTGGTCCAAACATCTCATCTGGAATACTGCAGGCCAGTGGAAATGCCCGGAATAAGCTCTGTTTACAAGGTAATAGCGAGCCTCTCTGGCATTTCAGAAATGCGTGACAGCTGCTTCCTTAGGGCCCTCCCCACTCCATTTTGGTTACGTTGTGACATAAATTACTCCATTTTGCTGTGAACTACAGGGTCATTTCTCAGCCCCCGCCAACCCCGCGGATCCCCCCTCAGCCCCGCTGTATCAGCCTTTCGGATCCTCCTTCAGCCTCTCAGGTCCTCCTCAGCCCGCTGCGTGCCTCTTCAGCCCCCCTTGAACTTCCGTCATCCCCACAGATCCTCCCTCAGCCTCCCTAGATTCCCACCTCAGCGCCCATGGATCCTCCCTCACTGCCCCCTGGGACCTCCCTCAGTTCTGCAGATTCCCCCCTTAGCCTCCTGGGACCTCTCTCACCCCTTCTAGATCCTCTCTCAGCCCCGCAGATCCTTCCGCAGCTCCCCCTGGATCCTCCCTCAGCCCAGCTGGTGCCCACTCAGCCCCGCGGATCCTCCTTCCCTCAGCCCCCGCCCGGGTGCTCCCGCAGTCCCCCTGGGTCCTCCCTCAGCCCAGCTGATGCCCCTTCAGCTCCGAGGATCCTCCCTCAGCCCCCCTGCGTCTTCCCTCAGCCCCCTGCGTCCTCCCTCAGGACCCCTGGGTCCTCCCTCAGCCCTCCGGGACCTCTATCAGCTCTCCTGGATCCTCCCTCAGCCCTGCGGATCCTCCCTCAGCTCCCCACCCCGGGTCCTCCCTCAGCACTCCCCCACTCCGTCCTCCCTCAGACCCGCGGGTCCCCCTCGACCTCGCCGGCCCGCCCTGGTCCTCCCGGTAGGGACGGAGGTCACCTGCTCGCCGGCCCCGCCTGGGTTCTTGTACCGCCACAGCGCCCCCGCAGGCCCCGCCCACCTAGGCTTCGTCCCGCCCCCGAGATTACATCACGCCGCGCCGGCCCCGCCCAACAGGGGCGTATATCTTCGTGTCTCACCGCCCACTCTTGCCTCTCCCTGCCATGGAACACGTCATACCGCGCGACGCAGCGCCTGCCAGTGACGTCGTGGGCTGCAGCGCAGCAGCACCCAACGCAGTGAGTACCTTGATCTCCTGCGTGGCCTCGTCCCTGGTCTTAGTTCCACCGGGCAGCGGGAGTCAGGACCGCCTGTCCTCAGACCCCTCCGCAGCGACTGTGGCGGCCGCAGGTTGGCGCCTCGTGTGGGCCGGGAACAGAGGCGGGAGGCGCTGTACCCTCCCGGTGGAGTCGGGAGGGAGGGAGGCAGGGAAGGGGACAGGGGGCTGCACCTGTGATAAGCCCTTGTCCCCATGCAGTCTAGCAGGAAAGGAGAGGGAGCTTTCCCCGAAGACCCTCCTGGACCAGCCCCAGGCTCCTGTGCTGGTGAGGCCGAGGGAGAGGGATGTGGGCATAGGACACGTAGCAGGATTTCCATTTTAGAGGCAGCCGGACCTGTCTTCAGGTCCCTTCCTTGGTGAGAGACAGGGGTACGCCAGAGGAAGCTGGGCGCTCGGCCTCTGTGCAGCCTCATCTCCTGGAATCTGAGTATTGAAAACTGGGCTTTTACTTCGCACACCTCAGCACAGACTCCCATGGGAATCCAGGTCACAGCAAAGCAGCCCTGGGCCTCCATTCTCCTTTAAGCAAGCATGACAATCCTCACTTCACTGAGTTTTTATTAAAACTAGCAATGACCTTAGAAAGCAAGGCATGACCTCAGCTCCACTTTTGAGGCTGCAGTCCATTCAGAGAGGTTTCGCAGACTCGGTAACGGCCAGAACAGACAGCCTGGGCCCTGCCGCAGGCTGACTCAGAATCTTTGGGAGTAGTGACCAACTTCTGCTTTTGGAAAAACCTCTACAGGCGGTTCTGAGAAGTCCAAGGGTTGCTGGGAGAGGTTGGTGAGTGGCGTGGTGATTACATGTGTCTTGGAAGCATCCTGGGCTGGGATTTGATAAGAAACCATTAGGTGGAAGAACCTTCCTTTTAAAAAAGATCTCTTCATTCTCTGCCTAGCAGGTTGCACGCCAGGGCCTGTACTGACCACCTCCACGTGCCACTGGGGCTGTAAGGAGGAATGGCGGCCGTGGGCAGCCTGCTTGGGTAAGCATGGACTTTTAGGTCCCTGGGGATTACTGTCAGGGGCCACCCCAGGGAACCCCTCTCTTCAGCAGGAAACCGCCATTCTAATCCTCCCTAGTCCTTGCTATTGTCCACTGTCCCCTGTGCTGGAAGCTTTGTGCCCTTGCTCAGCCTGGCAGCCTCTTCCTGGCTAGGGGGCCAGAACGCCTCTGACCACAGCCTGTGGCTCCTGAGGAAGCCCCGAGGCTCATCCTGCCCCGGCACGGGTCACCAGCTCTGGTAATGTCTCCTGTGGCCCGGCAGTGCCCAATCACAGCCAGCCTCAGTCATGTTGGCACTCTGCTGCAGCACTGTCGGCTGACCAGAGCTTGAACATTTATCTGCAGCCGGCTGAGGCAGAGCACCGTGAAGGCCACCGGACCTGCACTCCGCCGCCTGCACACATCCTCCTGGCGAGCTGACAGCAGCAGGGCCTCACTCACTCGTGTGCACCGCCAGGCTTATGCACGACTCTACCCCGTGCTGCTGGTGAAGCAGGATGGCTCCACCATCCACATCCGCTACAGGGAGCCACGGCGCATGCTGGCGGTAAGCTTCCCTCTCCAGGTGCTTCCAGGTGCCGGGCTGGGGTCGAGGCTGTGGTGGGGGTGCTGGTGACCAGTCGCCTTCGGATGGACATGTGGCTGTGGTCACTGTACCACATGACAGGAGTCAGGGGAGCAGGTGGTTGTTGGAGGAGTGGAGGAAGGCTTAGATCCAAAACTGACTCTAAGCACCAAAATTAGATAGGACTAACCAGTAGTGTGTTTTTATTTTTTAAATTTATTTTTTTGAGACAGGGTCTTGCTCTGTCAACCAGGCTGGAGTGCAGAGGCACGATCTCGGTTCACTGCAGCCCTGACCCCCTGGGCTCATGCGGTCCTCCCACCCCAGCTTCCCAAGTAGCTGGGACTGCAGGTGCACACCACCATGCCTCACTAATTTTTTGAAAGATATTTTTGTAGAGATGGGGTCTCTCTGTGTTGCCCAGGCTAGTCTTGAACTCCTGGGCTCAAGCGATCCTCTCACCTAGGCCTCCCAAAGCACTGGGATTACAGGTATGAGTGAGCCATCATGCCTGGCCTTGTGTGTTTTTAAAAACATCAAATCTGGGGAAAACACAGAACAATTTATTTTAAAGATTGAAAGCTTTGAAGGGAGAGACCAATAAGAATGTTTGAAAATTAAGCTAGCATAGGATGGAAGACGTAAGTTGAGAGGAAGGCCTTGGGCTGTCCCCCCAGTAGCTCTCAAGGTCCCTCGATCCACATGGACGAAACTTGGTCTGTCCCCTGCAGATGCCCATAGATCTGGACACCCTGTCTCCTGAGGAGCGCCGGGCCAGGCTGCGGAAGCGTGAGGCTCAGCTCCAGTCGAGGAAGGAGTACGAGCAGGAGCTCAGTGATGACTTGCATGTGGAGCGCTACCGACAGTTCTGGACCAGGACCAAGAAGTGACCGTGGCTCCAGCCACCCCGGGACATTGCTAAGATGGGAGGGCTGTTCTTAAATCACTCGTTCTTGAAGCTGCCACCTGGAGTCTGTGTCTGTCTCCCCACTTGGTGTGTGCCCCAGACTGGCAGCTCATCCCCTGAAAGGCATCAGCTCAAGCACAGAGAGAGCTCAGTGGACTAGCAGGGTGAGGGTTGGTGTAGATCAAACCTGTGGGTTTTGGACACTGCTCTGGGGCTGTGGTGCACGTGGACAACCATGTGGGCAGTACCCAACACCACCAAGCTCTAAGCTCTGCCCTCCCAGCCTCAGGGGCACCAAGGTGACTGCCCTTCTGACAGCACAGTGGCCCTCAGGTTGGTTCCTAGGAGGGGCTGGGTGTTCTGGGACTCAGGCATCAACCTTGGTGGGGCAGTCCTAGGACCATCTGGACCACAGCCTGCAGCTCCCTGCCCTGGCCCTGCATTCCCAGGCTGCCCCAGGGAAGGTCCTGCCCTGGGAGGGTCCCCAGAGGAGCAGCCAGCCCTGGTTGTCCTTGACTCTTAATGGGGTCTGCAGAGCACTGCAGTTACACACAGCCCAGGGAGATCCACGGACCCTGCTTCATCTGTCCAGAGGCTGATTTAACTCAGGACCAGCTCCAGCTAATGTGCAGGCACCTTCCACACGCACAACAACCCAGGTTTTGGACAGCTCAGGGCCCAGACTGCTTCCTGTCCCTGTCCTGGGATGTTACTGGGTCCCACCTGGCAGGCTGTCTCTCTGACACCTGGAGTGCCCGACAAAGACTTCTTGCAGTGGTGTTCTGGGATTGCCAGGGAGGTGTGGGAGTGTGTTCTGTCATGCCCCTGTGATGACAGTGCTTATAACTGAGGAGCCTGGGCAGTGTCCCCACCTTGCAGGCCCATCCCTTGCCCCTTAAGCTTGTTCCTGGCCCTCTGCTCATCCCGCTGGCCTTCAGCTCTGCTGAGAAGAGCCTGCAAGGGATGTCCTCTGGCCCTGCCCCTGTCCTTGTGACCGAGCAGTGCCTGACCTCACGTGGATGGGCTGTGTGGCTGCCTGGGACTCTGCCTTGCAGGGTTACTTCCTGAGCAGCCTCCCTGGAGCCCCCGTCTCTGAAGTTGTGGCTCAATCCCTGTGGCATATAGAGCCAGCTGCCCGGCCACTCTGTGCACTCACTTGGCCCCCCCCCTCCACTACCCAGCCTCCTCCCACTATAGTGGGTTCCCCTGGGATCTCCACTGCCCCTCCACTCCCTGACCGCCACCCTCCTGGGTCCAGCTTCGCTGCTGTCACAGAGGACACCACTGTGACCAGTGCCCCCAGCTGGGCCTCCACCCAGCAGGCACAGGCCATGCAACCTCCACCCTGGTGACCCCTCCTCCTGTGGCCTACGGCTTGTCAGGCTAATGGGCTCAAAACTGACCAGGTCTTCCCCACAAACCTGGTCCTCATGTTGACAGGTGGCTGCTTCATCCTCACAGTTGCCCAGACCAGAGCCTCAGAGCCGTCCTGGACTCCTGCCCAATGTCCACCTGGCCCTGCTATCCCCTCTCCACCACACCTGACATCCAGTCAGTGGTCAGACTCCACAGCTGGGCCCTGCCCACATGGCCCAAGTCCACCCTGGCCTGGCAAGCTGCAATGGCACCCAGGAGATGATGCCCTACACCCCAGGGAGCCTTCCTGGGAGTCGGCCAGTCACCTTCTGTGTGCCTGGCTGTGGCCTGCTGCTCTGCCCTCGCCATGCACCTGCTCCATGATGAAAGCTCATGCAGTGCCTCATGAGGGAGATGGCAGCCAGTACTTGCTAAGTAGATAGATGAGCCAGACGTGTGGCTGTCTGCCAGCCTGCTCTAACAGCCTGACCCATGGACTGGGTCACTAAGAAACAGAAATTTCCCACAGGACAGTAGACCTGTATTTCATCCAGTTCAACCTGTGGCTGGAATTGCCCCAAAAGTGGTGGCAGTAGAGTTCCCACAAGGGAGTGCCCCACACCATCCTGAGATGGGGCTGGTTAGGATTCTACAGATTGAGCATGCCAGGGTGATTCGCCCAGAGCATTTATTCGTGGGGCTTTTGTACAGAGTGGGCTGCAGCAGTTCTTGCAATAGGCAGTGAGAGAAATGAAGTTCTCTCTAGGTATGTCCGTGGGGGAGGGGGTTGGTGAATGGAATTTATATGAGGGTTTGAGGAATCTGGCTCAGGCTGAGTCCAGTTTCTTTCTGTGTTTTGAGCAACAACCTAGTTACTGTCATCTGTGCCTGGGAACGTTCATGGCTATGGCTCGGGTTCAAGTCTGCAGAGGAAATTATACAGTTGGCGAAGTCACAGAGTGGCCAAGGGACTCTGTTTCTCAGTCAGCACTGGGAATGAAAGTGGAAAGGGGAAGCAGGGGTACGTCACAACCTCCAAAATCAGGGTGCCCAGCACGCTGAGGTTCTGGTAAGGGGTTTCTTCCAGACTGCAGACTTCCTTCCCGCTGCCTTCACACAGTAGAAAGCTGCACAAAGCTCTTGGGGTCCCTTTTATGAAGGCTCTGTCCTCATGACCTAGTCACCTCCGAAGCACCAACGCCTTGGGGTGAGGATTTCACATGGGAGTTAGGGTGCACATTCAGTTTAACACGGCAGGGATAGGACCAGTGCTCTGAGGGTGTCTGGGTAGCTGCTGGTTCATCCAGAAGTTTACTGGGTAATACTCAGAAATTCCACAAATCATTAAGGTCATTACCTTGTTAAGCTCCCGATATGGAATCGCGACTAGCAGTGACCAATTGGCGGTGTTAACTAGGCGCATCTTGTGTGTTTTCTTTTTTCTTTTTTTATGAGACAGGGTCCGCTCACTCGTTCAGGTTGGAGTGCAGTGGCGCGAAGTCCTGGGTTCGAGATCCTCCCGCCTCAGCCTCAAAGCGTTGGGGCTACAGGGGCGCGCGCGCGCCTGGCCCATTTTAACTTCTTATTTTTGAGACAGTCTCGCTCTGTCGCCCAGGCGGGAGTGCAGTGGCGCGATCTCGGCTCACTGCAACCTCTGCCTCCCGGCTCAAGTGATTCTCCTGCTTCAGCCTCCTGAGTAGCTGGAATTACAGGTGTGCACCACCACACCCGGCTAATTTTTGTATTTGAGTAGAGACCGGGTTTCACCATGTTGGACAGGCTAGTCTCGAACTCCCGACCTCAAGCGATCCGCCCGCCTCGGCCTCCCAACTTGCTGGGATTACAGGCGAGAGCCACTCCGCCCGGCCCCGTTTTAACCATTTTTAAACTTCCAGTTCAGAGGCGTTCCCGCGCCCGGCAGGGTAGGCGCAGTGCGCAGGCGCCCAAAGCCGACGTGGAGGTGATGCGCGGGAGCACAGATCCGGGGCAGTGCGCTGCGCAGAGGCGCGCGGCGAAGCCGAGTGGGCGCGGGAGTGACGTCACGGCGCGCGACGCGGAGGCGGGGTCGGGCCTGGGTCCGACGGTAGTGGGTAGCGGGTCTCGGGTTGCGGGTTGCAGGTTGCAAGCCGCAGGCCCCAGGCAACTGCCTTCCCGGCGCCATGTTCGGCTCCAGTCGTGGAGGCGTGCGCGGCGGGCAGGACCAGTTCAACTGGGAGGACGTGAAGACTGACAAGCAGCGGGAGAACTACCTGGGTGGGTGCGCGCGGTGGGCGGGCTCCGGGCTCCGGGCTCCGGGATCCCGGGCGGGCGCTGGACTCACAGCGTCTACGTCCGCAGGCAACTCGCTGATGGCGCCGGTAGGCCGCTGGCAGAAGGGCCGCGACCTCACCTGGTACGCCAAGGGCCGGGCGCCATGCGCGGGCCCGAGCCGCGAGGAGGAACTGGCAGCCGTGCGGGAGGCGGAGCGCGAGGCGCTGCTGGCCGCCCTGTGAGTGTCCGCGGACGGCAGCGGTCGGTGCCTGGGACGGCGCTGCCGGGGCAGGGTGGGGCCGGGGCCGGGGACTGGGGGTCGGGCTGGGCGGGAGCGGGGCTGCGGGGACTCGCGCGGGCGGGACCCTGAGGACGAAGGCTGGAGTGGTGAGGACCTGTGGTGGGAGGAGGTCCGTCCGTCCTGACGCCTGCCCCGGCCCTCTCGCAGTGGCTACAAGAACGTGAAGAAGCAGCCCACGGGCCTGAGCAAGGAGGTAACTCCCCGGGGTGGGGGGCGCGTGGAGGGCCGTGGGTGTGGGGCCGACTCGAGCGCTCCCTGTGCTCTCGCACCTGCAGGACTTCGCGGAGGTCTGCAAGCGGGAAGGAGGCGACCCCGAGGAGAAGGGCGTGGACCGGCTGCTGGGGCTGGGGAGCGCAAGGTGCGGGCGGGTTTCCAGGGGAGGGCAGCACTGGGCTCGATTGCTCGGGTGAGGCGGACCCCTGCCGTACTGTCTTCATCGCCATGTCCCTGCAGTGGCTCCGTGGGCCGCGTGGCGATGTCCCGAGAGGACAAGGAGGCCGCCAAACTGGGGCTGTCTGTGTTCACGGTAATCCCCCGCCCCGCCTGACCGCAGCAGGGGCTAACAGGGGTGGGGCGGGGCGGGGGCACTGAACGGAGCTCCCCGGGGCGCTGCGGGGCGTGGTGTGGGGCCGGCCCGCAGACTCCTCCGCAGAGCTCGCTTCTCCCGCAGCATCACCGCGTAGAGAGCGGCGGGCCCGGGACCTCGGCAGCCTCGGCCAGGAGGAAGCCGCGGGCGGAGGATCAGACGGAAAGCAGGTGAGGCTGTGCCACCTGGGCTAGCTGTGCCCCGGGGTGGGGGGTCTCGGGAGGACCGGAGCGGCTCCCACTCGGGCAGGTGGCAGCTTCTCTTGGCGCACCGGCCCGGCGGGTGGCCTGCCCTACTTTACTTCCTGTCCCAGTTACTCCTAGGTTTTTCTCTAGGGGAGTTTCTCGGGTCACCCTTGAAGAGAGGTCCTAAGTACTGGCAGTGGTCGGGCGCTGTGCCGTGGGAGGGCACTCAGGACCTGGGGCGGGGCCTTTTCCTGCCGTGGGTGGCACCTCCAGGGCTTCTCCTGGATGGTGAGCCTGGGCCTGACCCTAAGAGTGGCCTGGTGGGTGCAGGTAGGAAGGTGTCAACCTGCCAAGGGCACGGCTGGGGTGGGGCAGGGGCGTGCTGTGGAGATGGGGATATTGCATCTGTTTCTAACCCACGTAGCCACTGGCCACGTGACTACGTAACTGAGGAGTGGAATTTGTAGTTTGATTTAACTGATTTAAAGACGCACTTGTGGGTGGTGGCTTCATCTGGATGGGGCCTGCTTGTGTTCACTCTCTTGGCTTGCAAGACTAGGGTCTGAGGCACACCTTGTATCCTCCTTGTAGTTGTGAGAGCCACAGGAAAAGCAAGAAGGAGAAGAAGAAAAAGAAAAAGAGGAAACACAAGAAAGAGAAGAAGAAGAAAGACAAAGAGCACAGGCGGCCAGCTGAGGCCACCTCCTCTCCCACATCTCCTGAGAGGTATGCCCTGGTCCATATCTGCCTCTTGGGGGTGGGGGCCTGGTTGACTCCTTCCGAGTGACTGACTGCCATTGGTCTCCCCAGGCCCAGGCACCACCACCATGACTCCGACTCCAACTCCCCCTGCTGTAAGAGGAGGAAGCGGGGACACAGTGGGGACAGGAGGAGCCCGTCTCGCAGGTGGCATGACAGAGGCTCTGAGGCCTGATGGCTGGACCCTGCTCACTGCTGTTGTGGGACCCTGAACCCTCCCTTCACCTTGCTTGCCTCCTGCCTCGGAAGCTCCTTGGGTGTGGGTGAAGCCCGAGGCTGCTCCTGTGGAAGTGGCTCTGGGCACCAGCCTGTGGGGCTAAAGACTTGACAGCTAGCTCTGGAGCAGCCGGCTTCCTGGAAAACCTCCAGGTTTCGCATACCAGGGATGGCCCCTGGCTTGGCCTGCGAAGGTGAACCTGCCCAGATTTATCAGTAGAGGCTGGACTCCCTCTGTGTCCTGCCCATGGTTGCAGCAGCCATGGGCCTATGAGCGGTCTAACTGTGGCCAAGTATGGTGACCTCTATTTTTCTTTATATTGACTCTTTGTATTTCAATAAATATATTTTAAAAGGAAGGTATATCAAATTGGAAGGTCAGTATCAGGGGTTAATGAGATCCCACTGGAACGTCGGAGCTGGGGTCTGTCTCCCAGGAGTCTGAGACCTGGTGATTTTTTTTTTTTTTGAGTTTCACTTTTGTTGCCCAGGCCGGAGTGCAATGGTGTGATCTCAGTTCACTGCAACCTCCGCCTCGCGGGTTCAAGCGATTTTCCTGTCTCAACCTGAGTTGCTGGGATTACAGGCGCTGCCACTACGCCAGGCTAATTTTTGTTATTTCTTAGTAGAGACGAGGTCTCACCGTGTTGGCCAGGCTGGTCTTGAACTCCTGACCTCAGGTGATTCGCCCGCCTTGGCCTCCCAAAGTGCTGGGATTACAGGTGTGAGCCCCGGTGCCCATCTGATTCTTAATGTCCTGGGGGAATGTAGTCCTCCCATGTGTGCCCAGAGCCCCCACCAAAACCCAGGGAGGGCTGAGGCCCTGGAAGCAGGTGCTCAGCTGGCAATGTGGGAACCTGGGGCAGGGAGCCCTATCCCTGCGACAGGTGAGGTCAAAGACTGCAGTCTGTGGAGGCACAGCCTCAATTGGGTGTGGGGGTTGGGGAGCTCCTCCAACTGCCTGCTACCCCAACCCTCAGCTCCGCTTCTCCAGAGGCAGTGGGCTGGGTGTCCC
Organism: Homo sapiens; assembly: GCF_000001405.40. Taxonomy (NCBI): domain Eukaryota; kingdom Metazoa; phylum Chordata; class Mammalia; order Primates; family Hominidae; genus Homo; species Homo sapiens. The sequence goes on along the minus strand of NC_000001.11, from coordinate 228,100,074 downwards.
TTCTGCCTGACCCTAAGAAGGATCAGGGCTGTTCAGGATGTGTGCGGCCACCAGGCTGCATGGCATAAAGACAGATGGCACCTGGGCTGCATCACAGTTCAATGCAGCGTTGCAGTGTTGGGATCAGAGGCATGAGCTCCCTCACCTGGCCTGTTTCTGATTTCAAGGGAAGTTATGCAGACCTTCCTCAGGGCCCTGGCCAAGGTGTAGCTTGTGGCTTTGACCTCTGCCCTCACCCTCGGGTGGCTACTGGAGTAGAGACTGTGCTGTCTTGGGTGCTGTCAAGGGGGATGAAGGTTGGGCCACCTAGCCAGGGCAGCCCTCTCTTTTGGGACTCTGCCCAACAGAAGGCAGACCTTAGACCTGCTGATGGCCCCATCCCAGAAACAGGTACCCCCAGACTGGCAGCCCCCTGCTGCATGGCATCTTGAGGAGAGGTGGGGGCTGTGCCCACTCAGGCAGGGACCATTCCCTGGTTGGCACAAAGCCCTATGTATGCTAGCAGTGGCCCTGCCCCATAGCCAGCTATACAAAGTGGGGTTCAGCAGCAGGCCGATGGAGGGAAGGACGGAGGCTGAGGTCTTCCATGGTGCCTGCTGACCCCTGCCCTGTATGGCCCAGGTCTCATTGGCTGGGCCCGACAGGACTGCAAACGAGATCAAGGTCACTGTGGGCAACCATGCTGGAAGAGCCTCTCACACAGACACAGAGAAGTGCCTGCACACTCAGGAGGGAACATGGGGAGGGTGTGGACTGAGGTGGCGGCCCTAGGCAGTCACCTGTACTTCCTAGAGTAAAGCTGGCTGATGCACCCACCATCTCCTGGGGGCAGCATGCCTGTGTGGAAGCACTGGAGAGCCGGTGAAATAGTTAAGAGATTTTATTCTAATAGCTATAATTACAGTGCTTGTTTGTCGAAATGAAAACTGAAAACAAGTATACAAAACAGTTGATTACTAATCGTGTATTGAAAGCAGTAAGAGGTTCCACGACACCAAATAGACCAGTTCTGAGGTTTCCCCAAGATAAATTTAACAGCTCCAGCTTCAGTGTTTATCAAAATACAAAAGAAAAAAGTAGAGGTTGTCTTTTTCGATGGCAAATCGGACCCTTGCAGGCTGAGGGAGAGAAAGCTACATCACACACAGAGGTGGGGTGCTCCCGAGGGGCTGTGGGTCTAGGTGGACCGCCTGCCCGGCTTGCACGCGCTCCTGCTGGTGAGGCCCCAGACATCCTGCCAAAGTGTCTGAGCGAGCACGAGTGTTGGGGACGACGGACCCACTCTGGCCACACGGCGACCGAGGGACAGATGGGGCCCTGCGTCCCATAGGCTGCCTGAAGGTGGGTAGGGCGGCCTGCGGCATAGTGGGGTGGCTGTGGGCTCCCAGCCTGGCCCCTGGGAACCGTGGGAGCACAGGGACAAGCACATGGCTATGGAATGCAGGGTGACCCAAGGACAAGCGAGTTGCGGGGATCTCTACTGTGACCATGCAGAATTGATCGCAGTCTGCTGCGCCACCACCACCTCATGTTCCCGAGGGGAACAGCTGGGCTGGCGACTGGCATCCAGGCCGTAACTGCAAATCTATGCTAGGCGGGGTCTCCCTTCTGTGTGTTCAAGTGTTCTCGACTTGGATTCTTAACTATTTTAAAAAATGCACTGAGTTTGGGTTAAAAACCAACCACCAAAATGGATTTCAACACAGCTCTAAAGCCAAGGGCGTGGCCGGCTCTCCCAACACAGCGACTCCTGGAGGCCAGGTGCCCATGGGCCTACATCCCCTCTCAGCACTGAACAGTGAGTTGATTTTTCTTTTTACAATAAAAAAAGCTGAGTAATATTGCATAGGAGTACCAGAAACTGCCTCATTGGAAACAAAAACTATTTACATTAAATAAAAAGCCTGGCCGCAGGCTGCGTCTGCCACATTTACAGCACGGTGCGATGCACACGGTGACCAAACCACGGAGGCAGCTTCTGGCACTCACACCACGAGCCGCACGTTTGCCACATGAGAGTAAAGCAGAGGGCAAGAGGAGTGAGAGGGAGGGGGGTCGCGTTCACTTCTGGTTCCGGAGCTGATTGGACAGCCAGTCCAGTCCTTCATAGAGCCCGTCGCCGCTGGTGGCGCAGGTGGCCTGAATGTACCAGTTCCTGTGGCGTAGTGAGTGCAGCCCCAGCTTGTCTGTGATCTCGGCCGCATTCATGGCGTTGGGGAGGTCCTGGGGGAAGGAAGGGTTGGTGGGAAGGGCTGTCCACAGGACAGAGAAAGGGGCCCCACCAGCCTCCAGTAACCCCTACCACCAGGCGGAACCCACACTGGCTCCTCACATTCCCCAGGCTGGCCCGGGCGCCTACCTGCTTGTTGGCGAACACCAGGAGGACAGCATCCCGGAGCTCGTCCTCGGCCAGCATCCTCATGAGCTCCTCACGGGCCTCGTTCACACGCTCTCTGTCATTGCTGTCCACCACGAAGATCAGGCCTGCCGGGCAGCCAGTGTCAAATGGTCATGGGAACACAGCCCCCCTGCCGCATCTATGGGCATCGATGCCCCATCTATGGGCTGGCCCCCCCTCTCTAGAAGCAGGAGTGCCCATGGGACCAGGCCCCAGCCACTTACCTTGTGTGTTCTGGAAGTAGTGGCGCCACAGGGGCCGGATCTTGTCCTGGCCACCCACGTCCCACACAGTGAAGCTGATGTTCTTGTACTCCACGGTTTCCACGTTGAAGCCTGGGTGCGGGATGCAGGGTGAGGCCTTGTACCTTGGCCCAGCCCAGCCCAGCCCACTCCCTGCTGGCCCCCACCTCACCTATGGTGGGAATGGTGGTCACGATCTCACCCAGCTTAAGCTTGTAGAGGATCGTGGTCTTCCCTGCAGCATCCAGGCCCACCATGAGGATGCGCATTTCTTTTTTGCCAAAAAGGCCCTTGAAGAGGTTGGCGAAGATGTTCCCCATGCTTGTGGACAGGTGGAAGGACACTGGCCAGGGACACCTGGAGAGACAAGGTGCTCCATGTCTGGTTCTGTGCTGCCCAGCAGTGGTTGCTCAGAACCCACCCACCCAGGGATGCACCACTGCCTCACCCCACCTCCTGGAAGCCTGCAGGGAAACAGGGAAAGAGCCCTGCCTCCCATGCCCCCCAAATCCACCTCAGGATGGGGGCTGAGGGAAAATGGCTGAGTCAGGAATTGAGAAACTGTTGCCCTCATCTTGGGAAGCTGTCCCCACAGCTGCATGGCCAGAAAGGCTGCCTCATCCCAGCCTATGCAGGAGGGGAGGCTGGCTGCCTGAGGACTGGCTTCCAGGTGCGTGCAAGGCTCCTCTACACCCCAACACAGAACCTTCCAGGGCCAGAGAGCACCACTCACTGTGCCTGCCCACACTCACAAGGACCAGAGCACACAGGGCCACGCCAGACTCAGCAGGACACCTTCAGGGACACACTCCCATGAGGACACAGCCTCGATGGGGCACGCCCGCCATGTCTGCCCCACACCGCAAGGGTAGGGGTTCCCTCAGCAGAACACAAATATCGGGGACAGCAATTAAGTCAGCTGGCACCCACCATCAGAGCCCTGCGGAGACTCCAGCAGGAAGGGCCTCCACTGCCCAGACGCCTCTGTGAGGACACTGAAGTTGTTAGGCTTTGGCCTCACTGGCCAGTGGGCAATTTCACGAATCAGGTGATTTTATCCCGAACAGGGACTTTAGAAAACACTGGTCACTTTCTGAAACAATGACTGCTTCTTCACTGCACCCGCAAGCGGGGCTTACCCCGAGTGAGGAAGGCTTCTGCCTTCAAGAGGACATGCCAGGAGCCTGTGAGCACACCCACCCCTCATCAGACCTCCTCCACCAGGGGTTCCACACACAGGTGGCTTTTGGCTGAATCACAGCCATGACTGTCCGCTGGTGACTCTCTCATCCAGTCACCCCAGCACGCTACGGCAAGGAAATGCCTCTTCTCCATTTCTCAACATCAGCAAGAGCCCACACATGCCTGTGTGTTTCAGTGGGTGTGAACTGGCCGCCCGTGTCTGATTTAACACTGCCATCATCCCAGATGAGCCACAGAACCCCTTCAAGCTGGATCAGTGTCCTTTGGACACTTTGCTCTTGGTTTTGAACATGTCACCTATTCTGAAATTTAAATGAGTTCTGAAATTTATAAGGACCTTCACTGTAGTGTTCCCTTTTTGGGGACGGCCAGGTTTTCTAAGCCCAGAGGAAGACCACCACCCATGGAGCACAGAAGAGACTGAATACCTGCCCTCTCAGTCCACTCCTGCAACCACTACCAATGAAGACACCAAAATGACACACACGCCTTGAAGGGCAGAGAGAAAAGGGAGGAAGACCTTGGATGTGATGATTGACCAGGCAGAGAAAACTGGACCGCCTGGGACCCAAGGGATGAAGCTGGGACTGCCTAGGGCAGCAATGTCCAATCTTGGCTACCCTGGGCCACAATGGAAGAAGAATTGTCTTGGACCACACACAAAATATACTAACACAACAGCTGGTGAACCAAACCAAAACAAAAACCCCCAAAATCTCAATGTTTTATTAGAAATTTGTGTTGGGTCGGGTTCAAAGCCATCCTGGGCCACATGCGGCCTAAGGGTTGGACAAGCTTGGTCTAGGGGAGCAGCTGCAGCAGGGCTTAGGCCTGCGCTGAGCCATGACAACACACTTGAGCCATGAAATTCCAGAATAATTCCTGAGAGTTCTATATGCCCCAGCAGATCCACACACAAGCAACTGGAGCTCCGCCCACCCCCACCCCCCACCAAGAGACAGGCCTGTCTGCCTTTGAAAGGCCACCAACATAAGAGACCCAAATATAAAAGGAATCTGCAAGGAGGCAACCAAGACAGGAGACTGAAGACAGAATACTATTTTAACAAAGGACAAGGAGAGAAACCTGATAGATACACAAATAGCTGAAAAGGAAAATTCAAAATGAAGGTGCTCAGAAGGCAGAACAAAAACAAACAGAATGAAAAAGGAAGATGAGGAGTAACTTAAGATATCAACCAACAGAAACCCTAAAAAGAAAGAACGTACGAAATTACGGGGTGAAATTTTTCCCTGTTCCAGAGTGGGGACCCAGGAATCTGGGCTTCGGCCTCAAAGGGCTGAAGCGCAAAGCCAAGGACCTAGATGAGACCCAATAAAGGTGCAAGGTGGACTCCAGAATGCACAGGGGCAAATGACACCTCTGATGCCCCAGAGAATGGAAGACTCTGAAACACTGCTTTCGAAACCCTTTAATTCTATACCCAGCCAAAGTATCCAACAAGTGTTAGGGGAGAATGAAAATAACTCCCAAACTGCAGGGCCTCAGATCTCTCACATGCTCCCTCCCTAAGAAGCTCCCCCAGGGAACCAGGGAGAGGATGCGAGCCCACAGCAACGTGGAGAGAGAGCAGCAGCCTAGCCAACCCCACATGGAGAGAGAGCAGCAGCCTAGCCAACCCCCTCAGACTGGAGCAGGAAGTGGACACCTGCAAGAATGGGGCACGCCACCTACGTATTCTTATTATGGGGTTGGGCAACTCTAGGCAATGCGGAAAAACTAATAATGACAGGTTCGCATGAAAAACCCAAGCATGAAATGGAACGAAAAGAGGGCCTTTTATGAGTTACTCCAGGAAAACATATGGTGGAGGATACTCAGGGAGTCCTGATGTTGTTATTACTAGGGGGTTGGAAAGCTGAGGCGAGGGTGTGTGGTGTCAAAGGCTTGTTAACTGTACAAGTTAACAAGTCTAGGAGGAATAAACCTAGGACACCAAGTCAGCAGGGACTCAGGAATAAGGGTCGCCTGCCAGTTGGGCAGAGGCAGCACCAGACTGCCACGACCACTGAAGCACAGCACTTGGGAGAATTGACAGTAACACCCAGCCACTCAGGGGAAGGGGTGTCACACCGTCACCAACCCCCTCGACCCCAGCACTGTCCGTGATCCACACATGCCTGCTGCCTCCTCATGCCCGGGGCAGTGCCGCCAACCATGCCCAGGAGATCATGCAGCCTGCAGGCAGTGGGGTTTGTGATGCCAGTAATCCCAGGCCCTCCCCATTGGTGGCTTTTTTTTTTTTTTTTTTTTTTGAGACAGAGTCTCACTCTGTCATCCAGGCTGGAGTGCAGTGGCTTGATCTCAGCTCACTGCAACCTCTCAGGTGCGATCTCGGCTCACTGCAACCTCTGCCTCCCAGGTTCGAGATTCTCTTGCCTCAGCTTCCCGAGTAGCTGGGACTACAGGCGCGTGCCACCACGCTGAGCTAATTTTTATTTTTATTTTTAGTAGAGACGGGGTTTCACCATGTTGGTCAGGGCTGGCCTCGAACCCCTGACCTCAGATGATCAGCCCACCTCGGCCTCCCAAAGTGCTGGGATTACAGGAGTGAGCCACCACGCCCGGATTTTTTTTTTTTTTTTTAACAGACCAAAGCGTTAAGAGTCCCCAAAGGAGGGAAGCCACCCTGCAATGGAATGGCAGAACCAGGATGGGTGAACCTGAAGTCTCAGGTGTCAAGACATCGGCACACAGACAGCTTGGTCTCTCCTACCGACAAGCACATCTGTGGCCCTGCTGCACATATGGGCAGAGGGTGGCTGGCACGTCCTGCCTCGGCATGTTCCAGCATCCCCACAGGACCCTATACCTGGCAGCCCCTACATCATTTACTGCTTCTGTGACAGATGGAGACCCAATAGAGTTTCCTAAGAGGGAGAAAGAGTCCACAGCAACCCCCACCCTCAATTCCAGGGCCTCTTGGTACGGGTCCTAACTTGTGTCATGCCCAGGCCAGGTGCTGTCACCCTTTCTTCCACCAGAGTCCCTGCACACAAGCCAAAACCCGCTTTTCAGGTTCATCGGAATTATCCTGTGGTAGGAGCAAACCTGACTTTCTCAGAGCCTTCCTGCTTGTACACAAGGGGACCCCTCACACTTTGAGAAGGGGCTGCCCAGCAGGAGGATGCCAGGAGCCACCAGTGGCTACTTCTCTTTCCTGACCACGCTGTGGGCTCCAACTCTGAGGAAAAAAAGTCTTTTAGGAAGAATGTTTCTTTCTTCAGTGAGGACCACAGACCAATGGTAAAGGTGGCCTTCAGGCATTACACCAAAGAACGGGACAGTCAACTCTGGCAGCTACATTCCCCGACACCTCACTGTGCCTGAACAGGGGCAGGGAGAAAATGTAGCTCTGTGAGTTCACATCCGTTTTGTGTCCATGAATGGATCCAACCAAACTGGTCCAGATGCACATGGGGTCCAGATGCCTCTGTGGCCTGTACCCAGACCACCAGCCAGTACTGTCCTCGGTCCCTTGCAGATCTCAGGGATACTTTGGCATGAGTCAGGGAAGGGAACAGGCGCAGGCGGAAGGTTGATCATCTCCCCCAACCTGTCAGAGCTGGTGTATGTAACAGAATCTCTAAGTGACCTGAACTGACAGGAACCAACAGAAAGACAGAGACACCTCCAACCTCTAGCACAGGACAAACAAGCTCCAGGTCCAAGATTCTGTTCTGCTGACTGACATCCACGAATGGGGCTCACATGATGTGCTCTGCTTACATGGAAAGCCAGTGACATCGAGAGTTCTCTTTTTGAGACAGGGCCTCACTCTGTCACCCAGGTTGGAATTCAGTGGTTCGATCACAGCCCATTGCAGCCTTGAGCTCCTGGGCTCAAGCGAACCTCCCACCTCAGCCTCCCAAGTGGCAGGGAATGCAAGGGCAAGCCACCATGCCTAGCTGATTTTTAATATTTTCTATAGACAGGGTCTCGCTATCCTGCCCAGGCTGATCTTGAACTCTTGGGCTCCAGTGATCCTCCTGCCCTGACCTCCACAGTAGTTGGGACTATGTGTGTGAGCCAATGCACCCCACCCAGAGTTCTTTTTCAAAAAGCTTTTATTAAAGTCAAGTTCACTGACAGATAAATTACACACATCTTTATAGTTCATAATCTCAGTTTTACTATCTAATCTGAGGAAACTGAACAAAGCTGATGACTTCCTGAAGGGACTCATGTACATTACATAACATTTTAAGAATTTCTGAGGAACAACAGCCTTTCAACAGTCATACATATAGTGTAGATGATCAATTTCGTGAAAGCCTGTGTTCATGTCCCACACGAAGATTTTCATTTTAAGGGAGTCCTTAAAATGAAATGCAATATGGCCATTTATTCTCACCTGCACAAGCTGCTGCTTGTTTACCACACCAGCCAAATAAAGCCTATGGTCATCACGCTACCCGCCAGCCAAATGCTCCATTTCTGTAGGCCTGACATTTTTCTGTGACTGAGCACTGCATTACATTTTGTCACTATTTTACCAAAACTCACGTAAAGGGAAAACTAAATGTGCCGATACTGGTGACAGGCAGACACATCTCACAGGCTGGCACAATTGTGACACAGGTGCGAATCAAAAGGCATGCTCAGAGGGGAAGACACATGACCGAGACACTCCACGCACCCAATCATGTTGAAGAGACTTGCAATCATGCAGATTGAGACAAAAGGATGGCACACACATTCTAGAACTCTTATTCTGGGCTGCATCTGAAGGCGAGTTCCACTGGGAGTCTGCTGTTTTTTTTACACAAGTTTCAGGATGTTTTTAGAGGAGCTCATTAGGCATTACAACTCGACACAGTGACCCCACAGCCATTAGGAGATGAGGGCTGCGAGGCACAAGGGTCCCCTCTAACACATCTGCTGCTGGCCTTGAGTTAAGGGAGGGCATTATCTATCAGGTCTGACTTTCAGGTGGGGCAATCAGTGAAATTCAGTTTAGATCACTGTTTGTCAGCTTAAAATTCAAGGTGATATCTTAAATCAGTTTGTGTACTGACAGCCAGAAATGAATTCCATTTTTGTGATTCCACCTCATGGACTGAGTTCTGGGACTATAGCTAATGTGAACACCAAAGAACCGTTGCCCACTAGCTAATGTAAACACCAAAGAACCATTACCTGCTTATTTGTGTATTTCTTGCTTCTTGGTATTTGTGAAGTGTTACTTCAAAGCACCTCACCAAACGTAAGTCCTTCTGAAATCTGCAGATGCACAGCTCTAACCACACACCAGGTGGACTCCCAGGGCTGCTGAAGGCAGTGTCTCATGACCTCTGACCACAGCTACAATGAAGGACTTGCACTGGCTGTGCACATGGCATCATGGCAAATGCTCTCCAGTCCTTTGTGCTGCCCCAGCCCTGCTCTCTCAGTGATGGGACTCTGGTCTGTCACTGAGCACAAGGCCCTCTAGAATAAAACCCCTGTTTCCTGGCCTCCCTGCAGCTGTGCACACCCCGTGAGTCAGCTTTGTCCATGGATGCTTACACAAGGACATGGAAGGGGCAGCAGAGCCTGGGGCCTACCAGTATTTCTACTCTGGCAGGCAGGGTGCAGTTGGCCTCTACCTGGCCCCCAGTGCAGTGGCTGATGGACTGGCCACTGGGAAAACCAAGACCAAAAACGCAAACCCACATTAGCCCCCAACACTGAAACTCACAACACAAGCTGAGAATAAGGAACCTGCAGGGATTTAACACTGCAACGAGGAACAGCTAAGAAACACAGCACCCCTACCCCCACCTCTCCCTGCAGGTGACAGCTGCCGGGAGAGTACTTCAACCAGCCCCGTCCCCAGGGCCAAAGAACCAGCAGTTTGAGGTCAGTTTGGTGCCCACAGGGGAGACCCTGTCTCCACAGGGCTTCTGACCAGAACCCCAACTCCTAGGTGAGGTCCCAATGCCCTGGATCATGGCCCAGTCCAATTCTGCCAGGCGCCTATGCTGTGCCCAAGGGCTCTTCCAACTTGAGGGCAGGCACTCCCAGGGGCCTGGGCCCTTGTGCTTCACTCTCTCCCATGCATGCTAAACAGCGAATGACTGTGCGATGGCACAGCACCAAGCCAAGAGGGCAGGACGAGTGTCCACATCCCAACCATCTGCTAGCAGTGCGTTCCCCTGTACCTCACATGGAGGCCGCTGGTTCCAGCAATGACCAGAGGCTGAGTCCACAGTGCCCATCTCAGCATGGTCAGCGCACACGTAGCGGAGCTATCTGATGTGACAATGCTACCCTGGTTTTCAGGGGAGTGGCAAGAACCCAGGAAGAGAGGGTGATACTCAGTTTTGCCAGTTCACTTCCTGAACTACACACTCACCACAGACATGCTGGGCACTGAGCTACTGCCAGGCACTGTTCTGGACGAACATAGGCCCACCATTGTGTGGGGCTGGGGGATCCAGGGCCCTGAAGGCCCCTTTCTACACCACTTGAAAAAAAAAAGGGGAACTGGAACAGCACACTGCTGGTGTTGCTGTCATAAACTGGGAGAGCAAGTTGCTCCTTCCTCCAACCACTAGAAGGGGGTGGGGCCCTTGTAGCTTCTCCGCACCAGGTTAAAGAAAATTAATGCAATGGCTGCACCAGTGATTGAGCCAATGCCTAAAACTTGATTTCTGCCTTCAAGAAACGTTCATTTTAAAAATGTAGGCTGAGGGGAAACACCACACAAAGACTTGCTCTTCCAGAGAAATCAAAAGCGAAGTGCAACAATGGGAGTGGGAACCATCACCAGGTTTCCCCCAGCTTTGGGACGAGCACCACCTTGCCACCCCACCCCACTCTGGTCAGTCAGACATGTAAAGAGACGGGGATGCCCCCCCACAGACCCTGGGAGGCCACCGCCCTTGCAGGAAATCCTCGCTTCTGGAGGCACTCCAGACCTAGGTGAGAGAAAGGCACACCCCGGGGACACTCTGGGGACCTCCCTTCAAGTGACCTAGTTCTCACACACACGCTGGCATCTGCCCTGCTCTCCAGGTGATGGTGGCCCCTACACAACGACCCCACATTTCTCTTCAAGACTTTAGACCCTCCTCCCAATTCCTGCCCCTTGACAGCCAGCTTTGCAGCCGAAACCCCCCTCCCAAACCCAACAGGCATTCTCCGCTGTGATGCGAGTAGCCTCCCTCCTGTTCCCCAGGCAAGAACCCCGTCTCCAGCCTCCTCCTGCGTGTTCTCAGCACACCAGTCAGCCAGGTGACCCGATGTTCTACTCAGAGCTGCCCCACGGCTGCCGCCCGATCAGGTCCTTGCAATAGGCTGCCTTGGTCCACAACATAATGCCCACACTGTGCTCTAAATGCTGCCTCTGGCAACCCAAAAGGAAGTAGAGACAGCATCCCAGCACTCGCACAAGACGGCAGAGAACCACTGCTCTGTCCCAACTATGATGCAATGGGGAGTAAAGGAAAGTGACTTCACAACCACGCTAGAGGACCAAGGGTGGCGGCCAGAGAACCACCCTTACCAGGCTGCTCATGCACTGACACCACCAACCTCAAGGGCAAGCCATGTCCATGAAGCAACTACTGTAGCTTTTCCTTCTGGAAACTGAATTCTTGCTGTGATTCTGAAGAGAACAATACACAGTCATCTTTGATTTATAAGGTGATTTTGTTCCTGGAACTTCAGAACACCTGTTAAAACTATGCACAAAAATTTTTTTTTCATATTTATAACAGGTCTGGGACATCAGACGACCTCCCCTACATGAAGGTCAGACAGGAAGTGTTCTTGCCACTGCCAAAGGTGCCAGTGCTGCCACCCAAAAATGCCACCACAGATTACCAAATTCCTTTTTCTGGGAACCGCGGACCCCCTCCGAGGGCCACTGCACACCCCAGCAGGCTTCCCACCCAGTATGCACCCTACTCCTGACAGGTCTCCAAACTCTGCCAGCCAGCGCACTCACCTCAGGGATTCTGCCCTGATTGTCCCGGGCCACTCCTTCACATCTCTGCTCACATGGCACCTGTCAAATGACACTCAGCCCCTTCCGGATGGTCCTGGTATCTCCCTGCCTTCCCTCCACCAGTGTGGGCAGCTCTGTGTGGCACTCACCGTCACAGCCACTGCCCCCGTGGAGCCTCATGCTCATCAAGCAGGGCTTCCTTTGCCCAGAACAGGCCTTCCTCCCCAGCCTCCCACCCTCTTCCGCTGGGCACTGCACAAGTGACTCACCACCAAGGAGAGGAGAAAACAATGGCAAAAGAATGTTTATCAGGCCCATAGGGCTCATGAAGATCAACTGTACACATCTGCAGATGTGCTTTCCCTAAAAATTAAGTTCGTCACGAAAAACCTATCGCATCAACAAGGAATTGCATGCTTTTTAAAAACTGTACTCATGTGTGGGTCAGTCTGAACATTCTTTTGACCATAAAAATGTGGGAAAATGGGGTTGTAGATGCTGTTAACTACTGAAGGCAAAAGTGTGGCAGCTCAGTGATGTCAGACACAAGAGGGAGGGAAGGATGTGTGTTCAAAATCTGTTTTCTAAACCTGCCCCCAGGTCCTCAGCTGATGAGTAGGTATAAATTTTTTTAAGAGCTAAGGGTCCTGCTCTGTTACTCAAGCTGGAGTGCAGTGGTTATGATCACAGCTCACTGCAACCTTGACCTCCTAGGTTCAAGTGATCCACTCTCCTGCCTCAGCCTCCCAAGTAGATTGCACTACACAGGTGTGAGCCACAGTGCCTGGCTAGTACAAATATTTTAAGGAAAATGTCACCACCAAAATTGCCAGAAGATGTATTCATAGTATTTTAAATATAAATCAATAAATTTGATTGGTGAGTGAGCAACTGCATTCCCATCTACAGAAGGTACAAAGCACAGGCACATCTAACTGCCTCCGTTCCCAATCCCCAGGATGAGTATAGATGATAGCTTCTTGGCCATTTGTACCTAAATCAAACCTATAAAATACTTAAAAGTTTCCCGCATAGCGTATATGGTACTGCAAAAATAACTTGCTGTATGACACAAATGGAAAGATGTCTCATGTCTAGCCATGCTACCACTGGAAGCCCTTTGGAAATGAATCTTTCTAGCTTGCTGGCATCCCTTCAGGGAGTAAAAACTATTTTAATACATTCTGCCTAGAAGGCTTTCAAAATATACTATTTTGAGGACATAGGAAAACCCAAACTCAGTTTCTCACACACTCTTATAACACAGGTCGCTTCTCACACCACATGAGCAGGGGTTTCTCCCTACATGCCAAGCAAGCAACCAGTTCTGCGTTCTGCAGCAGACACCAGCTAGGTGTCGTTTAATTCAGTTCAATTCTGACACTGTCTACCTGGAGGCAATCACAAACTCCAGGTTATTTTACCTGTGCTTCTGGACAGCCATCTATAAATCAGGGTTCCCATAACTCCTTCCCCTTGGGTTCAATTAATTTGCTAGAGTGGCTCACAGAACTCAGAAAAACACTAAAGGTTACTGGTTTTTCATAAAGGATGTTACAAAGGATACAGATGGAGAGATGCAGTGGGCGGTGTATGAGGGAAGAGACACGGCGCTACCTTTCCCTCCTGGCTGTGCCATTCTCCAGGAACCTCCATGAATTCAGCTTTCTGGAAGCTCTCTGAAAACCCAGGCAGGCCTTTCGGGTATTTCCCATCAACAAGGAATTTCATGCTGTTTCTTTTTTTTCTTTTTTTTTTTTTTGAGACAAAGTCTCGCTCTGTTGCCCAGGCTGGAGTGCAGTGGCGCGATCTCTGCTCCCTGCAAGCTCCACCTCCCGGGTTCACGCCATTCTCCTGCCCCAGCCTCCCGGGTAGCTGGGACTACAGGTGCACACCACCACACCTGGCCTATTTTTTTGTATTTTTAGTAGAGTCGGGGTATCACCATGTTCGCCAGGATGGTCTCAATCTCCTGACCTCATGATCCACCCGCCTCAGCCTCCCAAAGTGCTGGGATTACAGGCGTGAGGCACTACGCCCAGCCTCATGCTGTTTCAAAATTGTACTTAAGTGTGGTTCAGTCTGAACATTCCTTTGTACAAATGTGGAAACACGGGGCTGTAGATGCTGTTAACTACTGAAGGCAAAAGTGTGACTTCATGGTATAGGTGTGATTGATTAAATTATTGGCTATTGGTGACCAGCTCAATCTTCAGTCCCTCTCCACTCTGGGAAAATTGGAGGGTGGGGCTGAAACCCTCTAATCCTGCCTTGGCCCTGTGACTAGCCCTACCCTGAAGTTTCGTAGGGGCTGCCCATCACTGGTCAACTCATTAGGGTACAAAAAGACATCATCACTTCGGAGATTCCAAGTATTTTAGCCAGGAAATGGGAGGCAGGCCAGATATGTATTTTGCAATCCACAACTATAGACTTCTAACTTCCTGAAATGTTCATGGACTGAATCAACTCTCCTGTCCACTTCATGCTGTACACCAGCAGTGAGCCCTGGGCCTCAAGGGTGTGGGAGAATGTCTGCCTTCTAAACAGAATCATTTTCAATTGCTGTGCCTGTGAAAATCTGCCTGCCTTTTATGCTTTCCCTGTCTCTTCTCTTGTCATTTAGGCTTCTCCTGTTATCAGGGCCTGTAAGAAGCACCACCCTTCCCAGTCTGTTGGCTGACAACCGGCTGCAAGCCCTTGTTACCACTGTGTGAGAACCAGGAAACCAGGATTAGTCAAGGACTTTATGGCTTATCAGCCAGCCTCACTGTCTCCCCATCCCTGTAGGTGGCTGAGTGACAGGACCCTGGGGGAGGACCTGAGAGCCTCCTGGGAACAAAGAGCATCCAGGACATGTCTGTCAAGTCGCTAACAAGGTCATCTGACCCACCTGAGAATGTGAAACTACCTATCTGGACGGTGCGGCAGCTGCGCAGCTGTAAGGCAATAAATGCAACTATGCCTTAGAGAGCTTGTAACAATCACAGGAGAATATTAACCTGAGGATGAAGGCAAGTCCTGGAATCCCAACATGAAGGGGCCAAATCTTTTCCAAAAGACCACTTCAGACGCTACGGGCAGAATGCCCCTACCAACCATCCACGCCAATGAGGAGCAGGCACAACACAGAAAACACAAGTTCTCATAATTTAAGATCCCCACTGCGAGGCCTTTTCGTGTTTCTCTCCCAATTATCTTTGACAGTGCACTCTATTTCCTTTCACCCTCTTGAATTTACGGAGGTGAAAGGTCAAGGGGAGAGAATGCCTATGAGAGACAGTATGGGCCCGCCAGCCCAGGCTGGCTGCAGCCTCTTGCTCAGGAGAATGGTCACAGCTCAGGAAGAAGTGTGTAGGAAAGCTTGGTGGAGCCTGGCCTGTGAGTAACAGCAGGTTTAAATACACCAAGGAGACATTTAATTTGAAGAATCTAAAAAGAACTGCTTCAGTTCTCTGAAACCATGGTCATATACTACTCCACGTGTGAACTTGCACAAGTTTTTTTCTCTTAGGTCTACTTCCATGATCACCGCAGCGGCTGACAGTCCATATTAAATTCTACTGAACTGAAAAATGAAAGGTCAAATGCATCTTCCTATAGTTTCAAGCCTGTCTGGTCCGTAGGGGCAGATGAGCAGTTGAAGATGTCTGAATGTCCTCTCCATATTGTGCAAGAGGTACAGCCCATAGCTAGACCACATGATGTACAAAACCAGAACTGTGAGGGGCACAGAACCAGTTTTTGCTTTTCACTCACAGTCATTGTGTGACTCAGCTGTTGTCCAAACCAACTGTTTCAAATCTTTTTCAACTAGCAAATCCGAAAATCTGCCTCACAGGCAACAGCATATTCCTACTGCTGCAGTGATTTGGATTTATTTTCAACAAGATACGCCTGAAGACAAGTGACAGCTATTCTCCAGTCTACCAACATGTGAAAACATGGACAACACACTCTAACAATGTGTCCAATGAGATGTGTGACTAACATTTACACTACTCAATTCTTCTCAATTTTGGACCCAGCTAATAGTACGGCATTTCAGGACCTTATGGTTCTGGCTACCTAGGCAGTGCTGGTGAAAATTCAAATTAAATGAGGACACCATCCATGCGGTCACACGTGTTAGACAATGGCTAACGCAACAGCAGAGGGCCACAGGGGCCGCACACAACTGCACCGCGGCATCTCACACTCCTCCCAACACACTGCGGAAAACGCCAGAACCACCAGCCTTGCAACAGCCGGCAAAGAAAACTGCTGACCACTAGTTCTGAAACAAGAACTACAACTGCCCACTCCAACAGGGGCAGTGGCACCAACTCTACAGCTCTCAACTAGGCGGCGACTTCGGGGACCATCCAAAGCCTCCGACCTCCCTTCTTTTCCTGCCCGCGATTCCGAGTGCATTTCTGCTCAATTCCTGCAAAGCAGCAACTGGCTGCCTGGACTGAAAGGGAGTGCCAGGAGGTGCCGTCGGAATGGTTATTTAACACTCTAGGTGCGCACGGCTGTCCAGCCCCAATCTCACACGCCGTAACCACCCAGGCTGTGCTCCGAGAGAGCGCTGGGGCCGGCCTCTGCGGCCTAGAGTCTGCGAGCAGGTCGTTCCGCAGGCAGGTTAAAGATTCAGGTAGGTTAAAGATTCACCAGCTCAGAAGAGGCCTTCTTATCTACTGCCGACAACGTCAAGGAAACCACCCTGGAGTTAAAGCGAAGATCGACCGGCCCTCTGGAGGCCACCGGTGCCCTGAGTGCTGACCCCAAATTGCGTCTCACTGGTGTGAAGGGAGGCACTCTGGGCTCCCCCGGAGGTCCACGCATTCCGTTCAGCAGACAGGGAAGGGCACGGGGTTCCTGTCCACCTGCCCGCCCGCTCTCACCACCCCTGACCCGGTACCGTCTTCACAGCAAACACGAACTGGATGGAGTCGGGAGGCGAAGATGCAAGCCCCCACCACCTACATGACCTTGACGGCGTCTCAGGCCGCCCGAGCCTCAGTTTCCCGGTCCCCGAGGCGGGGGTCCGCCCGGATGCCGCTCGCTCGCCTGTACTCGGGTGGGGGAGGCCCCACGACCCCCACCGGCCCCCGCGGCCGCTAATCCCAACCGTCCACGCGCGGGCGGCCTCGGGAAACGAGAAAGGCAGAGGCGAGGGAAGCAGGAAGCCCAGGTTTCCTGGAGAAGAGCCCGGCGTCCAAGCGGACTTCCGGGCGACGGGCGGGGGCAGGGACAGGCAGAGGAGGACAAGCGGCCGCGAGCGACTTCGGGAACCTGTGAGGGGTGCGAGGAGCTCACCGACCCGCCCGTCCGCCCAGCCCCGACTCCGGCCGGGCCCCAGCCTCAGCCCGGCCCGTCTGCGTCCGCCCCCGGCCCGGCCCTGTCGCCGCCGCCGCCGCGGGGGTCGACGTGCCCTTCGCGAACCTCAAGTCGCCCCGAGGCCAGTCCCCAGCCCCCGCCGGCTCCAACGTCTCTGCGGCCCACACCGGCCCGCGCCCCTCGCCCTCACCTCAGAGGCTGCTGCTCCGAGCCAGGCGTTGGTTTTGCTCCCACAAGATGGCGGCTCTGACGGCGGCCACGTCAGCGCCTCCGGGCGCGGGGCACGCCGGGTAAGGGGCGGAGACGCCGGGAACTCCGCCCACCGTGCGCCCGCGACGCAGGCGCGCTGGCTCCGGTAGGGCTGCAGGGGGCGGGGCCGGGGACACCCTGCCCCGGGCCGCGGTCTTAGCTCGCGCGCACCCTAGGGGCGCGCACCCGTCTGCGCCTGCGCCTGTGAGTCTTCCGCGAAGACAGCCTGTGGCTCACTCCCGCCCGTTTGGCGTATTTGGAGACTGAGGCCCGGGGGGCTCCTGCAGCAACTGGAGCTGCGGGGCTGGTTGCCACCTTCCTCCTCCCACACCCGGCAGTCACCGGGAGGCCTCGGGGACTGCGTGAGGACGGGGGTGCGAGGCGCCCCTCGCCGGGGTTGGGGTTCCTGGCTCCCAGGCTGCGCGGGTCCACGTGCCCCGGCCCTGTGGAAACCTGTGGCACTCGCGGGGCCACGGCGGAAGGTCCGAAGGCGGGAGGCTTGCTGTGTCCCCGCACTGGCCTCGGCGCCCCGGCGGCCGCAGTGACGCGCGGGCTCATACCTGGGCCCGGAGCAGACGCCGGGGAGCTGGCCGCAGATGAAGCAAAGGAGGAGGTGGCCTGGGGACCCCGGGGTGAGGCGGGGGCCGTGGGGGTGGGGCCCAGGGTTGGGGACGGCCGCCCAGAAGGGAGGTCACAGTGGTCTCTAATGAGCTGGCCTTTAAGCTGAGATCCAGTTGAGGCGGAGGAGATCCCGCTCTCAGGCACCTGAACAGAGGACCGTTGCAGTCCCTCTGTGTTCCGTGTGCTGGAGGCCTGGCTCTGCCCACCACCCTCAGGTCTTCTTGCCTCTTCCCTTGTGCTGCTGTGAGGGGTTGGGCTTGTGGGAAAGTGTCCCTGCAGCACAGTGCCCTGGGTATTGTGGAGGTCGGGAATCAACCTGATTTGTGCAGGCCGAGGCCCGGGGGCAGGGCCTGAGGGGTGGGATCACTGGGCCTGGCCCAGGCCTCCTGCGCCCCTTTGCTGCCCCCATCACCTACGTTGCTTGCCCCTTGGGCAGGGCGTCCTCACTGCCTCTGGAGGCTGCGATGGGCAGATCTCTCCCCCAGGGCTGCACCTGCGGGGGCTACGAAGGTCCCCAAAAGCGGTGACCCTCCTGCCCCCAAATTTAGTCCCTTTTTCTGCCTGGGGCTCCCTTCCGAAATCTCACCTCTGTGAAGCTGTGGCAGGGTTGTCTGTTTAGGGGAAGGACGTCTCCCACCCTACAGGCATCTCAGATACTCTTGGAAAGCCCCAGGGAGGGTTGTGGATGCCTGTGGAACCTTCTGGTTGTGCTGCCTCTCCCTGCTCAGCCAGAGCGGGGCCATGTGCGGACATTTCACGGGGGTTACATGTGGTTATGGCCTCTTTAGGGCTGAAGGGACCTGGCTTTGGTTCTCTGCTGGCAGAGCGTGGCCAGGGGTGGCTCCAGGGTCACTGAGCGGGGATTGTGTGGGAACCAGAGCCTGCCTCCCCTTCCTTTAAAATACTTTTTATTTATTTATTTATTTTTGAGATGGAGTCTTGCTCTGTCGCCCATACTGGAGTGCAGTGACACAATCTTGGCTCACTGCAATCTCCGCCTCCCGGGTTCAAGCAATTCTCCTGCCTCAGCCTCCCAAGTAGCTGGGATTACAGGCGCCTGCCCCTATGCCCAGCTAATTTTTGTATTTTTAGTGGAGACAGGGTTTCACCATGTTGGCCATGGCTGGTCTCGAACTCCTGACCTCAGGTGATCCACCCGCCTCGGCCTCCCAAGGTGCTGGGATTACAAGTGTGAGCCACCGTGCCTGGCCCCTTTAAAATATATATTTTTTAATGTGAAAAAATGCAGACAGGAAAGAGTGTATGTCAGATACATGCACAGTTTAAAAAGTAATAAAATGGATTCCTGTATAGCCAGCCCTAGGGTTAAGAAATGTACCTTCCCCAGCCTGGGCAACATAATCTCTACAAAAATTTTACAAAGATAGCCAGGTGTGGTGGCACACACCTGTAGTCCCAGCTACTTGGGAGGCTGAGGTGGGAGGATCGCTTGGGCCCAGAAGTTCAAGGTTACAGTGACCTAGTAGGACTGTGCCACTGCACTCCAGCCTGGGTGACAGAGTGAGACCCTGTCTGAAAATAATAATAATAAAAAGTCCCTTCCTGCTGATTCTGTGCTCCTGGTTTGGGCTCCCCACCACCACCGGGGCAAAGATGATGTCTTCAGGCCAAACAGGCGCAGGGGAGCCCAGGTAGTCACACCCAGATTTCTGCCCCTGGAAGGAGACCCACTAGGGAGTTAAGAAGTGTCAGGCAGTGAGTTCCTGGGGTAATTGAGGCCCAGGTGCTCCCCCAACGCTGCCTAGGGAGTAGGGATCCCTTTCTCTCTCCTCTGAGGTCCCTGGGATCAGATGAGGTTTAGCCAAGAGGGGTGGGATGAGCTGACTGGAGGGAGGGGTTTGGGGGCCAGGCTGGGCAGGGACCCTCCAGCCTTCGTGGCCGCCTCCATTGTCAGTCTCAAAGACGCCAGCTCAGGTTGGGCTGGGCTTCTCTCCTCTGGGGGTGGCTGCACCCGAGAACCAGGTCAGAGACAGGGATGCCAAACAACAGAACGGGCTGGCCTCCTAGGGAAGGTGGCTGGAAGGACAGATGGGCTGTCTGGGGCAAAGGAGCAGGAATACCCATGTGGGAGACCTAGTAGGCAGCCATTGTGGCTAGGTGAAGGGGACCCCAGCCCACCTCAGGCCTGGCAGGCACTTTGGTCAACCTCTGAGTGCAGGGCTATGAAGTGTGCGGCATTTGAGCCAGGCCACAGATGTTCAGAGAGGTCTCACACGTACCTGATGTCACACAGCTAGGATGGAACCCCTCTGGAGCTTGACTACTCCATGCCCAAGTCTGCTTATTGCCAACACCTTTACTCTTTCCCCAGCCCTGCCCTCCCTCTTGGGGAACAAGCACTTTGGTGCCTCTGCAGACTGCAATGTTATCTTGGATTCCTCCAGTGATGGGGAGCTCACTACTACACCAGGCATCCCAGGACAGAGTTCACCTCTCTGGATATCCTGCCCCACTCTGTCTCCAACATGGTTGCTCTGCCCGCTCTCTCTGTTGGGAGACTCTAGGTGGGCTAAAGCTGGAGAATCACACTGCAAGATGCCAGGGTGTTCTGCAGGGTGGCGCTGCCTCCACCAGAGTCAGTACTTCCTCCTCACGCTCAGGGCTTAGTCCAAACACTCAACCTCTAAGACCTGTGGCAGGAAGAACTCATACCCTTAAAGACTTCTCTGGGGGGTGAGGTGGGGATAGGACCCTGCTGTCCCCTCTGCCTGGCCCTGTTTCCTTCTTCCCCAGACCCCTACCCAAAGCCTACCCTCTGGCTGGTCACACCACAGGACCTGGAGCACGCCACAGGAATTATTACGGCTATGCTGACTGCATGGGCCCTGGGAGAAGCCCCCACCTCCCAGCTCAGGGTGGCCCTGCCCTGCCTTCTGGGCCTGGGCTGGGGTCTGGGGTCATTCGGGAAGCCGGTGGCCAGTGGTGAGGGTCCCAGCGGCTTGCCTGCACTACACAGTGGCTTAGGAAATTACAGTTGAGTTCCGTGAACTCCAGGGAGTTTGCTCACAGTCGTCTGATTTCTGGTCCTTTTAAAGCATCACCTGTTTCCCCTTATATTCACTCCGGCCTCAGTTTCCCCATCTCCTGCCAGCCCTCCAAACCTCAGATGAAAGCCTAGAGCTGCACATGTCCCTCCCCTGGACTAGCTCTCAGGGGACCTTGTTTTCCCAGGCAGGCTGGCTTCTCAGGGAAAGGACTGTTTTCTCTCTGGTTCCAGCCTATTGTCATGCCTGGGTGGACAAATGGGGAGCCGGTGAGGTGAGCACCCTGGGGAGGGATTGCAGAAAAGCACATCTTGGCTCTTCTTAACCTCTGAGTGACATTTAGCATTTCCTCCCATCTTAAATGCAAGCAGCATTCCCCAAAAGCAGTATTAGCAATACCTGTGGTTTTTGTTGCTGAAATATCAGAACTTTTCATCTCAGAGCTGTTGCATGAAATCTGTAAATATTTTCTCTCTTTTTTATTTTTATTTTTAAAGACAAGGTATTGCTTTGTTGCTTGGGCTGGTATTGAACTGGGAAAATGACCCTCCTAACCCAGCCTCCCAAAATGCTGGCAGTACAGGGGGGTACCACCACGCCTGGCTGGAAATATTGTTTATACTCCTCGATCAACTGGAGTGACAGAGGCGGCCTGGTTTTATCATTTCAGGTGCTAATAACAAAAGAAGTTCTGACTCTGGGTACATGTACCGATCCACTCCTCCTATCAGGATAACAAAATACCTGGCATCCCCAAAGTGACATGCCACAAGTCTTAAAGTGTCTGATGGCACCATTTCCCCAGTCCCGTGCATCACTTATCGTAGGCATTGGTGAAACCCCACTTGTCAGCTAGAGTGGTCCCTGCCTGCACACATGAGCCTTCTGCCTGTCCTGGACTCAGACAGTGGCCCTGACTGTGGGCCTCTGCCTACTTTCGGACACTCCCTTCTGCCCGTGGGACTTGGGCAAGTTGTCTACCTGCCAACTCCCCACCCTAGTACCTCCCCCTCCTTCCTTCCTTCCCTCCCTCCCTCCCTCCTTCCCTCCTTCCTTCCTTCCTTCCTTCTTTCTGTCACCCCAGCTGGAGTGCAGTGGCATGATCATGGCTACTTGAGCCTTGAGACCCCCGGGGGGATCCTGGGGGAGAGGGATCTTTCCGGTCTACTTCCAGGCTGGATGTCAGAACCTGGGATTCTGTAAAGTGACCAACTTTGCCCTACAGCTCAAGGCCTGCCTGGGATCTCCTTGGCCACCGTCGAGACCTGTATCTGAGCTCAGAGCCCTGGGAATGCACTGGGTGCTGCCCCACGGCTTTGAAGAGACATGGCTGAAGGTGTGGAGCTACTTTGCTCTAGGGCCTTTTTGAGTCAGAGCTCTCTGGGGGCAACCAGGGACTGGGAGACAGACGGGGTCTGTGGCAGGGGACACAGCCAGGCCAGTGGCAGGGGCCAACACAGAACAGATTGCATCTCCAAATGTGGAAGCATCTTGGCAGTGAGCTACCATTGCTGTGGGCATACAAGAGGCTAAGCAGACTTTTGACAAAAGGCTCTGCTTGTCGGGGGTTGTTGGCATCAAGTAAGGCTTGTTTAAGGCGATCCTTGTGCGGCAGGAAGTCAGAGATGGGAGAGATGTGTTGGTGAGGAAAGCTGGTTGGGGGGCTTCCCTTTGTCCTTAGAGAATGACTGAGTGTGCCCCGTTTGGGAAGGGCCATGTGGGTGAAGGGGCAGGGGTCTCATCTGGATGAGGCCTGGAGGTGGGTGCGAGAGAGGTTCCACATGGAGGTGTGATGAGGACACCAGCAGGAGGCTGACCAGGGCATGGGGCCATGGCAACGCCTGGGTGACGTCCCTATGAGGTGGCGGGGCTGGGAGTGAGGAAGGGCCAGGCCCCCACGGATGGGGGAAAGGGAGAGGCACATTGTGAAGGTGCCTGCCGGGCTCCTCCTGGGTGAAGCTTTTCTCTTGAGACCCACCTCCAGGTTTTAGGGGGCTGGGGTCTGCACCTCTCTTTCAGGGCTTCCTTTTCACCTTCCAAGCTTCCAGGCAGAGGCTAGCAGGAGAGGTACGCCTGGGCTGGGGGCCTTGTCTCCAAGATGCATCACAGACTCACTCTGTGTGTGACCTTCCCAGCTTGGGGCTGCACGGAGCAGTAATGTCTCAAAATGATACTGGGGACTCCTATAGGGTGGTCAACTTTTCACTACCCCAGAGAAGGACACTAAAATCAAAGTGGCCAGGCATGGTAGCTCAGCCTGTAATCCCAGCACATTGAGAGGCTGAGACAGGAGGATCACGAGCTCAGGAATTTGAGACCAGCATGGGCAACATAGTGAGACCCCGTCTCTACAAAACATTAAAAACTTAGCTGAGTGTCTTGATGTATATATACTCCCAGCTACTCAGGAGGCTGAGGCAGGAGGATCACTTGAGGCCAGGAGTTCGAGGCTGCAGTGAGCCCTGATCATGCCACTGCACTCTAGCCTGCACTGCACTCTAGCGAGACTCTGTCTCCAACAAAAAAAGAACAAAAAACCAAATGGATCTTGTTCCGCATAGGGCAGACAGGACCCAGAGGACACAGCAGTCCACAACAAAGGCACTGGATTCTGAATGGCCCCTGTCTTGTTTGGGGAGAGGGGAACTGTTGGTCCCCGTCTGTGTTCCGAGGCTTGGTGACAAATTCTAGCAAACCTTAGTGGTTTAAAACAGCAGTCCACATAGATGGTCTCTCACAGTTCCTGGGAAGCAGGACCCTGGGCTCCATGGCAACCTGGTTCTGCTCTAAGGTCTCAACTGAGGTGTCAGTGCCTGGGTTTACCTCGAAGGTATTGTAGTGGGGTAGGTTGGGCACCCCCCTTCACATCCAGCTGGAGCCTTGGAGCAGGACCTCCTGTAGAACCAGGGTCTTGGCAGACATCCTCAATGAGTGACGTCGAGACCAGGCCATCCTGGATTAGGGTGGGCCCTGGACCCGTAACAGGTGATCGTCTAAGAGAAAGAGGAGGGGGATCTGAGATGCACAGATCGGGAACCAGCCATGAAGACAGGCCAGAGACTGGAGTGTGTGGCCATGCGCCTGAGGCACCTGAGCCACCAGGAGCTGGAGGAGGCTGTGCAGGGTCCTCCCCAGAACCTTTGGAGGGAGCATGCCCGGGACACCTCAATGTGGGGCTTCTGGCTGCAGAGTTGCGAGGAAATACCTCCCTTGCTGTTGTGAACCACCCAGGTTGTGGTAACTTGCTGTGGCCACCCTGTGATGCCAGTATACCTCCTTCCCTCATGTCTGGTGCCAAGGCCGGGAGAGTCAAATACCTGGGGCTAAAAGCATTGGGGTTCCTCAGATGATCCTCTTTGCACCCCTGCATAGGGTGTCTGCCCACACGGCCTCAGGGTCATGAGTTTTCTGCAGGCAGCCACCTGACCTGTCCAGCCGGACATGTGTCTCCCCCATGGGTCAGTTTGGGCAGCAGGTTGGGTCCCGTGTAAGGCTCAGGGCTGCTGGGCTCTGATGTCACCTGTTGCCACGGTGACTCTGGTTGCTAGGATCAGACTACTCCCTTCCTGGGCACACTGTATCCCGAATCCCCAGAAGAACCAAGGGGATCCCCCAGCACAAGGCTCGTTGGGGAGGGAGTCCTTGGCGCTCAGATTTGAGAGAGAGAGTCGGGGCTGGCCAGGGGGCGTGGCTTGGGCAGAGGAGAGTGCTCATGGTGACCCTGGAGGAGACCCTCCCTTCCCTCGTTCATTGCTCCCAAGGCCAGGTGTCTCTAAAGGAAGCCAGTTGTGGAGAATGTTGGTCCTGCAGTGGCGATTAATGCAAAGATGCCCTGAACAAAGCAGGACACACGTGCCTGCCTGCTACCCCTGCCCAGCTGCTGTTCTTGGACGCATGTGCTCTTCTGGTGGGACCCGTGAATACGTGGCTCACGGTCCTGGGGCACACCCCATTGTGTGAGGCTGGGGGTCTTGTGGGGAGCCAGGCCCCTGGTGTGGGTCCCTGCTCAGAAGCCCCACGCAGCCCCTGTTCTGCTGAGTGCGGCTGAAAGCCCCCCATACCCACAGCCCTCTGTCCTCAAATTTTTCTCATTTTAAAAATTGTGGTAAAATACCCATAACATAGGACTTACCATTTTAACCTTTTAAAAATAATTTAAATTTTTTAAGAGACAGGGTCTTGCTCTGTCACCCAGGCTGGAGTACAGTGGCGTGATTTTGGCTCATTACAGCCTCCGCCTCCTGGGCTCAAGCAATTCTCCCACCTCAGCCTCTTGAGTACCTGGGATGGTAGGCACGCACCACCATGCCAGCTAATTAATATATTTTTTCTTGTACTGACTGGGTCTCAGTATGTTGCCCAGGCTGATCTCAAATTCCTGGCCTCAAGCGATCCTCCCACCTCAGCCTCCTGAGTAGCTGGGATTATAGGCGAGAGCCACTGCATCCAGTGACTTTTTTTTGTTTGTTTCTCTAATAGCTGCCATCCTGATGGGGTGAGCTGGTGTCTCATGGTGGTTTTGATTTGCCTGTCCTGAAGGACTCGTGACTTTGAGCGTCTTTCCATGTGCTTGCTGCTGTTTATAGATCTTCTCCGGAGACATGTCTGTCTTCCCTCTCATTCTTGCATGCGGGCGTCCACAGGCTGACCCCTCAGCTGCTCAGCCAGGCCCCTGCTCCTGTCCACAGAGCCCACCCTCCAGGTGCACTCCCTGCCTGCCTCCTGCAGGTTCCTTTCCTGGGCATGGTGGCCCAGCCCTCTCTGTCCCTCACCTCACCTGCTTTCTTCATGGCATGTGCACATCTGACATGGTTACTAGTTGTGTGATTTCTGTCTGCCTTTGCAGTGGACACACCACAGACGCTCAGCCAATGCTTGAACCAGCAGGTGGGTGGGACTATGCCAGGACGGGATGGTGGCTCAGAGAGGGGCTGCCTGGTCTGGGGCCTGACAGGCGGGAGGAGGAGAGGCCTGTAGCACCCATTGGAGGTGTGTGGTCGCCCAGCACAAGAACAAGGGAGGAGGCAGTCAGGCGGGGGCGCTCCTGCCCAGGCCACGGAGCTTTAATTAAAACCCGCCCGGAGCATGACCCCACTCTGCCATGCATTCTTCACTTAATTGGGGCCCTTCAGGAGGGGCCGGCTGAGGTTAATTAAAAAGCCCAGCTGAAGACATTGTTGTCTTCCTAGCATCTGCTGCCAGCATCCGCCTGCCTGTGCCCAAGGCCTGGGCTACCGGGGTGGGCAGAACCATGCCCCAGGGGCCTCCAGCCCCCATGCCTGTCACTGCAGCCTGCAGCCAGCCTGGGCGGGGGACCGTGCTCATTGTTGGGTCCTTCAGTGAGTGCCCCCTCTGGCCTTAATGAAAAGGAGACTCTCCTGGATACCCTGAACTGATGGGCCCCAATGCCCCACCATGGGAGGGCAAGGCTGGCTGTGGGACACCAGAGCACCCCGGCCTGCCCCGGCCTACTTGTTTCAGCTCCTAACTCCTACCCTGGGGGTCTGGGTGCTGCCCACGGCTCCCAGGCGACTGCGCGGTGACCCTGCCCTCTCCAGCTCCTCTGCCCATCACCTGCAGGCCCAGCTACACACCTACACCCGGGAGACCCCTTTCTCAGGAGGCAGGGAGTAGCCAGGGCTGCCGTGGAAGGTTCTGGGTGCCACAGGAACATGCAGAGGGTGGGTGGCCCCGTGAGGGAGGCTGGCACGAAGGGCAGGGGAGGGCTGTCACACTGCCCTCTCAGCGTATGCCCGGGGGCTTGGCCGCAGTGAGGGAGACAGTGGTTGGAGGAGAAGGGGGAGAAAGAAGAACTCAAGCAGTCAGCGAGTGCCAGGCCCCCTTCTGCCCCAATGGGAGGAGATGATAGACGAGGAGGTGACAGAGTGTCACCGTGGCCCACAGGACAGCCACCCGCCCAGAGCCTGGGCACCCATCCGGGTCTCCCAGCGCTGTGGTCCAGGCCCGGAGGCCCCCACAGAGCCAAAGTAGGCAGGTGGTGGGAGGAGGTCCTGTGCACCTGGCACACAGGGGTGCTTGTGATCCAGGAGAGAGATGAACCCTTGGCAACAGCTGGGAAAGATCTAAACAACTGATGCACTGGTGCAATGGACTTGCAGGTGCAGACAGCAGCCATGCTGGGGGCTAGTCAAGGGGCCCCATTTGCTGACTAGGCACATGGCTTGGAGCCTGGGAGCCAGGCATCACACCAGGCTGGTGGTGTGGAAGCCCGAGGAAGCCCCTTGTGCTACACGGCAGGCCACGATGTCCAAGGGGCCGGGGTGGGATTCATGCCATAAAGGTGGAGGCTGCTTATCAGTCCCAGGCAGCAGAAGAGGGGACAGAGGCAGACGCCAGACCTCCTTCCTGACCCTGGACTGGCCTGCAAAGAAGCAATTCAGAGTGGGTGGTGGCCAGCTGCACACCTTTAGGCAGCACTGGGCCAGGATGGCCTGAGCAGAGCCACCTATGGTTAGGCACAGCCCAGGAAAGTGCCCACACTAACGGGGAACACACTGACCTCTGACCCTCCACCTGAGGCAGGCCAAGTGACACAGAAACAGGGAGGGTGACCAGGACTCTGTGTCTGCAGGGTCCCCACGTGATGCTCCAGACACAAAGCACACAAACCATCATGGACACTGAGCACGGTGCCTTGGCACCCCAACAGCACTGTGACCCCTGCACTATCCCCTACACTATCCCTCTACACTATGCCCCACACTATTCCCCTTCACTATCCACCTACACTATTCCCTTCCACTATCCCCACTACACTATCCCTCTACACTATCACCTACACTATTGTCCTACACTATCTACCTGCACTATGCCCCACACTATCCGCCTTCACTATCCACCTACACTCTCCCCCATACTATCCCTGTACAGTATCCCCCCTGCACTGTTCCCCTACACTATCCCCACTACACTATCCCTTTATACTATCACCTATACTATCGCTCTACACCATCCCCCCTACACTTTCCTCCCCTACACTATCCCTCTACAGCACCCCCTATACTATAGCCTGGGCAATATCACCCTACGCTATTGCCCTACACTATCTCCCCTACACTATGCCCCTATACTCTCCTGCCTACACTATCCCCCGTACTCTATCCTTCTACACTATCCCTCTACACTATCACCCCTGCAATGTCACCCTACACTCTCCCCCTAAACTGTCCCCCAATATTATCCACCTACACTATACCCCTACATTATACCCCTGCACTATCCCCCTACACTATCCCCTCAACACCATCCACCTACACTATCCCCCTGCACTATCCCCCCAAACTATCCTCCTACACTATTGCCCTACACTATCCCCCTACACTATTGCCCTACACTGTCCCCTACACTATCACCCCTGCAATATTACCCTACACTCTACCCCATACTATCCCCAAAACTATCCCTCCTACACTATCACCCCTACACTATCCCCCCTACATTATTCCCCTACACTACTCCCCTACACTATCCTCCCTACACTATTTCTCTCCACTATCCCCTACACTATCCTCCTGCACTATCCCCCTACACTATTACCCTACACTATCCCCCCTACAGCATCCCCTACATGATACCCTACACTATCGCCCTGGCAATATCACCCTACACTATTGCCCTACACTATCCCCCTACACTCTTCACCCTACATTATTCCCCTACACTACCCCCTACACTATCCCTCTATACCATCTCCCTACACTATTCCCCCTACACTATCACCCCTACACTATCCCTTACACTCTCCCCCTATACCATCCCGCTACACTATCCCCCCTATACTATCCCTTTACACTATACCCTACACTATTGCTTCTGCAATATCACCCTACACTCTCCCCCTGCACTCTACCCTTACACTATCCCCCCTACATTATCCCCCTACACCATCCCTCTACACTATCGCCCTACACTATCCTCCTGCATGCTTCCTGTACACTGTCCCTCTATACTATCACCCTACACTATCCCCCCTACACTATCCTTCCTGCTATATCACCCTACACTGTCACCCTACACTATCCCTCCTACACTATCTCCCTATACTATCCCCCTACACTATTCACTGTACGCTATGCCCCCATGCTATTCTCCTTACTCTATCCCCCAAACATTATCCCTCTACACTGTCCCCACTATGCTATACCCCTGCACTATACCCCTATGCTGTCTCCCTTACGCTATCCCCCTATGCTATGTCCCCTACACTATCCCCCTTTGTTGTCCCTCCATGCTACTCCCTACGCTATCCCACTACTCTATCCCCCTGACGCTGTCCCCCTACGCTATCCCGCTACACTGTTCCCCCTACACTATCTCCATACACTGTCCCCCTACACTCTCCCCCTACTCAATTCCCCCTACACTCTCCGCGTACACTATCCCCGCTACACTATCCCCCGACGCTATCCCCCTACACTGTATCCTATATTATCTCCCCTACATTATCCCCCTACCCTGTCCCCCCTGCACTCTCCCACTACACTATCCCCCTACACTATCCCTATACACTATCCCTCTACAGTATCCCCCCTACACTATCCCCCCTACACTATTCCCCTACACTATCCCTCCTACACTCTTCCCCTACACTATCCTCTCTATGCTATCCCCCTACATAATCCCCCTATACTATCCCTGTGCACTTTCCCCTTGCACTATCCCCCTACTTTATCCCCTACACTCTCCTCCCTACATTCTCCCCTACACTATCCCCCTACACTATCCTTTCTACACTATCCCCCTACACTCTCCCCCTACTCTATCCCCCAACGCTATCCCCCCACACTATCCCTTTACACTGTCCCCATACACTATTCCCCCATAATATCCCCCTACATTATCCCCCACGATATCCCCCTACACTACCCCCCTACACTATCCCCCCTACGCTATTCCCCTACTCTATCCCCCTACTCTATCCCCCTACACTATCCCCCTATTCTATCCCCCTACGCTATCCCCCTACACTATCCCCCCTACACTATTCCCCCCACACTATCCACCTACACTATCCCCCAACGATATCCCCCTACGCTATCCCTCCTATGCTATCCCCCTCCACTATCGCCCCTAAACTATCCCCCTACAAAATCTCCCCTCTGCTATCCCCCCTGCAAAATACCCCCTACACTATCCCCCTACACTGTCTCCATACCCTATTCCTCTACCCTATTTCCCTTCGCTATCCCTCCACGCTATTTCCCCTATGATATCCCCCTACACTATCTCTGTATGCTATTCCCTTTTGCTATCCCACTACGCTATCCTTTACCTTATCCCCCTATGCTATCCCTGCTACGCTATCCTTCTACACTATCCCCCCTTGCTATCTCCCTATGCTATCCCCCCATGCTATCCCCCCACGCTATCCCTGCTATGCTGTCCCCCTATGCCATCCCTCCTATGCTATCCCCCCATGCTATCCCCCCTACGCTATCCGTGCTATGCTATCCCCCTATGCTATCCCTCCTACGCTATCCCCCTATGCCATCCCTCCTATGCTATCCCCCCATGCTATCCCCCCTACACTATCCCTGCTATGCTATCCCCCATGCTATCCCTCCTACGCTATCCCCCATGCTATCCCTCCTATGCTATCCCTCCTACGCTATCCCCCTATGTTCTCCCCGCTATGCTATCCCTTCTACGCTGTCCCCTGCTACGCTATTCCCCTACGCTGTTCTTCTACCCTATCCCCCCAATCTATCCCCCCCACACTATCCCTCTATACTATACCCCTACACTATTCCCCTACGCTGTCCTTCTACCCTATCCCCTCAATCTATCCCCGCTACACTCCCTCTACACTATACCCCTACACTATCCCCCTACACTCTCCCCTACTCTCTCCCCCCTACAGTATCCCCCATGCTATCCTCCTGTTCTATCCCCGCTACACTATCCTCGTACACTGTCCCCCTACACTATCCCCCATACACTATCCCCGACGCTATCCCCCTATACTACCCCCCCTACGCACTCTCCGCTACACTATCCCCCTACACAATCCCTTTTATGCTATGCCCCCTCCACTATCCCCCTACAGAATCCCCCCTATGCTGTCCCCTACACAGTGCCCCCCACACTGTACCCCCTACACTATCCCTTTACACTATCCTCCTACTCTTTCCCTACGCTATCCCTCCTATGCTATCCTCGTATGCTATCCCCCCTACGATATCCCCCTATGCTATCCCTCCTACGCTATCCTTCTACGCTGTCCCCCCTGCACTATCCCCCTAGGCTATCCCCCCATGCCATCCTACGCTATCCCTTATGCTATCTGCCTGTGCTGTCCCCGCTACTCTATCCCCCTACGCTATACCTTTAGGCTATCCCCCTATGCTGTCCCCCTACACCGTGCTCCTACTACGCTATCCCCCCTACTCTATATCCCTATATGCTATCCTCCTACACTATCCCTCCTACACTATCCCCCTACACTATCCCTTTTACACTATCCCCCCTACACTGTCCCCCTTCACTATCCCCGCTACACTATCCCTATATGCTATCCTCCTACACTATCCCTCCTACACTATTCCCTTTACTCTATCCCCCTACACTATCCCCTTTACACTATCCCCCTACACTGTCCCTTACACTATCCCCCCTACACTGTCCCCCTACACTATCCCCCACGCTATTTCCCCTATGCTATCGCCCCTACATTATCCCCCTACGCTATCCCCCTATGCTATTTCCCCTACACTATCCGTCTATACTATATCCCTACACTATCCCCCTATGCTATCCCCTAACACTATTCCCTATATTATCCCTTTACACTGTCTCCCTACGCTATTCCCCCTACACTATCCCTCTACACTATCCCCCATGCTATCCTCCTTACACTATCCCCCTACACTATCCCCTACACTATCCCTCTACACTATCCCCCATGCTATCCTCCTTACACTATCCCCCTACACTATCCCCTACACTATCCCTCTACACTATCCCCCTATGCTATTCCCCCTACACTATCCCTGTACACTATCCCCCATGCTATCCCCTACAGTATTCCCCTACTCTATTCCCCCTACACTATCCCTCTACACTATCCCCCTATGCTATTCCCCCTACACTATCCCTCTACACTATCCCCCGTGCTATCCCCTACAGTATTCCCCTACGCTATGCCCCCTACACTATCCCTCTACACTATCCCCCATGCTATCCTCCTTACACTATCCCCATACACTATCCCCTACACTATCCCTCTACACTATCCCCCCTACGCTATTCCCCCTACACGATCCCTCTACACTATACCCCCTACATTATCCCCCCACACTATCCCCCTACACTATCCCTCTACACTATACACCCTACATTATCCCCCCACACTATCCCCCTACACTATCCCACCTGTGCTATTCCTCTGCACTACCCTGTCTACACTATCCATTCTTCTACATGCCCTGTACATTCTGGTCTACACTACCCGCCAACACTGCCCCTCCTGCACACTCCTGATGGTTCCCATGTCCAGCATCCCATGTCCTCCCCAGCCTTTGGTGTTGGTGCTGCAGGCTGCCTGCTCCATTGAGGAGTGGCACTGCAGGGCCGGTGCCTCATGCCAGACCTTGGATGGAGTGGGGAGAGGGCAATGCCAGTCTGGCCTCTTGGCCTTCTGCCATGGTGGGGTGAGTTTGGGCAGCAGAAGAAGACAGGAGCCCGGGCACTGGCTCTGGGGCATAGTCTGCCCACCTCAGGTTCGTGAACGAGGGGGAGATACCTGGGGAAATCCACTTTTCCCAGCCACACATCCAGCCCATATGCCTGCGCCTGGACTTCTGTGTTTCCTGCTCCTGCCAGGAGACCGGGCCTTGGCATTCCAGTTTGTAATTCTGCAGCTGGCTGCTGGGTGGGCAGGTGAGGTGTGCTGTTGGAAGGAGACCCAGGCTGTGACCCAGCCAAGAAGCTCTGATCCCAGCTGGGTCTGGAGGGCAGGGCTCCCCATGGGCACCTGAGGGTATGGTGGAGCCTTTGCAGCTTCCCCTGGAGGAGGTCTTTTTGCCGCGGATGCCTCACCTCTTCCTAGAAGCTCTCCTGGGTTAATCACAGTCCCCTGCTTGTGAGACCACAGCTCCTCAGTCTGAAGGAGGCTTCCCCGAGCTGGGCCTGGATGGGATGTCCCACCCCTGCTTCCTCCCTCCCAGCCAGCCTGTGTTTGGGTGGACAAATCCTCCTCATCTTCGCACCATAAACACCAATTTGCAGGGCCCCAAGAGCCAAATGACTGTTTACTGTGTGCTCTAGAGGCTCAAGTAAAAAAAAAAAAGAGAGAGAGAGAGAGAGACAAAAAGAGAGCAAGGAGTCAGCTTGGAGCTAAACAGCAATTAGCACCTTCTGCTGAGCTCCCATCCTGGCCAGGCAGGCGGGTGGTGGCTCCCAGGCTTCAGTGGGGCCCCTTCTGAGGGCTCCCCGGCTGCCATGGGAACCCACTTTTTTCCTGGCGTCTGCAGGGATGCAATCTCAGAATTACAGGAGGATGTTGGAGCCCTAGGAAGTGTCCCCATGCTCACCTCCTCCTGGAAGCCCTCCCAGATGATCCCGAAGGCAGCCACTGACAGCAGTCCAGTTCTGCAGGGAGGAACACTGACCTAGTCCCCCAGACCTTGGAAGTTGCTCCAGGAGGTCATGCCCCTGGGATCCAGGGCTCCAGATCCAAGCAAGACTCCGACAGGGACCTGAGTGCCCTGTCCTGAGGCATCCATCCCTAGGGGTTCAGAGGCAGAAAGGGGGATCCATGAGGGGAGGAGACTGGGAAAGAGGGCTGAGCTGTCCAGGGGAGGGGGTGGGGCCTGTGGGGGGCGGTGGTGCCACTGTAGGGCAGAGGGAACTAGGGCTCATCCCAGGTCGACAGCTGGACCCCAGGGTGGGACTGCTTCCCCCAGGACCCAGGTTGAGGCTGTGTCTCCCAGACCCCAGGGCAGGGCCGTGTCTTCTTATATTCCAGGATGGGGCACATCCTCAGCTCAGTCCAGGCTCAGGGTCTGTACTTGTTTTACCTGGGCCCGCAGCCCAGGGTGCTCCAACGTCTTCTACCCTCTCTGCCAGTAGCCCAGGAATGGCAGGGCCTACAGATGGAAGGGCAGGGTCTCAGGACAGAGCCTGGCAGAGGGCAGAGGCTGGCTCCGCATCCCAGGAGTCCCCCTCTGGTTCTCCCCGTGGACTTTCTCTCATGGCTTGTCACTCCAGGCTTCAGTGCAGGATGGACAGTCCACCCACCAAGCCCCGCCCTGGGCTCGGGGACCTGGGTCCCCCACTCTGATGATGCCAGGCTCTGAGTGCATGGCCCTGATTGTAATTCCTGGTGAGAGGCTATCTGCAGGGGAAAGGGCGGAGGTATCCATCCGGCTGAAACATCGGGGAGGGCCAGGCTGGAGGAAGGCTCCAGGGAATGAAGTTACAGGGTCACCTTATCGGGGGACCTGTGGCCAGGGCAGCCTTGCTAGGGCTTAGGAGTGGCTGATGTCTGACGACGTCTCAGACACTCCACCCCATACACAAACAGGCGTATTGAGGCCTGGACGGCAAGCTGGGCCTGACATCATCTCTGCAATGCCCTGGTCCTTGGAGGACCCCCTCCAAGGACTGGGGTGTGGGACCCCCAAGTCCCAGCTTCTCTTCCTCTTCAGGGGCATCTTTCCCCAGGCCTCGCCTTCCCCCAACAAGAAGCTTCTAGAATGTTCCTTCTTGAGGATAGCCCAAGGGACTGCGGGGAAGCCCTGAATTCATTCCTGGCTGCTCAGCCTGTGTCCTGGAGTTCCCTGGAGGCCGTGACAGACCACATTCCAACCTTGGACAGGCCGAGGACCCCCTGAGCCAAGGTCATCTTTTGGGCTGTGTCAACTCCTGGGGCAGCAGCTGTGCCCCTGGGAGCTGACAGGCCCAGAGCTTGGTCAGGGGTCCTGCCCTCTGCCCTCTCCTCTCCCACCCACTGGAGGATGGTGACGCCAGGCCCACACTAGGGGAGTTAGGCTGGGTGTGGAACCCGGTTGAGAGGGGAGGGGCCGTCTCCACTGATGAGCCTCTCAGGCCCCCACCGACCCAGCATGGTCCAGAGAGGACCCATGATGGAGCAGGGGCAAGGGCCAGGGCTGGCAGGGCCCCGGGGCACACCAAGCCCAGGCTCAGCACTGGGGACGGGCACTGGGCAGTCAGTAAGTAGGGCCTCACCCCCACCCCATGTCGGGCATGGGGACCTGGAGCTGGCCTTGCACCTGCCTGCTGCGGTCCCAGCGTCCTGGGGAGGCCAGGCTGGCAGCCTCCAGGATCCTCCTTGAAGGGAGGAAACTGAGGCCCCAGGATCCTGAAAGTAGGTGTCAGGAGGGGAGTGTCAGAGAGAGGAGGAGTGCCCAAGTTGGGGGCTGGCCACACCCCTCCAGGACTTCAAAGCATGGAGGGTGAGATGTGCAGGGGGCTGGGCAGGGGAGCCCTGGTGGGGTGGGGCCCCACTACCTCCGGGCCTTTTATATGGTTATTCCTGTCCTGTCTCAACTACCTGCGAACAGGCCCACCAGGCGCATTTCCTCCCTCTGCAGGGCGGGTGGGCAGGATGGGCTATAAACGCCCTGGGGGGTGGCTTCTGAGACTGACTTGGAGGCCTGCAGGCTCCGGGGGGGTTGGGGGCTGGGGCTCCCGGGGTGATGCCTGCCCTTGGCAGGTGAGGGAGGCCATGCACCAGGTGCAGCAGCCCAAGCCAGCAGGCCCGTGGGAGGGAAGACCTCCCTTGGCTCACTGCCTTTTACATAGAAAAGAAACTGAGGCCCAGGCAGGAGTGGGCCTTGCTCCTACACAGGGTGAGTTGAGCGTTTCACCTCCCAGCCCCCATTGCCTATAAACTGGGGTGTGTCCTATGGCCCCAGGGGCTGCAGACCAGCCGACCCCCATTCCTCAGAAACACATCCAGAACCTCTTGTGGGGTCACCCTCTGTCTGTGCTAGGGCCACAGTGGGGATGGGGACAGCTGAGACCATCTTCACAGTGGTCCTTCACACCTGGCCTGCAAGGGGACCTTCGGCTCTCCACCCAGATGGCCCCCTGGGTCTCCAGCAGACTGTGTGTCCTCAGGCCAGCACCATCTCCTCTCTGGGCCCCAGCAGCGGAGATAGAGCCTGGGTGCTGGGGATCTCTCTGGGGCCTACCTCAGCTTTGAGCCCCGAGTTGGCCCTGGCCTGGATCTGGGTGTGGGCTCTTGCCCCGGCCTATGCTGACTGCTCAGGTCCCTGCAACCTGGCAGCCATGCCCATGATCTCGTGCCCTCTGCCTGCCCAGCCGCCTCCCGGCTGGGTCAGTGTCTGTCATCTGCAATGCCCCTGGCACTGGGGCCCAGTAGGTGCTAATTAGGGTGGCTGTGACCTGGGTCCCGACTAAGAGGCACTGTGCCCATGGGCTGGGGCTGACCAGGGGCTCCTGTGGGGCACTGCCCTCCCCCAAGGACTGACCCTTTATGGCTATTGCTCAGGAAGGCCTGGCGGGTTGAGCGGGCTTGGGGTCCCCCCACTGGTGATGCACCACAGGGGTCCTATGCCCTTAGTCACTGGCTCCCTCTTTGTAGACGGTAGCACAGCTGCCCTTGGTGCCCCCCGGGAATTCCAGTGGCCCTGCCTATGGAGGGTCAGGGCTGCCCTGGAGCAGTGGGTGACCCACCTGGGATGGGTGTCACGGCCCCAGCCAATGAGGCCATGGCTGGGAGTGATATTGGGGTGCCCACCAGACCTTGGGGGTGCATGGAAGCTGAGGCACAGTTTTGGGAGGCAAAGGAGAGGGGTGCCTGACCTCCAGAGTCCTGGACCGGGTCCCTTCTCCCTTGGCCCTGACAGGCCCTGGGTAGCTCTGTGCTCCCATGGCTGGTGGCTCTGGAGAAACACTCCCTCCCTACAACCACCCCAGCAGCCACACTTCAGCCCTCATCCCCTCCTGGGCCTGGCCTCCTTGACTGTCCTCGGGTGGGAGCCTCTGCTTCATGAGGTTCTGCAAGGCTGCTGCAGGCAGGGGTTGGGCAGCAGCCAGACCTGGGCAGAAGCCCTGTGCAGCCAGCAGGGTATGGTAGAGGGCGGTATGCTCTCTTGCTCCGTGGGTGCTGTGAGGCTTCACTATGCCAGCACTGTGAGGAGGCCCTGGGCAGTGAGTGGGGTGGAAAGACCTGACCTGGGGTGGGGAGGAGCAGGGCTCTGGTGGGGGCCGGGCTGGATCTGTAGCCTTAGGGAGGTGGATGAGGCACAGGACCAGGGGGACCTAGGAAGTGGATAGTGAGGGGCAGGTGGGGGGTTTGGGAAGGCCAGGCTTCTAGTGGACCCGTCACAAAGGTCAGGAGCAAGGGCTCTAGCTTGAAAATGGTGCCCAGAGAGGGTGGCCAGGCCCAGTGTGGCCTAGAGAGGGTGTCCTGCTGGGCAGCCGTGAGGGCACCTTGGGGTGAGGGTGTGGGGAGGGAGGTCAGCAGTCCCTCAGGCCCCTCTGCCCAGCCTTAGCTGCATGCCCTGGGCCTGTGCCCTCAGGGTCCAGGACAGCAGGTGCGTGGCAGGGTCAGGGGACACTGTTCCTGGAGGGGTTATGCTCCTGCCTGGGGCTGGCCCTTCTCTGGCTCTTGAGGCCTGGGGATTGTGTTCCCATGACCTCCATGCCTAGGACGCTGGTGCACCCACCCCACTCCTGGGGCTGCCTTGACCCCCCTTCCTACCATGGGGCACACTGGGGGATGGCCAGCCATTCCTGTTCTATGAAGGCCTGGCTCCCCGCCGGCGTGCACATGGCTTGAGTATGGTGGCTGTGTTGGGCCCGGCCTGCAGGCAGGTACACTGGCTGCTCCTGGCTGCCCCATCTCCATAGCTTCTTCCCTTGGCATTCACTGCCCTGAAGGTCTGGCTGAGCATCCAGTCAGGGCCCAGAGATGGGCATGGGGACTGGACAGGCATGGGAGGGCAGAGAGTGGAGCAGAGATCCTTGGTGGGGCTGGGACGGGGAAGGCATGGCCTTGAGACAGCCCTTGGGCTCCTGCTGCCTGTTTCCAGAGGCACACCCAGCACCCCTAGTAAGGCCTCATGAGGGCTCCTGTCGGCAGGATGGCTCACCTGTTCCAGGGGCTCTCCCTGCCTTCCTTGGCTGGGGAAAGGAGATGGGGGCTCGCACAGGGGGCACCCCTGTGCACAGCCCCACGAGGTGAGGATCCCAGAGGAACTCCTGATGGCCAGTCCCATCCCAAGGTCCTGCTGGGATCCAGCTGATCCTATACCACCAGGCCACTGTCCCCAAACCTAGAGAGGGGGCACATCCATAGCTGGTGCTAAGGTATCAGCTGAGTGAGTACAGGCTCTGCGGGAGGGGAGGTGGTGGGCGTCTTGCTGCTCTACTGACTTGTTGGGGGCTCGGCCAACCCCCTTACCTTAGGGCTGCCTACCTGGGGCCTCCAGGTGCCTGCTGCTCTCTCCCTGTCAGAGGCTCTACTCTGCTCCAGGCCTTGGTGCCAGTGGCCGTTCCCTCATTTCCTCAGCTTGGCTATCCTTATTCCTTCCCCATGGAATTCCAGCTCTGGAGGTCCCCTGCCCATCACGGCCCTGGGGCATCCCCCTGCCCCCGGACCCAGGCCCTGAGCCCCTGAGTGGGCATCTTCTCTACTCTTTCAACACCGTGCTGACCCACCACCAAACATCCAGCCCAGACCACAGCCTTGATGGCTTGTTTCTCTTTTTTCACTTTTCCCATTGTTTGAAACCCACAAGCTATGACTAAAACAATTTCTTTCATAGAAAGAAAAGGGAAAAAAAACACAACACATCTATTCGTCTAACTCCGTTGGACAGTGGATATAGCAGCATCAGATATAACATTAAAACCAAAAACGCAGAATTTGAGGCAGAGGATGGCGGTGTGCCCTCTTTTGGGCTCTTGGGGCGCCCCGCCTGGCCGCTTCTTCTCCCCGCACCTTGAGGGTGGGAGCCGGTTCACAGTGGCAGAGGCTGAGGGGCGCTGGCCATGAGGCAACCAGGGATATGGGCCGGGTGGGTTCAGCGGCCTCCCCATTCATTCCCGGGCCAGGCGGATGAGTCAGGAGGGGCCGGGCCATTGGCTCCAGGAAAGCGGACCATTTCTCCAGTCCCGCCATGAGGGGCCAGGAAGGGGGCCGGCCCATCTCAGGGCTGTGGGACCTTCGCGAGCAGCACAGTCGGGGGGTTGATGCCCCCCAAACCTCCCGAACGCCCCCAAATGAGACCAGCAGCTCTGGGCAGCCTGGGGGGCTGGACCTCTCTTCCTACCTTTCCCTTAAGGGGCTGTGGACAGGCGGAGGAAAGGGAGGGACGGGACGAGAGGCTTCTATCTCTCCTGTAGCTGGATGGAGTGCAGGTGGGGAGACCCGAGGGCAGGGAGGAGGGGCT
This sequence comes from Homo sapiens, assembly GCF_000001405.40. Taxonomy (NCBI): domain Eukaryota; kingdom Metazoa; phylum Chordata; class Mammalia; order Primates; family Hominidae; genus Homo; species Homo sapiens. The sequence continues at coordinate 228,060,676 of NC_000001.11, read as the reverse complement.
GGGCAGCTGCAAAGAAGGGGGCGCAGCTGAGCAGAGCAGAGACGGGCGGGGCCTGGGGCGCAGCAGGCCAGTTCCCTGGCAGGAGTACCTGACGGTGTGGGAGCCCGGGCAGGGCGGGCCTCTTTGGGAGGGCCTCGGTCGCTTGCCTCTGCGAAGTCCCTGTCCTCTCCCAGGACTAAGCTTGGTCTTGGGGTTGGGGGCTGGGAGGCCCTTCAGGCTTTCCCCAGGTAGGGCCCCTGGTCAGGTGGGTGGTCAAACCCCAGGCTGAGGAAGGGGTGGCACAGGCGTCGGCGCGCCTGGAGCATTCCAAAGCCAGGCGCTTGGAGAGGGGCCCTCGGATCCCAGGGGCACGGGTTGGGGACCCGACTCGCTTCATGGAACCTTCCCAGCTCGACGCAGGGGTGGATGGAACCTTACAGGGGGTTGGGGATGAGGTGGCTGGTGGGCTGAATTTCCTGCTCTGGAGCCGGGATTCCTGCAGAAGCCACGCCTTAATCAGGAGGGCGGTTCCCAGGGAAGAGTCCCACCCGCGGAGAGAAGCCCCGCCCCATTGGAGCCTGGTCCCAGAGAAGCCCCACCCACAGGAAGGAGCCTATGCAGGCCACGCCCACCCAGAGCCACAGCCCCCGTGGAAGGGGCCTTGCCCTGGTCAGGAGAAGCTCTGCCCCATCCAGGAAGAAGCCTCATCCACCATAAAACCCCACTCCTAAGGAGGCGCTCCGCCCTCAGGGAGCAGCCTACCCCAGAGCCGTGCCCCATCCTAGAGCCCCGCCTCCTTCAGGAGGAGCCCCGCCTGCAGGTAGAAGCCTACCTAGTGCCCCGCCCACCCAGAGCCACGCCCTTACTGGGAGGGGCCTCGCCCCCGCAGGAGAAGCCCTGTCCCACCCAAGAGAAGCCCCGCCCAATCTGTAGCCCCGCCTCTGTCCAGGGGAGCCCCGTCCCCAGGGAGAAGCCAACGCAGAGCCCCTCCCCATCCTGGAGCTCCGCCTCATTCAGGAGCAGCCCAGCCACCAGAGAGGAGACACTAGCTCCAGGGAGGAGCCCTGCCTTCAGGTAGGAGTTCTGCCCCCAGGTAGGAGCCCCACCCCCAGGGAGGAGTCCCGCCCCCAGGGAGGAGTACTGCCCCGTTTAGGTGGGAGTCCTGCTCCACCCAGGGAAAAGCCCACCCTCAGGCAGGGCCCGCCCCGTCCAGGGGGAGCCGCGGCCGGTGCCTACTTGCAGGTGTGCACGTCGTAGACGCGCGTGCACTCCTGGCAGCTGACGTAGCAGCACCAGTGGAACACGCAGCGGCACTTCTCCCGGCGCCGCTCCGCTCGCGCGTTGTGGCCGCGGCCGCAGCACAGCAGGTCGCAGCCGTCGATGCCGTGCGAGCTGACGTTGCAGGTGCGGTCGCGCGTGCCGAAGGAGCCCGTCTCAGGGTTGGGCTCGCAGAAGTTGGGCGAGGCCTCGTAGTAGACCAGGTCGCGCTCCGTGGGCACCTTGAAGTAGGTGTAGCGCGGCCGCAGGGTCTCCACCCAGCCGCGGGACTCCCGGTGCTTCTCCACCACCATCTCCGAGGCGCTGTCGTACTTGTCCTTGAGGAAGTCACCGATGGCGCGGAAGTCGGGTTGCGACCACCAGCATGTCTTCACCTCGCAGCTGCCCGACAGCCCGTGGCACTTGCACTTGAGGTGCATGTGGCTGGCGATGGCCTGCGGGGCACGCGCAGGAGCCAGCGTCAGGGCGGCCCCCTGGTGCGTCTCCCCGAGGAAACAGCATTACATGTCGCCTGCAGCCTACCTGCTCCATAAAGCCCCCGGGCAGAGGGGGCAGACTCCCAGGCAGGGCCCCAGGGCCACCCCCTTCCTATGGTGCAGATACTGGTGCCTGCTCCCTTGCCAGACCCAAGCCTTCCCAGGTCAGGGCTTGGGGGGCTCCCCTCTTCCCGTCTCCTAGCTGAGTACTTCTACACTGTCTAGGGTGGAGCGAATGAAGGACAGAGCTGCAGCGTGGGATGCCATACACGAAGAGCCACAGCAGTCAGAGTGCAGGGATGCAGGGGGATAGGCGTTCCTTCTGACCCTGAGGACTCAGGCACGCTGCCCAGAGGTGTATACGGCTGGGTGGAAAGGCACGAGTCCTGAGCATGAGTAAAGAGAGTGGCCCAGGAAGCTGGTCACTGTATGGGGACTGCAGAGGAAGAGGAAGGCAATGTTGGGACATAAGGCTGTTGGGGGACCGGGCAGGACCTCGCTGAGGAGCGAACGGTTTCCCCTATGGGCAGTGTAGAACTCAGCTTCTTTTCCCTTCTTTCTTTGGGGAAGGGGTAGGGGTGAGCGTGAAGGGGCATGTGAACATCAGAACAGTCTAGGTGGCACTGCACTGTGGCAGCCACTGGACAGACAGGAGCCCATGAGGCATGGCAGTGTGAATTCAGAAATGCTATACGTGCCAACTGCATGCTGGATTCCCAAGACTTAGTGTAAGAAAAGGATGAGAAACAGCTCATTCATAATTTTAATACTGACTACATTATTGAAATGATAGCATGTTGGCTATCCTGAGTTAAATCAAATTTGGTATTAAAATTTGTTTCTGGCCGGGCATGGTGGCTCATGCCTGTAATCCCAGCACTTTGGGAGGCCAAGGCGGGTGGCTCACTTGAGGCAAAGCCACGTGTCTATTAAAAATACAAAAATTAGGCGTGGTGGCGGGAACCTGTGATCCCAGCTACTTGGGAGGCAGAGGCAGAATTGCTTGAGCCAGGAGGGGGAGGCAGCAGTGAGCGGAGATTGCGCCACTGCACTCCATCCAGCCTGGGCTACAGGGCGAGAGTCTGTCTCAAACCAAACCAAACCAAATCAAAACCAAAAAAACTTGTTTTACCTGTTTACTCTTTAAATGTGGCTACTAGAAAATTTATAATGATCTTTGTGTCATTTGTGGGACAAATTATAATAATCTATGAGCCATTTGTGGCTCCCATTCTATTTCTATTGGACAGTTCTAATCTAAGGCTTCAACTGGGCTCTGGGTCCCAATCCTGCCTCCTCCTCGTCCCCTTCTGGCTCTTTCTTGAACTCCTCCCTCTGATATTGACTGTTTCCTATGGGCATCTGTAGAGTAACATATCCCTCGCCCTGCCCAGTCTAGTTTATCTAATATCCATTTTATTTCCTCTTTTGTTTTAGTTTTATATTGGATCAAAGTTATATAGGTGCTTACTTGGAAGAGTCCAACAGTTTCCAAGACCTGTTTAGATAAACAGGAATTCTGGTCCTACATGCAGCCCCTTGCAATGTCTACAACTCTGTTAACACACTTGTCTTGACACCTCTTGATTTTTCAGCATTAGGCATTATTTATTGGCCTCTAGCCATGGTGGGTGGCAGTTAGTTTTCTCTCCTTACTCCACCACACTGATGCACACTTCCCAAGCACCAACCCCTCCTGCCCTAAAAACTAGCTTAATTTCACATCAATATTCACTGCTGGTGGTATTGGGACTACTTTAAGTGTCATATATTATGATGACTTTTCTTTTCCTAAATGACTTTTTGTAGTTGGTGTTATCCATGTACCTGTAACTGATTCAGCCTCAAATTCTCCCTTACTTATCTACATATTCTCTTCAAGATGTCCAAACACATCAGCTATTCTATCAATTTCATTTTCTTGCAGATTTTTTTTTCCCAGAAAAGGCCTTGTAAATTTTTTGAAATGTCCATGTCTAAAAACAATCTTTTCTACTATCTCATTTAATTGATAGTTTTGCTGGGAAGTGAATTCTTGGCTTAAAATCATTTTTACATCTTGGAGTTCAAAAAGTATTATTACTGTTTTCTTCTAGCTTTCATTATTGCTCCCGAAAAGTCTGGTACTATTTTGATTCCTGATCCTGAAGCCCAAACATTCTCCTTGGCAGCTTGGAGGGCTGTTCTGTGCAGTAGGCTCTGAGCTTCACAGCAGTGTGTCTTGAAGTAGATCTTTTTCTTCTGTTGTTCTCGTCACTTAGTGGCCTGTTTGGTCTGCAACCTGTGCTCCACAGTTCTGAGGAAGCTTCCTGCCTTGTTTCTTTGCTGACTGCCTCCTCTTTTTGTTTGTCATTGTCTTTCTTGGACAGATCCTCCAAATCTTCTCCTTGCTCTTATTTTTAATCTCTTTGTCTTTTTTTTCTTTCTGTCTTGTGGGAGGGTATCTCAACTATCTTTCAATTTGAGGATTTTGCTTCTGTTATCATATTTTTAATTTCTAAGAGCTCTTTTGTAACCTGAATGTTTAAAATTACCATCCTGTTCCAATTTCATGGATATAGTGTTTTATCTTTTGGGGATATTAATGATCATCTTTCGAAGTTTCATCTCTCTTTACAATGTCTCTTTCCCATAAATTTTGTTTGAGTTTGTTTGTTTTGGACTTTGCCATTATTGTTGTTAGAGTCCTTCCTCAGAGGTCTGATGATCCTTGGCTGTCTGCTCGTATTTAAAAATGGGACACTAAAAATCTTATTGGAAGTTCCTGTACATGGGAGAGACTTGTCAACTTTGGTCCTCTCTATAGAGTGATCTAGCTGCATCACTTTATTGGGACCTTCCACAGGTAACTGTCTTGAAGTCTCCTCTTTTGAGTTGGTCAGAGTCCCCAGAGCAGAATCTTCCATCCTCTTGCCTGGAGGATAACTAGGGTTCACAGCTAGCATTAGGAAATCAGGAGGAGAGAGAAAGGCATGAACTTCCATATGTAGAGAGAAAATTTTCACTTTGGAAGGTTCACTCTGAGATGTGCTTGGCGTCCCTCAGATCAGAGACCTGTGCTTTGCAGAAAACAAACCTCCAGGCTTCAGCAACAGGGAAAGGAGAGGCTGCTGCCTGGCTACAAAGAGTTGGGTAGTGGAGTGAGTGGGCTATAAAGTACCCTGAAAGTCATCTTTCAACCAATCTTCCTGTTTTCAGCCCCATATTTATCTCAACTTCTCAAGATATCAGACACTAGGAATTCCTAGACTGGTTCTCAAATTTCTTCTCTACTGGCTTAAGACTCAGTTTTCTTGAGTCTGCTTGAGTATTCATCTATCTGCTTTTAGCTTTCAAAGTTTTGTTACCATTGTTTCCTCTTTATTTTCTGTATTCTCATGAGTATCCATCTCTATCTATTCATCCATCTATCTAATCTATTTATCCATCCATCCTATCTGTATTAGCATCTATATCTATGTATAATCTCTATGCACTATTTATATCCATTTATATCTATCATCTATATCTACTATTACCTGTCCCTACCTGTATCTATTTATATTTTATTTATATTTATCTCTACATATCTATTTATTTTAAAATTAATTTATTGTTATTTTAGTGGGTTCCAGGAGAGTGCAGACGGAAGTGTTCAGCTTCTCATCTTTAACTGGAAGTCCTTATTTGTTCTTCAGTTCTGCAATTTCTGTGTAATTATTTTCCAAATCTATTGTGTGTGTGTATATATATATATATATATATATATATATATATATATATATTTTTTTTTTTTTTTTTTTTTTGGGACGGAGTTTCCAAAAAAAACTCCCAGTTTCCAAAAAAAAAACTGCCCAGGCTGGAGTGTAATGGTGCACTCTCAGCTCACCACAACCTCCGCCTCCTGGATTCAAGTGATTCTCCTGGCTCAGCCTCCCAAGTAGCTGGGATTACAGGCGTGCACTACCACGCCCGGCTAATTTTGTATTTTTAGTAGAGACGGGAATTCTCCATGTTGGTCAGGCTAGTCTCGAACTCGCCTCGGCCTCCCAAAGTGCTGGGATCACAGGTGCGAGCCACCGTGCCCAGCCTATTATATAATTTTTATAGTTTCTAGTTTCCTGATGCAATGTTCACACTTGTGTTTTAGCTTTGTGAACCTAAGTAAGCATTTTTCCCCTCAAAGTCTGTGTCTAATAATTCCATTGTCTGAATTCCCTGTGTACTTGTGTTTTTTTTTTTTTTTCTGGTTTAACTCACTGTGTCATCAGATCATGTGATAGATTATCTTTGATTGTGTGCTGGACATTGTGTTTTCTTTTTTTTTTTTTTTTTTTGAGACAGAGTCTCACTCTGTCGCCCAGGCTGGAGTGCAGTGGTGCGATCTTGGCTCACTGCAAGCTCCGCCTCCTGGGTTCACGCCATTCTCCTGCCTCGGCCTCCCAAGTAGCTGGGACTACAGGCACCTGCCACCACGCCTGGCTAATTTTTTTTGTTATTTTTTAGTAGAGACCGGGTTTCACCATGTTAGCCAGGATGGTTTCAATCTCCTGACCTCACGATCCGCCCACCTCGGCCTCCCAAAGTGCTGGGATTATAGGTGTGAGCCACCACGCCCAGCCAACATTGTGTTTTCTAAAAAATTATTATAGAAACATTTATAGGCTTAGAGGAGGGATATCATCCTTCTCCAAAGAGGATTTTGTCTGCTTTTTCCAGGTGTATGGGAGTACCAGCAATTTGGGATTACCTTAATCCAAGTTCAGGTTTTGAGAGATTTCTAGTCTGCCCATGTGAACAGGACAAGACTACTTCTGGCTTGGCTTTGCTCTTCAGGGTCACAGCCTACACTGAGGAAGGATTTACCAGAGATGGCACCCTTGGTGGGCCCCTTAGCTCTGTGAGTCTGCTGGAAATGCAGTGCAACCTCTGTAGTCTCTTCCAGGTCAGCAAATGGCCCCTAGACAAAAGCTACCCCAGGTACCAGACTTGGGATCTTCTCTTGGATCAGGGGCTGCTAATTCCTCACTAGATGGTCAGTTATTTGACACTTAAAAATCATTTTATGGAAGTATAATAGACATACAAAAATATATATGTGTCATAAGTGCAAAATATACAAAATTTTACAAATTACCTGCCCCAGAACACCAGTGTCTCAGACACCCCCATCCTCCTCTCTCTTTCCAGGACATAGGTTCTCACAGCATTTTCTTGATGACTCATAACATTGAGCACCTTTTGTATAGGTAGTGGAATTTCTATATTTTCTTTCATAACATGGCTTTTAATTTTTTGGCCAATTTTCCCATTGGTTTGTCTATCTTTTTTTTCTTAGTCTGCAGAGTTCTTTTCCTACTGTAGCTTCTCTACATTTGCTGCATATGTGAGTGTGGATGTATGTATGTGAATGTGTCCTCTATGGGTTGCCTTTTCAGTCCCATAGTGGTGTCTTTTTATGGATGAAAGTTCTTAATTTGAATATAGTCTATGTTATTCCACTTCTCTTTCAATGTGAGTGCTTTTTTGGACTGTTTAAGACACCTTTGCCTACTCTAAGGTCACAAAGATATTCTATATTTTCTTGTAAAAGTTTTATTGTTTTACCTGTCCCACTGGGATTTGTAATTGATTTTTACAGATGGTGTGAGGTAGCAAGCCAGGGTTATTTTTTTTCCATGTTGCTATCTGTCTTAGTCAATGCTGTATTGCTACAACGTAACACCTGAGACTGAGTAATTCATAAATGTATTCTTTCATGGTTTGGGAGGCTGGGAAATCTAAGATCAAGGTGCTGACAGGTTAGGGCTTGGTTTATCTGCTTCCAAGAGGGCACCCTGAATGAATGCCATGTCCTCCAGAAGGGAGGAACATCATGTCCTCATATGGCAGGAAAGTAATAGAAAGAGAGAGAGAGAGAGACCCTCTTCTGCAAGCCCTTTTACAGCAGCATTGGTCCCTTTATGAGGGCAAGGCCCTCATCACCTAAACACCTCTTATTAGGTCCCACCTCTCCAGACTGTTGCACTGGAGATCAAGCTTACAACATACGAATTTTGGGAGACACATTCAGACCATAGCACCACCCGGTTGACTGAGCACCATTTATTGAAAAGCCCATTTCTCCCATGGCACTGCACTGCCTCATCTATCATGAATTGGGTAATTATGGGGACTCCACACTTTTAACAGGGTGCTTTTTATAGTTCATCCTGCATCTGAAGTTGTCTTCTGCAGGAAGATTAGTCTGAGTTATCTAGTTCCTCACTGTTAAAAGGTGAATATCCCCTGTTCACTCGTCACCCCTCTGTGGTCCCCTGATTCTACAGCCAAGGTCAGCTGCCATCTTCATGTTGTTAAATCCCGTGGACGCCACTTGGTCCTTACGCCCGTCACTGCCCATCAGCCATCTTTCCTCCCTTGGCCATCCACTGATCTTCTGACCACATCCTTTCTAGCAAGCTGCTGTGGTCTGAATGTTTGTGTTCCTCAAAAATTCATGGGTTAAAATCTTTACCCTCGGCTGGGCATGGTGGCTCACACCTGTAATCACAGCACTTTGGGAGGCCGAGGTGGGTGGATCACTTGAGGCCAAAAGCTCAAGACCAGCCTGGCCAACATGGTGAAACCCTATCTCCACTAAAAATACAAAAATTAGCCAGGTGTGGTGGCATGCGCCTATAGTCCCAGCTACTCAGAAGGCTGAGGCAGGAGAATCGCTTGAACCCGGGACGTGGAGGCTGCAGTGAGCTGAGATGGTGCCACTGTATCCAGCAAGACCCTGTGTCCCCACCCCCCCAGAAAGAAATCTTTACCCTCAAGGTGACAGCATTAAGAGGTAGGGCCTTTAGAAGGTGATCAAGTCAAGTCATGAGGGTGGAGCATCGTGAATGGGATTCGTGCCTGATACGGTTTGGATCTGTGTTCCCTCCAAATTTCATGTTGAAGTGTAATCCCCAGTGTTGGGCGTGGGACCTGGTAGGAGGTGTTTGGGTTATGGGGGCAGATCCCTCATGAATGGCTTGTGCTGTCCTCATGATAATGAGTGAGTTCACACAAGATCTGTGCGTGGCGACCTCTCCCCCACTCTGTCTTCCTTGCTCCTGCTCTGGCCCATGTGACGTGCCTGCTACCACTCCACTTCTGCCATGTGTAAAATCTCCCTGAGGCCTCCCAAGAAGCTGAGCAGATGCTGTTACCAAGCTTGTGCAGCCTGCAGATCCATGAGCCAATTAAACCTCTTTTCTTCATAAATTACCCAGTCTCGGGTAGCAATGCAAGAATGGCCTAAAACAATGCCCTTATAAAAGTAACCCCAGAGCGATCCACACCCTGGGTGAGGACACAGAAGGCATCATCCATGAGGAGCAGGCCCTCACCGGACAAGGTATCTGCTAGTACCATGACCTTGGACTTCCCAGTCTCCAGAACTGTGAGTACTAAACTCCCATTGTTTATAAATTATCCAGTCTAAGGTATTTTGTTGTAGCAGCACAGACAGAATAAGACACAGGCTCACGAAGCTTTACACGGCTTGGTTTGGGTTGGCCTCTGCAGATCAAGATGCTCTTTGTTCCATTACACTCTGTGCTCTGCCCACCAAGTCGCTTGTTGTCTTTCACCTCCAGGCTGCCTGGGAGGCTCTCCCAGCCTCCCTCCCCCTAAATTACTGCCAGCTGTCCTTGACATCGGGTCACCTTGTGTGCCTGCATTTCCTCATTGCAGAATTCCTCCCCGTCTCTGTGGCTGCCTGGCTGTCTCCCTCCCTGGGCTCTGCCGGGGCTCCTGTTGACCAGGCCTTTGCCTCATCACTCCTTCTTGGCTACCCCAGTCCACAGGTGGGCTCGCCATCCCCAGGAGCGCACTGGATGCTGTGGTGTAGCTGGATGGTGCTAAGCTTCGCACACCCCAGGCAGGGGTCGAGAAGACCCTCAGCCTGGCCACCATCCTGCCTCACCGGGCCATATGCCCCAAGGAACCAGGGCACACACCCTGCTGAGGAGGCTCCTTTTTCCCAAGCACCCTTGCGGGCGGCGAACCTACCTGGCGCCCAGCCTCGTTGTTGTGGCGGTTCATGGCTGAGCGGGCATCTGGCCGGTTCTCCCGGGCGTCGGCGAACTCCCGAGACACCATCCCACCAAACTCGATGTCCTCGCTACAGCCACCCCACTTCCAGCCCTTGCCTGGTGAGCCCTGGTGGCGGCTGCTGCAGCCACAGATGGCGGCCGTGCCTTCTGCACATGAGCGTGTCACTGCAAAGGCCACACCGGCTGAGGCAATGGCGTGGACAAAGGCCGACTCCCTGGTAGCTGTAGAGAGAGGAGAGATGCAGGGTTAACAGGGCTCAGCTCAAAGGACCGCCTTGGGCAGGTCAGGGGTCTTAGCCCATTTGCATTGTTATAAAGGAACTCGTGAGGTTGGGTGGTGTATAAGGCAAAGAGGCTTACTTGGTTCACGGATCTACAGGCTACACAGAAGCATGGCTCCAGCAACTGCCTCTGGCAAGGGCCTCAGGCTGTTTCCACTTGTGGCAGAAGGGAAAGGGGGCGTAAAGGGGAACCAGTGTGTGCAAGAAATTACATGGTGACAGAAGTGAGAGAGGGGAGGTTGGTACCAGGCTCTTTTTAACAAGCAACTTTGGCTAAGTACAGTGGCTCATGCCTGTAATCCCAGCACTTTGAGAGGCACAGTAGGAGGACTGCTTGAGACCAGGACAGCCTTTTCAACATAGCAAGACCCCATCTCTACAAAAACTAAAAATATTAACTGGATGTGGCCCCAACTACTTGGGAGGCTGAGGCGGGAGGATCACTTGAGCCCAGGAAGTGGAGGCTGCAGTGAGCCAGGATAGCACCACTGCACTCCAGCCCTGTCTTAAAAAACATACAGCTGGCAAGGTGGCTTACATCTGTAATCCCAGCCCTTTGGGAGGCAGAGGTGGGAGGATTGCTTGAGCCCAGGAGTTTGAGACCAGCCTTGGCAATGTAGCAAGACCCCATCTCTACAAAAAAATGTTAAAATTAGCAAGGTGCAGTGGTGTGTGCATGTAGTCCCAGCTATTCAGGAAGCGGAGGTGGGAGGATTGCTAGAGCCCAGGAGTTTGAGGCTGCAGTGAGCTATAGTCACACTCCAGCATGGGTGATAGAGCAAGACCCTGTCTTTAAAAAAAAGGCACAAGGAAGGCCAGCATGCACCTGGAAAGATGGTCGACATCACCCATCCTGGGGATGTGCAAATCAAAAAACCCAATAAGGGGCCGCCTCACACCTACGGGGATGGCTGCAATCAAAGAGTCAAAGAGTAGCAAGTGTTGGCAAGGATGTGGAGAAATCAGACCCTGACCCTTGTTCACAGCTGGATGGAGGGGAAAGGTGCAGTCCCCTTGGGAGGCACTTTGGCAGTGTCTTCAAGGGTAAACGTCCACCAGCCGTTAGGTTTGCCCCAGAGGAAACCCGTGTCTGTGCAAAGACTTGTAAGCAAATGTTCACACAAGCCACAAACTGGAAGTACCCCAATGTCCATTAACAGGGATGGTTAAAAAGCAGTGGCAAGTCTGTAACAGCATTTAATTTAGGAATAACAAGAAAAATAGCACAAAGGATCTCAAAATAATCATACAACTGAACGAAGGCAGGTAAAACCAGACAAGAGCTAATTCCTTCTGCTGCCCAGATAGCCTGGGGTGCAGACCCCAGAGTGTGGCTCCACCCCACACACCGCCCACCTCTGCTGTGCCACTTGCCATTGCCTTCCTCCACCCCAAGCACCGACACTTGCATGGCTCAGCGGTACAGCTGCCTCTTCTGGAATCTTCTCAACACCAGTGACTTCCAGTGCCCGCCTCCCCAGGGCCAGCCCCAGTGCCCCAAATGCCCCTGCCTCCAGCTTGGAAGGCTGCAGGGTGTCTGCCGCTGCTGACATTGGAGCTGCCTGGGTCCTTGTACACAGCTTCCTTCTTCCCCAAATGGGGAAATAGAGGCCAAGTTGGGGAAGTGGCATTGCTTGTGCAGAAGGGTGGTAGGGGAGGGCTGGAATTTAGGAGAAAGCTCTGGAGGCTAGGATCAGAGGGATGGGAATGAGCGGTGGTGTGGGCTTTGCAGAGGCCAGGACCCCAGCCAGGCTTCCCCAGACAGGTTGAAAGAATGAGCTGTGTCTTGGGGGTGGGTGTATGCAGACACTTCTGCAAGGGCATGAGGAGAGGGGGTGGGCCTGGCCAGGCCCTGCTTCCATTGATAAAAGACACTCAGGGCTGGGGGCCTATAATCCCAGCTACTCAGGAGGCTGAGGCAGGAAGATCACTTGAGTTCAGGAGTTCAAGGCTGCAGTGAGGTATGATTACACCACTGCACTCCAGCCTGGGCAACAGAGTGAGAACCTGTCTCAAAAAAACAAAATAAAAAGAGACAGGCACTCACTTTGGACCCACACTCTGACACAGGTGAGGAACAGAGTGCCTGCTGTTTGCCAAGCATTGCAGTCTGAGCTGGGGAACTAGCAGGGAGCCAACCAGGAAAGAGCCTGACCTGCTGCTGGGCAGGGATCTTACAGACCTAGCAAGAAGACACCTGGGCTTTGGAGCCCCTGAGCCTCGGCTTGGCCTCTGGGGGCTAGGTGTGCCCTGGGGCAGGTTCCTCCATGTCTCTGCTTCTGTTGTGGGAGAGTCCTGAGCCTCCACCTTTCCTTGGCTCTGACCTTCTCTCTCCCCTCGAGGCCCTGGGAGAGCAGGAGGGAGAAGGGAGCTCCGATGGGCCCTCTCTATGGGGATAGAAGGAGGCCTGAGGTTCTCCTGGAGCCAGGGTCCTCCCATGGGACAAGGCGGGGATACAGGGCTACGTCCCACAGTGTCCCCTGCTCCTCCTTGGCAGAGGCCTGCAATGGACCCCTTAGGGTCACAACAGAGTCATCATAGGGGGCTGTGACCTCCTCTGCCACCTGGACATCCAGGGAGCTTTCATCCTCGGGTGGATGGGGCTGATGTAGTCTGGATATTTAACCCTGCCTAGATCTCATGTTGAACTGTGATCTCCAGGGCTGGGGTGGGGCCTGGTAGAGGTGACTGGGTCATGGGGGGTGGGTCCCATGGCTTGGTGCTGTCCTCGAGATTATGAGTGAGTTCTTGCAAGATCTGGTTGTTTAAAAGTGTGTGGCACCTCTTCCCCCACTCTTTATCCCGCTCCTGCTCTCGCCACATGACATGCCTGCTCCCCCTTTGCCTTCCGCCATGATTGGAAGCTTCCTAGCCTCCCTAGAAGCAGAAGCAAGAGCCACACTTCCTGTGCAGCCTGCAGAACCCTGAGCCAATTAAACATCTTTTCTTATAAATTACCAGCCTCAAGTGTTTCTTTATAGCAATGCAAGAATGGCCTAACTCAGGGACACAGGCATGTGGTTGCAGGCTGCCTAGGAGAGGACCGAGACAGCAGCCCCTGGGGCTCGTGATGCCCTTGAGCCCAGGCCAGCTGGGACAGAAAGGCACGAGTGAGTGTGCACACACTCAGACGCTCCCACACGGCCCAACACACATCCACACACAGCCAGCACAGAAGAACGCACGTTGCTCCCATAACAAGAACATACAAAGTGGAAGGTATTTGAGGCTATGGCTTTGCACTGGCATCCCCCTGGCTGTTGACAAAGCCCCCTGAGCCCCTCGGGCCTGCTTTGGTTGACTTTTCTGTGGATTGGCCAACAGCCCCCTGATGGCGGGTCCCAGCAGCCCCGTCCCTCCCTAGGGCCCTGTCCAAGTCAGGCCTGGACACCCACTGCATCCAGCCACAAGCCCAGAAGAAAACTGTCCATTTCTTCTGTATCCACTTCCCACCACCAGCTCAGGAAGGGCTCTGCTTGCTGGCTGGAGACTGTCCAGTCCTGAAACAGCCCCAGCCGCCCAGGCTGCTGTGGCCTTCCCAGGTGGCCCTGGGGCCTCTCAGCCAATTTGCCCCTCCTGGTTCTTATCTGTGGGTCCATCTCCCACCTCGCCATGAAGAGGCCCCTAGGAGGCCCCAGCCTCCAGCTTCCTCCTTCCACCACATGCATGCACAGCCACATGCGCACATGCGTGCGCACACAGACACATGCATACCACACACACATGCACACCCCACCTGATGCACATGCACACACACATGCAAACACACACATATAGGCATGCACACCACACACATGCACACATCACACGCATGCACACACATGCACACCCCACCACACACAAGCACACATGCACACCCCACTACATACATGAACACATATACACATGCATGCAAGCACAGCATACACATGCACTCACATACATGCACATCCCCCCCACACATGCACACCATGCAGGCATACCACACATACCATACACATGCACACACATGCATGCACATACCCCACATATACACACCCCACCCCATGCACATGCACACACACAAATACACACACACACCACACAACACATACACATACATGAATACCATACACATACATGCACACACAACCCCCACATGCACGCCTCGTGCAATGCACACACAGACACATGCACACACATACATATGCATGCATGCACACCATACACACCACACACATGCACACCTCCCACGGATGCACATATACATTCACAACCCACCACACACAAACACATGCATGCACACAGATGCACACACACACACACCCCTCCACATGTGCACCACACACATGCAAACACATGCATGCACACACATGCACACCTCTCCCTCGCAACACACTATCTGCAGGCTGAGGTCTTCGCCCAATGCCAGTTTGGCCATGCCAGGCCCCCTCTGGATCTATCTCCTCTCCTGACCTCAATGCCACTCCCTGGCCTCAGGCCGCACTCAGCCCTTTGTCCTCCCCTCGGGCTCTTTCCGGTTCCTTCCTTGGCTCAGGCTGGACCTGCTGTGCCCCTGCCTGCTCTGAGGGGAGCGGCCAGGGATCGGGTGTCCTCTACACCTGGCTGCCCCTCCCCAACCAGGAAGATTTGCCCACTGACTCCCTCCCTAGCCGCGGCTGCCTAGGGGCAGGGACTGTTTGGCTCACCTTTTATTTGCAATCTGGAGCACAAGGCCCAGCCCATAGATATTTCCTGGGGCCAGAATGAAAGGCAGGAGCCGTGGGCTGAGTCAAGGAATGAGCAGGGTCTGAGCCTACCCAGAGCAGACCCACCCTTGCCCCTCTAAGGCACCCAGGCCCATCATGCAACCTCCGCTGTTTCCTTTCCCAGGGAGCAGCTAGGCAGCCACCTCCTCCGCACCTCTCCAAGAAACTTAAAGCCCCCACCCCTGACCCCATGTTACTTCCCTAACACAACTGATCAGTTCACAGACAGGCCTGGAGGGGCCTTTGCTGAACCCACTGCCTCTGAGTGAATACACGTGTGGCTGGATGCAGAGCACTTCCTCTCTAAGCCTCCAGGCCTGAGCGCCTGTTCTTGTCTTTAAAGGACTCAGGTCGTCCCCTCCCTAGTCAGCGCCCCTTCCCCTGCCATCTGCCCTGCTTCCCTTCTAGGGCAGCTTGAGAGGTAGAGTTGAGGAGTGTCCTGGGTGCTCCTGGAGCTCACGCATGGCACACAGCTCCACCTGCCCTCCTGGCCGGACCTTCTCACTCCCAAATGGCCTGGGCATCCCACACCCTGAATACCCCACCCCAGCTGAGTCTGCCTTCCCACCTCACGGCCTGGCTACTACAAGAGTCTGTCTCCAAGGCCAGCCCCTCCCTCTTGCTCCTGAGCTTCTGGTAAGAGGAGAACCAGAGCCTGAGGCTAGGGCTCTCTGTGCCTCACTCATGCCCTGCCCATAACAAGGGCCTCGAGATCCCTGCTTATCAAAACTCAGGCAAACAGCCCCAATAGCCAGACACACTCAAGGGCAAGGGCGGGTGGTGCTGAGGGCTTCCACTTGGACAGAAAAGAGCTCATTCTTGCTCAGTTTGGTCACCAGCTGGCTGAACCTTGATTTTCTCTTCCATCACATGTGGAGGTGGAGCTCCCTGCCAGGCTGAGAAAACCCTGGAGCAGGCCTTCAATTCACTCGTGAAGACTGAAGACAAGAAGTCTCTGCAGAGAGGCTCAGATCCCAGGACAGACACCCCCATCCGAGGCTGAAGTAGAAGCTGCAGGCTGCAAGACCACAGGCCAGAAAAGCGTGAGACCCTATGTTCTGGCAAAGAGAGCCTGCATTAAAGTTGAAGCCACAAGGTCTCTAAGCGGTTCCGCAACTGCTCACAGTGTTTATCAAGCACAATGGGAAAAACCTTAACTGTGCACAGGAGAAGCCTGGCAGACACCACCTTATTCTGGGGACTGAGTTAACCTTGCCTGAAATGGGACACACAATACCTTGTGGCTCCAGGGATGATGCATGAAGGCCAAATATAGCCTTTGAGGTATTCTCACCCAAAATGCACAGCCTGCATCTAATTGTCGGGAGACATCAGACCAACCCAAATTGATGGCTGTTCTGCAAAATGCCTAATTGTGCTCCTCAGAGGTCTCAGGGGCATGAGGGACAGGGAAGAGTGGAGAAGCCAGAGGCATGGCATCACCAAAAGTAACAAGGGACCCAGGAGGGGGTTCTGGGACAGAAAAGGGATCTTGATAGAAAAACGAAGGAAAGCTGAGTGACGTCCAGAGTGTGGTGAATAGAACACATTTAGTTTTGAACAATTGGCATAGTTATGCACCACTGGGTTGGACGAGGGGACCCAGGACTCTCAGTGCCACTCCTGCGATGTTTATGAAAGTCTGAAATTATTTCAAAATAAAAAGTTAAACCTGGGCAACATAGCAAGACCCCCTTTCTTAAAAAACAAACAAACATAAATGAGCTGGGCATGGTGGTGTGCATCTGTAGTCCTAGCTACTTGGGACGCTGAGGCAGGAGGATTGCTTGAGCCCAGGACTTCAAGGCTGCAGTGAGCCGTGTTCACACCATTGTACTCCAGCCTGGGAGGCAGAATGAGACCTCATCTCTAATCTAAAAATAATAAAATAAAATAAATAAAAAGTTAAAAAATGTCCTGAAACCATGCAGAAGGAAGACCCCCCAGAATGTCCAAGTGGCAGGCACAGCGGCAGGAGATTTGAGCCTATGGGTTGGATTCCACCCAAGGTTCTAGAGGGAATCTGCAGCAGGTTCACTACCCTCCCAAAATAGCACAAACGATGGGGTATGTCTGGGAGCACGGGCATCTTTCTGGAGAGAGAATCCATTGCTTTGATCAGATTTCCACAGGTGTTTGAAGCATGCAGGCTATGAACCACTGCCCAGAGTCACCTCTGTTTACAGAGGAGCTGACTCAGGGCTCCCCTGAGGCCAGGACTTACGTCCAGGCTCTGGAGTTCTGGCAGCCAGCCTCCACGGAAACCAAGTTCTCTACCACAAACACCTTTGTCAGGGGTTTCTGCTTTTGTTGACACAACAGAGTCAGCTATGGGGGTGAAACGGAGGCATCTTGCCCGTGGGAAGTGCCAGCCATCCCAGAAGGCCAGGAAATCATCCCAGTCAGCAGGAAAATGCCTTCATTAGAGTGGACTGTCGGAGTTCCCACTGGAATGGGACACAGGCTACTGGGAGGCAGGGTGCTTAGACACAAATGCTGCCAATTTGGCCAAGTCACCTGGGAAGGAGCCTGGCTGAACTTTTTGAGCCACCTAAGGCCTGCCCCATTCAGGCCCAAGACTTTTATTCTAACACAGCAATCAGTTGTTGGAGAAAGGAAGAAGAAAGGAAACTGCATAACAAAATTGTTCTGTAAGGGAAGTATCTTCCACCTGGGAAAACCATCTTTCCCAGAAACTTGTTGTGGTCTCATTTAGCAGTTATTTACTGAATTCATCCAAAGTATCAATTATCTATCTTTCCTTCCTTTCGTTCATTCATCCATCCGTCATCCACATCTATCCATCTATCCATTCATCTATCGTGCATCATCCATCCATCCATCCATCCATCCATCTATCCATTACCTATCATACATCCTCTACCACCACCTACCATGTATCCACTTATAAATTCATCTATCCATTCACCATCCATCCATCCATCATCCATATATCTACTATCCATCATGTACAATCATCCACCATCCACCACCCATCTATCCATCCACCCATCACCCATCATCTGTCATCCACATCCATCCATCATCCATTATCCATCCATCCATCATCCACATCTATCCATCATCCATCTATCATCCATCATCCACCATTCATCCATTCATCATCCATATCC
Organism: Homo sapiens; assembly: GCF_000001405.40. NCBI lineage: Eukaryota > Metazoa > Chordata > Mammalia > Primates > Hominidae > Homo > Homo sapiens. The sequence goes on along the minus strand of NC_000001.11, from coordinate 228,042,735 downwards.
ATACATTATCCATACATCTATCATCCATCATCCACCATCCATCCACAATCCATCCATTGTCCATCCATTACCCATCATCCACCATCTACCACCACTCATCCATCCATTCACCCATTATCCATTCATCATGCATCCATCATCAATTCATCACCCATCCACCATTCAACCATCATCCATCCATCATCCCCTTCATCATCTGTACATTCATCACCTATCTGTTGCCCATCATCTGTCCATCTCTAATCCATCCATCACCATTCATCCATCACCATTCATCCATCATCCACCCATCATCCATTCATCCATCTATCCACCACCCACCATCCATCCATCATCCATCCATCCATCCAGGATCTGAGAGTCCCTAATGAGCCAGGCACTGGGCTGAATGAGGAATATGAGATGAATAAGAAGCAAGGTGCCCACTCTCAATAACCACAGTAAAAAAAATCCTCCAGAGGCTGGGCGCGGTGGCTCACAGCTGTAATCCCAGCACTTTGGGAGGCTGAGGTGGGCAGATGACGAGGTCAAGAGATTGAGACCATCCTGGCCAACATGGTGAAACCCCGTCTCTACTAAAAATACAAAAATCAGCGGGGCATGGTGGCGTGCACCTGTAGTGCCAGCTACTCAAGAGGCTGAGGTGGGAGAATCGCTTGAACCCGGGAGGCGGAGGTTGCAGTGAGCCGAGGTCACACCACTGCACTCCAGCCTGGCAACAGAGGGAGACTCCATCAAAAGAAAAAAAAATCCTCCAGAAAGTGGACTGCTGCTCAATATGATACAATTTCTAACAACCTAGGCTTTCTGAAAGTTGAAGGAGTTCCTGTCCTGGTGATAATAAAACAGAGGTTGGATGACCCACTTTCAGGAGAAGAGAGTCCTTGCCTTGGTAAGGAGAATGAACCAGGGGAAGCCTTCCCTATCTCTGGTGGGAGGCTTTGTTGGTGTGTGTGTTAGGTTTTTTGCCTGGGACTGTGCTAAACCATGTGCTTTTGGGAGCTTACAGTTCACAAGGGAGGCAGTAGAGAGGACAAGGACACATAGCAAGGCTTGACAACATGAGCTCTGAGGCAGGCCTGGGATGGGAGGGTGATGAATAATGGGTAGATGGATGGGTGGGTGGATAGATGATGGATTGAGGGATGGTGGATAGATGGATGATGATGAATTGATGGATGGTGGATGGATGGATGGATGGATGGATGGATGGATGAATTGATGGATAGATGGATGATGGATTGATGGATGGCAGATTGACAGATGGATAGATTGATGGATGTTGGATGGTGGATGGATGGATGGATGAATTGATGGATGGTGGATCGTGCATGATGGATGAATGGATGATGGATGGATGGATAAAGTCGGAGAAGGTGAGGGAGTTCTAGGTGGTAAGAGGTGGGCATTTAGGGAAAGGCAGAAGAGCTGCCAGGCAAGGCTCCATCACAGCTGAGGGCAGTGCAGTTGTCAGATGCAGGGAATCATGAGATGAGCTTTGATGGTTCCTTTGTCTCTTGCATCTCAGAACTTTTGGACTAGAGGGATCTTAACAAATCCTTCGTTTCTAGGTTTGGATTTAATGGGCTTTTCAAGTATCAGAGAGCATCTGGGGACTAACAGAGGACTGCCAAGTGCTTTTATTTTGTTGAGACAGGAAAAGATATAGATAGATGATAGATAGATGATAGATAGATAGATAGATAGATAGATAGATAGATATAGATATGTAGTAGATATTATATATATATATATATATATATAAAATATCTACCATCATAACTTCAGAAAAGGACCTTTGAACATCAAACAGGAAGGATATGTTTCCAAATTCTTTTTTTTTTTTTTTTGAGATAGAGTCTCGTTCTGTCGCCCAGGCTGGAGTGCAGTGGCGCGATCTCGGCTCACTGCAAGCTCCACGTCCCAGGTTCACGCCATTCTCCTGCCTCAGCCTCCCGAGTAGCTGGGACTACAGGTGCCCACCACCATGCCCAGGTAATTTTTTTTTGTATTTTTAGTAGAGAAAGGGTTTCACCGTGTTAGCCAGGATGGTCTCGATCTCCTGACCTCGTGATCCGCCCATCTCGGCCTCCCAAACTGCTGAGATTACAGGCATGAGCCACTGCGCCCGGCCATGTTTCCAAATTCTTAAACGTTGAACAACATTTGCCCAAATCATTCCAAAATCCTTGTCTTTCACATTTCACTAAAGTTGCTCAGTTGCCACTATTTATTACGCAGTGACTGTCTTTTAAGTGGCAAAGAAGGCTGCAGCCTCTGTCCTCTCAGAGCTGACCTTACCATGGGGAGGTGACCCAAGAAGCATTTCGGCAGGGACAGGTGTTTGCTCAGAAGGTAGCTGCTGAGGCAGCATAGCATGGAGGCTGCCCTGTTAGGGGGTGACAGTGGGAAAAGCAGGTCCAAGCCGATCCTTGTATTAACTAATGAGAGAAGTGGCCCCAACAGGAAGATGGCTCAGAGAGGGTCAGCCATGGGCCCCAGGCTGCACAGCAGTGAGTGCAGAGCCCAGACAGAGGGGTCCCAAGAGAGGTCCCTGAACTCATCATTATGGGCTCCTGCAGCTCCAATGGGTGTTCCCATGGCTGGCGTTTCCATGGCCATAGCCTCAAGGGAGCAGGGAGCCCACCTGCCTGGCTGGGCCCCCACTGCATGGCTGAGGGGGACATGCCTATCTGTGGAAAGGCTGTGGGGGCTGATACAGGGCGAGAGGAGAGGGACAGCCTGGGACTCCTGGGCTCCTGGGACATGCCTGTTGGTCCAGAGGGGACTCCTGAGTGGCTTTTCTGAGGGACAAACAACTTGAAGGAGGGAAAGTTCTGGGTCAGGGGGTGGGGATTGTTGTTAAATGCGACCATAGGACAATGAAATCCAGCTCCTCGGGGAGGCAGAGTGCTCAGTCTGAAGGGCTTCACCCAGGCTGGCCCCTCTGGGAAGCCCATCAGGGAATTAGGACTGGAGGCTTCCAACAATGGTCATGGCTGGGGGGCCAATGAATCACTGCAGGGCCGCCCTGGGGACCCAAGTTCAACTGGGGTGGGGGGCACCTATATCTTAAAGGGTCTCCAGTGATTCTGATGCATCAACTGAGATGAGATCTCCCAAGCTCAGATTCCATTCCGTGCTGACCCCTCCTCTGGGCTGTGACCAGAAAGAAGGCTATGGACAGCTTGGCCATGACTTTGTAAGGGCTCTATGGGACCCTGGACAAGACCCTGAACAGGAGCCTGCCAGGAGAAGGGGGTTGGGAGGGTGTCTCTGATATGCTGATGGCCATCCCCCCATGAGTAGACAGTGGTCATTGGGTCTCTGGCCTGGCCTCTTCCTGGAGGTGGGTACCTTGGTCACAGGCTCTGGGATTCAGGGCCCTGGCTGCTGGCAGCTGGTGGCTGGGCTGCTTAGTCTGGGAAGGGGGCTATGGTTCTGCCTCTGTGGCCCCATCCTGGGGCAGCTGACACCTCCTTTCCTAGGAGCTTGGGATGCCGCCTTTGCCCAGTCTGCTTCTTGATGTTGACCCATGCTCACCTGGCCATGCCTCCTGGGGCCCTCCAATGCTGTCCCCAGCCCCTGGAAACCTGTGGCTTCGTCTCTTTCCCCTGGCAATGCTGACTGTCTGGCTGGACACCCCCAGCTCTGGCAGGGATGCACTGGCCGAGGGCAGGACTCCATGGTGGCCAGTCCAGCCGGGTGCTGGGGGCCCAGACTCCCAACATTGCCCACTGCCCAGGAGAAAAACTCTGCTGAATCTCCACCGGGAAGTTCTCACCTCCACTGTGACAAAAAAATGCCCTCTGTCCCCCAAGTGCACCCTACTGCAGCCAGCTTCTCTCCCCAGGTCTGCAGGGCAAATGCCCCACCCCACAGGCCTTCCCCCTGCCTGATCTGCCAGCCCTTTCCATGCACCAGTGAGGAGCAGTCTCCCTGTACTCCAGGGACTGGCCTTCAGGCATCCTGGGGGATGGAGGGTCACAGCGAACACAGCCCCCCGTGCACGCTGCACCCTGTATGATTACCACACCCCCACCACATACCTGGGACCCATAGAGTTGTGGGGACAGTGGCCACCCCGAATGCATTGGGTCCCTCCCTCCTGGTGCTGCCCCCATCTCCTGCCTGCTCACGCCACAGCTGCTGGAAGGGGCTGGCTGAGTGAGGGGGGTGCCTTGGATCCCAGCTAGGACCACCTGACCAGACTGGCCAGGGGCCTGCAGGTCACTGTGGCCCCAAATGTCATGTCATCTGGGGACCATCGCCCCTGAAAAAGGACAAGCAAAGTCCTTCTCGTGCCCATCGGGAGGCCACAACAGGCTTCCAGAGCAGCCAACGCGTGGGCCCTTTTCCCCCACTGAGGCCTGAACACAGGGGAAGGAGAAGACCCTTTGCTGTGGGGCACACAGGGGGACTCAGCCCGCGCCCCGGTCCCCGCCGGAGCCCGCCGGAGCCGACGCCCGGGCGCCTCCCCTCGGGGGCTGCCCACCTTCCCTCATTCCTGCGGCCCCAGGAGGAGCCAGGCGGCCGGGAGGGGGTGTCGCGGTGGCATTTGGTAATCATGGCCTGCACAAAAGGCCCCGGAGCCACCTGAGAGCGGAATGCGGCCCGCGCCCCACCGCGGCCACGGCCCCTGACACCGCCGGGCGGCCCGCGCGGCCGGGCGCCGTGCTGACCCGCTGGGGCGCTTGAATCCGGCTTTGTGCGCCACTGTCACGCCGAGTTAGGCCCACAATGGCCGGCGATATTTTATATGAATTTCCCCCTAGTCGGTGATTAGGCGAGCGCAGGCCAGTCATAGCAACCTGGAAGTATGCGCCGCGCGCCAGGCCGTCCGGCGCGAGGGGAAATCCCCATTCAGACGCTTTAATTCAGCACCGCGAAGGGCGTGTGAACCGCCCGCGCATTTGCACTCTCCCCTTGTGCTTAATCTTGTCGCCGTCGCTGGGATATTGTGCTCCCAGCCGGACGCGGCGGGGAGTCGGCCGGGGTTCCCCTCCCACTGGGGAGAGTTAATGATATACCAGAGAGGCCGCTGGAGCCAGGGGAGCCCCCCACCCCAACGCATCTTAAACGGCAACACTTTCCGATGGGGGGGGTCAGGGGTCGCAACCTGGCTTTGGGGACGCTGGTTCCCTAAAGAGCTGCCCTGTGTGTCCCCATGTCCTAGCAGGCAGGCCCCACCCCTGTGCCGGCCCTCATAGGCAGGGGACACACAGGGAGGTGGCGGACCACCCCCGAGGGGCTCCTGGGGGCTCAGCGGGGAGGAGAGGAGGCTGGGCTGTCTCCTGCCTGGGGAAGACGTTGGAGAGATGAAGGGGGACTTGTGGGGCACCCAACAAGGCTTACTGACATGTGGTGCGCAGGACCCTTTCATTACTCTCCCCACCCTTTGGGGCTGGAGGGGTCCTGGGGCACCAACCAGGAATCTGGCCGTGTGCTTTGAGTGGGGATACCCTGGGGTTCACAGAATAGGGCAGGGGGTGGGGACTGGAAATGCTTGAAGAGGGGGTGGTGTGTGAAGGCTGAGTGGGAGGGCCACTGCTGCAGGCCCCACCCACACTGGGTACGAAGAAGCAAACCCCAGGGCTCTGGGAAGTGTCCACTGGGAGTTGTGGGAAGCACACTTACTTGGGAAGCACAAGAGATTGCATACCTCCCCATGCCACTCCACTCCCCCCGACCTATCTGGCAGGTGCCAGGGCCCGGGGGGACTCCTGGGCCCAGCCCATGTTAGAGGGCACCGAGCATGTGGGCACAGGTGGCATCCCTAGGCTCCAGGCCTCGCCCGCTCCTGGCCTCTGTCCCCTTCTCTAAGGAGCACATGCCCCACCTGGCCTAGAGCAGGCCAGGCTCTCTGCAGAGCCACGTGCTGCCTGAGATCCAGCTGCTGGGCCCTGGGCTGCTGCATCCACTGCAGCCGTCCCTGCCCTTTCTCTGTACCTGTGTCCTTGCCAGCTTTACCTTGCCAGGGGTCAAGAGTGAGGTGTCTCCAGCTCTGCAGGGAAGTGAGCCCTCCCAGTGCCTGGGTCCTGCGGCAGGGGACAGAGAAGCTGCACGGTGTGCCCAGTCTCCATGCACTTAAAATTCCTCAAATGCTTTCTACCCCAGGCAGGTTGAATGTCCTGCTCCTTTTGGACCCCAGAAGAGAGGGCTCTTCAGGGACCAGGCTCAGCTTCTGTGACAGAGCCCCATGTTCCAAGGACTGATGGTTTCTCCCAGCCTCAGTCTGGTGGCCCCAGTCCCCAGCCCCAGGCCAGGTGGACGGCAGATGGGGATGAAAGCAGGAGGTGTGAGGATATGAAGCTTCTTCCTTCATATGTTCACACTCATGCACACACACACACACACATGCACATGCATACACACAGGCATGCACATATATGGCTTATGTGCACATATAGGCACACACATGCACCCCTCACAATGCACACGCTAGGGTGTACACTCACATGTGCACACACACACAAGAGGCTGGGCCCCTCTCTTCACAGCTGACTGAGGGTTTTTAACTGTGTTCAACAAGGCCATCTTGGCAGGGGTGGTCAGGCACCCTGTGGCCACTGCCACAAAGCCTGGGGTGACCTTTGACATGATTAGGGTTGCCCTGACCCTAATCCAATCATATGATTATGGAGAGCGCAGCCAGGGCCTCCACAATGGCCTCCTGAGCAGGCCTCTCTCTGAGGCACCCGGCGGGCTCCTTCCTCCCAGGCCACCAGGACTCCAAGCATTTCTGAGTCCCCATGGCAGGCAGGAGGGAGGAGCCGGGACTTCCCCTTTCCTACTTAAACCTATTTAAGCCATGAGGAGGTAGGAGGGGTTCCAGACTGTGTTCCTCTATCAGAAAGGGGAGGAGAAGGGGGTAGTAGGATCAGAGAAGCGGAGAAGGAGAGGGTCCAGGGGAGGTAAGTGGGATGGGAGGGGAGGCTAGAAGCACAGCAGGAGCTCAGCCCTTTGCAGAGAGGCCGGCATAGCAGCAGGAAAACAACCGGAAATGGGGGCTCCCCGCCCCAACCCAACGCTGGCACCTTAGGGCAGGACCTGGGCATCTGTGAGGCCCACTTGCCCCTGGAGAGCCTGCGGCATTAATCCAAGAGCCCCATTGAGAAATTCTCAGTGACCGCTCAGATCCATCCCCGCCCTGCCCGGAGGGATGCACACATGGGGACCGGGTATCCTCTGGAGTCCTACCTTCTCTGCTTCCTCCCGGGCTGCACCTGCCCTCCCTGTGGGCTTGGGGTTCCTCCAGTGATTCCTAAACTGTATGCTCCAGCTAGGCTCTGTCACTGCTGGGCCTGCCTGAGGGCTCTGCTCACCCCCACGTCAGCCCCAACCTTGGCATGGGCTGTCCCCTCTGCCTGGGGACTTTGGAGCCAGGCTGCCAAGGTTCATGTCTCTGCTTTGTCACAGTGATTCTGCTTCCTCATTTGTAAAACAGGGTCACCGCACTGCTGGCCTCAACAGATGGGCATGAGGATTCAACTGGCCATGGTGTGTCGAACACTTAAATGGTGCCTAGAAAATACTGCATATGTGTGTGTTTTAAAGGAAGAAAATCCTTCAAGATTCAGCCCAGGGGCCACCTCCCCTGGGAAGCCCTCCTGGGATTCCCCGAGTCATGCACCATTGTCCTTAGGTCACTGGCTTAATACATCATTTCTAAGCATATGCTGTGTGGCAGAGTGCATCTCTGTGCTTTCCCAGGGGACCGACTGTGTACATTTGCGCCACATGTATACCTGTGTGGCATATGCTATAGGGATGCTGTCACACACCAGACCCATGGGAGACCCCCAAGGGTCCCAGCTCTTGTTCCAGGAGACTCCTGGATCTTCCTGGAGTGTGCCATACCCTAGGGAGTTTCTCCCAGAAAGCAAGAGTGGGAGCCATTGATAATGACTGGGACTTGTGAAAATCAGGCACCTTTAATTCCCTGTTTTCCACAAACTTTAAGGAGGACCTAACTGAGTCATGGGCTGATAGGATTTTTTCACATTTTGATGATAGGCCACCATGTGATTTTTGGCATATATAACTCTAAAAAAATTCAAAGAATTGAGAGATGCATGGTAACTAAGTGCTCCCATTTTTATCTATTTATTTATGTGAACAAAGTTTTTCTCACATCTAGAACTACTAAGTTTAAAAGCAAGAGGGGCCTACCTGCAGCTAACATCCTATCCAGTGGTGAAAGACTGAAAGCTGTTTGTCCACTCTCAACTCTGCTATTCATCATGGCACTGGAGGCTCTGGCCAGGGCAATTAAGGAAGAAAAATGAAAAAACTGCATCCAGATTGGAAGGAAGAAATAAAACTATCTTATACGTAGAAAGCCCTAATGAATCTGCAAATTAAAAAATACATTAGAACTGATCAACAACTCCAGCAAGGTTACAGAGTACAAGATCTATATTAAAAATCATTTGTGTGTGTATGTGTGTGTGCGTATGTGTGTGTGTTTTTTTGAGACAGAGTCTCACTCTGTTGCCCAGGCTGGAGTGTAGTGGTGTGATCTCAGCTCATTGCAACCTCCGCCTCCTGGGCTTAAGTGATTCTTGTTCCTCAGCTTCCTGAGTAGCTGGGACTACAGGCATGTGCCACCATGCCTGGCTAATTTTTGTATTTTTAGTAGAGACAGGGTTTTGTCATGTTGGCCAGGGTGTTCTTGAACCCCTGACCTCAAATGATCTCCCTGTCTTGGCCTCCCAAAGTGCTGGGATTACAGGCATAAGCCACTGCACCTGGCCTCATTTGTGTTTCTATACACTAGTGACAAATAATTAAAAAATGAGATTAATAAAACAATTTCATTCACAACAGCATCAAAAATAATAAAATACTTAAGGAATACATTTAACAAAATAAGTGCAAGATTTGTATGCTGAAAACTACAAAATGTCATGAAAGAAATTAAAGACCTAAATAGGAAGATATCCTATGTTCATGGACCAGAAGACATAATATTAGTAGAACAATATTTCCCAAACCGATCTACACATTCAACACAATTTCTAAAAATCTAAGCTTTTTTTGCAGAAATTGATGAGCTAATCCTAAAACTCACATGGAACTGTAATTGTCTCCAAATAGCCAAAATAACCTTGAAAAGAAAGACGAGCAGGAGGACTCACATGTTCTAATTTCAAAACACTACAAAACTACAATAATCAAAACAGTGTGGCACTGGCATAAAGACAGACATATGGAACAATGGAATAGAATAAAGAGCACAGAGATAAATTCATACATCTAGGGCTAACTGATTTGCAGTAAAGTTGCCAAGACTATTCAAAGGGGAAAGAACAGTCTGCAACAGATTGTGCTGGAATAACTGGATTTCCACATGCAAAAGAATGTGATTGGATCCCTGCCTCACATCGTCGATGAAAATTAAAGACCGAGATGTAAGCACTAAAACGCTAAAACTCTTATTTAAAAAAAACCTAATGAAGAGTAGATCTTTGTGAGCTTGGGTTAGGCAATTGTCTCTTAGATATGGCATCAAAAGCCAAGGAACCAAATAAAAAACTGATAACTTGGAATTCGTCAAAATTAAAATCTTGCATGTATCAAAGGACACCATCAAGCAAGTGAAAAGACAACCCACAGAATGGGGGAAAATATTTGCAAGTCATGTATTGGATAAGGGACTTGTAAGCAGACTATATAAAGCACTCTTACAACTCAACGACAAAAAGACAAATAACCCAATTAAAATGTGGGTGGAAGAATGGAATAACATTACTCCAAGGAAGAGAGGCAAATGGCCAATGAGCACATGAAAAGATGCTCAACATCCTTAGATATCAGGGAAATGCAAATGAAAACCTCAGTGAGACATTGCTTCACACCCACTAGGATGGCTAGAACAAAAACAACAAGCAGAAAATCACAAGTGCTCATGAAGATGTGCAGAAATCAGAATCCTCAGATCCTGCTGATGGGAATGTAAAATGGTGCAGACACTCTGGAATAGTTTGACAGTTCCTCAAAAAGTTAAGCATGGAGTTCCTCTGTGACCCAATTCTGCTCCTAGGTATATGCCAGAGAGAACTGAAAATACACATTCACACAAAAGGCATTATTTATAATAGTCAAGAAATTGAAAAAACCCAAATGCCTATCAGTGAGTGAATGGATAAACAAAATATGGTCTATCCATACAATGGAATATTACTCAGCCATAAAAGGGAAGGAAGTTCTGGTATATGACCAGGCTCCTAGACCATAGATTTGGGGACTCCAGAGCAGGACTCGTTCATAGGCCTTTCCTTGAAGCAGCTGGAGTTGCCATCAGGTTTAGGACCCAGTGCTATTCACCGACTTTGGGGCTTTGCATTCAGCTGGCTGGGCCCCCAGCCAATCTGCTGGCTGGGATTCCCATCTGTGCAGATCTGTGCCTTTCCATGGGCATCGTCCAATCCAGACAGTGATGCACAGGCTCCCCAAGGCTCAGCTTGGAGGACAGACCCAAGGGTTCCTGAATGGTGTGACTCATGAGGCTAGCTTCCTCCTGGCCTCCAGCTGGGCTCAGATGCCCAGGTTGGGAGTCAGTGAGCTGATGCCGTCCATGGGCAGGAGCCCTCCCCGCTTTGGCAAGTGAGATGTCCTCCCTGCTTCCACAAGTGAGAGACACCCTGACATTCTGGAGGGCAATGAAATATCCTAAAGATTCCCGAGGGTAGCAGGGCTTTAGGGAATGGCATGTTCCCCTCTGACCCCATGCAGCACAGCCTTCCTCCATCACCTGGTATGGCTCCAAGCAGGACAGGCTTCCTGCTTTCTTCCTAAAATCGCTGCTTCCTTCTCAGAGGGGGAGTGGCAGCCCTAAGCACCCCATCCTGGCTCTGGAGCCAGCAAGCACATGGCACAGGGCCCAGTCTGGTGCTCTTGGCCTTTTGCAGTGTATATGTTGCCCATGCCTCCCTCCATGCCACCACTGGCTACAGCACAGCCCAGGAACCCTAGCGGGCAGCAACTGCATCACATGCACACATAGGCATGCACATGCATGCCACAGCCACATGCACACGGCACAGGCACATCCACATACACCCATGCACAGGCACATGTATCCACCAAACCACATACACATTCACTACACCTGACACATACACATGCACACACATGCACAGGCACACACCCCACACACCACATGCATGTGCACACATGACACATCACACCACATTCCCACACACGTGCACACTCACATACACACAATGCATCACACGCCACACACACCCTTGGACACGCTCGATGAGCTGCACGGCCCTGGGACCTGACTCCTGTGCACCCTGGCAGCTATCTCCAGGGGAGCTGCGTGGTGTATTACCCCAGCCAGCAGCTCTGTGAGGTCTGACAAGCTGTAAGTATTCTTCCACTTTATAAATGGGAGGCTGATGCTCCAGGAAGTGAGCTGCCTCTCACTCAAGATCACAGGAAGGCCACCATCCAAGCTCCCCAAGCTCCAGTTTCTTCTCCTACAGGGACCCTGACTTGTCCTTCAGGGACGTCCTCCTCATCCCAGACCCACAGTGACCAGTGCCCGGACTCTGAGCCTGACCCTCGGGTCCCCACTCTCTGCCCCACGGTGCCTTCCCCACGCCTGAAGAACACAGGCCCGTGATGAGGGCTGGGGCGTGGCCATGGCCACTGGATGCTGGAGGGCTCCTGCCCATGGATGGCCTCAGCCAGGCCCCACCAGCCCTGGAGGCAGTGTCAGCTGCACACTCAGGAGCTCTCCTGGTCAGTGCACATGCCAGGCCCCCCAGGGCCAGGCACCTCCCCTCCAAAGGACTTGTGGTCTTCCTTCGCATTTGGCTGCAGGGGCTGAGCAAGGCCATGCTGTCCTTCCACAGAATCATCAGCTCATGGGGCTGACCAGAGGCTGTGAAGCAGGGTTGGGGGATAGGAGCAAGCGTGGGGGACACTCCTGAGAGGGCCTGTGGGAATTACTACAGGAGAAAGGGTGTTCCTGGCAGAGGGACTGCAAAGTGCAAAGGTGGGAGGGAGGGGGCATCATGCTCAGTGTTTGAGAAGCAGCCAAGAGGCCAGTGGGGCTGGAAGACACAGAGAGTGTCTCAGTCCGTGTGGGCTGCTCTAAAAAAACACCATAGCCAGGCAGCTCATAAACAGCACAAGTCCAAGGGCAAGGCACTGGCAGGTTCAGTGCCCGGCGAGGACACATCCTGGTTCATAGACCTCTCTTTCTCACTGGGTCAGACCTCTTTTTCTCGCTGGGTCAGCATATGCATGGTGGAAGGACTGAGAGGTTCCTTTTTATTTATTTATTATTTGTTTATTTATTTATATTTTTCCTTTTTTTTTTTTTGAGATGGAGTCTCACTCTGTTGCCCAGGCTGGAGTACAGTGAAGCGATCTCGGCTCACTAAAACCTCCGCCTCCCAGGTTCAAGTGATTCTCGTGCCTCAGCCTCCCGACTAGCTGGGATTACAGATGCCCACCACCCCCCTTGGCTAATTTTTTTGTATTTTAGTAGAGGCAGGGTTTCACCATGTTAGCCAGGCTGGTCTCGAACTCCTGACCTCAAGTGATCTGCCCGCCTCCGCCTCCCAAAGTGCTGGGATTTCAGGCGTGAGCCACCACGCCTGGCCTATTTATTTTTATTTTTATATTTTTTTAGAGACAGGGTCTCATTCTGTTGCCCAAGCTGGAGCTCAGTGGTGCCATCATGGCTCATTGTAGCCTCAACCTGGACTCAAGTGACACTTCCTGAGTAGCTAGGACTACAAGGCACTGTGCTTGGCTAATATATGTTAACTTATTTTTTGCAGAGATGGGGTCTTGCTATGTTTCCCAGGCTGGTCTTGAACTCCTGGCCTCAAGCAATCCTCCCACCTCAGCCTCAGTGGCACTGATCCCACTCATGAGGCTTTATCCTCATGACCTGACCACCTCCCAAAGGCCCCACCTTCTAACACCGTCACCTGTGGGTGAGGATTTCAATGTAGGAATTGGGGGGGGGGTGGGCACAAGCATTCATACTATTGCGGGGAGGACAGGGAGGAGGGTAAGGTGGCAGCCAGGGGCCCAGGGTTTTTGACCTAAGCAACAGAGAACTGGGGTTGTCCGTTATAAAATGAGGGAGACAGCGGGGAAGCAGATTTGTGGAGAAGTGAGATGAACTCTGGCCTTGGGCATTCTGCCAACAGGACCCCCAGGACTGCAAGGTCCCTGGGAGGACTTTCCCAGCGTGACCTGTCTCGCTTTGTCTGAGTAGCCTTCCTTCGGCACCATGGTCTCCAAAGTCTCCTCGGCCTGCTGACCACATGCTCAGCACAGCTGTGGTTCCCTGGGCCCCGCCTCTGCCGGCAGGACTGTGCTGAGCCACCCTGGGGTGGATGGTACTATGCACATTCCGCCCTACATGTGGGTCTCCCAAGGTGACCTTGATGCTCCATCGAGTGGTGGGATCTGTGTCCTCTACCCCAGAACGCAGCCTGGAACCCAAAAGGAAGCTCCAAGGGCCCTCCAAAAAATTAGACACAAACGGTTAGTACCGACATTGTTAGCTCTCTGGAAAGTAGTCAAAGGGTCACCGCAACCCACTGAATGCCAACTTGAGGAAATGATGACCTTGACTTGCTAGGAGAGCCTGGTAGTGTTTTCATGTGGTGGTGCCTACAAACCTGCCTGGGACAGTGAAGGCCGGCGTTCCCCAGGTGGGTGGATAGTTCTGGAGGGAGCGGAGCAGACCTTTTCCCCAAGGAATTGTTTGTCTGTTTTAACCTGTCTGGGTAAAAAAAAAACTCGTTTTGCCTAACTCAGAACTGTCTCAGGAGAGAGCAGTGGCTAATTGAAGGGTGGTCTTTGAAAACCTTGAAAGTTAAATAAAGCCACTGCCACCTGGGGCAACTGGATAAAGGGCATTTGTGAAAAACCTGCAGCCAACCCCGCTGAAGAAAATCATAGACTACACAAACAAACAGAAACACATCCCATGCTCATGGACAGTAAAAATCAATATTGTGAACATGACAATACTGCCCAAAGCAATCTACAGCTTCAAGGCAATTCCCCTCAAAATGCCAACATCATTTTTCACAGAATTAGGAAAAACAATCCTAAAATTTATACGGAACTAGCCAGGTGTGGTTGCTTAAGCCTGTAATCCCAGCACTTTGAGAGGCCAAGGTGGGTGGATCACTTGAGGTCAGGAGTTTGAGACCAGCCTGACTAAAATGGCAAAACTCCGTCTCTATTAAAAATACAAAAAACAAAAACAACAACAAAAAAAATTAGCCAGGTATTGTGGCACATGCCTGTAATCCCAGTTACTTGGGAGGCTGAGGCAGGGAATCCAGGAGATGGCTTGAACCTGGGAGGCAGAGGTTGCAGTGAGCCGAGATCACTCCACTGTACTCCAGCCTAGGCAACAGAGTGAGACTCCATCAAAAAAAAAAAAAAAAAAAAATTATATGTAACCAAAAAAGATCCCAAATAGCCAAAGCAATCCTAAGCAAAAACAAATTATACTACTAATTATACTACTATACTAATTTGAAGCAAACTTCAAATTATACTACAAGGCTATAGTGACCAAAACAGCATGGAACTTGTATGAAAGTAGGCACATAGACCAATGGAACAGAATAGAGAACCCAGAAATAAAGCCAAAAATGTACAGACAACTGATCTTTGACAAAGAAAACAAAAACATAAATTGGAAAAAGGTCACCCTACTTAATAATTGGTGCTGGGGAAACTGGCAAACCACATGTAGGTGAATGAAACTGGATGCTCATCTCTCACCTTATACAAAAATCAACTCCAGATGGATCAAAGCCTTAAATCTAAGACCTGAAACTATAAAAATTCTAGAAGACAACATTGGAAAAACTCTTCTAGACATCAACCTAGGCAAATAATTCATGACTAACAGCCCCAAAACAAATGCAACAAAAACAAAAATAAATAAATGGGACCTAATTGAATTAAAAAGCTTCTGCACACAGAAAGAAATAATCATCAGAGTAAACAGACAACCCACAGAGTGGGAGAAAATATTCACAAAGCATACATTTGACAAAGGCGAATATCCAGAATTGACAAGGAACTCAAACAAATCAGCAAGAAAAAACAAATAATCCCATTAAAAAGTGGGTAAGGGACATGAATGGACATTCTCAAAATAAGATGTACAAATGGCCAAAAAACATAGGTAAAAATGCTCAACATCACTAATCATGAGGGAAACACAAATTAAAACCACAACGAGATACCACCTTACTCTTGCAAGGATGCCATTATTGAAAAATCAAAAAATAATAGATGTTGGTATGGATGTGGGGAAAAGAGGATGCTTATACACTGCTGGTAGGAATGTCAATTAGTTCAACCACTGTGGAAAACAGTATGGTGATTCCTTAAAGAGCTGAAAGTAGTTCTATCATTCAATCTAGCAATCCCACTACTGGGTATCTACCCAAAGGAAAAGAAGTCATTATATGAAGAAGACACTTGCACACATATGTTCACAGCAGCACAATTCCCAATTGCAAACATGTGGAACCAGCCTAAGTGCCCATCAACTCACAAGTGGATAAAGAAAACGTGGTGTATAAGGCCAGGCACCGTGGCTCACGCCTGTAATCCCAGCACTTAGGGAGGCTGAGGCGGGTGGATCACCTGAGGTCAGGAGGTCAGGACCAGCCCAGCCAAAGTGGTGAAACCCCGTCTGTACTGAAAAAACAAAAATTAGTGGGGCTTGGTGGCTGGTGCCTGTAGTCCCAGCTACTCGGGAGGCTGAGGCAGGAGAATCGCTTGAAACCAGGAGGTGGAGGCTGCAGTGAGCCGAGATCGCACCGCTGCACTCCAGGCTGGATGACAGAGTGAGACCCTATCTCAATAAAATAAAATAAAGAAAATGTGGTATATATACACCATGGAATACTACTCAGACATTAACAGGATTTACATAATGTCATTTGCAGCAATTTGGATGGATCTGGAAGCCATTATTCTAACTGAAGTAACTCAGGAGTGGAAAACCAATATCCTATGTTCTCACTTATAAGTGGGAGCTAAGCTATGAGAACACAAAGGCATACAGAGTGATATCATGGACACTGGAGACTCAGAAGAGGGAGGTTGGGAGGGAAGCCAGGGATAAAACACTACATATTGGTTACAATGTACATTATTTAGGTGAGGGGTGCACTAAAATCTCAGTTCACCACTAACAATTTGTCCATGTAACAAAAAAACACTTGTATCCCAAAAGTTATTGAAATAGAAATTAAAAATAAATAAATAAAAAGAAAGAAAGAAAAACCTGCAGCCAACACCATATATGCAGGCAGCTCAAAGTTTTCACCCTAAGATCAGGAGCGAGGGAAGGATGCCTACTTTTACCATTTCTGTTCAACATAGCACTGGAAGTCCTAGCCAGAGCAATCAGGAAAGAAAAAGAAATAAAAGACATTCAAATAGGAAGAAAGGAGGCAGTTTCCATCCACAGATGACATCAATTTATATGTAGAAAATTCTACACAATTCACCAAAACCCTCTCAAAGCTAACAAACAAATTAAGCAGGGTTACAGTTGAGGATCAAAACTAAAAAAAAAAATGTATTTCTTGATTAAAAAGTTAAATTTCTATATATTAACAATGGAAAATCTGAAAAAAAATTAAGAAAACAATTACAAGCTGGCCACAGTGGCTCACGCCTGTAACCCCAGCACTTTGGAAGGCCAAGGCGAGAGGATTGCTTGAGCCCAAAAGTTCAAGACCAGCCTGGGCAACATAGGGAGACCTCCATCTCTACAAAAAAAAAAAAAAATACAAAAAATTAGCCAAGCTTGGCTACTCAGGAGGCTGAGGCAGGAGAATTACTTGAGCCTGGGAGATGGAAGTACAGTGAGCTGAGATGGTGCCACTGCACTCCAGCCTAGGTGACAGAGCCAGACACTGTCTCAAAACAAAAAGAAGAAAAGAAAAATGATTCCATTGACAATAGCATCAAAAAGAAAAATAGTACTTAGGAATACATTAACCATGGAGGTACACAACTCATACCCTGAAAACTACAAAACATGGCTGAAAGAAATTACAGAAGCTGGGCACAGTGGCTCATGCCCTGTAATCCCAACACTTTGGGAGGCCAGGGCAGGTGGATCGCTTGAGCCCAGGAGTTAGAGACCAGTCTGGGAAACACAGCAAAATCCCATCTCTACAAAAAATACAAACACTGGGAGGGCATGGTGGCGCATGCCTGTGGTCCCTGCTACTTGGGAGGCTGAAGCAGGAGGATCGCTTGAACCTGGAAGGTCAAGGCTGCAATGAGCCGTGATCATGCCACTGCACTCCAGCCTGAGCAACAGAGTGAGACCCTGTCTCAAAAACAAAAACAAACAAACAAACAAAATTAAGGAAGAAGACCTAAATAAATGGAAAGACCCTGAGCTCCTGAATTAAATAACTTAATATTGTTAAGGAGGCAATGCTTCCCAAGGCAACCTACAGAATCAGTGAAATCCCCATGAAAATCCCAGCAGCATTTTTTTTTGCACAAATGGAAAAACTGCTCCTAAAATTTACATATATTTGAAAGGGACCCCAAATAGCCAAAACAATCTTTTTTCCTGTCCCCCCCAAACAATCTGGAAAAGAAAGAACAAAGCTGGAAAACTTACTCTTCCCAGTTTCAAAACATACCACAAAGCTACAACAATCAAAATAATGTGGTATTGGTGACAGGACAGACATACAGACCAATAGACTGGAATTGAGAGTCCAGAAATAAACCTATACATCTATGACCAATTGATTTTCAACAAGGGTGCCAAGACCATTTGATGGGAAAAAGAACAGTTTTTTCCATAGAAGGTACTGGAATAACTGAATTTCCATATGCAAAAAAATGTGGTTAGATTCCTACCTCATACCATATAAAAAGATGAGCTCAAAATAGATTAAATACTTCAAAGTAAAAGATAAACTATTAGGTTTTTTGAAGAAAACATAGATGTGAATCTTTGTGACCTTATGTTAGCTAATTCTTGCTTCAGTATGACATCTATATAAACTGGATTTCACCAAAATTAAAAAATTTTGTGTATCAAAGGACACTCTCACAAAAATGAAAAAAACCTACACGATGAGAGAGAAATATTCACCAATCATACATCTGATGCACATCCAGTATCCAGAATATATAAAGAACACTCACAACTCAACAACAAAAAGACAAAGAATCCAATTTAAAAATGGGCAAAGGACTTGACTAAACATTTCAAAGAAGGTCTACAAATGGCCCCAAAGCCCATGAAATGGTGCTTGGCATCATCGGTCATCAGAGAAGTGCAAACTGAAATCAGAAGTAGGTTCTACTTCACACTCTAGGATGGCCAGAAGTAAGAAATACAAACACCAGAAAACAGTGTATCAGTGAGGATGAATCTGGAACCCTCAAACAATACTGGTAGGAATATAAAATGGTGCAACTGCTGTGGAAAATAGTGTGATGGTTCCAGCCCATTGCAGCCTTGACCTCCCAGGTCAAGCAAAGCGAAACAGAATTACCCTGTGACCCAGCAATTCCACTCCTAGATACAGAAACCAAAAGGTGTGAAAACGGCGTTCAAACACATGCATGTCCAAGAAAAGGCCACAGCAGCCAAAAGGTGGAGACCACGCTCATATGCGTCAACCTGAAGAACGAATAAACCAGTGTGCTCCATCCATGCAATGGAATATTATTCAGCCCATGAACAGGAATGAAGTGCTGAAACTATCCACAGTGCAGGTGAATCAACACACTCAGTGAAAAAAAGCCAGACGCAAAATATTGAGTGATGCCGTTTCTTAAACAGGCAAAGTAGCTAAATCACAGGGGAGAAGGCAGGCGGGTGGGTGCCAGGGGCTATGGAAGGGAGAAGAACGGGAATGGCTGCTTAATGCGCACAGATTTCCTTTTTGGGTGATAAAGATATTTTGGAACTAGGCAGGTGATGGTTGCACAATTCTGTGAGTATACCAAATGCTACTGAATTGAATACTTTAAAATCGCGGATTTTCGGTTATGTGAATTTCACCTCAACTTTTTAAAAAAAGATGCTAAAGTTTTAATCTTGTCCATGTTCTCTCCGTCTCTGTCTCTCTGTCTCTCAGTTTCTCTCTCTGTGTCTCTCTCTGTCCCTCTTTGTCTCTCTCTATTTCTGTCTCTCTCTGTCTCTGTGCATCTTTATGTCTCTGTCTTTCTATTCCTCTGTGTCTTTCTCTTTTGGTCGCTCTGTCCCTCTCTGTCTCTCTCTCTGTCTTTGTCTCTCTGTGTGTGTGTCTTTCTCTGTCTCTCTCTGCATCTTTCTGTCTCTTTCTCCGTCTCACTGTTCCTCTCTCTCTGTGTCTGTGTCTCTGTCTCTCTCTGTGTCTCTGTCTGTCTCTATCTTTCTCTCTCTCTGTCTCTCTCTGTCTTTCTCTCTGTCTCTCTTTCTTCTCTAGGGTGCCCCCAAACCTCTCCCTTCTTGTAGGTCTTTAAGTTTGTGTATTTCCTCTGCAAGCCTGGCCTGTGCCCTGGCTCCTGGGAGCAGCCCCGCCACTGGCCATGGTTGGAGTCACCTTAGAATGCCCGCTTTCCTCTCCAGGGAGCAGGAGGAGGAGGGATACCCGAATAACCCCACAGGCTCAGTCCTGCTTCAGCCCCAGACCGTCCTCCTGGAGGTAAGCGGGAAGGACCCCAGCGTCCGCGTGAGGCACTGTTCCCACCGTGTGCACAGATGAGAATGTCAGGCAGCGCTAGGCGGGAGACTCTGTCCCACTCCAGACTCATCTGCCCTCCCCCAGACCACCCCCATACCTTTGTCCAGCACGGGCCCGAAGATGGCCAGGCTGTCGTGGACGGTGGTGCAGTTCCACCGGCGGCCGCGGAACTGGTGCTGGCACTCCTGGATGCCAATCTTGATGCCCTCGGCCACGCTGGGCATGATCTCCACGTAGTTCCTGCAGAAGCGGAGCTGCTTGGGGACCAGGCCCGGGATGCTGGCACACAGGATGGGCTGCGAGCCCAGGGAGGAATACTGTGGCCCAACAGCCAGCGACCTGCAGAGGGCAAGATCCGGTGGTGAGTGTGGGGCTGGGACAGCGACACAGATGAGCAGGCTACAGACCCTTTGCTCTGGGGCCTCAAGTGCATTCGGGGGGCGAGACGCAGCTTCCACCATGAAGGAAATCTGATTTTTTATTTTGCAAGTAAGAGAATTTTTACTTAAAAGCCCAATTAAGGATTCTCTGTGGCCTCTAAAATAATGTTCATAAACCATGCCTTCTAATTTTTCTTTTTTTGAGACAGAATCTCACTGTGTTGCCCAGGATGGAGTGCAGTGGTATGATCATGGCTCACTGCAGCCTCCAGATTAGCTGGGACTACAGGCACACACCACCAGAGCCAGCTAATTTTTATTTTTACAGTTTGTAGAGACAAGGTCCTGCTATGTTGCCCAGGCTGGTCCCAAACTCCTGGCCTCAAGTGACCTCTCGCTAGAGCCTCCCAAAGTGCTGGGATTACAGGCATGAACCACCTTGCCCAGCTCTTAAGCCTGTATGTTATACAGGAAGTGCTTAATACAATGTTGTGTGCAGAATAAATACTCAATGCTGGCTATTTAATTTTTTCTAGATGTTTTGATATCATCTATGTGTTTTTCTGTATGTTTTATCTGGAAGTCTGATTTTACAAGGCCAGGACCCTGACCTGCCCTATCCCCAAAACTCAGCTCAGAATTCAAGTCGTCCAGATCTGTAACAGGAAATGATGCAGCCCCGCATTCCTGCTCAGCACAACTGCATGGGCCCCGTTCACACCAGGTTGACCTGGAGCCCAATGGGGGACTCAGGGCTAGAACCTGAGAACCTCAGGCTGGGGACCGGGTCAGGTGGGGGCTGCCCAGAGAAGGGATGCCCTTGGCTTTGGGATTGGAGGAGGAGGCCTGGCTTCCGGGATGTAGGCGTGACCCAGCGCAGAAATCACTGTGGAACTCAGACCCATCCCGCCAGCCCGCAGGCCCACTTTTGGCTATGTACCCCTAGATGTAAACACGTGTCCACAATGAGACGTGTTCAGGAATCTTCCCAGGCCTTTGAGCCTGAGAGCAGGAACTTGGACGCCACCCAAGCATCCGTCAATAGGAGAGTGAATAAACAAATGAAGACTGCCTCTAGGGTGCCAGGCTGCTCAGAAACCCGAAGGCATGGGCTCCCGTGAGCACGTGGGGAGGAGGGGCTCAACTGTGAGATGCTCCTGGGGCCCTCCGCATCCCCCAGTCTGAGCTCAAGACCAGGCAACACTCATCCGCGGGAGAGGTCAGCACCGTGGCAACCTCACTCCTCGTTTTCCAGGTCCCAACAGCTCCCAGGCTGTGCTCTGCTTTTGGCAAAAGGCATTCGACACCTGTGCCGTTTAAATTAATGTAATTAAGTTTAAAATTAATTAAAATGCAAGAAATGTAAAACTCAGCCCTTCGGTGGCACCAGCCATGCTTCACGTGTGGCCCGTGGCTACCCTGAATGGGACAGTTAGATAGGGAATGTGCCTGTCATCAGGGAAGCTCTGCCAGGCCAGCCTGGCCGAAGTGCTCTGCGTTTGACTGCGATGTTGGTTATGTGAGTGCTTCACGTCAGAACGAATTGAGCCATGCACTTAGGGTCTTCCATTTTGCTGTACAAAATACACCTCAATTTAAAGAAATCACCAGGTCCTTTTGGGCACTGGTGGAGGTGGGTGGAGGGAGAGAGTTCCTTATGCTTATGACCACCTGTCGATGTGTCCACTGGATCCAACCAGTCTGGCCTCCGGACCGGACTCCCAGTGTTCAGGGTCCCCAATATGTCTACCCCCTGGAGATCTGGCCTCCCTCTCCCTAGTCACCCTCCCTCCTGTCTGTCCCTCATTTGAGTGCATAACCTCGCGCCAGACCCCACGTGCATCCCCAGGCCACCACTCAAGCCTGCACCCCTGCAGTCTGTCCTTGCACAGTCGGCTCCCTTGTTCACTTCTTTATTCATTCACTACACGCAGGTATCCTGCCCCAGGTGTCCCTGCACACCCCCTCCACCATTTTGTAGATCCCAGCACTTCCAGGAAGTGCTGATGCAGCCTGGGTTGGTGTTCCTGCTGTAGGTAGCTGGGTAGTCTTTTTCCATGTCTCCTTCCTCATCCTCTCTCTTCCTTTGAGTCCCGGCAACTGGATGACCATCCGGGGTCCCTGGGGTATGGTCTGCACTGCCACTGCCCAGGGCCAAGTGGTGGTGACCAAGGTCAGCTGTCTGTGACCTGGACTGTGGGTGAGAGGCCTCTGGACAGGAGAAGGTGGGTTGAACCAGGCCAGGGAGGTGACCGTAGGGGCTGGACTCGTGGTTTTCAAACCATGCACCTCAGAGCACCCAGGAACGCCAGCAGAGGGGCCTGGGGGTGCCCATGGGTGAGGCCGGGAGACCAACTGTCTGCTTCGCCCAGGACTGCAGGGGCTTCCTTTTTTGTTTGTTTTGAGACGGAGTCTCGCTCTGTTGCCCAGGCTGGAGTGCAGTGGTGTGATCTCAGCTCACTGCAACCTCCCCCTCTTGGCTCAAGCGATTCTCCTGCCTCACCCTCCCGAGTAGCTGAGGTTACAGGTGTGCACCACCATGCCTGGCTAATGTTTGTATTTTTAGTAGACGGGGTTTTGCCATGTTGGCCAGGCTGGTCTCAAACTCCTGACCTCAGGTGATCCACCTGCCTTGGCCTCCCAAAGTGCTGGGATTATAGGCATGAGCCACCGTGCCCAGGCAAGGGGCTTCCATTTTTAAGCCAGGGTGAGGTGGTTGCCCCAGGTGAGGTGCCTCCATTCCATGAACCCAGATGCTTCCCCTTCACCCATTCTATGGTGTGACTCCATGTGGGATGTTACTTGCAAAACATCCAGCACTGGTTCAGGACGTGCCTGCTACAGTATTTGGGACAGAGCAGACTGACGTAAGCATAAAAAGATAAGACGGATAGATAGAGAATGGAGAGGGTGGTGGGTGTGAGATAAAGCAGGCTGACTTCAGTGTGAGCTGTGGACACACAAGGCTTTGATGTCCAAAGGCTGCATCTTTTCCAGATGTTTGAAAATTTTCCTAATGGAATGTTGTAGAGGACAAACACTTGAGTGTCATGGCTGAGGCCTGGGAGTGTGTCTGAGAAGGGCCGGGTACCCAGGCTCCAGGGCCAGCCTAGCTTACAGCCAGGGAAGTGAGCAAGAGGTGTCTGAAAGAAGGAAAAGCAAGAGTAGTTGAATGTCCTTTTTACTTGGAGACTTAGAATGAGGAGAAACAAAGGAATCCACTTAGAGCTTGCTGCTTACAAAACAGGGACTGGCCTGGGGGATGCGGCCATTTCCAAGGCTCATCCCTTCTCCGAGGCTAGATGCTGGATTCATTTTGGGGGCTGTCACTCTGCCCACCCCCAGAACACTATGACCAGCATGGAGCCGGGACCACCTCAGCTCGCAGGCTCGGGGCTGGGAGGGGCGGCCTTGTCCCTGGTCTCTAGATAAAGCAGAGAGGTGGACTCCCAAGTCTGAAGCCTCCATTCTCAGGGTGCTGAGTCAGCCAGTTCTGTGCCCCTCTCACCCTCCTCCCGGGTGGGCCCTGGCCCACCACCTTCCTGAGTATGGCCAGGGTGCAGGTGGCCAGCTGCCAGGCCAGAGGTGGCTCCAGCATCCCTGGCCTCTCACAGCCCTGATGGGACCCCTCCCTTGACGGGCCCTTGTGGATTTGGGGTCAGGATGGGCTTCTCCTGCCTCCTGTGGACCAGAGGGCCCCTCCAGTTCGTTGAATTGCTTCCTGAGAGATTTCTCCTTCTGATAGCACCAGGCCACCAGAAGGCCTGGGCCACACAGACCCTGCCTGAGGAGGGTGGAAAGCTGGCAGGCAGCGGGGAGCTCCTGTGGGGCCAGGGAGCAGTGCAGAGGAGGGCCCTGGAGGCTCACTGGGCCACCAGATTTTGGCTGGGCCTTGAAGGATCAGTTGGGTCATTAAAAAGAAAATCAAATATAAGGCTGGGCATGGTGGCTCATGCCTGTAATCTCAGCACTTTGGAAGGCTGAGGCAGGTGGATTGCTTGAGGCCAGGAGTTCAAGACCAATCTGGGCAACAGAGCAAGACCCCATCTCTACAAAAATACAAAGGTTAGCTGGGTGTGGTGGCACACACCTGTAGTCCCCGCTGCTTGGGAGGCTGAGGTGGGAGGATCACTTGAGCCCAGGAGGACAAGGCCACAGTGAGCTCTGATTACACCAGGCTGGGTGACAGAGTGAGACCCTGTCTCAAAAAAAAAAAAATCTAAATTGCACAGGCACTATCCCCACACCAGCCCCCAAAAGCTCCTAGGATCCAAATTTCTAATCCAAGGAGAATGCAGATGCCCGGAATCCATCAGTGCTTGGGAAACTATGACCTGTAACTTCCTCCTCCCACACCCTGTGGGCCAGGCTTGCCTGGGACAAGGGACAGACAGGCCTGTCTCAGGGTCTCGCCAGGGAGTATTGGCTGCAGTGAGTGGGGGAGGGGCTCTGCAAATGGAGAGTGAATGAGAACCCCGTCTTCGAGATCGAGTGTCCCCAGGGTCCTGTTCTCAGCGCAAGTTCTCAGGGTGCATCAAATACAATGCAACCTGGACTCCCGGATCCCACCTTGGAACGTGAAAAGGATGTTCATGCCCAAACTGGGGAGGTCAGTCTGCGTTAGCCAATGGCAAAGCCCCCGTGCTGTTCTCTTGCTTTGTATTTTTTGTAGAGATAGGGTCTTGCAGCACTGGGAGCCAGCAGATACTCCCTCTCACTTTCCTGCTCATGCTGGCATTTCCTGACCACCTCTGAGTTCCAACACCTAAGCTTCTCAGACCCAGAGAAGGAGAAGGATCTGAAGGCCAGGCTGCCACCTCCAGCATCTTGCTATGCAAGCTCCAGGGGCCCGAGCCACCGCTGTCTCCGCCAGCCCACTGCCATGGCCTTTATTATTTGTTAAATTTTATTAATTTACTTTTTTAGAGATGAAGTCTTGCTCTGTCGTCTAGGCTGAGGGCTCACTGCAGCGTTGACCTACAGGGCTCAAGGGATCCTCCCATCTTAGCCTCAGCCTCCCAAGTAGTTGGAACCACAGGCCTGTGCCATGATGCCCGGTTAACTTTTGTATTTTTTGTAGAGATGGTGTCTGTCTATGTTGCCCAGGCTGGTCTTGAACTCCTGGACTCAAGCCATCCTCCCGCCTCGGCCTTCCAAAATGCTGAGATTACAGGTGTGAGCCACCGCGCCTGGCCACTGTGGTCTTTAGAGAGCTAGTCCCTCCTCTTCCCTCCTCCTGCGGCCTCTCCACCTTTCCAGCACTCTTGTCTCTGAAAGGGAGGCTTGCTGAAGCTGGTTGTTTCTCCCTTCCAATACCCAGCATCGCTCCTCTTACTACCACCACCCAGCCCCTTACCTGGCCTCCACCTGCTGGGCAGAGCTCACTGGTGACCTCCCCACGGGCTCTAGTTATGTGGCTCCCTGAAACCCACAGGACCTGGATAGGTGGCACTGGGACCTCCCAGAGCAGGAAGCCAAGGCTCAGGGAATGGAGCTTTGCCACAGCCACCGGCTAATACAGCAGAACAGGGCTTCCCGCATGTTGGCCTCCAGGGGCCACTGCTTTCTAAGATCCTACAATGCCCTTCAAATGTGTTGATATAGTTTGGATGTGTGTCCCCTCCAAATCTCATGTTGAAATGCGACCCCCAGTGTTGGAGGTGGGGCCTAGTGGGCCCCACCCATTTAGGTCTCAGACGCAGATCACTCGTGAATGGCACAGTGCCCTCCCTGCGGTAATGAGGGAGTTCTCCCTCTGAGTTCATGCAGGAGCTGGTTGTTAGAAGGAGCCTGGCACCCTCCCCTGCCCCCTCTCCCGCGTGTGACACACGTACCTCCCCTTTGACTTCCACCATGAGTGGAAGCTCCCTGAGGCCTCAGCAGATGCCGGTGCCATGCTTGTACAGCCTGCAGAACCCTAAGCCAATTAAACCTTTTTTCTTTCCAGTCTCAGGCATTCCTTTATAGCAATGCAGAATGGACAAGTACACGTATGAAACCCCAGTCCCTGCAAAATAACATTTATAAATGAGTCAGAGATAAATGGCGCAAGTCACACAGACCCTGGACAGCCTCCTTGCAGCTGATGACCCAAGACATCATAGGGCTTCCTGTCCCCAATGCAGCCCCCTTTCCACCCCAGGAGGCCACCCAGGGGGACATGGGTGGTGGCCCTAACAGTTGCACCTGCAGCTTTGGGACTGTTGGAACCTCAGTTTCCCCAACTGAACTGGGCAGTTGTGGTTTAGAACAGGGTCCTCCCAGGGTGGCCCCAGGAGCGTGAGTGCCACAGGGAATGTGTGCTGGGTTCACCCAGGCTGCCTCTAGCTTGGACATTCTAAGGCTGACGGGGAAACTTCTATGGCTTCCTTGAGTCTAAACTTGCTCCATGGCCCCTGTCTGTCTTCATGAGGACTCTGAGGGTCCTTGGGGGCTCCCTTGGGTTGAGTCCCTGGGGAGTCAGCCTTGCTGATAATCACCCTGGGGGGTCAGGGACCTACCTCCACCCTCTAGTCAGTAGGATCCCCAAAAGAGCAAGGTAGTAGCAGGCGCTTAAAGCACATGCGGGGGACAGAAAGGGGCAACATCGGGTGCCCAGAAGGTGACGGGCACAGACAGACCCTGAGCACTGGCTGTCAGTCCGTGGCTCCTGCCTGCTCATGGCCTCAGGCGGAGCAGCCACGATTGGCCACTGTCCTGCCTGGTGCCCTAAGACAAGCGTGGCCCCAGCCAGCAGGCAGGGCCAGGAGCTCCCACTTGGGCTTCTGGGGCTTCTGATGAATTCTCCAATCTCCCCTTCGACCTCTCCCACGCTTTGTAGGCATGCAAACAAGTGTCTGGTCAAGGACGAAGGGTCCTTGCTGAGGATCACTCACACAAGGAACCACAGGTAAGCACTTGGGCGGCGGGGGTGGGGGGGAGGCGGGGGTGGTGGTCTTGCCATCCGTCACTCCCTACTCACTTCCTGGATGCCAACGATCTGGATCACAGTGAGGTCTGGGCCCTGCCTCAGGGTGGTGGGAACAGCAGGGGCAGGAAGGCTGGGCCCAGTCCCCGGGGAGAGGCTGAGGCCAGCCTGCCCTCCCTGCCCCCATGCCCTGCACCCCGAGCCTGTGATTCACCGGATGAGGAATTCATTCCCTCTCCCCTCTCACTGCCAACACCACAGCGTCCCAGGAAGAGTCCATGTTTCCCACGTCCAGCTGCCACACAGCTGAGTGGCTGGAATTCTAACTGCCCAACTGGATGGGACACCAGATATCCCTCTGGCTGTGCAAAATTGGTGTCCCAAGGGAATGTGACCCTGCTCTTCCAATATCTCCAGCCTCTCTTGCTCTGTCCCCTTTCCCTGGAATCCCAGCTCTGGAGGGAACGGCAGGGCTGGGCTAGCAGATCGCAGTACCAGCACCACAAGACCTAGTGGAACCATCGTGTGATCATCCAGAAGGCCCCAGAAATGGAGATGATGCTTAGTGAGTTTTCAAAAACAGAACACAAACTGTTTCTATCCTTAGAAAAACAAAAAGTTGAAAAAGTTGATAAGATCACAGACTTGTCTTTCCTTCCAGATTTTCACTAATGCTGTTAGGTTTTGTTTTGTTTTGTTTTGTTTTTTTCCTAACAATCGTTTGTTTTGAAGGGGAGGCTGTCATATTCACTCAGAACACACACAAATGTAGTTTTATAAAATGGCCCCAGTCCCTAGACCCATGGCTTCCGCCTGTGGCCAAAGTCACAGCAGCCATGCCTCCAGCCCACAAGCACTAATGGTTTTTCTTCCCCACTCCCTCACTTCTGTTGAAAGGCTGGGCAGCTCGCCAGAGGTACGGCAGAGATGCTGGCTGTGACATGCAGGGGAAGAAGGAGGCTGGCCCAGGACCACAAGGCGGGCGGTAGGCCAGCCCAGTCCGGGCCACGCTGGCCTCCCCGGCTTGGTTTGGTCCCATGTGCAATTTCCCATCTTACGTGGCGGCACTGGAGGTGCTACCTAATCCCTGTGGATGGAAGCTCAGGGCAAAGCGTGGGGGCCTTCTCGCAGCCACACAGCTGTGGGGGTCCTGAGTGGCCACCATATCCAGCCTCCACTGTTCCTGTGCAAGTCCTTCTGAGGCTGGCAGGCTCTTAGGTTTCTCAAGTCCAGGCCTGGTGTCTTTTAGCAGTAAAATTTAGCGAACTCAGAGCACCCATGTACCAAGGGCACGGCTCTGTGCTTGCATGTTTGCTGGGGGCGTGGGGACCTCACAGTAATGCTCCATGCAGGCGTGTGGACAGGCCTGGAAGGTGGGCATGGGCTCCAACTCGGGCCCTGTTACTCGCTTGTTTGTTTGCTCTTTCTCTCTTTCCCCTCCTGGGCCTCAGTTTCCCCATCTGTCAAATGGGGTAATGGACCCCTCTCCTACCTGAAGCTCTGAGAGAGGAGGGGAGCAGTGCATGGAATGGGGACACTGATCTCAGGCCCTGCTGCCCTGCTGGATGTCATCTCAGCCTCCTCCTGGCCTGAGAGGGACCCAGTGCACCCCACTCGCGGACCTGCCAGGGCCACCCCTCCAGGATGCAATTTGTGCCCTGAGTCCAGCTGGTCGCCTCCTGGGACCCCTCTGGCTCCAGCACAGCTGCAATGCAGGCAGGTGTGGAGGACCAGGGCAGGTGGGTGTCTCTGCCATTGAGGGTCCTGCTTGGGCAGGTGGGCTTCCCCTCTGTGGGGCCTCTGGAGCAAACATCCTGTTCCAAATCTTTGTCTTCTTAAGATCAGGGCCACTCCATGGGCGGTGATAAGGCTTCCTTCCTCAGACCTGAGGCTCGAAGTGTTTCCCTGTTGGTGGATGACCTCCCATCTCGCCCAGGCTGAGACTGCCCGAGGGCACCCACCTGCCTGGGAGACCCCCAAGGTTCTGGTTTCTTCTCACACCCAGTGGTGGAACTGCAGCTGCCTAGAAGACCACTCTCGGCAGCTCAAGCACCTTGTGAGCCGGCCAGGGTCCCCAGGACTTAAGGCCCCCAGGTCCCTCCTGGGTGTCGGCAACCCTTCCCAGTCCAGGCTGCCCAGCCCTGCCTGGAGCTCTCCCAACCCGCACCTCCTCCTGCCCGCCGGCCCAGCTGGGATTACTGACACATACTTTGAACGAGTCCCAGCAGGCACAGCGGCTCCTGTGCCCGCGGCCACGCACTTGCCAGTTTCCCTGGGCGGCAGCGGCACGTTTTGCCGGGGAAGGAATGTGGAAGCAGCAACGTGAGAGACACCTCCAGGGTGTCACCTGGGGAGGCCAGTAGGGAGGCCAAGGAAGAGGCCATGTGCCCCTCACCAGCCTCAGGGCTGTAACCAGTGAGGGGTGGGGTGGGGGATTGTCCAACATTAAAGTGCACAGCCTGGGCCACGGAGCAAGACCCCATCTCAACAAAAAATGAAAAATACTAGCCAAGCGTAGTGGCACGAGCCTGTAATCCCAGCTACTCACAAGGCCAAGATGGGAGGACTGCTGGAGCCCAGGAGGTCGAGACCAGCCTGGGCCACATGGTTTCTTCTAGAGAGAGAAATGGTTTCTTGTAGAGAGAGAAACCCATCTCTACAAATATACAAAAATTAGCTGGGAGTGGTGGTGCTCGCCTGTGGTCCCAGCTACTCAGGAGGCTGAGATGGGAGGATCACTTGAGCCCATGAGGGTCGAGGCTGCAGTGAGCCAAGATCACATCACTGCACTCCAGCCTGGGTGACAGAGCGAGACCCTGTCTGTGGGGCTGTACAGGTCTCCTTTGTGAATGACATTCCTTTTCTTCGGCCTCGGTAGCTGCAGCTCAGCACCTCCCTGGTACCACTTGGGGCACAGGCTCTCATCCCTAGGGAGCTTTTTCTCTTTGGGAGCCAGAACCAGCCTCCTTGGCACCTGCAACCTCTGCCCCAGCCCCTGCCCCTTGAGCCACAGTCTAATCCTTCTTCCCCAGCCAATAGCCTTCAGAGACATGAAGCGGGTCTTCTGAACAGAAACAGCAACCAGCCCTTCAACTACTCTTAAAGGGGGCAAGTTAGAAGTCTCACGTTTGGGTCAAAAATCCAATGGATGAGGGCTACAGGCAGTGGTCCACATTGAGAGAGCCCCCCCACCCCCATTACTCCAGGTGTGGCTTCAGGCTGGCTTTCTCAGACTAGAGTCCCAACAGAGGGACGTGGTTGGTTTGTTTTTAAATTTCCATTATTACAAAATCCACAGAAATGGTTGCAGCACCGTCAAACCGCTACAATGTCACCAAATCCTTTTTAAATTCCCATTTCTGTTCTGATTTCTTCATGGCAGGTGGCCAAGCATTCACATTTGGGCTCTGCATGGTAGGCCCCACATTGAGAAGCCCCAACGGGGTCCCTGGATGGAGATGGCGGGAGCCCTGTCACCTGTATCTTGGGAGGGCTGCTGGACACCGGAGCTTCCCTCCTCACAGTACGGTGATGTGCACAAGGGACCCAGTGGAAGAAGTGGCCACCGGGCAGTCACCACCCCTAAGACTGGGCTGCTATGACTGTATCTACTCATCCTGCTCTCCCTGCTACAAAAGATTCTAGGAGGCTTATGCGAAGCAAACATCGTTAGAACAAGCCCCGTGAGTCAGAGGGGCAGCTGGCCTCAAGGGCCCAAGCTGGCCAGTGCCTGAGGTGCGAGCACCAGGCAGGAGGAGCTTTGCACTCTGGAAGGGTGCTGTGCGTCCCTGAGGCGGCTACGGATCCTGGCAGTTATGCAGGGCCAATGTCTGGTTGCAGACACTTGACGTGTGGCCACTCCTGACCGTCACCCTCAGGAGGGGTTTGTGTGTGGGCAGCTCTGAGAAGCAATGCCACCCCCAGGGCCCTGAGATCCCACAGCTCTGGGAGGGCTGGCCTGGTGGCTCCACTCAGCTCGTTTCACGAGTTTTATTTGCTAGTGACTGCTGTCCTCAGCACCAGAGGCAGAGACGAGAGGCAGAGACTGCAAAAGACAGAAAGACAGAGATGAAAAGAGATAGAGTGACAGAAACAGGCAGAGAGAGACAGGACAAAGACTGAAAGAGAGAGACAGACACAGAGAGATAGAGACAGAGACGGGCAGAGACAGATACAGGGAAGAGAGAGAGACAGACAGGGAGAAACTGAGAGACAAAGGTATGGAGATATGGAGGGACAGAGGCAGGGAAGAGAGAAACAGAGACAGAGAGACACAGACAGATGCGGGCGAAGGGAGAAGGAAGAAGGGGCTAGGGTGAGGCCAGGCCTGCAGAGGGAGTGGGCCAGTGGCAGGCTAATGTGGAGGCAGGGTGACTCTGGGAGTGGCAACCATCCCTCCTATCACAAGGCCCTTCCCATCTGAGCTTCTGGGTACCCTGGGCCATGTCCCTGCCCTGCTCGACTGGCCCCTCTCAGTCCCCGAAACACCCATGCTGCAGCCACCTGCCCACACACCACACACGTATGCCTGACCCATCATTCCAGCCGAGCTCCTTCTCTCCTGCACCCTTTCCTGGCTCCTGCCTCTCTAAGCTGCCTCTTCACCCGACCCCTCTTCCAGTCAGGCTGTCTCCCCACCACAATGAGGCCCACCAGGACTGAGGACACAGGGGCGAAGTGCCTGGCGGTGGTGCAGTGCAGACACTGGCTGAGCAGGGCCTCCAAGTGTGCTGGCCCTCCAGCCCATGAAGGGCTAGGAGGAGGGGCTGAGCTCTTGTGCCCAGGAGGTTGTTTGCACCCATGAGTGTGTAGGAGAGTGGGGGCCTGAAAGGGCCTACATCTTCTGTTGAGGGCTGTGTGAGGTGCCCTATAAAAATGGAGGTCATGATGTGTTTCTGTCATAGTGACAAGCTCGAGGCCCAGAGGGATGTGAGGGAGACCCTGGAGGGAGCATGAGCGAGGCTGTGGAGCAGGCCAGGGGCAGGCAAAAGGCTGGACACAGCCCACACTGCACTTCGCTGGGACAACTGGGGTGGCCATCTGCAAGCAGCCAGGCCTCTGTGCTTGGGATCCCATAGTCCAGCAGGAGCTGGTGACGGCCGGGCAGAAGGAACGGCCTGAGAGGGAGAGCAGGGCTGGGTAAGGGGTGGAGCTTGCTGTGCTCCACTAGGCAGCGACGGTGGCTATGGCCAGGCCTGGCAGCAACTCCAGGTGGCTGGGAGGGTGTGGGTCCCAGGGGAGGGCCAGGACTGAGAACGGAAGCAGGAGGTGGCCGTGGCGGGAGTGCCACAGCCCAGTCTGGTAAAGGCAGCAGAGGGACTTGAAAGATGAACAAAATCCAGTTGCAAGCCCTGAAGTGGGCTTGGACCCTGGGGAGGCGGTGGCGGGAGGCACAGGCCCACCTCTAGGGTCCTGGTGGGGTCCCTGGGGAGATGACAAGATTCCGTTAACCCAGACATGGGAAGAAGGGAGAGGTGCTCAGAGTGCCCTGGAGTGCGGGTGTGCCTGGGGATTGTTCTCAGATGGAGCCATGGTCTCCTTGCAGCGCAGCTGCCCTGTCCTCTGTCCATGTGGGCTCTTCCAAGAATTCTTGTTCCTGAGAACTCAGCTTAGAAGGGGCGTGCTGGGAGGCTGGGGCCACTAGGTTCCTGCCGTCTGTGGCCTCATGGGACGCAGGTGGGCAGATGCATATGCATTGGTCTGGTCTCCTGCCTGTCTCCTCTCTGTCACTGGATGAGCTCAGAATGGATGCCCCTGGACATCTGTGCAGCTCTGGGCCATTCAGTGTTAGGCTAGGCCCGTCTCTCTGCATTTCAGACCCGCTCAGCCTTGGGACCACTGGCATCTGCTGCGTGGGTATAAGACACCTCTGGGCCACCCAGCCCTGGGGAGGCAGGTGGCCCTTCACACTCTCACAGGGCTGCTGGCCACAGGGACACCTTTGCCTCTCCCTCTGCCAACTTCAAAAGCCTAATTACCCTGATTTGGGC
This sequence comes from Homo sapiens, assembly GCF_000001405.40. NCBI lineage: Eukaryota > Metazoa > Chordata > Mammalia > Primates > Hominidae > Homo > Homo sapiens. The sequence continues at coordinate 228,009,728 of NC_000001.11, read as the reverse complement.
TGTTTCCTGGTTTGTTTCTCCAGGTGAGGAGATTCCCCTTCACTTTCACTTTCATGTGCCGGTGATGGTGGAGGGGGGAGAATCAAGGGGCCAGCGGCTTCATGTTAGGGAGGGGCTGGGGGCACAGGTGAGGAGTTACAGGGAGGCCCCCCACCCCAGCCTGCTCTGTTCCACTGGGGCTCACCAGGAGCCCACCTGGCAGGGGCCAAGGTCCCCTCCTCCCCTGGTGATGCTTAATCTGGGGTGGATGCGGGGAGGCAGGAGAAAGGAGGAGATGCTCTACTGGGTAGAAGACCAGAGAAAGAGAGAGAATCTTCCCCGGCTATTAAGGCTATTAAACTGTAGGATGCCAGCGGCAGGGGTCCAGCAGCAGGGGTCCTGCAGCACTGCGTCCTTCTGTGAGTCTTCTTCCCTATGCTGCCGGGGTGCTGCTCATGCCTGGGGGAAGCCATGTCTTTGCTCCAGCCCGAGCAGCCTGCCTGGGAGCAGAGAGGGGATCAAGAAGGGGGCAGACTTGTCCCCAGGGAGCCAGCCTCCCCCAAGGGGAGGCTGCTTCTCAGGAAGCAGAGAATCCCCAAGTGTGAGAACCCTACTGAGAACAAAGTGGTGGTGGGGATGGGGGAGGGGTCCTCACCACCCACCCCGGTCAGTGTCAGGTGGGGTTCTATGCCCCGCTTCCCTGTGTGGCCAAAGGGCTGTCCTGGACTCTTGATAGGAGGGTGCGGAGGGTACAGGGACTTCACTTCTCTGCTCCTCCTGGCTCCCCTGCAGAATGCCTGACTGTCCCCGAGGGTGTCTCAGGGTCCATTCAGGGTAGAACACAGGGGGCCCAGGTGAAAAGGAGGTATACATGCATATGAGGTGGATGGGGACCGAGGCTAGGAACCCTCAGGGCCGACAAGACAAAGATCCTAGGGCGCGGGGTTGCCAGGAGGCTGGCGACATTTATGGGAAGGGCGCGGGGCGAAGGAGCTTCCTTTTGCGCTCAGGAACGCGGCGGCGGGTTCTAATTAGAAGCCTGGTGCGTAAGCCGGCAGCCCTCGGGGCTCTCTCGGACGGACGCGCTGCCCCTGGCTCCCTGCGGCCGTCTGGACGCGCGTCAGTATCCCCGCACCCCAAGGCGAGCCCCGAGCCTGACCCTCAGGTGGGCCACTGGGCGCAGCAGGTGCCGCACGGGAAATGGGGCACGCGGAAATAGGGGCGCGCGGGGGTCCCCGAAGCGCGTCCCCGCGGCCTCGTGGCCTCTTCCAGGCCCTTCAGCTGCCTAGGGCTGCCCCTTCCCCTCCCCGCTGCTCCTGGCCCGGCGCCCCTACCGCGGGAGCCCCCGCTCCTGAACCATCTCGAAGAGAAAAATTATTATCGGATTAGATGTACCTCGGCTCGCTGGGTCTCCCCCCTTCCCCTCGGCGTAATTATTATAATTCCAGGCTGCCGTCGGAGAAGGATGGGGGGGAGTGTGCATGCTTGTGGGGAGGCTTCTCTCCAACTGTGGGTCCTACCAGCGCTGCGCCCGGCCCTGCGCGCCCACATTCCTCCCACTTGTGTTCCTCAATCTTGGGCATCTCAGAGCGCCCTTAATTCGGAACTGGGGTGATCCTTGCTTGGTGAGGGCTCTGAGGGATCACAAGCCCTGGCGAAAGTGTGGCCACCGTTCCCCCTCCCACAGGATATGTGCAGTGGAGGTGGGAGGCCTGAGAGAGACCTTTCGGGACCCTTCCTTTGGTTTATCTGCACTTCCATCGCCAGGCTGGGGAGGGTCTCACGGAACGCGCCTTTTCTGGTGTGGAGGGCGCAGCACAGCGCTTTCTGATTGAGGGTCCTGGAGCCCCTCACACCCCGTGCTTAACTCACCCTTAACTCTCTCTACAGCAGCCCCTCATTGCCAGGTGGACCCATGCGGAGGGCTCGCAGAGAGGGCCCCTGGAAACCCCCGTGCCCGGACTGCGGCGGGGAGGCGCGCGGGGCCCAGGGCCGGCCCCCAGTGCGCCCCGCCGCCGGCTCTGCGCCACTCCCCGCCGGGTCCCAGCTTTCTTTACGTAACCACGCTGCTCCGAGCTGTTCAGTCTTGTCTCATCGACTTTGTTTTAAAACGTGTGTGTGTGTTTGTGTGTAAGATACGGTTTTTGAGGAAAGTCTCCGGCGAATTCTCTCTCGCTGGCCCTCTTCCCTCGCCTGTCCCCTGGCCTCGAGCTGCCTGTCCCCTCGGTGACCGTGCGTGCCGACCTTCTTTCAGCCTCTCCCCAGCCCACTGCTCGCCCTGTCCGACGCCAGGGGCAGCTAGGACCTCCGCAACCTCCCCTACTCCCCCGCTCGGGAATCAATGTCTCCGGAAACTCCGCCACCCACGCGTCCCAGCGGCCTGAACAGGTCCAAAGTGGCCGTCAAGGAAAACCAACCGCCCGCGGCCCGCACGCGGGGCTGGAGCAGAAGGGCGCGGGCTCGGGCCACCGCGGGGTCCCTGCCCGAGGGGACCGTCTGCTGCGGGCGCGGCGCACAGGGGCAGGGGCGAACGCGAGGAGGCTCACTCACCACCAGATCGGGTAGCTGCCCAGAGCCTGCTTCAGGCTGCAGAGGAGTAAGAAGTATCCGAGTGGGGCCATCGCCGCGCGAGAGGGCGCGGAGGGCCGGGAGTCCGCCCCGAGAGCGTGAGCGCCGGGGGGGGCCGGGCCCTGGGAGCTGGCGCGGCGGCGTCGCTGGGCCCTCCTGCGGCCGCGGGTGCGCGGGTGTGCGCGGGCTCCGAGGGCGGCGCTGCGCCAGGTGGGCCGGCGGCCGGGCTGCGGGCCGAGGCCCGGGGCGGCGCGGGGCGGCGGGGGCGGGGCAGCGCCGCGGGGGGCGCCCGCCGGGGCCGGGGCCCGGGCGGGGCAGGCAGGGGCAGGCGGGGCCACGGGAGCCCGAACCGCGGCGGCGGCGTTGGCCCCCGCCTGCTGCCGTGGGTGTCGGTGTGTCTGAGGACGTGCTGGTGTGCGGGCCCCCAGGTGTGCGCGGCGCGCTGGGGTGCGCCAGATGGGCAGGCGGCCGGCCCGGGGCCGCGCGATCCGCAGGCGCCCTCCTGGAGCTCCCGGGCCGCGTCCTGGGTTTCCAGCCCCGCGCGCCCTGCGCTCACGGTGGGACCCGCAGTCCCCCTCTCGCTCCTGGTCTGTGGCGAGCTCCGTCTCTTGCCCCCGAGGTGGCTGGGCTAGGGCTCCCCTTCATCCATCAACCTTCTCGGGGCGGGGGTTTGGGGAGGGAGCGGACGGTTGTCGGGTGCACGTCCTTTGGCCCCGTCTGCCTGCGGCCGGACTCCTTCCGCTGAGACCAGAGCTGCCTGCGCCTTCGGCGGATAGAAAGGGTCCGGGATGGGTGCAGCCTGCAATGGGGACAGCGGCCAGGTGGACCTCCAAGGTGCAGCCACGCGTCTGTGGGTCACAGCTGGGGACGAGTGGGACTCTCTCTGTGGCGCAGGGATTGACCCCTCCATTTTTCTCCCCATCACTCCACCAGGGAAGAGAACAGTGGAAGCCCCTGACGCGATGGGACGGTGGGGAAGCGCAGTGCTGCCCCCAGGTTCTGGGACCACCAACCTCCAGGTCTGCCCAGAGCTATGCAGCCTGTTCCGACAGAGGGATTTCTGACTGTTTAGTTAAGCTTTAGGAGTTTGCTGATGGAGAGGGGAAGACCTGAGAGGGAAAGTGACTTGCCCAAGGTCACCCAGTGACCAGTCAACTCTCCAGCTCCCAGTCATTTGCATATCCATGTGTTGCCCCGGGAGCCGCCTGGGGAGATTGTAATTTGCAGAGGGGAAGTGTCCCCAGCCTCCCCCGGGGGACCTGATAACTGGGATGGTTAAGAGGCACTCTCCCATCGCGGCTGGTCCTCCTGCAGTCACACTGTGACCTAAGCTCAGCAGGAATCTTGGTTACCGCGTTGGAATTGAGGAAGGAGGCTCCGGGAGCTTCTGAGAGCTCCAAGCAACTCCAGACTCATCCGTGGTGTGTTCTCTGGGGATACTGCACTGCCCAGCCTGTGGGCTAGGCCTCCTGTGCGGCTGCAGAGTTGCGGGAGGGAGGTGCATGGAGAGGCAGGGATGGGCATGTGGCCGCTTCTGTGCAGCTTCTCAGGGAGGGGGTGGCTGAGATGTCCCCAGGTGTGTCACTGGCTGGCTGATGGAGGCAGCTGCTTCCCACAGTGTGCCCCACTCACAACTTGGTTCTGCGTTTGCAGAGGGAGCCTGTGGTCCTGTGGACACCGGCCCTAGGGGTCACCTGGTGACTATGTCAGGAGTCCTGAATTCAGAGTGACAGCCTTTCTCTTTGAAAAAAAGTTCCCTTTGCTCCTCACTACCTTGGGAATCCAGTTTCCGCTACGCATGCCCGGCCGCCCACCCGCTTCTCCCAGGCACTGCGGGGCCCCCACCCTCAGAGGGAAAGAGGGAAGAGCTCTGGAATGAAGCGGCGGTGGGGTCAGGGAGGGGGAGGGGAGGAGCGTGTTTGTGCTCCTCTGGACTTGGCCTTGCAGCAAAAATCCCACCCAATTGTGGTACTGGGGAAAACCTGGGCTGCAGGTGGGGTGGGCGCCTGAGCCCAGCCTGAGGCACGCAGACTCTTGTTACCCCCACCTCCCCAGAAATGAGGCTCGGGGATTAGAGCCCCCTAGAGGATGCCAGCTCTGCCCACCGACAGGATGGGCCTCGTGACCTCACTGAAGGGGGCAGGTGAGCGCAGCCTGCTCAGTCCTGCCCTCTTGCCCCTTGGTTTCCCAAGCCCCTCCTCCTGGCTGCTTTCTTCTCCCCCATCAGGCCCCATCCTCTGCCCGTGCCACCTGGGTAGTACACACACTGAGATCCGGCCGCTTCCCAGGCTGCAGAAGATGAAGGGAGGAGCAGACTCCGAGGCCCCAGGCAGGAGCTCAGCCTGCCCAGGCCAGGCTCTCAAGCGAGGGCTCCTGTTTCTGAAGACTCTGGATACCAGGGAGCCAGGGTAGGCTGCATGGAGGAACGAGCGGAGGCTTCTGGAACTAGCTCCTCGGTACCTGCCTGTACCACGTGGGGCTCCTCCTTCCCTCTGTGAGCCTCCGAGAGCCTCGGCTCCTGAGCAGCCAAGTCAGTGGGGCTGGGCTGGGGTGGGGTGGAGAGCAGAGTGGGAGAGCAAGGGTGGGACCCCAGCTGGGTGTCAGGGGCCTGAGGGGCTTCTCCTGAGTGTCTTCCAGGCTCGGGTGATGTTGCCTACAGCACCTCTTGTCCCTTGCTTGGGGTGCAGAGGAAGGTGAGGGGCCTCCCTGGAAGCGCCCTCTGCTGTTGCCTAAAGGGAGCTGTCCCTGACCAGTCTGTCAAGGTCTATGTCCCCACCTGTGCATTGCGCTGGGGACTGGGATGGCGTAGGTTGAGGTCAAGGCATAGGGCAGGCTCCTGGGGGCATGCCGGGTGGCTGCTGAACGGTGACTGAGACCCGGTCCTGTCTCCACAGACCTCCTTGTTGGCCAGGACACAGACCCACATTCCAACACTTGGAACGGGGAGGTGGGTGAGACCTTTGCAAGCCAGCGTCAGGAAAGGGCTAATCGTCCTCAGAGAGGGCACGTGTGAGAAGGCCTGACAACCGGGCAGCTCTGGAGCTAAGCCCTGAGCAGCCAGCCATGTGTTTGATAAAACAAAACTCCCCATGTATGGATGGTGCTGGAGGGAACATCATTTCTGGCCTGCTGGAGGGCCCAGGGAGCGTGCTCCCTCCTTCCAGAATAGGCCCCCAGGCGAGAGGAGGCGCTGCCCACCCCGGAAGCTCTGTAAGATACCTGCTTGGGTGGGGTAAGCCAGGTGGGAGGGGCATCTCTGATGGACAGTTTGCTGTGTGAGGTAGTGGGTTCCCTGTCTACAGCGGGTGTGAGTCCCTGTTATGGGTGGGGCAAGCCAGGATTTCAGACACTAACTGGTCATCTTTTGCTTCCTTTTTTTCTCATTTGAGCAAAAATAAGTTGGGGGAAAACAGAGAAGGGGTTTGGGCAGACAGAGTTCAAGGCTCTGGGGGCTTTCTGGCTGAGGGACCCTGGAAGGAACAGCAGCAGGACAGGGTAGGGGTCCAGGGTCAGAAGACGGAGTGCCCCTCCACAGTCAGTTCCATTGGAACTTGGTCCCTTCTGGAAGCTTCCCTGACCTTCCTTGTGGGGGTCACTCTTTGGATGCCTTCTCCATAAGCAGTGGGTTCTTGAGATCAAAACTTTCAATTGGCCAGGTGTGATGGTGCACACCTGTAATCCCGGCACTTTGGGAGGCCAAGATGGGAGGATCATCTGGGCTGAGGAGTTCAAGGCTGCAGTGAGCTATGATTGCATCACTGCACTCTAACCTGGGTGACAGAGTGAGACCCTGACTCTAAATAAAATAAAATAAAATTAAATTAAATTAATCAAGAAAACAACTTATAGTCATTCTTTGCCCAGCTCCTCAGGCTAAAATAAATACCTAAGAGCTTTGTTTATTAAGTAATTAGGTCCAACCACTTAATGATCAGTAGCTATTTGAAAAAAAATCATATCAGTTAAAAATAAATGAATCATATTTTTATTTCATCCTCACATAACTGCAGTTACTGGCCCTCCAGAAGCAACACTCTCACTTCTTGTTCAAGGTCCTGGCTCTCAGGCCATACAAGGAGATGTTCATGCAGGACAGGTGACCCTCAAACAACACAGGTTTGCACTGTGTGGGTCACTTATACATGGATTTCTCCTGCCTCTGCCACCCTGACACAGCAAGACCAAGCCCCGCTTCTGTCTTCCTCCTCAGCCACTCAATATGAAGGCCACTAGGATGAAGACCTTTATGAGGACCCACTGCCGCCTCATGAACTGTGAGTCTGGCTTCTTTTCTAGGTTTTCTGAGCAGGAATTTCCTTTCTCCAGCTGAGTTTATTGTAGGAACACAGGGGATAACACATGTGGCATGCAGCGTATGTTCTGACTGACTGTGTGTGGGATCAGCAAGGCTTCTGGTCAACAGGAGGCTGTTAGTAGTTTCGTTTTCAGGGAGTCAAAAGTTATACTCAAGTTTTTGACTTTGCAGGGGGTTGGTGCCCCTAACCCCCATGTTGTCCAAGACTCAATTGTACTTTCTTTAAAACAAATTTTTTTTGCAGGGACGAGGGCCTTACCATGTTGCCCAGGCAGGTCTTGAACTCCTGGGCTCAAGTGATCCTCCCACTTTGGCCTCCCAAAGAGCTAGGATTACAGGCGTGATATTCTGCAACACCCTGGGAATTTGCTGTGGCGTCCCAGGGTGCCTTAGCACACAGTTTGGGAACTGCAGCTGGAAAAACAGCAGCCAGGGCTGGGCCTGAGATGCACAGGTCAGCCAAACAGAGACAAGGAAAATGACGTGGCCACCTGCTTCCCCAAAGCTGCTGTGGTGAGACAGGGTCTCTGGGCCACAGACCTGTCTGCCTCCCACCTCCTGTCTATGGCTGTCCTGTCTTTCTATCAGTCTCTGTGTGTTTTCCTGTCACAGCCGATGAGCCCTCCTGCACAGTTGTGAGTTGCTCTTCCTGTCTGCAGCCCCTCTCTACATTCCTTGTCTGTCCCTCCGCCCCGTCTCCACCTTTGTTGGCATTGTTCAGCTCAGGCACTGTGGGAATTACCTCCTCCGCGTTAATATCACCATGAGAGCCCCCGTGGACATTACTGATGTGGGTATGTCCTGGCAGGGCTTTGCAGGTATGGCTGTGAGCTCAGGGCTGTCTGTCTTCCTGTGGGTTACCTGCCCTCTGTGGGAGGCTGTGTGTGGGGTCTACATATCCACAGCTCTGGGTTCCTGCTGTGTATTTATTCAGACCGGAGTCTGTGGCCTCCCCGTGGCCCCTGCCCAGGGCAGGTCCAGCCCACAGAAGTTGTTGCTCTGCCCCCTTGCCGTGCACGCCAGTCACAAAGCAGGATGGCGGGGGCACCATCCCCGTTTCCCCCTCACAGTGGCACACCACTGCACTGCTTGTCTCAATGAGCATCTCCCACTAGCCCAATCTGGTTACCTGTCTGCTTCTTACCATTGCCCTGTATCTATCTTTCTGAGCTTGCCGTTATATTTATATTTTAAAAGACTTTTCTCCTCTCCAGCCCAGATCTCTTATCAAATTTCCACTTTCCTTCAGTTCTCCGGAAGGTTCTTTTTTATTTGTTTGAGACAGGGTCTCACTCCGTCGCCCAGGCTGGAGTGCAGTGGTGCCATCATAGTTCACTGTAGTTTCTAACTCCTGGGCTCAAGCAATCCTCTTGCCTTGGCCTCCCAAACTGTGGGGTTACAGGGGTGAGCCCCTGCGCCTGGCCTCCAAAAGGTCCTTATGGTAAATGTGGGTTGTCAGATGAGATGATTTCTTGAAGGCTCCTGGAGCGGAGTGATGACAGCGACTACCATGCCCACTGTAGGCCCACTGTGTGCCCGGTGATCCACCAAGCACTGTGTGGTCAGAGGGAAGTGAATTTCACCATGTTCTGGAAGTGGAAAAGGCTCAGTGAGGCTGAATGAGGAGGCATAGCCGCCTGAACCTCCTGGAGGCAGCACAGCAGGGCTGGGCTCTCTCCGAGGCTCACCATTTGTAGAGTATATGTTTCCCTCCAAGACTGGAAGACCGACTGCAGGACTCCAACTCAGAAGGCCATCCTTTCCTGGCTCCAGGGCAGAAGATTGCGCCAGGATGGGGGGCATGCTCGGGAGTCCTTGTAGGCAATGAGGGGGGTAGGTGGACACGAGCCGGTCCTCATGAGCTTGCCTTTCTGAGCTGCCCTGTGGGACGAGGGCAAGGGGCCCAGTGGCCAGACTTCCTAGAGAGTGCATTTGCAGGGGCTTGGGGCACCTCTTTGGGAAATAATTCAGTCTGTTTTGAGACATCACTCTCTCCTCGGGTGTCACCCCTTCAACTACCCATCTTAGAGTTCCATTTTGACCCTTCACCAGATCCCACCTGATGAAAGCAACTGGAACCTTAGGTCAGCCTCTCCTTGTATGGAAAGAGTGGGCTCAAGGCAAAGTGGAAGGAGCAATGGGCCCGCAGGAAAGACCCTGGTCTCCAGGTCCCAGCCTCCAGGGATCCTTCCATACCCCCACACTGCTTTCTTTCCAGGAATGTCTGTTGACTCAAAGCCCTTCGCATGCTGTGCTACGAACGCCACCTTTGAGAAGGCTGACGCATGATGGTTGTGTGAACATCCCTTCACAAATCAAACCATGTGTGTTCTCACAGGCAGCTCTTGGATGCCATAAAAGTCAACTCTGGGGTCCAACAGGCATGTCTTTCTCAGTTGACACCCCAGCCATCCACCTCCTAGCTCCATGCTGTCCTCTCTCCCTTAGGGCATGATGTAGGAGGCACACGATCTCATTCTCATTGCAAGGTGACTTCTTGGACCTGCTCTCCTTGCAGGTGGCCTGGTGATATGTGGGGAATTGTGGACCTCCCTATGAGGAAGAGAAGATGGAATCTGGGAACCATGGAAGTAGGGCCATCAGCCTCTCCCTTTAGCCATGTGGTTAATCCTGGTTGATCCCATGAAATGGCCATGAAATGCTGGAATCATCCAAACACAGAATTATAGGATGCAGGGGAACTGAGTCAGTAGAACCCTCTGATCTTAGAATCTTATGGTTCTTCAAGCATGGACCCATAGATGGAGAGTCTTAGAACCATAAGAAAATCAAATTTGAGAATTAAAAAAAAATCACAATGGGCCAGACAGGTAGTTCATGCCTGTAATTCTAGTGCTTTGGGAGGCTGGGGCCAGCAGATCTCTTGAACCCAGGAGTTTGAGACCAGCCTGGGCAACATAGTGAGACTCCGTCTCTATAAAAAATTAGCTGAGTATGGTGGTATGCACCTGTAGTCCCAGCTATTCAGGAGGCTGAGGTGAGAGGACTGGTTGAGGCCACAAGTTCGAGGCTGCAGTGAGCCATGACTGTGCCACTGCACTCCAGCTTGGGTGACAGAGAGAGACCACTACTCAAAAAAAAAAAAAAAAAAATCACAGTATCATGGAGTTCTGGAATCCTGCAGATTAATTATCCAGAATCCTGGTTCCCAGGCCATAACTTACTTCCCTGTGAAATGAGGGCAATAGACTCCCCAGACTTTCCTGTTGGGAAAGAGCTAAGTTTTGCTGCCACAGCAGCTCTTAGGGACCGGTTGGTGGCTGCTTGCTGGAGTTCCGCTTCTGGGCCAATACTGCCACCAAGTGGAGATGCCAGAGGAGGGCGGCACTGAAGGGGTGCCTGGGTCCAATCTTCCCCTAGAGGCAGTGCCCCTTCTGGGCAAGGTTGTGGGTGACATGAGCGGCGCCTCCTCCCTAGCCCTTGGCTGTCCTGCAGCCCAAGTGGGATTTTACATTGTGGGTATGACCTCTCTCATGGGAATAGTGGTGACCACAACCCCTGCTGAAACCTGCATGACCCAGCTGATCCCTGAGACCACAGGAGATGCAGTGTCACCATCTTTGGAGCATAAGCCAGAGCCAAGGCTCAGAGGCCAAGAGCAAGATTCACAGGGCTGCTGTTCACACATGGGCCTGGGCCTGGGCAGCTTGACAGTCACGCTCCTCCTGTCCACCCCCATCACCCAGGATCATGGGTCTTGGACTCCCTCATCACTGGAGATGCTCTCCTTCACTCTGGTTCACCCCCAACTTCACCTTTAGGGCCTCCCCTTGGCCTTGAAGATCCTGAGCTCCAGGGACATGGTGGGATTTTTAGAACATGATACAAGTAGTGAGTGCAGGTGGTTTATGTGGGAACATGGTTCTAGGGAACAGGAGAGTGGGGGGAACAGGTGAAGAGAAAAAGCCATTGGGGTATCCATTGACTGCCATCTTCCCTGGTCGAAGAAGCTGGGGCCCACTGTCCCTGGCGAGGCACAGGAGACATGGCTCCAAGGAGACATGATGTTTTGTTTCTTACAAGGCCAGTCCATCAGCCCCTTTGTGGGCTTCCTCCCTAGCATCCACCTCCTGCACACCCTTTCTGACTGTCAACGGCACCCTACTGTCCCATTTCATGGAGGGAAATCGAGGCCATCAGCTTCTGTGTCACAACCTGCAGTCTCTGCAGAGAGTTTCTGTCTCTCCCTCCTCAGAGGGTTGCTGAGGTTGTCCTCCAACCCAACGGGTCCAGAAGCTTCCTTGCTGGTTCCTTCCTTGCTGTTCCTTGCTGGTTGTCCTCCAGCCCAGTGGGTCCAGAAGCTTCGGCAAAGCATTTGTTCCTGTTCTGTCCAGGTTCTTCTCATATCAGGCTCAGCAACCACCTCCATACTCTCCTAAATCTTCCACCTGCCCCCTCTACCTGCAGCTTCCTCTTAGTCCAGAAGCTATCAGCTATTTAAAGTGGTATTATTTCTTTCCATTTCCATGTTTTGTTGCAAGTGCTGACTTTTAGTACATTGATGTTGTTTCCTGCAACTGTCCTAAGTTCACTTATTAGTTCCAGCAGACTTATTCTTTTTTGTAGATTTGTTGGCGTTTTCCATATAAACAATTGTGTTACCTGTGAATAAAGACAGGTTACCTCTTCCTTTAAATTCTAGATGCCTTTCATTTCTTTTTCTTGTCTTATTGCACTAGCTAGAAACTCCAGGACAGTGTCAAATAAAAGTGGTGAGAGTGGATGTGCTTGTGTTGTTCTTGATGTTTAGGGAGGAAACACACAGTGTTTTATTAAAGTGTGATGTGAGCTGAAGTTTTTCATAGATGCCACTTATCAGGTTTAGGCAGTTCACAGCTAGTTCTAATCTGCTGAGAGTTTTTATATAAATATTGGAATTTATTAAATGATTTTTCTGCATCTATTGAGACAATTATATGTTTTTATTTAGCCAATTAATATAGTGAATTGCATTAATTTATATTCAAATATTAAACTAACCTTGCATTCCTGGGATAAATCCCACTTGCTCATGGTGTATCATCCTCTTTATATATTGTTGGATTGGATATGCTAAAACTTGGTTAAGAACTTTTGCATCTATGTTCCTGAGAAGTACTGATCTAGAATTTTTTTTCCTTATAATGTCTTTGTCTGATTTGGGCATTAGGGTAATTCTGGCCTCATGAGATACTCATGAGTATTTCCAACTCTTTAATTTTCTGGAAGAGTTTGTGGAAATTGTTATTATGTCTTGCTTAAATGTTTGGTAGAATTCACCAATGAAGCCATCTGGCCTTTAAGTTTCTTTGTAGGAAGGCTTGTAACCACAATTCAGTTCTTTAAATAGCTATAGAACCATTTTGTTTATTTATTTCTTGTGCGAGCTTTGGTAGTTGATGTCTTTCAAGGAATTTGTTCATTTTACAGAAGTTGAATTTATACACATGTAGATGTTTATTCCTGTTTATTTTTTAATATCTATAGAATCTGTAGAGATGTCACCTTTCTAATTATTGAGATTAGTCATTGTCCTCTCTCTTTTTCCTGGGTTGTCTGGATAGAGACAGAAAGCCCATGGGTTGAGCCTGTCTATGGTCTTCCTGAGTTCCTGGCCTATGAATTTTGGACATGTTCAGCCTCTACAAATGCATAAGGCACTTCCTTGTGATAACTCTGTCCTGCCTTCAGGGACTCCACTTACATCTATGTTGGGCTGCTTGAAGTTTTCCCATAGCTCACTGATTCTCTTTTCATATTTGCAGTCCTTTTTTCTATGCTATGTCTTCAAGTTCACTAATTTTTTCTTCTGCAGTGTTAAACTGCCATCAATGCCATTCAGTGCATGTGTCTGCTCAGATATCATAGTTTTCATCTTTGGAAGTTTGATTTGGTGCTTTTAAATATCTACTCCTTCTCCACACATAACATGCTCCATCTTTCCTCTGCCTTCTTGAACATGTGGAAGCACTAGAGGCAATTTTTTGATGTGCTTGTCTATTAATTTTATCATCTGTATCATCATGTTTGTTTCTATTGCTTGATTGATTTTCCTCCTCGTTCATGAGTCACATTTTTCTTCTTACTCACATGCCTAGTAATTTTTGATTAGATGCCAGACATTGTGAATTTTACCTTACTTGGTTCTGAATACTTTTGTATTCTTATAAATATTTTTCAGCTTTATTCTGGAATGCAGTAAAATTACTTGAAAACAGTTTAATTCTTCTGAGGCTTGCTTTTAAGCTTTGTTAGGCAGAACCTAAGCAGCATTTAGTCTAGGGCTAATTTTTCCCCAGTACTGAGGCAATACCCTTCTGATCATTCCACCTGATGTCCTATGAATCACTAGATTTTTCCACTCTGGCTGTTGGGAAGACAAACTGTTGCTGGCACTGTGTGAGCTCTGAAGATTGCTTCTCTAATTCTTTGAGGAAGTAGTTTCATCACATGTGTGCACTGGCCAGCACTCAGGTAGATACACTGAGGAACCCTTCTGAAAGTCTTGGGAGCTCTCTCCATGCAGTCACTCCTCTCTGGCACTCTGCCTTGTGAACCCCAGCCAACTTGAACTCCCTGGACTCAGTCCTCCTCCCTGCTGCAGTGTAAACTCTCTCTAGACAGTGTGGCTAATGCAACTGAGGAACTTAGTATTGAATTTTAAGTTTAATGAATTTCAACTTAAATGTAGGTAGCCACGCATGGCTGGTGGCTACTGCCATGGATGGCTCAATCTCTAGTGCAGCTGGTAGAGAGCCTGGGATGAGAAGTCTCTGCTCTTCCTTTGGGAAATGAGCTCTGCCCTCTCTGCAGTCAGGACATGTGTGAGCTCAGCTGGCTCTGGTCAGCCTGGAAAACCACAGTGGAGAGCTCACCTGTCTATCACCTGTCCAAGGTGGGCTTACGTTTTCCTAGTTCAAGCTGGGTGCTATGATTTGAACATTTGTCTCCTCCAAAACTCATATTGAAATGTAATCCCTGATGTGGCAGTATTGAGAGGTGGAGCCTTTGAGAGGTGATTGAGTCAGAGGGTCTTGCCCTTGTGAATGGATTAATCAATTCATGGATCAGTGGATTAATGGGTCATCATGGAAGTGGGACTGATGGCTTTATAAGAAGAGGAAGAGAGACCTGAGCTAGCATGCTCAGCACCCTCCCCATGGGATGTCCACTACTTCCTTAGCACCCTGCAGAGAGTTCCCACCAGCAAGAAGGCCCTCACCAGATGCACCCCCTTGGTCTTGGACTTCCCATCCTCCAAAACTATAAGAAATAAATTTTGTTTTTTTAATAAATTACCCAGTTTCAGGCATGCTGTCATAAGCAACAGCAAATGGACCAAGATTCAGGGTTTTGCAGCAGAGTTAGCAGTTACCCTTCACTGCAGTACGGCAGATGCTTAGCTGGGCTTTGGTCTCCAAAGAGCCCCCTCTTCTAGCCCAGTTCTGTCAGATCTTGACTCAGAAAATAGCACAGTTTTCAGACCATCATAAACTCAAGGGGAGCCATTGTGACATTGGAAAAATAGACACTAATTCCACACTTCCAGCCTCCAGGGTCTTACTCTGTCCTAGGCAGTGCCATGGAATAGAAAATCCCAGAATTCCAGCCCAAACGCCCAGCCTCACATCTCACTGGTGGGCAAACCAGTCCAGAGAGACTACGGACTTGCATCCAAACATAGCACATAGTGATGGGGCCTGGACTGGAGCCCCCTGTGCCTCCAGACCCTCCATCCTGGCCGGCTGGCCTGTCCCCCCCACCTCTCTGCATGTTCTCTGATTCTATCTTGCTTTTTGTCTCTGCTCCCTCCCTTTCTTGCAGGGCTTTCCCTCTTCTCTAGGTACCCATTTTGGCCCTTTCCAGAGAAGACAAACACAAGGAGAATCCCATCTTGTGTTCACATGCAAGGATACGCTCTGGACATTTTTGTCCTATCTGGTCCATCTCCCCATCTGCCTCCTCCCCTCCGGGGTGACTCTGCTTTTACAAGCCTGTAGACAGAGATGGTGGAGAATGCCTCCGGGGGAGAGACACTACAGGGCGGGGAGAATCTCATTCCTCAGGGAGGGCTTGTCAAATGAGTCCTGGGGCTGCTAACAGGCAGCTGTGTTCTTCCTTCCCTGAAGGCCTTCTTAGGACAAATTCCTCAAAAGTGGGACAGTTGGCCCCAAGGTGTCATGCACATTGAAGATTTTACTACATATCATTAAACTGACATTCAGAAAGAAACCTCACCAATGGCATGAGAACAACTGTCCCCACCCCTCCACCTGACTGTCTAATCTTTGAGCAGCCTGGTCTCTGAGTCAAAGGACCAAGGAATGAGTGAATGCTCAGGGCCTGGGTGGGAGGTTAGGTTCCTACTGAGGGATGGGTGGGTTCCCACAAGGCAGGGTCTTGGGAACTTTGATACTTACAATAACAACCATTGAAATCAAGACACTACCTTGACCTATTACTGCTGTCTAATTGTCACAGCAGTTCAAGGGTGACCAGTTGTCCCAAAAAGCCTTGTTTAGAAAGAGTGTCTTGGGCCGGGCGTGGTGGCTCACGCCTGTAATCCCAGCACTTTGGGAGGCCGAGGCGGGTGGATCACGAGGTCAGGAGATCGAGACCATCCTGGCTAACACGGCAAAACCCCGTCTCTACTAAAAATACAAAAATTAGCCGGGCGTAGTGGCGGGCACCTATAGTCCCAGCTACTTGGGAGGCTGAGGCAGGAGAATGGCGTGAACCCGGGAGGTGGAGCTTGCAGTGAGCCGAGATGGCGCCACTGCACTCCAGCCCGGGCGACAGAGCGAGACTCCACCTCAGAAAAAAAAAAAAAAAAAAAGAAAGAGTGTCTTGGTCAGAATCATGCATTGCATTTAGCCGTCATGTCTCTTCAACCTCCTCCAGTGTGGCTTATTGGCCATTTATGTATCTTCTTTGGAAAAATGTCTGTTCAAGTCCTTTGCTGATTTTTAAATTGGTTTTTTGTTGTTGAGTTGTAGGAGTTATTTATATATTCTGGATATTAATCCCATAGCAGATATATAATTTGCAAGTATTTTCTTCCATTTTGTAGGGTGCCTTTTCATTCTGCAGTCAACACTTGCTGTTTTCTATTTTTGTTTTCTTCATAGTGACCATACTAACCGAGGGCATGCCAACCCTTGCATGGTTGAAAATCCATGTATAACTTCTGACTCCCCCAAATTTAACTACAGAAGCCTTGCCAATAACACAAACAGTCAGTTAACACATATTTTGTATATGTATTATATACTGTATTCTTACAATATAGTAAGGAGGAGGAGGAAGAGAGGGCTTGGTCTTGGTGTCTCAGGGGTGGCAGAGGCAGAAGAAAATCTGAGTGTAAGTGACTCATGCAGTTCAGATCCATGTTGTTGAGGGGCCAACTGTATATATCTCATTCATATATATACATAATATATATTACATTTATATATACATATATATATATACACACATCACATTTTTATATATGCGTATATATAACTTTTTTTTTCTTTTTTGAGACAGAGTCTCACTCCGTCGCCCAGGCTGGAGTGCAGCGGTGCAACCTCGGCTCACTGCAACCTCTGCGTCCCAGGTTCAAGCAATTCTCCTGATTCTCCTGCCTCAGCCTCCCAAGTAGCTGGGATTACAGGCACATGCCACCACGCCCAGCTAACTTTTGTATTTTTAGTAGAGAGGGGGTTTCACTATGTTGGCCAGGCTGGTTTCAAACTCCTGACCTCAGGTGATCCACCTGACTCAGCATCCCAAAATGTTGGGATTACAGGCGTGAGCCACTGTGCCCAGCCAACATTTGTATATATGTATATGTCACATTTGTGTATATATATCACATTTGTATATATCACATATCACATTTGTATATATACTATATATCATGTGCGTGTGTATGTGTGTATCCATTCCTATGTCAACTGATATTTAGGTTGCTTCCACCCCTTGGCTACCGTAATTAATGCTGCAATGGACATGGATGTGCAAATATCTCTTCAAAATCCTGTTTTCAGTTCTCTGGATCTATACCCAGAGTGGGATTGAGGGATAATATGGTAATTCTATTTTTATTTATTTATGTATTTATTTATGTTTATTTTTTGAGATAGCATTTCATTCTTGTTGTCCAGGCTGGAGCTCAACAGCATGATTTTGGCTCACTGCAACCTCCGCTTCCCAGGTCCAAGTGATTCTCCTGCCTCAGTCTCCCAAGTAACTGGGATTACAGGAATGCGCCACCATGCCCAGCTAATTTTGTATTTTTTTCTTGTTGTTGTTTTGAGACGGAGTCTCTCTGCGTCGCCCAGGCTGGAGTGCAATGGCGCAATCTCGGCTCACTGCAAACTGCACCTCCCAGGTTCACGCCATTCTCCTGCCTAAGGCTCCTGAGTAGCTGGGACTACAGGCGCCCGCCACCACGCCCGGCTAATTTTTTGTATTTTTAGTAGAGACAGGGTTTCACCGTGTTAGCCAGGATGGTCCCGATCTCCTGACCTCGTGATCCACCCGCCTCGGCCTCCCAAAGTGCTGGGATTACAGGCGTGAGCCACCCTGCCTGGCTCAGTAATTCTATGTTTAATCTTGCAGAAAACCTCCATACTATTTTCTATAGCAACTGTGTCATTTTACGTGCCCACCAACAGTGCATAAAGGTTCCAATTTCTCCACATCTTTGCCAACACTTGATGTTTTCTGTTTTTGTTTTCTTTATAGTGGCCATCCTAAGGAGTGTGAGATGGTATCTCATTGGTCTCGATGTGCATTTCCCTATGATTAGGATGTTGAGCATATTTCCATGTGCCTATTGGCCATTTGTATGTCTTCTTTTGAGAATCATCTATTCAAGTCCTTTGCCCATTTTTTAGTCAAGTTATTTGGTTGTGCTTGTTGTTGAAGAGTTGTAAGAGTTTTTAGATATATTGTTGATATTAATCTTTATCAAAATATATGTGTTACAAGTATTCTCTCCCATTCTTCATGTTGTAAGTTGTCTTCTCTGTTGATTGTCTCCTTTGCTGTGCAGAAGTTTTAAAGTCTGATCTAGTCCCATTTGTCTATTTTTGCCTTTGTTGCCTGTGTTTTTGGTGTCATATTCAAGAAACCATTGCAAAATCCAATGTCAAATTTTCTACATTTTCTTCTGAAATTTTATAGATTCAGGTCTTAAGTTTAGGTCTCTAATCCATTTTGAGTTAATTTTTGTTTATGGTGTAAACTTAGAGTCCAACTTCATTCTTTTGCATGTGCATCTCCATTTTTCCCAACACCATTTATCGAAGAGTGCATTGTTTCTCTAGTGTATGGATTTGACAGTCTTGTTGGAGATCATTTGGCTGTGTACATGAGAGTTTATTTATGGGCTCTCTATTCTGTTTCATTGTTCTATATGTTTGTCTTTATGCCTGTACCATACTGTTTTGATAACTGTAGCTTTTGGAATTGTTTTCTCTGTCTCTTTTTTTTTTTTTTTTTTTGAGTTGGAGTCTTGCTCTGTTGCCCATGGCGGAGTGCAGTGCTGTGATCTCGGCTCACTGCAACCTCTGCCTCCTGGAGACAAGCTATTCTCCTGCCTCAGCCTCCCAAGTAGCTGGGATTACAGGCATGAGCCACTACACCCAGCTAATTTTTGTATTTTTGTTTTTTTTAGTAGAGATGGGGTTTTGTCATCTTGGCCAGGCTAGTCTCGAACTCCTGACCTCAAGTGATCTGCCCTTCTCAGTCTCCCAAAATGCTGGGATTACAAGCGTGAGCCACCGTCCCCAGCCTGAGATTGTTTCCTTAAGTTTCTTTTTGGATTGTTCATTACTACTGTATAGAATGCAACTGATTTTTGCAAGTTGATTTTGTATCCTGCAACTTGGCTGAGTTTCTTTATTATCTCTAACAGTTTCTTTGTGGATCATTTAGGATTTCTTCTGTATAAGATCATATCCTCTGTGAACAGAGATAATTTTACTTCTTCCTTTCCATTGTGTTTTTAACTTCTTTTTTTTTTTTTGAGATGGAGTTTCACTCTTGTTGCTCAGGCTGGAGTGCAGTGACGTAATTTCAGCTTACTGCAACCTCTGCCTCCTGGGTTCAAGGGATTCTTCTGCCTCAGCCTTCCAAGTAGCTAGGATTACAGGCACCTGCTACCACGCCCGGCTAATTTTTTGTATTTTTGGTAGGGATGCGGTTTCACCATGTTGGCCAGGCTGGTCTTGAACTTCTGACCTCAGGTGATCCACCCGCCTCGGCCTCCCAAAGTGTTGGGATTACAGGTGTGAGCCACTGTGCCTGGCCTTTTTTTTTTTTTTTTTTGCCAAATTGCTTTGGCTAGAACTTCTACTACTGCATTGGATAGAAATAGCAAAAGTGGACATCCTTCTCTTGTTCCTGGTCTTCGGGGGAAAGCTATCTGTCTTTTACCATTGATTATATGACGCTAGCTGTGGGGTTTTTATATATGGCCTTTAACTAGAGAAAGTTTCCTTCTATTTCTGGGTTGTTGAGTGTTTTTTTTTTTTTAAATCATGAAAGGGTGTTTGACTTTGTCAAATGATTTTTCTAATCATTTTTTAATCAATTGAAATAGTCATGTTTTTTCCCCCTTCATTCTGTTGATATGGTGTATTCTATTGATTGTTTTTTGTATGTTGACCCATTATTGCATTCTAGGAATAAATCCTACTTGGTCAGATATATAATCTTTCTACTATGCTACTCAATTCATTGTGCTTTTATTTTTTGAGGGTTTTTGCATCAACATTCATAAGGGATATTGGTCTATGGTTTTCTTGTACTTTGGTGTTGGTATCAGGGTAATGCTGGTCTCAATGAATGAGTCAGGAAGCGCTCCCTCCTCTTCAATTTTTTGGATGAGTTTGAAAGGGATTGGTATTAGTTTTTGTTTTTTTCTCACAGAGTCTTGCTTTGTTGCCCAGGCTGGAGTGCAATGACATGATCATAGCTCACTGCAGCCTTGACCTCCCAGGCTCAAGTGATCCTCCCACCTCAGCCTCCCAAGTAGTTGGAACTATATGTGTGCATCACCATGCCCAATTAATTATTTGTTCTTTGTTTGTTTGTCTGTAGAGACAGGGTCTCACTAGGTTTCCCAGACTAGTCTCAAACTCCTGGGCTCAGGTGATCTTCCTGCCTTGGTCCCCCAAAGTGCTGGGATTACAGGCATGAGCTACCACACCCAGTTCTTTTTTGTAAATGTTTGGTAGAATTCTCCAGTGAGGTCACCTGGCCTTGATTTTATTACTAATTAGATCTCCTTACTGGTTATAGGTCTGTTCCAATTTTTCTGTTTCTTTATGGGTCAGTTTTAACACATTTTGTGTTTTAGAAATATCCATTTTAGTTAGGCTATTCAATTTGTTAGTATACAATTGTTCATGGCATTTAGTCATTTTTTTTATTTCTGTAAAATCAGTAGTAATGTCCCCACTTTCATTTCTGATGTTATTAACTTGAGTCTTGTGTCTCTCTTTCTTGGCTGTTCTATTGAAAGATTTGTCATTTTTTGCTGGCCTTTTCAAAGAAATAACTTTTGGTTTTATTGATTTTTTTCTATTGTGTTTTTATTTTCTTTTTCATTTATCTTTGATCTGATTTTTATTATTTCCATTCTCTTGGATGGAAGCTTTGGGTTTAGTTTGCTCTTTTTTCCCCTAATTTTTAAGGTGTACAATTATTGATTTGAAATATTTTTTCTATTTTAATGTAGGTGTTTACAGCTATGCATTTCTCTATTACCACTGTTTCCATGGTATCCCAGAAGTTTTGGTATGTTTCTTTTTTATTTTCATGTGTCTCAAGGTTATTTTCTAATTTCCTTTGTGGTTTCTTCTTTGACCCTTGGTTGTTTAAGGGTGTTTTGTTTAATTTACACATATTTCTAAAATGTTCAGTTTTCCTTCTGGTATTGATTTCTAGTTTCATTCCATTCTGATCAGAAAAATACTTCAGATTATTTCAATCTCTTAACATTTATTAAGAATTGTTTTGTGGCTTAACATGTGATTTATCCTGGAGAATGTTCTATGTGCCGTTGAAAATAATGTGCATTCTATAGTTGTTTGGTGGTATGCTCTATATGTTTTTTTAGGTTTAATTGGTTTATAGTATTTTCTAAATCCTCTATTTTCTGAATGTTCTTCTGTCTGGTTTTTCTATCCATTATTGAGGTGGGATATTGAAGTTTACAACTACTGTTGTAGAACCGTTCGTCCCTTCAATTCCGTCAATGTTTACTTTATAAATTTTTTGTGTCTGTTAGGTGTTTATATGTTTATAGCCATAATGTCTTGCTGTATGAAGACTTTCCTCTCTATATATTGTTCTTCCTTGTCTCTTGTAAAGTATATTTTTCTGACAATAATATAGCCATCCCAGCTCTTTTTCATTACTATTTACATAGAAAGTCTTTTTCTATTATTTTATATTAAACCTCTTTGCATCCTTCTATGTAAAGTGAGCCGCTTGTAGACAGCATATAGATGCACGTTGACTTTTAAAATTCAATATGCCAATCTGCTTTCTTAGAGATTTTAGTTAATTTACCTTTAATGTGATTACTGATAAAAGGATTTACTTCTGCCATTTATTTGTTTTCTATATGTTATATAATTTTTTGCTCCCCAATTACTACCTCTTTTATATTTAGTTGATTTTTTGTAATGTACAATTTTGATTCCCTTCTTTCCTTTTCTGTGTATTTTAAAGTTATTTTCTTAGTGGTTACCCCAAGGTAACCACTTTCAACCTGGTTTGAATAATACCAACTTAGTTTCAATTCTGTCTTCTATACACTACTCTGCTTCTATACATCTCTGTGCCTCCCCATTTATATTATTATTTGTCACAGATTACATCTTTATACATTATATGCCAATTAAGTTAGATACATAGATATTATTTTATGTGTATGCCTATTATATCATATAGAAAAATAAAGATGTTACAAACCATACCAAAAGTACATTAGTGGTGGCCTATATATTTACCTATGTAATTACCTTTACCAGTGTTCTTTATTTTTTCTTATGGCTTTGATTTTGTCTAATGTCCTTTCCTTTCAGCCTGAAGAACTCCCTTTAGCATTTTTTGTAGGAACAATCTTCTGATAATAAACTCCCTCAGCTTCTGTTTTTCTAGAAATGTCTTAATTTATCTTTTATTCTCAAATGAGAATAAAGAGAAATTTTTGTTAAATATAGAATTCTTAGTTGACAGGGCTTTTTTCTTTCAAGATTTAAATATGTTATCCTATTGCCTTCTGGCATCATTTATTTTTCTGATGAGAAATCAGATGTTAATCTTACTGAGAATCCCTTGTGCATGAGATGTTTTCATATTGTTGCCTTCAAATTTTTCTTTTTGTCTTTTTCCTTCAACAATTTGGTTATAATTTGTCTTGGTGTGGGTGTCTTTAAGTTTATCCTGCTTGAAGTTCATTGAGCTTTTTGGACAAGTATATTCATGTCTTTCCTCAGATTTGGGAAGTTTTCAGCCATTATTTCTTCAACTATTCTTTCTACCTCTTTCTGTCTTCTGTGAATCTCTAACTGTGTATATCGGTCCACTTGATGGTGTCTCATACAGCTCTTAGACTCTCTTTACTTTTATTTGTTCTTTTTTCTTTCTATTCCTGAGACGTAATAATTTCAGTTGTCTTACCTTCAGGTTTGCAGACTCTCCTGCCTGCTGAAATTTGCTATTGAGCCCCTCTAGTGAAATTTTCATTTCAGTTATCCCACCTTTTATGCCAAAAATTTGGTTTGGTCTCATTTTATAATTCTTATCTCTTACTGAGAGTCTTATTTTGTCATACATGGTTTTCCTGATTTTCATTGTCTTTAGCTGTTTGGGCATATTTAAGATCATTGTTTTAGTCTTTATCCAATCGTCCAATGCCTGGGCTCCTTAGGGACAGTTTTGATCTATTTTGTTCCTTTGAATAGGCCATACTTTCATGTTTCTTTTTATGCTGTGTAATTATTTTGAAAACTAGACATTTAAATATTATAATGTGATAACTTTGGAAATCAGATTACCCCTTTTCCCAGTGTTTGCTGGATTTTTGATTGTTGAAGGCTGTAGCAGATAATTTCTATAATGACTTTCCCAAACTATTTTTTGCAAAGACTGTATTCCTTGCCATATTCAATCACTGACATTTTGTCCATAGCCTGTGTTCAGCTTGTGTTTTTTTATTTTATATTTTTATTTTTTGAGACAGGATCTCACTCTATCACCCAGGCTGGAGTGTAGTGGCATGATCATGGTTCACTTCAGCCTCCACCTCTTAGGCTCAAGCGATCCTCCCACCTCAGTCTCCTGAGTAGCTGGGACTACAGGAGTGTGCTGCCATGCTGGACTAATTTTTAAATTTTTTTTAGACTAGGTGTCACTATGTTGCCCAGACTGGTTTCAAACCCCTGGGGCCCAAGCAATCCTCCCACCTTGGCCTCTTAAAGTGCTGAGATTACAAGGGTGAACCACTGCACTCGATCTCAGCTTGTGTTTTGACAGAGATTCCCTTCAATATCAGGAACTAAAAACAAACAAACAAATAGCAGGAACCAAATAACCACTCCCAGACTTTGCAGATTGACTCTGTGCCAGGCACTCCTTCAACACTTACCCAAGCCTGCACTTAGCTTAGGGATCAGCCCAAAGTGGAAGCTTAGGATCTCCTCAGGTGTTTTCTGAGGATGCATCTTGCCCTGGGCATGCATGTGGCCTTCTAAATCCCCTTGTACACATGGGTGCTTTTGAATGCCCTGATTTCCCAAATAAACCCTCACCAGCTTTTACTACTGGGTCTTAAGTGTTTTATTGTAGGTCTCAACTATAATCTTCTGCCCTAGGCATCTGCAGGATGTGAGTTCACCTTGCTACATATATATATATAGCAAGTAATTGCTATATTGCTTATTTCTGAGTAGAAGAATATGAGACATTTCCCTAATCATTATGTGTAATTACAATTACATATATATATGTTTATATATTACATACATATATATATGTAATTGTAATTACGCATAATGATTAGGGAAATGTCTCATATTCTATATATATAGACAGAAAGGGAGAAAATATATGAGGGAGAGAAAGAATCTTTCCATCTCCTTTGAGTTCCATGGTGTTGAGAGTCAGGAAAACTACAATTGCTTCATCACGCCTGCTTGCAATTATAGGGCTTTTGAACCATTTGTTCCCTCCTTAGATATCCTCATTTTTTTCAGATTCTTGCTTAGAAGTCACTCCTCCGTGGACCTCCTCTGACATATTAAACATTGCAGTCCATTATAAGCTGCAAGAGGACAGGGATTTTTGCCTGTTTTATTCCCTACTGTATCACCAGGGGCTACAGCAATATCTGACAAACAGTGGGCATGTAATGAATATTTGTTAAGTGAAGTAATAAATTCAATCAAATCACATCACCTGTTTAAAGCACTTCATTGGCTTCACATTGCACTTAGAATAAAGAGAAATTCTTTTTATACAATATAAGTTCCTGCAGAATGCAGACACTTTCTACTTCTCCAGCCTCTTTTCAACTCCTCTCCTACTAGCTTCTGTATTTAAGCCACATTAGACCTTTCTTCAGTTTTTTATATAGACTTTGTTGCATCACACCTCAGAGATTCTGTACATGTTCTTCCTCCTGCCTAGAAAGGATCGTCCCTCCACTTTCGCCAACTAATCCCTGCTCAACTTTTCGTCTCAGCAGGAGGCCCATTCTCTTTGGCAATCCTCTGGCCTCCAGCCCATTTATTATATGCTCACATGTCAACATGTACTTCGTACAGCATGTAACACAATTGCACTTTTATATTTTAACAAATTATATTTCCCATATTGAACTGTAAGTCTCCTGAAAGGAGGAATTTTGTTGTTGCTCATCATCAACTTTTTCAACATCCAGTGCACCATTTAGAACTTAGATGTAGTCAATACAGGTTTGTGGAATGAAAGAGGAAAAGAAAGAATTAATATTCCTTTAAATTAGGATGGCAAAGATTGTATATAAAAAATTGGCTAAGTTGTAGTCCATTCATGTTTGCTCCCAATTAAGGAGCACAGCTATGAAAAGGAAGGCTTCAAATTAATAACCAATAGATTTTTTAAAAAAGAAAACTGGCCAGGTACTGTGGCTTATGTCTGTAATATCAGCATGTTGGGAGGCCAAGGCAGGATTACTTGAGCCCAGAAATTCCAGACCAGCCTGAGAATTTGGCAAAACTCCGTCTCTACAAAAAATACAAAAATTAGCCAAGTTTGGTGGCATGTGCCTGTAGTACCAGCTACTTGGGAGGCTGAGGTGGAAGAATAGCTTGAGTCTGGGAGGTCAAGGCTGCAATGAGCTGTGATCGCACCACTGCACTCAAGCCTGGGTGGTAGAGTAAGACCCTGTCTCAAAAAAAAAAAAGAAAAATCACTAAGCAAAATAAGACATGTGAAGGATCATGTCAAAGGTAAGAAAAATTAGGGGAACATTAAAAGCTTTCTTCCCAAGCCACTAAATCAACTTGACTAACAAAATTACCACTTGATTTAGCATTAGAAAATTACATTACATATCAAACATAAACCCATTAATCAAATACTAAAGAAATTTCTGAGTTAAATGGTATAATGTTAGCTTATGCCAGAGCTGACCTTGAAAGATTGTTCAAATATGGCTCAGTGTGATTGAAAGTTCTGTGTGAATATGTTTTTGGAAAGATCCAACAGCAACACCTTAGTGTATGTTTTTGAAATAAAATGTATCCGAGTAGCAGCAAAGTTATTCTCAAATTTCCATTTTATAGCTGGAGATGTTATACCGTGACATATATGATAGGACCCAATATGGATTAATCCCTTTTAGAAGTCAATCAGGAAGAGGGGAGCAGTTAAAACAGTTGCTTGGTTTACAAACATTAGAACTATTTTCCTATTCACACCATCTGATTATTGTATTTTATTTTTTCCCCAGCGTTTAGACTACACAACGAGTTAAGAATGATAAAAATAAGCTCACCAATATACTATGTACATATTTACCAAAATCTGTGCATGCTTATACATATAAACACAGCTGATAATTTATTAGTTAGGCTCATTTGTAATTTTTGTCACTATAGACCAGTTTTTTATTTAAATTGAAGATTAGTATACATTTTAAATGATTAGTCAAAATAAAAAATCTAAAATGTGCCCTAAATACCTCTTAGGTCAGAAAAAAAAAAAGTCAAAAGCTAGAATATAGAGAAATTAAGAAATGCCCTAAATTTCTAATCTGACAAAAATTCATACGAGATTTAAATATTTTAATGGAAAATAGAACAGAACTAATCATTGAAGAAATTATAGAAAGGAAACAAAATAAACAGATTATATGGAGGATTTTTAGAAGATAAGTAAATAAATTAATATACTAGGAAAAAACAAGGGAAATATAATTGATAAATAAATACAGGTAAGAGTTCTTTTGAAATAATGATAAAATAGAAAATCTCTGTCAAAACTAAAAGGAAAGATGCATAAATATACAAATAAATGATAAAAAGATGTTGCATACATATATGACTTTTTCAGAATCAAAAAATTTAAATTTCTATAATAAAATTTAAATGTTTATAAATTTAAAAAACTAGAAGAAAGAATGTTGACTGTTCACAATACAAATAAATGACAAATATTTGAGGTGATGGATATGCTAATTATCCTTATTTGATCATTGGACATTGTATACATGTATCAAAATATCACTCTGTATCCCATGAATATGTACAATTATTTGTCTCAAAAACAAACAAAAAAAGATAATGGGAGAATGTTGAAAACTCAGAGAGAAGAGCAACTCTCACAGATAGGGATCCAGATAACATTAGCAGCTGATTTCTCGGCAGAAACCTTGAAGGCCAGTAGGCAGTGGATTATATATTTAAAATAATGAAGAAACCTGTCAATTGAGAAATCTATAGCTGGAAAACTTATCCTTCAAAAATGAGGGAGAAATTAAGACATTTCCGGATTTTTTTTTAAAACTGAAAAAAATCCATTTATCCCTGAATTTGCCATTCAAGAAGTGTTAAGTCCTTCAGGTTGAAATAAATGAACTCTAGGCAATAACTATATAAGTAAATAAGCAAGCTGTATGAATATACAAAGCTCTCTGGTAAAGGTAAATACATAAACAAACATAAAAACAGTCCTATTGTAATTTTGGTTTGTAACTCTGCTTTTTATTTTCTACATAATTTAAAAGGCAAATGCATAAAATGTAATTGTAAATCTGTTAGCTGGTATACAATGAATAAAGACATAATTTGTTACATCAATAACATAAAAAGAGTAGAGCTATATATATAGCAGTAGAATTTTGGTATGTGATTGAACTTAAGTTGAAATAAATTCAAATTAAAATGTTATAACTCTAGGATGTTTTATGTAATTCTCATAGTAACCAAAAATGAAATATACATAGAATATAAACAAAAGGAAATGAGACTAGAAACAAAATGTGTCACTACAAAAAAATCAACTAAAGATAAAAAAGAAATAATTGAGAAAATGGCAAAAATCAGTAACTCTGACGTATTAAAACTTTCCATGCTACATAAATCTGAAAACTCTATTTCACATAAAACTGGAGCTGAAAGAGACAAATATTTACCTATAAAGTTAAAAGTTATATAGGGAACAAACACTAATTTTTTTTAGAAAAAATTATAAAAAGAGTAAAAATATGCCTTATACTACCCTAATTTCATGTTTTACAGCTCTGGGAAAATAGAAAATAAAATGTTCTGTTAGCATGAATCCCTCTGTGCCCCCAAAAAACCCTATGGATTGCATCATTGTTACCTAAAAAGTCTATTCTCAAATGCAGCAGAGTGATATTTTTTACAAGGTAGATATTAATTTTAGATATGGAATAATATTGGTGATTTCAATTTTATAACACTGGGTTAAGATGAAAGAATGAGAAGATAAAGGTCCCTCAGCAATATAACTCACAAACATGTTCAGAAGCAGTAAGAAGTTACATTAATTATCTTTTGAAAGTCAATAATCTACATCTTTAATGTATGCATATAGCACAGCTAATGTACTATCGCTGGGTCCATTTATTCAATGAATAATTGCCGCTATGTGTCAGACATTTTTCTAGGCCTAGGAATGGATACATAAGTGAACAAAGCAAAGATTCTGGTTCTTGTAGAGTTTCCATTAAAAGACCATTTAGTAAAACTTTTCTTCCCCCAAATTATAAAATCTGTAAGATGATTTAACAACATGTGTAAAAGTCATTGTGGGCCAGGCACGGTGGCTCATACCAGGTGTGGTGACTCATAGCACTCTGTCACCCAGGCTGGAGTGCAGTGGCACAATCTCTGCTCACTGCAACCTCTGCCTCCTGGGTACAAGCGATTCTCCTGCCTCAGCTTTCTGAGTAGCAAGGACTACAGATGCACACCATCACGCCTGGCTAATTTTTGTACTATTAGTACAGACGGAGTTTCACCATGTTGGCCAGGCTGGTCTCGAACTCCTGACCTCAAATGATCCGCCCACCTCGGCCTCCCAAAGTGCTGGAATTACAGATGTGAGCCACAATGCCCGGCCTTATTTTCTACAACTTTGGTAACTTTAGCATATACCCCAAATCTGTAAGACATAATATTATAATTCAAATGCAACTCATGGCTTCTCATTGTACTCTTTCTCTAGCTTTTGAATTATTTATTCTAATACCAGTTTTAATTCTGACACAAAAGCATGGGAGTTCTAATCAAAATCCAACCTTTTATCATAAAAACTATGAAGAAATTATGAGTAGAATTTAAAAAGGAAAATAGGCCTATTAATTAGATTTGTCTTTGTAGCATTTAACTCTATAATAAATAACATAATATTTTATGCCTATGAGTCCCCAACAAAGCCTCCAGCTTCTATTTAGATATAAAATGTAAAAGTCACTACTGGATCCACAAGCAAGACTATGGTAAATAAATTTCTCCACCTAACCAGCTTCTTTTACATGATATTACATGTTTCTTTTGTTTTTTCATTTTGGCAAATATTGATTGTCATCTTCGTGTTTGTCTATGTCCTAAGTGCTGGGATACAGAATCTGAAAAGATGGACACAGGACCTGCCTTCAATTTCACCCTTTTTTTTTTTTTTTTTTTTTTTTGAGATGGAGTTTTGCTCTTGTCACCCAGGCTGGAGTGTAATGGTGAGATCTCTGCTCACTGCAACCTCCACCTCCAGGGTTCAAGTGATTCTCCTGCCTCAGCCTCCCAAGTAGCTGGGATTACAGGTCCCAGCCACCACGCCTAGCTAATTTTTGTATTTTTAGTAGAGACAGCGTTTCATCATGTTGGTCAGGCTGGACTCGAACTCCTAACCTCAGGTAGTCGACCCACCTCGGCCTCCCACAGTGCTGAGATTACAGGCATGAGCCACCATGCCCTGCTAGGAGTTCACGCTTTAGTTGGGGAAAATATACAATAAGCAAGCCAATTTTTAAAATGAGAACTGCAATTAGAGTTAAATGCTACAAAGACAATCTCACAGGAACATGGGATGTAGAATGATAAGTCTCTCAGAATAGTAAGAGAAACTATTGCTTCTTACGATGTTTGTCTTTCTTTGTATCAGTGCTCAGCTGAGTCTGCAGTGCTTCAGAGGCAGCTTTCATTTTATAAAAATCTATGATTTCTCCTACCAGTTGTTTTTTCTCTTCCTCGAGCTTCCTTATCTCCTCCTGTTGAATGATTTTAAGATGCTCGAACTTGTCCTGCAGCTGTGAAACCAATGTGCAGTTGTGACACCAAAGCAGTGTGGCTGAACACCCAAAAGGATATGCTTTTTTCTGATTATCAAACAAACCCAAATCATCACAGTAGAGCACGATCTTAATAGCAATCTCAAAAACTCAGGAGTAAACACTCAGATATGGAATTTTTCTTTTCTTTCTTTTTTCCTTTTATAAGATGGAGTCTCACTCTGTTGCCCAGGCTGGAGTGCACTGGTGCGATCTCAGCTCACTGCAACCTCCATCTCCCAGTTCAAGTGATTCTCCTGCCTCAGCCTCTTGAGTAGCTGGGACTACAGGCATGCACCACCACTACAGGCGTGTGCCACCACACCTGGCTAATTTTTGTATTTTTAGTAGAGATGGGGTTTTGCCATGTTGGCCAGGCTGGTCTCGAACTCCTGACCTCAGGTGATCCTCCCGCTTTGGCCTCTCAAAGACTTTTTTTTTTTTTTTAATATAGAGACAAGTTCTCGGTATGTTGCCCAGGCTGGTCTCAAACTCCTGAGCTCAAGTGATCCTCCCACCTCAGCTTCCCAAAGTGCTGGGACTGACTGGATGCAGTGGCTCATGCTTGTAAACTCAGCACTTTGGGAGGCCAAGGTGGGAGGATCGCTTGAGCCCAGGAGTTCAAGACCAGACTGGGTGATATAACACAATAGTAAACTTCAACAGGAGAGAGAATCTGTAAACTTGAATATAGATCTTCTGAAATTATCCAGTCAGAGGACAAAGAAAAAAAGAATAAAAAAGAGAAAAGAAGGCTGGGCGTGGTGGCTCAAGCCTGTAATCCCAACACTCTGGGAGGCCAAGGCAGGCAGAATAAGAGGTCAGGAGTTCAAGACCAGCCTGGCCAACATGACAAAACCCCATCTCTACTAAAAATACAAAAATTAGCCGGGTGTGGTGGCACACACCTGTAGTCCCAGCTACTTGGGAGGCTGAGGCAGGAGAATCGCTTGAACCCAGGAGGCGGAGGTTGGAGTGCAATGTGAGCCGAGACCACACATTGCACTCCAGCCTGGGTGACAGAGCATGACTCTGTCTCAAAAAAAAAAAAAAAAAAAGAGACAGAGAAAAGAAAGCCAACAAGACACCATTAGGCAAACCATTGTCAGGTTATGAGAGTTTGAGAAGGAAAGTAGAGAAAGGAAAAGAAAGCTTATTTAAAGAATGGCTGAAAACTGCCTAAATCATGGGAAATATTTAGACATCTAAATCCATGAAGCTTAAAGATTCCTAAAGAGGTTCAAACCAAATAGATACTCACCAAGTCACAATATAATCAAATAGTCAAAAGTTAAAGAAACTTTGCAGGTCAGGACAGAATCGAATAATACATTCAAAGTGCTGAAAGAAAAAAACTGCCAGCAACTAATACTATGTCTGACAAAGCTGTCCTTCAGAAAGAAAGAAGAAATAATGTGTTTCCTCGACAAACAAAGCTGAGGGCATTCAGGACCACTAGGTCTACCTTAAAAAAATGCTTAACGGAGTTTTTCAAGTAAAAATGAATGAAGTTGGGAGCGGTGGCTCATGCCTGTAATCCCATTTTGGGAGGCCGAGGTTGGTGGATCACCTGAGGACGGGAGGTCAAGACCAGCCTGGCCAACATGGCAAAACCCCACCTCCAGTAAAAATACAAAAAATTAGCCAGGTATGAAGGCCACTGAGATCGTGCCACTGCACTCCAGCCTGGGTGACAAGAGTCAAACTACATTTCAAAAACAAAAAACAAAACAAACAAAAAAAACAAAACTTGAGG
This sequence comes from Homo sapiens, assembly GCF_000001405.40. NCBI lineage: Eukaryota > Metazoa > Chordata > Mammalia > Primates > Hominidae > Homo > Homo sapiens. The sequence goes on along the minus strand of NC_000001.11, from coordinate 227,978,273 downwards.
CCTGGCCTTCTGCTCCTCTCCAACCCCCCCTTCTCTGGGCCCAAGCCACCTTGGCTGAGGAGGGGGCGAGGAGGTGTGAGCCCCTGCCAGGAACCCCCTGCCCGGACCAAGTACTCGGCCCCCAGGCCTGCGTTCAGTGAGGCCTCCCGTGGCGTCAGCATGTTCGTGTGGAGGAATGTGGAAGGTCACTCTGTGGCCGTGTTCCCCTGGTACTCCATCCCCTTCCTGACCCCTCCCTGCAGCCACATGAGGCCCAGCAAACTGCCAGTCACTCAGTGGCCTCCAACCAGAGAAAACAACCTGCCAAGTTGGCAGCTGTTGCTCATGAGCGTCCACCAGGTGGGACGGGGAGTGTTGACCCTGGGCGGCCCCCTGGAGCCACCTGCCCTGAAAGCCCAGGGCCCGCAACCCCACACACTTTGGGGGTGGTGGAACCTGGTAAAAGCTCACCTCCCACCATGGAGGAGGGGCCCTGAGCCCCTCAGGGGAGTCCCTGCTGGACAGTGAGACAGAGAATGACCATGATGATGCTTTCCTCTCCATCATGTCTCCTGACACCCAGTTGCCTCTACCACTCAGATGATGTCAGGCCCAGTCCCTCAGTGCCCTGCGCAAGGAACAGGACTCATCTTCTGAGAAGGATGGACGCAGCCCCAACAAATGGGACAAGGACCACATCTGGTGGCCCATGAGTGGCAGTCATAATCTTCAGCAAGCAGCACCAGGCCCTGGCAGGGCGCACCAGGGTCACCCCAACCAGGATAACCGGACCATCAGCCAGATGCTGAGCGAGCAATGGTACACCCTGGGGCCCAATGAGATGCAGAAATACGACCTGGCCTTCCAGGTGAAGGTGGCCCACTTGCAACAAGGACCAAAAGAAGTCCAGCTCAGAGGCCAAGCCCACAAGCCAGGGGCTAGCAGGAGTGTAACAAGGGCTCGTGGGAGTGGAGCATATCAGAGATGGGCACTGCCACTGCCCCTGGGGTGTCCTCTGAACTCCTGTCAGTTGCAGCCCAAACACTCCAGAGCTCGGATACCAAGGAGCAGCTTCTGTGGGGCAGAACGGCTGCACACAGTCAGGAAACCTGGCTCAGCCTGGCCCAAGCCTTCTCCCACAGTGGGGTACACAGCCTGGACGGCAGGGAAATAGACCGTCAGGCACTACAGGAACTGACACAGGTGGTGTCTGGCACTGCATCATACTCTGGCCCAAAGCCTTCTACTCAGTATGGAGCTCCAGGCCACTTTGCAGCCCCTGGTGAGGGAGGTGACCAGTGGGCAGCCCTGCTGCTGCCCACCTGAGCTGCTCATTCCCAGCACATGGCCAGTGAGGACATAGCGAGTGACGAGGAGCACACGGTCATCCATGAGGAGGAGGGGGTGATGATGTCATTGCTGATGATGGCTTTAGCACCACTGACACTGATCTCAAGTTCAAGGAGTGGGTGACCGACTGAGAGTGGGGACAACTCTGGGGAGGAGCCAGAGGGCAACAAGGGCTTTGGTGGGAAGGTATTTGCACCTGTCATTCCTTCCTCCTTTACTCCTGCCGCCCCTTGCTAGATCCTGAGCCCCCAGGGTCCCCCGATCCACCTGCAGCTTTTGGCAAAGTCTATGGTCCCACCCTGTCCTCCTCCTACACATACTCGGATGCTTCCTCCTCAACCTTGGCACCCACCTCCTTCTTACTGGGCCCAGGAGCCTTCAAAGCCCAGGAGTCTGGTCAAGACAGCAGAGCGGGCCCCCTACGGCCCCTACCCCTGGGGATGGGGGCCCAGGGACGCCTTCCAAGGCGATCTGTTTCCTCCCAATGGATCCTGCCACCTTCTGGTGCAAGAGACCTGAAAGTGTGGGCGACCTGGAACTACCAGGCTCCTCAGTCATCAGGGTCCCTCCCAACACTAAGGCTTTCCTAGGCAGGAGCTGGGCTGAGCCACCCAGGGGGCAGAGCCTGAAGAGAAACTGACTGGGCTTTTGGGGTCAGGGCAGAGGGAACCCCACGGACATGGATCCCACACTGGAGGACCCCACCACGCCCAGATGCAAGATGAGAAGGTGCTCCAGCTGCAGCCCAAAGCCCAACACCCCCAAGTGTGCCATGTGTGATGGGGACAGCTTCCCCTTTGCCTGTACAGGTGGAGAAGCTGAGGACAGGCTCAGGGAACCGGAGACCGAGAAGGCGCTGTCCTCTTCACTGCACGCGCCCCGGACCAGTGCCGGCCCTGATCATGCAGCTCTTCCAGGCCCACTGCTTCTTCCTGTCCACTAGGCCACAGCTGCTCTCCAGGCCCACTATGCACACATCTTCCCCTCCAAGGTTTGTTCTGCCCCTGCCCTGACTCCCAGCCCTGTGGGGTTCCTGACCGGACCTCACCTGGCTCAGACTCTTGACGCTGCCCTGGTTGCCCCACCACTGCCTCTGCCCGAGAGTCACGTGAGGCTGAGAGTAGGGGCAGGGGCAGCAGTGGTGCCAGTTGGGGGGGCGGTCCAGTGGGAGGAGCCTCAGCCTCGCGGGCTGCTCCGTGGGACTGATGACTGCATGATCTTCTGGGCACCTCACGGATCTTCAACTGCAGGTGAAACGGATGCTGGTGGTGGGTGCAGGGCCGCTGGGAGCCGCTGCATGGTTCCCAGAGGCTGGACTGGGGCAGGTGCCAACTGAAGCTGCTGGGGCAGCATGGGCAGGATGTTCTGCACACAAACCTTGGAGAAGAAGATGTGTGCATAGCGGGTCCACTGCTGCTGCCCCTGCCCTGACTCCCAGCCCTGCCTGACCCCACCTCACCCTGCTCAGGCTCTGGCGCAACCCTGGCTGCCCTGCCACTGCCTCTGCCCCAGAGTTGGGGCCTTGACAGCCTGGTTGGAAGGGGACACCCCAGCCCTGCCTCAACACCTGGGGGTCTCCATAACTACCACAGGCAGGTGGGCGACCCCAAAGAAGATCCCAGGACTCACAGTACCCCCTGAGAACATGGACAGTATGTGGGGGTAGCAATGGAGGGCAGGATGGTTATCTTCTCCCAGGTAAAGCCATTTAATCCTTTCAGTTTGGGACGGAATAAGGCCTGCCTCTTTTTTTTTTTTTTTTTTTTTTTTGAGACCGAGTCTTGCTCTGTCGCCCAGGCTGGAGTGCAGTGGTGCGATCTTGGCTCACTGCAACCTCTTCCCGCTGGGTTCACACCATTCTCCTGCCTCAGCCTTCCGGGTAGCTAGGATTACAGGTGCACGCTACCACGTCCAGCTAATTTTTGTATTTTTAGTACAGACGGGGCTTCATCATCTTGGCCAGGCTGATTTCGATCCCCTGACATCGTGATCTGCCTGCCTCCCCCTCCCAAAGTGCTGGGATTACAGGCGTGAGCCACCACGCCTGGCCAAGGCCTGCTCCTCTTATCTATACCCCCTACCCCTGCAGCTGTGCCGGGGGAAAGCTGGGCAGTTTCCCTCCTCCGAGCCCCTGTACATACCATGAATTGTGGGACCTTCAGAGCTTTTCACTTTTCGGAAAATAGCTCCTGCTGGGGCTACAAGATGGAGTGTGAAGAGGGCCTTGGGCCACAGGGAGGCGCCTGTGGACTAGGGGGAGTTCATGCACCCCTTCTTTCCTCAGAGGGGCTGGACTCAGGTGAGTATGGGGGTGGGGGCTCCTGCACTTCGACACAGGGAGCGGGAGGGTTTTCTCCCCATTCCCTCTGCACTCCCAACTTGAGCTATACTTTTTAAGAAAGTGATTCACCCTGCCTTTGCCCCCTTCCCCAGAAAAGAACACGTTGATCATGGGCGATATTTTTCATTGTGCCAAAAAGTTGCCATGACCGTCATTAAACCTGTTTAACACCAAATAATAAGGAAAATAGAATAAAAAATTCGGGCATGGTGCAGAAACTCACTCCAAATAAATTGCCGAAAAAAATATTTATATAATGGTGGAAATATTCCAAAATTCAATATTTTGGGATTTATACCCAAAAGATAAACAAATTAGAGGCCAAGAGGCTGCCGGAAGGGAAAAACGGGGCCTGGGAAGGCCGTTGTGAGGAATGAGCTGGGCCTAAAGAGGCCACTGGGAGGCAGGAGCTGGACCTGCTGAAGCGGCCGAGAGGCAGGAGTTTTGGACTCCGGAGGCCGCAGTGAGGCGAGAGCTAGCTGGGCGTGGAGAGTCCGCTGTGAGGCCGAGGCCGGGCCCGTGCAGGCCTTCGAGAGGCAGGAGGCCGGGCCTGCAAAGGCCCACTGGAGGTCAAGTTCTGGGCCTGAAGAGGCCGCCAAAAGTCAAAAGCGGGGCCTGGGAAGGCCGCCGAGAGCCATGAGCTGGGCTGGGCCGAAAGAGGCCACTGGGAGGCAGGAGGAGCTGGGCCTGGAGAGGCTGACTCGAGGAAGTTTTGCACCTGGAGAGGCCGCCGAGAGGACGGAGTTGGGCCCGGGGAGGCCGACTTGCTGCTCTTCCAGGCCCAATTCCAGGCCGATTTGAGGATGACTTGGGCCTGCAGAGGCCGCCGGGAGGCCCAAGCTGGGCCTGGAGAGGCCGACTTCGGGACGATTTGGGCCTGCAGAGGCCGCCAGGAGGCCCAAGCTGGGCCTAGAGGAGCCCACCGACCGGAGGCCGTTTGGGGCCTGCAGATGCCATCGGAGGGCAGGAGCTGAGCCTGGAGAGGCCACCGTGAGGCCTGACCTGGGCCTGGGGAACTTGGCTTCGGGAAGTTGTGGGCCTACCAGGGCCACTGGGAGCTGGGCAGGAGCTGAGTCCAAAGACGTTGTTGGGAGGCCAGAGTCGGGCCTGGAGACGCAGCCGGGAGGAAGAGCTGGGCCCGGAGAGGACGCCGGGAGGCTGCAAGTGGGTCTGGAGAGGCCGAATTGAGGAGGCCCGGCCTCTGTCTCCCCCATGGCGGCCTCTGCAGGCCCAGCTGTTCCTCCTGGCTGCATCTCCCGGCCCAGCTCCTGCCTCTCAGCAAACAAGCTCTTTTGGCTCAGCTCCCGCCGGCATTTGTTGACCCCGAAGTTTCTGCAACCAAGCGCTCAGGCCCACATCCCGCCTCCAATAGCCTGAACAGTCCCAGCTCTGGCTGGAGAAGAGCGTCTGCAGGCCCCGCTGTTGCCTCCCAGGGGTGTCTCCAGGCCCAGCTCTCGCCCCACAGCGACCTCCCAGGCCCAAGTCCCTGCCTGCCTCCCAGCAGCCCGCGTGCGACCCTGCTCCTCCCTCACGGTGGCCTGTTGAGGCAGGGGCTCAGGCTGACCTCTGTCAGCGCGGGAGGGGCCGGTGTGAGGCAAGGGCTCACACTGACCTCTCTCAGCGTGGGAGGAGCCAGTGTGAGGCAAGGGCTCACGCCTCTGGGCAGTGTGCCAGATGCATGAGTTGGGCATCAACAGGCCACCGTGAGGGAGGAGCTGGGCCGCACGTGGGCTGCTGGGAGGCAGGCAGGGACTTGGCCCCGGGAGGCCGCCATGGGGGCAAGAGCTGGGCCTGGAGAGGCCCCTGGGAGGCAAGCGCGGGGCCTGCAGAGGCTGTTCTCCAACCAGTGCTGGGCCTGTACAGGCCACCGGGCGGCAGGAATTAGGCCCGAAGAACTTGGCTGGAGAAAGTTCGGGGCCTACAAAGGCGGTTGGGAGCTGGGCAGGAGTTGAGCCAAAAGAGCTTGCTTACTTGCTGGGAGGCAGGACCGGGAGAGGCCGACTTCAGGACAACTTGGGCCTGCAGAGGTCGCCGGGAGGCCCAAGCTTGGCGTGGAGGAGCCCACCGACCGGAGTCCATTTGGGGCCTGCAGATGCCATCGGAGGGCAGGAGCTCATCCTGGAGAGGCCACCGTGAGGCCTGAGCTGGGCCTGGGGAGCTTGGCTTCGGGAAGTTGTGGGCCTACCAGGGCCGCTGGGAGCTGGGCAGGAGCTGAGTCCAAAGACGTTGTTGGGAGGCCAGAGTCGGGCCTGGAGACGCAGCCGGGAGGAAGAGCTGGGCCCGGAGAGGACGCCGGGAGGCTGCAAGTGGGTCTGGAGAGGCCGACTTGAGGAGGCCCGGCCTCTGCCTCCTGCATGGCCACCTCTGCAGGCCCAGCTGTTCCTCCTGGCTGCATCTCCCGCCTCCCAGCAAACAAGCTCTTTCGGCTCAGCTCCCGCCAGCCTTTGTACACCCCGAAGTTTCTGCAACCAAGCTCTTCAGACCCACATCCCGCCTCCCAGTGCCTGAACAGTCCCAGCTCCGGCTGGAGAAGAGAGTCTGTAGGCCCAGCTGTTGCCTCCCAGGGGTGTCTCCAGGCCCAGCTCTCGCCCCACTGCGACCTCCCAGGCCCAAGTCCCTGCCTGCCTCCCAGCAGCCCGCGTGCGACCCTGCTCCTCCCTCACGGTGGCCTGTTGAGGCAGGGGCTCACGCTGACCTCTGTCAGCCTGGGAGGGGCCGGTGTGAGAATAGGGGCTCAGGCTGACCTCTGTCAGCATGGGAGGGGCCGGTGTGAGGCAAGGGCTCACGCCTCTGGGCAGGGTGCCAGAGGCATGAGTTGGGCATCAACAGGCCACCGTGAGGGAGGAGCTGGGCCGCACGCGGGCTGCCGGGAGGCAGGCAGGGACTTGGCCCCGGGAGGCCGCCATGGGGGCAAGAGCTGGGCCTGGAGAGGCCCCTGGGAGGCAAGCGCGGGGCCTGCAGAGGCTGTTCTCCAACCAGTGCTGGGCCTGTACAGGCCACCGGGCGGCAGGAATTAGGCCCGAAGAACTTGGCTGGAGAAAGTTCGGGGCCTACAAAGGCGGTTGGGAGCTGGGCAGGAGTTGAGCCAAAAGAGCTTGCTTACTTGCTGGGAGGCAGGACCGGGAGAGGCCGACTTCAGGACAACTTGGGTCTGCAGAGGTCGCCGGGAGGCCCAAGCTTGGCGTGGAGGAGCCCACCGACCGGAGACCATTTGGGGCCTGCAGATGCCATCGGAGGGCAGGAGCTCATCCTGGAGAGGCCACCGTGAGGCCTGACCTGGGCCTGGGGAGCTTGGCTTGAGGAAGCTGTGGGCCGACCAAGGCCGCCAGGAGATGGGTAGGCACTGAGTCCAAAAAGGTTGTTGAGAGGCAGGAGTCGGGCCTGGAGAGCAGCCGGGAGGAAGAGCTGGGCCCAGAGAGGACGCCCGGAGGCTGCAAGTGGGTCTGGAGAGGCCGACTTGAGGAGGTTCTGGGCCCGGAGAGGCCGCCGGAAGGGAAAAACTGGGCCTGGAAAGGCCGTTGTGAGGAATGAGCCCCATGGGCCTGAAGAGGCCACTGGCAGGCGGGAGCTGGGCCTGCCGAAGCGGCTGAGAGGCAGGAGCTTTGGACTCGGGAAGCCGCAGTGAGGCGAGAGCTAGCTGGGCGTGGAGAGTCTGCTGTGAGGCAGAGGCTGGGCCTGTGCAGGCCTTTGGGAGGCAGGAGGCCTGGCCTTGTCGAGGCCTGCAGAGGCCACCGAAAGTCAAAAGCAGGGCCTGGGAAGGCCGCCGGGAGGCATGAGCTGGGCTGGGCCGAAAGAGGCCACTGGGAGGCAGGAGGAGCTGGGCCTGGAGAGGCTGACTCGAGGAACTTTTGCACCCGGAAAGGCCGCCGAGAGGCCGTTGCTGGGCCTGGGGAGGCCAACTTGAGGACGACTTGGGCCTGCAGAGGCCGCCGGGAGGCAGGAGCTGGCCCTGGACAGGCCGACTTGACGACAGTCTGGGCCTGCAGAGGCCGCCGAGAGGAAGAGCTGGGCCTGGAGAGGCCGACTGGAGGAAGTCCAGGGCCTGGAGAGGATGCAAAGCAGCAAACGCTAGGCCTGGAAAGGCTGCCCTGAGGCACGGGCTTGGCCAGCAGAGGCCACTGGGAGGCAGGAGCTGGGCCCACAGAGGCTCCCGAGAGGGAGGAGCATTGCCCCAGGAGGCCACGGTGAGGAAGAGGTGGGCCTGGAGAGCCCACTGTGAGGTAGAGGCCGGGCCTGTAGAGGCCGCCGACAGGCAGGGGATGGGCCCGTTGAGGCCACGAGAGGCATGAGCTGGGCCTCAACAGGCCAGTGTGAGGCAGGAGCTGACACTTGGGCACGTTGCAAGAGGCATGAGTTGGGCCGAAAGAGGCCACCGTGAGGGAGGAGCTGGGCCTGTACAAGCTGCCAAAAGGCAGGAGCAGCTTTGGACTGGAGAGGCCGCAGACAGGGAAGAGCTGGGTGTGAAGAGTCTGCTGTGAGGCAGAGGCTGGGCCTGTACATGCCCTCGGGAAGCAGGAGGCTGGGCCTGGAGAGGCCGACTTGAGAAAGTTTTGCTCCTGGAGAGGCCACTCAGAGGCAAGAGCTGGGTGTGAAGAGGCTGACTTGAGGTCGATTTTGGCCTGCAGAAGCCACCGGTAGCTAGGAGTTGGCCCTGGAGAGGCTGACCTGAGGACAATTTTGGCCTGTAGAGGCCACTGGGAGGGAGAGCTTGGTCTGGAGAGGCCAACTGGAGTAAGTTCAGGGCTTGGAGAGGATGCACAAAAGGAAATGCTCAGCCTGGAAAGTGTGCTGTGAGGCATTAGCTTGGCCTACACAGCACTTGGAGGCAGGAGCTGCGCCTGCAGAGGGTGACTTCAGGATGATTTTGGCCTGCAGAAGCCTTTGGGAGGAAGAGCTTGGCCTGGACCGGCTGACTGGAGGAAGTTTTGGGACTGGAGTATGCGTCAAAAAGCAAAAGTTAGGCTAGGGAAGGCCACTTCACGGCATGATCTTGGCCTACAGAGGCAATTGCGAGGCAGGAGCTTGGCCTGTAGAGGCTGCCGAAAGGCAGGAGCTTGGCCTTAGGAGGCTATGATCAGGCAAGTGGTGGGCCTGGAGGGTCTACTGTGTGGTAAGAGTCTGGGCCTGTGTAGGCAGACATGAGGCAGGAGCTGAGTTAGGAGAGGCCAACTTTTGGAGAATTTGGGCCTGCAGAGGCTGCCAGGAGGCAAGAGCTGTGCCTGGAGAGTCCATCTTTTAGCATGAGCTGGGCCTAAAGAGACCATTGTGAGGCAGCAGCTGCCTGGGAGGCAGGCAGATTCATGGCCTGGGGAGGCCACCGTGAGGCAAATGCTCAGTTTTCGGAGGATGCCGTGAGGCAGGGAGAAACTTGGCTTTCGGTGGCCGCAGTGAGGGAATAGTTTGATTGCTGAGCCTGCCGGGAGGCCAAAGGTGGGCCTGGAAAGCTTTACCTTAAGAATTCTGTGGCCTACAGAGGCTGCCAGCAGCTCAGCAGGAGTTGGGCCAAAGGAGGTTGTTGTGAGGCAGGAGACGGGCCTGTAGACGCACTGGGAGGATGAGCTCATCCTGGAGATGCCGAGTTAAGGACATTCTGGGCCTCGACAGGCTGCAAAAGGCAAAAGCTGTGCCTGGAAAAGTCGCCATGGGGCATGAGCTTGGCCTAAAGAGGCCACTGCAAGGCAGGAGCTGGGCCTGTAGAGGCTGCGGAAAGGCAGGAGCTTCGCCTGAGGATGCCACAGTGAGACACCATCTGGGTCTGGAGGGTCCACTGTGAGGCAGAGGCTGGCCTGTAGAGTCCGACAGTAGACAGAAGTTGGGCAAAAGGCTGATTTGAGGAAGTTTTGGGCTTCAAGAGTCAGCCACGAGGCAGGCACTAGGCCTGGAAATGGCCCGACAGTCATGAGTTGGGCCTAAATGGGCCACTGTGAGGGAGGAGCTGTGCCTGTTGAGGCTGCTGGCAGGCAGGCAGAAATTTGGCCTGGGGCAGCTGCCATGAGGCAGGAGCTGGGTCTGGAAAAAGCCCCTGGGAGGCAAGAGCAGGGCCTGCAGAGGCTGTTCTCAAGTCAAAGCTGGGCCTGTTCATGCCACCGGGAAGCAGAAGGTGGGCCTGGAGAGTTTGACTTGAGGAAGTTTTGGGCCTACATTGGCCGCCATGAGCTGGACAGGAACTGGGCCAAAAAAGGCTGTTGTGAGGCAGCAGTTGTGCCTGTAGACCCAGCCAAGAGGAAGAGGTGGGCCTGGAGAAGCCCCCATGAGGCAGAGGTTGGGCCTGTAGACGCTGACAGGAGGCAGGAGCTGGGCCTGGAGAGGTCCACTTGAGGAGATTTTGGGCCTTCATAGGCCACCAGGAGGCAGCAGTTGGGACTAGAGAGTCTGACTTGAGTAAGTTTTGGGCCCGGAGATGACGTCCTGGGACAGGAGTTGGGCCTGGAGAGGCCACCGTGAGGCATGAGCTGGATGTAGAGAGGCCAGTGTGAGGCAAGACCTGGGCCTGTCTAGGCTGCTGGGAGACAGGCAGGAATCTGGCCAGGAAAGGTTGCCATGAGACAAAAGTTGAGCCTGGAAAGGCCCTTGTGAAGCATGAGCTTGGCCTAAAGAGGCCACTGGGTGGCAGGAGTTGGGTGTGTAGAAGCTGCTGAAAGGTTGGGAGCTTGGCTTGGGGGGTCCACAGTGAGGCAGATGCTGGGCCTGAAGAATCTGCTGTGAGGCAGATGTTGGGATTGTAGAGGCCGACGGGAGGCAGAGGCTGGGCCTGGAGGTGCCACCAAGATGCAGGAGCTGGGCCTGGAGAGGCTGCAAAGAAGCATGAGCTGGGCCTGGTGAGGTCGACTTGAGAAAGTTCAGGGCCTGGAGAGAAGGCTGGGAGGCAGGAGCTGGGTCTAAAGAGGCCATTGTAACGATGGAGCTGTGCCTGTGGAGGCTGTTGTGAGGCAGTAGGCTCATCTGCGGAGACTGCCGTGAGGTAGGGTATGGGCCTAAATAGGCCATTGTGAGTCATGAGCTTGGTCTGTAGAGGCTGACTGGAGAAAGTTCTGGGCCTGGAGAGGCTGCTGGGAGGTAGGAGCTGGGCCAAAAGATTTAAGCACATTTACATTTATTAGGCACTTTATTTCCATTATTACACTGTAATATATAATAAAATAATTATAGAACTCACCATAATGTAGAATCAGTGGGCGTGTTAAGCTTGTTTTCCTGCAACTGGATGGTCCCACCTGAGCGTGATGGGAGAAAGTGACAGATCAATAGGTATTAGATTCTCATAAGGATAGCGCAACCTAGATCCCTCACATGCACAGTTCACAACAGGGTGCGTTCTCCTATGAGAATCTAATGCTGCTGCTGATCTGAGAAGGTGGAGCTCAGGCGGGAATGTGAGCAAAGGGGAGTGGCTGTAAATACAGACAAAGCTTCCCTCACTCCCTCACTCGACACCACTCACCTCCTGCTGTGTGGCTCCTTACGGCTCCATGGCTCAGGGGTTGGGGACCCCTGCTCAAGTGCATCCAAAGCGACCCTTCCCACATTCCCACACCGGTCTTCATAGTGGTCAAGGGCAGCAACCACTTAGCTCCCAAGGCATGTGCCTCAGCTGGCATTTCATCACAATCAACAGTAAGTGGTAGCTTGAGTCACTGTGAGGTCAATTCCTGGAAATCACCAGCATCCCATTTCCCACTGGCAAAGAGCTCAGCACTGCCCCCTGGGAAACCAAACCTAGGCCCAAATCCCATCTGTGTGGGTTTATCTCCTGGGACTCTTCCTAACATATTAGTCAGAGTCCAATCAGGAAGCATAAACCACTCAAAAGTTTAAAGTGGTAAAATTTAATATGGAGAATTATTCATTATAACAGGTGAACAGCATAATGAGAGATTGGCTAGCACAAAGTAAAGAGAACTCTAGAGAATACAGGACTAGCCCAGGCCAGGCATGGTGGCTCATGCCTGAAATTCCAGCAATTTGAGAAGCTAATGCAGGAGGATTGCTTAAGGCCAGGAGCTAGAGACTGGTCTGGACAACACAGTGAGACCCTGTCTCTATCCAAAAAACGAAAAAAGTTAGCTGGGAGTGGTGGTGCACACTTGTAGTCCCAGCTACTCGGAATGCTGAAGTTTGAGCCTGGGAGGTCAAGGCTGCAGCGAGGCATGATTATGCCACTACAGTCCAGCCTGGTGACAGAGCAAGACCCTGTCTCAAAGAACAAAACAACAACAACCATTTACAGACAGAAAAGAAATAGAGCTAATAAGCTAAGGAAAGATGTTGAAATGTGACAAGTAAAGTAATATGAGGTCTTTTATCTATTTAAAATAATCAAACAAAAAATGACTTACCAAATTATAATACCCTGTGCTGGCAAAGGTGCAGTGAAATGGGCACTTTCTTATACTACATAGTGAGGGGTGTTTAAATTGTGTATAAGCCTTCCCGGGTAAGGCTTGTCAATTTTTTAAAATAATGGAGACAGGGTCTCACCATACTGCCATACTGCCTCCTCCAACTCTTGGCCTCAAGCAATCCTCCTCTCTTAGCCTCCCAAAGTGCTAAGATTATAGCTGGGAGGCACACAAAACCCTGTCAATTTACATCAAGGGTAATGAGAATGTCCATTCACCATGTCTCACAGTAATCTTACTTCTGGGGAGACAATTCAATCTAAACAAAAGGTCATCTGTACAAACACAGTAAAAATCTGGGAGTAACTGAAGACAGAGTTGGTAAGTGAAATAAGAAACAGTTATAAGAAATTAAACTATGATATCAATAGGCACCTGGTATGAAAGGTCAGTTGATGTTAGCTGCTACTTTTTTGTTGTTTTGAGACAGGGTCTCACTCTGTCACCCAGGCTGGAGTGCAGAGGCCTGATCATGACTCACTGCAGTCTCAGCCTCCCTGGGCTCAAGTGATCCTCCCACCTCAGCCTCCCAAGTAGCTGGGACTACAGGAAAATGCCACCACACTAGGCTAATTCATGTATTTTTCTGTAGGGATGGTGACTCCCTACAGTTATTATATATTATATATCTATTATATATATAATATTATTTATATATCTATTATATATATAATATTATATATTATATATCTATTATATATATAATATATATTATATATCTATTATATATATAATATTATATATATAATATATATTATATATCTATTATATATATAATATTATATATATAATATATATTATATATCTATTATATATATAATATTATATATTATATATCTATTATATATATAATATTATATATTATATATCATTTCCAAATTCCCCAGCATTCATATTTGTCAGTGCAAGTAAAGAGCCTTAGTGCTGATTAGGTTTGAGGTATGACCATTTGGCCAGAATTTATGAACTCTACATGTCGCTTGATGTGTGCTTCAGGGTACACTTTTTTTTTTTTTTTGAGACGGAGTCTTGCTCTGTCGCCCAAGCTGGAGTGCAGCGGTGCGATCTCAGCTCACCGTAAGCTCCGTCTCCTGGGTTCACGCCATTCTCCTGCCTCAGCCTCCTGAGTAACTGGGACTACAGGCGGCCGCCACTGTGCCCTGCTAATTTTTTGTATTTTTAGTACAGACGGGGTTTCACCATGTTAGCCAGGATGGTCTCGATCTCCTGACCTCGTGATCCACCCGCCTCGGCCTCCCAAAGTGCTGGAATTACAGGCTTGAGCCACCACGCCCAGCCAGGGTACACTTTTAAGCAGAGACACTACTTTGAAGGTCATAAAAAATATAATAAGAGATAAGGCTAATTTCCTTTAATAATAATAAATTCCTTTAATAAAAATATAAAGGAATAATATAATAATTTTCTTTAATAAAATATAATGAGATAAGGCTAATTTCCTTTAATAAAATATAGTAACTACATACCAACACAGAATTCCTAAAAAAGAAATGGAGAGGAAGGGAGCATGGGTCATTAATCTTGTCAAAAATATAAAATTATATACGAGGAATTCCTAGAAACTGTTTTCCTTGTCTGCGGCCATTGTGCTGCTGCTACATAACTACCGCAAGCAGCCCTTCACGCCCTCCTCCCAGTACAAAGCTAATTGACTTGTGAGAAATGTTAAGCTTGGAAGAGTCAGCATCGCTGCACTTATTTTTTATTCTACTCTGACATTAGAATAATCCTTGAGTGGGGGAAAGGTTAAAAACCCCCCTGGATAAGTGTTACTAATTAATGATGATTGTTTTAAACAATGTTTGGATAATTTTTCCTTGTCCCTTGACATAAACTTGATAACTGAGAAGTGAGAAGGAGATTAGTGGGTTGATTAAATTCCATTCAGGTACTTAAAGTTAGCTCCAAAAATTTAGCTATTTATAAATTGTCATGCATTGTTAATGTATAAGAGATGTAGATTTCATTTATCTTTGGTGGAGCGAGATGAAGCAGTGAATCATTGAAGACTGAAAGAAAGAAAAAGGTCTTTTCCCTTTTCTTTAAGAAGCATCATTAGTTAAAAATATGTTAGTTAAAACCAGAGAACTATATTTAAAGGGACAGCAATAAGCAAATTGATTACTCTGGTGATTATTGGAGTGACATTACCTTTTAGTTGTACTTTCACAAAAATTCACAATATTTGCCAAAGTCAAGTTATCCATTACACTATTAATTTGTCATTCTTTTGTTTATATAGTCAATATCTCTATCTCAATTGGATCTATCTCAACTGCTTCTAAACAAGCCACCATAGTCTCTCCCATTTCAACAATCTCTTCCAAGTACCATTTCATTTCTTCTTTTCATATTTTTGAAAACTTTTGAAAAACTACCTGTTTTCCTCCTCCATTTCTTGTTCATTCCATTCTAGTGGACATGGAATCTGTTCCTCCTCCAAAACAGAATTTGGTAACCCTTAAATTACTAAACCCAAAACAATATGTTGTTTTTATCTTTACCTCTCTGTGGCATTTAATGATAAGACCACTACTTTCTTCTCTTTTACCCTTCTTTCTTGAATTCAGTCAAACAACGTACTTACATTTTTCGTCTTATTCTCCATCTTAGAAACCACCTCAGCTTTCTCCATGCAGCCATAAAATTGTGCTTTTCCTCAAAGATTAATCTGCCTCTCCTCTCACTCTATACTATCTCTGTTAGCTAATTTTATTTGTGCACATTGCTTATACTGGGCATTATATACACATATGCATGTGTGTACCTGTGCACACACACACTGTATGTGGACATGTATATATATGTGTGTGTATATATATATAGTATATATATAAATTACAATAACATAAAGGTGGCATTTTAAATTAGTGGAAATTACCCTGATTTGATCACTACACATTCTATACATGTAAAGAAATATCACTCTGTATCCCAAGAATATGTACAATTATGGTTTGTCAAATGAAAAAGTTCATACATTGAAAAATTTTAGATAAATATCAAACTTTCTCTGAAACTGTAAAATGTAATATATATATACACACACATACACATATACACTACAGACATATATATATTTATATATATAATATTAGAGTATTTTTATATATATAGTAGATATATATATATATACATATATATACACACACAATATCTGCCATGTTTCCATATGCATTCTGAGTTAGGCAAAACAAAGACAAGCACCTTGTATGAGTCCTTCAGGCACCTCTCCCTAGCCCTCAGGCAGCTTAGGACAGACATGCACAATAATTTGCCAATCAGGTCTGGTGTGCTCCCTCTTGTATGAGAGACCAGAGTCCCACTCTGTCACCCAGGCTGGAGTGCATTGGCATGATCTCGGCTCACTGCAGCCTCCACCACTCAGGTTTGAGTGATTCTCCTCAGCCTCCTGAGTAGCTGGGACTATAGGTGTTTGCCACCACACCCAGCTAATTTTTGTATTTTTAGTAGAGACAGGGTTTCGCCATGTTGGTCAAGCTGGTCTCAACCTCCTGACCTTAAGCCATCCTCCCACCTGGGCCTCCCAAAATGCTGGAATTGCAGGCATGCGCCACCGCGCCCAGACCTCCTTTGTATACTCTTGCTTTCCTCTATCTTCTCGGACATGTGGGGTATATTTGTAACAGTTGCTTAAGTGATCTTATCTACTAATTATATTATCTCTTTCATTTCTAGATCTGTTTTTGTTGATAATTTTTTTTCTCATTATGGGTCATATTTTCCTGTTTATTTGCATGCCTAGTTATATTTGATTGGATGTCTGGCATTGTGAACTTCACCTTGTTGAATGTTATTTCTTTAAATGTTTTTGAGCTTTGTTTTGGGATGCAATCTGATCCTTTCAAAGACTGCTTTTGAGTGTTTTTCAACAAGCACAGAGTGACTCATAGTCAAGGGCTCATTTGGCCATCTCTGTGTCCTTCTTGTCCTCTTCTCTATGTCCCATTAATTGTGAAGTTTTCTGATCTGGCTATTAGCGACCTATTCCCAGCTTTGTGTGAGCTCCACTGATTTTTTCTCCTGCAATTTGGGTGGTTCTTTCCCATGTCTTAGGTAGTTTTCTTGCCCTTGTGCACTGATCAGTCCTGACGAAGACACTCTGCAGCCCTCTGCAGCTCCCTCCTCCTCTCCAGTCTTCTGCCCTGTGAACTCCAGCCAGCTTGCTTTGGGCTGTCATAATAAAATATCTCAGGCTGGTGGGCTGAAACAACAGACATTTATGTTCTCACAGTTCAGGAGGCCAGAATTCTGAGGTCAAGGTATGGGCAGGGCTGGTTTCTCCTGAGGCCTCTCCTTGTGGCTTGCAGATGCCACTTCCTTGCTATGTCCTCACATGGCCTTTCCTCTGTGCACACGCAGCCTGGTGTCTGTGTGTACAGACTTCCTCTTCTTATAGGGACGTCAGTCAGATTGGATTAGGGACCCCCTTGTGGCCTCATTTTAGCTCAATCACCTCTTTAAAGACCCTGTTTTCAAATCTGGTCACATTCTAAAGTACTGGGAGTTAGGACTTCAACATATGGATTTTGGGGGTAGGAAAGTGTCAGGACTCAGCCCAGAACAGGCTCTGGGACTCTGGCTCTATCTCCTCAGGGAGACTACTGGCCCCTGCCTGGACCCACCTCGCTCTGTCCCCTCTTAGGGCCTGTTATCCTGTGCTGCCTGTTGGCTAATGTTGGAAATTGTGGTTCCATCCATTTTGTCTAGATTTTTCAGTTGTTTCAGGAGGGAGGGTAAATTTGATCCTTTTTACTTAATCTTAGCTGGAGTAGAAGTCTTACAATACAGCTGCTTAACCCGTCCTCTTGTTTTCCACTCCATCCTCATCCCAGCCCTGGTGGCCCTCAGCAGAGTCCCAGGTTGCTACCCAGAGACCCTGCCATCCGTCCTCTTGTAGCTCTCTCTGCCGTGACTTATCAGTTACCTCTTCTCTGTTTTTTTTTCTTTCAAAGATTTGTTGTAATCTCTTGAGTGAGCTTCTCCTGATCAACTTGTCCCTATGGGTCTTCTATGTTTTCATTCATTCATGATTATTTTAGTGAGATCTTCAAAGGAAGAAGAAACCAGTGAGTGTAAACAGGTTAAACTGCCGTCTTCCACCAGACATTTCCTCATGTCTTTAAACAGTTAAAGTTTCTTGGAAACATTATTTGAAGGCAGATGTTCTCCTGGGGGACATTTACAATGCTTATAACTTTTTACTATTGTAAATAATGCTTTGATCACTGCCCTCATGCAGAATGTTTTGTGCATCTCGGTTACTTTTCTAGTATAAATGCTTAGAGACTCAGTCAAATCTTTGACAAAATTAAAACCTCTGAGGTATATTGCCAGAAGGCCACCAAAAATTTTGTATCATTCTACCCAGATACTACCAACGCTTTCTTCCTATGCTTACAAAGCACTTTCTTATTCTGGAATCAATAAAAAGTTTTCCTATATTTCAATTATTTTAAAGTCTCTCCCTAATCCACCTGAAAATTGTTTATGGCATAAGCGAGGGTGTGACTTTATTTTTATTTGGGAAACAGTTAATTTCCTCTCTTCAAAATGGGTTTCCATTGGCACCTCTTTGTGGAACATTTCTCCTTCCTTCCCCTCCTCAAATTGAGCTGGGGCCATACCTGGGTGCTTGCAAGGGAGATACACAGGGTAACACTGGCTTCTGGGCCTGCGGTCGTGTCTGGCTGGGGAGGGAGGATCCCCAGGACCAAATATTCTCTCAGAGCCCTGGAATCTACCCCAGTTTTATCCTGACGGCCCTGCTATAATGATGTGGATATGGATACCAGAACCGCTACGTACCAACCAATTCTAGACTATAGCACCTTCGCCCACTGCAAAGCTGACTCACACCTGAAGATGTCTTTATTATTATTATTATTTTTTAAGAGACAAGGTCTCACTCACTCTATGTCCAGGCTGGAGTGCAGTGGCATGACCATAGCTCACTGTAGCCTCGACCTCCTGGACTCAAGCGATCCTCCTGCCTGAGCCTCCCAACATGCTGGGACTACAGGCTTGAGCCACTGCCCCTAGACAAGATGGCTTTATCATCATACCCCAAGGTATCTATCAGTCAGGGTTTGATTGGAGAAGTAAACAGCTTGGAGATGTGTACCTGCTAATGACAGAAATTTGACTTTTGACTTCACATCACTTTGGGAGCTGGTTATACCGTCTTTTTTTTTTTTTTTTTTTGACAGAGTTTTGCTCTTGTTGCTCAAGGTGGAGTGCAGTGGTGCAGTCTCAGCTCACTGCAACCTCCAGCTCCCGGGTTCAAGAGATTCTCCTGCCTCAGCCTCCCAAGTAGCTGGGATTACAGGCACCCACCACCACACCGGGCTAATTCTTTGTGTTTTTAGTAGAGATGGAGTTTCACTATGTTGGCTAGGCTAGTCTCGAACTCCTGACCTCAGGTGATCTGCCTGCCTTGGCCTCCCAAAGTGTTGGGATTACAAGCGTGAGCCACCGCGCCCGGCCTATACTGTTTCTTGAAAGCTGTTGACTTGAAAGTTCGTGGCATGGGAAGATGGAAGTGGAAGATGGGCATGAGGTGGATATGAGGCTCCTGTGAGGCAGAGTCACAGCCCAGGAAGGTGCAGCAGGACCCGGAAGGATCTCCTGCCACCTCCCAGCCTCTACCTTCAGTGATGGGTCCATGCAGGAGAGGATGTTGCCTTTTGTATTGCATTAAACACCCGCTGGCTGGTCAGGGTTGTGGGGGGCGGGGCCAAGGCAAAAGATCCAGCAGGAAAGCTGAGTGCAGTGGTTCATGCCTATAATCCCAGCAATTGGGGAAGCCAAGGTGGGAGGATCACTTGAGGCTGCAGTGAGCCATGATCACACCTCTGCACTCCAGCCTGGGTGACAGGGTGAGATCCTATCTCTAAAATAAAATAAAATAAAATAAAATAAAATAAAATAAAATAAAATAAAATAAATAAAATAATAAAATAAAATAAAATAAATAAAATACAATAAAAAATAAAATAAAATAGGATGCAGCAGGAGTAGGGAGCCATGGACCTAGTCACTGTCCCATGCTGACTGTTGGGTGGGACAGATCTGCCTGTGCCTGCATCCAGGCTTAAAGACACAAGGTGCTCCTTTACCCAAATCTCAGACAAAAATGTTCCTGGGGCCCACACTCCCTGGAATCGTGTTTTAGCTCAGGGAGTCAATTAAATTTGGCAGAGAGGCTCAGAGGGGTGAAGGGGCCACTCACAGGCCTTCCTGGCCTCAAAGGCTGAGCCTGTCAAATGTGGGGAAGAGCTACTAGTTCAGAGCCAACCCTGGAGGCTGTTGGCCCCACCCTCAGGGACATGCCAATGAGCAGGTGAAGAGCTCAGCATCCTCCTGCTTGCCCACACCCTCCTCCCAGGAGAATCAGTGAGCACCCTTGGACCAGGGGCCCCTGACTAGATTTGGGCTGCTTTGGGGTTTGGAGGGACAAGTACTTGGGGCCAGGAAGGGCCTTGATGCAGGAATTCATGCCCCTTGAGGCCCACTAGGGAGCTATAGTCAAGGGCGGGGGTCCCAGCCATGGGGAGGTGAAAAGCCAGGCAGAATCTAGAGCGGCTTTTAGTTGGATTACTGCTCAAAGCTACTGCCATGATGAAAAAGGAAACTTTGCAGATGTGAATCTCAAGTCTAGAGAACATCTCGGGAGAGAAGGGCTACCAACCCAGTGGGAAGACCAAAACCTGGCCCAGCACCTCACCTGCCTCCCCACGGGGCTGGCCAGCTTCATGCTTGGTGTCCTCATCTTCCACCATGAGGTTAGACAGTGCATCCTGTGACTTCGATTCTTTTAAATTCATTGAAGTGTATAGTGTGTCCCATCTTGGCAAATGTTCCATGGGCATTTGAAAAGAATGTATGTTCTGCTGTTGTTGGGTGGAGTGTTCTATCGGTGTCAAGCAGACCCTCCAGGTCAATGGTATTATTGAGTTCTTCTATATCCCTGCTGATTTTCTTAGAGTAGTTCTATCAACTTCTGACAAAGAGATTTTGAGTCCTCCACTATAATTGCAGATTTGTCTACATCTTCAGCTCTATCAGATTTGCTTCATGGATTTTGAGGCTCTGTTGTTTGGTGCATACACATTTGGAAACAAAACTGAAAATACAACATATCAAAATATATGGGATTCAGCTAAAGCAGTGCTGAGAGGGACATTTGTAACGGTAAATGCTAGAAAAGAGGGAAGCTCTCAAATCAATATTCTAAAATCCCACCTCAAGAAACTAGGAAAAGAGGAGCAAAATGAAACAAAAGTGAGATGATGGACGAAAATAATAAAAACAAGAAAAATAAGTAAATGAAATCAAAAGCAGAAAAATAGAGAAATACCAATGAAACAAAAATTTGGCTTTAAAAAACAAAATCAGGGCTGGGCGTGGCGGCTCACACCCATAATCCCAGCACTTTGGGAGGCCGAGGCGGGCAGATCACCTGAGGTTGCCAGTTTGAGACTAGCCTGACCAACATGGAGAAATCCCGTCTCTACTAAAAAAGTTACAAAATTAGCCTGGCATGGTGCCGCATGCCTGTAATCCCAGCTACTCAGGAGGCTGAGGCAGGAGAATCACTTGAACCCGGAAGGCGGAGGTCACGGTGAGCCAAGATTGTGCCATTGCGCTCCAGCCTGGGCAACAAGATTGAAACTCCATCTAAATAATAACAATAATAAAAAAATATAAAAAAATAAAATCAGTAACATTTATAAACCTCTAGTAAGACTGAAAAAGACAAAAGGAGATAAGACACAAATCACCAATATTATGAATGAAACTGGAGATATTACTACAGATCCTGCAACATTAGAAGAATAATCAGGTAACACCATGAACACTTCTACTCTCACAAATTCAGAAGCTTAGGAAAAATGAACCAATTCCTCACAAATGACAGACTAGCAAAACTCCATCAAGATGAAATAGACAACTTGAATAGTCCTATGGCCATTTTTTAAAAATTGCTGTAAATAAACATTCCTTCCCCAAATGTCCAAGGCCAGATGGTTTCACTGGAGACTTTTACTACACATTTAAAGAAGAAATAAGTCCAGGCATGGTGGCTTATGTCTGTAATCTCAGCACTTTGGGAGGCTGAAGTGGGAAGATCACTGGAGCTCAGGAGTTCAAGACCAGCTTGGGCAACACAGTGAGAATCTGTCTATGTACTTTTTAAAAAAGAAAAAATAAAGAATTTATACAATTTATTCTAGGAAGTTTATGCAATTTATTCTAGAAAACAGAAGAGGTGGGAATCAATCCCAACTCATTTTTAATATCCCTTACAAACTTAGAAGCAAAAATCCTCAACACAATATTAGCAAATTGAGTCCAGCAATATATAAAAAGAATTATATACCATGACCTGGTGTGATTAATTCCAGGTATGTAAGGCTAGGACAATGTTTGAAAGTCAATGTAATCCATCATATCAACAGGCTAAAGAAGAAAAAGCATATGATTGTATTGATGCAGAAAGAGAATTTGGAAAAATCTAACACCCATTAATGACAAAATCTCTTAGCAAAATAGGAACACCCATTAATAACAAAATCTCTCAGCAAACTAGGAACAGAGGGGGACTTTAAAAATATATTTTATATTAAAAATATAAAAATCTTTATAGCTAATGTCATAATTAATGATAAAAGAGAAATGCTTTCTCCATAAGATCAAGAACAAGGCAAGGATGTCAGCTCTCATCACTCTTATTAACACAGTACTGAATGTTCTAGCTGGTGTAATAAGGCAAGAAAAGGAAATAAAAGGCATACAGATAGGAAAGGAAGAAATAAAACTGTTCCTATTGGCAGATGACATGATTATCTACATAGGAACACCAATGAATCCTAAAAAATAAACCTTGTAGAACCAATAAATGGGTTCTGTAGGGCTGCAAAATAAAATATCAACACACAAAAATAATCTTATTTCCATATACTTATAGTGAACATGTGGAAGCTGAAATAAATATAAAAACACACCATTTTCAATCACTCCAAAGAAAATGAAATATTCAGTTACACTTAACAAAAACATGTATAGGATCAAGTATGTGTTGAAACTGCAAAATTGATAATGAAAAAAGTAAAAAAACAAAAACCCTAAATAAATAGGAATACTATGTTCATGGATTGGAAGACTCAAATAGCAAAGATGCCAATTGTTCCCACATTGATTCCCACAGGAATAATGTAGTTCCTATCAAATCCTCAGCCAATTTGTGGGTATAGACAAGTTTATTCTAAAATGTATGGGAAGGCACAGATCCTAACTACATAAAATTATCTTAGAAAAGAAGAATAAAATGAGAAGAATTGCTCTACATGATGGTAAGTCTTCCTACAGTATATGGCTACAGAAACCAAGACAGTGTGGTAACAGCTGAGGGATAGACATATAGATCAATGGAACAGAGAACTCAGAAATAGCTCCATCCGACTATCCACAGCTGATTCTTTTTATAAGGGTTCAAAAGCAATTCAATAGAAAAAAGGCAGCCCTTTTAACAGATGGTGCTGGAGCAACTGGATAGCCATTGGCAAAAACAACAACAACAACAACAAAAAACTGAATCTGAACCTAAATCTCACACCTTATCCAAAAAATAACGTAAAATGGTTTCAGACTTAAACGTAACTGTAAAACTATAAAACACATAAAATAAATGAGAGAAAATCTTCAGAATCTATGGCTAGGCAAAGAGTTTCTCAGACTTGACACCAAAAGCATGATCCACAAAAGGAAATATTGTTAAGTGGGACTTCATCAAATTTAAAAGTTTTGCTCTGCAAAAGTCCATGTGAAGAGTATGAAAAGACAAGCTGCAGACTGGAAGGGCATATCTGTAAACCACATTTGCAAAGGAGTTATACCTAAAATATATAAAGAACTCTCAAAACTCAACATTAAAAATCCAGTTAGAGAGTGGGCAGGAGCACATGTTCTCAGGACCTTCAGAGGCTTTTTGCCTCCATGGGCAAAAATAATAAATTATATATATTTAAAATATTTTTAAAAATTAAAAAGGAAAATGAGCAAAAGATGAACAGGCATTCCATCAAGGAGGATACACTCATGGCAAATAAAAATCATGAATGTTCAACATCATTAGCCATGAAGAAAATGCAAATTAAACCCACAATGACACATCTATCAGAATGGCTAAAATAAAAAAGTGACAACTACAAATCCCGGTGAGTGTGTGGAGAAACTGGATCACTCCTTCACTGTTGGTGAGGGTGGAAAATGTGCCTGCTGGCACAGCCCCTCTGGAAGACAGTTTGTAGATTTTTACAAAACTCAACATGCAGTTGCCCTGTGACCCAGTCTTTGCTTTCTTGGGCATATTTCCTAGAGATAGGAAACTCATGTTCACAAAAACATGGACATGAATGCTTACAGCAGTTTTATTTGTAACAGCCAGAAACTGGAAACAGCCCAGATTCCATGGGTGAATGGTGAAATGCACTGTGGTATATCTGTAGAGTGGAATATTATGCAGCTGTGAAAAGTCATGAAATATTGATCCATAGAACTATTGATCCATTTGGGTGGATCTCAAGGGAATTCTGCTGAGTAAAAAAATGAATCCCAAAGAGTTACCTGCTATAGGATTCCAGGTAAATGGCATCCTCAAAAAGACAAAATGAGAGATGGAGAACAGATGAGTGGGTTCCTGGGTTGGGCTGTGTCTATGCAACAGCAGCAGGAGGGGTCCAGTGCTGATGGAAATGTCCAGTATCCTGATTGTGGCGGTGGACACATGAAGCTAGCATAGACCTAAACACCCACACACACAAATGAGTGCCTGTAACAATGTAAACTTCCTGGCTGTCATAACGTCCTAGAGATTTGCAAGCGGTTACCATTGGGGAAAACCGGGGGAAGGATACCAAGGGTCTCTCTGCACTATTTCTATGCAAGTGTCCAGCATGCATCTGACAGAGGACATGGTGCTATCCATGAGAATAAGCAGGACAGGTCCTGTGCTGGATGCCGCCTGAGGGGTGTGTGTGTGCCGGCGGGGATGCAGGCACCTTCTCTAGCTGGCCTGCAGGGGGCAGCCCCGCCTTGCAGGGATCTGGGCTCAGCAGACGCCCCTGGGCTGGGCTCAGCCTCCCAGGCCTGGCCTTGTGAGCCGAGGAGCTGTTCTGTGTCTGTCTGTCTGTCTCTGTCTCTGTCTGTCTCTGTCTCTGTCTCTGTCTCTGTCTCTCTCTCTCACACACACACACACACACACACACACACACACACACACACACACGGCGCAGCCTGTGAGCTCACTCTGCCCACGGCTGGCAGTCTGGGTGGGTTGCTTCTGCTTGAGCTCTTTGTCCAGCTCCATTTCAGATGACTCATGAGTGGTTTTTGCCCTCTCCCCTAGGGACACCCCCTGCCTGGCGTCATAAACCTTCCCAAGGAGGCAACATTTCCTGATAAGCAGCCTCTCGCCCCACTCCTCCAAGACCACCCAAGAGATTGGCCCCCCCTCCCTGGGTGGTGCCAACAGCCGCCCCGTCCTGGGCCTCCCCACGGCCTCTTGAGCTCAGAGCAGTGGTGTGCAGCTCCCTGGAACCCCATCCTCATGTACTCTGTTAGCTGGGCCAGGTCCAGAGAGGGGCACATCTGCTGGGGAAGAGGCCTCCCCCTGCTCTCCGAGGCCTTGGTGGGCATGGTGGCGGGGGGCGCCTTTGCCCAGTAGGACGTCCTGGCAGCGCCTACACTGTGGCAGCTCAGGCAGCCCTGCTGCACACCCCTCCTGCAAGGGTTTAATCAGGGGCTTGTGGCTGTGGGCATTCCTGTTCTCTGTCCTCCCTGCCCCAAGGGAAAGGATCCCTTTCTCTCACTGGTTCATGCTGTCTCTCTGTCTCTTTCTCACATGCTCTTATTCTGTTTCTCATTTTCTATCTCATTCATTTATTATCTTTCCCTCTCCATCTCTTTTTGTCTCTCATTCTCTGTCTTCGTATCTCTCTCCATCTGTCTCTTTTGTCTCCCTCTCATTCTCTCTCTTCATCTTTCATTAATTCCGTGTCTTTCATTCATTGTCTCTCCGTCTCTGTCTCTCATTCTCTTTCTTTCCCTATCTTCATCTCTGTCTCTCTTCCCATCTCTGTCTCTCTCTCTGACTCTGGCCCAGGGAGCATGAGACTGAGGAGGTTGGATCACTGGACTGGAGAGGTGGAGATAGGAACTAGCAGGATCCTCACCCAGCCCAGTTGCTGTGCGCAGCCAGGGACAGTGGGGCAGGAGTGGCCCTGGGGCGGAGGCGTCGCTCAGTTTCCCAAGGGTCCCGCCTCGTGAGCTTTCTGGCAAGGCCTAGGGTAACAAGCACTTATTTCTGCCCAGCCACATGGTGACTTGAGTGGATCGAAGGATGTTAGAGCTGCTTCTGTTTGGTGGGGGCACCCTGGCTTTCGAGAAGGGCCCACCGTTGGGGGTGTGTGAGCCCAGAGCCCTCCAAGCTCCTCACAACCCACACCACTTCCCTGAGGAATCCAGACTGGGCCTGGAAGGGGAGTCGGGATGAGCCTGGCCTCGGGGGGTGGCTGCCTTTGCCCAGCAGGGTGTCCCAGCAGCGCCCAGACACCACGGCAGCTCAGGCAGCCCCTGTACATGCTGTCTTGTGTGGGCATAGTCAGGGTCTGCGGCTGTGGGGGATTCAGCACTTCACAGGGCAGGGGTCTGCACGAAGACGGATGTTTGCAAGAGCGCCTGGACGTGATGAGCATTCACAGGCAGCTTACTTTTGGGTTTTCTCTCTATGTGGTAAGGCTCCTTCCTGAGCCCACGCCTCCTCCCTGGCGCTGACACAACCTGTCAGGGTTGTGCCTTCCCCACCCCTTGGAAAGCATGTTGAACCCTAGTTGCGGGTAGGGCAGGGAAAACCCAGCCTGGCCTTAAACACTTCTTGCAATCCCTTGGGGCTTCTGCCAGGGGCCCAGCGCATCCATTATAATTACACATCTGGAGCTGGGGAAACCACCACAGGAGGGGCTCCAGGAGCTGTGGGACCAACTGGGAGTTGACTGAGCTACAATTCCATGGGTTCCAGGACCTCCACAAGCCCCTACTGTGCCTGGGGCCACTGCGACCTGCTGGTTCTCCTGGAATCAATGTCGGTGCAGGGCTGTGTCCAGCTATCCCTGAAAGGTCTGATTATCTCTTCTCCCCACTGCATGGTCACCCTGGTAAAAGGCCAGAAGTGCCTTTGGGGAAGGCTGGGAGAAAGGTAAGAACAGTAAGTTTTTGGTAGTGCAGCGGGTCCCCCTCAAGGGGGCCCAGTCCCCTCCATCCAGCGGGTTCTGGGTCTGCAAACTGGCTCAAATTTGGGACTTGACTGAGGAGCTTGGACTTTTTTTTTTTTTTTTCCCAGACAGAGTCTCACTCTGTTGCCCAGGCTGAAGTGCAGTGGTGCGATCATAGCTCAGTGCAGCCTTGAACTCCTGGGTTCAAGCAATCCTCCTTCCCCAGCCTCCTGAGTAGCTGAGACTACAGGCACACACCATGATGGCCAGCTAACTTATTTATTTATTTATTTATTTATATTTTTAGTAGAGACGGGGTTTCGCCATGTTGGCCAGGCTGGTCTTGAACTCCTGGCCTCAAGTGATTCGCCTGCTTTGGCCTCCCAAATTGCTGGGATTACAGGTGTGAGCCACTGTGCCTGGCCCAGCTAATTTGCTAATCTGTTTTTCTTATTTTCTCTTCTTTGTTTTTTTTTAGATGGAGTTTTGCTCTTGTTGCCCAGGCTGGAGTGCAATGGCACGATCTCGGCTCACTGCAACCTCCGCCCCCTGGGTTCAAGTGATTCCCCTGTCTCAGCCTCGTGAGTAGCTAGGATTACAGGCACCCACCACCAAGCCTGTCTAATGTCTTTTGTATTTTTAGTAGAGACAGGGTTTCACCATGTTGGTCAGCCCAGACTTGAACTCCTGACCTCAGGTGATCCCCCAACCTCAGCCTCCCAAAGTGCTGGGATTACGGGCATGAGCCACCACGCCTGGCCCGCTTATTTGTTTGTTTGTTTTTTTTAATAGACACAGGGTCTTGCAATGTGTCTATAGCTGGTCTCAAACCCTGGGCCTCAAATGAACCTCCAGCCTTGGCCTCCCAAAGTGCTGGGAGTAGAGGGGTAAGCCACCACACCTGGCCTGTTTTTGACTGGAGGTGGATTTCTGTTCACCTGACTGTGGGCCCAGTGATGGCTTGTCCTGCCTACCTGGACAAGCCATCCCTTACCTGGAGAGCTTCTTAGGCCTGGGAGGCCGTGGGGAGTTGTGGGGTACAATGCACTTTCCAGCCAGAGAACCGCCAGCCCCAGCTTCTCCAACAGAAACATAGGGGCCAGACTGCATTATGGCAGATGAGAATAAAAAAGCCCACACTTCCTGGGAAACGTCTCCACCTCACACTGTGCCCAAGGTTGTCTGGATATGGCTTGAGAGAAGCAGGAGGTGGGGGCAGGTGAATGCTGCCCTCTGGGAAGGGACACTAGCGGCTGTGGCTGAGGCAGCAGGTAGGCCACGGTGGGCGAGGGCAGCCAGACGTGAAAGGGAGTTAGAGCCTGGGACATTCGTGGGAGGGGGTGTGATTCTCCCTGGGTCCAGGTAGGCTGAGGGGACTGCCTCTATCTGCCGCCATCATCCTAGGTGCAGGGAGGTAAGAGCTGGGCCAGCCCTGCCAGACCTCAGGTGTATCTCTGATATTACCCTGCCTGGGGCACTGGGTCCTACCAACCACATGCCCTGGGCTCCTGGGCATTCTGATAGGCTCCTGGCTGGAGCTGGGCCAGGGCTTCAAGTGGGGGTCTGGTGGGGCCACTCAGGGCTGGCCTGCCACTCCCACCACCACCAAAAGCTGCCATGAGCTGATGGCCTCCCTTCTCTGGCGAAACAGCAGGGTCCTTCCCGAGTTCATGGATGTCGGATCATCCTTCTCAGCACCCTCTTGCACCAAATGTGGTCCTGAGAGTCCAGGACTGGGACTAGAGCCCCCTGCCCCTCAGCCGGCCAGGCAGCTGCCTCCTTCCTTGGGGACCACTAAGCTGCTGCTGGGAGAGTGCTTCACCCCCAGTGGAAGGGAGCTCTGTGATGCCGGAGGCGCTTGTGATGCACATTTACAATCTCACACGTCTTCTTGGAGGCAGCCTCCATGCCTTTAAGCATGCCATCATTGCAGGGGGGTGTGTGGGGGGTGGGGAGGGTCTCCCGTCCTGTCTGCTTCCCTCTGCTGCCTCTCACTTCCTGGTGCTGGAGCCAGACTTTGGGGGCTCACTGGAGCCCATGGCCGTGGGGCGGGTGGGCCTCCCACTGGGGTCGCTGCAGCCTGGGTGGGCTGGGCTGCCGTCTGCACTCCCTCTGCTGAGTCAGCCCCATTTCAAGGGAGGTGGCCCAGCCCCCTGAGCAAAAGAGGACAAACAAGTGCCCTCTCCCCACAGGAGGGGGGTCCTATGGATGGGGAAGGATGTGAGACCAGTCACACCTAGTGGAAAAGCAGAACCAGGGGCCAGGGCTCCCACACAGGACATCATGCCTTGGAGAAAAGCCACCACTCGCTGGAGTTGGATGGGTCTCAGATGGGGAAACCGAGGCCCCGAGAGGGAGTGACTGCTCAGGCCCGGTCTCCTCCCTTCCCCACCCTTGCTTTGCCCCACATGCACCTGAAGCTCACCTGGCAAACTGGCCATCAGACACTCAGAAAGGGTATGCTCACAGGGGTGACCCACATGGCCAGGCTTTCCCAGGGAAGCAGGGCCGGGAGCCCTAGGGGTGGCGAGGTTGGCTCAGATCCTCGTGGGGGCCATTTTCTGCTGCTCCTATCTTCTTTGTTTTTCCTCTGAGGACCCTCATATTCGCCTCTGTCACTGCCACTGGCGGGATTTCACAGCCTTCCGGGGGCATGTGCTCCGCCCCCCAGGTTCTGCGGTCACTGTGCCAGAATCAGTCCCTGCAGGCACAGAGGGCACTGCCTAGAGACCTGGCACCGCAGCCCAGGTCTCTGAGGCCCCTGCAGCACGTGGCTGGGCAGGCTCGCTGGCCCTGTGTCCTCAGCCTTGGCAGCCTAGCCCGTGTTGGAGGCACCATCCTGCACTGACCAGGGTCTGCAGGTGGCAGGCATGCCACCGCCAGCCTGGACCCCAAGCCCTGTTCTTGTGTCCCTTGTTGCATGGCACAGAGGCCCCATCCAGGGAACTTATAAGCCTTCTCCTGGATGCCACCCCCAGGTCTGTCTGGAATGTGTGCACCTGTATCCTAATGCCAGCTCTGGGTCCTCTGACACCATTCTGCTTCAGAAGCAGCTCCGAATCCGTATCGCAGAGGGGACGAGTCCCCGGGCTGTGACTGAGCGCTTCCAGCTGCCTGGGTGTGCACCTTCCATCCCAGGAGTCCTCTTTCTCCCCGTCCCGGCCAGGACACAGGCTCTGAGAAGGGCGTTGCCCGATGGCTGGTGTTTCATTGACTTAGCCGCTAGCTCCACTCCCACAATTTAAGAATGGGGAGACCATCAGGACCCCAAAAGGTAGAGCTACTCACCTCACAGCCCCAGCAGGCTACGTCGCTTCATTCCCAGGCCGAAAGCGGCCACAGTCCCTGCCAGAAAGGAGCGATTCTCTGGCCCCGCTCCTTGAGGGGGTCAGCATGCGCAAGAGGCGCAGGCATCACCGGCTGGCCCGACTCCTCCTCACCAAGCTTCCCCCGGAGCAGCCGCGCAGCGCCCAGCTCGGGGCAGACGGCTGGGTCCTCTGTGGAACCATCCCCGACCGTCCCGGCCTGGAGCCCCGCCGGCGGCTAGCCCGGCGGCCAACGCCTCCCCTCCCCTCCCCCTCAATCCCGCCCCGGGGGCCGCCCCAAGCTCCCACTGCAGCGCCCCCAACGCTCTACCCGCTTCCCGATGCCCGCCTCCGGCCCCCCAATGCCGTCCCGCCGTGGTCGCCCCGGGTTCTCGCACGCCCCGCCCTCGGTTCCCACCGCTCTCCGCCTCCCCTTCCTCCATCCCCGCCGGGCAGGGCGCGCCCGAGACCCGCGCCGGGAGCGGCGGCCGGGGCCCCGAGTGGCCGGGAGGGGCTGGCGGGCTGGCGCGCGCGGCTCGGGTTTCGGCCCGCCCCCGGCGCCGGCGTGATCCCCTCCCGGGCGCGGGGCGGGGCCGGGCCCAGCTGGCCGCGCTCCGGGCGCTATAAGAGGGCGGCGGCCGCGGCGCGCCCTGCGCGGAGCTGGGAGCGCGATGGTCGGCCGCCGAGGCGCGGCAAGATGCTGGATGGGTCCCCGCTGGCGCGCTGGCTGGCCGCGGCCTTCGGGCTGACGCTGCTGCTCGCCGCGCTGCGCCCTTCGGCCGCCTACTTCGGGTAGGTGCCTTCGGCGGCCGGCGCGCACTGGTGGGCGGGGGCGGCGGGGCCGGGGCGGGGTCGTCCGGAGTCCCCGAGGCACCCGGGGTGGCTGGGGCCGGGGCGCGGCGGGGCCGCCGGGTTGCCTGGCGCTGTTTGTTTGCGGCGCGCGCGTCGCTCCGTCCGCTGCGCGGCACGGCTAGAGAGGCGGGTGGACCCGTCCGGCTTGCGCCGGGCCGCGGTCCTCCGTGACCGCAGAGTCGTCGTCGTCGTAGTCGCCGCCGTGAGCAGGACTGCCTCGCGCTTAGGGACTGGGATCAGGTCCCGACTTCCTTGGGCCGCCGTGTCCTTGCCAAAAGGCTGGAGCCTGAGTCCTCAGCCCCTGGCCATCGCCCACCTAGCAGCTTCCCCCCCTTTCTCTTCTCGAGAAGTTAATTTAACAATAACAAAAATACGTACAAAATCCAGATGTTCCTCGCGCTGAGCCCCAAACGGAGAGAGAGAGAGAAAGAGAGAAATCCTCCAAGCTGGAGGAATTTATTTTTCTTGCGCTTTGCTTCTGACTCTGTGGCCCGGGCCCCGGCCCGCGGGAGCGCGTCCATGGAACCTGGCCGGGAGCGCAGGGCCCGGCCGGGGCGTCCCGCGGTGTCATTGCCCGTGCTCACGTGTCTCTGCAGCAGCGCTTTGCCGGGCTGTCGGCGCGTCTCTCTCTTCCTTTCTTTCCCTTCCTTCTTCCCTCCCCCTCTCTGAGGTCTGGGATGCCCAGTCCTGCGACCTTTACAGGGACCCTCGCTGCGCTTTGGGCGCGCTGAGGTGCAGGGTGGCGCCGTGCGAGGCAGCGCCCCGGGCCTCCCCGCCACCCTCCAGCCTCCTACCCCGAGCGCCGCCGCTGGGAGCCCTGGCTGGCCTTCGGATCCCAGCCCCCGACCTGGACGCCCTGGGCCGCTCCCTCAGCCGGGCCGCCGCCCTCCGCCGGTCACCTGTTCCCGGCCCTCTGGCCTGAGCGCCAGCGCGCGGCGGGCTGGCCGGCAGAGGGCCCCGTTGGTCCAGGAATCTGGCACCCGCCCGGGCAGGGAGAGGCCGCCTGGGCCGAGGAGCCCTGCAGGTGTATCCTGTTCTCAAAGAAAATAAAATATTTTCATGGGAAACTTTCCCTTTGTGTTTTTCTTTCTCTCCCTTTCTTCTCTCTGTTCCTTTCTTCTGGGTCGTCTTCCAGGGTCAGCCCGGTGTCTCAGTTCCCTGGGGCCCCCACCCGCAGCCCTCTCCTGGCTCCAACTGTGGGTACGGCCCTGGGCCTGGGCTGGCACGCCACTGCACGCCATCTGTGCAACCCGTAGCCTCACCCGGGAGGGCAGGAGGGAGGGCCACAGGTCCGCGGTGACTCACCGTGGCCTTGTCAGCCAGCTGTGCTTCCCTGCTCTCCGGCCCAGCGGAGGCTCTGCTTCTTGGGCTGGGGACACACCCTGGGCTTGTCCAGGCTGCAGCGGCTTTGTCCCTGCTGTGATCCGATTCCTGGAGACGGGGTGGCGCTGGGTCTTGGCCTCTCCTTCTCTGACCTATCTCTGGGCTTTGTGCCCTAGAGAAGGTCAAGGGGCTCTGCTGCTTTGTGTGCGTGTGTTTCAGCTCTCTTGCAGACAGTAAGTCCAGGCTGGTGCCAGGCGCATAGCAAGGACTTAAGTGCTGTTGTGGCTTCTCTGGCCAGGCCCCCTTGGCCCTGCTTCTTGGCTCCAAAGGACCCATCAAGGGAGAATTCCTGAGTCCTGTCTGAGGGCAGCTCTCCATGTAGCTGCCCTGTGGGAAGTCCAGAGGGCAAGTGTGCTGCCTTTGGGGACAGCTGGCATTGCAGAGGGCAGCTAGGACTCTGTTTGACTGATGGAGAATGAGCACCTTCCTGAACCAGGGGCTGGGGGGGCATCCTGGGTCAGGGCAGGCCAGGTTCCATCTGGGCTGCTGGAGGCCTTGGGCCCCCTGTAAGTCAGTTCCCAAGGTTGGGCTGGGGAGGGGAAGCAGGGCACAAAGGGCTCCAGGCTGGGTTGTGCGGAGGCCTCTCCTGCTGTGGCTCCTGGCCCAGCAAAGGCAGGGGGTGGCCCAGGGCATTAAAGGCCAGGCGGGGCTGGAGCTGGAGGGGGGCTGGGGTGGCCCTTCCCAGCTCCAGTCCAGGAAGCAGGGAGAAGGGGCTGGGATCTAGGGCCGTTTTCTCCCTTCCCCCTCTCAAAAGCTCTGCCTGGCACGGAGTCTCCCAGGCAGGAACACGGCTCCAGTTACAGCCCAGGAACCCGGAGAGGAGAGGCTGGCCTGGGGGAGGGTCACGTGGACCCACGGGAGCCCTCCCTGCCTGCTCCCTGAGCTGCAACCCAACCCTGGCTGGCGCCCGCTGCCCTCCTAGAGGCCTCTGGCCACCAGGCTGGACCCCCTGTGGGGAAGAGGCTCCCCTTGGCCTGGCCCTGCACCTTGGCCTGGCTAGCAGGTGGCATCTCCATCTGGTTCTCCCATGGCTATGTCCATGTGCCTCCTCGCTGGCCTGGCCCCAAGCCCTTCTAGACAGAGGGGTAAGCAGGGAGGCCAGCCCGAGGTCATAGGGAGGGCTTGGGGTACAGACTCAGACCCTCTCCCCAAGGTTATAGCAAGAGGGTGGGCCTGGTGGTGGTCTGAGGACATGGTTTGTCCTCCATTGGGAGGCCCCTCTCGCTTCGCCCTTGCTGGGTTGTGGTTTCAGCTGAGATGGTAGATCCGGATTAGACGCCGGGGCTGCTTCTCTCCTGGGCCCAGACCCTCTGGATGTGGAGTCAGGGCTGGGCCTGGGTCTGGGGGCTGTTCCTGCCCAGCGGGGCTTGGACCCCCACCCCTGGCTGCTAGGCTGCCTGGCTCCCTGGCACCTTGCAGCCCTTTCCTTAGGGGTCCTGGGCTGGCTCGGGATGAGGTCTGAGGCTTCCCACTGGAGTTCTTTTTTAAAGACCCTGAGGCTGTTTTGTGGTGGTGGCCCTTGCAGTTTACATCACTCAGGAAACATTTGCAGGTTACTTTGCGGGGGCACGATGGTGGGAGGCCAGGCCCTGCCAATTTGCCCCCTTCTCTGGGCCTCAGTAGCCTGGAGGCCTGCCTGGAAGAGGCATAACCAAGGCTGGCACTGAGGGATTGTTGAGGTGCCCCCGGCTGTGGCCCCAGAGCCAGCCATCGGGGCTGGAAAGGTGCTTGGAACTGGTCCAGAAGCCAGGCTGGAGGGAGTGACCACTGTGAATTGGGGGCCTGGTGGGCCTCAGGGCTGGCTGAGGCTTTTTGTTATTGGCCGTAACTCACGTCCTGTAAAATCCACTCTTTTAATGTATACAGCCCCGTGATTTTGAGTACCTCATTTGCCAGGCCATGCAGCTCTCACCACTGTTTAATTCCAGAACATTTTCCTCACCCCAGAAACCTCATACGCATTAGGCAGTCGCTGCCCGTTCCCCTCCCCCAGTCCCTGGCAACCACTTGTCTGCGTTCTTTCTCCACGGGTCTGCCTGTCCTGGACGTTTCCTAGAAATGGAATCCTATGCCGTGTGGCCTCCGCGCCTGGCTTCTCTCACTCAGCATCACCGTTGTAGCACGCGTTAGTATTGCCTTCTTTCTTATGACTGAGTTAGACTCGACTGGAAGACTCTCCGAGAGATTTTTTGACCGTTCATCAGTTGACGGACATCTGGATCACTTCCAC
Organism: Homo sapiens; assembly: GCF_000001405.40. NCBI lineage: Eukaryota > Metazoa > Chordata > Mammalia > Primates > Hominidae > Homo > Homo sapiens. The sequence goes on along the minus strand of NC_000001.11, from coordinate 227,944,119 downwards.
TGTTTGGCTATGATGGATAATGTTGCTGTGAGCATTGGTATGTGAGGTTTTGTGTGTGTGTGTGTGTTTTCAGTTCTTGGGGTACATAGAAGTGGAGGTACTGGGTCACATGCATGTGATGTTTTTGTTTTGTTTTATTGAGACAGAGTCTTGCTCTGTCACCCGGGCTAGAGTGCAGCGATGTGATGAAGGCTCATTGCTGCCTCCACCTCAGAGGCTCAACCGTCCTCCCACCTCAGCATCCCAAGTAGCTGGGACCACAGGCACAAGCCACTAATCCTGGCTAATTTTTTTAAATTTTATTTTTTGTAGAGATGGGGTTTTACCATGCTGTCCAGGCTGATTTTGAACTCCTGGGCTCAAGGGATCTCCCACGTCAGCCTCGCAAAGTGCTGGGGTTACAGGCGTGAGCCCTTGCTCCCCGCCTGCATTTAGGTTTTTGAGGCCCTGCCAAACCCTTCTGGATGCAGCATCTTACATTTCTGCCGGCAGTGCAGAAAGGCTCCTTTCTCCACTTCCTCGCTGACACTGGTTTTCTGTTTTATTTTCTACCGCAGCCATCCTAGTGGGTGTGGAATGGCACCTTGTGGGGCTCTGACTGCATTTGTCAGGTGGCCAGTGGCGCTGAGCATCTTTTCGTGGCCTCATGGGCCATGGGTCTTCTTTGGAGAATGTCCATGCAGCTCCTTTGCCTGTTTTTAGTGGGGCTGCTTGTCTTTCTCCTGTTGAGTTTATGAGAGCTCTTTATATATTTGGATTTCTCCTTGGACTGAGAAGAACCTTGTCTCTAGACCTGTGAGCCTGTGGGCGCTCTTACCCCTGCACAAGGAGCCAGCGACACCCTGGCAGCCCCACTGGGTGGGTGGGGGCAGCCAGGACATCCCCCGTTGCCTAGAGCCTGGTGTGGGGCAGTTCTGGGTGCTCAGGGGACTCTCAAGAGGAGGCTGCGGAGAGGCTGCTGTCATGGGCGTGGGGAGGGGATGTGTTTCTCACATTAGTGCCAACATCAGACCCCGCAGGGTCCAAGAGGGAGGCTGCTGGCTGTGGGCAGGACATACCCTGCCTGGTCCCATGGCTCTGCCTCTCTGTGCATCAGGCCTGGGGCACAGCTGGCTGCCTGGATGAGGGGCACCTGTGGGTCCCTGGCAGGGCCGGAGAAGGAGGGGTGGGCCTGAGGTGTGGAATCATGGGGCTGTGTGCTGGGCAAGAGAAGCCTGGGAAGGAGCTGGCAAGAAGGCGGCATCTGGGGTGACCCCATGGCTGGGGCCTGGGTCGGGTGCTCTGAGCACTGTGGGCCGGGGGGTTTGGGAGCAGCTGAGAGCTCAGGCTTAGGTTTGGGCAGGCACTGTCCTGGAGACCCACCCCCTCCAACAACTTAGGACACCCCAGGAAGCATGTGGGGCCTGGCATCAGGAAGAAAGGCCACACAGAGTGCTCTGGAGGGCCAGAAGGGCAGGGAGGAAAGGGGCCAGGGAGCTGCCTTGTTTCGAGAGATCGTGGAAGTGGCTCAGTGGGGCAGACCTCAGCAGAGGGCTGAGAGGAGGGGCCCTGGGGGCCAGGGGACTCCCTGGGGACTTCTTAGCATGGAGAGGAGAGGACAGGGCCAGTGGAAAGTCGGGGCATTTCTCCAGGACTCCTGGACTGGGACCCCGTGGCCAGTAGAGGGACCCAGGTGCTTGGCTTCCCTGACAGTGGGGCCGTAAGTGGGAGGGTCTGGAGTGTCAGCCTGATGGCCCCTGCAGGCGCTGGTGGCCTTCCTCCTTCCTGCTCTGCACCCAGGGGCCTTGGAACCCCCAGCCTCTCCCTGCCCCACCTGCTTGGGGGTCCTGGCTCCCTGGAGGGTGTGGAGGGTGTGTGGTAAGGACGGAGCAGCAGTGCCTGGCCTGCCACAGCTGAGGGAGCAGATGTCCTGTCCACAGCCGGCGGACGTCTGGTTGGGGAGACAGCTGGCCTCATCTTGCTCCCGCCCTGCTGCAGGCTGCAGAGGGCCCCAGTGCCTGCCCTGGCCTGGGACCTTCCGCCGGCTGCTGGGGTGGCCCGGGCTGGGGGTGCCCTGCTCTGGGGTTTGGCCATCAAAGAAGCGTGTGGGTGACTCTTCCCCTAGGAAAGAGCACACAGGCACGGATACCTCCTGGAGGCTCTGGACCCTGGGGCAGGGAGGAGGTGATGCCTGTGGGAGGGTGGGGGCTGCGGGAAAGCGACACCTGTTGACAGGCCTCGGTCGCGCCACCTGATCCCAGCTGCGGCACGGGCTCCCTTTGTGCATTGTGCTGGGCGGCGGGGTCAGGACCGGTGCAGTTGTCTGGGACCAGGGTGGCTCCCGCAGCAGTGTCTGTGGGACTGGGGACTGAGCCAGGCCCCCAGAACCCAGAAGGCCAGCCACGAGTGGGGGTTCCCCAGACCCCATGCCTTCTGGCTGGAAGTTGACCTCTGATGGGGCTGACCCCTAGGGTCAGGTGAGGCCCTTGGGGCACAGTGGTGCCATCTCCCCTGTGCTCCCAGGGCCTCGCCTGTCCCTTGAGGTCGGCCCCAGCTGCTGCTTCTTGCAGGAAGCCCAGTGACTGCCCAGATGCCTCCTTCTCTCCCTGCATGCTCAACTCTGGGGTTTGCCAGGAGGGTCCCCATGGAGTCTCCTCAGATGCATCCTTCTCTCCCTGGTTGCTCAACTCTGGGGTCAGCCAGGAGGGTTCCCGTGGGGTCTCTTCAGATGCATTCTATTCTCCCTGGTCGCTCAACTCTGGGATCAGCCAGGAGGGTCCCCTTGTGTTCTCCTCAGATGCATCCTTCTCTCCCTGGTCGCTCAATTCTGGGATTGGCCAGAAGGGTCCCTGTGGGGTCTTCTCCAAGCTGCATTCTGTGTGCCCTCCTATCCCAAGACTCCCTCAAGCCTGAGGCTCTCCCTGCCAGGTGGATCTGTGTCACTCATTCACCTGGCAGCCCAGCCCCGGGTCCTACAGGACTCTGACTCTGGCAGGGCTGTGTCTACACTTGTGGCCAGACGTAGTGCAGTGCAGACCTGGCTGCCAGGCTGCCGCACCTTCCCGTGTGTGGACGATAGGCCAGGTGTTGATGGCCCCACCAGAGCAGCCATGCAGAGTGCAGCCCCGGCGGGGACGTGACCCTGGTTTTCCTTCAGGGGTCATATTCAAGCACATCCGTGGTCCAGGCCGGGCAGGGTGGCAGGTGGCTGGGGATGGTCTTGCTGTGCCTGCTGACCTGGGTGGCACTGGGCCGCCCCGGCCCCGTGACCTGCAGCCTGGGCCCTCCCAGGAGCCTGTTGCCCTCCCGGCATGGTCCTGGCTGGCTGGGCGCCGCTGCCCGCCAGAGGAAGCCCAGCTGTCCAGCTGGCAGTTGCAGCACCTCAGGACCAGTGGCCGGATGGGACGATGGAAAAAGGCAAGCCGCAGGCTGCATTTGTTTTTTTTAGCGATACCTGAGGTCAGTGCAGCCAGGGGAAGTGGGCTGGAGGTCTGGCCCAGGAGGAGCTGCTGCCAGAGCCTCCCAGAGCTGGAGAACGTCAGGGCCGGCGTCCCTCCTGGCCAGATGGGGACAGAGGCTGCAGACCTGGAGTCACTGTGGGGTGGGGAGGGGAGCCAGGTGGACTTTGGGATGCTCCCTCTGTGACACCTACAGGAGAGTGAGCTCCAGAAGGGATGACAGTGTGGGAGGTGACACTGGTGGCCACTGGAAGGTTGCGTGGCTCTCCCTGTCCTGCTGACCAGTTGTGTGGGTCTGCGGCTGTCTGGGAAGGCCATGGGGGGCTGTGGTCACTGAGCACAGAGGCCTCCTGGAAGCTTCTGCTCTTCACCTTTCCCCCGGGGGGTCCTGCGTGCAGCCTTGGTTGCCTGTCTTGCAGCCCACAGACCAGCCATGCCCCTTCTGGGGTCCAGGACCCTGCCCCAGAAAAGGGCAGTCAGCCCAAGTAGCCTGGGGGAGCTGGGCTGGCCTCTGTGGTCTGGTTTGGGGGACCCCATGGATGCTGCAGACACAGACAGGGCAGGGCTTATTCCAGGGGCTGCCATGGGACACGGTGCTTTCAGCAGGGTGGAGGGGGGTGTTTCTCTCAGGCCCGAGGATGCTTCACCTGGCAGGCACCTGGGCATCTGCACAGGCCACCCGTGCCATCCTTGCGGCATGTGCCCCACCTCCTGGGTGCAGCTGGGCCCTGGTGGCGTTGCAGCCCTGAGGGACACAGCAGACGTGCTTGGGCTGGAAGCTGGGCTCGGGCTGGGTTGATTTGCAGACCACGGGGAGGGTGGAGAGTTGATCTCAGCCCCGGTTTCTCAGTGCTAGAATTTGTTTTGATTTTGTTTCACACAGAAATTAAACGCTGTCTGGCAGGACTGAGGTTTTGCTGGCGGGGTGTTGTGGCTTCTGGAACTGCAGTCTCTTCTCCCTCTGCCCCAGCCTGGGGGAGAAAGCTGGGTCCCGGTCAGGGTGGCTAGACCTGCTGGCAGGAGGCAGGAAGGTCGGAGTCCGGCCTTGGTGATGTGTGCTCCCTCCGTAGGACTTCCTGTCTATTGTGCTGGGAGCTGGAAGGAGCCTGTGGCTTTAGGGACCTGGCAGTGTGGGGTGGCTGTCCCTGTGTGTTTCAGGTTCTCTCTGGGGACAAGGCCCGTTTAGCTGCCCTCAGGCTCAGGGCAAGGTGTCTTGAGTGGGTCCTCCCAGGGTGGCCCAATCCCCAAGCAGCCAGGACATGGCAGCATCAGGCCTAGCCAGAGGAGCGGGGGGCCGTCCCCAGACTCAGCACCATGTGTGCTAAGCTCCACTCCTGTGGGGCTGGGGAATGGTCTCCACGGAGCTTCTGCAGGGGTCAGTGCTGACCACCGCGGCCAGCTTCCAGGGCTCAAGGAGGCGACCGGGTCACCGCTCCCTGGAGCCACCTCCCCCGTGGTTCCTGAGACCAGCACTGTCTGCGGCCCCATCTGCAGCGTGGAACTGTTCTGTGTGCCCTGTGGCATGGCAGCCGCAGCCACGTATGGGTGTTGAGACGTCTTCCTTCTCTCCAGCTGGCCTGTGTCCTCCTGCATGGCTGCACCTGGAATGACAGTCAGAGGTGGGAAGTGGCTGGGGCTTGAGAGGTATGGGTGTCCCGTGGAGCCGTCGTCATCCGGGCCCTTCACCGGGGAGAGCAGTCATGAACTGGTGCTGCCGTGAGCCTGGCAGGGGTGCAGCCAGGTCAGAGGCCGCTTTCAGGTCCCAGCCCTGCCTCTGCACTCACAGGCTGCACATGCCGCTACACTGTTTAATCCCCTGAACCTCAGTTTCTTGCCGGTGTAGCAGAGTCAAAAACACACTCACCAGGTAGTTTAGGACATGAAGACATGAGACACTGGAGAGCATAGATGCCTGTTTTCAGCAACAGGCCCACAAGACTCAGAGGCTTTTCTGCTTGAAACAACTAAAGCGAATTTTTACATGGATCTTATGTGTGTACATGCATGTATATGTATGTGTATGTGCATGTATGTGTGTTTGTGTTTGGATGGACATGTGCATGTGTGTATACATGTATGCATGTGGGGGGTTGTGTGTCTGCACGTGCGTATGCGTGCATCTCTATCGGTTTACGGGTTCATATGGGTGTGTCTGTGTGTACACATGAGTGTATGGGTGTATCTGTGTGTGTGGGTGTGTTCGTTCCTGTGGATGTGTGTATGCATGTGTCTGTGTGTATGGGTTTATGGGTTCGTATGGGTGTGTTTGTGTGTGTGTGTGTGAGGGGGTTTGTGTGGGTGTGTTTGTTCCTGTACGTGTGTATGCGTGTGTCTGTGTGTATAGGTTTGTATGGGTGTGTATGTATGGGTATATGTGTGTGTGTATGCGTGTGTGTATGGGTTTATGGGTTTGTATGGGGGTGTGTGTGTACACATGTGTGTCCGTGTGTATGGGTGTATCTGTGTGGGGGGGTTTGTGTGTGTGTGTATATTTAACTTTATAAGTGTCAAAGAGCTGATGAAATGGTTGGTGGGGATCCCTAGAAATAGCAAGAACAGATGCTGAACAAGAAAGTGTGAGGTTGGTTTGGTCTCATGGGATGAGGGTGCATAGTAAAGGCCAGGACCCGCTAAGGAGAGAATACTCAGAGGAGGCCCTCCCACAGTCCCAGGTGGCCCCCAGGGCAGGGCACAGCCACCACGTGTGCGCTGAGGCCTGAGTCACCAGCGTGGTCCCGGGCCCTGGCCTCATGCTGGGTTTTGGGTGGCCTGGCTCTGGGACCGCAGGTGGCCCTAGAAGCCTGGCTGGTGTGCACATAACGAGATCCTTTCCAAAATCTGTGCTGCTGTCCTGGGGCTGCTGTCAGGCACCACAGACTGGCTGGCCTAAAACAACAGGACTTCTGTCTCAGGTCTGAAGGCCAGAAGTCTGAAATCACGGCGTCCGCAGGGCCATGCCCCTCTGGAGGCTTGAGGGGAGGGTCCTTCCTGCCTCTGCCAGCTGCCAGCGATGGCTGCGAACCGTGGGGCTCCTTGGCTGGTTGACTGGCCACTTTACGCCCTGCTTCCATCTTCACGTGGCCCTCTCGTCCGCCTCTGTGTCTTCTCCTTTTTCTTATAAGGACAGCCTCCACTGGCTCTAAAGAGCCCACCATGTCTGGGATGATCTTGCCTTGAGATCCTTATCTCAGTTACTTCTGCAATGCCTCTTATTCCACATAAGGCCCCTGACTGAGGTTGCGTTAGACGCATTTGGTGGGGGACACCATTCCACCTACTGTAGTACCTTTATCCTCTCCTTCAACTTGTTTCTGCCAACTGTTTCCTCAGTACAGTGAGCAGCCCGGGGTCAGAGCTAACCAGGCCTGCACAGAAACACAACAGGGGCCTCGAAAAGACAGCCGCAGCCCAGGAAGCGGAGCAGCGGTGCTGAGTGCAGCGGCTCTCCTCACTCTGCCTCTAGGAAGGAAGACACTTGGGGATGGCTGCAAGGCTCGGGAAACCACAAAGACTGACCCAGCAAGTTTGGAAAAACCAAATAGAGCTAGAGGGGGAGAAAAGTAAGTAAGGCCTGATTTAAAAGCAGATTAGAAACAGCTGAAGGGAATTAGCACAACGGAAGATAGGTCAGAAGAAATTACCCAGAGTATACCAGAGAGGCGGCAAGATGTCAGACAGAGGGCAGGACACCTCGGTGACACGGGGAGGCCATGCCAGAGGCAGCTGAGAAGGGTGCGGGAGTGGGACAGGGCTGATATGTATGAGGGGAGAGGATGAGAGTTTTCCGAAATTGAATAAAGCTGTAAAGAAGATTCCAGAAGCCCAGTGTCTTCCCAGGCCAAAAGTAAAAATAAGTTCACCCTGGAACATGACACATTAGAAGCACACAGCATGCTGGGCACAGTGCCTCGTGCCTGTGATCCCAGCACTTTGGGAGGCTAAGGAAGGAGGATCACTTGAGTCCTGGAGCTGGAGGCTGCAGTGAGCCAAGATAGCGCCACTGCCCTCCAGCTTGAACAGAGCAAAGACCATGTCTCAAAAAAAAAAAGACTGGGTGCAGTGGCTCATGCCTGTAATCCCAGCACTTTGTGAGGCTGCGGTGGGTGGATCACCTGAGGTCAGGAGTTTGAGACCAACCTGACCAACATGGTGAAACCCCGTCTCTACTAAAAATACAAAAATTAGCTGGGTGGCCAGGTGCAGTTCCTCACTCCTGTAATCCCAGCACTTTGAAAGGCCAAGGTAGGTGGATCACCTGAGGTTAGGAATTTGAGACCAGCCTGGCCAACATGGCAAAACCCCGTCTCTACTAAAAATACAAAAAAATTAGCTGGGCATGTTGGCAGCTGCCTGTAATCCCAGCTACTTGGGAGGCTGAGGCAGGAACAATCGCTTGAACCCAGGAGGTGGAAGTTGCAGTGATCTGAGATGGCACCACTGCACTCCAGCCTGAGCAACAGAGCGAGACTCCGTCTGAAAAAAAAAAGAAAAAGAAAAAGAAAAACTGCACAAGATTGAAGACAGAATCATAAAAGCCATCCTGAGAAAGAAGAATACAGATGAGGCGTGAGGACACCAACAAGCTGGTGCCGACCTCAGGAGGTGGAGGCCCTGCTGCATAACAAGATGCAGGAAGGAGTGAGGGCAGAGCGTGGGCTCTGAAGGTGCCATGGAGGTAGTGCTGACTGATAAAACAGTGTCTTGTTGGGCCCCCAAATGGAGGTAAAACATGCAATTAGCACATAACTCAGGGCGGGAGAGTCGATGGGAATATGTTCTCTGGCCCTGTGCTGCCCAGGTAGAGAAGGCACTAACCAGCATCAGGCTTAGGTAGGTCACAGACACATGGTATAGCATTGAAGGTGACTGTGGAAATTACAAAAAATATTGTGCAACTTCAGATGAGCAGAGGGAATATGTGGAATAACAACAACAACAACAAAAACCCAAAAAGAGGAAAAGAGGATGAAAAAACCCAGGACAGGCATGGTCAACAGAAAGGATGAGACAAGAGGGTAAACTGAGGCTCCAGACCCTAGGGGATGAACTGCTCCAGGCGAAAGCCTGGGTTGATTGGAGTGTGGTTAAGGGCTTAGTCTAATTTCCCTGTAAGAGACACTCCAAGGATGGAGGATACAGAATGTTAGAGGAGGGGAGAGAACTCACCAACTCAGAGGGCTTAGGGCACAGAGGGAATCTCGAGAGAAGAAGGAGGAGAGGGCCAGATGGTGAACCAGGCTCTGCAGCATGACCTGAATCTGTGACTTGGTCTCTGTTTGGCAGCCTGAGATTGTGACTCAGGCTCTCTATGGCAAACAGAAACCTAGGCTGTTACTGGGGTCACAGTCCCCACTATAGTGAACTGGAGCTGTGACTCAAGCTCTGTATGTGAACTGTGTCTGACTCAGGCCCTGTATGGTGAACTGAGGCTGTGACTCAGGCTCTGTATGTGAACTGGGGGTGTGATCTGGGGTCTGCTTGGCAACCTGAGGCTGTGGCTGGGGTCACAGTTTCTGCTATGGTGAACAGGGGATGTGACTCAGGCTCTGTATGGTGAACTGGGGCTGTGACTCAGGATCTGTATGGCAAACTGAGCTGTGACTCAGGCTCTGTATGGTGAACTGGGGCTGTGACTCAGACTCTGTGGTGAACTGAGGCTGTGACTCAGGCTCTGTATAGTGAACTGGGGCTGTGACTCAGGCTCTATGTGGTGAACTGGGGCTGTGACTCAGGCTGTCTATAGTGACCTGAGTCTGTGACTCAGGCTGTCTATGGTGACCTAAGGTTGTGACTGGGGTCACAGCCCCCACTATGATCAGCTTGAGCTTACCTGAGGCTATGACTCAGGCTCTGTATGGTGAACTGAATCTATGACTCAGGCTTTGTAGAGGTCCCTGAGGCTGTGACTCAGGCTCTGCGTCGTGACCTGAAGTTGTGACTGAGGTTCCAGTTTAGGAGCAACTGAAATGATGACAGTGATAGCTTTAAGTGCACATTTTAGAAGAGGAGAGAAACTAGAACGCACAGTACTGTTGAGAAGCTAGAGAGAGAACTACAGGCCAACGTGAAAGGAAATAGAAGGAAGACATTGGAAATAGTGCCAACAGTAATTACATAAGAGTAGACATGCCGTAGAGATGACAGCTCACTTCTTGGAAATATCTGAGACTAATCCAGAAAGATGAGGCTCATTGCATTAGTTTCCTGTCTAGGGGAATCCCTACAGATTCTTCAGACAAAAACAGGAGAAAGCAATTAATAGATTCATGACAATAAATCTGAAAATTTAGATGAAACTGACAAAACCAGAAAAGAAAAGTAATAGAAACTAAGTCAAGATACAGAAATATTCATTAATCCTATAATAATTAAAGAAAGTGGGGCATTGAGAATATAAAGTGCAGCCACATTGGAAAACATCTGATTTCCCAAGGGATTAAGCACAGAGTTTCCCTGTGACCCAGCAGCTCCACTCCCAGGTGTATACCCAAGAGAAGTGAAAACATATGTCCACACAAACACATGTGTGAATGTTCATAATGGCAGCAGGTATGAAAGCTGGAAAATGGAACAACCCAGGTGCCTCTCAGCACATGAATGGATGAGCACAACGTGTTCCATCCACACAATGGAATAGGATTCACCCTTAAGAGGAGGGATGTTCTGACACAGGCTGCAGCCCAGATGAACCTCGAGGACATTGTGTTCGGTGAAATAAGACAGCCACAAAAGGTCAATGCTGCGTGATTCCACTTAAATATCCAGGATAGGCAAATCCATCAAGACAGAAAGCGGATCAGGGCTGGGGGGTTTCTGAGGAGATGGCAGGCCCTGCGTCTGACTGTGGTGATTGTTGCCCATATCGGTGAATTCACAGCGAATCTTGCAGTGGGTGAGTTTGTGGTGTGTGAGCTGCAGCCTGACCCTGCTCCACTGTGCTTGGCTCTGTGGTGCCATTGCATGTCAAGGATTAGTAGCAGCCCTGTCACAAGCACGTCCTGAGACAATATTAAAATTAGACCAATTAATAACCCTACAGTGGCTTCTGAGTGTTCAAGTGAAAGGGAGAGTCGCACGTCCCTCACTTTAAAGTGAAGAATGATTAAGATTAGTGAGGAAGGCATGTCCAAAGCCAAGACAGGCTGGAAGCTGGGCCTCAGTTAGCCAAGCTGTGAATGCAAAGAAGTTCTTGAAGAAAATGGAAAGTGCTACTCCAGTAAACATACAAATGATAAAGTGAAACAGTCTTATTGCTGACATGGGGAAAGTGTGAGTGGTCTGGATAGAAGATCAAACCAGCCACAGCATTCCCTTAAGCCAAAGCCTAATTCAGAGTAAGGCCCTAACCCTCTTCAGTTTTATGAAGGCTGAGACAGGCCAGGAAGCTGCAGAAAAAAAGGTGGAAGCAAACAGAGGTTGGTTCACAAGGTTTAAGGAAAGAAGCGGTCTCTGTAACATAAAAGTGCAAGAGCTGGTGGAGACACTGCAGCAAGCTCTCCAGCAGATCCAGCTAAGATCAATGATGAAGGGGGCCACAGTAACAACAGATCTTCAGCGGAAATGAAACAGCCTTCTACTGAAAGAAGATGTCATCTGGGACTTCCATAGCTAGAGAGGAGAAGTCAATGCCTAGCTTCAAAGCTTCAAAGGACAGGGTGACTCTCTTGATAGGGGCTAATGCAGCTGGTAACTTTTAAGTTAAAGCCAATGCCCATTCACCATTGCAACAATTCCATGACTGTTAAGAATTACGCCAAGTCTACTCTGCCTGTGCTCTAGAAATGGAATAACAAAGCCTCGATGACAGCACATTTGTTCCCAGCCTGGTTTACTAAATATTTTATGCCCACTGTGGAGACCCACTGCTCAGAAAAAAAGATTCCTGCAAAGTATTATTGCTCATTGGCAGTGTCCCGTTCACCCAAGAGCTCTGGTGGAGATGTGCCAGGAGATGTATGTTGTTTCCATGCCTGCTAACACAATGTGCATTAATTCTCCAGCTCATAGATCAAGGAGTCATTTCAACTTTCAAGTCTTACTATTTAAGACATTTCATAAGGCTACAGCTGCCATAGACAGTGATTCCTCTGATGGATCTAGGAAAAGTCTATTGAAAACCTGCTGGAAAGGATTCACCATTCTAGATGCCTTAAAAACATTCATGATTCGTGGGAGGAGGTCAAAACAGCAACATGAACAGGAGTTTGGAAAATGTTGATTCCAGCCCTCAGGGATGACTCTGAGGGATCCCAGACTTCAGGGGAGGAAGTCACTGCAGATGTGGTGGAAGCAGCAAGAGAATGAGAATTGGAAGTAGAGCCTGGAAATGGGACCGAATTGCTGCAGTCTCATGATAAAATGTGAATGGATGACAAGTTGCTTCTTATGGATAAACAAAGAAAGTGGTTTCTTGAGATGGAATCTACTTCTGGTGAAGATGCTGTGCACATTGTTGAAATGACAACAAAGGATTTAGAATTGATATCAATTTAGTTGATAAAGCAGTGGCAGGGTTTGAGAAGAGTGACTCTAATTGTGAAAGCAGTTCCACTGTGGGTAAAATGCTAGCAAGCAGCATCACCTGCTATAGAGAAGTCTTTCATGAAAGGGAGAGTCCATTGATGTGGCAAACTTCATAGTTGTCTTGCTTTAAGAAATTTCCGGCTGGGCGTGATGGCTCACGCCTGTAATCCCAGCACTTTGGGAGTCCAAGGCAGGCGGATCAAGAGGTCAGGAGTTCCAGACCAGCCTGGCCAACATGGTGAAACCCTGTCTCTACTAAAGATACAAAAAAAAAAAAAAGACATTTCCACAGCCACCCCAAACTTCAGCAGCCACCACGCTGACCAGTCAGCAGCTACCAGCATGGAGGCAAGACCCTCCCCCAGCGAAAAGATGACAACTCAGTGAAGCTGAGATGATTGTTAGCCTTTTTAGCAGTCCAGTGTTTTTAACTAAAGTATATGTATTATTTTTAAGACATAATGCTATATTGCTCACTTAAAGACTGTAGTGTAAGCATACCTTGTAGAAGCACTGGGAAACAAAAAAACTCATGTGATTTGCTTTTTTCTGACCTTTTCTTTATTGCGATGATCTGAAACCAAAGCTACAACATCTTCAAGGTGTGCCTGTGTATCTCAGTAAAGCTGTTCAGAAAGAAAAGAAAAAAGAAACTGGATCAGAAAGGAAATCTTTTTGCCAAGAATAGCTCAGTCCTTAGATGGCTTCATGGCCAGTTCTTCAGAACAAACAGTTAAGAAGATACAATTCTCATCTGATACAAACTCTCCTAGGAAAATGAAACAAGACCCTTCACACAGGCACTGAAACTCAGTGGGAAGAGCTAGAGAGAAGAAAATCACAAACACAGACGTGAAAATCCTAGGAAGACACTATCGGAAGACATCTAGCCCCATAGAAGAGGATGGAGCCCGTCCTGGCCAGGTTGAGTCCAGGAAGACAAACTTCCACAGAACATTGGTCAGTTTCTGTAGCTCACTGCAACAGTGAGGCTGCAGTGAGCTGTCATTGTGCCACTGCACTCCAGCCTCGGTGGCAGTGTTAGACTCTTCCTCTAAGAAAAAGGAAGGAAGGAAGGAAGGAAGATGAGAGAAGAGTCATACCTCAAAAGATGTAGGGATGACATTTGATAACATTCAATATTCATTTTTTTTTTTTTTGAGACGGAGTCTCACCCTTGTCACCCAGGCTAGAGTGCAGTAGCGTGATCTCGGCTCATCGCAACCTCTGCCTCCCGGGTTCAAGCGAGTAGCTGGGATTACAGGCGTATGCCTCCATGCCCAGCTAATTTTTATATTTTTAGTAGAGACAGGGTTTCACCATGTTGGCCAGGCTGGTCTCGAACTCCTGACCTTAAGTGATCCTTCCACCTTGGCCTCCCAAAGCATTGGGATTACAGGCGTGAGCCACTGCGCCTGGCCTCATTTATGATTTTTAAAGGTTCTTAGCAAACTAAGAACCAAAGGGCGCCTCTGTGGCCGGAAACGGTGTTTGGGCGTCAGGCTTCATGCTGAAATGTTGAAAGCATTCCTCTGAAGATGAAGAGCAAGACCAGGATGGCGGCTGCCACCTTTATGCAAACCGGGGTGATGCAGGCTGGTTTTTTTGTTAGTTTGTTTTTAGATGGTCTCAGTCTGTCACCCAGGCTGATGTGTGGTGGTGTGTCCGTGGCTCACTGCAACCCCCACCTCCCAGGCCTGTGCCATTTGCTGAGTGTGGAGCGAGTTCCATGGATTCTGGATAGGCCATCTGTGCCCCGGCACAACTCACAGCTGTATGGGGAAGAACGTGCTTCCTCCATCTTTGGGTCTTTGCTTGGTCCGGTGCAGCCACAAACGCGCATGCACATGCAGCCCCTGCTGAGCTTATCCACCCACTCCTGGGCTCTGCTTGTCCACTGAGCACACCTGGGGCGCGACTCGGCATGGATTCACATAGGGTGGCTGGCTGCTCATGGACCACGTGACACGCCACAGAGCGTGTGGATCCGACGTTCCCAGCTGCTCTCCTGCTGTCTCCAGCACGTTCCTATAACAAGGCTGTGTTGAATGGCATACTGGGAAGGTACAATGCACGTGCAGGCTATGCTTCCAGAAAGATGTGATTATATCTGTAATTGTCAGGCATCTTAGTTTACGCAGGCTGCTATGGCAAAACACCACAGCCTGGGAGCTTATAAAACACAGAAGTATGCTGCTCACAGCTCTGGAGGCTGGAAGGCCAAGGTCAAGGTGTGGCAGATTCTGTGTCTGGTGAGGTCACTTCCTTGTTCATAGACATTGCCTTCTCACCATGTCCTCACATGGCAGAAGAGGCAAGGGTCTCTCTAGGGTCCCTTTTATTTATTTATATTTTATTTTATTATTATTTTAACCACAGCTCACTGCAGCCTTGACCTCCCAAGCTCAAGTGTTTCCCCCGCCTCAGCCTCCTGAGTAGCTGGGACCACAGGCATGCACCACTGCGCCTGGCTAATTTTTAAATATTTTATAGAGACCAGGTCTCACTATGTTGCCCAGGCTGGTCTTGAACTCCTGACCTCGAGTGATCCTCCCGCCTTGGCCTCCCAAAGTTCTGGGTTTACATGCGTGAGCCATCGCACCCAGCCTGGGGTCCGTAAGGACACTAATCCTGTTCATCGCCTAATCACTTTCCAGAGGCCCCACCTCCTAATGCTACCACTTTGATGGTGTTAGGTTTGACCATATGAATTTGGGGAAGACACAAACATTCAGACCACTACAGTGGATTATTTTTAAAGTTTCCTAGATATGTCAGTCTGGAATTCCAGCCGTGGAAGAGTGTCTCCCCGTGTCCTTGACGATATTCCCATCAGACATTTGATTTGTGCTTATTAATTAACAAAGCATAATGTATCAATATAGTTTTTTTTCTTGAGATGGGGTCTTGCTATGTTGCCTGGGCTGGTCTCCAGTTCTTGGGCTCAAACAACCCTCCCGTCACGGTCTCTGGAGCAGCTGGGAAGGAAGGCACAGAATGTCTTAGAGTGGGGCTGAGTGTCGGCTCACAGGTTTGAAGAGCCAGTTGGTTTCCTTCCCTTGGCCTGTAGGTTTATACCCTTTGTCTGTCTTCAGTCGGTTCCTTTGTTATTGGTTTATAGGAAGAGATATGCATCCAGACACACACACACACGTGCACAGCGCCGGCCCCTGGTCTGGGGTGTGAGTTGTAGGCATTTGCCCCAGATGTAATTTGTCTGTTGGTCTCTGGACTCTGCGCTGCCTCTTTTTTGTTCTTTGCTGTGCAGAGATTTTTATACTTTTAAGTAGTCAAATATATTCACTTTTCAGTGACTTCTGAGTTCTGAGTCTCACGGAAGAAAGCTTCTCTGTTCTGAGGTTGTGTTGGGAACCACTCCTCCCTTCTTCAGCCCTTCTGTGGCTCTGTCGTGTGGCAGAAAGAGAGCCCCACCTGGAAGCCCTGCCTGTCAGGAGGGTCTGGGCCCCCTCTGCTGGGCCCAGGCTCTGAGATCGCCCATCCTGTTCCCCAGCATGCCCTGTGGTGCCTGTGGTCTGCCTGTTTATCCTCAGACCTGCACCCCCTGAGGCTGTGAGTCCCTTCAGTTGGCTGCATGTGGAGCCCACCCTGACAATGAAGGAGGCATGGGGCAGGGGTTACCCAGGGTGGGAGAGGTGAGGGGGCAGGAGCTTAAGAAGGCCATGGCCAGAGCAGCACAGAATTCAGTGAATACTCCAGGGAAGGGCGTAGCCTTTGGGCCTCAGGCCATCCCTTGCCACTGCTAGGCTGGGGCAACCCTCCCTCCACACCCTTCTGACAGTGCCAACGGCCCACCCTGCCCACCCTGCCTGGCCTTGGATCAGGGTCAGTCACCCGTAGCTGCGTTTAGGGAGTTGCCTCTGATAGAGGGGTGTCCTGGGGCCAGAGGGGAGGGCAGCTGCCCGGCAAGTCTCCAGGTGTAGCCACACTTGCTGCCCTGCTGTCTGCATGCTTCAGGGGTGCCCTAGGGAAGGCTGGAGGACTCAGCTAGTCACCGTCAAACCAGCTCTCAGTGCCCCGGCGTGCTCGGGCCTCACACTGACCAGTGTGGGCAAGGCGGTGGGTCACAGGGAGAGGGCAGGGCAGGCTGATATCCTTGACAGGGAGGGAGGGGTGGCTCTGGTAGATGGGGCTTCTCCCCCTCCTCCTCCTCCCCTGCCCTCTTCCCTTCACCCTCCTCCCCTTGTCCCCTCATCCCCTACCCTCCTCCTCTCCCCTTTTCCCCTCCCCATCTTCTTCTTAGTGCCCTCCCTCTCCCCTCCCCCTGTCCCCTGTCCACACCCACAGTTGGGTTTTGCAGCTTGTGGAGGGCCCATGCTGGCCTGGTCATAGGGGTTTTCTGGGACAGTGGCTTGGGGCTCGTGGGTCCTGGCGGGTCCAGGCCTGGGGAGGCACAGGTGGGAGGCTGTCGTCTTCCTGAGGGCTGTTCTGGTCACAGCTGTGGCGTTCCGTCTGGGGATGGAGGTCTCCACCTGCAAGCTGCCCTTGTGTGTGAGGTGCGGCTCTCCTGGCCTTACTCCCCCGCCTGCCTCCCGCCCTAGCCGTGCTCTGTGTGCCCAGATGTCCTGGGACATCCCATCCCTAGCCCTGGGGCTTGGAGGTGTCTGTGCATGGATGCCCACAGTGCCGCCCTGTGCTCCTGTCCTGACCCCCAGGGCATTTGAGGGGACCTGCCTGCACTGCCCTTCCTTCCCTCACCCAGGCGGCCTCTTCCAACCTCAGCCCACGGCAGTGTCCAGGCTCAGAGGACTGGCTGGTCCCTCCTGTCCTCCCCATGGGGCCCATTGTGCTGCATGGGGCCCGTGCCTCTGGGACCTTGGGGATTTGCTAGAAGGGCCCTTGGGCTCCTCCTCTACCCACTCCCTGGCAGCCTGGCACATGGGTGTGTGTCCTGAATCCTGGGCATGGCCTCCCTAAGTGAAGACCCCCTCTGCAGCACCTCTTGGTGGTTCACTGACTGATGGGGGCCGTTGCAGGTCCTTCTGCAACTCTGGCTCAACTCCGAGGGCTCATGGGTGCTCGGGCTGGCTCTGAGCATCCTGAAGAAGCAGACCGCAGCTTAGGGGGCAGGACGTCAGCTTGGCCGGGCAGGGTATCTCAGCATGACCACCAGGTGGGTGGCTCCTGTGGAGGGGCTGTGGGATCCTTCCTGGGGCCACTACCTGCTCCTTCTGTGGCCTGCGCCTGTGGCCCTGGAGGCAGGTGCCCCTCAGTAGCCTTGGGGTTACCTATGTGGCCTTGCCTTTGATGGGGTATGCTAGGGAGCCTCTTGGGCCCCTCCCCTCCATACCGTTGGGCAGGAGCTACTCCCTCGGGGTGGGTGGCAGGGTCTAGCAGGGCCATGTGAGGGTGTGGGGGGAGCCTTCCCAAGCTGGCACCCCGGTGGCTCCCAGCACATCCTGAGTCTGCCGTTCTCTGCTGGGGGTGGGTTGGTCGTCATGTGTCCAGTGATGCTTTCAGGAGGGGCCTCCAAGCCCTGGCCCTGTCCAGGTGGGTGCCCTCCTAAGGGCTGGAGGGCTGAGTCTGGCTTGAGGTGGCCGTGCCTGGGGCCCCTGACATTCAGTCCACCCATGTGGGGACACTGGGCTGGCAGGTCTGACACAGAGCTGCAGAGCATGCTCGGTCAGTCCCAGGATAGACAGGTGACATGGGGTCGGGGTCAGGGTTTGGGGTTGAGGGCTCTTGACTCGATATGGGCTGGGCTGGGCCAGGGCGGGGTGTGAGGGAAGCCTTGTGAAGTGAGCCCAGCAGCAGCAGCAGGTGAGCCAGCAGCCAGCTGGGGGGAGGGGGCACCCAGTGGGGTGGAGCCGGGTTCCTGGAGCAGTTGAGGTTGGGGATGCGTCCTCAGTGCTGGGTACTGGTGCAAGGCCTCGTGTAAAGATGGAGGGTGGTGTTCATCAGCTCAGAGGCCCCCAGGGGTGGCCTATGGGGATGGGTTAGCTGGGGTCTGTCCTGCAAAGGAGGATGTCCAGATTTGGTGAGGTGAGAGGGGTAGAGTGTCAGAGAACCAAGAGCTGCTTCCCAGTGCCACACCCAGGCACTGAGGTGGGGAGACCCCAGCTGGAACCTGGGGACATATGCGTAGACTGCAGGAGTGCTGGGAAGCTGCAGGGGGCCACAGGACTGTAGACATCCCAGCAGGTCATGGCAGAGGGTAGGGGGACCTCAGGCGGGATCCTGCGGGTCAGCTGGGGCCAAAGAGGGTGGAGGATGTGGCAGACGCCCATCAGGCATAGTTTGGGATTCAGGCTCCGGAGCCTCCTCCCTGCCCACAGCCCTAGGCGGGGCTGTCCTCTTGCGTATGTTGTGTGTGTTGTGGGGGTCTTATCTGTCCAGTGCAGCCAGAGTCAGCTAGACTCCCTGAAACTGTGGGGGTCGAGTCGGCAGCAGAGACAGCCCTGTGGTCACTGAGACCATGCTCGCTGGAGTGGGGGCCATGGGTGTGCAGGGGGCCAAGGCCCTTCTCGCCTCCCTCTCCCCTGCCTGGCTCATCCTGGATTCTTTCTGCCCCCTCACCCCCGGATGGACACGCCTGTCCCCTGTACCCTGGCCACCGAGACACCTGGCCAGGCTCCAGCAGGGCTTCCTGGGGCCGGGCTCATGCTGGCCTCTCTGTGCCCAGGCTGACGGGCAGCGAGCCCCTGACCATCCTCCCGCTGACCCTGGAGCCAGAGGCGGCTGCCCAGGCGCACTACAAGGCCTGCGACCGGCTGAAGCTGGAGCGGAAGCAGCGGCGCATGTGCCGCCGGGACCCGGGCGTGGCAGAGACGCTGGTGGAGGCCGTGAGCATGAGTGCGCTCGAGTGCCAGTTCCAGTTCCGCTTTGAGCGCTGGAACTGCACGCTGGAGGGCCGCTACCGGGCCAGCCTGCTCAAGCGAGGTGAGTGTGGCCGGCCTGGCCCTCAGGAAGGCCCCAGACAGGTGGCAGCCCAGGCCTTGTCCATATCCCAAGAGGCCCCTCTTAGGCTGCGCTCCTGGGGACGCCGGGCCCAGCCTGCCCAGAGCTCCTGGGCCTAGGCCCTGGAAAGGGCAGCCCCGGGACCTCCCTGAGTGCTGCCTGCCCTGCCTTGCTTTAGGCACACGCACAGTCGTTGCTGGTGGCCAGGGCATGCTGACTCGGCCTTTGACGGGGCCCCAGGCTACCCGGGGCTGCCCCGACAGCCCTCGGCTCATGCCAGGTGGCCCAGTGCCCAGTGGGCTATGCCTGTGCAGACTCTCTTCCTGCCCCTCCCACCCTCATGAGGGCTCTCTGATGCCTTATTTCAGCCACCCTCCCACCCAGCCTCCTCCCGCCCCCTCCCAGGGGCTCTCCACTGCCTATTTCAGCAACCCTTTCACTTCAGCTTCTGGAGTAGCTGGGGCTGCAGCTGTGTGCCACTGCACTGCATGAGCTTGTTTAAAAATTGGGGACCCAAGGCCCAGGGCCAGGCAGGCCTTGCCAATGGCCCCATGGTGAGGCTGGGAGGTTCGAGACCCTGATGGGGACTGTGACCACGGAGCCGGAGCCATGGCCATGGCGGGCTCTGGTTTCTCCCCCCAGCCAGCCCTGCGCCTGGGACACCCAGGCGTTTCCTACCCTGTGGTGGCCAGGGCACACCCACACCCTGTCCCGAGTGCAGCACCAGGAAAGATGCTCTGAGCCCCAACATGGGATTCATACTCTTGGGGTGATTTGGCTGCAGGACAGTGAAGGGGGAACTCTGGGCAGCCTGGGCTCACTGATCGGCCCTTGCCAACCCCAGGCTTCAAGGAGACTGCCTTCCTCTATGCCATCTCCTCGGCTGGCCTGACGCACGCACTGGCCAAGGCGTGCAGCGCGGGCCGCATGGAGCGCTGTACCTGCGATGAGGCACCCGACCTGGAGAACCGTGAGGCCTGGCAGTGGGGGGGCTGCGGAGACAACCTTAAGTACAGCAGCAAGTTCGTCAAGGAATTCCTGGGCAGACGGTCAAGCAAGGATCTGCGAGCCCGTGTGGACTTCCACAACAACCTCGTGGGTGTGAAGGCAAGTGGGGTGGGGCTGGCGGGGTGGGAAGGGAGGGTCAGAAAGAGCGTCAGGGGGTTGGGGGTGGGGCGTGGGACTGGGGGCGGGGCTGCAGCAGGGCAGGCAGGCACACAGTGGAGTGGCCTCCTGTAGGAGGGTGGAGGCCGTGCAGCGCCAGTCATGGTCCTGGAGCCTCTCGTGCCCATAAGGCTCCCTACCCACCAAACGGGGCACTAGCCATGGAGAGGTATCTCAGGTTCTCTCTAGAGGGGTACCCCATGTCTGCCTGCAGAGGGGCCCCCACGGTCCCTGTGGGGCCACCAGGAGGGTGTCCTTGGTTAGGCAGTCTAACCAGTATCATGGCACTGTGGGCCCCACCTGTCAGCCAGCTGGCAGGCTTGTCACGAAGACCGGTGGGAGGAAGATGTGCCCCCCACAGACCAAGGTGGGAGGCATGGTGGGCAGGGGATCCCAGGGAAGGGTTAGGGGTACGGAACCCACTCACCCAAGTCAGGGGAGTCTCTTTCTGCCCCACCAGCCCTCTCCGTGGCCAGGCGTCTGTTCTGAGAGACAGAATCCCAACCTAAAGACTTCGAGATAAAAGGACTCTCTCTCCTGAGCCCTTCCAGGGGCCACTGGCTGTTGGGGTGGCTGACCCGGGGTGACCCTGGCTCTCTGGTCATCCTTCATGCTACCTGCAGCCTGTCAGTGCCCAGGTCCACATGTCTGGGGGAGTCCGGGCTGGACCTGTAACCCCACTCTGCACAGAGCCCCCAGCATCTCTGCAGTTCCTGAACAGGGATGGGCAGGGTTGACACCTCTATTGGAAGCTGAGGGGCATTTCTCCCTCCTGCCTTCATCTTCACATTTGCCAGGCAGGCTGGGAATGTAGAGCCCCAGCCTGGGGAGGGGTAAGGTAAATAGAGCCGGCCCTGCTGTGAGCCCCACTTGATTGAGAAGTCAGAGTACCCAATCACCAACTTACTAAAGGATCAACCTCCCCTGTTTGGGTCTCTTGTGCCTCCTTCCGCCTTCTTGGGCAGGGGAGAGCCTTCGAAGGCAGATTCAAGCCCTAAGCAAGGCCCTTTCTTTTCCTTTGTGTATGACCCCCCTTCCCCTCTTCGCCGCTTTGTAAGAGATTAATGAGAAGTCGGAACATGAAGGTGCTCCATTAGCTCCACAGAGCCTGGGTCAGCGACATTTTAATTAAATTGGTCCGGGTTTCTCTGCAAAGCATCATTAAATGTGACTCTTCGGTTGCCGGGCCAGAGGTGGCTGGATTTCTTAATCCTCCTTGAGCCGGCCCTCCTGGGGGCTGCTGGCGTGGGAGCAGAGCCGCCTGGCTCGGGTCCCACCTGGGAAGGGACCTCCCCACCAGGCCTGTCTTTGCAGGTGGGGCCCTAAGTCCTGGGAGGGGACAGGCCCAGCCAGGCTTCTGTGGCAGCCCCCAGTATGGATTGTGGGTGCCTGGCCCTCCCTGCTGAGGGTGAGGGGTGCACCCCCCTCTGGGGCCAGCCTGGACACTCTCCTGCAGTATAAGGAGCTCTCTCTTCCCCAGGAGCCCCTCTCCCCTGCAGCGTGGGCCTCCCTGCTCCTGTGGTGCCTTCACTGGCCCCCCAGCAGGCTGACCCTCAGCACCGGTGGGTTGGGGGTCGCGTCTGCATGTGCGGTAGCACCTGGTTCCCGATATTAGGGGTAGGGAGGTTGCGGTCAGCTCAGACATACACCACTAGATGAGGTCATGTTTGTCCTCACCTGTCCAGCAAGCTGTGTGCTGAGAGCAGATGTGAAGTCCCGGCAGGACTGGGATTATGGGAATGGGGGCAGAAGGTCTAGCCCCTGCTGAGGGCAGCCCCTGACGCAGGGTGGACATCAGGCAGGAGCCTCCCATTGTGGAGATGCCAGGGTGGCCACCCCAGGGGCTGAGGTGCCGGCCCTGGAGCCTCTGTCTTGGGCAGTCGGCAGCCTGGAGGAGGTAGGACAATGCTACGAGCCGGGAGACTGAGCTGGATGTGAGATGTGCAGTGGTGACGCCCGCCGGCAGGGCCTGGGCCTGGGTGGGGGTGTGGGGTCCCTCTGGGGGTCCAGGGCAGGGTCTGCTCACTGGGCCCACCTGCACAGCCCTCACACTGCCCTCCCTCCCGCACCCTTCTGCCAGGTGATCAAGGCTGGGGTGGAGACCACCTGCAAGTGCCACGGCGTGTCAGGCTCATGCACGGTGCGGACCTGCTGGCGGCAGTTGGCGCCTTTCCATGAGGTGGGCAAGCATCTGAAGCACAAGTATGAGACGGCACTCAAGGTGGGCAGCACCACCAATGAAGCTGCCGGCGAGGCAGGTGCCATCTCCCCACCACGGGGCCGTGCCTCGGGGGCAGGTGGCAGCGACCCGCTGCCCCGCACTCCAGAGCTGGTGCACCTGGATGACTCGCCTAGCTTCTGCCTGGCTGGCCGCTTCTCCCCGGGCACCGCTGGCCGTAGGTGCCACCGTGAGAAGAACTGCGAGAGCATCTGCTGTGGCCGCGGCCATAACACACAGAGCCGGGTGGTGACAAGGCCCTGCCAGTGCCAGGTGCGTTGGTGCTGCTATGTGGAGTGCAGGCAGTGCACGCAGCGTGAGGAGGTCTACACCTGCAAGGGCTGAGTTCCCAGGCCCTGCCAGCCCTGCTGCACAGGGTGCAGGCATTGCACACGGTGTGAAGGGTCTACACCTGCACAGGCTGAGTTCCTGGGCTCGACCAGCCCAGCTGCGTGGGGTACAGGCATTGCACACAGTGTGAATGGGTCTACACCTGCATGGGCTGAGTCCCTGGGCTCAGACCTAGCAGCGTGGGGTGAGTCCCTGGGCTCAGTCCTAGCTGCATGGGGTGCAGGCATTGCACAGAGCATGAATGGGCCTACACCTGCCAAGGCTGAATCCCTGGGCCCAGTCAGCCCTGCTGCACATGGCACAGGCATTGCACACGGTGTGAGGAGTGTACACCTGCAAGGGCTGAGGCCCTGGGCCCAGTCAGCCCTGCTGCTCAGAGTGCAGGCATTGCACATGGTGTGAGAAGGTCTACACCTGCAAGGGACGAGTCCCCGGGCCTGGCCAACCCTGCTGTGCAGGGTGAGGGCCATGCATGCAGTATGAGGGGTCTACACCTGCAAGGACTGAGAGGCTTTTCTAGCACGTCGGGGCGTACAGCTGGAGCAGGGTGCCGGGGGTCCTCTGGGTTGGCTGTCCAAGCCCTGTATCTCCCCCTCTCCAGGACCCAGAGGCGGGGGTTGGCTCTGGTCTGGCGTATGCAACCTCTCTGCTTGTGCCCTGGGCCTCAGCTTCCTCCCTCTGACCCGAGAGCATTGCACCAATGCTTTCTGAGCTTTCTCCCATCCCTAACACACCAGTCCCTGGGAAGCGGCTCCCCATGCCAGTCCATTGGCTTTCCCTCCCCACCTCCTCTGAGGCATGGGTGGCAGGTGCACCTTGGTGACCATGCGGCCTCCGTGTGGGCCACCCGTTGGGGACTGGCCTGGCCCAGGCTGCCCCAACACCAGCACTGTCTTCAGAGACTCAAACCACTAGAAGAGGACGCAGCCTGTTCTGCACTCCCAGGGCCCGGCCGTGCGGGTGCCCAGGCTCGGGGGGACACTGCCGACCTCTGACGTTGAGCACTTCTCTTTGGAGTAAATATCAGTGACTTTTAAATTATTATGATTATTTAACTAATATAATAATTATTATTTTCTCCATCCCTGCCACCTCCCCGGCTGCAGCTCCCCGCTCTCGGCCAAGCCCCAGTCTGGGAGGGCCCCGCCTTCCGTCCCTGACATATTCCCTCCTAACCCTGCCTCTGATCTGCTTAGTTGTTTGAAACCACTAAATCGAGATAGATGTGTGTAGTTAAGGAAATACAGTGAGCTGCGTCTGGCCACAGCCCTTGGGGCTTCTGGAAGCCAGCTCCCCCAGCCCCATGCCAGCCAGCCACTGCCACGTGGTGGGCCAGCCGGCGGCCCCTGCCCTGCACCCTGTGGGCAGACGCCCGGCCTCCAGGCAGCTCAGTGCAGATTCTCGAGCTGGGGGTGGTGGAGAGGGGCGGGCATGGTGAGGGGGCAGGGCAGCCCTTTGATTGGTTCATGTCATGTCATGAGGAAGCTGCTTGCTTTGTGTCACTGGGGGACAGATTGGGACAGATGCCGGTGGAGGCAGTCTTGGGCTCGCATCTGGCCATGGAACGCCATGCTTTATGGCCCTGCTGTTGTGTGTGCTGGGGACAGGGTGACCTGCACTGACCTGGCTTGGTTTGAGGGTGTAGTGTGTGTGTGTGTTGTGAGAGTGTGTGTGCTGGCGTGGTCAGTGTGCATACGTGTGCGTATGTTGTGAGTGTTGTGAGTGCGTGTGTGCTGGCGTGGTCAATGTGTGTAAGCGTGTGTTGTATAAATGCATGCTGGCATGGTCTGTGTGTGTGTGTGTGTGTGTGTGTGTGTGTGTGTGTATACTGGCATGGTCAGCTTGGCTGTGCTGTGCTGTCAGTGGCATGGCGGTGCCTTAGGTTCCCAGAGCCTCTCGCCCTGGGCTCCGTCTTGTGGGTGTCCTGATGGCTGTGGGCTGGGTTCTGGGCGGGTTGCTGGTATGGATACAGGAACTACTGAGTGAATAGGTGTCTCAGAGCCCTAAGGGTCTCCAGAAAGCCGGGGTGTCTGTGTTTTTAAAAGAAAACCTATTTATGTTGCTGTGGGTCTCTGCCGTCCCTGTGTTATAGTACATAAGAACCTTTATTCTCCTGTGGTTCAGAGAGCACCCCGACATGTGCCTGCAGCTGCATCCCCGTACCACAGTGTGGGTGCAAGACGCTGGGTTTGTCCTTTGTCTGGTGAAGCCTGGCTAGAAGGGGTGGGGGTGGTAGCCCCTGCCCTCTGCAGTGTCCGCATCCACTGGTCCCTGAGCAGCATAGCTGGCCACACCCTCATGACATGACAAGACTGTCACTCAGTCACTATTGGGTCTATGAAGGGCGTCAAGTCAGAGGAAGGTTTTTATTTTTAATCAAATACCACATTTAGCTCTATGTCATAAATATTCAGAAAACTATTTTTTTAAACAAGGCAGACCAAAAATGTCTGCTAGCTAGTTGGTTTCTATACAAATACATATTCGAATGTCTTGCTGGATGAAGAGGCCGCTCAGCCGGAGCCTCCTGTTTCATGCGCTTCTCTTCTGAGGGGCAGTAGAGGAGAAAGGGCTGTTGGGAGGGGTTCAGCCCGCTCCTTGGCCAGGGGATCCCAGCCACCTTCTCTGCACCAGGCCCTGCCTTGAGGGACCTGGACCCCCAGGTGGCTTCTGGCCAGGTGTGGGTGGGTGGGAGGGGCCCTGTCTGTGCTCCGAGTCTCCGTGCGTGCAATGATTTCTCTACCTCATCTGTGTGGCCCGTCCCAGAGGGACTGTGGAGAATGTATTTATTTAACAGCTTTGTGTCACAGAACCAGAAACAAATGGAAACATTAAATAAATGTATTTTAAATTATAGCCTCATCTCAGTCTGCTGCCTTCACAGGGGCTTCTGTAGGCCTGGGACGAGGAGGAGGGCCTGAGGAGGAGGCCTAGGAGTTGGCCTCTGCGAAGAGGAGGACAAGAAAGAGGGTTGGAGAGGAGGTGGGCTCGGGGAGGTATGCCTGGGAAGGAGGAGAAATTGGGAGGAGGGACCAGGGAGGAGGAGGAAGGGGGAGGTTTTGGGGAGAAGGGGTATCCACGAAGGAGGACCCTGGGGAGGAGGAGGAACCTGGACAGGAGGAGGGCCCTGGGGAGAAGGAGCACCCTCAGGAGGAGGAGGACCCTGGAGAGGAGGAGGACCCTGGGGAGGAGGGCCTGGGGAAAGAGGAGGACCTGGGGAGGAGAAGGGCCCTTGGGAAGAGGACTTGGGGAGGAGGAGGACCCTGTGGAAGAGGAGGGCCCTCGGGAGGAGGAGGGCCCTGGGGAAGAGGAGGGCCCTGGAGAGGAGGAGGGCCCTGGGAAGAAGGAGGACTTGATGAGGACAGCCCTGAAGAAGAGGAGGACCTGGGGAGGAGGAGGGCCCTGGGAAGAAGGAGGACCTGAGGAGGACAGCCCTGAGGAAGAGGAGGACCGTTGGGAGGAGGAGGACTTAAGAAGGAACCCTGGGGGAGAAGCCCCATCTCCCAGCCACATTTGGCACCTTTGTTGGGCAGGCATCTCCAGGCTGCGTGTATGGCCCCAGCTGACCCTAGTCTCTGTGCTTCCCATGTCCAGGCTGGAGAGCCTGGGGTGCCACAGGAAGCCCTGTCCAGCCCCGTCTTCTCAGACACCTAGCTCCATCCCACTCCTGCCCACAGCCTCTTGCTGAAGGAGGCCCCTCACTCTCTTGCTGGGTCACAAGCAGGGCCTCATCATCCCCCTGCCCTGCATGTGGGGTCTTCTGGGCATAGCCCCTCACCTCCCTGACTCGAAGCCAGTTCCCAGCCCACAGTCCTCACCTTCCTCTCACCTCCATCACCCTTCTGAGCCCACATTGTGGGTCCCCCACCAC
Source organism: Homo sapiens (assembly GCF_000001405.40). Classification (NCBI taxonomy): domain Eukaryota; kingdom Metazoa; phylum Chordata; class Mammalia; order Primates; family Hominidae; genus Homo; species Homo sapiens. The sequence continues at coordinate 227,917,640 of NC_000001.11, read as the reverse complement.
TGCAACATGCCCTGCAGGAAACCCCTCACTCGCCCTTCCAGACCCTGCCTGCCCCTCTCCTGCCACCTCGCGTCTGGTCTGTGCCCTCCCAGACATCCAGGTCCACGCCCACCACAGCACCGGGGAGGGAGGGGCTGCCCACTGAGGAATGTGGGATTATCTCCCTGATGGGAACAGTCCAGGCTTCCTTTCCAGACCCATGGCCACAGCTCCTACTAAGAGGCCGGTGGGGGCTTCCTGGTGCCGGCCCCTGGCCCTCAGCCTCTGGCCACTGCCGGGTGAAGCCACACTGGATAGCTCTGCCTGGAGGGACAGGCCTGTGCAGGGCAGGGTGGTCAGGGGCTTGGGCCTCTGTGCCCAGGCGGGAGGGGGATGTGAGCTGTCCAGCCAGGGAGCAGGTGGCCTGAATGAGACCATTCTTCTGAGTGACAGCAGTGAAACCATAGCTGAATTCAATCCGGGTGCAGGCGACAGGCAGGCGGGGGCCAGGCTGCTGAGGAGACAAGTCGCTGGTGGGTGGACTGGCTGGACAGGCCACTGTGCACAGCCAACCCTCCCCCTTTGTCCTGGGTCCAGTTGTGTGGGCTAGGGTTCCCTGTGTATGGTGGATGCTCTGTGTGTCTGGTCTGCATCTGCACATGTGTATGTGTGAGGTTGGATTCGTGTGGGTCTGCATGTCAGTGCATCTGTGTCTGCAGGTATTGTGTACGTGTGCATGTGTGTTGTATGTGTCCACATGTCTGTGTGCATTTATATGCAAGCATGCATGTGTGTGTGGCTGGGTTTGTGTTGTCCACATGTGAGCATGCATATGTGTGTGTGTTGTGCATGTGTCTCCATGCATACATGTGGCTGGGTCTGTGCATGTGTCCACATGTGTGCATGCATATATGTGGCTAACTCCATGCATTTGTGTCTGTATGTGCATGTGTGTCTCGAGTGTGTCTGCGTGCATGTGGCTGGTTCCATGCATTGGTGTCTGTGCATGCATGTGCATACATATGTGTATCTTTTGTGTGTCTGCATGCATCCATGTATATGGCTAGGCCTATGCATCTGTGTCTGTGTGTGTCTCGTATGTATGTATGGCTGGGTCCGTGTATCTGTCTACATGTGTGAGTGCATGTATGTGTGCATATGTGTGGCTGGATTCATGCAGCTACATTCATATGTGTGCATACATGTGTCCATGAGTCTGTGTTGTGTGTCTCTGCACACAGGTGCATGTGTCCATGTGGGTACATGCACATGCATGCACATGTCCATGTGTCTGTGTCATGCGTCTCTCTCTGCATGCACACATGTGCTTGAGTGCTGTAGGTGTGTGCTGAAGGTGTGTGCTGAGCCATAGCTCATCTCCTTTCTAGCCTCCTACCTCGACTTTCCTGGGTGATTGAGGCCTGGCCCCTACCCCCACTCTGGTCTCCAGCTGACAAGCTCCCACTGGCCCTGGGCCCACCCTGTCCAACGACATCCACCAGGTGGGTGGAGACACCTTGGAATCCACGAGGTGCTTCCTCACCTGCTCGAGCACGGGTCAGATGCTCCTGAGCAGTTTCCGGACAACAGGGCATCCCCATCTTGGCTTGCGGGGGTGAGGAAAGCAGGGCCCAGAGGGCATGGAGCTACTTTAGCCGAGCGGTCTCTGGTGCCATTCGCAGGTGGGAGACAGGCCCAGGACACACAGGTGGCCAGAGGCAAGCCCAGGCTTGAGCCCAGGCTGGTGGGGCCCAGGCGGCTGGGGCGGTGGCAGGCATCTGGCTCCCCTCCAGGCAGCGGCAGGGGATGGCTAGGGGATTAGGTAAGAAGGCGCGGTTAGGTAATGTCTCAGAAGGGCCCGGGGTGTGCAGCAGGAAGGTTTGAGTGGGATCCTGCCTGGCCTTCCAGGCTGACTTCAGAGACGGAGGGAGAAGCTGGAGAGGAGGAGGGGGAAGGGTGGGAGAAGGAGTAGGGGAGGAGGTGAAGGAGACGAGGGAAGAGGAAGGACGAGGAGGAGGAGGGGAGGGTGCAAAGAATGAGTCTGGCGCCCCAGAGCCCAGACAGACTGTGGTGGGGTCCTGTGTTGCCCTTCCTGTGTCATGGACCTTGGGAACTGCTAGGGACCCCAGGATGATGTCCTCACTGCCTCCATGGGGTCTGGCCCAGGCTGCACACTGTAGGTGCTCTGGGGCCAGCTCCTGAGGCAGGCAGCTGCTGTCAGGGTAGAAGGAGGTGGCCCAGGAGGCCCCGGGGTGCAGGAGTCTGGAGGTGTGGGAGGCTCAGACTCACTCCCTGCCCCACCTGGCTACACAGGCCACAGCCCCTGCATTGGGGCCTGGGGTCCCAGGGGTTCACCTTCTCTGCCTGCACACTCTATTCCTGGGGCCTTTTCATGTAGGTGGGCCTCATCCTGGGGCCAGGGGTGGATGTTCACAAGGGGGTGGCCTTGACCCATCCTGCATCTCGTCCCCGGACCATGCTGCCTGTCTTCTTAGTTCCCCTGACGTGTACTAGAGCCCCTGCTCCTCTAAGCCCCACTGGGCTCACTCTCTCTGCAGCCTCTGTGCTCCTCGGAAGCCCCTCCCTGCCCACTGCCCAGTGCATACAGCAACTGGCTGGCCCAGGAGGAGCGGATGCTGGGCAGAGCTGTCACCTCCCTGGAGGTGACCTTGGGTCAGCCAGGCCCAGGGGGCTGATCGGGAAAGAGCAGGCCACTCCTGGGGGCTGCAGAGGGCCTAGGCTGGGGACCAGAGTCCTGGCTGTGCCTGGTCCTGCCTCTGCCAGGCTCCAGGGCCTTAGTTTCCCTATCCACCCCTTAGGAGGCAGCCCCTGCCTGATAGCCTGGGATTCTGGGCAGGGGTCTGCTGTGGGGCTGGCCAGGCCAGGTGGAGGGGCTGGCGTAGGCACCAAGGGCAGCGGGGCCTGGCTGGCCGGCTTTGCTGGAACGCCCCCGTGGATGGTGGACGGAGTGGAGCAGGGGTCCAGCAGATTGCCAGGGAAACAAGACCAAATAAACACTCCCCCTGCAGCCCTGCAGAGGGGGCTCCCATGGCAATGACCTCATCTGCCCACCCAACCCTGCGCAGGGCCAGACTGGAGGTGGGGGGTCCAGGGCTGGCAGAGGAGCCTAGCATCCTGTGTTTGTGTTGGGCCCACATCCATGGCAACAGCTGGGGGCTCCCGCTGTGCTTACCAGCCAGAGGCCTCCCCAGCAGGGAGGGAGGGGAAAGGAGGAGGGGAGAGGAGAGAGAGGAGAGGATGGAGGAGGGGAGTTAAAAGAGGAGGAGGGAGAGGAGGGGAGAGACAGGGGAAGAGGCTGGGGTGGGGCGTGGCCCAGGCCAGGCCTCCAGGGGTGGCCTTAGCTCTGCAGCCAGTCCTCCCTGCCTTCTGCAGCAAGTCCTAAGCTGTGGAAGGGAGCAGTGGCTCTCACAGGCACCCTGGGTCTGTCCAGGGCTGGGTGGCAGATGAGTGCACGTGCATGGGTTTTCACCCACACAGGCTTATCAGCACCCATTTCGGGGGACTGGGGCCTCAGACCCGGGGTCTCTTGATGTGTCAGCCAGGGCCAGGGTCTCATCTGAGGCTCGCCTGGGGCAGGTTCTGCTTCCAGGCACCATGCCCTGTCAGAAGGAGGGCCTGGGTCCTTGGGAGCTGTCCTCCCGAGGCCATCCTCAGCAACCTGCCATGAGGGCCTCTCTGAGGGGCGGCTTCCTCCACTTCCCAAGGCGGGGGTGATGGAGAGAGTATGCTGGAAGGAGGGGCCTTGAAGTCTGCGGAGCTGCCAAAAGGGGTGGGGAGGGTGCACCGCTGCTCTGCTCTGCTGGGCAGGAAGCAGGTCAGGGCAGGAACCTGGGACACAGGGGTCACGGGATGCCTGAGGGTCTGCCATGGCGCCCAGCATCCTGCACCAGGATTCACCAACTGCTCACATTTACAGCTGGCCCTTGAATAACATGGATTTGCCCTGTGTGGGCCCCTTACATGCAGATTTTCTCCTGCCTCTGCCACCTCTGAGACAGTGAGGCCAAGTCCCCTCCCTCCTCCTCCTCAGCCTTGCAGCTTGAAGACCGGGAGGACAAAGGCGTTTAGGAGGATCCATTCAATGCAGGGAAGAGGAACTATGTTTTCTCTTCCTTGGGATTTTCCCACTAACGTTTCTAGACTCTAGCTTGCTGTATTGTGCGAACACAGTATGTGACACAGATAATGCAGAATGCGTGCTAATCACCTGTTCATATTCTCCTCAAGGCTTCCAGTCAGCAGGAGGCTGTTAGCAGTTCAGTTCCAGGGAAGTCAAAACTTATGTGGGGATTTTCAACTGCATGGGGGCTGGTGCCCCTAACCCCCACGTTATTCCAGGATGAGCTGTAGTCATTTGATCTCTCTTCTCTTCTGTCTCTAAAAACAAGATGCATGTCTTTTTGCTTTTTGGCCCCTTAGAGAGGAAGTTGGAGGCATCTGGTACCGTACGTGAATCGGCATTCTCCTTTCACATGTGACAGCGTGACGGGATGGGCTGGGGCCCACAGCGTTTGCACTGTCCTGCCCTATCCTCCCTCCCGTGGTGTTCCTTTGAGCTGCTCTTGCTTTTTGTGTTTTTCCCGGATCCAGGCTCCAATCAAGGCCATGCCTCGTCTTTGGGGACTGTCTGCTTCGGTAGGTAAAGAGTTAGCTGCCCTTGAACGGCGATTCTCCTGGGCCCCACGGATGCTCCTGTTTCAGTCCTGACATCAGCACTTCCAGCTTTCTCATTCCGTTTCCCCTGCTACACTGATGAGATGTCATTATTCAGGAAAGAAAACTCTCCCTCCCTTATTTGTGTTTGTTTTTTAGTATTGCTAAAGATGCATGGGTCCTTCCTTCTTTCAAATTCAGTGTGTTTCAATGCAGTGCCATTGTGATTCTTTGAGTCTCTGAGGACTTCCTTGCTTTCTGGATGTCAGAGGTTTGAGGCAGAAGTGAGATGTGGTCTGATTTATGTGTCCACAGAATCAATGTGAGTGCTCCAGGGAGACAGACCAAAAAATGATGCTGAAAGAAACAGAAATAATCCAGGTCACAGACAAGAGTTTTAAATAAACTCTAATAAGTATCATTAGGAAGACCTGGGGAAAAAAATACCACCTAGGGCAGTGGCTCACACCTGTAATCACAGCACTTTGGGAGACTGAGGCCAGAGGATCGCTTGAGTCCGGGAGTTCAAGACCAGCCTGGGCAACATAGCAAGACCCTTTCTCTGCACAACAATTTTTTAAAAATTATAGGTGGTGGGCGCAGCTAGTCCCAGCCACTTGGGAGGCTGAGGTGGAAGAATCGCTTGAACCCAGGAGGTTGAGGTTGCAGTGAGCCAAGATCATGCCACTACTCTGTCTCAAAAAAGGGAAGAAGGGAAGAAAAGAAAAGGAAGGAAGGAAGGAAGGAGAAAAGAAAGAAAATCATCTGCTGGGCGCAGTGGCTCACGCCTGTAATCCCAGCACTTTGGGAGGCTGAGGCGGGTGGATCACCTGAGGTTGGGAGTTTGCGACCAGCCTGACCAACATGTAGAAACCCCATCTCTACTACAAATACAAAATTAGTCAGGCATGGTGGTGCATGCCTGTAATCCCAGCTACTTGGGAGGCTGAGGTAGGAGAATCACTTGAACCTGGGAGGTGGAGGTTGTGGTGAGCCGACATCATGCCATTGCACTCCAGCTTGGGCAACATGAGTGAAATCTGTCTAAAAAGAAAAAGAAGAAGAAAAAGAAAATCATCTATGAAAAAGGAACAATAAAACAAAAAAGTAAACTACTGAAAACAAAAATATGGCCAGTGAAGTAATTATTTTCAATAAAAATTGGAAATATAAAGCCCAAGAAATCTAGTGAGAAAAAAAATAGGTCAGCTTTTCTTTGGCTGTAGGAGAATCTATGGTGGGCACTTGACACCCTTTTGGACGATGAGATGTCATGATAAATTCCTACAGCGAGAAGGTCTCTTCTCCAGCAAGCAGGCAAAGCTTTGCTGAAAGCATGCCCATTTTGCTCAGCATATCTTTTCCCTTGCACCCATTTCCTGCATAGGACACAGGATGTGATGGTGGAGTCACCGCAACCGTCTTGAGATCATGAGTAAGGAAGCGACCCATTAAGGAAGACAGAGCAAAAATAGAAAAGGCTCCAGTGACCTCATGGTGCTCTCGCATGAACCCTAGTTTTGTTTTGTTTTGTTTTGTTTTTTGAGACAGGGTCTGACTCTGTCGCCCAGGCTGGAGTGCAGTGGTGAGAGCTCGGCTCACTGCAGCCTCAACCTCCTAGGTTCAAGCTATTCTCCCACCTCAGCCTCCCGAGTAGCTGGGACCATAGGCGCCAGCTTTATATGAGTTTTATAAAGACAGCAGGTGCCACCATGCCCAGCTTATTTTTGTATTTTTGGTAGAGACTGGGTCGTACCACGTTACCCAGGCTGATCTCAAACACCTGGGCTCAAGTGAGCCTCCCATCTGAACCTCCCAAAGTGCTGGGATTACAGGCATGAGCCACCACGCCAGGCCAAATCCTAGCTTTTGTTGTGTGTGAGATTTAAAACAAATGAAAGTGTGTTTGTTTAAGCTAGAGTTGGCTGTTTTCTGTCATCTGCCACCCAAGTCATTCCTAACTGATGTGCACATCAAGCCTGGAGTATCAGGCCTGCGGCAGGGATGCTGGGCTGAAATGCAGCGGCCCCTTGCAAACTCGTAGCAAGGGTCATTTGCAACCTAGAAGTCCACGCCTAGCCAAGCTTGCTTTTAAAAAACTAGAATAAAGACAGTTTCAGGCAGGCAAATTCCAGCAAAGTTCACCACCCTCACATCTCTTCCAGTCAACGATTTGAGGGTGTGCTTGGGCACAAACCGAGGAGAGGAATTCTGGAGGTCCCAAGGAGCAGCTCCCCTGGGTGGTGAGGAAGGGAATCAGGCGGCAGCTGCAGCAGGGCTGGCCCTGCAGCCAGGGCAGGGAGGCAGAGAGGCAGGGATAGCCATGGCCTGACAGCCAGCCTGTGTGAGTCTCTGTGCAAAACAAAACAAAACAAAGCAGGTCCTTGTGTTAAGATAAAAATAAAGACCTCGACATGGAGACATCTAGGGAGGAGGCTGGGCTGAGGGGAGCCCACTTACCATCCTCCGAGGCCTGAACCCTGGAGGAACAGAGCAGAAACCTCTCAGCGTCACAGTCTCCCACCGCAATGATGCCTGGGGCTGGGGCTGCCTGCAGCACGGGCTGAAAGGCTTCTGTCTCAGCTCCTATCCTCCCATTTATTTTAATGGAAGAAGCTTTTTTTTACCCCCAAGACGGAGTCTTGCTCTGTCACCCAGGCTGGAGTGCAGTGGTGTGATCTTGGCTCACTGCAACCTCCACCTTCCGGGTTGAAGCAATTCTCTTGCCCCAGCCTGCCGAGTAGCTGAGATTACAGGCACCCACCACCACGCCCGACTAGTTTTTATATTTTTAGTAGAGGCGGAGTTTCACTGTGTTGGCCAGGCTGGCCTTGAACTCCTGACCTCGTGATCCACCCGCCTTGGCCTCCCAAAGTGCTAGGATTACAGGCATGAGCCACCGCCCCCAGCCAGAAGAAGGATTGTTTAACAACACATATCTGACATGTTAAAGATTTACCTCAGGGTCCCTCAGTGATCTTTCCAGATAATCTCCTCACTTGCCTGCCTTCCCTCCCTCCTTCCTTCCTCCTCCCTCCCCTCCTCCCTTCATTCCTTCCCTCCTTTCTCCCCTCCTTCCTCCCCTTCTTCCTTCCCTCCTCCCTCCCCTCCTGCCTCCTCCTCCCCTCCTTCCTTCCCTCCTTCCTTCCTTCCTCCCCTCTTCCTCCCCTCCTTCCCTCCTCCCTCCCCTCCTGCCTCCTCCCTCCCCTCCTCCCTTCCTTCCTTTCTCCCCTTTCCTCCCCTCCTTCCTTCCCTCCTCCCCTCCTTCCTTCCCTCCTCCCCTCCTTCCTCCCTTACCTCTTCCCCTCCTTCCTTCCCTCCTTCCTCCCTTACTCCCTCCCCTCCTTCCTCCCCTCCTTCCCTCCTCCCTCCCCTCCTTCCCTCCTTCCTCCCCTCCTCCCTTCCTTCTTCCCTTCTCCCTCCCCTCCTCACTCCCTCCTCTCCCTTCTTTCTTCTTTCTCTTTTTTCGTTCTTGTTTTCTTTTTCCTTCCCTCCCTTCCTTCTTTTTTTTCATTTTTCCTTTCATATTTTCTTTTTCTCCATCATTCCTTCCCCCACCTCTGTTTTCTTTTCTTTCTTTTATTTCTTCCTCTCTTTCTCTTCTTTTCCCCCTCCCTTCTTCCTTTTTTCTTTTTTCCTCTTTCCTTCTTTCTCATTCCTTCCTTCCCATAATTTAAAGAACATATTTCCAGTCAACACTGTTCATTTAAGGTAGACCTATAATTAAATAAACTGTAATTCTCTTGGCCTGTATGTTAACCCCAGGATCCTATAGAATGCACGAGGGAGGCCTGGATTAAATGTCACATAGGATTAGCACAGTTTACTTCTCAGGGAAGGAATCTGGGGTCGTGTTTTACTCTCATGGTGCATTTATATTTTGCTTGATTTTTACAAATACATGACACAATCAATACTGTTTAGTTTTGGTTTTCTGAAAGTCATTCTAACGGTGGAAGAGGCTGTGGACGAGGGGACTGACGGTGAGCATGATGAAGGAAGAACTCGGCAGGTGGACTGGGCCTTCGAGGTCATTGGCCAGCCTGTGTGTGGCCAGATCAGCTTCTGGGGAGCCGTGCAGGAGCAGCACAGACCGTGAGGAGGAGCTGGTTGGGAGGAGGCAGAGAATGGAGAAGGGTGTGCAGTCCAGGGGCCAAACACACATATTCCACAGGCTACAGGAGGTCTATGGAGATCCATGAGGGTGGCCCTCACACATGTTCGTGGAACACACATGCATGTGACATGTGACTCATGCTTACCTTGGGGTGGAGGCTTCACATGTAGATGTATTCCAATTAGGTCTTTCCAGGACTCAAAGGGGCTCAAGTGCACAGCCTCTGTAAACTGGCCAGGACCAGCCCACGGTCGTGGTCTCTCACCAGGAGAAAGCTCCTGAAGTCAGTGTCCTGGTCCAGTGAACGCTGCTGTCGTGGCTGGTGGAGCAGGGGGTTGGAGAGTCAGCCTCTGTGAGCTGGGTAAGCTGCAGTTGTCTTGACGTTGCTTAGCTGGAGGCCAGTGCTTCTTTAGCTGCTGGAGAAAAAGAAAACCCTTGTAGTACAGTTAGAACACCGTTTATTCTTTAAGTGTAGGGGCCCATGGCATGGTCGTAGGTCCTGTTGTTTTATTCATTTAATTTTTTAGAGACAGGGCCTCATTCTGTCACTCAGGCTGGAGTGCTGTGATGTAATCACAGCTCCCTGCAGCCTCAAACTCCTGGGCTCAAGCAATCCTCCCACTTCAGCCTACCAAGTAGATGGGACGACAGGCATGTGCCACCGCACCTAGTTAATTTTTGATTTTCTGTAGAGACGGGGGTCTCACTATGTTGTCCAAGCTGTTCTTGAACTCCTGGGCTCAAGCAATCCTCCTGCGTCAGCATCCCAAAATGCTGGGATTACAGGCATGAGCCACTGTGCCCAGCCCTTGGGGACTTTCTAAGCACTTGGCCCACACATTAAATCCCTGTCTACTCAGAGTGGCAGGGGCCCCCACACAGCCAGCGCAGCCTTGATGTCCCTGTAACTCTGAGCCAGTGGCCCCCAAGGTGGCAGAACAGGTGTCAGCCACATCTAGAAGGAGGCCTAGGGACCTGCAGGGTGCCACCCTTGGTGAGGCGGCTGTGGGCCACCCTTGGTGAGGCGGCTGTGGGCTGTGGGTGAGGCAGCCCCTTGGTGAGGGGCTGGGAGGAGTGGGCTTCTCTCGGCCTGGCTGGGAGTCCAGGTGCCAGGGTCACTAAGACAGGCCTGGCATGCGGGTGTGGAGGCTGGCATGGTTTGCTTGGGCATGGGTGGGGCATGGGACAAGCTGCACAGGTGTGCAGAGCACTCTCCACATAGTCACTCCCTCTTAGGAAAAGACTCCTTCCTCCACTTGAGAGGGCATCAGGCCAGCAGGGACCAGACGTTCGCCTAATCCAGAGGCTGTCCCCCACCAGATAAGGGCGTAGCCAGGCACGCTGTTTACCATCCGTCCTCACCAAGGACTCTGTGGCCATAAAAAGAGCAGGGCTTCACCAGCTCGAGGCGGCCATCATAACAGACGCCATCCTGCTATCACTCATGGTCAGATTCAGCATCCGCAGACCAAATCTCTGCCCATATCAAGGCCTCTTCTTTGCAAGATGCTGACATCCGTTAGGGTCAGGCTAGGATGCTCCTTGTCCATGTGGCTCTCCTTGGACCAGATCGTTGACCCCTTTTCCTATCCCTTTTCTCTTGCTGTTAGGTGTCACTTGGTTGTGGAATGCTTAATCTATACGATTACACGTGGCTTAAGTGTGCTTTGATGCGAGGTATGCAGTAACTACTGCCCTGTGCAGTGGCTTGAGCCTGGGTTCCGGCCCTGACAACCCGGTGAACGGGAAGTACTAAGGAGCACTGCCTCCCGGGGAACTCCTTGCAGCTCGTGGCTTTTATAATTGAAATAGCATCAGTAACAGCCTGCCATTGTGAAAAGACAAATGGGCATGGGCCTGGTTATGTCTTGTGCTGCTCAGGACAGCAGCAGAAGACAGCAGCCTCTAGGAGGGAGGGAGAGAGCGGGAGGGGAGAGGGAAGAAAGTAGGAGGAGGGAGGGAGGCAAGGGAGAAGCAGAAGGGAAAGGGAGAGGGAGGGAGGAGTAACAAGGAAGGAGGATGAGGAAGAGGGAGGGAGGAGGAAAAAAGGAGGAGGGAGGGAGAGGCAGGAACAGGAAAGGAGGAAGGAGAGTGGGAGGGAGGGAGAGAAAGGGAGGAATAAGAAGGAAGGGAGAGGGAGAGGCAGGAACAGGAAAGGAGGAAGGAGAGTGGGAGGGAGGGAGAGAAAGGGAGGAAGAAGGAAGGGAGAGGGAGGAGCAGGAAGGGAGGAGGGAGTAGGAGGAGGGAGAAGGGAGTAGAAGGAGGGAGGGGGAAGGGATGAGGGAGTAGGAGGAGGGAGGGAGGAGGAGGGAGTAGAAGGATGGAGCAGGAGGAGGGAGGAGGAGGAGGGTGGGAAGAGGTGAGAGGAGGAGGGAGTAGGAGGAGGGAGGGAGGAGGGAGAGGGTGGGAGGAGGAGGGAGGAGGAGGGAGGGAGGAGGGAGTAGGAGGAGGAGGGAGGGAGTAGGAGGATGGAGTAGGAGGAGGGAGGAGGGGGATGGTGGGAGGAGGAGGGAGTAGGGAGAGGGAGGGAGTAGGAGGAGGGAGGAGGAGGGTGGTGGGTAGGGTGCGCAGAGGCCAGGAAGGCAGGGAGGCACTGTATGGAGCCAGTGTGAGGGACCTGAGTTGCCAGGAGGACCTTGGGGCTAAAGAATGGTGACAGGGCCAGGCCACAGGGACGGGAAACCCAGTGAGCTGCTAAGCTGAGTGCCTCCTAAGGGACCCACTGCAGTGGGAGGCTTGGCAGCCCATGCCCAGGCAGGACTTGGAGTTCTAGCACTGGGAGTTGGCGGCTCCCCTCCCTTCCGTCTGCTCGGCCTCGGTTAATGCGGGAGCTGGAGGTGTGGACTCTTCTGTGGCTAGCAATGGAGACCAGGCTCCTCCAGCTTCAGTCCCCTGGGAGCCTCCAGGGGCAGTGCTGGGTCAGGCCCTGCCCCTCTGTCCGTGGCGTGGACAGGGCTTCCCTGGGCGTGGGTCCCCTGTGCAGCTTGGCCAGGGCAGGCAGGCAGTGCCCACCATGCTGGCCACAGGGCCCTTCCCCAGGGAAGCGGGCATGGAGCCAGAAGGTGTCACTGTGACTCCTTTATGGGCAGCTGGAGACCCCCAGGCATTTGGATCCTGTACTTCCAATGCTGGAGTCTCCTGCCTCCAACGTGGGCGTGGGTCCCTCCAGGGGCATTCAGCTTGGGCCTGGCCAGCTGGGAGCAGAGCTTTTTCCACAGGGCCCACCTGAAGGCCCAGAGAGGCCTAGAGCTCTTGGAATCACACCGCAAGTGGGAAGGAGGAACAAGCTGTCCCCCGACCTGGCCCACAGCGAGGGCCTGGGCAGGGTGGCCAGCGCTGAACGGTGGAAATAGGCACCGAATGTCTGCGGCCAGTGACATTTATGGAGCCCCAGGGGCGTCCTCAGTGCCAAATAACAAGGCCTACATATCGGGGACAAACATATGAAACCCAGGCCCACATGGAGGTCTTGAACGTTTTATGGGGGCATCTGGGACCTTGTGGCCTGGGGTGGGGGTGGGCCAGGCTATTCCCAGGAGTCCTCACTGCCCTCCCAGAGGAAGCGGGGCTGATCTCTGCGAAGTGTGTGACTTGAACTGGGGAGCTGGGAAACGCTGGTTCCTCAAGGCCCCCACCAATCTGCAACCATGGGGTTGGGAGGAGGCTGGAACCCTGCTGGCATGGCGGGGGCCCAGAGACCCCATCCTGACTTGGCCTCTCAGCTCCTTTTCCACACTGGCCAACGCATGTGGCTCAATGCATGCTCAGATGCCACATGAACGAAAGAAGACAGTAGGCCCACTCCTTCTGTCCAGGGGCTGCTGGGTGAACCCCTCCCAGGGATGGCCCTGAAGGGAGAGGTGAGGCAGGGGCTGCCCGGGGGCAGGGATCCTAGGAGGAGGGGCCTGGGTGCCCTGGCAGTTTCGAGCCTAGGAGGGAGCAGAGCCCAGGAGGAGCACTGAGGTTCCCAGGTACACAGAGACTGGAGCCAGGGCGCTTTTGGAGTGACCCTGAGGGGTGCCCAGGCCCCTAGACTAGTTCCTGCAGCCTTGTGTGTGAAGATGACGGGGCTTTGTGGGCCTCTCACCCCATGTTGAGTGGTCCAGGAGCTACCAGGGACTGTGCCCCACTCCTGGGCCTCTGGCTGCGGTCCCCACAGAAGGGCTGGCTGTGGGCACTGTGCCTGAGGCTCACAGCAGGAAGGGTGGCTGCCCACCCGGCCGGACAGGGGCATCTGCAGAGCCACCCACCATGAACAGCACCTCCAGGCTTAGGGGACAATGACCCTCCCCAGTCCAGGGCTGGGGCCGTGTGAGAGCTGCCCTCTTATTCCCCTGATGGAATGCGAGGGCCAGATGCTCTTGGGAGCTCAGGCACAGACAGGAGCCACAGCGAACCTTCCAGGGAACATGCCCGCCACCCGGGATCCCATGGAGATGTTGCCCTCAGCTGGTGCCCACTGACCCCAGGAGATCGCCTCGTTGACACCCGGCTAACCTCCTGCTGCCCTGGCTCCCGCTGCCCCCAGCCAAGGGTGACTGGCCGAGTGCCAAGCCCCAGTGGCATGGTGGGGATGCACACCCCCGCCCCGTCTGCACCCAGAGCACAAAGTCCCCTTGGCAGACCCAGGGCAGGGCTGGGGGTCCCACGAGGCCTGCCTGGTCAGGGAGGGCCCAACTGCCTTGTCCCCATGACAGGCTGGGAAAGACTGCAGCTGGGAGCCGGGATGTCACAGGGCTACATGGCCTTGGCAGAGGGTTCATGAACAGCTGGGTCTAGACTGGAGCTCGGCTGGGCATGCTCTAGCAGGAATGGGGAATGGCCCGCCTGGCCCGCTGTGCGCTTCTGGCCACCCCTCCACCTGACATGCCCAGGTCACAGCCCAGAGAGGACCAGGGCAGAGCCAAGGTTGGGTTCAACTAGGTCTCTGGGAGCTGCCAGCCCTGTGATCACAGCTGTGTCTCCAGAACCAAGGTAGGGCTACATCCTTCAGACCCCAGGGTGAGGCTGTGTACCCCAGGCCCCTGAGCGGGCCCACATCCCCCAGACCCCAGGGTAGGGTCACGTCCCCCAGACCCCAGGGCGGGGCCATGTCCCCCAGATCCCAGGGTAAGGCTGTGTACCCCAGGCCTCCGGGCGGGGCCACATCCCCCAGACCCCAAGGCAGGGCTGTGTCCCCCAGACCTCAGAGTGGGGCCACATCCCCTGAGCCATGTCCCCCAGACCCGAGGGTGAAGCTGTGTCCCCCAGACCCCAGGGGGGCCACATCCCTAAGACCCCAGGGCAGTGCCATGTCCCCCAGACCCCAGGGTAGGGCCACATTTCCCAGACCCTAGGGTAGGGTCACATCCCCCGGACCACAGGGTAGGGCCATGTCCCCCAGACCCCAGAGTGAGGCTGTGTCCCTCAGACCCCAGGGTGGGGCCACATCCCTAAGACCCCAGGGTGGTGCCACTTCCCCCAGACCCGAGGGTAGGGCCGTGTTTCCAAGACCCCAGGGTGGGGCTGCATCCCCCACACCCCAGGCAGGCGTGGCCTCCTCTCCTGCCATGAGGTGTTGGCTTCCTTTCCACCTGGAGGCCTTTGGGCAAGGGGTGCCCTGTGGTGCCCGTGGGGCTGCACCTTCTTGGCTGAGGGGTCTGGCTGTGTGGGAGGAGGGGCGCCCGTCTCCAGCCACCATCCGGGGCCTGGCTAGTCTGTGAACGGCCCAGGTGGGGCTCCAGAGCCAGCTGTGTGTGGGGTAGGTCTGTGAGGTGGTCAGGGTCCCACCCTGGGGTTTGCAGTGCCTAGTGCCTGGCTGGGAGCAGAGGCCAGGCCCTGGCTCTAGATTCTCTTAGGCTCGAATTTCAAGGGCTGCGGGAAGGACAGGTCTTCCTTGGAGCTGTAGGATGTGGGGATATGCCAGTTGCCCAGTCCCCCCACTGCCCCACACTGTCTCGGGTCTCCTTAGAGCCCCCAGCCTCAGCCTAGGGTTTGGGGAGCCCCTCCTTGCTCACGATCAGGCATCCCCGCCCCACTGGTGCCCACAGTGGGACTGGAGGAGAGGATGGCAGGAGCACTGAGGCAGCCCAGGCATGGGGGTCTGGCGGCGCCACAGGACAGGCCAGGCTGGCGTGTCCTGGGTTCCCGAGCCCTGCCTGGCCCCTGGTACCCTGGTCTCGGCTTGGGGAGCAGTTGCTCTTTCAGGTTGGGTGTTCCAGGCAATGTGAAGCCGCCTCCCTCCCTGGTCAGCCCCACCCCCTGCTGTCTTGAGAGTTCCAGGATGGAGCCGTCTGCCCACTGTCCTGGCCTGTACATGTGGCTCTGGGCCCCCAGCCTCTGGACGGCAGGAGGTTGTTATCCCAGACCGATGACTCTTTTCCTCAATGCACGGGTAGGGAGACAAAGGCCCAGGAGGCCGGGGCCAGCAGGAGAGGCCCCTCCCCACGGCTGACTAGGCTCAACCAGGCCACACCACCCGCAGGACCTCCCCAGGCCACCAGGGAGACCCAGCAACACACACAGAGACACACACACACACACACACACACACACACACACTCACAGACAGTGAGTAAGACAGAGACAGACACAAAGTCAGAAAGACAGAGACAGACAGAGAGAGAATGAAACAAAGAGAGGCAGAGGTAGAGACAGACACACAGACATAGAGAGACAGAGACCTGCCTGGCCTGGCCTGGCCATCAGGGGTCAGGGTAAGCCATCCCTCTTCCCCTAGGAGCAGCCTCAGATCAGGGGTTTCTTCCCACCTGGAGTCTCCTCTCCCATCCCTGGGGATGCTGGAGATGGGAAGTGGGCTCAGCCTGGGGGGCGGGGGGTGGAGCTGTGCCCTCGCAGGAGCCCATCCTGGGGCTCTGTCATGGGCACCCCCACCCTCCTCCCGAGCTTCTCCACCGTGAGGCTTGTCCCCATTGTCTTGTCCCTACCCACCTTCTCCCTACTACCTGGACCTAGGGCTGGACTTCAGTTTCCTCGGGCGGTCACCTGCCCCAAGTCTGCCCCTCCATCTGTTCCCCTGACAATGTTCCGACCCCTGAGGCCAGTGTCCCTGCCTTGCCTATGGCCCACATGCTGTCCAGGCCCAGGAACTCTGCCTGGACCCTCCTGGCCTTCTCACGTGCAGGTGGAACTCCCATCACAAATGACTCAAGTGTGCCACCTCCTCCTCCAGGCAGCTTCCCGGGATTGCCTGCCCAGGCCTAGGTGCCACTCTCAGAGACAACGTGTCTATCCTGGGCCAGGTGCCTTCAAGGATGATGCCCATGGGAGAGGGGCTTTTTGAGGCCCGGTGGGCTGCCTGGAAGGTCCCAGTGCCTGTCCCCAGCAGGGGCTTGGTGTGGACAGGAGGCCTGATGTACCCTGGGTACAGCCAAGGAGGAGGCCAGACAGCCCCACAGACTGCTTGGTCTAGCACGGTCGCTGGGACAGGGGAGGAGGGGTACTCATGGAAATGCTGCTGAATTCATGACGTCAAGCTCCACTGGATCAGGGCTGGAGGGCTGGCCAAGGGCTTGGGAGAGGCTGGGTCTGGTCCAGGCTCCCTAGGAAGGGGAGCTCTGCAGGGGGAGGTATCGCAGCATCCTTGACTCCCAGGGCCAGTCCCCGATGGACCTTTTGGGCCGGGGAGGTAACCAGGAGGGCTGGTGGGGCGGGGGGGTCTCTGCTGGGGTCTGTGGGCTCCAAGGTCACTAGGAGATCCCTCCCGATGGACCCTGAGCTTCTATCAATTCAAAGGCCCAAAAGAAAAGGCTGGGGCCCTCCTACTCCCAGTTACCCAGCCCTAAAGACCAGCCAGGTTCTTGTGCAATTGGGAATCTTTTACACAAGAATGAGCCTACATGGCGGGAAAAGCAAACAGTTGGCACAACATAACTGCACAGACCCAATGGGCACCATGCCTGATACTCTTCTGAGAATGTCCAATTCCTGACTGCCAGAGGCTGTTGACAAGCCTGGAACTGGGCCAAGAAATTGAAAGTTACAGCCCCAAAGGCAGGAGCACAGGACACGGACAGGACAGGACCTGGAAGGGACACGTGGCCCAGGTCCCTGCATTGATATGGGAGTGCTGTGGAGAGACAGGACGTGGAGGGGACATGTGGCCCAGGTCCCCCCATGGACACGGGAATGCCATGGAGGGACGGGATGTGGAGGAGACGTGTGGCCCAGGTCCCCCTGTGGACATGGGAATGCTGTGGAAGGACGGGATGTGGAGAGGACATGTGGCCCAGGTCCCGCCATGGACACGGGAATGTCGTGGAGGGATGGGACGTGGAGGGGACGCATGGCCCAGGTCCCCCTGTAGACATAGGAATGCTGTGGAGGGATGGGATGTGGAGGGGATGTGTGGCCCACTTCCCCCCCCCCTCCCCGTGGACATGGGGACACTGTAGAAAGACAGAACACTGAGGGGACATGTGGCCCAGGTCACCTCAAGGACATGGGGACCCTGTGGAGACGGGACACTGATATTGTCTGTCCCTATGTGTCTATCTCACTGTCCTGTCTCTCCTGCTTCCATGGCCACCAGCCTCTGTGGGCTGACACTGAGGGAGGGACACTGAGCATGGCTCCTGTGGGTCTGTGGGCCTGTGCTCTGGTCTGGCCGCACGCTGTTGGTGGGCTGTGGCACTAGGCTGGTGCCCTGCCTGCAGTCTGTTGTGACTGTGACGGAGTCATGTGTTTCAAGGCCATTTTCAGGTGGGAGGCGTTCCGGGGTCTGGTCCCAGCATGGTGGGGCATAGGCCAGTGACCTAGGGCTGTGGGGAGGCTGTGGAAGTTGGGGAAGTGCGTGGAAAAGAGGTTCAGGCTGGGCCGTCTGGCGGAGTTGTACCCCGGAGGGGCTTCTCTCCGTCCCACAGCCAAGGTGGGTGCGTGGGCCCTGCAGCTTCAGAGAGTTTTCCTTGCACGAGTTCCTGTGGGACTGCAGGCCGCCTGCGCCCCGCCTCCTACCCCTGGCCCAAGCACATTCTCCGCCCTGGATGAAGGAACTTCCAACAGCAGAGCAGCATGGGACGCCCCTGCACCCACCACTGCCCTCACACAGCCAGAGGAAAACAGCTGAACATAGACACTAGCGGGAGGGACATGCCGGGAGACAGACAGAGACAGGGAGAGGAAGAGATAGGGAGAGGAAAGGAGAGAGACGGAGAAAGATGGAGGGAGACAGAGAGAGAGAGATTGAGAGACAGAGGGGAAGATAGAGACAGAGGGGGGAAGCAGAGAGACAGAGACAGAGGGAGACAGAGAGTGGCAGAGAGGTAAGACAGAGAGACAGAAACAGAGAGACAGACTGAAAGAGAGAGCCGCAAAGCAGACTGGGGGCTGCCGAGCCTGGCGTGAGCACCTGCACCTGCCACTTTGCAAGGGAAGAAGAGGGGACAGAGGGCAGGGGTGCCTAGGACGTGACTTTGGGGAGGGCAGGGGTGAACCAGTGGCATCTAGGGGAGGGCCTGTCACCCAGGGGCTGGCGGGGGGTAGCTCTCCCGAGGGCAGCAGAAGGTCCTCAGCCTGGCCCAGTGCCCTGCACTTCTGCCCTGTGCCCCCTGTCTGGCCCCCTGTGTCAGCGGCCAGGCAGGGTGGGTACAGCCTGTGACCCTGCTGTCATACGCCTGTTGGAGCTACCCCATCCCTTCCTCTCATCCTGGTCCCTCCCCCTGCTCTGGCCACTCCCCTGTGGTTCTCTGAGACCCCCCTCTCCGGCTCTCCCACCTGCACCCCCTGGCCCACTGTCACTTGACCTATGTTAGCTGTGAGAGGTGGCCTGTGTGCCTAAGCCTGCGCTTGAGTGTGCTGCATGAGAACGTGTGTGTGCAGGAGCACCTGTGTCAGGAGACAGAAGCACTTACCTGGGGACTGAAATATCTGAAGGGACTGGGAGGTGCAGAGGGTGGGGCTGGCAAGGACAGTGGGGTCTGCAGAGCTGGGACAAGGATGGGCTTCTGTGCCCAGCCTCCCGAGCCAAGCTTGGAGCTTTGTGGTGTCCCCCATGGTAGAAACCAGTCCCATCAACTTCCCAGGATTCATCCACCCACCTCCCACTATGACCCCCACCCCACCCACACCACCTGCCTGACTCGCCAGGCAGCCGTCCAGGGATCCACTCCTTCCTCTGCCTCTGTCCACCTGTCCATCCTCTCGTTGCGTGTGTCTGCCTAGGGGCCTGGGCCTTGTTCACTGTGGGCCCCAGGAAGCTGTCAGTGCGTGGGCTGCCCACAGGCAGGGCGTCCTCTGCCATGGGATTCTCAGTGGTCTCATGTGAGGTTTCAAGGTTCTGTGTGTGACTTCCTGGTCTGTGTGTGGCTGTGTGACTGTGTGTGTGTCCGTCCGTGTGTGCCAAGTGTGCACCACCCCACGTATGCTTCATAGAAATTCCAAAGGAGGGCAATGGGGTGGGGAAACTGAGGCACCTTTTTTTTTTTTTTTTTTTTTTACAATGTGTGAGATCCCTGGGCCGGTGGTGGTCAGCTCTCTTACCTCCTGCCACCCACCTCAGAGTCGAGAGGTGAGGGAGGAGACCCATGGGTGTACATGGGGGCTATGGCTGAAGGAGGCAGGTGGGACCCTCCTAGTGCTGGCTGGGGGACTGGGCCACAGGCAGGGGCCTTGAATCACTGGGAGGATGAGACCCTGGGGATACTCCTCAGAAAAGGAAACGGGGGCTTGAGCTGGGCCCTGGCCTGTTAGCACCGCTGACCCTGGTGGTCAGATATCTGCTGAAGGGACAAATGCATTCACTCCTCACTGGCCGGGTGCCATTCGTTTGTTCATTCATTCAGCCATTCACTCATTTTCTCCTTAGTTCATTTATCAATTCATTTGTTCCTTTGTTCAATCATATGTTCATTCATTTATTAATTTGTCCAGTAAATCATTAGTTCATTCATGCATTTGTTTGATTAATCACTAGTTCATTCATTCATTCATTCATTCATTCCTTTGTTCAATCATTTGTTCACTCATTGATTCCTTTGTTCATTCATCCAATCAGTTCAGTCACTTGTTTGTGCATTTATCCATTCATTTCTTTGTTCATTTGTCCAATCATTAGTTTATTCATTCATTAATTTGTTGAGTAAATCATTAGTTCATTCACTCATTTGTTTGATTAATCACTAGTTCATTTATTCACTCATTTGTTCAGTTAATCATTAATTTATTCATTCATTTGTTTGGTCAATCATTCGTTCATTCATCCATGCATTCTCTAGACAACCATGAGGCTGGCTGAGCCAGGCAACGGGGCTCTATCCCTGGAAACAGCCAGGTCCAGAGCCATTCAGCCTGGAGGGAGGAGACAGCCCTGTTTCCACCTCAGGCCCATCACCAGCCAGGAGCCGGTGGCCACCATCTTGGGCAGAGCTGACTTGTGGGATGGTGACCCCAGAGCCATGGGCTGTCCCTGGAGGTGGGAGCTCCCCATTGCTGGGGAGGCTACAAGAATGTCCTGTGGGTGTCAGCTGGATACAGAGTACTGGGCCTGAGCCCCATACCCCAATCCAGCTGTGGCCTGCACCAAGGGCTGAGAGCCAGTCTCAGGGCCCCTCCTCTTTGTCCTGTCTCCCTGCTCTCATCCCCACACTGCAGAACCCAGGAAATAGAGATTTCCCGCAGTGTGGCAGATGGTTTGCAGCCTGTATGTGAGGGGCTGGCAGCTCATCTCCCGGATAAGGACACTGAGGCTGTGAGGGGTGAGGGAGGACCCATGGGGCAGGGGAGGAGCTGGAGGGGACAAGTGGGACTCAGTCACCCACGTGGTCTCCCCTGGAGGAAGCGGGGGCCCAAGCCCAGTGCTGGGGGACTCTGGGTGGGGCTGTGGCCCTGTCCACCAGCCTGGCTCCCATGTTTGAGTGGCCTGGGCCTCCGAGGCTGCCCCCAAAGTCTTATGAGGGACCCTGACCCTTAGTGGTCCCCAGCAGGCCTGCTCCCAAACACAGGGCTTCTGCCTCTTGAAGCCTCCATGCACTGGGATGCCTGGGGACAGGAGCTGAGATACTGGGCAGGGGCTCTGTGTGTCCCTGTGGGCTGTTGCGAAGCCTGGCAGGTACGGGGGTGTGGGAGGGCTGGCCCATGGGCCACTGCTTTGCAGGAAGAGGAAAGGGCATTGTAACCAAAGCTTCTACCCTGTGGAAGCCTCCTGGCCCATCTGCCCTCACCCTGTCCCTGCTCATCTCTCCTGGGCACAGGCTTTAATCATGGGAACCTGGAACCACAGGCCCCTGAGGACCACACTCCGGCAGGGAACACGCTTCTCTTTGTGAACTCTTAGTCACACTGCAAAGCCCATCTCAGAGGTCCCCTCACCTGGCTCCCCTTCCCTGACTGCAGCTCTGGATGCTGAGAGCTCCCTGGATCCTCTGTCCTGGGCCTCACCCACGGCTGCCTGCCCGCGTTCCCTCCTGACTGTGGGCCCCTCCCGGGCAGGGCGGAGGCTCGAGCCCCTGCCGCATAACAGAGTCCATGAGTGACCACTCTGGGAAAAACTGACTGAGCGGATGGATGGCAGTGGGGAAGCTGAGGCTGAGAGAGGGGAGGCACCAGCTGAAGCTGCTGGGAAGAGGGAGCCGTGGTGTCAGAAGGAGTCAGAGTCTGACTCCAGCCTCCTGGCAGGCCCTTCCTCCTCACCCGAGCCTGAAGACAAACAGCTCTTTGTGCTCTTCCAAGGCCACCTGGCAGCCCAGGCCATGCTCCTGGGGTCCTGCAGGGGAGGCAGCTGGATGCTGGGTGCCTTTGCCCAGTGAGACTCCCAGCGGGGCCTGGTGCTGAGTGGCCGCCCCGGGCATGCTCTGCGAGAGGAATGCTGGCCTGTCAGATCTGGCCCTCTGCTGGAATGCAGGAAACCAGGCCGGGCCTCCTGAGCTGAGAGTGCCTGGGGGCCTGAAGCCGCTGTCCTGAGTGGCTCTCCCGACAGGCCGAGGGACCTACAGGGCCAGCACTCACCCAGAGCCCCTCCTGGGAAAGGTGCCGGAAACTGGAGCGAGCAGAGGCCCAGGAGTCCAGGCCTGGGGTGCCGGGCCCCGGGTGCTGCCTGGCTCATGGCCCCAGCGAGAACGGCCAGTGCATCTGAACTTGGAGGCGGCAGGTACACAGGGAGACGCAAGTCCTACCCTCAGGCTACTGCCAACTCGCCGCCTCCAGGACTGACCTTTGCACTTCCGTAGTTGTGTCTGATGGCTCATTTTTATTCTCATTTTTGTAGAGATGGGGTCTTGCTATGTTGCCCAGCCTGGTCTCGCCATCCTGGCCTCAAGAGATCCTCTTGCCTCAGCCTCCCAAAGTGCTGGGATTATAGGCATGAGCCACTGCACCTGGCTTACATGGTCCAATTTTATAAAGAACCTGACTTAGTCCTTTTAGGCAGAACCCCACACCCTGGATATCTGCTCACCCTCAATGACATCCGATGGGGTCCCTTATCCTCCACTGTCCCCAGGTGATGTCTGATCACCCTGCCTGCCTGCAGCAAGGACCCTGTGAGGTGGGTTTAGCCAGACCCCCCTCAGCCCTGCTGTCTCCTCTCAGTCATTCCCACACACCGACCCCATGCTGCTCCTCGGCTTCCCCACCCACTGCCCTGCTGTGTCGGGGTTCAGCCCCATCTCCCCCAAGGCCCCAAGGCAGGGGCCCACACCCACGTGATGTGCCTTGGTGCAGTCTTCCTCACTGACGTTAACACGCATCATGAGGAATTTTTTCCTCACAGAGAGCATGGCAGCAAGTCCAGGGGATGACCCCGTGTCTCCATGCTGTTGATGGGCCATCCGGTGGCAACAGGAATGCTACTGTCCTGGCTGACAGCATGATGGGTGAGTGGAAGGGTAGATGACTCTGGCTGCCATGCTAACCCTGAGTCACCAGCCTACCCAGCGTCTAGGGGCACGGTCCTGCAGCAGCCTGGCCTCAGCCCCAGCCCCTGTGCCCCATCCCCCTCCATAAGCCCGGAAGGCCTCCCACCCTCTAAGCCTGGGGGTAGATGTGTCACGGAGGTTGCTTGTGTGGGCCCCTGGACAGGTGTGAGTGTGTGCTCTCCAACCTGTCTGCCATATGACTGTGAGCACAAGCATGTGCTCCCACCTGGTCTGTGAGCAGAGAAAAGGGATCTATGTGTGTGTTTACAGCTGTGGACTCTGAAAACAGTGGCAGGAGGTGCCATGCATGGGTGTGGGTGCACCCCATGTGTACTGGGCACATGCCTGCAGGCATCATGTCTCTGGGCTCATGTATGGACACTCTGCTTCACGGGCGTGTGCATGGACACGTGTGTCATAGCACCCTGCATCTGAGTCCATGTGAAGAGCATGGACGCGTTCGTGAAAACCAAAGGTCCCAGGCGCATGCCTGCAAGCACCATGTGTCCGGGGCTTGTGTATGGACACCCTTCATGGTTGTGTGCATGTGGCATGGGCACGTGCGTGGATGCTTGCATCGTGGACACCCTGTGTCTGAGTCCATGTGAAGGGCATGGGTACGTTTGTGGACACCTTGGGTCCTGGGCACATGCCTGCAGGCACCACACATCCTGGGCTCGTGTGCGAACACCTATTGTGGTTGTGTGCTTGTGGGCTCTTGCACTGTGGACACCCTGCACCTGGGCTGGTGCACAGAGCCGTGCACAGACATCTGTGCTCCAGGGCTCTCGGGCACCCACCTTGTCCCATGCCAGTACCCAAAGGATGCAGTCACTCCGCCCCACTTGCTCCCCTTCTCCTGCGGAAACATTGAATGCAGTCCAAGAGAAACTGCCTCCAGGCAGCGTTTCTAAAGTCCAGAAGAAGAATGTCCAAGATGCCGCAGCAGATAAGTCCATTCCCTTCGCGTTGTGTTTGTGCTTTTGTTCTTGCTGCCTCCGAGTCAGGCCGTGAATGTTTGAGAATGTGGTGGATGGGTGGGGTGGAGCTGCTGGTGGCACGAGGGGCGGCCGGGACAGAAGAGCCAGTCTCTATGCTAGAAGAGGTCAGCAGGGGCAGACTTCTGGGGACACCCTACATACCCTCAGCCCCTGAGTGGTGCCTTGAGGGCCTCGGGAACCCCCTGTGCCACCCCCAAAGTCTCTGGGGGAAAGCCGAATGGAAGAAGGGAATGGTCAGGGGGCTTCCTGCAGGAGGAGGTGCTGGCCAAAGGAGGATCCCACTGGGTTTGTGGATGTCAGGCTCAGAAAGGTCATGTACCAGACGGGGACCCTCAGGGCTCAGGCCTCCCAGCTCCTGCATTCTCCTCCTCCTCAGCAAGCACTCCCCTTCCCCCAGCCACATGGGCTGGAGACCCAGCAGGGCCACTGCCCCAAACTACCCACTAGCCTGTGGGCAATGGGACGGCTCTGGGATGCAGCCAGCCCCCGAGCTAGGGGTGAGGGCAGGTCAGTGCTGGCCTCTTCTGTCCTCCCAGGTTGGTGAGCACAGCAGGCACGGACCCACAGTCAGGGCTGGGGTGTCTCTGACCTGACCGTGGCCTTCCTGTGGCATCAAACCGCAGCCTTGAAAGGGGCTGGGGGTTCCTAGGCCCTTCAAGCCTGTGGCCTTCCTCTTCCCAGACACTCCCTGTCCTGGACCTCACTCTCTCGCTGCTCCTGGGCCCTAAGGCAGAAGAACTTGAGTCTCGGAGGCCCTTTCTTGGTGGGTCAAGCATGGAAGCCCAAGAACCCTGATGGCCCTCAGGGGACTGGAGGTGGAAAAGACCCCTAGCCGTCATTGCCTGCTCTTCCCCTTGCCCCTCTTCCCTCCCCAGACCCCAAAATGTGGGTGCTGCGGTGTCGCTGGCTCAGCTCCCTGGAAAGTGCTCATGGGACACTGCCTAGAGGCCAGCCTTGGGTGGCTGCAGGGGGGAAGTGACTGGAGGGAGAGTGGGGAAGGGGCCTGGGCTGGAGGTGGTCAGCAGGGGAGATGGGGACACAGGCTTTGGGAACCAGGAGTCGTATTCAGTCTCTGGCTTGAGGGCAGGGGAGCCTCAGGGTTAGAAGATGTTTTTTCTGATCATAAACGTACTATGTGCTCTTGCGGAATTCAGAGAACCAGGAAGAAGAGAACAGTCAGGCACTTCAGCCCCACCCGAGCCCCGCCAGCCTCGTTCCTCCCACCCGCTTCCTGCGAATTCCCGGAATTCCTTCCCCATCTCCTTTCTGAGCTGGGTGGGATCCAGGGCTCTGTGCTCCCAGCGCCATCTTAGGGCCTGGCTCCACACAGGGCTACACGGCCACCAGCCCAGCTGCCCCCGTGTCTTGGGTGGAACAGCAGCTGTTGTCTGACTGCACCAAGCAATCAGGGCTGGCAGCCTGGGGGTTCCTGCAGGGCCACCTGGACACCCCAGGGGCTTCCTGACTACCCGGCACTGGGCTCCAAGAGCAGGTTGGGGGAGAGAGAGAGGAAGAGACAGAGAGACAGAGAGAGAGATAGGGAGAGACCCAGAGAGAGATAGAGGGGCAGAGACAGAGAGAGACAAGAGGCAGAGACGAGAGATAGAGTGCATGGTTGGGAGCTGGGCCCACCTTTCGTCCAGACCTGGAACCTCCCATCTCCCTGCCCACCTGCATCACAAAGGTCCACCCAGCCCTGGGGGCCTCTCCTCCCTGATGGGAGGTGAAAGCAGTGAAAGGCTGGAGACTGATGGAGGTGTTGCTGTGGCCATTTCTGCAAGCCCGGTGTCCTCATGGTCCAAACGCAGCCTCCGCCATGACCCCCAAGCTGCACCTTCAGGCCCTGCTGGCCCCACCTTTAGAAGGACTCCTCACCGTTACTACTTGAAGACAGGTAGAGATGATGTGGGTGTGTTTGTCAGGCAGCACATGCTGTTTGCTTCACTGTAACTGTAGCTCACTTGGGGGACATTCCCAGCCTCCCCACTGCTGCAGCCCAAGGTCATCACAAATTCAAGGGCTGTGCTCCCCTGGGATGAGGCCCCCATGATGACAGGGAACCCTAGAACAGCTGTAGGCTCTGGAAGGCTCTTTTGCAGCCTGTCTGTGGGACACTGCATTCCCCATTCCCTGGGGCAGAAAGCAGGTGCAGGGTAAACAGGAAGGGACACTTGGAGCCCTTGCCAGGTGGCCCTCTCTCAGAACAACCCAGGCTGCCCCACCATGCTGTGTGTCCTGAGTCCTCCAGGCCTCTATCCTAACACCACCCTGGCATCTGCCTTCTCTGTCTGACCCTGCACACTCCAACACGGGGTCCCCCCAGGGCTGAGGCCAGATGCAGCCTCCCCGACTCCCTGCCTGCCCTGGGCCACTGCGGCTGCAGCCGCCGAAATGTGTGTTATTTCACCTGCTGGATCCCAGCATTCCAGGGCTGGGCTGAGGAAGGTCATAAAAATGTTGTGGTCACCTATATATTACTTTTATGCCGGTGCTTAACACGGCGTCTTTGACACATGTGCGGGAGCCCCGTCGTAAATCAGGCATGGGGTCCCCCTTGCACCCATGCAGGGGGTGGCGGGGCCTCTAGCACATGTGCTCGGCCCCCATGGCTGCCCTCCGGGGAGCTAAGCTCCAGGGCTGGTCTGGGGTGCAGCTGCAGGCGGCCTTGCCCAGCCTCCCACGGAGCCTTCCCTGGTACAAGGAGGGAGGCCAGGCTGGGGAGTCCCAGGCCAAGCTCATGCCAACTTGGCAGGCACACGTGTGTGTGTGTGTGCTCACACGTGTGCACGGGTGTGTGTGTGAGCATCGCTTAAGCACAAGCTGGCTCTCCCATCCCCTCCTGTGCAGTCTGTGCAGCTTCTTCCGCTGCTTGGAAGGGTCAGGACGACTTTTCCCCACCTGCCCAATCTGGGCCTG
Source organism: Homo sapiens (assembly GCF_000001405.40). Taxonomy (NCBI): domain Eukaryota; kingdom Metazoa; phylum Chordata; class Mammalia; order Primates; family Hominidae; genus Homo; species Homo sapiens. The sequence continues at coordinate 227,891,106 of NC_000001.11, read as the reverse complement.
GCTCCTCGGCCCCCTGGGTAGGCAGAGAAATGTATGTCATCTCCCCCAAACTCCAGGAGCACCTCTGGCTTGATCCTGGGGCTGAGGAAGCCATATAGAGTCAGAGCTCTCACCAGCTCTCTGAGCCTCAGTTTCCCCATCTGCACACAGGGTGGTCCCTGGGCTTGGGTGGCCACGGACAAGGTGGCTGAAGTGAGAGTGATCCCCTCCTTGGGTACCCTTGTCTCTGGTCAGGGACAGAGAGGTGGCTCACTGGACCTGTGGCCTCCCATGGAGGGCCTCAACAGGACACCCACGACCTCCGGCCTTCCTAACCTGCCCCGCACCTGCAGAAGGACTTTGCAGGTGTCTCCTGGATCCTATTTCTTTGTCTTGAGGTCCCACCCTCTTCTTTCTGCCCTGGAGGCCTGGAGCCTCCCCCTGGCTGGGGTGCGAGTGGATGGACAGTCCCTCTGGTGCCCCAGTGGGCACATGTAAGCACCACCCCTGGCCCTGGGATGCTGCAGCTGCACTCTCGGGGCCGTTTCCTCCCACAGCCATCAGTGTCTGGGTGTGCATGTGTGTGCCCGTATGCCTCAGTGGGCCCTGGGGCAGCTTCCCAGCAGCATAGCAGGTCACACCCATGGGTGCCCAGGAAATCATCCGCCAACAGACTTTAAGGGTATGTATTCTGGGCGCATAACCATGCACCCCCAACCCAAGTGAACTGGTTTCTGTTCAACCATTGTTTGCTGCCTCTGTGGTCGTCGTGGGTCAGGATTGGGGCCTGGCTTGGGCGGGGCATCTGCGAGGGGAATGGGCTCAAGCCCCCTCGAGTTGGGGCCAGCTGTTGGCCAGAGGCCTCGGTTTCTCTGCATGGGAATCTCTCTACGGTGCTGCTTGAGTGTCCTCATGACATGGCCAGTCCCCGGGACAACGACCGAAGCTGCAATGCCTCTGTGATGCAGCCTCAGAGGCCACGCACACCCCTTCTGCCTCTCTCTGTGGGTCCCTTGGGCCACCTCTGACCCAAGGCAAGTTAGAGTCTTCTAGAAAAAGCGTCATTTCTGCCAAGTCCTGCCCATGATGGCTGGGGGCTCTCCTTGCTGAGACTTCCAGACCCAGCATTCTGGACACAGGAACAGACACTGGGAGGCCAGGGACCCAGGGAAGGGTTCTGGAATCGTCCTGCCTTTGAGAGTCCCCTGGGTGCCTTGCAGGGTGGGATTGGTCCTTCCCTCTCTGGGGCACTCCCTCCAAGGGGCCCTAAAATTTCCGGTTGGTTCCTGCCGACCAGTTTCCTGCTTGCCCAGATGCTGTCCTGCTGTCCCGAGTAAAGACTGCTGGAAGCCTTTGGCATGGTGGAAGCCCTTCTTCCCCACACCCTCATCACTGAGACTGGGGCGGCGTGGCTGCCGGCATCCTCTGAGCCTTCCTTCTGGCTCCACAGCTCCCTCGAGAAAGGCCAGGAGGGGTCAGAGGTCCTCCCCAGAGCAGGATAAGGGGGGTTGCCCTAGGTAGCAGGGACAGTCGCTGGGAGTGGCATTTCTAGATCTGAGGGGAGAGTGGCTGGAGCATGGGGAGGGGCAGACCAGGAGGGGATGGAGGGAGGCAGTGTCCTGGGTGGCTCTGTGCAGCAGGTGGCTGCCCCCAGTGAGTGTCTGCAGCGAAGGGGAAAGTGAGGCTGGAGAGTGGCCAAGCCTCAGAGGCCACAGGGCAGCACCAGCCCCTACCTGCTCCACTCACCCCTCTCCCAGATGCATACCCTGAGCCCCTTCCCACCGTGGGTGCCACAGAGCCCCCAGAGCTACCTGGGAAGGGGTCTACAGTGGGGAGGGGAGTGGGCCACAGGGCCTCCCATGGGAGGTGCTAGGGCTGTGGTGCATGGGAGCAGCCCCCGCCCTCCCAGGCTCCTGGGTGCATGGGTAGGGCAGGGGAGTGGGGGGGTAGGGAGCGGGCAGGGCTGGTGGATAATGCTATCTGTAGCTGAGTGACAAGAGGATGGCCCTATCAGTGCTGTCGGAAGGACAGAGCTCCTCCAGGAGATAGTGGCCAGCGGTTGGTGGTGACACCTGATAATGCTGGCCTGACCAGGTCAGGGGGTGAAGAGCCAGCCCAGGACCCTCCGCCAGCTGCAGTCTTGCTCTCTGGGCTGTGGGCACCAGGATGTGGGCACCTGGGCCTTGCATGCCTGGGCCGTGGACACCTGAGCCATGCATGCCTGGCTTGTGGACATCTGAGCCTTAGATACCTGGGCTGTGGGCACCTGGGGCTTGGATACCTGGGCTGTGGACACTTGGGCTGTGGGCACCTGAGCCCTGGACACCTGATCTCTGGGCACCTGAAGCCTGGGATGCCTGAGTGCGTGTCTGGACTCGGTGGGGGTGGCAGGTCCCTGAGGCGCTGCAGGGGAGGCCGGGCTGGGCCTACCTACAGGGATTTGTTGACATTGCCTGTGTGGTGGGCAGGTAGGCGCTGAGATCAGCTCTGCAGGAAAACATAAACACCAGGGAACACCTGGGCTGTCACTTAGAGCAAGTGTTTGGGTGCTGGGAGTGCCTGTCCCATCCACCCACATCCTTGCAGTGCTGGGCACCCCTCTGGAGGGGAGGCCTGGGCCCTCACACAGGCCTGCAGGACCACATTATCCAGCACTGCAAGCCTAGTGGTGGGGGACACCTGCTCACAGAGGCCGACCCTTCTCCTACCCAACAGAAGCAGGATTCATCCTTGAGCTGCTGTGGGTTCAGGCCCCTCCCCTTCTTTGCCTGAGCATGGTCCACCGGCAGGGGTTACAGCCAAGAACAGGCACCCTGGGCCTTAGGTCCCAGGATAGTGGACCCCGTAAAGCTCCTTCGGGGCTGTGGAGGGAGGCCTGGGGGTGGCCACCATCCATCCCCTCCTAGCCTGGCCCCCACCGCCTTGGGGACCCGGTGCTTCCCTGTTTATGTGCAAAGTGTCGACGGGTCTCCAAGGCCCAGCATGAGCTCATTGGGCTCGACGCCCCCTCCCCATGAGTAGGAAGGCTGGTGGCCTGGCGAGGGGAGTTCCCGGAGGCTCCCAGCCTACAGCCCCCAGCGACACACGCATGCGCAGCACCCGCGCACACGTTTTATAAGGACATCGGAGGTGGCGTCTGCACTCCGCTCTGATGCATTTTATTAAAAAGGAAGAGGAGGGACAAAGAAAGAAAAATAAATGAGTGGCTCCCACAAGGACCACACACAGTGGCGCGGTGCAGCCCCGGGGGCAGGACCGGCCGCCTGGAAACCCTGACCCCATGGGCGGGCGGGCCACGTTAGCTGCGGTGGGGATGGGGTGAGGGGCAGACGGTGCCGCCGCCCCTGCCCAGGGCTCGACTTCGGGGTCTTAGCACGGTCTCTGGCTGCACGTTCCCCGCGCCCCGCCCGCCCTCATCACCACCTGGGTGCGCAAGGCCCTCCACGCCACGGCTGCCCTCCCCTTCCTGGACGCCCCCAGAGGGACCCCTGGAGGCCCTAAGCTCAGGGCGGGAGGGACTGGACCAGGCCAGGGAGGTGAGGGCCAAAGGGGCCCACAGCCCGGTCCCCACCGTAGACGTGAGCCTGGGAGCCCCAGCTGGGTGTCCCCTCCCCTCCCTGGTGACCCACACCACTCCGCTGACTACCTCCCCTCCCCCAGCAAGGCTGTGCACCGCGGGCGGGCCAGAAGCCAGGAAGCCCCTCTATGGGATGAAGGGGATTTGGAATCTTGGAGAGGGAGGAGTAAGGGGGCAGAATGGAGGAAGAGGGGGGGAAAAGCCCTTCTCAGGCCCCTCCCCTCGGGTGGGGTAGGGATTCGCCCCCACCCTCCCTGCCCGCGGGCCTGGCTTCCGGTTCCTTCTTCCACTCGGGGGTGGGGTCCCACCCTGCAGGGTCGGCGAAGGGGTTGGGCCCCAAGGAAGGCTGGCTGGCTGCAGCCCCGGCCCCAGTCCCCCGCCCCCTGCCCGGCCCAGGAGGGCGTCCCCAGCGCTGCTTCTGAGGGAGACAATCGCTGCGGGCTGCGTCGGAAAAAATGTTCTCATTGTGAACATAAACAGGCTGCCCGGTCTCAGCCAGATGTTCCTGGAGAATGTTTAGGATCCAGGCAGCGTATGAAATTCCCATCAAACTGTTATTAATCAGCAGGCATTTGTTGTCAACCCTGCCTGATACTCCTGGATGTCCTGGAAGGGCCTGTCCAGCCCCCCACCCCTGCAGCCAGCAGAGAGGCTCAGCGCCGGGGTGGGGGTCGGGGTCGTGGGTGGGGAGGTACCTGCGTGGGGAGGGCTGCAGCTGCCCGGTCCTGGACAGGGTGTCTGGAGCTCCCAGGGCGACCCCCAGGCTTCCCGGGCTCCCGTTCCGCCTCTCTCCACCCACCCTGTCACCGTCCGACCCAGCTGTTTCCAGGGGTTCTGGACAGCTCCGCGGTGATCTCTTTTATGGGGTGGGAGACTTGTAAAGACGCAAGAGCCCCACTTAGGAGCTGAGAAGCTTGGCTGGCTCTGCTGCTCAGGAGGGGAGCACCATAGGCCTGGGGGAAGGTGGGGGAGAGGCCTGGGGGGAACAGTCCTAGGGAGGGAGCATCCGGGGAAGGGGTCAGCGGAGAGGTCTCGGGTGGGGGAGGCTGGGCAGGGGAGAGGTCTGGGAATCCCAGGAGATCCAGGCAGCCCTATCTCTGTGACTGAGCTGGTGGGTGGGACCCTCCCACCTGGAGCCCCATGGGGGTCCCTCTGCAGGATACCCCTGGCCCCGCCTAAGCTCTTGCTGCAGCCACGGAGCCCCCCACTGTCCCCTTGGCCTCAAGCCTGCCCCAGGGCCACAGGGGAGTCCCAGCCAGTCTGTTGGACAAGGGAGGGCGCAGGGAGGGACCCCAGCTGTCTGGTGCTGACTGGCTTACAGATCATGCTGTGTTTATGCCAGCTCTGGACAGGCTGGGGCCAGGGTAGAGCCTGAGAACAAGGGACTCCCTTGCCCCCCAGCACAGTACTAGGCTTACTTCCCAAGTGGTTGGGGGACACGGGCCCCACCCCATTTTGCTCTTCCTGTAAGCAGACAGGAGTGACTGCCCACACCCCGGGGTCCAGTCCTGCCCTGACTACCCTTGTCTGTAATGGCCCAGGTTGGGTGGCCACTGGCTGCCCCCAACAGGTAAGTTCTCACAGGCTAGACTGGGCCTGCCTCCTCAGCTGGCCTCGGGCCACCATGGCTGACTCATGGCCTCTGGGTGAACAGCGGAACAGGAACAGCGTGGGATCGGCTCATGGGTTGGGTCCTGGCTGCAGTCAAAAAATGGCTTTTTACCGGGAGGGTCTGTTTTGGTCGTTAAACTACTGAGGAGAGGCCAGTAGACCTGCCTGCGAGTCTGGTGGGTGAGGAGCTGTCTATGTGATTAGCTGGGCTGCCGGCAACGTGGGCCTGTCTCACAGCCCCTGCAGGGTCACAAGGGGTGGTGAAGGGGTCCTGCTGCCCTCTCTTTACCCATCTCCCTGGGGCAGGGGCTTTGCTCTGGCCCCAAAGGTCACAGGGAGGCCATCCTGGGTGCCTAGCACTTATTAAGCACAGACAGTGTGCAGAACCCTGGCGGAGGAAGGGCGGAGTCCTGTTGTGAGGGTTGGAACCTCAGCCTGGCCTGCATCCGGACCTCCCCACCACAGGCTGCTCACCTGCAAAGGGGGGCCACACCTGCCTCTGGGGTCTCAGATTGAGACCCTATGGGACAGCTGGCCTGTGGTCTGCACACAGGCATGTATTTGAGTCTGCAGCGGTGGTGCAGACAGAGTTCTGGGCCTGCCCTGCTCACAGCAGCTGCACCCTCCGCCTGCCCTCTGCTGCACCTGGGCCCCTGAACTTCCAGGGCACAGGGAACAGGCAGCGCCCCACAGGAGGCTGGCAGGAGAGCAGGGAGGGTAGGGTGAGGAGCGGGGATGACAGAGGGAGGGGGCCTTCGGGGGTTCCCATGAAGGGGGTGGGTGGGTGAAGAGAGGGGCCTTGGGCGGCTCCCAAGGAGTAGACAGAGGGAGGACAGGAGCTTTCCAACAGAGTTGTGGGTGGGTGGGGGTCCCATGGTCCCAGGGACAAGGTGAGGAAAGGGGCTTTCAGGGGGGTCTGCAGGGAGGGGTCAGGTCTAGGTGAAGAGGCAAAGAGGTCTATCACTGGGCATGGGAGTTGGGGGGCACCAGGGCCAGTGGGCCTCTGACTCACGGATCCCCCTCCCCTCCAAATGTCCTACCCGATGCAGAGATGCCTTGAACGCCCTTGTGGGTGGGGGTCCTGCAGCCCCTCCTCTGGGCTTCCTCCTGCGGTGTGGGCGGGGGACTCTGAGACCTCCTATCTGTGCACACAGGAGTGATGGCCCCTGCAGGGAGGCCTGAACAGTGCTCACTCAGGAACAGCTAATGTACTCCTGATTCCATGCGCGGGCCCAGATGGGCAGCCCAGCCCAGGGCACCCCAGACTGGGGGTGGAGGGGTAGTGCAGCCAGCTCCCTGGGGTGCCCTTGTCCCCCTGCCCTGCCCCGCCTCTCCACACGGGCAGGACAGGAACAGGACCGGACTTGGACGAGGCTAGGCTGAGGGGGAGGGGCCAAGACTGATGCCCACGATGAACATCAAGGCCTCCAGGGGTCTCCAGGCTGCAGTGTGTCGGTCTCCCCATACCATCCTGTCCATCGGGCTACAGGTGGACCCTGTGCACACACCTTCCCAGCCTCCCCGGGGACCCACCAAGGCTCTGGTCACTTGCCCAGGTGACAGGGGCCAGGAGATGTGGGCCTGTTGCCGTGGGCTCCAAGTGGCATCCATGTGGGGATGACCTCACGACACAGCATACTACGGTCCCATCTCACAGAGGAAATGGTCCTCAGAGAGGCTAAAACAGCTTGGTGACACCCAGGTGAGGGGCAGAGGGGGATTCAGACTCAGTGGCCCCACCTCTGGCCACACTCACTCTAGACAAGACTCGCTCCCAGGAGGAGGAAGGATGAATACCAGTGGCTGCCATGTGAGCCCAGCCAGCTGGCTGGCATGCACCGAGTGTCTACAGAGACGTGGGGATGCCAAGCAGACCCCATGTGCGTGGGCAAGTGAGGCTAGGAGGGGCTGAGCAGTTAGCTGAGGCTACCTGCAGGTGGGGGTGGGCAGAGGTCCCTGGAAGTAGGGCCAGGCGGACACTCCAGATGATGGGGGTCCGGGGGTCCGTCGGGGCCAGAGCTAGGGATGGGCACACAGGGAGCTAGGGATGCGCACACAGGGAGCTAGGGATGGGCAAACAGGGAGCTAGGGATGGGCACACAGGCTCCGTGCAATTGGTACTCAGAGGACCATGAACAGAGCCAGCGCAGCTGCCCCAGCCCTGAGAACCGGAAACACTGGCTTGGGCGGCCAAGGAAACACTGGGCTTGGTTGGGCCTCTCTGGCTTGGGCTGCGAGCCCCAGCCCAGCTCCTGAGGCCTTCAGCTGGTGTCCCCAGAAGAGTCAACCAGACCTGGTGAGCCAAACTGCTTTATTCTGCTCTCCGGCTTTTCTAGCTTCTGTCCTTGAGGTTGGAGTACCCCATGAGGACTCTGATTCTTGATTTAATGGATCTGTGGGAAAGGGGTGGTCTTGCTTCACCATCAGGAGCCAGAGAGCCCTCCAGAGACCCCAGTGACCACACCTGAAGCCAAGGCCTGGACACCCGTGCTGGCCCAGCCAGTCAGTGTGCCTCAACCTCTGACCTCCACGTCACTGGGCCTGGTGGGTGAGCCCCTTCCCCTTGGCCCCACCTCTCTGCTCAGGGCAAGAACCCCCCAGCCTCGCCTCACCCCTTCACTCGGGGTGAGACCCCCAGCCTGGCCCTGCAGGCTCACGTGGAAAAGCAGCAGGCTGCAGTGAACGCCCAGTGGTGGCTGAGGAGAGCGTCCCCGCAGGTGGGCAGGTGGGGTGACCCAGGAACTGCAGGCTGACCTGCTGCAGCCACCTGGCCAGAAGTGCATCCAAGCCCCCATGGCCTTGTGTTTTCGGTGCATGGATGCATGCTGGGGGCAGGAGGAGGGAGACACAAGGGAGATGCCTGGCAGCACGAAGTGTTCATGAAGTTCCACCTGAGAAAGGAATCACAGCCTCCCCTCACTGCTTGCCTGACTCTCAGATTTCAGACAGCTGTGTGTCCCTGCCTTCTCCCCTCTTCTCTGCCCTCTCTTGTTCCTCTCGCCCCATTCTCACTGGGATGGGAGTCAAGCCATGGCATGACTGTTTTCAGCAGTATGCATGGTTTTATGATTTATGATTTTATAAGATGTGGGTTTTGCATGTTTTCTGCATTGATTCATGAGTGTACATTTTTTGGAGTTCTGGTTGTGGCTGTTACTATTGTAAATTGTGTCTTTTTTTAAGTATATTTTCTAATGGTTTATTGCCTTATAAAATCTAAATGACTTTTGTATATTGATCTTATATCCAACCACCTTGCTATAAACATTTTTTAGCAACTCTTTCCAAAAATAAGGATTTTTGAAAACAATCTTTTATATGTTTATTTCTAATTGAGTTGTTTTGTAGTCAGAGACCTTGGTCTATATAGTATATGCTGTTGGAAATGTGTTGAAAATGGTTTCGTTTTTGTTTTTGCTTTTTGAGACAGGGTCTTACTCTGTCACCCAGGTTGGAGTGCAGAGATGTAATTATGGCTCACTGCAGCCCTGACCTCCCAGGCCCACATGATCCTCCCACCTCAGCCTCCCGAGTAGCTGGGACCATAGGTGTGCATCACCACGTCTGGCTAATTTTTTGTTATTTGTAGGGATGGGGTCTCTCTATGTTGTCCAGGCTGGTCTTGAACTCCTGGGCTCAAGCAATCTTCCTGCCTCGGCCTCCCAAAATGCTGGAATTACAGGCATGAGCCACCACACCCATTGTTGTTGGGGCAGAATTCTGTTCACATTTATTAGGTCAAGTTTATGTGATAAGAGCCTTTTCTCAGAGAGCACTGACTCTTTGCAATGTATTCTCTCTTAAAGTCTATCAGGTGAGATATTCAAATAATTGTACCAGTTTTCTTTTAATTAATATTGGTCTGATATATTTTTCCCCATATATTTGCTTTGAACTTTTCTGCATTCTACTGTATTGATGTGTTTTTTGAAAATAGCATATAGCTGGGGGTTGTAGACTTAAAAAAATACTTTGACATGCTCTTTCAGGTGGTAAGAATAGCTCATTTGTTTTTACAGTGATTATTGATATCTTTGGACTTGTTTCTATCATTTTACATTTTATTTCCATTGTAACCAAATTTTCTGTTTGTTTGTTTTTACTTTCTTGCCTTGTTTTTTTAAACAGAGATTTTTGTTTTAACCCTTTTCTCATTTGCCCTGAGAATACTTGCCGCCAGCACTTGCGGCTGCAACATTTACCGAGATAACTTTACCACGAAATATTCAACTTTTATTATTATATTCACATCGCTCTAGTTGATTGACTTTGGAAACAAGAGACATCATTCTATTTATAGCATTCTGTTTTGGGTAGTGGTATTTTCATTTTCAAAATATAGTAATTCTTGATCGCTGAAAATGTCAAATCCTAGAAAATATAGGATTCCTATGCGTGATGTCAACATTGCTCTCAAACAGTTGGCTGAGGATTCATTTGATGAATCTGATTTTTCTGAAATGGACGATTCTGATAATTCAGATGATTCTGATGTTAGTTCTGTTTCTAAATAACTTCAAGAACAATTTGTGTATTTTATTTTCACATTGAAAATCAGTCATATTTGCTTCAGCTTCAAAGAGTGTGATTATGTAAAATTAAATGAGCGCTGGCTATGAGCCGCACTTCCTTTTTCTAAATGGGAAAAGGGTTAATATTCTTTCCCCTTTACTGATTTTTCTCTCCATATGTGTTTTAAATGTATATATGACCATTCTATTCTTTTATTAATGTTGCTCCTTGAGCTATTACATACATATTTCCAGTTCATAAAGATTTAAACAACATTCGACCATTCCCAAGGCAATAAAAGGACTTTAGAACATTTTAGCTCCAACCATCCCTTCCCAAATTAATCTTATTGAGTATTTTAGTTCTGTCTTTAGCCTCCCAAATGCTGACTTATTATTTTATAGATGATGTTTGGATTTATCCACCTCTTTACCATTCTATTTGTTCACCATTCCTTCTGGCACACTGGACTGTCCTCAGATTATTTTCCTTCTTCTTGAAGCATGTACGGTAGAAACCCCTTGAGAGCAGGCTTTTGATGTTAAATCCCCTCCATTTCCATTTATTTTGAAAAGATTTTATTTTGCCATTGTCTTACAGAAATAGATTTGCTCAATATACAATTTTAGATTGACAATTTATACAATTTATTTCCTCTCAGCACTTTGTAGCTGTTATTCTAATAAATTGATTATCCATTATTGCACAACAAATTACATAAACACTGATGGCTTCACACAGCAATAATGATTTATTTCTTTCTATGGTTTCTGTGGATCAGGAATTTGGGAGTGACTTGGCTGGTCTGTTCTGCCTCATGCTGTATCATGAGATTGCAGTCAGATGTTGGCTGAGGCTGCAGCCTTCTAGAGGTTGGATTGGAGGAGCTGCCTCCAGCATGGCTCACTCACATGGCTGTTGGCTGGAGGCTGCAGTTCCACTCCGAGAGGACTTCACCACAGTCTGCTTGAGTGATATCGCTGTACGGTGGTTAACTTCCTCCAGGATTTGCAACTCAAGACACCAAGGTGGAAGCTTCAGTGCCTTTTATGATCTATCCTTAGAAGTCCTACATCATCACTTCCTCAGTACTTTCTTGCTCACACAGGAGTGACCCCATCCAGTGTGTTGTGAGGGACTACACAAAAGCATAGATGGCAGGAGGTGAGGATTATTGGAGGCCATCTTGGAGGCAGGTGATCATGTTGCTATTGTTCAGAAGTCTACAAGTCTTTTCCTTATAGGTGATTCTCCCTTCTCTTTGGGTTCTTGCAAGATATTCTCTTTGTTGATGATACTCTTCAACTTTACCATAACATGTTTAGGTGTAGAATAATATTGTGTTTCCTTGATCTTTGGATGCATATTTTTCATCAGTTCCAGAAAATTATCTTAATACATAATTCTTTTAATGTATAATACATTATTCTCTTAATGTAAATTCTTAAATTCTTACCATCTTCTTTAGAGATTTCAAACAGACACATATTAGATGCTGTCATTGAATCCCCTCATGTCTCTTACTCTCTCTTTCATGTTTCTCATCTTCCCGTCTTCTCTGGGTTTTCTTCTCCTCTACTACTTCTCTCTTTAACTGTGTGTAGCCTGCTGAACCCATGTACTGTGGGTTTTTTTTTTAATTTAAGCAATTATATTTTACATTTTTGAGGTTACATTATAAAAACCAACTCCATTAATTCCTGAAGGTTTACTTTTATATGCTGTTTTTGTAATTGCATCCTTCATTTCCCATTTTTAAAATCATTTTTGAGAAATAACATCCATGCAGAAAATTTCATAAAAGAAGATTGTACAGATGAAAGAGTGATAACAAAAGAAATATCTTTATGATGGGAATGCCACCTGGATCAGGACAGAATATACTCCTAGCACCCTAGAGACATTCTGGTGCCCCTCCTGAGAACTCCTTCTTCCCTCCTCCTTGTCACTTCCTCTGGGTGACCACTATCCTGAGCTTTATAAAATACTTTCCTCACTTTTCTTTACACCTGTGTTCCTAAATACCAGTCTAGTCTTGCTTTTGTTTTGAACTGTACATAAATGGAATCATACAATGTATATTCTGTTGTGTCTAGCTTCTTTTGCTCAATATTAGAGTTATGAGATTCATGCATATTGTCGCTTGTTGTTTTGAATTGTTTGTTTTTATTGCTGTACCACTATTTTTTTTTTCTTTTTCTTTTTTAGAGATAGGATCTCACTCTGTCACCTATGCTGGAGTAGTAGTGATATGATCACAGCTCACTGCTGCCTCAACCTCCTGGGCTCAAGTGATTGTCCTACCTCAGCCTCCCAAGTAGCTGGGACTACAGGTGCATGTCACTACACCTGAGTAATTTTTAAATGTTTTGCAGTGATGAGATCTCGTTATGTTGCCCAGGCTGGTCTCAAACTCCTGGCCTCAAGTGATCCTCCCATCTAAGGCATGAGCCACTGTGCCCGGCTGCCATTATTTTTAATGCCTTATTCTGTTGCTGGATATTCGGTTATTTTCCTTTTTGGGACAGTTGTTAATAATGAGGCTATAAATATAACTTCTCCACATTTCTTGCTGTATATGTGCACATATTTCTTTTTTTGGATATACTTAAAGATGGAATTACCAGGTCAAATAATAGATTCATATTCACCTTGAGTAGATAATACCAAACCATGTTCCAAACCAGTTGAACCAATTTGAACTCTTACGAGCAGTGCATGAGATTTTCACTTGCTTCCATTCTTGCCAATACTTGTTATTGTCTGGGTTTCTTTCTTTTTTTTTTAATATTAGGTATTTTGGTGGGTATGTAGTTTTATCTTATTAGAGTTTTAATTTGCATTTCCCTGATGTGTGCATATTGGTCATCTGAATATACTCTTTTGTGGTGTTCATTTTAGTCTCTTATCCCTTTTTATATTGAGTTGTCTTTCTCTTGTTGATTTTTTTTGAATTCTTTATATTTGTCAGTTTTATGAGTTACACTTTTTTTAGATTTGATAGGTTTTCACTCTCTTAATAGTGTCTCCTGATAAACATAAAAATTTAATTACAATATAGTTAAAAATTTCAATAATTTCCTTGATGACTACTCCTTTTTGTGTGTACATGTATCCTTATTTTATTTAATTTCTTTAAATTATTATACTTTAAGTTCTGGGATACATGTACAGAACGTGCAGGTTTGTTACATAGGTATACATGTGCCATGGTGGTTTGCTGCACCCATCAACCCGTCATCTACGTTAGGTATTTCTCTTAATGCTATCCCTCCCCTAGCCCCCCATCCCCCGACAGGCCCTGGTGTGTGATGTTCCCCTCCCTGTGTCCATGTGTTCAACTCCCACTTATGAGTGAGAACATGCAGTGTTTGGTTTTCTGTTCCTGTGTTAGTTTGCTGAGAATGATAGATTCCAGCTTCATCCATGTCCCTGCAAAGGACATTAACTCATCCTTTTTTATGGCTGCATAGTATTCCTTGGTGTATAGATGCCACATTTTCTTTATCCAGTCTATCATTGATAGGCATTTGGGTTGGTTCCAAGTCTTTGCTATTGTGAATAGTGCTGCAATAAACATACCTGTACATGTGTCTTTATAGTAGAATGCTTTATAATACTTTGGGTATATACCCAGTAATGGGATTGCTGAGTCAAATAGTATTTCTAGTTCTAGATCCTTGAGGAATCACCACAGTGTCTTCCACAATGGTTGAACTAATTTACACTCCCACCAACAGTGCAAAAACGTTCTTATTTCTCCACCTCCTCTCCAGCATCTGTTGTTTCCTGACTTTTTAATGATTGCCATTCTAACTGGCATGAGATGGTATCTCATTGTGGTTTTGATTTGCATTTCTCTAGTGACCAGTGATCATGAGCTTTTCTTCATGTTTGTCAGCCACATAAATGTCTTCTTTTTTTTTTTTTTTTTTTTTTTTGAGACGGAGTCTCGCTCTGTCGCCCAGGCTGGAGTGCAGTGGCGCGATCTCGGCTCACTGCAAGCTCCACCTCCCGGGTTCACGCCATTCTCCTGCCTCAGCCTCCCGAGTAGCTGGGACTACAGGTGCCCGCTACCACGCCCGGCTAATTTTTTGTATTTTTAGTAGAGACGGGGTTTCACCGTGTTAGCCAGGATGGTCTCGATCTCCTGACCTCGTGATCCGCCCGCCTCGGCCTCCCAAAGTGCTGGGATTACAGGCGTGAGCCACCGCGCCCGGCCAAATGTCTTCTTTTGAGAAGTGTCTGCTCATGTCCTTTGCCCACTTTTTCATGGGGTTGCTTTTTTCTTGTAAATTTGTTTAAGTTCCTTGTAGATTCTGGATGTTAGCACTTTGTCAGATGGATAGATTGCAAACATTTTCTCCCATTTTGTAGGTTGCCTATTCACTCTGTTAATAGTTTCTTTTGCTGTGCAGAAGCTCTTTAGTTTAATTAGATCCCATTTGTCAATCTTGGCTTTTTTTTTTTTTGCCATTGCTTTTGCTGTTTTAGTCATGAAGTCTTTGCGCATGCCTATGTCCTGAATGGTATTGCCTAGGTTTTCTTCTTGGGTTTTTATGGTTTTAGGTCCTATATTTAAATCTTTACTCCATCTTGAGTTAATTTTTGTATAAGGTGTAAGGAAGGGCTCCAGTTTCAGTTTTCTGCATATGGCTAGCCAGTTTTCCCAACACCATTTATTAAATAGAGAATCCTTTCCCCATTGCTTGTTTTTTTCAGGTTTGTCAAAGATCAGATGGTTGTAGATGTAGGGTTATTTCTGAGGCTTCCGTTCTGTTCCATTGGTCTATATATCTGTTTTGGTACCAGTACCATGCTTTTGGTCACAGAAGGCTACAGTGAGTACAAGGCTACGTAGTATAGTTTGAAGTCAGGTAGCGTGATGCCTCCACCTTTGTTCTTTTTGCTTAGGATTGTCTTGGCTATATGGGCTCTTTTTTGGTTCCATATGAAATTTAAAGTAGTTTTTTCTAATTCTGTCGAGAAAGTCAATGGTAGCTTGATGGGATAGCATTGAATCTATAAATTACTTTGGGCAGTGTGGCCATTTTCACAATGTTGATTCTCCTATCCATGAGCATGGAATGTTTTTCCATTTGTTTGTGTCTTCTCTTATTTCCTTGAGCAGTGGTTTGTAGTTCTCCTTGAAGAGGTCCTTCACATCCCTTGTAAGTTGCATTCCTAGGTATTTTATTCTCTTTGTAGCAGTTGTGAATGGGAGTTCACTTATGATTTGGCTCTTTGTTTGTCTGTTATTGGTGTATAGGAATGCTTGTGATTTTTGCACATTGATTTTGTATCCTGAGACTTTGCTGAAGTTGCTTATCAGCTTAAGGAGATTTTGGGCTGAGACAATGGGGTTTTCTAAATATACAATCATGTCATCTGCAAACAGAGACAATTTTGCTTTCTCTCATCCTATTTGAATACCCTTTATTTCTGTCTCTTGCCTGATTGCCCTGACCAGAACTTCCAATACTATGTTGAATAGGAGTGGTGAGAGAGGGCATCCTTGTCTTGTGCCAGTTTTCAAAGGGAATGCTTCCAGTTTTTGCCCATTCAGTATGATATTGGCTATGGGTTTGTCATTAATAGCACTTATTATTTTGAGATATGTTCCATCAATACCTAGTTTATTGAGAGTTTTTATCATGAAGGGGTGTTGAATTTCATCAAAGGCCTTTTCTGCATCTATTGAAATAATCATTTGGTTTTTGTCATTCGTTTTGTTTATGTGATGGATTATGTTTATTGATTTGTGTATGTTGAACCAGCCTTGCATCCCAGGGATGAAGCCGCCTTGATCGTGGTGGATAAGCTTTTTGATGTGCTGCTGGATTCGGCTTGCCAGTATTTTATTGAGGATTTTCACATAGATGTTCATCAGGGATATTGGCCTGAAAATTTCTTTTTTTGTTGTGTCTCTGCCAGGTTTTGTTATCAGGATGATTCTGGCCCCATAAAATGAATTAGGGAGGAGTCCCTCTTTTTCTGTTGTTTGGAATAGTTTCAGAAGGAATGGTACCAGCTCTTCTTTGTACCTCTGATAGAATTTGGCTGTGAATCCATCTTGTCCTGGGCTTTTTTTGGTTGGAAGGCTATTAATTACTGCCCCAATTTCAGAACTTGTTATTGATCTATTCAGGGATTTGACTTCTCTCTGGTTTAGCTTTGGGAGGGTGTATGTGTCCAGGAATGTATCCATTTCTAGATTTTCTAGTTTATTTGTGTAGAGGTGTTTATAGTATTCTCTGATGGTAGTTTTTATTTCTGTGGGATTGGTGGTGGTCTCCCCTTTTTCATTTTTTATTATGTCTATTTGATTCTTCTCTTTTTTCTTATTAGTCTGGCTAGTGGTCTATCTATTTTGTTAATCTTTTCAAAAAACCAGCTGGTGGATTCATTGATTTTTTGAAGGGTTTTTCGTGTCTCTATCTCCTTCACTTCTGCTCTGATCTTAGTTACTTCTTGTTTTCTGCGAGCTTTTAAATTTGTTTGCTCTTGCTTCTCCAGTTCTTTTAATTGTGATGTTATGGTGTCAATTTTAGATCTTTCCCACTTTCTCCTGTGGGCATTGTGTTATAAATTTCCCTCTAAACACTGCTTTAGCTGTGTCCCAGAGATAAGTCCTGAATATCCTTATAATTTTCTGTCTCATTGATCTGTCTAATATTGACAATGTGGTGTTAAGTCTCCCACTATATTGTGTGAGAGTCTAAGTCTCTTTGTAGTTCTCTAAGAACTTGCTTTATGAATCTGGGTGCCCCTGTATTGGGTGCATATATATTTAGGATAGTTAGCTATCCTTTACCATTTATCAAATGCATTGATCCCTTTACCATTATGTGATGTCCTTCTTTGTCTTTTTTGATCTTTGTTGGTTTAAAGCCTGTTTTATCGGAGACTAGGATTGCAACCCCTGCTTTTTTTTTTTTTTTTTTTTTTTGCTTTCCATTTGCTTGGAAAATATTCCCCCATCCCTTTGTTTTGAGCATGTGTGTGTCTCTTCATGTGAGATGGGTCTCCTGAATACAGCACACAGATGGGTCTTGACTCTTTATCCAATTTGCCAGTCTGTGTCTTTTAATTGGGGCATTTAGCCCATTTACATTTAAGGTTAATATTGTTATGTGTGAATTTGATCCTGTCATTATGATGCCAGCTGGTTATTTTGCCAGTTAGTTGATGCAGTTTCTTCATTGTGTCAATGGTCTTTACAATTTGGTATGTTTTTGCAGTGGCTGGTACTGGTTTTTCCTTTCATATTTGTGCCTCTTCAGAAGCTCTTGCAAGGCAGGCCTGGTGGTGAGAAAATCTCTCAGCATTTGCTTTTCTGTAAAGGATTTTATTTCTCCTTTGCTTATGAAGCTTAGTTTGGCTGGATATTAAATTCTGGGTTGAAAATTCTTTTCCTTAAGAATGTTGAACATTGGTCCCCCCTCTCTTCTGGCTTGTAGGGTTTCTGCAGAGAGATCTGCTGTCAGTCTGATGGGATTCCCTTTGTGGGTAACCCTACCTTTCTCTCTGGCTGCCCTCAACATTTTTTCCTGCATTTCAACCTTGGTGAATCTGATGATTATGTGTCCTGGGGTTGCTCTTCTCGAGAAGTATCTTTGTGGTGTTCTCTGTATTTCCTGAATTTGAATGTTGGCCTGTCTTGCTAGGTTGGGGAAGTTCTCCTGGATAATATCCTGCAGAGTGTTTTCCAACTTCATTCCATTCTCCCCGTCACTTTCAGGTATACCAAACGTAGGTTTGGTCTTTTCACATTGGTCCCTATTTCTTGGAGGCTTTGTTTGTTCCTTTTTATTCTTTTTTCTCTAATCTTGTCTTCATGCTTTATTTTGTTAAGTTGATCTTCAATCTCTGATATCCTTTCTTCTGCTTGATCGATTTGGCTATTGATACTTGTGTATGCTTCACAAAGTTCTCATGCTGTGCTTTTCAGCTCCATTAGATCATTTATATTCTTCTCTAAACTGGTTATTCTAGTTAGCAATTCCTCTAACCTTTTTTCAGGGTTCTTAGCTTCCTTGCATTGGGTTAGAATAGCTCCTTTAGGAGTTTGTTATTACCCACCTTCTGAAGCCTACTTCTGTCAATTTGTCAAACTCATTCTCCGTCCAGTTTTGTTCCCTTGCTGGTGGGGAGTTATGATTCTTTGGAGGAGAAGAGGCATTCTGGTTTTTGGAATTTTCAGCCTTTTTGTGCTGGTTTTTCCTCATCTTCATGGCTTTATCTACCTTTGGTCTTTGATGTTGGTAACCTTCAGATGGGGTTTTTTTGTGGATGTCCTTTTTGTTGATGTTGATGCTATTCCTTTCTGTTAGTTTTCCTTCTAATAGTCAGGTCCCTCTGCTGCAGGTCTTCTTGAGTTCATTTGCCTGGGTATCACCAGCGGAGGCTGCAGAACAGCAAAGATTGCTGCCTGCTCCTTCCTCTGGAAGCTTCATCCCAGAGGGGCATCTGCCAGATGCCAGCTGGAGCTCTCCTGCATGAGGTATCTGTTGACCCCTGCTGAGGGGTGTCTCCTAGTCAAGAGGCATGGGGGTGAGGGACCCACTTGAGGAGGCAGTCTGTCCCTTAGCAGAGCTTGAGCGCTGTGCTGGGAGATCTGCTGCTCTCTTCAGAGCCGGCAGGCAGGAACATTTAAGTCTGCTGAAGCTGCACCCACAGCTGCCCCTTCCCCCAGGTGCTCTGTCCCAGGGAGATGGGAATTTTATCTGTAAACTCCTGACTGGGGCAGCTGCCTTTCTTTCAGAGATGTCCTGCCCAGAGAGGAGGAATCTAGAGAGGCAGTCTGGCTACAGCAGCTTTGTGGTGCTGCGGTGGGCTCTGCCCAGTTTGAACTTCCCGGAGGCTTTGTTTACACTGTTAGGGGAAAGCCACCTACTCAAGCCTCAGTAATGGCGGACACCCCTCGCCTCATCAAGCTCAAGTGTCCCAAGTCTACTTCAGACTGCTGTGCTTGCAGCAAGAATTTCAAGCCAGTGGATCTTAGCTTGCTGGGCTCCATGGGGGTGGGATCTGCTGAGCTAGACCACTTGGCTCCCTGGCTTCAGCCTCCTTTCCAGGGTAGTGAACAGTTCTGTCTCTCTGGTGTTCCAGGTGCCACTGGGGTATGAAAAAACTCCTGTAGCTATCTCGGTGTCTGCCCAAATGGCCACCCGGTTTTGTGCTTGAAACCCAGGGCTCTGGTAGTGTAGGCACCTGAAGGAATCACCCGGCCTGTGGGTTGTGAAGACCATGGGAAAAACATAGTATCTGGGCCGGAGTGCACTGTTCCTCATGGCAGGGTCCCTCACAGCTTCCCTTGGCTAGAGGAGGGAGTTCCCCAACCCCTTGTGCTTCCTGGGTGAGGCGACACCCCACCCTGCTTCTGCTCACCCTCTGTGGGCTGCACCTACTGTCTAACCAGTCCCAGTGAGATGAACCAGGCACTTCAGTTGGAAATGCAGAAATCACCCACCTTCTGTGTTGCTCTTGCTTGGAGCTGCAGACTGGAGCTGTTCCTATTTGGCCATCTTGCCAGGTCCCCTTAATTTTTTAATTTTAAATATTTTTTGTTTAGAGACATGGTCTTGCTTTATCACCCAGGCTGGGGTGTAGTAGCACAATCATCGCTCACTTCAGCCTCAACCTCCTGGGCTCAAGTCATCTGCCCACCTCAGCCTTCTGAGTATCTGGGACCACAGGTGCCTGCCAACATGCCTTGCTAACTTGTGCATCCTTTTAAAGAAATATCTGCCTATGATGAGGTTGTGAAAATACATTATATTCTCTTCTACAAGTTTTGTTCTGTCTTCACAGTTGGACCTAAATGTACCTGGAACTGACAAGTTGGGAGATAGAGGTCAAGTTTCATTATTTTTCCATATAAATGTTGAAAACACTTCTTTCTTCACTACCATGCAGAATCATTTTGGTTTTGCATCGTGTCCATATGCAGATATGACCATTTCTCAGCTCTCTATTCTATTGCATGGGCTTATTTGTTTATCCACACACCAATGTCCTCTGTCTTAATTACCGTAGCTTTGTTAATATCCCACAGAGGAAGTCACCCCACCTTGTTCTGCTTCTTCAAGTATGTCTTGACTTCTTTTGTCAGGGGACATCAGGCACCAAGTACATTCATCAGTGCCCCTTCCCCAATGGCGTGTCACCAGCCCCAACTCATGGTGCCACGTCCATCAGCCCTGCTGTCACTGTGACTCCTTTCTCTGCCTCAAGTGTGTCTTGACTACTTTTTCCTATAGAAGTTTTAGCATCAGGATCAATTTACACAACACAATGAAGTTTTTACTGCAATAGCATTTAATTTATAGACCAGTTTGAAAAGCGTTGGCGCCTTACAATACTGAGTGTTCCAACTCCTGACTATGTGCCTTAGTCTGTTTGTGCTACTGTAAAAGAACACCACACACTGGGCAATTCATAAAGAACAGAAATGTATGGGGTCGGGGGAGGGGGGAGGGATAGCATTGGGAGATATACCTAATGCTAGATGACACATTAGTGGGTGCAGCGCACCAGCATGGCACATGTATACATATGTAACTAACCTGCACAATGTGCACATGTACCCTAAAACTTAGAGTATAATAAAAAAAAAAAAAAAAAAAAAAAAAAGAACAGAAATGTACTCCTCCCAGCTTTGAGGGCTGGAAAGTCCAAGATCAAGGCACCAGCATCCAATGTGGGACTTTTTACTGTGTCCTCATATGGCAGAAGAGCGGAAGAGAGAAAACCCACTCCCAACAGGCTTTTTTACAGAGGCATCAATCCATTCATGAGGCCAGAGCCCCCAGGTCCTAAACACCTCCCCTTGGGCCCCACCTCCCAACGTTGCTGCAATGAGATTAAGTATCCAACACATGAATTTTGGAGGGGCATCATGACACAGCTCTGTTCATTGAAGGATTCTTTAATTTTTCTCTGTATCGTTTGTAGCTTTGTGGGGTAGAGATCTTGCACACATTTTGCTAGATTTATTCCTAAGTAGATGATGAAATTGTCTATTATCAATCATGATTTTTAAAAAATTATTGAAATGGTAATTGTTTTAGGTTGAGTTTATTGGTTTTGTTAAAGCAGATTTACTGAGCAAGGGTGTGTTCTCAGGAGAACAGCAGCAAAGTGGCGGGCAGGACAGAGGAGGAAAACTAAGCAGGATGTGGTCTCGGCTGGAGCCTGCAGGAAACCTCGTGCCCAAGAGCAGCTGGCAAAGTTGTTGTCATCTTCGGGCAAGGCAGCTGCCCTGTGCACCTCCTGCCAGGTCATTCATGACCATGGTCTGGTCTGCAGTGGGCAGTGGCATGGGGCCTCCCAGGCCAGGTGCTCCACCTGGTTCAGGCTGACACTTCTGAGGACAGCTGTGAGGGGCTGGCAGCCAACACTCACCACAGCTGGCACAGGGAGCATTGCTAGCTGGAGAGGATCTGGGCAGGAAACCAACAGCATCCACCACATCCTGGCTTCCCTGACCAAATGCACTCCATCTGGCCCAGCTTCCTCAGGGTTCTGGTGGGTCCCAATTCCTGAGAAGATGTTCAAATGGAGAGTCAGCGGGATAATAAAAGACAGATGAGCTGCTGCAGGTCGTCCTGAGGCCATAACAGATGCTCATCTCCCTCTTCCACCACCACGGCCCACTTCCCTTTGCTGATGGAGATGACCCAGTGCAGCAGCCCAGGGCCTCATCCCTGAGGAGTCTGTGACCCTTCATGGGCTATGGCACAGGGAGAGCAAGGGACATTGCACATCAAGTACATTCATCAGCACCCCTTCCCCCATGGCGTGTCACCAGCCCCGACTCATGGTGCCATGTCCATCAGCCCTGCTGTCATTGTGACTCCTTTCTCTGCCTAAAGTGATCAGGTGGAAGCAGCTGCTGTAAGTCCGCTGGAATCTTGCTGCATTTCCTGGTGGGTGTTTCCTCCCTATGGGAACTGTCTTAGTCCATTTGTGTTGCTATAAAGAATATCTGAGGGTGAGTAATTTGTAAAGAAAAGAAGTTTATTTGACTCATGGTTCTGCAAGCTGTATAGGAAGCACAGTGCCAGCATCTGCTTCTTGTGAGGACCTCAGAAAGCTTCCACCCATGGAAGGTGAGGTGTGGGGAAAAGCAAGAGAGATCAGATTGTTGCTGCGTCTGTGTAGAGAGAAGTAGACATAGGAGACTCCATTTTGTTCTGTACTAAGACAAATTCTTCTGCCTTGAGATTCTGTTAATCTATGACCTTACCCCCAACCCCATGCTCTCTGAAACATGTGCTGTGTCAAACTCAGGGTTAAATGGATTAAGGGTGGTGCAAGATGTGCTTTGTTAAACAGATGCTTGAAGGCAGCATGCTCGTTGAGAGTCATCACCACTCCCTAATCTCAAGTACCCAGGGACACAAACACTGCGGAAGGCCGCAGGGACCTCTGCCTAGGAAAGCCAGGTATTGTCCAAGGTTTCTCCCCATGTGATAGTCTGAATTATGGCCTCGTGGGAAGGGAAAGACCTGACCGTCCCCCAGCCCGACACCCATAAAGGGTCTGTGCTGAGGAGGATTAGTATAAGAGGAAGGCATGCCTCTTGCAGTTGAGACAAGAGGAAGGCATCTGTCTCCTGCCCGTCCCTGGGCAATGGAATGTCTTGGTATAAAACCTGATTGTACGTTCCATCTACTGAGATAGGGAAAAACTGCCTTAGGGCTGGAGGTGGGACATGCGGGCAGCAATACTGCTTTGTAAAGCATTGAGATGTTTATGTGTATGCATATCTAAAAGCACAGCACTTGATTCTTTACCTTGTCTATGATCCAAATACCTTTGTTCACGTGTTTGTCTGCTGACCCTCTCCCCACTATTGTCTTGTGACCCTGACACATCCCCCTCTCAGAGAAACACCCACAGATGATCAACAAATACTAAGGGAACTCAGAGGCTGGCGGGATCCTCCATATGCTGAACGCTGGTTCCCTGGGTGCCCTTATTTCTTTCTCTATACTTTGTCTCTGTGTCTTTTTCTTTTCCAAGCCTCTCGTTCCACCTAACGAGAAACACCCACAGGTGAGGAGGGGCAACCCACCCCTTCAATGAGGGGGAGCTGGTTTGTGCTGAGATCACAGAGTGAGAGAGGGAGACAGAGAGAGAGAGAGAAGGGAGGTGCGCCTAGGCCCCTTTTAACAACTAGCTCCCACGGAAACTAATAGAGCAAAAACTCACTTATTATCATGAGGATGGGACCAAGTAGTTCATGAGAGATGATCAAAACACCTCCTACTAGGACTCACATCCAACACTGGAGATCAAATTTCAATGTGAAGTTTGGAGGCAACAAACATCCAAAATATATCAGGAACCAAGATCTCTGGACCCACAAAACTTTAGGTTGCAGGGATGGGAAGCTCACATTCTCCAACTGGGACAGATAGTGAATGGAGTTACTCTTGTGTCTTTCCTTTAGTTCTTGGATCTATATATCCTACCATCTGGGGAGACAACCACATACAGTGGCCATTGGTTGAAGGTCTATACCATATTCTGAAAGTTAGCACCCTATCCTCATAGGGCTTTACCTCCAAGATGGAGTCTCAGCTGCACCTTCAAGAGGACAATCCACCCATCACTTTATCAGCTGGCAGCTTCCAAATGGTGCAGCATCTAGAGGGGCTGATGGATCCCATGGTCACATGCTGTGGAGTTAAAGCAGCTCCATCTTGGATGCCAATGTGCCATGTTGACTTCCACTTAACCTCAGTTCTGGGAAGGTGTCTAAGATTTTCACTTTATTGTTCTTTGTGTAAGAGCAGGTACTTACCATAAATCCTGCCCTTTGCCAAACAACCTTAATGTTATCATACTTCAGTTGTCCCACACAGCTCTTCTGAATCATGTATACTCTTTCCCTGTTTATGTAAGCCCTGGGTCTAGGGGGAATGGTATGGGGACTCACCATCTTGTCTCACCGCCACCATGACACAGACCTGGCTTCTGCTTGTAAGTCCTTATTAAATGTTTCTTCTTGAGAGACTGACTGGATTTGTCAGCCTCTTTCTTCTGTATTGATATTTATATCTATATCTATATCATCTCTATATCTATCTGTCTATCTATCTATCATCTACCTATATTTTTTTTCCTCTTGCTACTTAGCACATGTCAGCCTCTTTCTTTGGCCTCTCAACTTCTTCAGACTTTGGGGATAGGTGTGCATAGATCTGCCCACTGCAAAACATGTGCACTCTGTCATTGCTCACTTGCTTCAAAAGTGATCCCTTGATGAGGCTCGGTGGGATCCCATGTATGTCAATCAGACCTTCATGAGCTGTCAGAGGTTGGTGTTGGCTGAATCATTGCAGGCCAGAGAGGCAAACCCATTCTTGGGATATATGTCAGTCCTGGTCAGAATAAAATTTTGTCCAAGGTGATAAACTTGCCCCCAAATTTGTTGGTTGGTCTCTTCAAAAGATTGTACTGCACAGGGCCTTAGCTTTGGCCTCTCTTGCTGGCAAGTGGAGATTCAGGGGCAGCAACATCAGTGAAGTCAGTCTGGGGAGAGGAAGGGAGCCCACCCTGGAGGGCTCATGCCTGGTCTCCCTCTCTGCCCTCTGGGCTGCTCCATGACCTCATGGAGGCTCACAGGATGGCTGGGGACATAGGCTTGCTGATGTGCTGATGTCTCTGGGCCTGTCATCATGTCCTTCTAGTGGCTGGGTGCCTCTCCTGTGGTGGATGGTCTCAGTTGGGCTTTAGCATGCAATGAAATGTTCTCACACTTTGTACCCACTTCCATAAGTCCACTGGGTGTCTCTTCTCCAATCTTCTTGTCCCTGATTTTTTCTGGAAGTTGCTCCTTCCAGTCTCCTGACCAACCAGTTAAGCAATTTGCAGCTCATCTTTCACTAGATGTATTCCCTACAGCCTTATCTTGGACCACTTCTCTCTCGCACAAGGTGGATGCCCAAATGCCCTGCTGGGAGCTCCACCATTGGGAAGCTCCCCTCACCACTGACTTCAAGGCTTCCTCCTTCTCTGTCAGCCGGTTTTAAGGACCCCCGTGGGGCCAGGGGTGAACTGAGGAAAGGCATCCATACAATACTAGCAGGTGACACAGAGGATAGGGCTGCCTGTTTGTGTAGGTTACTGTGCCCTCTCAACCTGTCTGGACACAATCCCTATGTATCACAATGGTTAGAAGTTGGGCCCACCTAAGTTTATGACTTAGTGGGTCTGTCAGTACTCACCTCGTCTGGGGAAGCTTCAGCCACGTGGTCACTTGGTCAGTTGGCTGAATGCCTGATTTCTACTAAGCTCTGGTGGCATGCCCAGGACAGCATTTTAACAGTGGCTCAAGGGGAGGGGCTGCCCTGCCCACCTCCTATTGGGGCTGGTCAGATGCCCCACACAGGGTTTGTTTCTACCTTAAATCTACCTGGTACCATGGAATCTGCTGAGACATGCCATCCAAGTGGTGGGTCTGCTTGTACTGCAGCTGGAACCTGCACCTGGAGGTGTGTCTGCTCTTACTGCACCTGGAGCCCTTTCTTGCTCTGGGCACCTATGCAATGTAGTAGCATGGGCCATTTGGATCCACAGTGGTCAGTTTCCATTTGGACCCTGTGTTCAACAGCCCTTGAAGTATCTAGGGGTTTCCCTTTACCTAAGATAGGATTACCGTGGAAGTGGCCATAGATCCCACTGGGAAGGGATGTGGGATCAATACTGTACAGTCTTTCTAGGAGCTGTAGGGTCTCTCCTCATAGGGACCCAGGTTCTGGATCTGAAAATTGTTTCAGAACTGGAAGCAAGGGAAGAGACTGTGAGTCTCCACTAGGATGGTTGACCTCAGCCTTCTGTTCATCAGTGACCACTTCCCATTTTATAGATTAGTGATACTCTTGTTGGCTGCCTGTCAAACTTGCTCCAGGAACACCAAGTTCTCACTCAGTTTATTTCCATGGACACTCAAAGGTCAGATTCCTATAGCTGCTGTTCTGACTTTGCTGACTATAATGGTAATTATGCCCATGCTGCTTCTGATAGTTGTGTTGCCCTGGCTACTACTCTTCCAGAGTCCCAACATTCCCACCCATTTGGGAAAAGCATCTCCCATGGAGGACAGCCATTTGGGACATGCTGTATGCTCTTGATAAATGCAGTGTTTTTCAGGCCCTCCTGTGGAATGTGCCAGCCAGTGGTTTTCTGGTCTCATATTCTAGCATGCCCACTTCTGCAAAAACAGTAGGGAAATTTTGATAGTGATTGCATTGAATTTGTAGATTGCTTTGGGGACTAATGGCATCTTAACAATATTAAACCTTCCAATCCATGAACATGGGATGTCTTTCCATTTATTAGGTTTTCTTTAATTTCTTTCAGTCATGTTTTGTAGTTTATGGTGTGCAAGTCTTGTGCTTCTTTGATAAAATGTATTTCTCTAAGCATTTTATTGTTTAGAGGCTATTGAAAACAGAATTGTGTTCTTAAGTTCCTTTCTGGATTGTCCATTGCTAGTGTATACAAATACAATTTTTTTCATGCTGATTTTTATCCTGTAGCTTTGCCAAAGTTATTTATGAGCCGTGATAAGTCTTTTTAAATCCTTTGTTTTCTATATGTAAGACAATGCCATGTGAAAATAGAGATAGTTTTATTTCTTCCTTTCCAATTTTAATGAGTTTTCTTTTTCTTGTCTAATTGCTGTGGCTAGAACTTCCAGTACAATGTTGAATAACAGTGGAGAAATCAGGCATCTTTGTCTTGTCCTGATCTCAGGGGGAATGTTATCAGTTTTTCCCCATTGATTATGCTCTTAGCTGTGGATTTTTCAAATATGCCCTTTTTGTGTTGAAGGTGTTTCCTTCTATTCCTAGTTTATTAAGTGGTATTTTTTTTTAAGATGGATTCTTATTCTGTCACCCTGGCTGGAGCATAGTGGTGTGATCTTGGCTCACTGCAACCTCTGCCTCCTCAGCTCAAGAGATCCTATCACCTCAGCCTCCCAAGTAGCTGGGACCACAGGCATGTGCCACCATGCCCAACTAATTTTTTTGTATTTTTGGTAAAGATGGGGTTTCACCATGTTGCCCAGGCAGGTCTCAAACTCTTGAGCTCAAGCAATCCACCCACCTTGGCCTCCTTGGGATTACAGATGTGAGCCACCATGCTCATTCTATTGAGTTTGTTTTTTTTAATCATGAAAAGATATTGGCTCTTGTCAAGTGATTTTTAAATTTTTATTGTCATCACTTGAGATGCTTATGGTTTCTATCTATAAATATGGTGTTTTTATCTATAAATATGGTGTTTCACATCGATAATTTTTTGTATCTTGAACCACCCTGGGGGTCCTATAATAAATCCCACTTGCTCATGGTGTATGATACTTTTAATATTCCAATTCCATTTTACTAGTACTTTGTTGAAAATTTTCATATATATAGTCACAAGGAATATTGCTCTTTAATTTTCTTTTCTAATGATGTGTTTGTCTGGCTTTGGTATCAGGATAACACTGGCTTTATAAGATGAGTTTTGAAGTGTTCTTCCCTCTTTTAATTTTTAAAGGAGTTCAAGAGGAATTGGTGCTATTTTTTATTTTTATTTATTTATTTTTTAGAAATAGGGTCTTGCTCTGCCACCCAGGCTGGAGTGCAATGGTAGAATCATAGCTCACTTCAGCCTTGACCTCCTGGGCTCAAACAATCCTCCCACCTCAGCCTTCTGAGTAGCTAGGACTACAGATGCACGCCACCACGCCCAGCTAATTTTTAATTATTTTTGTAGAGATGGGGTTTCATTATGTTGCCCAGGCTGGTCTCAAACTCCTGGCCTCAAGCAATCCTCCCACCTCAGCCTCCCAAAGCACTGGCATTACAGGTTTGAGCCACTGCACCCAGCACTTCCCTTAGGACCAGTAAAGCCACTTGGTCCTAAGCTTTTCTTTGTTAGAAAGGCTTTTCTTATGGACTCAAGCTCTTCACCCATTATAGGTCAGTGCAGATTTCCTATTTCTTCCTGAGGCCTTTATGGTAGTTTCTGTGTTTCTAGAAATGTGTCCATTTCACCGAGGTTATCTAATTTGTCAGTGTACAATTCTTCATAGCATTCCGCTACAATCCTTCTTATTTCTCTAAGGTCAATAGTAATGTTCCCACTTTCTGATTTTAGCAATTTGAATTTTCTCTCTTTTTTTTCTTAGAAAGTCTAGGTTTGGCAAATTTGTTAATCTTTTCAAATAACCAACTTTTGTTTCATTTATTTTCTCTATTTTTCTATTTTTTATTTCTGCTCTAATTTTTATTATTTTCTTCTTTCTGCTAGCTTGAGTTTACTTTGTTCTTCTTTCTTTAGTTTCTTAAGGTGAAAAGCTAGGTTACTGTTATACTTCTCTTTTTTTCAACTGTATTAACTGACTCTTTCTTTCTTTCTTTGTCTTTCTTTCTTTCTCTTTCTCTCTCTCTTTCTTTTTTTGTACAACTCCACCAGATCACTGGACTGATCTTCTTTCTTAATGTAGATGTTTACAGCTATACATTTCTCTCTGAGCACCGATTTTGCTGCATAACCAACTTCTGATATTTTGTGTTTTTGATTTTGTTCACCTCAAAATGTTTTCTAATTTCCCTTGTGATTTCTTCTTTGACCTATTGATCGTTTTAAAATATGTCATTTAATTTTCGTGTTTGTGAATTTCGTTTTCCTTCTGTTGTTAATCTCTAGTTTCATTCCATTGTGGTTGGAGAAGATAAGTTGGATAATTTTAACTTTTAGAAAATTATTAAGACTTGTTTTGTGGTCTAACATATAGTATATCTTAGAGAATGTTCTATGTGTGCTTGGGGAAAATATATATTCTGCTGTCTGGGGATGGAGTGTTCTGTATATATCTACTAGGTCTAGCTGGTCTATAGTATTGTTCAAGTCCTCCATTTTCATATTGATCTTCTGTCTGGTTATTTTATCCATTATTGAAAGTGGAGTATTGAAATCTTTATTCTTGTGAAACTTTATTTATCCTTTCAATTCTGTCAATTTTTGCTTCACGTTTTTTAGAGATCTCTTGTTAGGTGTATATATGCTTATGGTTGTTGTCTCTTCTTGATGGATTGAACCTTTGAATATAATGTCCCTTTTTGTCTCTCGTAACTGTTTTTTACCTAAAGCCTAATTTGTCTGTATAGGCACCCTAGCTCTCTTTTGGTATGATTTTCATGGGTTATCTTTTTCTGTTCTTTCACTTTCAGCCTATGTGTGTCTTTGGATCTGAAGGAGTCTCTTCTAGATAGCATATAGATGAACCATAAGCTTTGTTTTGTTGGGGTTTTGTTGCTATTGGTATCCATTCTGCCAATCTCTGCTATTTAATTGGATAATTTAAGCAATTTACATTTAAAATTATTACTGATAAGAAAAGACTACTACCATTTTATTATTTTTAGAAATGTTTCTTTTTTTTTGTTTCTCAATCCTTCCATTACTGCCTTCTGCTTAGTTTGAGGTGTTTTTTTTTTTTTTTTTTTTTTTTGGTATATCATTTTGGTTCCCTTCTCATTTACATTTTTGTATATGTTTTAGTTATTTCTTAGTGGTTTCCTTGGGGATTACAATTAACACCTTAAACTTATTAATATAATGTTCTAGTTTTCATTAATACTGACTTAACTTCAATAGTATACAAAAACCCTGAACTTACACAGTTCTATTCCTCCTTCCTTATTATTGTCACAAATTACATCTTTATATATTGTATGCCCATTAGCATATATTTGTAATTGTTGTTTCATGTATTTGTCCTTTAAATCATATAGGGAAAGAAGAGGAATTACAAAAAACCTTACAATTCTACTGGCCTTCATATTACCATTGTAGGCACCTGAACCAGTGCGCTTTATCTCTCCATGTGGCTGTGAATTATTGTCCCGTGTTCTTTCATTTCAGCCTGAAGGGCCCCTTGGCATTTCTCGTAGGGTAGTTCTTGTAGATCAGGTTTTGATGTTCCCTATTTTTATTTTTTTTATTTCCTTTTAAAAAATTTAGTTTGGGTAAAAAAATTCAGTTCGAACTATTTTCTAATATCCTCTTTGACTCATAGGTTATTTGGAAGTGCATTTCTCCATTTTTAAACGCACAGAGATTTCCTAGATATCCTTCTGTTATTAATTTCTAGTCAACTTCACTGTAATCAGAGAACGTATGTGTGAGCTCAGTTTTCTCCTCACTGTGTACATTCTGTAGTGACTTTCAGTGGCCTTCAGTTTTTGTAGTGTCCATTCTAAGTCCTTTTATATCTGACAAAACACTTTCATTTCATTCTCACTCAGGTGTGTTGGCTTGACTGGGTGTAGAAACTTAGGCTCACAATTATTTTCCCTTTGTCTTTGAAGATATGACCCTACTTTCTTTTGGTATTCAGTATGTTCCTTATTAGCTTGATTTCACTTTGAATCTCCTTCTGTTTATTTTCAGCATTTAAGATTTTTCTATCTATTTTTGGTTTTCCAAAGTTTTACTAAGATGTACAAAATATGAACTTAAAAATATGCATCTACATCTTTAGTGGGATTTATCAAGTGGAAAACATACTTTCTTCATTAATGGAAGATTATTGTCCATTATATCTGCAGGTGTTATGTCCCGTCATTCTATCTATCCTGTCCTTCCACAGTTGCCATTAGAAGAATGTCGCAGCCTTTGTACTGCCCTCCACATTTCAGAGAGGATATTTCACACTTCAGGGGAGGCTCCTGACCACCATGGTGGATGCAGGGGTGGGCAGAAGATAAAGTGATTTGAGTGAGAGCATGCACTGCCAGGGGAGGGCATGAGATGGGCAGCTTCCAGGGAGGCCTCCTGACGGGGAGAGGCCCTTGGATCATGACAGACACAGGGGACCTTGAGGCACTGAGGCACTGAGAGGGTCAGGAGAGCGGATGTCACCTGCTGGAGCCTTCCTGGAGAAGCGGTGGGACACAGCAATGAAAATGGATTGATTCTATGCAGTAAGAGACACTGGCACGAATGCCGGGGACCCCAGGGAGATTGCAGCTGTGTCATCCCAGCTCACATCTCCAGGTTGTGAACAACATCTCCAGATGTGGTTCAGTTTACAGACTCAGGCGTCCTAGAGTTCACCTGGAAAAAAAGAGAAGAGTTTGCTGTGGGTTAGGAGCAGGTGCACCTGCCTGTCTCCTAAACCCTCACCCCAAGCACCAGACACTACGGTCTGTCTGGATTTCATGGCCAGTTGTTCACCGGAAGCTGGCCAGGGGCTGGATCTGGGAAGATCATGCTGGTGTAGGAAGCACGTTTCCCTGCCACTATCTCAGGAATAGACATAGGCTGCAGAAGGGCAGATTGAGGTTCTTCTGCACAGTGTGCGTGGCATTCCCAGCACTGGGTGGCAAAGCAGAGGCCCCTCAGGAGGTCTCCCCTGGAGGCAGCCCCTGCAGGAGTAGATGTGTCCACTCTGCAGGACCTCCCCCAAGGGGCCCACAAGCAGCAGGCCCTAGTGCCCGGCCAGAGCCGAGTGCTGGGTGGCTAGGCCCAATGCTGGAGTGCACAGGCCGCCAGGCACCATGGTGAAGCCTCTGCCCTTGCAGTCTGCTGGGCCTTGTCCCCCGTGTGCCCCTGTGGGGCCTGGCTAGAGTGTGAGAGGGAGCCCCATGGGCCGGGCTTTCTGCAACCTGTGATCTGTGCATAGACATGGTCTCTCTGGTAGCTTCTATTAGTGGGGGCATTCCAATGCTCAAGACAAATGAAAGATTGGGGAACCCCCAGATTCAACTTGCCTTTTGCCACTGCCAATCTCAGCACCCCTAAACCCAGTGTCACCATGCCATGACTGTGCTTCACACCGGTGGGTCTCTGGGCACTGCCTGCCCTACTGGGCAGTGAAGGGATCTACTGGGAAGTCCATGCGAATTTACTGGGGTCCTGGGAAGTTCAGTTTCCTGGACGTCAGAGAAATGCTCCCTGGTGGTGGGAGATTTCAGGATGCCACCACCAGAAAAAGGCCGCCCCTTGGTCTGTCCTTGAAGGAAAATCATTTGAGAGTTGCAGATGTAACTTTGTAAAGTTGTGAGTTACAGATGAGAAAGCCACGCTTGGGAACTGCATGGGATTGCTGGCCTTAGGGTCCCAGGAACACCTTTCTGCATAAACACAGCAGGCTGAGGATGCCCACCATGCCCGCAGGGGTGGGCGGGGAGGCGGATCCTGGAATCCACAGAAGAGAAGGCTGGATCGTGAACCCTAGAATCTTCAGGCACCCCAAGCAGCAGGTGTAGACAGTCCCAGTCTCTCTGACCCTCATCTGCCCACAGGTGGACTCCTCCCCTGGACCTGACCCATCCCCTTCCAGAGCAAGGTGTGGTCATGGGACTTGCCTAGCCAGTGAATTTGGAGGATCAGGGTTGCAGGTCACTTTCTGAAAGAGGTCTTTGGAGCTGACAGTCCCTGCCCAAGAAGGGGCAGGCATCAGTAGCTCTCTGAAGGCACCTGTGGGTGCTCATCAAAATGAGCATTTGCATGGTCATTGGAGGTCTTTGCATGGTCTTTGGAGGACAAAGACCACAGTGGGGAGGGGTGCTGGGGAACAGCCTGGCCTCAGTGGAAAGCTGGGTGGCATGGTGAGCTGTGGACCTGTAGAGGCCTCTCCCAGGCACTTGCCAGTTCTGGCACATCCCATAAGCAATGTCATCGCATCTTGTCCAACTTTTTCTTCTTTTGCTTTTTTAGAGGCAAGGTCTTGCTTTGTCACACAGGCTGGAGTGCAGTGGCTCAGTCATAGCTCACTGCACCTTCAAACTCCTGGGCCCAAGCGATTCTACCCCGTCAGCCTCCCAAGTAGCTGGGACCACAGGTGCACACCACCATGCCCGGTTAATTTTTTTAATTTAAAATTTTTTTTAGAGGCGAGGTCTTGCTATGTTGCCAGGCTGCTCTTGAACTCCTGGGCTCAAGCAAACTCTGCCTCTCACCCTGGCTTCCCAAAGTACTGGGATTCCAGGCATGAGCCACTGTATAGCTCCTGTACAATTTGTATACAAAAGGGTCTGGAGTGCATGTACAACTTACTGGGCATGCCAAGGGACAGGCCTGCACAATCTCAAGTCCAAGAAGAAAAACAGAGTGCGATGGCACCTGCCTTTGTAAAGCCCCTTGGAGGGTTGAGGAGATACCTCTGCTGACGGACCCCACCCATGCCTTCCCCAACTCCCGTCCTGGGTCTGGTGTCTCCCCACCCCAGCCTGGCCCAGGTCTCACCAGCACAGGAGCCTCACAAGCCATGCCACTTGACCAGCAGAGGGACAGGGACATCGGCATTCTTTTTTTTCCTTTTTCCCTCTGGTCTTGCCGATCTGGGCAGGCCACACCTCTTTTCAGGTACTTATCTGTGCATTTCTTTTTTTATTTTTTCCAGCATCTGTGCATTTCTTTATGGCTATCTTTTGCCACATTCATTCTCCTTTCCCTCTCTACCTGAGGTAATCATTTACATATTTTTAAGGTGCACTTTTACTGGAATACATTCTTGCAATGTGTGCATAATCATTTTGTGTGACTGCATTTCTTTTTGTTAGGTGAGCTTTGTGTATAAAATTAACCATTTCAAAATGAACAGCTTGGTGGCCCTAGGTGCATTCACAACGTTGTGCAACCACCACCTCTGTCTAGTTCCAGAATCTTCTCATCACCCCCAAAAGAAACCTGTACCCATTAGCAATCACACTGCCTTCCCTTCCCTTCATCCCCTAACAGCTGTCATTGAGTAATGGGCTTGCTGCCTGACATGCATGGAAGCCAATACTATGGCACCAGCTTTTGAGAAAAGAAAGGCTTTACTGTGTGTTGACTGGCAAGGAGTCAGGAGGAAGTGCTCAAATCTGTCTCCCAGAGCTGGGATCTGAGGCAGGTTTCATAAAGAGGGTAATGAGGCATGATCTGATTGGATCTTGCAATGAGGTGATGTTGAGAGGCGCGATTTGATTGGATCCCGCCATGGGGTGACACCGGGGCTTAATCTGATTGGAGCATGGATCCCGTTATGCAGTGTCAGTTTCTTTTTCTTTTTCTTTTTCTCTTTTTTGAGACAGAGTCTCGCTCTGTCACCCAGGCTGGAGTGCAGTGGCGTGATCTCGACTCACTGCAACCTCCGCCTCCCGGGTCCAAGTGATTCTTCTGCCTTAGCCTCCCGAGTAGCTGGGACTACAGGCACGCGCCACCATGCCGGGCTAATTTTTGTATTTTTAGTAGAGATGGGGTTTCACCATATTGGCCAGGCTGGTCTTGAACTCCTGATAACCCATGAAAATCATACCAAAAGAGAGCTAGGGTGCCCGCCTCGGTCTCCCAAAGTACAGGATTATAGGCATGAGCCACTGCACCCGGCCTGTGGTGTCAGTTTCTTAATTCACTACCCTGTTCCTTGGTCTAGCACTTAGGTTCTGCCTGTGGTTGCAAGCTTGGTTCACCTGGATGTGTTCAGGTAACTTGCAATCTGGGGTCCATGACAACTGAAAAACAATTCACAATTTTGTTATATAAAAGTTGAACCAGATTGGCCTGGTTCTACAGTTATACAACCACCAGCTAGCTTTTTGTCTCTCGGGCTTTGCCTATTCTCGACATTGTCCAAAGTGGAATCACACACTCTGCGGCCCTTTGAGTCTTGCTTCTTTCACTCAGCATCAGACTTTCAAGGCTCATCCACATTGTGGCCTGAGTCATTTATTCCTTTTGATGGCTGAATGTTATTCCACTGTGTGGATGGCCCATGTTTGCTTTATCCATTCATCAGGTGATGGACACTTGGGCTATTACCACTTTTGGCTCTCTTTTTAAATTTTATTTATTTATTTATTTTTGAGACAGGGTCTTTGCTCTATCGCCCAGGCTAGAGTGCAGTGGCACAATCACAGATCACTGCAGTCTCCACCTTCTGGGCTCAAGCAATCCTCCTGACTTGGTCCCCCAAAGCACTGGGAGGGACCACAGGCATGTGCCAGTGGCCTGGCCTTTCCAAAGTTCTCTGGGAGGCCAAGGTGGGAGGATCATTTGAACCCAGGAGTTTGAGACCAGCCTGGGCCACATAGCAAGACCCCACCTCTACAAAAAATTTAAAAACAATTAGCCAGGTGTAGTGGTGTGTGCCCGTCATCCCAGCTATTCAAGAGGCTGAGCCAGTAGGATCGTTTGAGCCCAGGAATTCGAGGCTGCAGTGAGCCATGATTGTACCACTGCACTCCAGCCTGAGCAACACAGTGAGGCCCTGTCTCAAAAAAAAGTTCTTTGACTTGCTGGAATTAAATAACCTTTTTTCCTCAGATGGTTTGTGCTTTTGAGCCTCTATGTGAGAGACTCTTCTCCAGTCCTTGGTTGCAAAGATGTTCTGCATTTTTGATTCCCATTTTAAGTTTTGTATCTAGGTCTTTAATTGGCCCTGTGGCCATTTTCAAGGGCGATGTTAGGTAAAACCCAGTTTTATTTTCCTCCCTACGGCAAGCCCTGTTTCCTGATATGATCTACACTAAGCAGCCTGGCTGTTCCTTGTCTGGGGAGCACATTCACTGTGCATCTGTTTGAGCTCTGTTCTGTCTCACGGGCCTTTTTGTCCTTCATCAAAGCAGAAGCTTTCTTACTAAGACCACCACAGCTTTGAAGTAGGTGTTCATAACTTTATACTTATCGTTCAGGTTGACTTAGCTATTTACAGACCTTTTGTTCCACCACATACATTTCCAGATTAAATTTATGGAGTTCTTTCAAAAATATCCAATTGAAATTTTGGTTAAAATTGTTTTGAATATATGGATTTATTGGAGAAAAACTAGACATGTGTTAATATTACATTGTCTCATGCAAGAGCATGGGATGTCTCGTTTCCTCTTCTTTGCCTTTCCTTAGAGTGGGAGTGCTTTTTCCATAGGAGTTTTATGTATACTTCACGGTTTTGTTTTCTTTCTTTGTGATTATATTTACTAGCTATGGCAATAAATGTAACTGACTTTTGTAGGTTGATTGTGTATCTGGCAAACTTGCTGAATTTAAAAATGTTTGAAGAGTTTGTTGATTCTGCAGATTTTTCTAGGAGGATAGATCATCCCATCATCTGCCATAACATTAGTTTCATTTCTTCTCTTCCAGCCCTTTTCTTCTACTTGGTCAACATGCCCAATATGATATCTAACACATTCTTATATGGTTCCCAGTCTTTAGGAGAATTGAAACTTTCTACAAAAGTATAATGCTTTACTTTTATTTTAAAAATTTTTATACCTTGCTTTTTCAAGAAAAAGTATAATGCTTGCTCTTGGATATTAAATGTAGCCTTTGCCAAGGCAGAAAATTTCCCTGATATTTCAAGTTTGCCCTACATATATTTTAATCATAAATAGATATTGAACCTTATAAAGGCATTAATTGGGATAATCATATGATTTTTTTTCTCTGTGAGTTAATGAATGTACTTTCTGTTTCTGTTAATGGCTACGTAGTTCCTATCAGTTCAACCTTCCCATAAATAACTAAGAACTAGATAAAATATTAAAGACACAGCCTGCAGTCCCAGCAGTTTGGGAGGCCAAGGTGGATAGATTGCTTGAGCCCAGGAGTTCGAGACCAGCCTGGGCAACACGGTGAAACCCCATCTCTACGAAACCATAAAGATTAAGCAGGCGTGGTGGCACACGCCTGTAGTCCCAGCTACTCAGGAGGCTGAGGTAGGAGAATCACTTGTACCCAGGAAGTGGAAGTTGCAGAGAGCCAAGATTGCACTACTGCACTCCAGCCTGGGCGACAGAGCAAGACCCTGTCTCAAAAAATATGTAAAAAATAAAAATAAAAATATAAAACACAACTATCTGAAGACTTAGAAAAATGAACAGTTCTTTCAAAGTACCAAATTTTAACCTTATTGGCCCTCTCTATCATACATTAAATTTCTATTTAATAAATTTATAATTAATTTTTGTTTTAGGTATGTCTATTGTAATAGCATTTCTTTTCTTTTTTTGTAACCATCCTGACAATGTTTGATTTTAACTGTATTATATTGTAAGTTTAATGTAATTGCTGATGTTTTGGTTTTTATGTATACCTCCTTATTTTGTGCTTTCTATTTTTTCTTGCTTTTCTACATTTTCTCTTTTTCCCTGCCTTCTTGTGGATTGGCTGATTTTAAAAAATTTTTTTAGTGCTCCACTTCCTCCATTATTAATTACAATGACAAACTCTGTTTCTGTTCTTTCAGTGATTAGTCTTAAAATTACAGCATATAGTCTTTAAAGTCTAAAGTTAATCAAAATCTTTACTCTCACCCTGGATAATACAAGACCTTAGAACACCTTAGCCCTACTCCCTCCACCGCAATTTTACATTTTGATATCTAGTATTCTAATTCTATTTTTCCCAAACCTCGTTAAATATTATTAATACCATTTTTCTATGATCAGTGTTCATTTACGTTTGTAAAGAGGACACTCTAAGGGAGCAGCTCAATGAATCTGTGTGCATGTGAGCCCATTTGTAACAACTATCTGGAGTCAGATCGAGGACATTCTGAGCTCCAGGGAGTCCCCTCCAACCCTATTCCCTTTTCATATTCCCCACCGTAGCTATCACTCCATTCCCTTTTCATACCCGCCATGGTAGAAGTTCATGTAAAGGCAGTGATCCCAAATTTAAGCATTGGACTGCAAGAAGGAATGGAGAAGAGGTCTTCTGGTTTCCCTGCAGTCTTTAATATTTGTAACTATCATTACACCACTGGAGCACATCCTGTTATACACTACTGTCTCTCCCGTCTCATTCTCATTTATTATTAGTACATCAAGTGACTGTATTTAATGCTCACGACTATTCCTTGGATAAATGCCTTGTATGGAGAGGACCCTGAAGAGTAAATATATGTGAGTCACGACTCTTCCTTGGATAAATGCCTTCTATAGAGAGGACCCTAAAGAGTAAATATATGTGTGTGAGTAGAAAATAACAATGGTTGTTGAAAACAAACGAGGAATTCTGGAAGTGGCAGTGGCAATGACATAGAATTGAGGTCTCTCTGAATCTCCACATAAAATAGACAGAGCAGGCCAGGTGTGGTGGCTCACACCAGTAATCCCAGCACCTTGGGAGGCCAAGGTGGGAGGATGGCTTGAGGCCAGGAGTTTGAGACCACCCTGGACAACACAGCAAGACCCTGTCTCTACTAAAAAATCTAAAAAATTAGCTGGGCATAGTGGTGCATGTCTGTAGTCCCGGCTACTCTGGAGGCTGTGGTGGGAGGATTGCTTGAGCCCAGGAGGTCAAAGCTACAGTGAGCTGTGATCATATCACTGCACTCCAGCCTGGGCGACAGAGCAAGACCCTGTCTCAATTTTTTTGTTTTTTTTAAAGAGCAACTGGAGAGTAAAAGAAACAGACGACATTCACAATAAAATTAGGTGATAAGGCTTCTCCTACTTCCCACATTACAAGCAGAGAAAGGTAAACCACCAACAGCTGCAACATGTTTAAGAGTGTTGCTCGGTGGAAGCGGCATCGAGGGCCTGGAGATAGGAGATCCCTAGAGAGCCAGCAGCAGCTTACACATGGGCCAGCATAAGACAAGTAGCCCACACTACAGAAGGCACAGCTTGGGTAGGGAGTCGGTGGTGCTGGAGGGCCCCCCAAGCCTCCCTTCTGGGACCAGGTCCCATTGAGGAGACCCCATTGGCAGTGGAGGCAAAATAGGGGAGGTTATGGACAATAGTGACAAAATGAAGAGAAGGGCGGGAAAAAAAGTCAAAGCGGGAAATGGAGACAGGGAATTTTGGAAAATAAGCTGCCACAGTTATGCATGGTACAGGAAGACAACGAAAGATATTATCCTAAAGTATGCTTCTTTATAAAAGCTCAGAAAGACTTAATTTCTCACAAACACAAGCAATGCAAAAGTGTTGAGATCAAATCTTCTGCAAGATTATTGCAAGAGAAAAGAGAATAATAATACCCCTACAGACAAGAAAGCATGCCAGAAAGAGAAGCACTCAAAAGAGATGAAAACTGTAATCTACTATTTCAAAACAGATTAAAAAAAATGGCTGGGCTGGGTGCAGTGGCTCACACCTGTAATCCCAGCACTTTGGGAAGCCAAGGCGGGCGGATCACATGAGGTCAGGAGTTCGAGACCAGCCTGGCTGACAGCAATAGCAAAATCCCGTCTCTACTAAAAATACAAAAATTAGCCGAGCGTGGTGGCACATGCCTGTAATCACAGCTACTTGGGAGGCTGAGGGAGGAGAATCGCTTGAACCCAGGAGGTGGAGGTTGCCGTGAGCCGAGATCGTGCCATTGCACTCCAGCCTGGGCAACAAGAGCGAAACTCCATCTCAGAAAAGAAAAAAAGAAAATGGCTGGGTGTGCTGACTCACGCCTGTAATCCCAGCACTTTGGGAGGCTGAGGCAGAAGCATCACTTGAGCCCAGGAATTTGAGGCCAGCCTGGGCAACATGCTGAGACCTTGTCTCTACAAAAAAGAAAAGTAGCCAGGCATGGTGGCACAAACCTGTGGTCCCAGCTAATTGAGAGGCTGAGGCGGGACAATCACCTGAGCCCGGGAGTTTGAGGCTGCAGTGAGCCATGATTGCACCACTGTCTCCAGGCTTGGCAACAGAGTGAGACCCTGTCTCGGAAAAAAAAAAAAAAAGATACAAGACATGAAAAAACAGCATAAGTCAGAATTAGAAAAACATAGAAATGAGGTGATAGTACTTAGGAAAATATTAAAATTTAAAAAATCATCTCATAAATGAAAATTAAGCTAGCAGACAGGAAGGCAATTTTAAAAACGAAAGATGAATTAAGAAAAGGGTAAGAAAGACCCAAGGAAATTGATAAGTAAAGTTTGATAAAATTGATTAAAAATAAAGTAGGCAGAAGAGTTTAAAATAAAAACTAATAGAATTCCTAAGAAGAAAGGAAGATTCAGATACTAGAACAAATAATAAAATATAATTAAAACTTTTCCTAAATTAAGAAAAGTTTTGAAGCCAGGTGTGATGATGACTCACACCTGTAATCCCAGCATTTGGGAAGGCTGAGGCAGGAGGATTGCTTGAGCTCAGGAGTTTGAGACCAGCCTCGGCAACATGGTGAGACCCTTCTCTACAAAAATAAATGAATAAATAAGCCACTAAAAACAAACAAACAAGAAACCCAAGTCTATATAACTTTAACAAGGGCTGGTAACCTGGAGTCAGTAAACTTTGGAGAAAAAAAGAAAAAGTTTTGAAATGTTATATTAGTATTAAAATAGCACATTATCTACTTGGGAATCAATTCAGAAAGATCAACACTAAGACCAATGACATAGCAGAAAGACAACAAATTTTTTTTTTTTTTTGAGATGCATTTTCGCTCTTGTTGTTCAGGCTGGAATGCAATGGCGTGATTTCAGCTCACTGCAACCTCCTCTCCTTAGTTCAAGCGATTCTCCTGCCTCAGCCTCCCGAGTAGCTGGGATTACAGGCATGCACCACCACGTCCAGCTGATTTTGTATTTTTAGTAGAGACAGAGTTTCTCCATATTGGTCAGGCTGGTCTCGAACTCCCGACCTCAGGTGATCCGCCCACCTCGGCCTCCCAAAGTGCTGGGATGACAATGAATTATTAATATCAGATATTTTTGACAACAAGCCTCAATGTTATAATAAAATGGAGTTCCACATGTAAGATACTTATTCAAAGAAAAAGGGAGCCAAGTACTTATATCCAGGAAGACTGCCCTTTGAATAAAACGAACACAGATATACTTGTAGGAAAT
Organism: Homo sapiens; assembly: GCF_000001405.40. Classification (NCBI taxonomy): domain Eukaryota; kingdom Metazoa; phylum Chordata; class Mammalia; order Primates; family Hominidae; genus Homo; species Homo sapiens. The sequence continues at coordinate 227,850,628 of NC_000001.11, read as the reverse complement.
CAGGGAAGGTTGCTTCCATGAGCCCTTCCTGAAACATCCATAAGAGACATTTATTCAAGGACCAGAATTAAATAGACAGTCACTTGTTGCACTAACACTAAATGAGAGTTAAAGGGAAGAGAACATAATTGGCATGTGCTCCAGCGATGTAAGTATAGTTACAAATATTAAAGACTGCGAGGAAACAAAGGCCATACCAAAACATCTGAGCTGTTTGCAGTCATCATATTGGTAGTGTTCACATTAATTATGTGATTATGAGATTGTTGTTTGTGAATGTGTGGCAAAACAAATGAATAATTATGGGCTATCACCTCCTTGAGAAACACATTATGCTCAATGATGAAAATTGAAATTTCCCTCTAAGATCAAGAACATGGCAAGGATGCCCACTCTCACCACTTCCATTTAATATGGTACTGGAAGTCTTTGCCACAGAAACCAGGCAAGAAAAAGAAATAAAATACATCCAAATAGGAATGGAAGAAATGAAATGGTCTCTGTTTTCAGATGACATTTTATTTCTCATATATAGAAAACCCTAAAGGCTCCACCCAAAAAACCCCCACAAAACGCTAAAACTGTTAGAACTGATGAAAGTATTTTCAATATGGAATACAAACTACAGATTGCTTTTTTTTTAAAAGAATATAAGTAAAAACTCTGTAGCTCTGGACTTAAATTGGAATTTACATCCCAACTTCAGTGCAATGATCTCCCGAGCACTCAGATCGTGCTCTTGTAATACTATGTTTGACTACAAAAAAACAAGACTTCTTGGGGGAATGACTGACTCTAGGTCTTAGGCAGGAAATAGACCAGATGAGCCTGAACATCTTGTCAAACCATATAAAAGAAAGCTAGCAGATACCATTAGTACTATTATGCCCAGCACTGTTAAAAGGACTCAGGAACCAAGCTGGCAAAGCTCCTGTTGTACAAATATGGGGCAATTTGAGCTTTCATAGAAATAATAATTGCAATGAATTGAAACCCATCAAATACATTTAAATCCATGACCTAAAAAAAACATTTAAAAGCTAATTGGCCCGCTTTAGATGGTGAAAAAGAACAATCACATGATCTCAAGAGCTTCTAAAGAAAAGAATAAGACATTGTCTTTTCTATATAAATTTGTCACTAGGCAACCAAATAGTAGAAGACGAGATGTCTCTTTATAGAAGTATCTGAGTGACATCTAGCTTCCGTTTTGGCATGTAAACAGGTTGGAAGTTATCACTCCCATCCTTACAACAAGAAAAAAGGTGAACAAACTAAACATCAACAACTGTTCTTAAATTCATAAGAGAAGTGAGGTCACAGAACAAAATACCTCCCTGAACACTGGAGAGACAGACAGGTGGACAGAGACAATCACAGCTTACGGGGAGGAGAAGCCCCAGCAGAGTCAGCACCAGTGGAAATACTTAAAGGGTAATTGATGAACTGCTGGAGACTAAGCGTGGGCTAAGTTGAGAGCTTAAAACCCCTTAGGGCCCACTTTTAGGGGTCCTCACACTTTTATGAGTTTTAGTCCTGGAAGCTACACCAGGCTCTCAGGGTGAAGAGCAGAGAAGAATCCCCCAGCGTTTGTGGCAGAGCAAGGAGAAAAGTAGCCAATTTTAAGTATGCCCAGCACTGTCTATTCTCATTGACCAAAGCCTGCTCTCAAGGGAAACTATTTAACCAGAGCCTAACTGACTTGGGTTCTATCAGTCTGACCCATGGCAAGGGAAATACTGGAATCCAGCCTGCCCTAGCCTTGAATGTTGGGAAATACCCAATGCAGCCCATTATTTTTCCATCACACTTAAGGGGGGAAAGTGAAGGCAAGAAAAACACTTGGGTGGTGACCTTCTCACTAACAGACTGAGACCTAACCACAGAACTAAAGAATGCTTCCTCATCCCCACACCTTATCACTACATCCGTGGGGTTCCTATGTAATATCAGAGGATTACAGAAAGAGCTACTTGTTTATTTAAGAAGGAGTCTCCAGGGAGACCCAAAGACAACAGAGGAGACAAAAACAACATCATTAGGGGAAAGTTCAGACTCAAACACCACAGCTTCAGGAGGCGGTAAACAGCCTAATTGCTAGTCAGATAAATCTCACACCAATGGCCAGTTTACCTCAGATCCTCTTACTTAATACGTCATATCTAGCTTTCAACAAAAAGTTACAAGGCATGCTAAAAGGCAAAATAAGCAAAACAAAAACCCCACACAGCCTGAAGAGACCAAGCATCAGAACAAAACTCAGATAGGGCAGACATTTTGGAATTATTGGACTGGGAATTTGAAGTATTAGGATTAATATACTAAGGGCTGAAATGGGAAAAGTGGGCCACATAGAAGAACAGAGGGGCACTGAAAGCAGAGCAGTGAAACTCAGAGAATAAAAAGAAATGCTAAAGACAGGAAATCAACCTGAGCGTCCATCAACAGATGGTTGGATAGAGAAAATATACATATATATCATGGAATACTAGTCATAAAAAAGAATGAAATCATGTCCTTTGCAGCTACATGGATGGAACTGGAGGCCATTATCCTACATGAAACAACTCAGAAATAGTCAATTAGCATATGTTCTCACTTATAAGTGGGAGCTAAATAATGTGTACACATGGATATAGAAAGCAGATAATAGATATTGGAGACTCAGAGAGGTGGGAGGGTGGGACGGGGATGAGGAAGGAGAAATTACTTAATGGGCAAAATGTTCACTATTTGGGTGACGGTTACACTAAAATCCTAGACTTCAGCACTATGCAATATATCCATGTAACAAAACTGCAGTTGCACCCCTAAATCTACGAAAATAAAAATAAAATGTGAAGACAAAAACCAACCAAACAAAAAAAAATGCTAGAACTCAAAACCACTGTAACAGAAATGAAGCATGCTATTGATGTCTCATCAGTAGATGAGATACTACCTGGGAAATGGTAGTGTTTTTTTGAAAGTGGACATAGATTAATTGTAATTCTTTATTGTGAACTCTAGGGCAACTATTTAAAATTGTAAAAGAAAGTCCAGTTGACACTTGAACAATGTTGGGGTTACTGGTATCCCCCCATGCAGTAAAAAATCCATATATAGCTTTTGACTCCCCAAAAACTTACCGGGGTGGGGGGGATATTCTTTCTTAAATGTCTCAATTTCTTCTATAAAAATTTGGTCTATTTAATAAAACTTCTCTGGCTCTCTCTCTGTTTTTTTTTTTTTTTTTTTTTTTTTTTTGAGACAGTGTCTCACTGTGTGGTCCAGCCTGGAGTGAAGTGGCATGATCATATCTACAGCCTCAACCTCAAGGGTTCAAGCGATCCTCCCACCTCAGCCTCCAGAGTAACTGGGATTACACGTGTGCACCACCATGCCCGACTCATTTTTTTAGACAGGGGTCTTGCTACGTTGCCCAGGCTGGCCTTGAACTCCTGAGCTCAAGTGATCCTCCTGCCTTGACCTCCCAAAGTGCTGGGATTACAGGCATAAGCCACAGTGCCCAGCCTAAAACCTCTCTACTGGGGTTAGTTTTAGTAAACTTTTTTTCCTAAAAAGTGCTGCTTTTCATTTAAATTTATATAGAGTTGTACACTCTCTCGTGTGGTTTCTTACCTTGTCTCAGTTGATGGATCATTTTCACTTGTCATTTCTCATTTTGTGTATTTTTGTTCTTATCTCCTGTGTTGGGTAGGTTAGTGATCTCTCCAACCCCTGTCCACTGTTTGATATTTTCCAAGGAGCAGACTTTTGAAATATGAGTTTTCGGTGCTTTTCTGACTTGGGGCTCCTTCATGCTTCTATCGTGTTTGTTCCTTCCTTGTGTCTACTTTCAGCTCCGGTTACCCCCACAACACACACTTTTTTTTTTTTTTTTGCAATTGGATGTTTAAATGTCTGCAGCTGTTTTATATGTACAGGCGTAGGCATGTAAGCAATGACCTTTCCTTGGGCCTGGGCTTTGACCACATCCCACAGATTCAGAGGAGTGTGTCTGTGTCATCGCCCCTCTGTTTCTGGAAAGAGCTGATTCGGCCTGTGCTTCTCCTTTTCTGAGAGCCTCAGGAGGGGTGATAGTCCCCCTTTCTGTGCATGGAAGAGGACAACGACTCCGGCAGGGGCGGAAGGAGCCACACAGGTGATCTCAGAGGCTTGCTTTGTAAATATTTAATGATCTTATCAAATCTCAGGTGCACTCTGCCCAAGCTGGGTTCTCCCTGACCAGCCCCTCTCCCCCTTCCCTTTTTTCTTTTGTACACTTGCTCATCACCTCCTGGACTCAGCATCCACCCCCGGGATAGGTGGCCCTTGTCTGCTTCAGAGAGGCCAGGACAGGAGATGCTTAGGGGTCTGGAGGCAGCTGGGCTGGGGCAGGGTGTGCAGCCATGAGAATCCTAGAGTGGGTATCCTGACCTCACAGCACTGACCAGCCAGCCAGCATGGCCATTAGGACGCTGAGAGTGGGCCCCAGAGCTGGAGAGAGAGCAGGGGCTGGCTGAGCAGGAGTGGGCGTGATTTCTATGTTATCACATATCCATTTTGAGAAATAGGAAACACTGGCATACACTCCAGGGTACAGAGGGTTGGAGCAGCCTCGGCCCCAGCTCACAATTCCAATCTGCAACCAGCTGCGGTTGAATTCACAGACAAGTGGGCCCCCGGAGTCGCCCTAGAAAGGAAGAGGGAGTTTTTTGTGAACTGGGAGTCCCAGGCCTGCCGCCTCCTGCACCTGTCCCCCAGGGTGCAAGGGGGTGGCTGTGCAGACCCTGCTGGAAGGGGCCAGTGCCCCCCTCTCACCCAGCCTCCCTACTGGCTGCAACACAGCCCAGAGTTGCAGGGGAGGCCTGCTGCAGGCATGCGGCGTTCACACATTGTCATACATCGCCCTGCTCAGCTTGGGGCATGGCTGCAGGGCTCCTGCTAGTCAGTGGGAGGCCAGAGTGGGGTCCTGTGGGGTCCACAGGCACAGGGCACCCATGACCTCTGTCTCATGGACCAGGAGGGGCACACCTCACACACGGTCTTAGCATTCAGGATGTCCCCAGCACACAGCATGTCGGGCATGATGTAGGACATGTGTCCGTAGAGCAGGTGGCACCAGGGCTCCAGGATCAGCGGGAGCTGCATCTCCTGCAGCTCGTCTGAGGTCTCACCTGTGGGAGGAGGGCTCCCGTGAGGGGGCAGCACCTGCTTCGTGTGGGGTGGGGGGATCCCTGCCCCACAGTGGACACCAAGGGGATAGCCCATGGAGAGGAGCCCCACTATACGTAGGAAGGAGCCCTGATGACACATAGGGATGAGTCCCACCACACATAGGGAGGAGTCCTGACCACACATAGGGAGGAGTCCTGACCACACATAGGAGCTCCACTATACATAGGGAGGAGCTCCACCACACATAGGGAGGAGCCCCACCACACATAGGGAGGAGCCCCACCACACATTAGGGAGGAGCCTCACCACACACAGGGAGGAGCCCCACCACGCATAGGGAGGAGCCCCACCACACATAGGGAGGAGTCCTGACCACACATAGGGAGGCACCCCACTAAACATAGGGAGGAGCTCCACCACACATAGGGAAGAGCCCCACCACACATAGAGAGCAGCCCCACCACACATAGGGAGGAGCCCCACTACACAGGGAGGAGTCCTGACCACACATAGGGAGGAGTCCCACCACACATAGGGAGGAGTCCCACCACACATAGGGAGGAGCCCTGACCGTACATAGGGAGGAGCCCCACCCCACATAGGGAGGAGTCCTGACCACACATAGGGAGGAGCCCCACTGCCCATGGTGAGGAGTCCCACCATACACAGGGAGGAACCCTGAACACTCAGAGGGAGGATCCCCACCAAATGAGGAGGAGCCCTCACCACACATAGGGAGGAGCTCCATCACACAGTGAGGAGTCCTGACCACACATAGGGAAAAGCCCTGACCACACATAGGGAGGACCCCACCACACATAAGGAGGAGCCCCACCACACATAGGGAGGAGCCCCACCACACATAGGGAAGAGCCCCACTACACATAGGGAGGAGTTTTGACCACACATAGGGAGGAGCCCCACCACATGTAGGGAGGAGCTCCACCACAAACCGGAAGGAGCACTGACCACACATAGGGAGGAGTCCCACCACACAGGTAGGAGTCCTGACTACACATAGGGAGGAGTCTCACCGCACATAGAGAGGAACCCTGACCACTCAGAGGAAGGAGCCCCACCACACGTAGGGAGAAGCTTTGCCCACTCACAGGGAGGAAACCTCACCACTCATGGGGGGTAGGGGAGGAAGCCTTGATCAGACAGGGAGTAACCCCGATGACCCATGAATGAAGTCCCGACCACAGATGGGGAGGAGCCCAGGTCTCACTGGGGAGGATCCCCACCACATATTGAAGGAACACTAACCTTAAGCCTAACCCCTAGCCCTAACCCCAATCCTGTGTTTGGTTTCCTGAATATTTATATCAAAAAAGAAACGATTATAAAAGTTAAAACAAAAGATGTCAGACAGAGTAAAAGAGTGTTCCATGAAGAGTCAAATCAGGACAGAACAGTCTGGGGAGTTGAAAGTAACACAGAGGGTTTTTTGTTTGTTTTGTTGTTGTTGTTACTGTTGTTTTGAGACAGGGTCTCACTCTGTCACCCAGGCTGGAGTGCATTGGTACAATCTTGGCTCACTGCAACCTCCACCTCCCGAGTAGCTGGGATTACAGGTGCGCACCACCACACCCGGCTAACTTTTATATTTTTAGTAGAGATAGGGTTTCACCTTGTTGGCCAGGCTGGTCTTGAACTCCTGACCTCAGGTGATCCACCTGCCTCGGCCTCCCAAAATGCTGGGATTACAGGCCTGAGCCACTGTGCTTGGTTGGTTTTTTGTTTGTTTGACATTTTTTTTTTAAGATGGAGTTTCACTCTTATTGCCCAGGCTGGAGTGCAATGCAATGGTGTGATCTTGGCTCACTGCAACCTCTGCCTCCCAGGTTCAAGCGATTCTCCTGCTTCAGACTCCCAAGTAGCTGGGATTACAGGCATGCGCCACCACACCTGGCTAATTTTGTATTTTTAGTAGAGACGGGGTTTCTCCATGTTGGTCAGGCTGGTCTCGAACTCCTGACCTCAGGTGATTCACCCATCTCAGCCTCCCAAAGTGCTGGGATTACAGGCGTGAGCCACCACGCCCGGCTGGTTTTTGTTTTTTGTTTTTGTGTGTTTATGTGTGTTCAAAGATTTGTTGGGTGTGGGAGAATGGGAGAAGAGGGAAAATGAAAGAGGAAATATGTGTTGTTGTGGAACTGGATATCATGTAATATCATCTAAGTGACCCAAATAAATATGAGGGCTACTTTTCAGTTACGTTTGGTTTTCTGGCCTTGACTGGAGCATCGTAAACCAAGTCTTGCGGCCTGCAGCTCATTTATGCATCCTGGAGCCCTGTGCTACATTATGTATGGATGGCTTTTTTACTAATTCTGCCAAGAGAAGGCTACACATGTCTCATAGAAAGGGCAAGGCTATTCCTAGTGTCCGTCTCAGGGTGTTAGGAGAATATAAAGGCCGGTCCTCATTAGAGACGGTGAAGTCTACTGCTCCTTTGATCAAGGTTGGAGCTTTCCAATCTGTGGGCTGTTGTTCCTGAGGGCAACGGATTCTCTGTAAAGGCCTGGGAATCCATGGATATACTTACCACGACTTGTCTGTCAAAGATGCATGGTAAGAAGTTCCCTCAGAGGCCGGGCATGGTGGCTCACACCTGTAGTCCCAGCACTTTGGGAGGCCGAGGCAGGTGGATCACCTGAGGCTGGGAGTTCGAGACCACCCTGACCAACATGGAGAAACCCCGTATTCTACTAAGAATACAAAATTAGGTGTGGTAGCACATGCCTGTAATCCCAGCTACTCAGGAGGCTGAGGCAGGAGAATCGCTAGAACCCAGAAGGCGGAGGTTGCGGTGAGCCAGAGATCACGCCATTGCACTCCAGCCTGAGCAACAAGAGTGAAACTCCATCTCAAAAAAAAAAAAAGAAGTTCCCTCAGAGAAGGAGAGGTGGAAGGCCAGATGGGGCAGGGCCACAAAAGCAGATACGTTATTGTCAATGCTCTAGTTTCCCTGTTGGATTGGTGTCCATATTATTATAAGCAAGCAAACACTGAAAGAGCACCATGCAGGAACAAATGTAGAGTAAATTTTTTTTTGATCTGAGAATTAGAATGAATCCAATTCTGTGCCCCAAACAAACAGAGATGGACAGACACCAGACATATGAAATGGCATTCAGTGTCTAAGAAGGGAGAGAGGGCAGAGCTGAATTTGGGAAAGCTTTCCTGGAATGAGAGTACCTTGAAGCATGGATATGACTTGGGCCTATAGATCACAGATAGACCTGCAGGCACTATTCGCCTGCCCTGCTGCTATAGTTGGGATGTTTGTCCCCTCCAAATCCCATGTTAAAATTCAACTCCAAATGTTCGAGGTGGGCCTAATGGGAGGCATTTGGGTCCTGGGGGGTGCATCCCTCATGAATAGATCAGTGCTGTGGAGGTGGGGGGAGTGAGTTCTCATTCTACTGGCTTCCAACAGAGAGAGCTGGTTGTTAAAAGGAGCCTGGGAACTCCCCTCCCCTCTGGCCATGTGGTCCCTTCCCCTTCCCCATGAGTGGAAGCAGCCTGAGGCCCTGAAGCAGATGCCAGCACCATGCTTCTTACAGAACCCTGAGCCAAACAAACCTCTTTTCTAGAAACTACCCAGCCTCAGGTATTCCTTTACAGCAACACAAATGGACTAAGACAACTGCCTGCTTACATGCCCTGGCAGAGAGGAGGAGGATGCACACATTTGTGAGATGGAGCTGGAGATTGAGGGCTGTTACTGGGAGGTGGGTGGTCCTGGTTTTGGGTGAACTGAATTTGGGCATTGGGTCAACCCTTTCCTGGTTGTGGTTAAAAATGAAAGACTAGTGAAAAATGTGGTCAAGGATTACTGGATTTAAAGCAGCATTCATGCCAATATAATGTATAGAAGAAAAATGCAGAACAAAAGTATAAGGGGTTAAAGAAGAAAATGGAGTTACGCTATTTAAAGTGTTTGTACTGCTGAGTAGTAAAATACAAGTTCAGGGGAAATGAACTGCACTAGTGGGTCCCCTTCCCCGCCTTTCCCACATGGGTGCCCTCTGCCATATGTCTTGCGGTTCCTCTCATCGAGGTGCGGTGTCACATTTCACCAGTCCTTGGATCTGAATTTTGCCACGGACGTGGTTTGGTCAACGGGATTTAAGCAGGGGCTTGGAAAAGTGCTTGTTTCTCATTGTCTTGAATCTTCACCACTGCTGAGGGGTGCAGCTAGGCCAGCCTGCTGGATGGAGACAGTTGCATGGGGCAGAGTCCAGCCCCCCAGCTCAGGCTATCCCAGGCCAGCCAGCAGCCTGATGGGAGAAGCTCAGCCAAACCAGAAGAACCCACAGGTTACATCACCGACCCACAACTGCCTGAGCTCAGTAAAGGCCCGTTGCTGGGTGAACCAGGCCTGCTCACTCTTTATAATGCAGCATTCTTGTGGCAATAGATAAAATGATACAGAAATGGTATCTAGGAATTAGAGGCTTCTCTAAAATACCAAAAACGTCGTCTTGGTTTTGGAAGCTGGTGGCTAGCAGCACTCACAGTAGAATCTGGAAAAATGAAGGGAAAACTGATATAGGAGGTCGGGAAGATGGTGGCTTGGGGGATGAAGTGGCACAAACTGTTGCTGATGGAGACATGGAAGGTATAAAATATGTTTAATGAACTTGAGAGACTTTGCAAGGTGACTTCCAGGCTGAATGACGAAAGCCAAGTGGCTGGTTCTAGCTGAGGATAAGGCACTACAGAAAAGAGAGAAACTCGAAAGAGAAGATGCCAATTTTCAAACAACTGTAGAGGACACACAGTGAAGAAGGGGTGAGCAAACTCTGTAAAGGGCCAAAGAGTAGACACCGTAGGCTCTGCAGGCCATCTCAGCTCTGCAGCCACTGCTCCACTCTCCTGTTGTGGAATGGAAATAGCCAGAGACAATATGTAAATAAATGGGCATGTATATGCTTGAAGAAAAATGTAGGGACACTGAATTTTGAGTTTTAAATAATTTTCATGTTTTATGAAATATTCCTCTTTTGGGTTCTTTTCCGCCCCAACCATTTAAAAGTGTAGGCTGGGTACACTGGCTCACCTGTAACCCCAGCATTTTGGGAGACTGAGGCAGGAGGATCGCTTGAGCCCAGGAGTTCGAGACCAGCCTGGGCAACATAGTGAGACCCCCATCTCTACAAAAAATACAAAAATTAGCTGGGTGTGGTGGCACACGCCTATAGTCCCAGCTACTCAGGAGGCTGAAGTGGGAGGACTGCTTGAGCCTGGGAGTTTGAGGCCTCAGTGAGCTATGATCACCGCACTGCACTCTAGCCTAAGACTGTGTCTCAAAATATAAAATAAGATTTTAAAAACAAAAGTGTAGAAACCATCCTAAGCTCACAGACAACACAGAACCAAGCAATGGAGTGGATCTGACTCCTCATCTGTAGTTTACTGACCCCTGTAAGACAGGGGCTGCGGTTTTCTGGGTTGGAAAATTAAACTGTTTCTGTTCGCAAGTCTTTCTAGCTAGCAAAATATTCTCAAGATAAAGCCGAGGGGCAAAGAGAAAATCAAGCAAGACATGGCTCAGAATAAAGATCCGCTGAGGGTGTGGCTGTTGGCACCTGTGCTAAGTCCTCGGAAGAATTAAGAAAGTGCCCGGTAGACATCCTCTGCTGGATGACGGTGACTCTAAGTACCCTCGGGGTGCTGTCCCTCAACAGTCTAACACACCCAAAAAGGCGGCGATGACATTTAGGAAGTGTTACCTCAAAAAGAGTGGTGGCACATCGAGGATGTCAGGAGAAGACATAGGAATCTGAGGTCCGCACTTGTAAAACTGTCGCCAGTCTGAGCCACAAGATGTTCACAGTCTCAAAAGACCACCAAGCCCTCAAGAAAGTCTGAGAAAGTTGCTCAAATGCAATACATATAAAAGACCTTTTAAAAATTTGTTTTTCAGTTACACACCTTTTTTTTTTTTCCTTGAGACAGGGTCCTGCTCTGGTTACATACCTTTTTTTTCTTTGAGACAGGCTCTTGCCCTGTTACAGGCTGGAGTGCAGTGGTGTGATTATGGCTCACTGCAGCCTGGACCTCCTGAGCTCAAACCATCCTCCTGCCTCAGCCTCCCAAGTAGCTGGGACTACAGGTATGCACCTCCATGTCTGGCTAATTATTTTATTTTATTTCCTTTTTTGTAGGGATGGGGTCTCACTATGTTGTCCAGACTGGTCTCAAACTCCCAGCTTCAAGCAATCCTCCTACCTCAGCCTCACAAATTGCTGGGATTACAGGCTTGAACCACTGCACCTGGCTCAGTTGCATACATTTAAACAGGGATGTGTTTTATTAAAGCATTCAGGCAACACTGACTTCCTTAGGGCTGGCAGGAAAGAAGCATAAAAATGCAAAACATTTTTGGCTGAACCTGAATGTATCCACGTTACCTCGCATGGACCAATTTGTGCTGCCAGAACACTTATTCCTTGGCATTAAAATGGAGCAGTAGAGCCGGGCGTGGTGGCTCATGCCTGTAATCCCAGCACTTTGGGAGGCCAAGGCAGGTGGATCACTTGAGCCCAGGAGCTCGAGACCTGGGCCTGGGCAACATAGTAAGGCCCTAGCTGAATTTTTTAAAATAAAATAAAGAATTTTATTTGAAAAGAGAAATACAGATATTGCATGTATTTACAATTATCATAGACACACAAATTGGTGAAATACTACAAAGAAATAGGAGTTTTCACATTATAATGGCCAAAACATCCATCTAACTTGCTCAAAGCAAACAAAACTTAAAGCTGAGTATGTAAGTCCTGTAGCTTAAGACATCCTGGCACCATGACAAATAGACAGAATGAACATTTTTCAAAGCCTGCTTAAGAAGTAGCCAAGGAGACGAATGCAGAAGAAAGGATGTCTCAGGGAACAGGACCAAGAGCCATGGAAAACAATGGATCATTCGAAACCTTAGCAGGCATTTTGTAGAAATGAGTAGGCTGACTCCAAACACAAGTGGAAATGCAAAGGCTCCAGAGCGCCCATGCTGGCTCTGACCACTAGACTACAACGCTCATCTGCAGGGCGGTGCTCAGGAGAGGGCCATGGACAGCACCACAGGCCCAGCGGGGGCCACACATGGAATCACAGCAGGCATGACGCCACCACCAGCTGGCTCAAACTTGGCCTTTTCCTCACACCATATGCAAAAATTAATTTCAGATGGATCTTATGCCTAAATATAAAAATTAAATTCAAAACGCTTCTAGAATAGATGTTGAAAATTATCTTTGTAAACTTACAATAGGCAAATCTTTATAAACAGAATATAAAAGACCCTATGTGTGAAACCAAAATATTAATATAAAAATAAATTGGACTTCATCAAAATCCAAAACTTTTTCCCATCAAAAGACACTACTAAGGAAATTAAAAGCTGGCCAGGTGCAATGGCTCACGACTGTCATCCCAACACCTTGGGAGGCTGAGGTGGGAGGAACGCTTGAGGCCAGAAGTTTGAAACCAGCCTGGGAAATAGAGCAAGACCCCATCTCTAAAAAAGAAAAAGAAAACAAAAAAAGAAAATTACAAACCAAGCCAGTGCGGTAGAAAATATTTGCAATACACGTTGAAGTACATGTATCCAGAATATATAAAGAAACTCCTACAAGTCAGCAAACCTCAAGAAGAGGCCATGACATGAGTAGCATAACTGAAATGAAAAAGATGGCACTACCAAGTATCGGCAAAGAGGTGCAGCAACTAGCACTCTCCTACATTGCTCACGGGATTGAAAAATGGCATGACCACTTTAGAAACGTGTTTGGCAGTTTCCAATAAAGTTGAATTTATCCCTACACCACAGCCAACAGATTCTACCAAGCATAGACCCAAGATAAACAAGTACCTATATTCCCCAAAAGACTTGCACAGTAAGTATCTGTTGCAGATTTGTTCACATGACCTAAACACTGATGGCAACCCAGACGTCTATTAGCAGGACTATGGAGAGAAGACACTTTGCTGCGTGCAAACACTGAAAGAACTCACAACAGGAAAAGAAGGATGAGCAGCTGATATGGAAACAACATGAATGAATCTCAAAAACAGTAGTCAGCGAAAAAAGCTGGGCACAGAGGAATCCATGGTGTGTGATTTCATTAACGAAGTTTAAGAAAAGGAAAAACTACTAAATGATGACAAAATTCAGAATAGTGTTTACCTTGGCAAGGCGGATTTGTCACCTGGGGAGACTGGAAGTTTTCTCTGGTGAGGAAATGTCCTTTATCTTGGAGGGTGGTGATGGTAGTGCAACAGGACTATTCATGAGTAAAAACTATCCAGGCATGGTGGCGCACGCCTGTAGTCCCAGCTCCTCTGAAGGCTGAGGCAGGAGGATCATTTGAGCCCAAGAGTTAGAGGCGGCAGTGAACTATGACTGTGCCGCTGCACTCCAGCCTGGGTGACAGAGCAAGACCCTGCCACTAAAAGAATAAAATAAGATTAAATAAATATATAAATAAAATGTTTGTCTACACTGAAATATTTATGGATGAAATATAGTATCTGGAATTTGCTTTAAAAATTCATTGTAACTCCAATGTTACAAGAAATAACATTTTAAAAAATGAAAAAAGAATATGTTAACATAATTCAGCTGTACACAATATTTGTGGATTTTAGAGTTTGTAAACAATGTCTCAAATAAAAATGTAGAGTATAAAATAAAGGCATTCTCACATGAAAGATGAGAGTTTCCAATGAAAATTCTGTTATGGAAGCTTTTATTTTATTTTTTTTTTTTTTTGAGACGGAGTCTCGCTCTGTCGCCCAGGCTGGAGTGCAGTGGCGGGATCTCGGCTCACTGCAAGCTCCGCCTCCCGGGTTCACGCCATTCTCCTGCCTCAGCCTCCCAAGTAGCTGGGACTACAGGCGCCCGCCACTACGCCCGGCTAATTTTTTGTATTTTTAGTAGAGACGGGGTTTCACCGTTTTAGCCGGGATGGTCTCGATCTCCTGACCTCGTGATCCGCCCGCCTCGGCCTCCCAAAGTGCTGGGATTACAGGCGTGAGCCACCGCGCCCGGCCGGAAGCTTTTATTAAAAACTTTTTTGGCTTGGTGTGGTGGCTCACACCTGTAATCCCAGCACTTTGAGAAGCGGGAGGATCCCTTGAGGCCAGCCTGGGCAGTAAAATGAGACCCCCATCTCTACAAAAAATAAAGAAAATTACCTGGATATGATGGTGCATGCCTGTGGTCCCAGCTACTCAGGAGGCTGAGGAAGAAGGATCGCTGGAGCCTAGGAGGTTGAGGCTGCAATAAGCTGTGTTCATATTACTGCACTCCAGTCTGGGCAACAGAGCAAGACCTTGTCTCGAAAAAAAAAAAAGTAAAAAACAAACAAACAAAATCTCTCTTTTATAACCAAAGTCTTGCTATGTTGCCCAGGCTTTTCTCAAACTCCTGGCCTTAAGCTATCGTCCTGCCACGGACTCCCAAAGTGCTGGGATTGCAAGCATGAGCCACCACACCTGGACAGCACTTTTTAAAAATCAAGGCAAAATTTACGTTACATTAAATTAAGCATTTTAAAGCAGACAAATCAGTGGCATTTAGTACATTCACAATGCCATATAATCATTATCACCTTCTAATTCCAAAACATTTTCATCAAGCCAAAAGTCACCCCAGACCCTGTCCTTGGTAGCCACCAATCTGTATTCCATCTGTATGATTTGCCTGTTCCAGATATTTCTTATACATCGAATCACACAATATAGGACTTTTAGTGTCTGGCTTTTTCACTTAGCATTGTGTTTTTGAGGCTCGACAGTGTTGTAGCACGTATTCCATTTTATGGTTGAAATACTTTTCCATCCTATGTTTATGCCCCAGTTTGTTTCATTTTTCCACTGTGGGACATGTGGGCTGTTTCCACCTTTTGGCTACGTGAATAGTGCTGCTATGAACACACATGTACATGTACTTGTTTGAACACTAGCTTTCAATCCCTTGAGTACATACCTAGGAGTGGAGTTGTTATGTGTGGTAATTGGGCCATAGGGTAATTCTATGTTTAACATTGTTTTTTAGAGTTGGGGTCTTGCTATGTTGCCCAGGCTGATCTCAAACTCCTGGGCTCAAGCAATCCTCCTGCCTTGGCCTCCCGAAGTGCCGGGATTAAAGATGAGCAGTGCACTTGGCCTGTTTAACTTTTTGAGGAACTTCTAAACTGTTTCTGCAGGGAGTATGTCATTTTAAATTCCCACCAGCAATGAACGAGGGCTCTGCTTTCTCCACGCCCTTGCCAGTACCTATTTTCCATTTGTTTGATTACAGCCATTTTGGCGAGGGATGAATGGATGCTGGGGTTCTGTCTTGTGTTTCCTAATGACTAATGACGTGGAGCATCCTTGCATGTGCTTGTGGACCATTTACATGTTATCTTTGGAGAAATGTCAGTTCAAGTCTTCTGCCCATTTTTAAATTGGGTTGCTTGCTTTTTGTTGAGTTGTAGGAGTTCTTTATATATTCTGGATACTAGGCTTTTATCAATTCATAATTTGAAAATATTTTCTTCCATTCTTATCACTTTCTTGGTATTGTCTTTGATATACAAAAGTTTTTAATTTCAATGAAGCCCAATTTATCAATTTTTTTTGAGACAATTTAGGTCTGTTACCTACCTAGGCTGGAGTGCAGTGGTGCAATCTTGGCTCACTGCAGCCTCGACCCGCTGAGCTCAGGTAATCCTCCCACCACAGCCTCCCCAGTAGCTGGCACTACAGGCACTCGCCACCACGCCCAGCTAATTTTTTTTTTTTGAAACAGAGTCTTGCTCTGTTGCCCAGGCTGGAGTGCAGTGGTGCAATCTCGGCTCACTGCAACCTCTGCCTCCCGGGTTCAAACGATCCTCCTGCCTCAGCCACCTGAGTACCTGGGATTACAGGTGCACACCACCACGCCCGGCTAATTTTTGTATTTTTTGTAGAGACTGAGTTTCACCATGTTGCCCTGGCTGGTCTCGAACTCCTAGGCTCAAGTAATCTGCCCGCCTTGGCCTCCCAAACTGTTGGGATTATACACACGAGCCACTACACCTGGCCAATTTATTTTGATGCTCATGTTTTTGTTGTATCTAAGAACCCATTGCCAAGTCCAAGGTTGTGATTTCTTGACCTATGTTTCTGTATTTGTTTCCTAGGGCTGCTGTCACAAAGTACCCCAAACTGGGCAGTTTCAAACGACAAAAAGTTTTTCTCTCACAGCTCTGCACACCTGAAGTCTGACGTTAAGGTGTCAGAAGGGCCAGGCTCCCTCTCAGGGGTCTCAGGGAGGATCCTTCTTTTCCTCTTCCTAGCTTCTTGTGGTTGCCAGAAATCCTTGGCTTTCTGTGGCTGGCAGGTGCATGGCTCCAGTCTCTGCCTCTGTCATCACATGCACACTCCATGTCTGTGTCCCTTCTCCCCTTCCTATATGTCCTTCAGTCATATTGGACAAGGCCCCACCCTAACATCCTCATCTTAACTTGATTACATCTGCAAATAGCCTATTTCTAAAATGTCCCATTTATGACTACTGGGGGTGTCAACTTCAACATATCTTTTGGGGGACATAATTCAACCAACAACAGTTTTATTCTAAAATTTTATACTTCGAGTTGATATACTTAGTCTTCAATAATTTCCGTGGTAAATTTTGTATATGGTATGAAGTAAGGGTCCAACTTCATTCTTTTGTATGTGAATGTCTAGTACAATTTGTTGAACAGACTGTTCCTTCCCCATGGAATGGACTTGGCACCTTCATTGAAAATGAATGGGCCAGTGATTCTGAACTCTCAATTCCATTCCATTGGTCTATATATCTCTCCTTATGCCATAACCCACGATTTTGACTATTGCAGCTTCATGGTATATTTTGAAATCAGGAAGTATGAGTCCTTCAACGTTGCTTTTTTTTTTTGAGATGGAGTCTCGCTCTTGTTGCCCAGGCTAGAGTGCAGTGCCACGATCTTGGCTCACTGCAACCTCTGCCTCCTTGGTTCAAGTGATTCTCCCGCCTCAACCTCCCAAGTAGCTGGGATTACAGGCACCCATGACCACGCCCGGCTAATTTTGTATTTTTAGTAGAGATGGGGTTTCACCATGTTGGCCAGGCTGGTTTCAAACTCCTGACCTCAGGTGATCTGCCCACCTCGGCCTCCCAAAGTGCTGGGATTACAGGTGTGAGCTACTGCACTCGGCCATGTTGTTCTTTTTTAAGATTGTTTTAGCTATTTGTGGCCTCTTCTAATTACATATAAATTTGAAGATTAGCTTTCTTATTTCTGCAAAAAGGGGCATTGGTATCTTGATAAGGACTGTGTTTGTAGATCACTTTGGGTAATATTGTCATCGTAACAATATTAAGTCTCCCAATCCATGAACATCAGCTGTCTTTGCATTTATTTAGGTTTTCAAAAATTTCTTTCTGTAACATTCTATAGTTTTCAATGTAGTTTTGTAGTTTTCATCTCCTTGGATACATTATTATAGGTATATTTTGGTTTGGGTGCTATTGCAGATGGAACAATTTTCTTAATTTCCTTTTTGAATTGTTCATTGAGGTTGTATAGAAGCACAACTTTTTTTGTGTGTGTTGATTTTGCATCCTGCCACTTGGCTGGATTTTAAAAATTATCCGTAGTTTGATTTTGTTGTTACTGTGTATTTGTTTTTAGGATTCATTGGGATTTTCTATATATATAGGATCATGTCATCTGCAAGTAGAGATAGTTTTACTTCTGCATTTCCAAAGTGAATTTCTTTTGTTTATTTTTCTCACCTAATTTGTCTGTCTAGAGCTTCTGGTATAATATGGAATACCAGTGGTGAAAGCAGGCATCTTAATTTTGTTCCTGATCTTGGAGGGAAGGCTTTCGGTATTTAACCATTGTTATATTTCACCAGAATTAAGTCAGTATTAATCTGACTGGATTGTGATAAACAAAGCAAGCCCTACAACCACTGTTTAGAAAACATCTTTTGAAATATAGTCTAAAAAATCAAGGGAAGAATGAAAATGGCATACCAAAAGGCACTTTGTTAACATAAAAGAAGGCATGGAAAAATGAATAGAGGAAAGAGAGTATATAGGTATATAGAAAACATTTAGCAAAATGGCAAATTTAAATCCACAAAATCAATAATTACATTAAACGTGAAGATGGACTAAATACTTCAGCCAAAAGGCAGAGATTTCCAGACTAGATAAAAAAGGAAGACCCAACTATATGCTTTCTACCAAAAGATACACTTTGGATTCAGAGGCATATATAGATTGAAAGTGAAAAGATGAAAAAAGATATCCGTGCAAATAGTAATTGTAAGACAGCCTAAATGGCTAGATCAATATCAGACAAAACAGACTTTAAAACAAATGTAACTAGGGACAAAGAAAGACAGTTGATTAAATGATAAGATAATCAACACACCAAGTAGACATGATTATAAATATGTATGCACCCAATCAGAGCCTGAAAAGACATGAAGCAAAACCTGGCATAATTGAAAGGAGAAATAAACAATTCAGCAGTCATAGAGATTTTAGTACTCTACTCTAAATAACTGCTTTTTTCTTTTTCTTTCTTTCTTTTTTTTGAGATGGAGTCTCGCTCTGTCACTCAGACTGGAGTGCAGTGGTGTAATCTTGGCTCACTGCAACCTCTGCCACCCAGCTTCAAATGATTCTCCTGTCTCAGCCTCCCAAGTAGCTGGGACTACAGGTGCATGCCACCACACCCAGCTAATTTTTTATATTTTTAGTAGAGATGAGGTTTCACCATGTTAGCCAGGGTGGTCTCAATCTCCTGACCTTGTGGAGTGTTGGGATTACAGGTGTGAGCCATCGCGCCTGGCCCAATAACTGCTTTTAAAAGACAGAAAACCAATAAGGATATAGAAGACTTAAAAACATTATCAGCCAACTTGACCTGTGACTTATAAAAATTTCCACACCAATGACAGCAAGACACATATTCTTTCCAAACACACATGGATCATTTACCAGGACAGACCATAGGCTAGGCCATAGTACATGTCTCCATAAGTTCAAAAAGTGTAAAATTATAGCAAGTATTTTTTTCTAAGCACAAGGGCATTAAAGTTAAAATTAACAATGGGAAGAAATTTTATTTGGAATTCACCAAATACTTAAAATTAAGAAACTTTGAAGAAAAAATTATGAGGGAAATTAGATAATATCCTCAACTAAATGAAAACAAAAACACAGTATACCAAAATTTGTGGGAAGCATTTAAAACAGTGCATAGAGGGAAATTTATAGCTTTAAATGCTTATATTAGAAGAAGAAGAAAGGTCACAAACCACTCTAAGCTTCTACCTTAGGAAACTAGAAAAAGAACAATTAAATTCAAAGCAATCAGAAGGAAGAAAATAAGAAAAATGAGAGTGGAAATCAATGAAATAGAAAACAGAAAAGTAATATGGAAAATCAGTGACCAAAAATCAGTTCTAGAAGACAACCAAAATTGATAAACCTTTAGTTATAATGACCAAGATAAAAATAGAGAAGATGCCAATTACCAAAATCAGAAAAGATGAAATATTACTACTATCCTTTTAGAAATTAAAATAAATGATGAGACTATTATGAACAACTGTGTGCTATCAAATTAGATACCTTAAGGCCGGGCACGGTGGCTCAAGCCTGTAATCCCAGCACTTTGGGGGGCCGAGGTGGGCAGATCACCTGAGGCCACGAGTTCGAGACCAGCCTGGCCAACATGGTGAAACCCTGTCCCTACTAAAAATAATAATAATAATAATAAAAATTAGCAGGGCTTGGTGGTGGGCGCCTGTAATCCCAGCTACTCAGGCAGGAGAATCGCTTGAACCCAGAGGCGGAGGTTGTAGTTAGCTGAGATCGCGCTATTGCACTTGCCTGAGTGACAAGAGCAAAACTCCATCTCAAAAAAAAAAAAAAAAAAAGTAGACACCTTAAACTAATTCAAGAAGAAATGGGAATCTGAATACACCTGTATAAGAAAAAGTAAAAGTAATAGGACAATAATAAATACATAAAGTATATAACAAACTAATAATAAAAATATCTTTCCATAAAGAAAAGCCCAGGCCCAGGTGGCTTTGCTCATGAATTCTATCAAATCTTTAAGAGGGAAACAATACCAATACTATAAACATGAATATTTTTCTTATACCAAAACCAGACAAAAACATCACAAGAAAAATTCAGCCAATATGTCTCATAAATGTAGTTGCAAAAATCTTTAACAAAGTATTAACAAATTGATTCCAGCAACCTAGAAAGACTATTATACACAATGACCAAGAGGGATTAATCACAGGAATGCAAGGTGAGTTTAATATCCAAAATTGAATATAATATATCAATAACATAAAAATCAGGAGCCACAGGAACATATCGATAGATGTAGAAAAAGCATTTCTTACTCCTATTCATAACAAAGATACTCAACAAACTAGGAACCAAAGAAGTCTTCCTCAATCTGTTAAAAGATATCTACAAAAAAACCCCACAGCTCACATCATTCTTGATGGTGAAAGACGAAACATTTCCCCCACTAAGATGAAGAACAAGGCAAGGATATCCACTATTCCCAGTTGTATTGAACATTATATTAGAGGTTGTAGCCAGTGTAATGAGGCAAGAGAGAGAAAGCCTACCCACACTGGAAAGTAAGAAGACTGTCTTTGCTCACAAACAACATAATATATGAAAAAACTCACAGTGAATTACAAAGAATTTAAACTACATTTCTCAGAATGAAATGAATAAAAATCAAGTGTACTTCAATATGCTAACAATGAACAATTAAAATGAAATTGAGAAAACTGCATTCACAATAGATTCAAAAATCATAAACTATATACAATATACTGTATATAGTAAACATATGTACAATAAAAGTATAAGTATATACAATATACTGCCTAAGGCCCATGAGCAAGAGCTAGTGGGAATTTCTTTGGGAGTGCTCAAAAGCACTTTTTGGACAAAGGAATAGACATTTTTCAAAAGAAGACATACAAATGACCAATAAGCATATGAAAAAATGCTCAATATCACTAATCGTCAGAGAAATTCAAAACCACAGTGAGATACCGTCTCACACTAGTCAGAATGATTATTATTAAAAAGTCAAAAAACAACAGAAATTGGTGAGGATGAAGAGAAAAGGGAAGGCTTATACACTGCTGGTGGAAATGAAAATTAGTACAAGACTAAAATGGCCAATTGGAAGCAGCTGCGGTCTGTGGCACTCACAGAGAGGAATGAAAGTGGTAAGTGAATTCAGCATTTTCAACTGAAATATCCAGGTTCTCGCGCTGGGACTGACTAGGCAAACAGGTCCACCCATAGAGAATGAAGAAAGGCAGGGTGGGGTGATGGCCTGCCCAGGAGCCACATGGACCCAAAGGAATCCCTGCCCTCAAGTCAAGGGAAGTGGTGAAGTGATTGTGTGATTCCACCCTGGGAAACCACACTTCTCCCATGAATCATTGCAACCAGCAGATCAGGTGATCCTCTCATAAGCCAGTATCACCAGGTCCTTGGGTCTCTCTACACAGAGCTGTGTGGAGTCCTGACAGAGTAGCCACTCAGGCACACACGGAGACCCAGGAGTTTTGTATACTCTGGCCCCAGGATTCCCAGCAAGGTGGGAAACCTGTCCCTACATAACCCTGGGGGGTGGTCCCTTGTGAGAAGGAACAGAATCAGGGACCCACTTACAGAAGCAGCCTGGCTGCTTCTTGGTAGTGCAGCTGTGCTCCTTTGTTGAGGACCCTTCTTCATCCAGATTGTCTGGACTCTCCAGAGCCGGCAGGCTGGAACAGCTGAGTTGACTCAACTGCAGAGATGGCACTGCTCCTCTCCCTGGGGAATTGGTCCTTCTTAAGCAGATTCCAGCCTATCGCGACTGGCAGGCTGGAATTCCAAGCCAGTAGTCTTAACTTGTGGGGTGCCATGGAGGTGAGGCTCACAGAATGATGCTGCTTGGCTCCCTGGACCCAAGTAATAGTAAAGGGTTCAACAAGAAAAGCTAACTATCCTAAATATATATGCACCCAATACAGGAGCACCCAGATTCATAACGCAAGTTATTAGAGACCTACAAAGAGACTTAGACTCCCACACAGTAATAGTGGGATACTTTAACACTCCACTGATAATATTAACAGATCATTGAGACAGAAAATTAACAAAGATATTCAGGATCTGAACTCAGATCTGGATCAAGTGGACCTAATAGATACTTACAGAACTCTCCACTCCAAAACAACAGAATATACATTCTTCTCATCACCACATGGCACTTACTCTAGAATTGATCATATAGCAAAAGTAAAACACTCCTTAGCGAATGCAGAAGAACTGAAAACATAATAAACAGTCCCTTAGACCACAGTGGAATCAAATTAGATCTCAAGATTAAGAAACTCACTCAAAACCACACAACTACATGGAAATTGAACAACCTGCTCTTGAATGATTTTAGGTAAATAATGAAATTAAGGCAGAAATCAAGAAGTTCTTTCAAACTAATGAGAACAAAGAGATAACATATCAGAATCTCTGGGATACAGCTAAAGCAGTGGTAACAGAGAAATTTATAGCACTAAATGCCCACATCAAAAAGCTAGAAAGATCTGAAGTTAACAACCTAACACCTCAACTAAAAGAACTAGAGAACCAAGAGCAAAAAACCCCAAAGCTAGCAGAAGACAAGAAATAACCAAGATCAGAGCTGAACTGAATGAGAGAGAGACATGGAAAACCCTTCAAAAAATCAATGAATTCAGAAGCTGGTTTTCTAAAAAAAAAAAAAATTAATAAGATAGATCACTAGCTAGACTAATAAAGAAGAAAAGAGAGAAGAATCAAATAAACACAATCAGAAATGATAAGAGGGATATTGCCACTGACCCCACAGAAATACAAACAACCATCAGAGAACACTATAAACACTTCTATGCAGATAAACTAAAAAAATCTAGAAAAGAAACTAGAAAATAAATTCCTGAACACATACACCCTCCCAAGACTGAACCAAGAAGAAATTGAAACCCTGAACAGACCAATAACAAGTTCTGAAATTGAAGCAGTAATAAATAGCCTACCGACCAAAAAAAGCCCAGGACCTGATGGATTTGCAGTTGAATTCTACCAGAGGTACAAAGAAGAGCCAGTTCCATTTCTACTGAAACCATTACAAAAAATTGAAAGGAGGAACTTCTTCCTAATTTGTTCTATGAGGCCAGCATCATCCTGATACCAAAACCTGGCAGAGATACTACAATGACCACAACAAAACTTCAGGTCAATATACTTGATGAACATCAATGCAAAAATCCTCAACAATATACTGGCAAACCGAATCCAGCAGCACATCAAAAAGCTTATCCACTACAATCAAGTTGGCTTCATCCCTGGGATGCAAGGGTGATTCGACATACGCAAGTCAATAAACGTAATCCATCACATAAGCAGAACCAATGACAAAAACCATATGATTATCTCAATAAATGCAGAAAAGGCCTTTGGTAAAATTAAACATTCTTTCATGTTAAAAACTCTAAACTAGGTGTTGAAGGAACAGACCTCAAAATAAGAGCCATATATGACAAACCCACAGCCAATATCATACTGAATGGGCAAAAGCTGGAGGCAGTCATTGCCCTTGAAAACCGTCACAAGAGAATGCCCTCTCTCACCACTTTTTTTTTTTTCTTGAGATGGAGGTTCACTCTGTCACTCAGGCTAGAGTGCAGTGGCACTATCTCGGCTCACTGCAACCTCTGCCTCCCGGGTTCAAGTGATTCTCCTGCCTTAGCATCCCGAGTAGCTGGGACTACAGATGTATGCCACCATGCACAGCTACTTTTTTATATTTTCAGTAGAGATGGGGTTTCACCGTGTTGGGCCAGGCTGCTCTCGAACTCCTAACCTCAGGTGATCCACCCGCCTCAACCTCCCAAAGTGTTGGGATTACAGGCGTTAGCCACCGCACTTGGCCTCACCACTTCTATTAAACGTAATATTGGACGTTCTGTCCAGGGCAATTAGGCAAGAGAAAGAAATCAACGGTGTTCAAATAGGAAGAGAAGTAGTCAAATTATCTTTGCAGATGACACGATCCTGTATCTAGAAAACCCCATCATCTCAGCCCAAAAGCTTCTTAAGCTGGTAAGCAACTTCAGCAAAGTCTCATGATATAAAATCAATATGCAAAACTTGCTAGCATTCCTATACACTGACAACAGGCAAGCAGAGAGCCAAATCATGAATGAATTCCCATTCATAATTGCTACAGAAAGAATAAAATACCTAGGAATACAGCTAACAAGGGAAGTGAAGGACCTCTTCAAAAAGAACTACAAACCACTGCTCAAAGAAATCAGAGGGGACACAAACAAACGGAGAAACATTCCATGCTCACAGACAGGAAGAATCAATATTGTGAAAATGACCATATTGCCTAAAGTAATTTATAGATTCAATACTATTCCCATTAAACTACCATTGACATTCTCCACAGAATTAGAAGAAAACTATTTTAAAATTCATATGGCACACAAAAAAAAGCCTGAATAGCCAAGACAATCCTAAGCAAAAAGAACGAAGTTGGAGGCACCATGCTACCCAATTTCAAATGATACTATAAGGCTACAGTAACCAAAACAGCATGGTACTGGTACAAGAACAGACACATAGACCAATAGAACAGGATAGAAAACTCAGAAATAAGACTGCACACCTACAATCATCTGATCTTCAACAAACCCGGCAAAAACAAGCAATGGGAAAAGGATTCTCTATTTAATAAATGGTGCTGGGAGAATTAGCTAGCCATATGCAGAAAGATGAAATTAGACCCCTTCCTTACACCACATACAAAAATTAACTCAAGATGGATTAAAGGCTTAAATGTAAAACCCACAACTTTAAAAAACCTAGAGGCCAGACGCGGTGGCTTACGCCTGTAATCACAGCACTTTGGGAGGCTGAGGCGGGCAGATCACAAGATCAGGAGATCGAGACCATCCCAGCCAACATGGTGAAACCCTGCCTCTACTAAAAATACAAAAACTAGCTGGGCGTGGTGGCATGTGCCTGTAATCCCAGCTACTCCAGAGGCTGAGGCAGGACAATTGCTTGAACCAGGGAGTTGGAGGTTGCAGTGAGCTGAAATCACTCTACTGCACTCCAGCCCAGCCTGGTGACAGACTGAGACTCTCTCAAAAAACAAAAAAATAAAAAACCTAGAAGAAAATCTAG
Source organism: Homo sapiens (assembly GCF_000001405.40). Classification (NCBI taxonomy): domain Eukaryota; kingdom Metazoa; phylum Chordata; class Mammalia; order Primates; family Hominidae; genus Homo; species Homo sapiens. The sequence continues at coordinate 227,825,169 of NC_000001.11, read as the reverse complement.
GCAATACCATTCAGGACATAGGCACAGGCAAAGGTTTCATGACAAAAATGCCAAAAGCAATTGCAACAAAAGCAAAAATTGACAAATGGGATCTAATTAAACTAAAGAGCTTCTGCACAGCAAAATAAACTATCATCAGAGTGAACAGACAACCTACAGAATGGGAGAAAAATTTTGCAATCTATCCATCTGACAAAGGTCTAATATCCAGAGTCTACAAGGAACTTAAGCAAATTTACAAGAAAAAAAACAAACAGCCCCATTAAAAAGTAGCAAAGGTCATGAACAGACACTTCTCAAAAGAAGACATACATACAGCCAACAAACATGAAAAAAAGCTCAACATCACTGATCATTAGAGAAATGCAAGTCAAAACCACAATGAGATACCATCTCATGTCAGTCAGAATGGCTATTACTAAAAAGTCAAGAAACAACAGATGCTGGTGAGGTTGTAAGAACAAAGGAACATTTTTTACATTGTTGGTGGGAGTGTAAATTAGTTCAACCATTGCAGAAGACAGTGTGGCGAGTCCTCAAAAACCCAGAGGCAGAAATACTATCTGACCCAGCAATCTCATTACTGGGTATATTCCCAAAGTAATATAAATCATCCTATTATAAAGATATATGCATGCAAACGTCCATTGCAGCACTATTCACAATAGCAAAGACATGGAATCAAGCTAGATACCCATCAATGATAGACTGGATAAAAAAATGTGGTACATGTATACCATGGAATACTATGCAGCCATGAAAAAATGAGATCATGTCCTTTTCAGGGTCATGGATGGAGTTGGAAGCCATTATCCTCAGCAAACTAACGCAGGAACAGAAAAGCAAACATCACATGTTCTCACTCATAAGTGGGAGCTGAATTATGAGAACACATGGACACAGGGAGTGGGGAAACAACACACACTGGGGCCTGTTTGGGGGGATAGAGGGAGGGAAAGCATTAGGAAGAACAGCTAATGGATGCTGGGCTTAATACCTAGGTGATGGGATAATTTGTGCAGCAAACCACCATGGCACATGTTTACCTACATAACAAAACTGCACCTCTTGCATATGTACCCCTGAACTTAAAAGTTGAAGAAAAAAAAGAAAATTAGTACAACCTCTATTGAAAACTATATAGAGATCTCTCAAAGAACTAAAAATAGAGCTACCATTCAATCCAGCAGTCCCACCACTGGGTATTTATCCAAAGGAAAATAAGTCACTGTACAAAAAATACCTGCACTCACATGTTTATTGCAGCACTATTTGCAATAACAAAAATACGGCTATTAGTCTGTTTTGCATAGCTATAAAGGATAACTGAGGCTGGGGAAATTATAAGGAAAAGAGGTTTATTTTGGCTCACAGTTCTGCAGACTGTACAAGAAGTATAGTGCCAGCATCTGCCTCTGGTGAGGACCTCAGGAAGCTTACAATCAGGGAAGAAGGTGAAAGGGAAGCAGGCATGTCATATGATGCAAGAGGAAGTAAGAGAGATGTTAGGCTCTTAAACATTAGTCCAGCTTTTGCACAAACCAAATGGAGCAAGAATTCACTCATTACTGCAAAGATGGCACCAAGCCATTCATGAGGAATCCACCCCTATGATCCAAACACCTCCTACTGGCCCCACCTCAAACACTGGGGAGCACATTTTAACATGAGATTTGGAGGAAACAAACATCCAAACTATGTCAATATAGAACCAACCTTCGAGCCCACCCAGGGACAGCATGAACAAAAAAGAAAAAAAATAGAACCAAACCAAGTGCCCATCAACAAATGATTGGATAAAGAAAATGTGGTGTGTTTGTGTATATATATTATTTTATATTATATGTATAAATAAATAATATATATCATACACACCATGGAATACTACTCAGCCATAAAAAGGAATAAAATCATGTCTTTTGCAGCAATGTGGATGGAACTGGAGGCCATTATCTTAAGTGAAATAATTCAGAAAGTCAAATAATGCTTCTTCTCACTTATGAGTGGGAGCTAAATAAAGTTCACAACACAGAGAGTGGAATAATATGCATTGGAGACTCAGCAAGGTAGGAGGATGGGAAGGTGATGGGGGATGAGAAATTACCTATTGGGTAAAATGTTCACTATTTGGGTGATGGTTACTCTAAAATCCCAGACTTCACCCCTATGCAATATATCCATGTAGCAAACCTGCACTTGTACCTCCTAAATCTATAAAAATAAAAAATACATAATTTAAAAAGTAAATAAATTGGAAAAGATTTTTAGAAAAAGCACCTCTGTACTTGAGGGAATTTAGAAGGCCATGAACATGCCCAGGGTAAGACACATGCTCATAAGTAAACCTGAGAAGACCAAAACTTTCACCTCAGGCTGATCCCTAGGCTTGGTGCAAGCATGGCTAAGTATTGAAAAAGTGCCTTGGCACAGACCAACCTGCAAAGATCATAAGAAGAGATTTTTGGTTTTGTTGGTTTTTAGCTCCTGGCATTCAAGAAAATACTGTCAAAACAGTAGCTAACAGAAGCTAAGGAATAGCGACTTCAGTGACCACACATGAGAAAGGATACAGTCTTTGCAAAATAGTTTGGGAAAATCATTAAACAGACTACTATAGCTTTCAACAATCAAAACACCACAGAAAACCCTGGGGTTGGAGAGAATCTTATTTCCAGAGTTAACACATTATTATAATCAATATTCAGCCACATATAACATTCATTATATATTCAAAAGTATAAAACTCAACACTCCTGTTTTCAATAATAGTAATAATAACAACAAAAATCAGAAAAAAACTATGGCCCACTTAAGAAAACAAAATAAGTGGATAGAAACTGTCCCTAAAGAAGTCTAGACAAAGACTTTAAACAAGTGTATTAAATATGCTCAAAGAGCTAAGGGAAAACATAGACAAAGAATTAAAGAAAATCAGGAAAATAATATATGAACAAAAAGATACTATTAGTAAACAGAAATTATCAAAGGAACCAAACAGAATATTTGGCATTAAAATGGCAAATAATGGAAATGAAAACTTCACTAAAGGGGCAAAGCAGACAATTTGAGCAAGCACAAGAGAGCATAGGTGAACTTGAAGATGGGACAATTCAGATTATAAAATCTAAGGATTAGAAAGGAAAAAAGAGGAAGGAAAGTAAAGAGAGCCTAAGAGACTCCTGGGACACCATCAAATGAACCACATATGTGTTATGGTATTTTCAGAAGGAGAAGAGAGACAGAATGAGGTAGAAAGAATATTTGAAGAAATAATGGTCCAAAATTTTGCAATCTGCTGAAATATTTAAATCTACAAATTCAGACTGAACAAACTTCAAGTATTATAAACTCAAATAACCCCCAACAAGACACATTATAATCAAACTGTCAAAAACTAAAGGCAATGAATCTTGAAATGAGCAAGAGAGAAGTGTCTAGTCATGTACAAGGATCCTCAATCAGATTAATAGCCAATTTCTCATAAAAAACTAAGGAGATCAGAAGACAGTGTTATGATGTACTTAAAGTGCTAAAAGAAAAAACCTTTCAACCAAGAATCCTATATCTGACAACATCGTCCTTCAGAAATGAGGGAGAAATTAAGTCGTTCACGGATAAACAAGAGCCATGGAAGTCTGCACCACTAGATCTTCCATAGAGGAAATGCTAACTGGAGTGCTTCACATTGAAAAGAAAGGACACAAAACAGTAAGTCAAAGCCATATGACAAATTAAAGGACTTTGGTAAAGGTAAATGCACGGGCAAATATAAAAACCATTAAACCATGATATAAATCATTCTATTATAAAGATACATGCATGCATATATTTATTGCAGCACTATTCACAATGGCAAAGACATGGAATCAACCTAAATGCCCATCAATGATAGACTGGATTAAAAAAATGTGATACATGTATACCATGGAATATTGTGCAAAAAAAAAAATGAGATCATGTCCTTTGCAGGGACATGGATGGAGTTGGAAGCCATTATCCTCAGCAAACTAGTACAGGAACAGAAAACCAAAACACCACATGTTCTCACTCATAAGTGAGTTTGGTTTTTAATTCCACTTTTTATTTGGTTTTTAATTCCACTTTTTATCTGCAACAGGATTCAAAAAACAAATGCACAAAAATGATTATAAATTTGTGAAATAACTTATCTTGCAAATGAGATAACTTGGATGAAATAGACAAATTTCTACAAACGTATGAATTATCTAAACTTACACAGAAGAAATAGGAAATCTGAAAAGATCTATAACAAGTAAAGAGATTGATTCAACAATAAGAATCTCCCAACAAAGAAAAGTACAGGACCAGATGGCTTCACTGGTAAATTCTACCAAATATTTAAAGAAGAATTAATCAATCTTTATCACACTCCACCAAAAAAATAGAAGAGGAAGCAACACTTCATAATTCATTCTATGAGACAAGAATTATCCTGATGCCAAAGCCAAAGACACCATAAGAAAATATAACTACAGATCATACCTTTAAGAATATAGATGTAAAAACCCTCAGCAAAATATTAGCAAACTGTAACCAACAGCATATAAAACCATGACAAAGCGAGATTTATCCAAGAAATACAAGTGTAATTCAACATAAGAACATCAATCAATGTAATATACATTAATAGAATAAACGAAAAAAGACAACATAGGATCATCTCAATTGATGTAGAAAAACTTCATCAACATTAAGGCATTTTTTTAAAAACTGACAGCTAACATCATATTCAATGGTTAAAGACTGAAAGCATTTCCCATGAGATCAGAAACAAAACAAGGATTTCCACTTTGATCACTGCTATTTAATTTGTACTAGAAATTCTAGACAAATAATTTAGACAAGGAAAAGAAATAACAGCCATTCAAATTGGAAACAAAGAAGTAAAACAATCTCTATTCATAGATGACATGATCCTATACATAGAAAATCCCAATTAATCTTTAAAAAAAAAACAAAACTACTACATATAATAAACAAATTCAGTAAAGTTGCAGGGTATAAGGCCAACACATAAAAAAATCAGTTGTGTTGCTTTTTTTTTTTTTTTTTTTTTTTTGAGATGGAGTTTCACTCTTGTTGCCCAGGCTGGAGTGCAATGGCGTGATCTCAGCTCACTGCAACCTCCACCTCCTGGGTTCAAGTGATTCTCTTACCTCAGCCTCCCAAGTAGCTGGGATTACAGGCAAGTGCCACCACACCCAGCTAATTTTTATATTTTTAGTAGAGACGGGGTTTCACCATGTTGGCCAGGATAGTCTCAATCTCTTGACCTTGTGAACCGCCCGCCTTGGCCTCCCAAAGTGCTGGGATTACAGGCGTGAGCCACTGCACCCGGCCAAAAATCAGTTGTGTTCCTATACACCCCCAAAGAACAATCCAAAAAAGATAGTTATGAAAGCAATTTCATTTACAATAGCATCTAAAATAATAACATACCTTGGAAATAAATTTAATGAAGGAGGTGAAAAACTTGCATACTCGAATCTATAAATCATTGCTGAAAGAAATTAAAGACTCAAATAAATGGAAATACATTCCATGTTTATGGATAGGCAGGTTTAATATTGTTAAAATGTCAACATTACTCAACATGGTCTGAATATTCAATGCAATTCCTATAAAATTCCAATGGCCTTTTTTGTAGATATGAAAAATTTTGTCCTATACTTTTGGATATAGACAAAATCAAAATAGGGTGCACATACTTTTGAGAAACGAATAACAAATATGTAAGAATTCAAAGCCTGTAACATGACCAAAGGAGACTTTGAAAGCTATAATCTTCAATTTATTCATAGAAAAAGTATGAAATGTTGAATCTTTTGTATTTTCAGCTCAAAAAATTAGAAAAGTTTGGTTAAGCAAACTTAGAGTATAAAAAGTTTAACGAATGAATAGATGGCTATAGGAGTGAATAGCAAAGCACCCAACATATAAAGTCCCATGCACCACCATCTCCCCACATACACCAATGCAAAATCTGTAGCAGGTAGTTTTATATAAAAAAGGCAATAGAATAGACAATTTTGGCAACTATGATAAGGAATTAAGAGAAGTCAGAAAAGTAATAATAAGAGCACATGAATTACAGTCTTACACAATATCATTATATTCAAAATCTGGAATAAAATGAACAACTTTCTAGAAAAATATAATCCATCAAAATTGGCCTAAGAATAAATTTTAAAATTGGAATGAACCAGTAGCCATAACAGAGAGTAAGACAGAGTAATCATTTATACCCGCAAAAGGTACTAGGATCAGAGTGTTTTATGGCCACATCAAACCTTCAAGAAATAGCTAATCTTTACTTTAATAGAAACTATTGCAGAGAATACAAATAGATGGGAAAGTTTTGATTCATTCTACAAAGTCAGCAGTACACTCATGCCAAAGATAAAATCAGCTAAGAAAAAAAATTCTAGACCCATCTCACATTAAATACGTTTTTTTTTTTTTTTTTTTTTTTTGAGAGAAGGTCTCACTGTTGCCCAGGCTTTGGTGCAGATATGCAGTTTTGGCTCACTGCAGCCTTGACCTTCTGGGATCAAGAGATCTTTCCACGTTAGCCTCCTGAGTAGCTGGGACTACAGGCACATGCCGTCAAGCCCAGCTAAGTCAGCATTTTTTGTAGAGACAGGATCTCACTATGTTGCCCAGGCTGGTCTCAAACTCCTGGGCTCAAGCGATCCTCCCACCTCAGCCTCCCAAAGTGCTGGGATTTACAGGTGTGAGCCACTGCACCCAGCTTAAATGCCTATTCTTGGCATCAATAGATTAAAAGAGCAGAACTATATGATCCTCTCAAGAGTTGCCGCAAACATTTCAATAAAATCAATAATTTTCTATAATTTTTTAAAAATTAAGTAAATCAGCTATAAAAGGTAACTTTCTTAATCTGGTGTAATATATCAACCTGAAATCTCCAGGCCTGGCCACAAATGCTATAGTGAACCATTATAAGCATTTCCAATCAAACCAAAACCAAGACAAGATCTGGCATCATTTCTACTGGAGGTTCCAACCATTGTAAGAAGACAAGAAAAATAAATAAAAGATAAAATATGGGAAGAGAGTGATAAAATAGTCTTTACTAGAAGAAAATATTATCTTTTGTCTAGAACTGTCAAAATAATCAGTTGATAAACTACTAAAAATAAATTCTATAAGATGACTGGATATAAGATCAATGTGCAAAAATCACACATAGTCACAGCTAATTAGCTGTGACTAATTAGCAAATGCAATTTTAAAAATCTCTTTTGAATAGACCTAAATATTGTAAAGTGCCCAGGTATAAATCTAGAAAGAATGCACAGGCCTTTCTGGAGAAAAGTTTAATAACAAACGGTTTTTAGATAAGCTAAAAGAGATTTCTAAATTCCGTTTACAATCTTAAGGAAAACTGCTTTTAAATTTGTGTTCTTGATATACTGCATACCAACTTCACATCAAAGTAGCTGTATTTTTCTGCATACAACAAAGCCAGTCAGAAATAAAACAAAACAACAAAATATCCACACTGACAAACAAATAAATGTTGATTGACAGGTGGGGATTCCAGTCCCCAAACACCTGGACCCCCTTAGCTGGCAGAGCATTTTCTTCCCTGTGGTGGAAGAGAAGCCTTCATCCTGCCCACAAAGCCCTGCACTGTATTCCTACCTTGTTTTGAGACTAGTCCCCATCCCGTAGCCCAGCAATTGGCACTGGTAAGGTTCACTTCTGGAGTTGCAAGGCAAACCGGGAGCACGGACTCAGAAAACACAATGCGGGTCTTCAGCTGCACCAGGGCCACGTCACCTCCGATGGGGTGGTACATCTCATATGTGGGGTGCAGGATCACCCTGTTCACCTCATACCACTGGGTGTGGTTGCCGGCCACCCTGAGGTTTACGAGGCCTACGTACATGTCATAGATTTTGATATTCTTGTCCCTGTGGGGGTGAGAACAGAGGTACAATGCCCGCAGCTTCCTGTGTGGTCAGCCCACAGGCCTGGGGAGGCCAAGCGCAAGGGGCTGGCACTCACTCGGTGGGATTGAAAAGCCAGTTTCTTCCTGCAGCATAGTAGGGACCTATCTGGCTGTCTGGAAGAGTTGCCCCCTAAAGAGTCGACTTGGCCCATGGAGGCTCTGGGGACCCAAGTCTGTACACGACCACCAGCTGTACAGGCCAGCAGCCCATGCATGTGAGACCTGCTCTGACTCTTACTGACAACCTGGTTGCACACATCCCTCTGGAGGCCAGATGGCCACAGGAGAGGCGTGCCTGCTGTGCGGGGCAGCTGTGGTGAATGGGGCTGTTGGAGGAGCAATCGGGAAGGCCAGGTGCTTAGAGACCAGCCTTGCTTATGAGGACCTGGCTGTGCACTTGAGGAGCAGCCTCACTTTTGTGGGACCTGGCTGTGCACTTGAGGACCAGCCTCACTTGTGGGAATCTGGCTGTGCCCTTGAGGACCAGCCTCACTTGTGGGAATCTGGCTGTGCCCTTGAGGACCAGCCTCACTCGTGGGGACCTGGTCGTGCACTTAGGGGACCAGCCTTGCACATGGGGACCAGGCTGTGCATTTGAGGACCAACCTAGCTCATGGGAACCTAACTGTACACTTAGGGGATCAGCCTTGCATATGAGGACCTGGCTGTGATCTTGGGGACCAGCATCACTCTTGAGGACCTGGCTGTGCACTTGGGGGACCAGCCTCAAGAATGGGGACCCAGCTGTGTGTTTGGGGACCAGCCTCACTGGTGGGGACCTGGCCTTGCGCGGGTCGACAGTGGTGAAGGGAGTCGACAATGGTGATGGGGGAGGCTTGCGTGGGGTCCATCCAAGCCGCTGTGGGCACTCCGTGCAGGCCCAGCTACCCACACCATCCCAGGCCGGCGCCCGCTTACCTGTGAAAGCAGTGCGCAGCTGACAGCACCCAGTACTCATTGAGGATGGAGCCGCCGCAGACGTGGAGGCCTGCGTAGTGCACGCTGACCTGCCACGGCCACTTCCTCTCGGGCGCAGGGACGCCGCCCAGGATTTTCCCCTCCATGCTGGGCCGACCACAGGCTGCAGGGAGAACGGAGCTGACGGTGGAGCCATGCTGGGGCCACGGGAGAGGTAGGGCAGGCAGGGGACGTGGGGGAGGGGCAGGGGACACAGGAGGAAGGGAAGGCAGGGGACATGGGGGAGGGGAAGGGATGGGCAGGCGACATGGGGGAGGAGGCCCAGCACCGACAGACGCCCCAAGGGCACTGTCTCCAGCCGCCCATCCGCCCCTGGGGCAGGGCCTACCCACGCTGCCAGTTAGGGAGATTCCCTGGTTCTCTGGCTGTCTGTGGACCAATGCTGCGACCCGGGGAGGGGCCACCACCAGGAGCAGCAGCAGAAGGCCCAGGGCAGAGGGCCCGAGTGGGCCCATGACGGAAGCAGGGGCAGCCATGAGGCTCGAGGCAGCGCCCCCAGCGGGTGACTAGCTCCCGACATGTGACTGTGTCTCCAGCACAGGATTGCGCCCCCAACAGGTGGTTGCACCCCAACATGTGACTGGCTCCCACTAGCAGATGGCACTCCCAGCAAGTGAGGGCACCTGACCTGGACATGCGACTGCACCCCCAGCACATGTCTGTGTCTCGTGGATTTACCTCTCCCGACCTGGGCACATGATGGCTCCCAAGCTGGACATGTGACAGTGCCCCAACCATACCTCATATGCCTAGGTGTGGCATTCCATTCCACAGTCAGGTCTAAACACACTGGTCCATTTGAGAATTCTGTGTTTTGAATCGTGATGTTCTCAGTTTTCTCCATGGCCCAGCTTAATTCTGTTAGGTCAATGACAATTTATACATCTGCCACCCAGCTATCAAAAAAAAAAAAAAAAAGAAAGAAAAGAAAAAGAAATAGGCTGGGCACCGTGGCTCACACCATAATGCCAGCACTTTGGGAGGGTGAGGCAGATGGATCACTTGAGGTCAGGAGTTTGAGACTAGACTGGCCAATGTGGCGAAACCCTGTCTCTACTGAAAATACAAAAATTGGCTAGGTGTGGTGGCGTGCAACTGAAATCCTGGTTCCTTGGGAGGCTGAGACAGGAGAATCGCTTGAACCTGAGAGGCAGAGGTTGCAGTGAGCCGAGATCACACCACTGCACTCCAGCCTGGGTGACAGAGCAAGTCTCTGTCTCAAAAAAAAAAAAAAAAAAAATTCATTAAGCCTTCATTTATATCTACTAAAATTTATCCCATTGATTCTACATTATGGTGAGTTGTATAATTATTTCATGATATATTACAATGTAATAATAATAGAAATAAAGTGGACAATAAATGTAATATGCTTGAATCATCCCAAAACAATTTCCCTGCCAGGAGGCAACTTTGGAACTGGGTAACAGGCAGAGGTTGCAACAGTTTAGAGGGCTCAGAAGAAGACAGGAAAATATGGGAAAGTTTGGAATTTCCTAGAGACTTGTTGAATGGCTTTGACCAAAATGCTGATAATGATATGGACAATGAAATCCAGGCTGAGGTGGTCTCAGATGGAGATAAGGACTGGAGTAAAGGTAATGCTTGCCATGTTTTATCAAAGAGACTGGCAGCATTTTGCCCCTGCTGTAGAGATTTGTGGAACTTTAAACTTGAGGGAGATGATTTAGCATATCTGGTGGAAAAAATATCTAAGCAGCAAAGCATCAAGAGGTGACGTGGGTGCTGTTAAAAGCATTCAGTTTTAAAAGGGAAACAGAGCATAAAAGTTTGGAAAATTTGTAGCCTGATGATGTGATAGAAAAAGAAAAACCCATTTTCTGAGGAGAAATTCAAACTGGCTGCAGAAATTTGCATAAGTAATGAGGAAACAAATGTTAATGGCCAAGACAACAGGGAAAATGTCTCTCCAGGGCATGTCAAAGAGCTTTCTCACAGCCCCTCTCATCACAGGCCTGGAGGCCTAGGAGGAAAAAATGGTTTCTTGGGCCAGTCCCAGGGCCCCCATGCTGTGTGCAGCCTAGGGACTTGGTGCCCTGCATTCCAGCTGCTCTAGCCATGGCTGAAAGGGACAAAGGTACAGCTCAGGCCATGGCTGCAGAGGGTGCAAGCCCCAAGCCTTGGCAGCTTCTACATGGTGTTGAGCCTGTGGGTGCACACAAGTCAAGAACTGAGGTTTGGGGACTTCCGCCTAGATTTCGCAGTATGTATGGAAACGCCTGGATATTCAGGCAGAAGTTTGCAGCAGGGGTGGGGCCCTCATTGAGAGCCTCTGCTAGGGCAGTGCAGAAGGGAAATGTGGGGTTGAAGCCCCCACACAGAGCCCCCACTGGGGCACTGCCTAGTGGAGCTGTGAGAAGAGGGCCACTGTCCTCCAGACCCCAGAATGGTAGATCCACCGACACCTTGCACTGTTCACCTGGAAAAGCTGCAGTCACTCAAGGCCAGCCTGTGAAAGCAGCCAGGAGGGATGCTGTACCCTGCAAATCCACAGAGCAGAGCTGCCCAAGACCATGGGAACCCACCTCTTGCATCAGCATGACCTAAATATGAGGCATGGAGTCAAAGGAGATTATTTTGGAGCTTTAAGATTTGACTGCCCCGCTGGATTTCTGACTTGCATGGGGCCTTTAGCCCCTTTGTTTTGGCCCATTTCTCCCATTTGGAATGGGTGTATTTATTCAATGCCTGTACCCCCATTGTATCTAGGAAGTAACTAACTTGCTTTTGATTTTACAGGTTCATAGGCAGAAGGGACTTACCTTGTCTTGCATGAGATTTTGGACTGTGGACTTTTTAGTTAATGCTGAAATGAGTTAAGACTTTAGGGGACTGTTAGGAAGGCATGATTGGCTTTGAAATGTGAGAACATGAGATTTGGGAGGGCCCAGGGGTGGAATGATATGGTTTGGCTGTGTCCCCACTCAAATCTCATCTTGAATTGTAGCTCCCATAATTCCCATGTGTTGTGGGAGGGACTCCAGTGGTAGATAATTGAGTCATGGGGGCAGTTTCCCCTGTACTGTTCTCATGGTGGTGAATAAGTCTCATGAGATCTGATGGCTTTATAAGAGGAAACCCCTTTCACTTGGTTCTCATTCTCTCTTGCTTGCCACCATGTAAGATATGACTTGCTCCCCCTTGCCTTCCTCCATGATTGTGAGGCCTCCCCAGCCACGTGAACTGTGAGTCCATTAAAACTCTTTTTCTCTATAAATTACCCAGTCTCAAGTATGTCTTTATCAGCAGCATAAAAACGGACTAATACAATGCAATTCCATTTGTCTATTTTTCTTTTGTTGCCTGAGCCTTTGGGGTCATATCCAAAGATTCCTTGCCTAAGCCAATATTGTGAAGTTTTTCCCTATGTTTTCTTCTGGTAGGTTTATAGTTTTAGGTCTAAGTCTTTAACCCGTTTTGAGTTGAGTTTTGTGCAGGATGTAAGATGAGGGTCTAATTTTATTCTTCTGCATGAGGATAACCAGTTTTCCCAGCATCATTTATTGAATAGTCTGTCCTTTCTCCAATGTATGTTCTAAGCGTCTTTGTCAAAAATCAATTGACTATAAATGCACAGGCTTATTTCTTGGCTTTCTATCAGATTCTATTGGTCAGTGATTCTGTTGTTTTTTGTTTGTTTGTTTGGTTGGTTTTGTTTTGTTTTGGCCAGGATCATTCTGTTTTGATTGCTTCATAATATATTTTGAAGTCAGGTAGTACGATGCCTCTAGCTTTGTTCTTTTTGCTCAAGATTGTTTTGACAATTTGAGGTCTTTTGTGGTTCCATATGAATTTAAGGATTATTTTTTCTATGACATTTTCTATGAAAAATGACATTGGAATGTTGATATGAATTGCATTGAATCTGTAGATTGCTTTGAGTAGTACAGACATTTTAATAATGTTAATTCTTTTACTCCGTTAACGTGGGATATCTTTACATTTATTTGTATTTTCTTCAATTTCTTTCACAAGGGTTTTACAGTTTTTAGTATACAAGTCCTATAAAGAAGTATTTGATAACAAAATATGAATATAAACAGACAATAAAATAAGTATTTTGTTATTGTTGCTATTGTAAATGGAATTGTTTTCTTAATTTCTTTTTCAGATAGCTTGTTATTAGTGTATAAAAATGCCACTAATTTTTAAATATTGATTTTGTTTCCTACAACTTTACTGAATTTATCAGTTCTAACAGCTTTTTGGTGGAGTCTTTAGGATTTTCTTTGTATAATATCATGTCATCAACAGAGACAATTTCACTTTTTCCTTTCCAGTTAGGATATCTTTTATTTTCTTGTCTTGCCTAATTGCTCTGGTTAGGATTTCCAGAACTATGTTGAAAAAAAGTAATGAAAGTAGGCATCCTTGTCTTGTCCCTGATTTTAGAGGAAAAGCTTTCAACTTTCACTATTGAATATAATGTTAGCTATACATTTGTCATATATGGCTTTTATTGTGTTCAGGTATATTGCATGTATACCTATTCTGTTAACAATGTTTATCATAAAAGGTATTGAATTTTAGGCTGGGCATGGTGGCTTACACCTGTAATCCCAGCACTTTGGGAGGCTGAGGTGGGTGGATCACCTGAGGTCAGGAGTTCAAGACCAGCCTGGCAAACATGGTGAAACCCCATCTCTACTAGAAATACAAAAATTATCCAGGTGTGGTGGCGCATTCCTGTAATCCCAGCTACTTGGGAGGCTGAGGCAGGAGAATTTCTTGAGCCCAGGAGGCAGAGGATGCAGTGAGCTGAGATTGCACCACTGCACTCCAGCCTGGGAAACAGAGCGAGACTCCATCTCAAGAATAAAAAAGGTATTGAATTTTATGAAATGCTTTTTCTGCGTCTATTGAGATAATCATATGGTTTCATCCTTCATTTTGTTGCTGTGATGAATCACATTTATTGATTTGCCTATATTGAACCATGCTTGCATTTCAGAGATAAATCCTACTTGATCATAGTGAATGATCTTTTTAATGTGCTGTTGAATTTGGTTTGCTAGAATTTTGTTAAGGACTTTTGTATCCATATTCATCAGGGATATTTGTATTTGTATCTGTTCATCTGTAATTTCCCTTTCTTGTAATACCTTTGTCTGGCTTTAGTATTACAGTAATACTGGCCTCATAAAATGAGTTTGGAAGTGTTGCCTCTTCTTTAATTTTTTGGAAGAGTTTCAGAGGGATTGATGTTGCTTTTTCTTTAAATTTTTGATAAAACTTAGCCATGAAGCCATTAAATCCTGGGCTTTTCTTTGATGGAAGAACTTTATTATTGATTCAATCACTTTAGTTGTTATTGGTTTGTTCAGGTTTTCTATTTCTTCATGATTCAGTCTTGGAAGGTTTTATGTGTCTAAGAATGTATTCATTTCTTCTAGATATCCAATTTTTGGTATACAATTGTTTATAGTAGTTTCTTGTGATCCTTTTTACTTCTGTGATATCAGTTGTTATGCCACCACTTTCCTTTCTGATATATGAGTCTTTTCTTTCTTTTTCTAGTCTAGTAAGGGTTTGTCAGTTTTGTTCATCTTTTCAAAAAACTAGCTGTTAGTTTTATTTATTTTGTTCTATTGTTTTTCTAGTCACAATTTTATTTATTCTGCTCTAGTATTTATTATGACCTTCCTTCTGCTAGCTTTGGGCTTAGTTTTTTCTTTTTCTAGTTCCTCAATGTGTAGCATTAGTGTGTTAGGCCATTTTTGCATCACTATAAAGAAATACTGGAGACTGGGTAATTCATAAGGAAAAGAGGTTTTTTGAATTGGCTTACTATTATTCAGGCTGTATAGGAAGCATAGCACCAGCATCTGCTTTTAGTGAGGGCCTCAGGAAGCTTCCAGTCATGGTAGAAGGTGAAGGGGAGCAAGCGTGTCACATGGTGAGAGCAGGGGAGAGAGGAGGGAGTCCCAGGCTTTTGAAAAACCAGATCTCATGTGAACTAACTGAGCATGAACTCACTTATTACCAAGGGAATGCTGCTAAACCATTCATGAGGGATCTGCCCACGTGATCCAATCTCCTCCCACCAATCCCCACCTCCAACACTGAGGATCACATTTCAACATGAGATTTGGAAGGGACAGATATCCAAACCATTTCAATTAGAATGTTTATTTAAAATCTTTTCTCTTTTTTGCCATAAGCATTTCTTGCTATAAATTTCCCTTTTAGGACTGCTTTTGGTGCATCCCATAAGTTTTGGTATGCTGTGTTTTCATTGTTTGTCTCAAGGGCTTTTTAAATTCCCTTTGTAATTTCTTCTATGATTTGTTGGTTGTTTAGGAACATGTTGTTTAATTTCCACATATTTGTGAATTTTCCAAGATTTCTCATTATGATTTCTAGTTTCATGCCTTTGTGACCCAAAAAAATACTTGATATATTTTCAGTTCTTAAGTTTGTTAAGACTTGTTGTGTGGCCTAGACCTAACATAGGATCTATCCAGAAGAATGTTCTGTGTGCACTTGAGAAGAAAGTGTATTATGTTGCTGTTGAGTGAAATGTTCTGCATAAGTCTGCTAGGTCCAAGTGGTCTAAAGTGTAATTCAATCCAGTGTTTCCTTATTAATGTTCCATCTATATGATCTGTTCATTGTTGAAAGTGGGGTAGTGTATTACTGTAAAATACTATTATTGTATCAAGTCTATCTTTCCCTTCAGGTCACTTAATAATCACGTTGTGTATTTAGATGCCCCAATGTTGGGTGTGTGTATATTTACAATTATTATTTCCTCTTAATGAATTGAGTCCTTTACCATTATATAATGACCTTCTTTTTCTCTTTTTATCGTTTTTGACTTAAAGTTGATTTTATGTTATATTAGTATAACTACTCCTGCTCTCTTTTGGTTTCCATCCGTGTTGAATATTTTTTTCCATCCCTTCACTTTCACTCTGTGTGTCCTTACTAGTAAAGTGAGTCTCTTGTAGGCAGTGTATAGTTGTTTCCTGTTTTTTAAAAAAATCCATTCACCCACCCAGTGTCTTCTGATTGAACAATTTGATTCATTTACATTCCAGTCAAATATTGATAGGTAAGGACTTACTGCTGCAATTTTGTAATTTGTTTTCTGGTTGTTTCATAGATTATTTGTTTCTTCCTCCCTTGGTGTCTTCCTTTGTGATTTGGTGGTTTCCTGTGTTGGTCTGCTTTGAATCCCTTCTTTTTATATTTTTTACATCTACTATACGTTCATGCTTTGTGGTTACCATAAGACCTATTGGCTTAGTCCCTTTTCTGTTTTTATACCAGAATACCACAAACTGGGTAATTTATAAACAATAGAAGTTTATTTATCTCACAGTTCTGGAGGCTAAGAAGTCCAAGAGCATGGTGTTGGCATCTGATGAGAGCCTTCTTGCTGAGTCATGACATAATGGAAGGCATCACATGGCAAGAGACCAAAATCAAGAAAGCCAGAGAGAGCTGCTTTTGTAATAAAGCCAGTCTCATGATAGTGACATTAATCCATTCATGAGGGCAGAGGGATTACATTTCCAACACATGAACTTTTGGGTGGCACATTCAAATCCTAGCATTTATATAAAAATCTTATAATTAAAACAGGCTATTTTAAGCTGATAACAACTTTGATTGCAAACAAAAACTCTACACTTTCACTCCCCCCAACATCTTTTATGATTTTTTGTGTTAAAATTTACCCTTTTTTCTAATTTGGGTCCCTTAACAATTTATTATAGCTACAGTTGTTTGCAATAGTTTTGTCTTTTAACCTTCATAATAGAGATACAATTGCTTTTCACACCACACTTACAGTATTTTGAATATGACTATGTATTACTTATGCCATTGAGTTTTTACTTTCATATGTTTTATGTTATTAGGTAGTAGCCTTTCATTTCAGCTTAAATAACTTCCTTTAGCAATTCCAAGCCTAGTGCAAGCCTAGTGGTGATCAAATCCCTCACCTTTGTTTGTCTGGGAAAGTTACTTCTGTCTTACTTCTGAAGGAAAATATTCTTGGATAGCAGGGTCTTTTTCCCTTCAGCACTTTGAATATATCATTCTACCCTCTCCTGGCCTGCAGGGTTTCTGCCAAGAAATCCACTGACAGCTGTATTGGAACTCTCTTGACTGTGATATGTTTTTTCGCTCTTACTGTTTTCAGTATTCTTTCTTTGTTTTTGATTTTTGATAATTTGATTATGATGTATTTTGGTGAACTGTTGGATTGGATTTCATTGACAGCCTCTTAGCTTTCAGTACCTGGACGTTGTCATCTTTCCCCAGATTTGAAAACTTTTCAGCCATTAGTTCATTAAATATACTTTCTGGGCCTTTTTGTCTCTCCTTCAAGGACTCCTATTTTGCATAGGTTAGTCTCTTGATGTTGTCCCATAATTCCCATAGACCTTTATTTTTCTTTTCTTTTTGCTTGTCTGACTGGATAATTTCAAAATTCCTATCTTTGTGTTCACTGATTCTTTCTTCTGCTTGATCAAGTCTACTATTGTAGCTTTCTGTCAAACACTTTAGTTCAGTTATTGTATTCTTTATCTCTAGGGTTTCTATTTGATTTTTATTGTTACTATTTTGCCCAACATAGCTTTTAAATGCACACTAAAAAATTATTTTAAAAGTTATAATTCATGTGGAAGAGTAATGGTTCAAGAAGAATAAGGCAGACAAAATTTCCCTATAAGATACCAAATCTTATTATGATGCTACAGTAATTAAAACCTCAGTGGTGCATATGCAGAGACAAAAAAATATTGATCGAGAATGCAATTGTCTTAGTCAATCAGGCTGCTGTAACCAAATACCATAAACTGGGTGGTTTATAGATAACAGACATTTATTTCTTACAGATCTGGAGGCTGGAAGCCTGGGATCAGGGTGCCAGTATGGTTAGGTTCTGATGAGAGTTCTCTTCTGGGTTGAAGACTGCCATTTTTTCACTGTGACTTCACATAGTAGGAGGATAAAAGAGTACTCAGGGGCCGGGTGCGATGGCTCACACCTGTAATCCCAGCACTTTGGGAGGCCAAGGCAGGCGGATCACCTGAGGTCGGGAGTTCAAGACCAGCCTGACCAATATGGAGAAACCCTGTACTAAAGATACAAAAATTTAGCTAGGCATGGTGGCTCATGCCTGTAATCTCAGCTACTCAGGAGGCTGAGGCAGGAGAATCTCTTGAACCTGGGAGGCGGAGGTTGCGGTGAGCCGAGATCGCACCATTGCACTCCAGCCCGGGCAACAAGGGCAAAACTCTAAAAAAATAAAATAATTAAATAAATAAATAAATAAAATTGTACTCAGGGTCCCCTTTTATAAGGGAACCAATGCCATTAATGAAGACGCCACTCTCAACCTAACCATCTCCCAAAGGCCCCACCTCCTAATACCATTACACTGGGGGTTAGGATTTCAACATCTGAATTTGGGGGGAACACAAACATTCAGTCCATTACAGGAGCCGAGCTCAGAATTAAATCCTTATAGGTATGGAATTTCAATACATGACTGAGGTGGCATGGGAGATCAGTGGGGAAAAGAGGAACTATTCAATGAATGGTTCTTGGAAAAGTGGTTATCCACATGGGGAAAAATGAAATAAGAACCCTATCTCATGCTTTATTTTTTAAAAAAAGCAAACCCTTAAATGACAAAGAGAACACTTTATGACTTTAGACTGAAATATAGACACGTTTCCAATAATGGTGAACAATGTAATAAGGGCCAGCCTTCCCAATCAACACAACTCTTTTTTTTTTTTTTTTTTTTTTTTTTTTTGAGACAGAGTCTCGGTCTGTCACTGAGGCTGGAGTGCAGTGGCACAATCTTGTCTCAATGCAACCTCTGCCTCCGGGTTCAAGCGATTCTTGTGCCTCAGCCTCCCAAGTAGCTGAGATTATATGCATGTGCTACCATGCTGGTCTAGTTTTTTTGTGTTTTAGTAGAGATAGGGTTTCACCATGTTGGCCAGGCTGGGTCTTGAATTCCTGGCCTCAAGCAATCCACCCGCCTCAGCCTCCCAAAGTGCTAGGATTATAGGAATGAGCCACCGTGCCCGGCCACAATTAACAATTTATGACAAAACATAAAAGCCATCTCCATAGAAGCAGGAAATATCAAAAACATGGCAATGAATCACCAGAATAATATCGAGAGGAGTGAGGAGATCTAAGCATTCAAGCTTGTTTCTGCCCTTTAAGAAAGGGCAGCCAAGTGACTTTGTGTCATTTTTTTGGCAGTCTTTTTAGTCTAAGGAAACACATGTGGGAGTCTAGGATTCACCAAGGGTGTGGACCATGCTAAACCACACCTGCTTTGGGCTGAAAACAAGAATGGATGTACCCTAGGAGTAAGGGTGAATCAGAAGTAAACCAACCCTTTGATGGACTGAAGCCCAGCTTTGAGTCATCTTGGTGGCTCGGAAAATCTCAAGCCCTGAACTTGGTGTAAGGTAAATCCAGATTGCTAGTGCCCCCACGTGCTTAGCAGAAGCAGATAATAATCCTCTTAAGGTGATGATAATATCACCCCTAGCTTTAAATTATTTCTAAAAATAAAATTTAAATACCTTTCAGCACATAAACAAAGATGACCAGAAATGTGAGATATTATACCATGACCGAGAAACAATAGAAAATCAGACCTGAAGAAATGCAAATACTTGAATTATCAGCCAAAACTGTAAAATGAATGTGCTTATTATGCTCTAGGGGATAAAACTAGGCTTGTGAATTTTTTGCAACAACTGGAAACTATAAATTTGATGGAGATTATTTTTACGAACCAAAAAGAAACTTCAAGAAATGAAAGGCACAGACTCTAAATTCAGAACTCCCTGAATGGCTTTAACAACAGTTCAGACCCAGATAAAGAGAGAATTCATGATTTAGAAGATAAGTCAGAAGAAACTACCCAGAATGGGAAGAAAAAAAAAGATGCTCTAAAAGGAAAAGTATGAATGTACTTCAATGCTGTATACATGTACTGTTTTTAAAGCACTATTTTTGTTTTAATTTTGTTTGAATCAAACAATAAAAATAATTTATACTTCTGGCCGCCAAGAGGTAGTAACAAGAGCCAAATTTACCTTTCATCTGAAACAACAACAAAGAATAAATATAGAAAAATGAGTTTTCAGGACTTGAACATCAAGCAATGAATGACTGCCATCCCTGAGAGACAGGAAAGAAAAGGAGTTAGCCCTGTGATTGTCTCAGCTTCCAGGCCATAGCACAAGAAGAAGAAACCCATATTGAGCCTAGCAGAGTACCTGAATTGATGAGACAGGTGAGAGTCCAGGAGACCAAGATGACTAGAGTTCTCAGGACAGAGTACCAGAGATGTAAGATATGCAGACAGAGAGAACCTTAGAGAACTGAAGAAAGTTTACTTTACATACTTAGCTGAGTGCTGATCAGCACGAGCATATGAGAAACATACCCTAGGCTGGATAAAGAATTTCCCAAAAGAAAGAAAATACTACTCAGTGCTTATATCCAGGGCTGGGAATAGTGCCTGTTTCTACTAGCCAGATATGAAAAGTTCATAATTCCTGTTCGTATGATGTTCCTGCCTGAGCAATAAGGAATAATTCACACTAGACTGAGCAGTACTCAAAGAATACCAGGCATATAAAGAATCAAGAAAACACAACCCATAATGAGTAGAATAATTGGTCAACTGAAACTGACCAGTGGCTGACTCAAATGTCAGAATGAGTAGACAAGGACATTAAAACGGATATTATAACTGCATTCCATGAGATCAAAAATTTACATGGAAACCTGAAAGATGTAAAAAAGACAAACAATTTATAGAAATGAAAGAATAATGTCTGAAATTAAAAGTATAATGGATAACATTAATGGTAGATTAGATGTTATAGATAGAAAGATTAGTAAACTTAAAGCCAGCAATAGAAACTATATAAAAAGAAACACAAAGAAAAAAAGTGACAAAACAGGCATGAGACATATAGAACACAGAAAGCAAAATGGCAGACATATATCCAACAATATCAATAATAACATTAAATATAAATGAATTAAAATATCCAATCAAAATGCTGAGATTGTCAGACTGACAAAAACAAAGCAAAACAAAACAAGATCCTACTACATGTCCACAGGTGACACATTGTAGATTCAAAGATACATAGATTGAAAATAAAAGGATGGAAAAACATGTATTATGAAAACAGAAAGCATAAAAGGACTAGGATAGCTGTAATACTACCAGACAAAATTATCTTTAAAACAAAAATTATTGCTAGAAAATAAAAATAGACACTTAAAAATTATACAAAGGGTTGATTCATTATAAAGATATAATAACTCTAAACATATATGCATCTAGCAACAGAACCCCAAAATCCAGGCAGCAAAAAATTGACAATTGAAGAGAGAATAGACAGTTAAACAATAACAAGCTAGATACTCTAATAGCCCACTTTTAAGAATGAATAAGACAACTAGAATAAAGATCAAATAGGATGTGTAAGAATGGAACAACACCACTAACCAGCTAGCACTAACAGAGATCTATAGAATACTTCATGCAACAACAGCAGAATACATATTTTTCTCCAGACACATGAAATGTTCCTCAGAATAGACCATATGCTAGACCAAAAAAAAAACTCAATGAATTTAAAGGATTGAAATCATACAAATAAAATCCTCTAGCCAAAATGGAAATAAATCTGAAATAACAAAAAAAACTGGGAAATTCACAAATACATAGATATTAACACGCTCAAATAACCAGTGAGTCAAATATATCACAAGATAAGTTAGAAAATATTTTGAGATAAATGAAAAGGAAAGCACAACATAAGAGATGTAGTTAAAGCAAGTCGTGGAGGTAAACTCATAGCTTTAAATGCCTACATGAAAAAAAAGAGAAAGTTTTAAAATCAATAACCTAATCTTCCACTTTATGCAACAGAGAGAAGAGCAAACCAAACCCAAAGCAAACAGCAGAAAGGCATAATAAAGATCAGAGTAGAAATCAATGAAATAGAAAACAGAAAAAATATAGAAAAATCAACAAAACCAAAAGTTTGTTATTTGAAAAGATCAATTAATAAACTCTTAGCTAGAGTGACAATAAAAACAGAAAGACTCAACTTACTAAAATCAGGGATGATTTACAGAAAAAAAGGCTTATAGGGGAATACTATGAAGCACTTTATGCCAACAAATGAGATAACTTAGATGAAATGAACGCCTTCCTAAAAAGACACAAACTACCCAAACTTACTCAAGTAGAAATAAAGCAGCTGAATAGGCTATTACAAGAATAATTTTAAGACTTCCCACAAAGAAAAGCCCAGGTCTAGATGGCTCCAATGATTAATTCTACCACATAGTTAAAGAATTATTAATATAATTCTTTCATATACTCTTCCAAAAATAGAAGAAGAAAGAACATTTTATTTATTTATTTTAGAAATAGGGTATCACTATGTTGCCCATGCTGGTCTCAAAGTCCTGGGCTCAAGCGATCTTCCTGCCTCAGCCTCCTCAGCAGCTGGGACTACAGGTGCATGCCACTGAGTCAGGCTTTTGACTCTTTCTTTGAGGCATCTCCCTGATGCCAGAACCAGATGCAGTCATCACGAGAAAATAAAACTACAGACCAATATCTCTTATGATAGGTACACAAATTTCTCAACAGAATACTAAGGAACTGAATCCAACAATATATTGAAAGTATTATACATCATGGCCAAGTGAGATTTATCCCAGGAATGCAAGGTTGGACTAACATTCAAAAATCAATTAAGTTCATCTGTCATGGTTGCAGTGTAAAAAAATAAAAATAAAACAAACAAGCAAAAAGCCACAGAAGTCAATTAAGAACAAAATCCACATGATCATCTCAATAGGTGCAGAAAAAGCATTTGAAAGAAGTCAGGCCGAGTGCAGTGGCTCAGGCCTGTAATCCCAGCACTTTGGGAGGCCGAGGTGGGTGGATAGCCTGAAGTCAGGAGTTCGAGACCAGCCTGGCCAACATGGTGAAACCCCATCTCTACTAAAGTACCCAAAAAAGTTAGCTGGGCGTGGCAGTGGGTGCCTGCAATCCCAGCTACTTAGGTGGCTGAGGCAGGAGAATTGCTTGAGGCAGGAGAATTGCTTGAACCTGAGAGGCGGAGGTTGCAGTGAGCCAAGATCACGCCACTGCACTACAGCGTGGGTAACAGAGCGAGACCCCATCTGAAAAAAGAAAAGGAAAGAAAGAAGTCAACACCCTTTCATGATAAAGTACCCAACAAACTAGATACAGAAGGGAACTTCCTCAACCTAATAAGAGACAGCTACAAAAACCCACAGCTAATATCATACTTAATGGTAAAAGATTAAATGCTTTCTCCATAAGATGTGGAACAAGACAAAGGTATCTCCTCTTACCACCTGTATTCAACATTGTACTGAAGACTCCAGTCAGGAAAATTTGGCAGGAAAAGAAATAAAAGATATCCAGATTGGAAAGGAAGAATTAAAATGATCTCTATTTGCAAACATAATCCTGCATATAGAAAACTCTCAGGAATCCACTTAAAAAACTGTTAGAACTAACAATAGTTGCTGGATACAGGATCAATATATGGGGATTGATTTATTAATTTATTAATTGATGGCGAAACCTTGTCTCTGCTAAATATACACTAGCAATGAACAATTCAAACATGAAATAGAACAATTCGAACATGAAATAAAACAATTCCATATACAATATCATCAAAAGGAATAAAATACTTAAAAATAAACAAAAGAAGTGTGAGATTTGCACGTTACAAAATGTTGAACGAAATCAAAAGATATCTAAATAAATTCAAGGACATTTAATGTTCATAGATCAGAAGATTTGATATTAAGATGGCAATACTCCCCCAAATTATCTACAGTTAATGAAATTCCTATCAAAATCCTAATTGCCTTTTAATTTCTTTCAGAAATCAATAAACTGATCCTAAAATTCATATGAAAATTCAGGAGATCCAGAATTGCCATAACAATCTTTATAAAGAACAAAGTTGGAAGACTCACACTTCCTGATTTCAAGGTTACAAAGTTACACAAAGACAGCATTGGCTGTCTGTTGGTATTGGCATAAGGATACATATAGAGGTCAATGGAATACAATTAAGGATCCAGAAATAAACCCTCATATTTACAGTCAAGACAATTCAATTAGGAAAGAATAGCCATTTCAATAAATGTTGCTGGGGATGACTGGATGCTTAGCTGCAAACTAATGAAGTTGAACACCACCTCACACCACACAGAAAACTTAAAAGGGATCATAGGCCGGGCACAGTGGCTCACACCTGCAATCCCAGCACTTTGGGAGGCTGAGGTGGGAGGATTATTTGATCCCAGGAGTTTGAGATCAATCTGGGCAACATAGCGAGACCCCATCTCAAAAAAAATGTATATATATACACATATATACACATATATGTGTGGGTGTGTATATATATATACACACACACTATATTTTATATATATATACTATATTTTATATATATACACACTATATTTTTTATATATATACTATATATTTTATATATACACTATATTTTTATATATATACTATATATTTTATATATATATATATATATATATATATATATATCCAGGTGTGGTGGCACGTGCCTGTGGTCCCAGTTACTCAGGAAGCTGAGGTGGGAGCATTGTGTAAGCCTGGGAGTTCAAGGCTGTAGTGAGCCATGATCATACCACTGCACTCCAGCCTGGGTGACAGAGGAAGAAGAAGAAAGAAGAAAGAAGAAGAAGAAGGAGAAGGAGAAGGAGGGGGGCTGGGGGAGGGTGGAGGCAAATGAAAGATAGAAAGAGCAGGGCATGGTGGCTCATGCCTGTAATCCCAGCACTTTAGGAGGCCAAGGTGAGCAGATAGCCTCAGGTCAGGAGTTCGAAACCAGCCTGGCCAACATGGTGAAACTCTGTCTCTACTAAATATACAAAAATTAGCTGGGCGTGGTGGCACACACCTGTAATGCCAGCTACTCAGGAGGCTGAGGCATGAGAATTGCTTGAACCCAGGAGGTAGAGGCTGCAGTGAGATGAGACTGTGCCACTTCAGCCTGGGTGACAGAGTGAGACTCCATCTCAAAAACAAACAAAAAGAAAGAAAGAAGGAAGGAAAGAGGGAAGGAAGGAAAGAAGGAAGGAAGGAAGGAAGGAAGGAGGGAGAAAAAAATCATAAATCTAAATGTAAGAGCTAAAACTGTAGAACTCTTAGAAGAAAACATGAATAAATCTTCATGATTTTGGATTAGGCAATATTTTCTGATATGCTGTAAATTCCACTTCGTTATGGTATATAATCCTTTTTATATGTTTTTCTTTACTAAATACTCCTTGGGTTTTGGCAAACTTTTGATTAACTTCCAGAGTTCTGAAAAATTGGTTTTGACAATATTTGTCATTGCTTTATGGAGAAGTGGATTTTTGGGGCAGCATGACTCTACACAGTGGTGTAAGAGCTCCTTGGAGGTGACAGAGCTGTTCTGTATCCTGGTGGCAGTGGTGGTTCCAAGAATCTCCACACAGGATCCAGTGGCATAGAACTAGATGTGTTCACACACACACGCAAGGACGAAGGTTTTAAAAAAGGCTGAAAACCGAATAAGGTCTGCAGTAAAGTTGTCTGCATTGTACTCTACAGTTAGATAAGATGTCATGATTGGGGAGGTTGAAGGGCAATGGGGACTCTGAGTACTACAGCTGCGGCTCCCTGCAGGTACCTAGACATTTCAAAACAAAGACACTGAATGGTTGGACAAGCATACATACTGGACAGGTTACAGGAGGAACTATGAAGATTCACAAATTCTTGCGGTGGGGGGGACACACACATGCATACTGAACAAACATGCATGTAACATACAGTGCATGTTCACTTTGGGGTTGAGACTTAACATTTAAATGTGCTACAGTTAGGCTCTAGATATCAAAAGGTGAAGCAGGGACATGATGGTGTGGAAGTGCACAGCCTCTGTAAACTGGCCAGAACCAGTTCGTAGTCGTGGTCTCTCATCAGGAGAAAGCTCCTGAAGTCAGTGTCCCATCCATTGAACGCTGCAGTCATGGCTGGTGGAGCAGGAGGTCGGAGAGTCAGCCTCTGTGAGCTGGATGAACTGCAATTGTCTTAATGTTGCTTAGCTCAAGGCCAGTGCTTGATTGGCTGCTGGAAAAAAAGAAAACCCTTGTAGCACAGCCAGAACACAGTTTATTCTTTAAGTGTAGGGTTGTGTGACTTAACTCCTTGCCTGGCAGGGTCTTAGGTTTTGTTTACAATTTGGCACCTTCTGCCACAAAAAGTTTGTTCTGTCAGTCTATGGTCTCTGTTTTAACAGACCACAGGGACAAATCCGTCTTCAAGGTCCTCATCTTGACAATGGCCACGTCATCTCCAGAGTCTTCCAGAGAGTTTGGTGCAAGCCACCTGCTTTTGTCTGTAATCTTTGAAGACCTGGTGCAATCTCCCGTGGTGTGGTGTCTACCTGGATTCAGCAAAATTCGCCCAGCTGGACCTGCAGCAGATGCCACGTGTTGGGCGTCTTCCACATGATCAGCAGGCACACGGCAAGAAAGCTGCCTACACGGACCCCACACGGTGTTAGGACAGATGCCTTGTGATCTCTATGTCTCGTGTGACCCTCTATCACACAAACTGGCTTTAATCTCAGAATCTGGGGTCAGGGAGAGTCACACAGCCTTCACGTTAGAAGTGAATGGGATCCACAGAGCCTACTGCCAGAAACGGAAGACACCCTGCTGTCCAGGTGCACAGCTGCCCAGCAAGGCCCCACTCAGAGGCACGAAGCTCCTGTGGCATCTTAGATGCCTCCCAAGCTTCAAAGCGGGACAGGCCTAGAGCATCACGCATGGCTCCACTGAAGCCAGAGCTCCCAGGACCCAGGTCCCTCTGAGGGATGGCCCAGAGAGAAAGCAACGCAGCCACATGGCCCTGGTCCCACTACAGTGATCACAGAGGTCCAAAAGGGGCATTTCTCTTCTCTTTGTGTCTTCATGTTCCATCTAGTGAATATGTCATCCTCATTCCTTTGGATTTTGTTAGCGATTACAAGAATCCAGTTGCGTTGGGTCACATAAATTGCTAAGGAATCTGGATCACGGTCACCTTCTGGATCTGTTGGGTGCTGTAGTCTGGCTGTTCCCCTTATGCCACTGGCCAGGTAATTAGACTCAAATATGTGGGTGAATTTACTGCCTCCCTTCTGCCTCCTGCTTTTTTTTTTTTTTTTTTTTTTTTTTGAGACAGGGTCTTGTTCTGTCACCCGGGCTGGAGTGCAGTGGTGTGATCACATCTCACTGCATCCTCCCACTCCCAGGTTCAAGCCATCCTCCCACCTCACCTCCCAAAGCAATGTGACTACAGGAATGGGCCACTATACCCGGCCCACATTTACCCTTTTAATTGATTTGTTTTCTACTGCCTTTTTGAATCACATACTTTGAAATGCATACATTCTTTGGGTACAGTTTAATGATATTCTACAAATTTACTCACGCCTGTGTTTATCTCCCCAGCAAAGACACAGAATGTTTTCATCTCCTTGGAAATTTCCTACAGTCATCTGTGATTTTGTGCCTACCCCTACCCTCACAGGGACATCTGCTTCTTTCTTGTGGGTGGGTGAGGAGGCTTCTGTGTAAACTTACCTGGGCAGGTGAGCATTCAGGAGCAAAGCGGCCCCAGTCCTGTAGCAGGGCCATTGCCCCACAGACCCTGCCATTATCCAGGCCAGCTGGAGCTGCAGGTGGTCCCTGAGCCATCACCGCACCCACCTTCCTCCTGTGTCCTCTTTCCCTCGAGGCTCTCACAGCCCCCACCTGTGTGGAAGAGTGGAGTGGGGTCAGTGGTCCTGGGGCCCCCAGGCCACAGCAGCTACTTGGGCTGCCCAGGGCTTCCTGTCTGTGGATGGAGGATGCTGGAGAAGTGAGGCTGTGGTCCTGGCACCACCCCTGCTGTGTCTGGAGCCACCTGACCCATCCTGGGTGTCTGCTGGCCACTCACCATATGCCACCCCATTTTCAGCTGGGCAGAAAGAAGCTTGTAAGGCCATCACAGACAGAGAAACTGAGGCAGAGGAGAGGCTGGTCTGAGCTGGGACAGCCTGAAGCCCGGATGCTCGACAGAGCCAAGGGGGAATGGGGGCTGCAGCAGGCCAGGCCTCGAGGTGGGGTGAGAAGGTACATTCCCAACCCCAGGAGGGTGAGGTGGGGGCAGCTGCATGCTGGAGGGTTTCATGGTCCCTTTGGAGGAAGGATTATGGGAGGTGCTCCTGGATCTCTCTTGGGATGATGGGGTTTGCTACAGAGACAGCCTGGGCTAGGCCCCCTGGTCACTGAGCACAGTTCCAGACTTTTTGAGTTAGGTGCACCTGACACCTCCACCCAGCCCCTTACATAGAACATGCTTCGTCAGGCCTACCACCAGCCCATACCACCAGCCACCCCTGGGGTCGTCCAAGCACTCCTCAGGGACCCACCTCCTCCTGCTCTGCAGCCCATCAGGGCTCCCCGTTGACAGATGAGGCTGGAGAGGGCTGTGTCCAGGAGGGGATGGGACTGTGGGTGGGGCCGGCAGTAGGCCCAAGGGGAGTTTGGGCAGCTGCTGTGAGTAACCAGCCCACCATGCGCCATGCAGGGCACATTGCAGGTACATGGCAGGGGGTTCCAGAGAGGGCCTGGGGGTGCAGGGAGTTCTAGAGTGGGCCTGGGGGTTAGCAGGGAGTTCTAGATCAGGCCCTGTGGGTGACAGTGGCTTCTGTTTGGAAGGACTTTGAGAGAGGAATGGGAATGTTGAGGGGTTTGTCCACCCAACTCTGCAGTCCCGTGGCAACTGTGCCCTGTATGTGAGACCACTGATAAACCCCTGCATTGGATGGGTGGATGGTGTATGGATAGGATGTGAGGGGCTTTGGTATTTGACCTCTAGGCCAGAATACCTGTCCCTGAGCTGTGCAGGCTCCGAGAGCCCAGAATGTCTTACCAGTCACTGGCCTCCCTCAGGATGGGCTAGAAGCTCTAAAGGCCACACAGTGCCCACAGTCCAAATCCCAGCAGAGCTGAGTCCCCGTGTCCAGCTGAGATACGATCCCTGGGAAGCAGCTCTGCTCCTACACCAGGGGCCCTGCTGAGGCGCTGGAGCTCATGTTCCTGTGTGCAAGGAGCTCCCAGAGTGTCCCCAGGTCCCAGGCCACCAAGGCCCCCCCTCAGACCAGAGCCCCAGGTCTGCTCTGCACCAGAGGCCAGGAAGGGGTAGGGGAGCTCCTGAGGAAGGAGGGGGTTGGGGGAGCTCCCGAGGGAAGGAGGGGGTTGGGGGAGCTCCCGTGGGAATGAGGGAGTGGGGGGAGCTCCCGTGGGAAGGAGGGGGTGGTGGAGGGAGCTCCCGTGGGAATGAGGGAGTGGGGGGAGCTCCCGTGGGAAGGATGGGGTGGTGGAGGGAGCTCCCGAGGGAAGGAAGGAGGTTGGGGGAGCTCCCATGGGAAGGAGGGGGTGGGGGCAGCTCCCGTGGGAAGGAGGGGGTTGGGGGAGCTCCCGTGGGAAGGAGTGGGTGGGGGGAGCTCCCGTGGGAAGAAGGGGGTGGTGGAGGGAGCTCACGAGGGAAGGAGGAGGTTGGGGGAGCTCCCGTGGGAAGGAGGGGGTTGGGGGAGCTCCCCTGGAAGGAGGGTGTTGGGGGGAGCTCCCGTGGGAAGGAGAGGGTGGGGGGAGCTCCCGTGGGAAGGAGGGGGTTGGGGGAGCTCCTGTGGGAACGAGGGGGTGGTGGAGGGAGCTCCTGAGGGAAGGAGGAACTAGTGTGGGGAGCTCCTGAGGGAAGGAGGGGGTGGGGGGCACCTCCTGAGGGAAGCCGGGGGTGGTGGGGGGAGCTCCTGAGGGAAGGCGGGGCTGGGGGGGCGGCTCCTGTGGGAAGGAGGGGTTGGGGGCACCTCCTGAGGGAAAGAGGAGTTCAGGAGGTCGTGGGAGGACACCTGCCGGGGCCCTGGCGAGGCTGCGGTGCCTGTGCTGCCCGCTGGCTTGGAAGGCAGCCTGGTCTATCGAGAAGGGACCTGCCCTGGGGCCCAGCCCCGCCTGTGTGTTGCTGCCCCTCCCCACAGCTGGGCCTGTCCCAAGGTGTCTTCCTCCAACCCTCTTTGCCCCTCATAGGAGAACAGCAGTGTGAGGCGCGGTGTGAGGCTGCTGGGTGGCCTGGAGGATCCCTGCCTAGAGAAGCCCCTGGGGTCTGGAGCGCAGGTGTCTGAGCACACTGCTTCCTTTGGCGCTGGGCCCTGCAGCTCCTGCCCCAATGCCTGACCTTCCCAGCTACCCTCTGTGTCCTGCCAGGGACCCTCCTGCCAGGGCCACACCACCCCTCAGCCCTGAGCCAGCCACAGTGCCCCTCTCACCCTCTGTGATCCCCCAGTCCAGGGCCCAGCCTCTCTGTAAGTCTCAGCCAAAGTGGAACTGATCTCTGTCTCCTCCCCAGCACCCAGTGGGCCCACCCACCTCGGCTCCCTGACTGGAGGCCAGCCTGACTTCCAGCTCCTGCAGAGCCGTGGCCGCCCACGGCATTGGTCCTGTGCCCAAGCTGGTGTGGTGGAATTTGGCCCAGCAGCCCAGACATGGCTAGATCCTCCCTCTGCAATGGCTGGGGTGCCGGGGGGCTCCCAGTATGAAATTCCCTTCGCCACAGCTGTCATGTTCCTGGGACGGCCCTCTGGAGCTGGCCTGAGGAGCATCCCAGTGGGCGATGCCCCTGCCCCCTGCTGCCAAGAGGCACAGAACCAGCTCTGATGGCACTGGGTGCTGGGGAAGCTGGGGCAGCCAGCTTCTCTCAGGGCAGGGCCCTGTGTGGCTGGACAGGGGTGTGCTGCAGCTCCACACCCCAGGCCTCAGTTTCTCCCACCGTAAGAGCTTCCTGGGGATTTCCTGGGAGCCAGGAGGGAGTGCAGGGCCCTGCTCTCCCCGCAGGCACATCCCCCACTGCCCCAGCCAGCACAGCTGGTCCTGATTAGAGTAGGGCCCAGCTCCCCTCCTGAAATGAGCAAGTCAGGCAGGGGAGGAAACCTGATCCCAGTCCCTCATCCCACATTCCAGCCCAGCAGCCGCAGGCAGCATGGCTCCTGACTTCTCTTGGCCCCAGAGGGCTGGGGGGACTCCTGGGAAGTGCGGCTGGGATGTGGCTTCCAGCAGGAGACCTGTTTGGAGAGAGGTCTCCTCCCATGGCCTGGCTTCCCAGGGATGCTGGCTTTTGGCTCAGGCCTCCTCGGAAGGCATGAGGGCTGCCTGTCTTCCTCCCAGGGCCAAGTACTGGCTGATCCCAGCACAGTAGGCTCCGAGCTCTGGGGCATTTGAGAAGATAGCCCCTCAGGCCACCTCCCATCCCCTAGCACCACAGGGCCTGCCAAGCAAAATGGAAGGGCAGAAGTCCCCAGGACCCTGGGGCAGCCCAGCCCTGACTTGAGCGGCCCCAGCTTTGCTCTCCCAATCCCTCTTCCGTGCAGCTGGCTGGAGGCTGGGCTGCCCTGGCCCAGCATCGGGAGAGCAGTGGGTGGCACACTCGGTCACTTGTGCAGGAGGTCATGCTGGAGTGACCAGGACTTCCCAGGACCCTTTGAGGGGCCCAGGCCCTGATTCCCAGCCTCCTTGGAAGAGGCTCCTGCTGGTGTGGGATCTACCTTGGGAAGTTTATGGGACCCTGCACCCCCGTGAGCACAGGCCCCTGGGGCAGGGAGACAGCCCCATGCAGGGGGATCACCCACATCAGGCTGTGCCTCTGTCTCCAGCAGAGCATTTGCCATGGGTTGGGGTGAGCTGTGCCTGCCAGAGATGCCACAGAGGCCCTTGACCCCTGCGAGGCCTGGCACAGCCCTGAGGTGGAGGGCTTCGGCTCCCAGACCCATGCTCTGGAGCAGAGGCCCCTGGAGCACCTATGATCGGCTAAGGCCCTGGCTTAGGAGCCTGTGGTCAACCCCTGGGGCCTGTGTGTCCCTGAGTTGCCTCCAGCTGGGGCAGCAACCCAGGATCCCCTCCCCAGGCTAGGTTTCTGTGGCCTGAGGTTGGCTGGGCAGCTTGAAGGCTCTGGGCTTCCCCAGACACAGCCAGCAGACACCCAGCCTCAGCTGCGGGGTCCGTGTGGCTCTCAGCATTCACAGTGGGAGAGGTCGAGGACACAGCCCTGAGAGTCTCCAGAGCCCCGCTCAGACCCTCGGCCCTGCCCCTCCACCAGATGCTGGACACTCACGCACAAGGGCCTGAGCAGCAGCAGCTCCCTCTGCTGGGCCGCTGACATCCCCACTGCACAGATGGGGAAATGGAGGCCTGTGGAGGGAGAGACATGCCAAAGAGCACGTGGTGCCCCAGCCTGGACAGGCCTCTGGGCCACGAAGCCTTCCTCTGTCCTGACACAGGGAGGAGATTGGACACGGTGTGTGTTGGGGGGTTTCCAAATGCGAACCCTGCCCCTCCTCAAAGTACCCGCTGTGATCCCCACATCACATTTGGCCCCGAGAGGACAGCCTCTGACAGCCCAGACACTGAAGATTACAAAGCATGGAGATCTGGGGCACTGGAGCCTGGCTGCAGGGTAGGCACCACAGGACCTCTGAGGCCTCTGGAGGGAGCCTGCTTGGGCCAGGGCCTCTCCTGGACTGCTCACAAATGAGATCCCAGGGCCCCTGCAGGGGGGTTCTGTGCTTCACCTGAGGAAGCAGCCTGACCTTCTGGTAACTCCATATTTACTTTCTGAGATGTTCTGTGCATCACGGTGCTCCGTGCACATGCTGTGTGTGTGTGTGTTTCCCCGTGTGTCTGTGTGTGCTTCCCCGTGTGTCTGTGTGTGCATCCCATGTGCCTGAGACGGTCTCTCAGCATCTGCCTGCTGCTGTGCGTCTGTGTCTATGTGTTTGTGGATTTCAAACTTACTTTTGGCAATGAATCAAATGAAATCAGTATTTTGAATTATGCATTTTTATGTATGTCAAGCAGAATACTTCTAAAGGCAGTAAGGATAACAAGACTGTTTTGATACATACAAAAATGCAAAATCTGGGACTCTGAATGGCCGTGTGGTCTCAGCTACAACATATTGTGTTTTGTCCAATAAATTCAATGGTTTTTTAAAAAGCTTGACTTCTACAGCAAAGCACATTTTAATTAAACTGACCCAGAAGTCAAGAGAAGGAAAACATTTGCTGCAAAGCTCAATCATAGCTGCTTGTGTTTGTAATTATAAATAATGCAAGTCAGCAAGATGCATCCAAACTTACAAGAACCTTAAAACATCCCTAATACGTGAAGACATTTAGTTCAAACATAGGGTTAGGGTCCTGGTCAGGGTGTGAGTTGGGGGGTCAGGGTCAAGGTTAGGGTTAGCAGTAGGATCAGAATTATGGTCAGGACTAGAGTCAGTGTCATAGTTAGGTTCAGAGTTAGGGTTAGGATCAAGGTCATAAGGTCATAAGGTCAGGGTTAGGGTTGGGGCGGTGGTTAGGGTTATGGTCAGCGTCAGCATCAGGGTATCAGTATCATAAGGTCAGGTTCTGGGTTAGGGTTAGAGCCTGGGTTAGAGTTAGGGTCAAGTTCATGGTCAGTGTTAGTGTTACGATCAGGTTTAGGGCTAGACTTAGGGTCAGGGTCAGGGTCTTGGTCACAGTGTCACAGTGAGAGTCAGCGATACAGTGAGGGTTAGGGTCAGGGTTCATGTCAGGATCACTGGTAGGGTCAGTATTAAAGTCAGTGTTAGGGTCAGGGTTAGTGTCAGGGTTATTGGTAGGGTCAGTGTTAGGTAGAGGATCAGGGTTAGTGTTAGGGTCACAGGATGAATGTTATGGAGCTCCTAGACACTGGGACAGGTTATGAAGAACACTGGGCTGAGGTGATCTGCATCTCCTGCAAATCTCATTGCAGCCATGGGTGTCTGGGACCCCACCCACCCAGCATGCCTTGGCAGAAGACCCTGCCTTGACCTCAGAGAAGCCCTCTGAGAACAGCTCTTTGTAGAAAGCAGTGCCTGGATTAAACCTGCTTCTCCCAGGAAGCATCACCTATCTAGGTTCATGCTGTGAGGCACAGAAACACAGATCTATCCACCCTTGGCTTTGGCCCCAGGCATCTCAGAGGCCAGAGCCGTGCTCCACAGCCGCCTGTCTACCCAGTTTCATTGTCTGCCTTCTCTTCCAAACAGTGAGCACTCCCTGATTTCTATTCAATGCTGGTAGACCTGTTCTATCTCAAGCGTAAGAATACATGTCTTGGCTGGGCACGGTGGCTCATGCCTGTAATCCCAACACTCTGGGAGGCTGAGGTGGGTGGATCACCTGAGGTCAGGAGTTCAAGACCAGCCTAGCCAACATGGTGAAACCCAGTCTCTACTAAAAATACAAAAATTAGCCATGTGTGGTGGCGGGTGTCTGTAATCCCAGCTATTTGGGAGGCTGAGGCAGGAGAATCACTTGAACCTGGGAGGTGGAGGTTGCAGTGAGCCGAGATCATGTCATTGCACTCCAGCCTGGGCAACAGAGTGAGATTCCATCTCAAAACAAACAAACAAACAAACAACACATGCCTTGGATAAAGGGATTGGCCCGTCAATTATGGTGGGCCATTATTACGGAATCATTATTCCATGATTCCATATTTGTGGCTTTATTTTTCTCCTCCTCTGTTCGATTTTCTTAAACTTTTAAAAACTTGTTTGGCCTCTTTCAGAGAAGACCTGGAAAGGCAAAAATTGAGTTAAGGACGCCTTCCTTGGGCAGAGATGGTTTTGCCCAGTGGGGCTACTCAGGGGTTGACCACTCGAGGTCCTGAGTGGGGTCAAGCCATCTGTTTTGGTTTCTAAGAGGGAACCTTGCTGCAGTGCTCCTAGAGTGGAAGAACTTTGTGGGGCCTGCTGGGCAGGTGGCCTTGGGCAGCCTGAGCTCCCTTAGAGGGTCTCTGCTTCCTGTCTGTCACAAGATCAGGCTTAAACCAAGGGCCTCTGCTTCTCATCAACTGGGTTCCTAATCCACCTGGCTCTGTGCTCTGTGCAGGCATTGGCTGCTCAGGAAGGAGGTGAGCTGGGCTTTGAAAAAAATGAGAGCCACAGTGGGGGGCAACCCTGGCCAGAGCCTCCTGTGGCAGCCACAGAAAACACCATGCACTTCACAGGGATGTTCTGACCCACGAGGCATGGCGGACCCGGATGGTGCCTCCACACAGGGCCTGTCCAGCAGTCCGCAGTGAGGCCACTGAGGGTCTCCTGCCCCTAAGAGGGGAGCCAGGAGAAGCAGGGGCCCAGCCTGTGAGAGCTATGGCCACCAGATGGCCAGCCTGGGCCTGAAGCCAGATAGCCGCTTACATTGTCATCCCTCCCAGCCCTCAGCTGCTCAAGGAGGCACCCAGGCCTGGCTAGTGCCATGCCCAGAGCCCAACCCAAAGTCCTGGCATGGGGTCTGAAGGGCAGTGGCCAGGAACTGACCAGCTCATGCCCACCTGGACAAGCAGGAGACAGCCTGGAGGGGCCGGGGCTCAGGGCTGTGACTGCAGGAGCCAGCACCTGAGGTCAGGCAGATGTGGGTGTGAAGCCCACTTCTCTGCATCTGCCGGGGCCTGAAGACGGGCATTGGGTGTCAGAGTCTTCGCGATGAATTAGGGAGAGTGCCCAGACCCCCCATCAGGAGGAGCAGGACAGAAGACCGGGCCTCAGACATGTAGCACCCCCAGAAGGCTGCAGGAGGGCAAAGGGCAACTGGGGCGGGTAGGCCTGCAGGGTCCGGGAGGCAGGAGGGGAGTCTGAGCAGGGGCCACTCCCTGGCTCGTTTGAGGAGCGCCAGGGGAAGGTGGGCTGCCCTGAAGTCACTGGGGTGGTGAGCTGCGAGCTGATTCTCTGTCGACCACGTGGATCCCAGATGCAACCAGGGCTCCTTCCCGGTCAGGTTTGGGAAGCTCGGTCCTGGTCTGCTCAGGGCTGCCTGGTTCAGCACTGAAGCCCCACAGGCAGCGAAATCCCTCCTGCCATGGGAAGACGCCGGTGTTTGGGGAGGAATGTGCCAGACTGGAAGAAATGTGAAAAATCCAGAATGGTCCCCAAATGGGGGCTTGAAAGCAACAGAGTTCTTAGTGTCCAGTGGATACGGCCCCGCCCCCACAGACAAGCAAACCCGAGCGCACACACACCACGCAGTGCACACACTTACACTCACACACCTGAGTGTACACACACCACGCAGTGCACACACACCCGACCACACACGACTCACCTTCCCTAGGCAGGGTCCCTCCATTCCCTCCGGGACGCCCCACCTGCCCCAAGCCACCTTTGGAGCGGCGGGGAGGACGCCCGCTCTGATAGAGCTCCCGGGCGGACTCCTGCAAAGCCCTAGGTCCCCGGCGCTGGGCAGGCTGCGGAAGTCTCGCCGGCCCGGGACTCCGCGGCGGGGGCGAAGGACGTGGGTCCCTTGGTCTTTCCTCCCCCACCCTGACACTCCAAGGCAACGCAGCATCCCTTCCGCTCCTCCGCCGCCCGGGCTCCTGCCCTCCACTCGCGCCCTCGCGGGGCTCCGGCAGCCGGAGGGGCTCCTGCGCTACCTGGAGGAGCCCGCATCTCCCCTCCTCTGCCTTCTCCGCTGGACGCCCTGCTCCCGCCCCCGGGCCCGACACTCCTTCCGCGCCGATCGCCCCGCCCAGATCCCAACGCGGGTGTCTACAGACCCCAGTCCCAGGCCGACCACTTCGCCCGGACACGCCCTCTGTCCCCACCCCACGCCTTCTGCGCCCACCCACGGCCCGCCCACTTCGTCCCAGCCCCACTATCACGCCCGCACCTAGGACCTAACCATCGCTTCCCACGCCCTCCGCCCGCCCCTACCCACCCAGGACCCCGCCCACCCTGCCACCCATACCATGGCCCCGCCCTTCTCCCCACCCACTCCCTCCCCTCCCATCCCACGCCTTCTGCGTCCACCCAAGGCCCGCCCCTGTGTCGTGCTCACCCCTAGGCCGTGCCCTACGCATACCCCAGCTCACGCTCACCGTCACGGCCCACCCAGGCCGCGCCCTAACCCCGCCCCCGCCTGGCCACACCCACAGCCCCTCCCTCGCCCGCGGCGAACTGCTAGCTCTGCCCTGGCTAGTCCCGGCGCCTGCACCTGCGGGGCACGCTCCTCTCGAGCGCGCTCAGGAACTAGCCGGGAGGCGCCTCCTCAGAGCGCGTCTGGAACCTAGTCCACGCAGCGTAGCCCTCGGAGCTGTTGTCCCAACAGGCCCGGTCTCTACCGGTCTCCAAATGTAAGCTCTGGAGGGATCGCTTCCAAATCTAGGTCAAGACCTTGGTTTTGGAAGCGTCTCCTTTGAAATCACGGAAAGTCTATGCCGACAGGCTTTCTTCTGAAAATGCTGAGCCATAGGTTCACTGGGGCTGCGCGCTCGCCGGGAAGGCCGCTGAGCGTGTGCTTTCGGTGAAGCCCGGCTCTGTCGCGGACACTCTGGGCCTTGGATCGGAATCCGGCGGCCTCAGGACCGCGCTTCTGCTGGGCTCGCCCTGCCTGTCCCGGCCCGGCTCTGCGGGGCCCCCCTCCTCCCTCCTGCGCTCTGATTCCTTCCCACTCATGCTGCAAAATGGAAAGAAAGCAAAGGAGACCGGTATCGTGGGTGCCAGACAGTGAATCGCTCCGGCCACACCGAGACCCCTACCTTCTCCGGCTCCCAGAGACTCTGTGGAGGTCGGGCACCCTGGCTTTTCTGGGGACACGCCAGTATCAGCGTCTCTCTGTGCCTATTAACAGCGCCCACCTCTCCGCAGCTGCAAAGCTGCAGTGTCTTGCTCTGTCTACTGCATTTCAGTCAGAGGCACCGCGGCCTGCCAGGCTGGCCCTGCCCCACACCCTGGTTCCCTCAGACTAGCTGTGCCCTGCGCCCTCCTGAGACACCACACACACCCACCTCTGGCCCTGGTCCCCTGCTCGGAGTCACAGTGAAGGCTCCCAGTTCTCCCCACCAGTGGCCTTACCTCTTCCTGATACCACTGGGGACCACGTTCTCCCTCCTCCGCAGGGAGGCCGGTGTGTCCGTTCCTTCCTCCCGGGACTCCGAGTCGCCTCCGTCCAGGGCGGCCTTGCCTCCTTTCCAGGGGGTGAGTGTGGCACTATCTCAGGGCCGCGCTCTGGAGCCTCCCAGAGTGGTGGGTGCGGAAGGGTGGCCTTGGCCCCGAGCCTCCGGCCATGCAGCATGCACAACCGACCCAACTCCCCCAGCGCCAGAGGGCCGGGGAACCCTGAGTGTGCGGAGCAAGCCGCTGAAGGCCGGGACCCTGGTCCCGCCGCCTCTCCCGCGGTCTCCTCCCTGGGACTGAGGTGCCCATCAAGCGTTCCGTATTCGTGACCAGTGGGCAAACTATGACGTCCCCTCTCGGGCTGGCCGGCAGCAGTGCCCCGTGTACTGGACAGGACTCCTGACCTCACTGCTGTAAATACTCCACCGATAGAAACCACTGAATTAAAACATGTGGAGCAAATTCTAACATCTCCATGTCGGAGGCTTGTATCCAGCTGGCCTTTTTCACAGCAAGTCAACAGAGCAGAAGCAGCCCTTCTTTTCCTGGGGCTTGCAGTTGCTGTGGGCCGCCACACCTCCCTGGCCCATCCTGGCTTTCCGGGCTGGCTGCCACCCTGCAGCCGCCATGCCCGGGAACTTGTAGCAGCCAGAGGGGCCTATGACAGGTGCCACGTGCTTCTCAGCAGCAAGGTCTCTCCACAGTGCGCTGCGTGCCTTCCACCTCCCTCAAAGACATCAAGGGAGGGGAAAGGAGGGGATGTCTCCCAGGCTCACCACCTCTGTGGGACGTCTGAACACAAGTGACCATCAGGAGAGGCATCAGTACATCTCCATCAGCCCCTGAGCTGAGGGAGGAGGGCAGCAGTGGCGGGTGGTGACATGTGCTGTGAGTGGGACAAGAAATTGCAGAGAGGTGGCAATGCCTACTCACTGGGACCTGCGTGCGGGGTTGGGGTGAGGTTCCCAGTGGGTGGGACACTGTGTCTTCAGAACTGTGCGTGGGATGTGTGGACATCCCCACGTTATTGATTCAGAGACAGACATTCAGAGACGGGAAGTACTTTCCTGAGGCCTGGCACACAGTACATGGAGGGATGAAGCATCCACCCCGACCAGGTAAGCGAGAAGGGAGGGCTGGCCCATGGACTTCTGGATGGAGGAAACGCTGGGCGGTGGATCCCAAGATGCCTGAGACTCCTGGCCCTGGTGCACTGCAGCTTCTCTCAACCCCTCAGTCAAACACTAATTAAGGGCTGGAAAGGATTCTGCAGGTGTCATTAAGGCCCAATGATAGGGGTTGGCTGTGTCCCCGCCCAAATCTCATTTTGAATTGTAATCTCCGTAATCCCAGGTCGCTGGGAGGGACCTGGTGGCAAGTGACTGGATCATGGGGACAGTTTCTCCTATGCTGTTCTTGTGATAGTGAGTTCTTATGAGATCTGATGGTTTTATAAGCATCTGGAAATTCCCCTGCTTGCACTCACTCACTTCTTCCTGCCGCCCTGTGAAGGTGCCTACTTCTGCTTTGCCTTCCGCTATGATTGTAAGTTTCTTGAGGCCTCCCCGGCCATGCAGAACAGAGTCAATTAAACCTTTTTTTTTTTTTTTAATAAATTACCTAGTCTCAGGTATTTCTTAGACCAGGTGCGGTGGCTCATGCCTGTAATCCTAGCACTTTGGGAGGCCGAGGCGAGCAGATCACGAGGTCAGGAGTTCGAGACCAGCCTGATCAACATGGTGAAACCCTGTCTTCCAAAGTGGCTGCACCATTTTGCATTTCCACCAGCAATGGATGCGAGTTCCTGTTGCTCCATGTCCTCCCCAGCAACTGGTGGTGTTAGTGTTTTGGATTCTGCCCATTCTAGCAGGTGTGTAGTTGTACCTCCTTGTTTTAATTTGCAGTTCCCTAATGGCATGCGATGTGAAACATCTCTTCAGATGCTTATTTGCCATCTGTATATCTTTTGGTGAGGTGTTTGTTATGGTCTTTGGGTACCACTTTTACTTGGGTTTTAATTTTTGCTGAGTTTTAAGAGTTCAGAAAAGTTTTTTTTTAGATTTTAGCATTGTTATTAGAGATGGGGGTCTGGCTTGGTTGCCCAGGCTGGTCTCAAACTTATGGCCTCAAAGGATCCTCCCCCGTCTCAGCCCCCTGAGTTGTTGGGAGCCATGCCTGGCTTCAAGAGTTCTTTTTCTATTTTGGATGAAGTCCTGTGTCAGACATCTTTTGCAAATATTTTCTCCCAGTCTGTGGCTTGTCATTTCATTCTCTTGACAGTGTCATTTGCAGAGCATTAAGTTTTAAATTTTAATAAAGTCCAGCTTGTCAATTTATTGTTTCATGGATCATGGCTTTGTTATTATGCTATATCTAAAAAGCCATTACCAAGGGAATGTAAATTAGCCACCAATTAACCACTAGGGAAAACAGTTTGGAGGTTCCTCAAAAAACTAAAAAGAGAGCTACCATATTATCCAACAGTCCCACTGCTGGGTATATACCCAAAAGAAAGGAAGTCAGTATATCAAAGAGGTATCTGCACTCCCATGTTTGTTGCAGCAGTGTTCACAATAGCCAAGATTTGGAAGCAACCCAAGGGTCCATCAACAGACCAATGGATAAGAAAGTATATACACATTCACACAATGGAGCACTATTTGGCCATAAAAAGAATGAGATCCTCTCATTTGCAACAATATAGATGGAACTGGAGATCATTATGTTATAAAGTGAAATAAACCAAATACAGAAAGAGAAACTTCACATGTTCTCACTTCTTTGTGGAAAATTAAAACAATCAAATTCATGGAGATACAGAGTAGAAGGATCGTTACCAGAGGCTGGGAAGGGTAAGTGGAGGTTTGGGGAGGAGGCAAGGATGGTTAATGGGTACAAAAATACAGTTAGAAAGATGAAATATGCCCTTTGATTTGACAGTACAACAGGGTGACTATAGTCAATAAATTGTACATTAAAAATTACTAAAAGAGTATAATTGGATTGTTTGTAAAAAAGCATAGAAACCCTGTCTCTACTAAAAATACAGACATTGCATGTCTGTATCAAAACATCTCATGTGCCCCATAAATACCTATTATGTACCCACAGATATTAACAATTAAATGAGTGAAAAAAATTTATAAGCTATCATCGTACCTAAGGTAACCTACATTTTCTCCTATGATATATTCCAGGACATTTCTAGTTTGCATTTTACTTTTAGGTCTATGATCCCTTTGAATAATTTTTTTTTTTTTTTTGAGACAGAATCTCACCCTGTCACCCAGGCTGGAGTGCAGTGGCGTGATCTTGTCTCACCTCCGCCTCCCAGGTTCAAGCAATTCTCCTGCCTCAGCCTCCCGAGTAGCTGGGATCACAGGTGCTCGCCATCATGCCCAGCTAATTTTGTATTTTTAGTAGAGACAGGGTTTCACCATGTTGGCCAGGCTGGTCTCGAACTCCTGACCTCAAGTGATCCACCTGCCTTGGCTTCCCAAAGTGCTGGGATTACAGGCATGAGCCACCGCGCCCAGCTCCTTTTCATTAATTTCTGTTTAGGGTGTAGGGTCTGTTTGATTTCTTTTGCACATGCGGACATCTAGTTGTCCCAGCACCATTGTGGGACCATTTTCTGCATTGTGGTGCCTTTGAATCTTCTCAGAAGATGAGTTGACTATATTTATATGGGTCTATTTCTGGGTCCCCTAATCTGTTCTATTATTTGTCTCTCCTTTTACCAATAACACACTGGTTTGGTAACTGCAGCTTTGTAGTAAGTCTTCTAGTCAGGTAGCGTCAGTCCTCCAACTCTGCTCCTCTCCTTCAGTA
Source organism: Homo sapiens (assembly GCF_000001405.40). Lineage (NCBI taxonomy): Eukaryota > Metazoa > Chordata > Mammalia > Primates > Hominidae > Homo > Homo sapiens. Next base: position 227,783,278 of record NC_000001.11, on the reverse strand, counting down.
TTGAATTGATTATTCTGGGTCTTTTGCCTCTCCATAAAAACTTTAGGATCATCTGTTAATATCCACAAAATAACTTGCAGGGATTTTGATTGAAATTGCATTGAATCTATAGATCAAGCTGGAAGGAACAAACATGTTGAAAATACTGAGTCTTCTTATCCATAAACATGGAATTTTTCTCCATTTATTTGGTTCTTCTTTTGTTCATCAGGGTTTTGTAGTTTTTCTCATATATATAGAAAGAGTACACTTTTTTTAGACTTGTACCTAAGTATTTTATTGTTTGGGGGTGCTAAAGTAGAAGTACTTTGTTTTTAACTTCAAATCCACTCATCCATTGTTGGTATATAGGAAAGTGATTAACTTTTGTATATTTTGAAATCTTGAATAGTTGTTCATTATTCTAGGGGATTTTCTTGATCCCTTTTTACACTTTCTACCTGGAAAATGTCATTTGTGAACAAAGAGAGTTTGTTTCTTCTTTCAGTATCATTAAACTTTAACTTCCTTTTCTTGCCTTGTTCCATCTGTTAGAGCTTAAAGTGCTGAAAGGAGATGGTGAGAGCGGATGTATGGGCCTTGGTCGTGATTTTAGTGGGAAAGTTTCTACATTCTTACTACTGTATATCATGTTAGTTTTGAGGTCCAGTGGACAAGGAATGGTCAAGTGACACAAAAGGCCTCACCTGATATTGCAAGGACTTGCTGACAGTGAGAGGTCAGGGACAGGGGAGACCCCACCCACACTGTGAAGTCCTGAGAACAGCGAGGGGTCAGGGACAGAGGAGACCCCACTCACACTGTGAGGTCCTGAGGACAGGGTGCAGCCTCTTCCAGGCTTGATGGGGGTCTGCACGGTGGCTGCAGGCATGGTGAGCCCTTGCTGCCGGCTCCCAGCACTGACAGGAGGGGGGGCCATGGTGTCCGCATGCCTTGGGCTAGGCTTGAGGGCCAACACTGGCCTCCTTGGGGTGTCCAGACAGGCTGGGAGCACTCACTCACCTGTGGCCTTAGTGGAAGGACCCCAGAGGGGACAGGGCAAGGTCTCCTTCTGCAGGCTGCTAAGTATAAACCAAATAAGAAAAAGCAGAAAACAATTTCCCAGATCAAACAAAAAATAACATCAGAGTGCTGGGTGCAGTGGCTCACGCCTGTAATCTCAGCACTGTGGGAGGCTGAGGCGGGCGGATCACTTGAGGTCGAGAGGTTGAGACCAGGCTGACCAACATGGAGAAACCCCATCTCTACTAAAAATACAAAGTTAGCCAGGTGTGGTGGCGCATGCCTGTAATCCCAGCTACTCGGGAGGCTGAGGCAGGAGAATCGCTTGAACCTGGGAGGCGGAGGTTGTGGTGAGCTGAGATCATGCCATTGCACTCCAGCCTGGGCAACAAGAGTGAAACTCCCTCTCAAAAAAAAAAAAAAAAAAAAAAAATCAGAGCTCCCTGGGCTGTGGCTTTCTAGAGAGGCTGCTTCCCAGTTTTCCTGCCAGGCACCTGCACTGGCTCTGGCGACTGGCATTGCAGCCCCTAGTCCAGCTGGAGCCTCAGAGCAGGACCTCCTGTGGAACTGGGGTCTTAGCAGACATTCTCAGTGAGTGACATCAAGACCAGGCCATCCTGGATTAGGTTGGGCCCTGGACCTGTGGCAGGCGGCCGTGCAGGGTCCTCCCCAGAACCTTTGGAGGGAGCACGCCCAGGATATCTCAACGTGGGGCTTCTGGCTGCAAAGCTGCGAGGGCCCCTGTGTGTGAGGCTCACTGAGCAGCCCTGGGAAGGCAGCACCACTGGGCATTGGGTGCACCAGCGTGGAGGCCCCACAGGCTGGGCCGTGGCACCATCCTGGGACTCGCCTCCCATGTGCCCGCACCCTTCCTTGCAGCCCTGCACGGGGCATCTGAAAGCAGCATGGCAAAGGGGCACCACCCGCAATGTGACGCGCAGTCCCGCCAGAGGCCATGCTCACCTACCCCAGGGCCTCTGAGGGAGTGGCCACTGACCCAGACACAAGGCACCAGGTGGAAACACTGGCACCCATCTTCAAAAACCACTCTGAAGCCAGCATTTCCCTTTATTTCTGGATGGAAACGGGGCCCTAAAAGCAGAAATCAATATTTTTGTTTGAAAGATGCAGTCATGCTAATTTCACTTTTGGCTAAAACCGAGACGATAAAAGAACAGTTGGGTGTTTATAGGATGCCCTCAAAGTGAGCTGGCTAAGTGAGCTGGGCTCTAACTTCACTCACAAATTTATAGTACAGCTAAGAAGGCCAGTCTGTCCATGAAAGGGAGCCGAGACAAGACGAGGGCGGCCTCTTCCAGGCCTGTGCCAAGTGTCCTTGGGGTCCCGCCATGGTCCACACTTCTGCAGCATCCGCAGAACATGTGGCCGGGTCCTGCCCAGCAGCAGGGACAGCCAAGTGGGAGGCAGGCATGGTGCACACCTGGGGAGGCCCCTGGTGCAGAAGCAGCCCCACAGTAGCAGCCCCATCCAGAGGAAGACCACTCCGGAGGGCCACAGGCCTCTGCAGCCCTGGCACTGCCGCCCAGCCCTCCATCTCAGCGGGATGTGCAGGGTGAGACAGGAATGCAGGGACGTTCTGCCCCTAGGTCAGCCTCTTCATCCGCCTGTTGTGCTTGTCGATGGTCAAGGTTGCCCTGTCCACAGCTGCTGCAACGCCATCCAGGGCTTCGTCTTGTCTCTCCAGCTCACTCTCGGCCTCCAGGGCCAGCCCCTTCATCCTCCTCAGGATCTGGGGAGAAGCACAAGATCACAGCAGAGGCTGCCATCTCTGCAAACTCTAGCACAGACAACATCTCCCCCTCTCACACACCCAAGAGCCTTTGCGTTACCACCTGGGTGATGCCATCTGCGAGCCAGCAGGAGGGAGCCGGCAGCCCAGCACCAGGGTCAGGTCATGGCTCTGCCTCTGCCAGTACAGGCCTGATGAGATGAGGTGCCTGCCCCACCTCCTGCCAGCTGCCTGCCCGCACCTCCTGCCTGGTGCAGTGGCCACACCCTGGCCTGCCATCTCCAGGCTGCGGAGTGCTCTGTTTGGCTGACCTTGTGGGAGCGTTGCATGTGGGTGTGGAATTCCTGCCCACAGTGGGGCAGCTGGGGACCTGGGCACGCAGCTCGGATTTGAGTCCCAGCTCTCACCCAGCCACTATGCTGGGTGAGACCTGTCTGCATGTGGGTCCCTAACTGCAGACTGGAGTGGGAAAGCAGGATTAAAAAGAAACACAAACCCCTTCTCTTGTCTCTAAGTGTGAGATGTTTCATGCACAATGCAAATGACAGAATGAAACTCTCCATACGGTGGAGGGCAGCCAGCACCGTGGGGGTGTGGGAGATGGTCCCCGGCCCAGCAGATGCAGAAGGTGGAGGCACGCAGGGCCAGGCAGGTGTGGATAGGGAAGGCTGGATGGGGTGGGCCGCCCCAGGAATGCTAGCACAGAGATGTGTCCCCTGGTTGCAGCAGGGGCGATGAGCTAAGGGCTGAGCTGGTGCTGTGTCTGTGGCTTAATGAGCTGTGTTCTATGAGGAATCTAGGAAGGTGAACCACACTGTGAAGCGCTGCTTTACACACTCAGCCTAGGTCTAGAAGCCTCATATGCCCACCTGACAATGGAGAAGAATACACTGGAAAGGAAACTTGAGTGACCCACCACTTGCAATAAATGTCCATGTCCTCTTTCAGGGAAAGTTCTGGATCACTGCTTAGGTCAGGAGAAGGAACCCTCAGTGCTGTGTACCCACCAGTTGGACAGCAGTGACCATCCAAGGTCTAGGGCGTGGTGATCTTGAGGGGGGCCCCTACAGCTCCTCTGGTTGCCTCTAGGAACAGCACTCCTGAGCCCTGGGGGAGCAGCCTCCCCACGCTCCGCCCAGTGACATGGCGGGAGGCTCAGCATCCTGTGGGGTTGGGCAGCCAGGGCAGGTGATTCAGTGCTCCCCAGCAGGGTGGCCAGCAGTGGGACACATGCAGCTTGGGATTCAGGGTCACAAGCAATGCCCCCGCCTATGGTCCGGCCTTCATCTGACCCATGAGAAACAGTATGAAGGCGGCCAGGACAGAGGGCCAGCTGGTCAGATCCAGCTCCCTCCACTGAACGGTGTGGCTCACATGAGATCACAAATGCGAACAAGCTGTGAAAACCGGAATGGGCCCAGCCAGGGTGGCTGCCATGCTGCAGAAGGAGCCCTTCCCCGGCCAGCTGCCCAGCCCCTCTGCAGATGGCACAGGGAGTTGGGGGCTGAGGTCACTCACAGGCACACGGCAGAGGTGAAATGAGCCACATGTCCCTTTCCAAACCTGGCCTTCCTGCTGAGATATTTGTCATAAGACAGATGAATAAATGCCTGACTAGAGCCCCAGTCCCAGACAGCAGGGCTTCTACACCCTCGGGAGCTGGCAGAAACTCCATCTGTTGAGTCATGACTTAGATCGCTGGATGGGGCTCTGGAAAGTATATGGTGGGGTCAGTGGCTCCAGGAGGACGGGCAGATGACCTCACACAGGAGGTCTTTTCCACCGCCTGGCCCATGATCTCACGTGGCCCACACCCAAATTGTGCTGTGACAGGGAAGAAAGCCTCAGCCCACCCCTTGCTGGCTCTGCTAACCTGCTCCCTTCTCACCTGCCCCTGCTGTCAGTGTGATCCTGAGGGCATTGCTGGAACCAGCAGGCACAGCCCTTGGAAGGGATGGCTGGGCTGCACACTCACACTGTCCCTGTGCCCACATCCTGTGAGGAGGCCTCCTGGAAGCCAGGGACATGGATCCGCTCGGGATCTGGTCTCAGTCCCTATGTCCCTCGTCAACCATACTAAAATGTGATTTAAGTGTATTTAGAATTTAAATGTCCTTCAGGGCCACAGGGCTCCCATGAGCTGACGGCTGGGGAGATGGCCCAAGGCCCCTGCCAGGACCCACAGCTCCAATGCCTCCCACTAGCCCCTGCATCAGCTCTGCCCTCTCCATGACCATGGCGTGCAGTGCTATCAGGAGACACCACTATTTGTCTTTTCTGTTAATAACTGCATGTAGAAAACCAGGAAACATGAGAGAAGTTAAGGAATAAAACAAAATCTGCCCATAATACAGACCACTGTTAGGCTGGCACCATCAGTGACACAAGCACACTCCTATCTGGCTTTTTCCCCCGTCGCTATGTCCATACACTCTTGCGAATAACTCAAATTTGGGATTAAAGTACATACACAACTTTGTCTTCTGTTTTTACCATCCTATAGCTATCCTGAATGAAAGCTGAGTTATTGGATATGCAATGTAAGCTGACATTGTTCTAAGAACGTGGCACATTTTATCTGTTTCACAGAGAGGGTGACCTGCCCCCGGTCCTGAGGATACACTCATTGCACATAGAGATGCTGTGGGGCATGACCCAGACCACATCCCGGGTCACCGCCAGAAGTCCTATACCCCTTACAGATGGTGGCAGGGCCCTGGGACATCCAAGGGAGGCTGGGCCAGGACCTGCTCTGGCTCTCTGACTGGAGTGTCTTTGGCAGGATGACACTAAGAGTAGCTGAATAAGCTGTATTAAATCTGTCTAACCCTGACCCAGATGTTCAAAGGTAAAAATGATAGGGAAAACAAATAAAATACTGTACTGAACCCAATAGACATAGAGTACCATTTGACATACATCAATGCCAATAATTATTAAACATACATCATATTCTTCTTTTATATACAGTCCTAGCAAGCCGCCATGAAGGTTACACTACCTACGGCAAGGCCCAGCAGAGACCCGCAACAACTCAGGGATCAGGAGCCACATGGAGATCAGGACCACAGGGAGGCATGAAGCCCGTCCACCTGGGGCCACCTCCACACAGACCCCAACAGCCCCACACTCCCGTTCACTATCTTCCCCACAAGACGCCTGTCCCCCAGGGTCATCTCCAACAGACCCAGGCAGCCCGGCACCCCTGTGCGCCACCTTCCCTGCAAGGCTGAGTGGTGCGTGCCCAAGATACTGGCCGTGCTAGTGACCCTGGTTGTGATGTGATCACTTTATGTTTCATGTATGGAAAACTTCACTACGTAACCCATGAGTATGTACAATTATTCTCAACCTAAAAATATTGTCTATGACATCTCCCCAGAATATAAAGAAGAAAATAAAATAACTTTTTTTTTTAAAAAAGACATCAAATTCATGCCTTTTTCTAGTGCATAAGAAAGCAGTGGGAATAGCAAAAATTTCTATAGTTTAGGGTTTTGCCTATTAAGCACAGTAATAATATGCACAATTTATTTGTGACTAAGACCAGCTGATCTGCCTATAGAAGCGGAATATTTTATTGTGTACACAGACAAAATAAAGGCTGGCTCCTGCTGTACTTTTTGATTTGAAAATGTCTCACTACGTTGAAGGCCTTAAAAGAGAACTCATTCCAAATAGCCTGTTGAGACCCTTGGCCTGCCTGCCAAAATTGCACTTGAAGTTAATTAATAGTGCAAAAACACAAGAGCGATCTGTACAGCTGCTAGGTCTGCAGACAAAGAACATTCCTGAGCGAACCTTCAAACTGCTAGTGTCCTGGAGTGCAGGTCCAGATTCTTTTTCCTTTGAGAAGGGACTGAAGTAATTACATGGCATCGTGTGCATTCCACATAACAGGGATGGAAAGAATGGAGAATGTGAAGTCTGGCCAAACCCTAGAAACAGTTGTTCCTCTGCGGCCTGGGGTGACAAGCCATCTAGCCATTGTGCAGGATGCTGTCAGCTCCGAGGCAGCCAGTGGCCTCACACAGGAACCTTCATGGGCTCTGAGTCAGAGGCGAGGCGCAAATCAGACTTCCTTGAGTCCCTGCTACATGAGTAAAGAAATCCAGGAACCAGCCTTCCTTCCAGCCAGTTCGACCTCCACAGAAACTACCTGATTAAAAGTGCTTTGGGTTTTGGGGGAAACAAACTTTTATAAACTTCAAAGAAATAGAGCAAGGAGTGCTTGAAGGACAGTACAATCCAGGCTGGCCCTGGGGCATGCCTGCGAGCCAGACCTGATAGAAGTGTTCCTAAGAGAAGCTGCAGCTTAGAGCATCAGTGGATGCCTGGCCAGACCCATGGCCAGACTCTGTGGTCCTGAGCGGCTTGTGGGACCCGCTGAGGGCGTCAGAGCCAGGAAGGGGAGCAGCCCTGGGTGACTCAGGCAGGCAGCAAGAGGCACAACCTGAACAAAGAAACGCAACTGATGCGTGGCTGACACTGCCAGCTTATGGCCATGGTCCCCCAGGATAGCACCAAAGCCACTTTCCTCCAACACATCCGTGAGGAGGATGCCCTGGGCGCTGTGGGCCTGGCCGGCTCCCTCATGCCCTGAGCAAAGGCTGTTCTGGAAGAAAAGCTTCCGCTTGCTGCCCTGCTAGGAAAGTCTCTGTCTCCACAAAGCTCCTGCAGACTCGGAGCAAAGCATCACCAACACTGTCTGGGTTGACAGCGACATAGGCCGGAAGCCCTGCAGAGCAAAAACAAGAGAATTTAGCATTCTCACCATTTCCATTTTGTTTATAAAGGCAAAAAATAAATATAGAAAAATAGCCTAATGAAGTAGGGTGGGCCCACCTACAAAGCAGCTGTGTGTCCATGCGCGCACCATTAGGGCAAGGCTGAGTGCTGGGGGCCTGAAGACGTCCCAGCCTTGTGCGTTCGCTGCCACCAGCAGCCCGGGAAGACAGTGCTCCAGAGGCACGCACGGCCTTGGCCTCCAAACTCTGCGGGACATCGGCTCTTGTGTCCCATGGGACATGTCTGCTCTGGCTCGCCTCGCGACGCCGGAGTGCGGCACATCACCGTACCAAGCCAAGCACCGAGAGCAGTCTGCTGTTAGCTGGGCTGCCCTGGCCGTGTCATTAAGCTGACTCACTGAGGAACTGTGAATTTTCTTGCAGTGAGAAATTAGCAACCATTTAAGAACAGAGCTGGGATAAATCAAGCTGTCTACAACTCAAAATAGTTCTACCAGTTGGGGCCATTAATATGCTGCAGAGAATGTAAAGGGGGAAAATTGGCTCTCACCGCAGCCAAGCTCTGGAGGCCGTAAAGAACACTCTCTGCTGCGATCTGTCACACTCGGCACTCGCAGACCACCCTGCGGCCCGCCCAAGTCCCCTCCGCTGCATTCCTGGAGGCCAAGGTGGTCTGTGCACTAGCCGGGGGGGCAGATGCAGGGCCCCCCTCCTCAGGACGCCCCCGCGGCGGTGGGTCGAGGCAATGAGCACGGCGGCCTCGCTGCTCAGAGGGGACTTTGATTCAGCCGGGCCAGCTGAGCTCACTCCAGGCGTGCACAGGAAACGCCATGCAGAGCAAGGAGCTGGGCCTGGACTGGATTGTCCTGCCCAAGAGCGCTCCCTGCTCCTAGACCAGGGATGGAGATTCCCATTAAGAGACCCGAGTGCTTGAGGGACGATGAACCCTCACTAAAGTGTTCAGTGAATGTGAACTGAGTGCCACTGAAGGTGCATCGCACACGTGGAAGAACCTCAGTGGTACCCTCAAAATAGGAAACAAACTGAAAATGCACTAAAATGTGGCTCTTTCAAGAGGTTGGCCACAGCCCCACAAAACCCACTTCCCAGCCTGAACCAACACGGCCAGAGCTGTGGCCAATGAGTCTGCTCCCAACTTGCCAGGCACCTCATGCTCTGCCCTGCGCGCTGCGGCCCGGTCCCCCTTGCCTCTCACCTACACCTCGAGGCGGGACACTGCTGTGCATGGAGGGGACAGGAACAGGGCCCAACACTCAGGGCTGTGACACACAGCTCAGCAGCAGCCACAGTGCTGACCCCTGCCATTGAGGGCCACTCTGCAGCCTCACTCTCCCGGTGGGTGACACCTGGCCCAGTGAACCTACCTCCGGCATTGCTCTTTCATCCTTCAACACATGGTGTCAACAGCTGCACAAACCCACTTCCCAGCCTGAACCAAGACTGCGTAATACCTGCTGACCACATTTAAAGGCTAGCAAACGTGTCAAAATGAACAGAACAGCTAAGCAGAGGATCCATACAGAAACAGGAACAGGCAGCCTGCACAGCACTATAAACCCATGGCCCAGGAGACCAGTGCAGAGAGCTCCACCTACAACCGCAGGAGCCCATTCTCCTCTGTACCAGATGCCTCCATGGGCCACAGGCTGGGAGATGGGCCACGGACTGGGAGGCAGCCCTCAACAAGCCTAGAGAGATGGATCCACAGCAGGTGTCTCCTCCAACCACAGCAGAGGGAAGCTAGCAACACGGCAAACTGAAGTGTTTACAAATTAAACAACCAACAGGTGATGGAAGGGAAATTAGTAAATTATTTGAGATGAATGAAAACAAAATCATGATATACTAAAATAGTCATGTGCTGCCTAATGATGTGGATGCATCCTGAGGAACCATGGCTCGGGGTCTCATCGTGGGACAACGCTAGAGTACACATACACACACTGAGGGGGCAGGGCCTGTGGTGGCCGGCTGTGTAGCGGGGCACACCCCCCCAAGCTGCAGGCCTGCATGGCACACCACAGCACCAAGCAGCACAAGTAGCTGGAGCACCACGCTAACTACCTGCACATCTAAACGTGGAGAAGGTGCCGTAAATGTGCAGCATAAAGATACGAAATGGCACGCAGTGTAGAGCGCTTCCCGTGAGCAGGGCTGGCAGGACTGGACGCGGCCCTGGGTGTGTGGTGAGTGAGCGTGAAGGCTTAGGCATGACTGAACACTACTGTGGACTTTATCAACACTGCGCACTAAGGCTCCACTAAATTTATTTTAAAAAGTCTTTCTTCAATAACAGGTGAGCCTTAGCTTCCTGTAACTTTTGTATATTACAAACTACGATTTTCTTTAACTCTGACTCTTCTGTAATAAAATTTCAAACACAAACACTATATAGCCGTGCCAGAATAATTTTTCTTTATATTCTTATCCTATATGCTGTTTTCTCTTTTTAACTTATTTTATTTTTTACTTTTGAAACTTTTTTTTGGCCAGGCACAGTGGCTCATGCCCATAATCTCAGCACTTTGGGAGGCTGAGAAGGGAAGGCTGCTTGAGCCCAGGAGTTCAAGACCAGCCTGGGCAACATAGGGAGACTCCATGTCTACAAAAAAAAAAAAAAAAAAAAAAAATTAGCTGGACGTGGTGGTGCACACCTATAGTCCCAATTACTTGGGAGGCTGAGGTGGGAGAATCACCTGAGCCTGGGAGGCGGAGATTGCAGTGAACCGAGATCATGCCACTGCACTCCAGCCTGGGAGACAGAGTGAGACCCTGTCTCAAAATAAAAAATACAAAAAACCTTATGACAAAGCTACAGTAATCAAAACAGTGACATTAGACTGCAAAATGGAATTAAGTGAGAAACCAGAGATAAACTCATATTATCTATGGCTAACGGATTTTCAACAAGGGTGTCAAGACCATTCAATGGGGAAAGAACAGCTGGTTTACCAGATGGTGTTGGGAAAACTCGATCTGGACACACAGAAGAATAAATCTGGGTCCTCACCTCACTCCGCACACAAACATTAACTCAGAATGGGCTCACAACCTAAAGAGGAAACCAAAACCACAGAACTCCTAAGAAAACATGGGGGTAAAGCTTTATGATCTAGGGGTCTTAGAGCATTTCCCTTGATAATAAGAGGACCACTGTGTACCCCAAAGACTTGAGAGCAGGGCCTCAAACAGATGCTCACGTGAACGCTTACAGCGGCATTCTCCATAGCAGCCCAAAGGAGGAAACAGCTCGTACATCCACCAACAGAGGGGTTTTCAGTGCATGGGCCCTGAAAACCGTATGCCAAGTGAAATAAGGCAGGCACAAAAGGACAAGGGCTGCGTGACTCCCCTGCTGTAAGGAACCCAGAGTGGCAGGCTGGCAGAGAGGGAAGGCAGAGTGGTGGGCGGGGGGCTGGGGCAGAAACGTGGGTTCGTGTCTCACAGAAACTGTTTCTGTGCAGGATGATGGTGGTGAATTTCATTAACTCCACTGAATTGTACACTTAAAAATGGTTAAAATGGCAAAATTTGTGTTTTATATATTTCACCACAATTTTTAAAAAGTGAATAATGAGAAACTCCCCACTGCTATAACACGTATTACCTTCCACAGCCAGGGCCTCCATGACACCCAGCACTTGCCCCGCACACTTGGCCTTCATTAAAGCGACAACTGGGAGGACAGGAAAGGCTTGGGGTGGGGTGAGTCCTCCAAGCCTGAAGTCCCACTCAGCACTCGGTCAAGCACTCGGTCTCTGCTTGACCTGTTCAGCTGGTGCAGCCTGGTAGTGGCCTTGGGAGGGCTTGTCAGGTGCTGGCCTCCGGCCCTCAGCACAGGTCCCACACTCTCTCCTGCCAGGCCCTTTGCACCGGTAGTTTCCCAGGTGGTTTCTGGGTACTGGTTGGTGTGAGCATCTGGGACCCCAAGGGCTGTGCCTGGCATGGCCTCCTGTCCCCATCACTCTGAAGCCATGGGCCCTGCTCAGCCCAGGGTCCTGGGTCCTCTGCAGTCATGCCCAGCACAATGGGAGTTTGGGGGGCATGGGCACAGGAGTGGCTCACCCGCAAAAGCAGAGGGTGGGGGTGGGGGTGGGGGTGGGCGGGGTGCACAGAGGCGGGTGAGCAGGCGTTCACTGTCACAAACCCATTAGCCAAAGAGCATACAGGTTAAAAGGGAAGGCGTGGTGTTCCCCTGTGATGCCGCCTCCACTCAGCTGCCATAAGTCTGAGTTACAGGGCACCCTCAAGCTACGTGCATGCAGGGCCCCCACACCTGGTCCAGGGCGCCCCTGGGACATGGCCTCCTGCTGTGTGCATGTTGGGCTGCAGGGCACCCTGTCCCCATTCCCAGCCTCTTCTTATGGATCAGCATTTAGAAAGTGCATGCAATGTGGTGTCAGGGGCATGAGTAATAGGAACTCATAGTAAAGGCACAGATCCCCAAACATGGCGGCTTAGCTCAGCGCTTCTATCTGACTGCTGTCAAGGCCATAAATAAAAACAGCATCACAAAACCTCACAGCCCCCCAAAATATTGACCTCCTGCCTGTGTCGTGATGAACACTTGACATGAACAGCCTGGAAAAGCAGGAAAGTACGGGACGCTGAGAGCCTGAGTGGAGAAGGAGCCTGGCCTCCCCACCCCTCCTCACTCACAAGCAAGGCCCACTCCTGCCTGGCTAGCCTCGGAGGGTGGGTGCTGCGTTCAGTGCCCCCGCAGAGCCCAGTCACCTTGGGGGTGGCCAGTCCCACCATCCCCTCTGGCCATAACCTGTTCTCCAACTCGCCTGCTCCACACACTCCCAGTGGGCCCAGGCAGGAGAGCGACACTTGTGTCAGGTGCGCTCAGGACAGAGCATGGTGTCCATGCAGCTTCTCCAGCCCCCGGGGACTGCAGGCGCCCAAAGTCACATGGGGCTGTTGGCCCCGACATGGTCGGTGAGCTCAAAGAAGCCAGGGCGGTCATACACTGATTAAGACCCTTATTTCAAGTACTAGGGAGACACTCTGTGAATATGATTATCTTACATTCATTAGGTACACACACATGTTTTTTCCCCTGACTAGGAGAGGACACAGATTAATTGAGGAAAGTTTAGATTAGAGACATCAGGGATAGGGAAGTGAGGGAAGCCAGACCAGGAACGGGGGTCCCTGAGGAAGATGCAATGCATTCTCCAGTTCCTAAAAAAGAGAAACAAAAGGAAAGAAAGGGATGTTACCTTCTGAAAATAGTTTCATAGAAGGCAGGGAGCCCCAGAATGACTTCAGAATGTTCCAGCAAATCACCAGAACTGGTCCACATGGGACATGACGCTGTGGAGTGGGCAGAGGGTTTCTGCCAAACAAAGACGTGAGGACAGAAACACCTGGCTCCCCACATGCCCAGAAGCTGCAGTCCCACACCTCCACGTGAGCCCTACCTGAGCCCCAAGTGAGCCTGACCGCACCCTCAGTCTCACCCCCGTCCCAGCACCAGGCTCGGCTCCCTGGGAACCCTTTGACTCTGAATGGAATGAGTTGCATGGCTTTCCTGTTACCATGTGTGTTTGCATTTGTTGTTTATGGAGACGTCACAGGCAGTGGTACGCTGGTCGCCCCATGCCATAAGGCAGGAGGCTGAGGCGTCACCCAAGCAACCCCTGGGACCTGTGCCCACAGGGACCGGCCATGGCACATCTGTTCCTATCAGGAACCACGGCAGGAGTGCAGCAGGCTTCTTTCCCACCATCAGGCACCAGCGAGGCTCCCACCCACTCTCCCGCCAGACCCAGTGTCTGTCGACACTGAGTGTCCACCTGGTTCCTCCCTGGAGACAGAGGGACGTGGACACAGCAACCCCAAAGCAGGACAAGACAGATGAGGCTGCATGAGCTGGAGTGTCCCAGGGAACTGCCCTAGACCACCTCCAGTTCTACTGTGTCCAGGCACCGCGTCCATGGCGTGGGCCCTAGTGGATTCCACAGCCGCAAAGAGAAGCGGACAACAGAAGCAAGTCAGGGGCTCTGTCAAATCCACCTCCTACAGCCCCCGGCCCTCCACCCTCCACAACCACAGTGACACAGTGGCCAGGGCCCCAGAGACAGAAGGGCTCGCCGTGTCACCCCTGCCTGTCCTGTGTGATCACAGCCACCCTCTCCTGAGCACCCCCAGTTGCAACCCACACCACTGGGACACGTTTCAGCATGATGGCTTTAATAGCATCTGCAACAAAAACCACAGCTGGATGAAGGGGGGTTTCGTGCATTTTTATTTTCCCCAGAAATGTAACTCACTCTGGCTTCTGCTTGAGCTTCAACTGTGCACTAGGAATTCTCTAAATAGGAAACACATGTATTGCCTCAAAAAGACAGTCTCCTGTGAAACTAGGCTCCTCCTGCAAGGAAGGGGGCCCGCATCTGACCAACGTGCTGCCCTTGCCCCCAAGGCACACCAGGCCTTCCTGGGCCCTCCCAACCCCATACCTTGGGTGACTGCTTCCTCCCGCTCTGCCACTGGCCTTGATGCCACAGTCGTGAATGTGAAGCCTGTTCCTCCCGGTGTTGAGCCACTGGGCTTGCTGGATCTTTAATGATGGCAGTGCCCATGCAGCCCCAGGGGAGACACAGCCTGGATGGCTGGTGGGGAGCCCCACTCACCCTCAGCTCCGTGCAGTCACCTGACCACCTCCCCAACGCTCCCGGGCTTTGAGGTGAAGAACACGCCACACGTGACAGGAGAGTCTGATGTGTGGACACTTGAGGGCCTCTCCAACTACATGGCCACCATTGCAATTAACAGGTAAAATTCCTATTTTTTCATCTTAAAGCTTTGCTCCTACTTCAGTCTAAACACAACCGTGGGATACAGTGAGTATCTCGGCCGTGGACACCTTTGTGGGGTGTGGGAGTGGGGTGTGCTCAGATCCTGCCAGTCTCAGCCACGTGCCGAGGCACTCTCAGGAGGATGGCTGGGAAAGAATCAGGTAAGTCTATCTTTACAGTATTGGGATTTCTCAAAAACCCTGAGCAAACGAGACCCAGGCCAAGAATGTTCTGGAGGCAGTGAGTGTATCTGAAGGTGACTAGGAACCTGCAGAGTGAGCTGGCTACACCTACCAGGCAGTGCTGTGTGTGCCATTACCAGACATGACTAAGTGAGGCCGGGAGGAAAAAGTGACAGGCTGTGTCCACTTGAATTACCCCAGAGCAAATATGAACACCTTTTTCCCCAAACAAGCTGGCCTCAAAGGAGTTTATGCCTACACAGACACGTAAAGTAAGAATTGGTTTTTAAAAACAGGCATAAGAGACAGAGTGTCTTTATCCACCTCCTGGTGGACATGGGCAGAGCCATCCACAAAACACTCCCTACAAAAACAGGGCCGGGCCTGACAGAGCCCCAGACCCACCTGCCGACTCAGAGGCTCAGGGACGGGGAGCCCATGCCCTGCGTGGACACAGAACTGCAAGATCCAAAGTGCACAGTCTCAGCCCAACAGACAGCTTTGCTTTTTCCAGGAATCAACTGTAGGGGAAGACGAGACGGAAGCTGCACCTGGAGACTGCATGTGCGCCACATACCCTGTGGGACACACCCTTCAGCAAGGGCTCAGAAGGTGGGAGCACTGCCTGGATACTGGATGGTGCTGAGGAATGACTTCCTGTTTCCTAAGGCGACAGTGGCAGTACGGTTCTTTCTGAATGGCTCTTATCCTTTAATGATACATATGGAGATATTTACAAATGAAGTGATATGATGACTGAGTACAGCTTCAAAAATTACTTGGAAAGCCAGCATGTTAGGCAACAACCTCTGGACAAGATAGGAGTATTTACACTGAACATTAAAATTCCAGCCTCCCAGGCACAAAGTGCTGAGCCTCCTTAAGAACCAGTGCTCAGCACATGAGGGCTGAGTGAGCCATGCACCCGACTGTGCATGCATACAGTGCACACACAGAACACGCAACACACAGCAGGCATGTACCTGCATGCATGCACAGTATACAGAGCACACATGCACGCACATGCACAGCACACACAGAGTACACATACATGTACAGTACATGCACGCTCCACACACAAGACATGCACATATACACATGCCCATGCACAGTACACACAAGGTACACATACAGCACATATACATGCATAGTACATGCAACACATACACCACATGCACAGCACACACATGTGCATACACACACAACACACACAACACACACATGTACTCACAAGTACACACACATGCACATGCACATACACAGTACAAGTACATGCATAACATATGTACACATAGCACACATACTACACACAAATGCACAATGTGTACAGTACATGCACACTACACACAGCATGCACATGTACATGCACGGTAAACATACACACCTGTGCACACACACACACGGACATGTACAATGGGTGCAGGTGGTAGCCAGGGCAGCTGTGTGTGCATAGGAATGTGTCTGAATGTGGTGCATGTTGTGTTCCAGGAAGTGTGTGGACCTGGGACGGACACTGCCCTTCCTCCCTCCCTGCAGCTGCCGAGTGGAGGCCAGCAGCTCCTCCTTGGTGCGAGGCCAATACGGATGGATGACCCAGAGCTTGTTTGTGATCAGAAAGGCAAGAGGAGCAGCCTGCGGGAAGACTGGGACACAGCGCTGGCTGGCATGGCACTGGGGACATCTTACCTGGGTTAGTTCCTGGGTATCTGCCTCAGAAAGGGCTGGCAGGCTTGTCTGCAGGTGCAGTGCTGTGCCCTCCTGGTCTCCTGCGGGTGGCTCACGGTGCAGGGTACGGCCCATCAGCCCAGATGCTGCAAGGAGAGCAGATGGTCAGCAGTGACATCTCTCGGAGTTGCAACAACCCTCGTGTGCTCTGGATGGCAGAGCGTGGTCTTTGAGGCGGTGTTCCTCCCGCCACCACACGCAGGACTGCTTCCTCTCTCGACCTCTGTGAGCCTTGCCTTGCCACCCGGCCCCGAAGGATTAGGGTCTGCAACACTGCAAACAGACGGTGGCCACTCTGTACCTCTCAGAGTAAAAGCCCTACATCCCAAGTGGTTTTATTTTATTTTATTTTTGAGAAAGGCTGAAGATTTGGAGTAAAAAACACAAGAATCATTGAACTCTGGTGAAATGCACATCACACACGACTGGGGAACTGCAGCGACATCTGAGCTACTCTGCAGAAGGCTGAGGTTCTGGAGAGCACAGGAAGTGGCCCACAGCCCAGGCCAAGCACTGCCACACGTCTGCGCCACCGAGGTGGGAGGTGAGTCAGAGCTGCCCGTGGTCAGGCTCAGAGAGGACCTGGGTGTTTCCACCCTGTGGTGAGCCTCAGGGCTCCAAGCCACCTGCCAGAGGCAGTCTCGCTCCGCAGAAGGTGGCCCAGTGTGCCTCCTGCAGAGGCCACCTGCCCTTTATTTACAGAGCAGCTTCAACAGCAGCCTTGACACCCCGGGGCCCAGATAAGGGCGCAATGTTGTTTGCTCTTCTGCAGCACACGCAGCTCCCCTACGTCTGGTGCAGCCGTCATTTACGAGGATGTCAGGAAACAGGCAGGGAGAGTGCAGCTGCAGTGCCAGCTCCTGATGGGGCAGGCAGGCAGGTGGGTGGCCTCAGCATCCCTCCCAGGTTCCTACCTCAGCCAGCAGAGCCCGTACCCTCCTCAATCCTGATGGATGCAGCCCGGGAGCAGTGGCTGAGCGTGACATCAGAAAAGGAGAGGAAAGGGGGGATACCTGGGGGTGCACTCTTGCTGGGGCCAAGGGCATACCCCCTCTAGCCTATCACTCCCTAAATGATCTTGACAAGCTCACCTTCCAACCCCACCCTCCACAGGAGAGATGCCACCTCCAAGATGCCACCCCCGCCAGCCTATCAACCCCCAAATGATCCTGACAAGCTCACCCTCCCTGACAGCACCCGGCTGAGCAGAGAAGGACCAGCCTTGCCCAGGGCCACAGGGGACTGAGCACAGGGATGGCCCTAAAGAGGGAGCAGCTCCAGGCCCAGCAGATGGGTGCGAGTGCAAGTGGGGAAGTGGGGTGAGACTCAGGTGGGAAGTAAGGGGCTCCCTTCACAGATAGCACCAGCGGGACAGATTGCCCAGTGGGCTGTTTTCCTATCCCACTCTTCAGAAACAAACTCTGGTTACAACCAACAACAATTTCACAACCTAGGTTTGCAACACCCAAGCTGTATGTGGGTGCTCTCTGGGAAGCTGCGGCCCACTACTGTGCTTCTCTGAATTTGTGCATTACCCATAGGAGCCTGCAGGCCCTCACATGAAGCTGCTCACTGAGGAGCCCTTCTCTGAAACACTGAGCCACAGTGCACAGGCCAAGCTAGGCTGGAAGACACAGCCACAAACTCAGAGGATGTGTGCCTCTGGTGACCTGAGATCACAGGGTGGCCCCCGTCCACCTCGCAGCACCAGCACAGCCTAGGCCACAGGAATGGAGGGGCACAAACTGCCCAGCCTGCGCTGCACCAGTGCCTCCTTCCTCCAAGAGCCCCATACCCCACCCCGCCCTGCCCAAGGCTCTCGTAGTCTGGTCTGCAGTGTGCTGTCTGCAATGTGCTGTGTGATGGTCTATAAGCCTGCTATGTGCTGGTGCCCTTTGACTTGCTGGGTGTTGGGAGCTGAAGGACTGTGTGCTTTCCTCAGCATCTTCTCAAGCTGCAATTCCTTGGCTACAATGTGGGCTTTAAAAAACAACAACTATTTATTTTGTAGAGATAGCATGTCACCTAGGTTGGTCTCAAACTCCTGGCTCGAGTGATCCTCTTGCTTCAGCCTCCCGAGTAGCTGAGAACACAGGCATGCAGCACTACGACCTGCTAATTTTTGTGTTTTTGTTTGTTTTGAGACAGAGTCTTGCTCTGTCGCCCAGGCTGGAGTGCAGTGGTGTGATCGCGGCTCACCACAACCTCCGCCTCCCAGGTTCAAGGGATTCTCCTGCCTCAGCCTCCCGAGCAGCTGGGAGTACAGGTGCACACCACCACACCCGGCTAATTTTTTTTATTTTTAGTAACATGGGGCTTCACCATATCGGTCAGGCTGGTCTTGAACTCCTGACCTCGTGATTCGCCCGCCTCTGCCTCCCCAACTGCTGGGATTGCAGGTGTGAGCCACCGCGCCTGGCTTAATTTTTGTATTTTTTTATAGAGACGGGGGTCTTAATATGTTACCCAGGCTGGTCTCGTCCTCCTGCACCCAAGTGATCCTCCCACATTGGCTTCCCAAAGTGCTGGGCTGCAGGCATGAACCACCGTGCCCAGCCGACACAGGCTCTTCAGGGCAGAGCCCCTGGGCCTCCCTACCTACGACATGGCTTTCATTTCAGCACCTGAGGCTGCGTGACAGAGACACTCAGGCCGTTCTGGAATTTTAACAAATAGGACTTTGCTTAAACACTCAGAAGGCTGGACAGAATTCTTACGCCTCAAGCCATGGATGTTTCTGCTGGGCGCGGTGGCTGGGATCCTGGTGAGGCTGCATGCTGCCATCTCCAGAGCCACAGTGCTCGTGGAGCTGCTGAGTCACTCTTTTTAACATTTCTTCCAGGAAAGCTTAATTTGGTTCTGTAAGGATGGTTTCTGCCTTGGGGTCATGAGTGACTGCAATTAAACAAAAGCATCACAGGTGGTTCACAGCAAGAAGGGTGGGGTGACTCGACTGTCCGGGAGTAGGAAGTGTTCCAGACACCTATGCACAGCCTTGCTGGCCTGGGGGTGCAGGAAGCCAGCCCAGGAAGAGCCCAGGGCACACTGCTGGCTGCAGAATGTCTTGGTCATCTGGAAAGAGAGTGCCCTGAGGCCACAGGCCCCTGTGCAAGACACAGCTCTGTCTTCACTGCCAGTGCTGAGGAGGGGCTGCCTGCACCTGCCTGGGAGCGGGGACCTGGGCCACCAGCCTGTCTGTCTCCAGCAAGCCCCTTCCCTCAGCCCTGGCCTCCAACACTCACCTGTCACCCAGGAAAGGCCTCTGCTGGGCCTAGTGGGCCTGTGAAGCTAGCGCACAGGTAAGGACAGCGTAGGGAGCTGAATGGAGGAGACAGCAGCTTGTGTGCTCCATCTCCCACTCAACCAATACGCACGCGCAGGTGGGGGCTGAGCGGCATCCTCTGATAGGCTCCAGGCCAGCTGATGCAGTACCCCCAGGCTCCCCAGTCAGCCCAACCCGAGCCCGCGGTGCCACAGCAGGCTCCTGGGTGCTTCAGCTCCAGTGGGAACTTCCCTGCCTCAAAAGACGCCTGGCACTAACGAACTGCAGAGACAACCTCAGCCACCCCAATGCTCTGGTCCTTTACTAACTGCCCACTGCATCCGCCTGCCTCCTGCCCTGTCCTGCTGCTGGTGCTGCTGTGCAGACAGACACACGGCCCGGGGAAGCAGAGGTACAGGCAAGGCTGTCATCAGGGAGCTGGAAGCCCAGGCAGGCCTTACCCCCAAGACAGGCAGTGAGTGACAAAGAAAAATCTCAGTGATCAAACAGCCTTCAAATACGCTGTGCACAGCAGGGTAGAGGCTCACGCCTGAAATCCCAGCACTCTGGGAGGCTGAGGTGAGAGGATCACTTGAGCCCAGGAGTTCAAGACCAGCCTAGGCAACACGGCAAGACCCCATAATTAAAAAAAAAAAAAATTAGCTGGGCATGGTGATATGTGCCTATAGTCCCAGCTACTTGAGAGGCCAAGGCAGGAGGATGTCTTGGGCCCAGGAGATTGAAGTTACAGTGAGCTATGATTGCACCTCTGCACTCCAGCCTGGATGACAGGGCAAGGCCCTGTCTCTAAAAGAAAAAAATAAATAAAAAGAAAAAGAAAATACTGTGCATGTCCCTTGGTAGGATGTGTGGGAAGGAAACCTCACCCTGTGGCCTTCCTCCCAAACCACAGCCCAGGCCGACTGCAAGAAAATCTGAGACAGAGGCTGCTGTGCAAGCCCTGGCCCAGCCTCCAGAAGGCTGTCAGAAGCCACAGGGCCCAGAGACATGTGAGGAGGGTGATTGTGCGGTCCTGGGTGCTCCTCAACGCAAGGACGAGTGTCTAGAATAAAATAAAACGTGCACTTGGCACGCAGCCCTGCAGAGGTCTCTGGAAAGGCTCCCCGCCCCGGGTGTCCCTCCCTGACAAGCGCCCATCCGGTGTCGCGAGGCTGCCACCCTGTGGCCACACGTGCACCAGCGCTCGTCCCAGAGGCAGGGATTTCTGAGACATCCGTCATGGTTTCCACCTCCAGGGAGCCCACAGTTTCCAGCTGAGAGCAGTAAACACAGGGAAGCTGGCACAGAGTCCCTGTGCCTACGCATGGACAACAGCAGCAGGCGGCAGGCAGAGGCAAGGCCTCAGAGCCACAAGTGCCCCACAGACTACTGAGCTCCCATCAAACGGGGCGCCGCCTTCTTGCTAACATAGCACCAGGCAGGGCACCACACGCTCCAACCCCTGCATGGAGCCTCTTCAAGAACACCCTCTGGAGGCACAGCTGCCCCCATGAGACCAGCACTTACCTGGACAGGCCAGGTTGCCCATGGGGGTGAAAGTGAGCACGGAAAGGTGGCACAACAGTCCCCCACAGGAGCAACAGTCCATCTCACACATGCAGCAGGTCCCTGTGGGACTGTGTGCTGTGTGTGCCACATGGCAAGATGGCTGCCCCAGGTACTCAAAACACCACGGGCCGGGTGCAGCTGTGCAAGTGAAAAGACGGTGCTCGCTGTGGCTACAACCCACACTCAGGTGACCTGAACTAAGGGGGCCCTCCTAGCCGAGCAGGGAGGGTGACGCCATCAGTCCTGAATCCTGAATGCACGTTGAGGCCCCCAGAAAAGGTGATAGCCCTCTGACCTCAAACGGCACAGATTGCAGGAACCCACTTACAAACACCAGCCTGCGGAACACAGGAGTGCTCGCCACCACGGTGCAGCCAGGTCGGCAACATGGCAGGGCCACTAAACACACTGAGTGCTTCTCTACTGGGACCCTGGAGAGCAGTCCTGAACTCCACAGAATGTCACAAACTTCCTGCCTGACGCCACACATACCCAGGGACCCCTCTTCAGTCCCCACACCACCAGTCCACAGCACGTCACATACCTCCTCCCTGAAGCCACGTGCAGGAGTACGCCTGTACCATTTACCTTGAATGTGGGTGAAGACCTCTGCTTCCTATGCTTCTGTAGCCTGTCTCCCACTAGGACACTCGGGTTCAGGCCTGCACTTTAGTGACAGCAGCTCATGGTGACCTTTGATCTCATCTTGATCAATGGATTTCATTACATTTCACACCACATGCTCCATTCCATAGGGGTCAATGCCTCTCTTTGCAACCCCTGACTTTAAGACATATACAGAAAGGTGGTAGGTTTTCTGTGATTCAACTACGTGCTGCATATCTAAGGTGTGCACCTTTCATTTTTAGGGTGTGTATTCAGCCCTGGGGCTCATGGGACTCAATCTATTATTATGTGTATTTCTTTCCGAAACTTGAAGCCATCTGGAATAGCAAGCAAAACATTTTCATGTTAGAGAAACAGGTTATAGGAACTGAAATCTTTCTCTTAAGAGAAAAATTAGAGAAACCGAAAGGGTAGCAAATATCTCTTACTTTTAACAGACACCTGGCATTTAAAATCCTGAAGAATACAGCTTTACATGCTGTACGTATAGACACGCATTATAGTGTGGACGTACATGTCACATACATGCACAATACATAGGCATTGATACACATGTGTACATATGTATACATGCATGCGTATTAGCTATAATGCTAATATTAGAAAATGGAGTCTTTTATGACATTCAGATTTCTTAATCAGAGCTCGAAGACAAACTGCAGGGGAAAATCGGTGGATTTTACCATGGCAAGATAAAAGATTTCTGTAAGGGAGGAAGAGACTCTAGAGGAAGTGGCTATAGCCTCTAAAGCCAGCCAAGGCTGATGGACTAGGATAGTAGGAAAGTCGTGCACATCTGTGGGGGAAGAAAGCACATGAGGAAAGAAGAAAACAGAACAGGCCATCCATAGAGCAAAACCTGCAGGGCCAAAACAAATACAACGCATCAGAGGCCCCACCTCCTAACCAAGGAAAGGGTAAAGGCAAGAATAACACCAAGAGGCCACCAGCCTCCCATCAGACGGGCAGGACCATGGCGGCTCCTAGCACATAAGCCTCGGTCCTGTGCTAGGGAGGAGGTAGGCCAAACGTGGTGGACGTGCCAAGACCCAGGGTGTCTGCCCCTCAGCCCGGCCCCCAGGACAGGCCAGCTGAGCATTCACAATCTACAATGGAGTCTGCGGGAAGGTACCATGGCCACTCCACACACATCTGAGAATGCCACAAACACACAGAACCACGCTGCACAGTTCTCCAACACACAGATCCCTAATAGCATGTTTGGGCGCCAGGCTAGGAAAACCTAGATTAAATGCCCAGGGAAACAAGAGTGGGCAAAGTAGGGGTGATGGGAATGGCCCCACCAGGGGAAGTGGAGATGGTGCCAGTAACAATCCTGAGGTGCTGGTTCCCACATCAAAATGAGGGGAGATGACAGAGACAACAGCAGGAGCTTCCTTTTGCTCTGATGCACTCATTCTGAAAGCCCTTTCTGTGTCGTAGCAGGTTCTGCATCACCATAACTGAGCACCTGAGACTGGGTAATTTACGAAGAACAGACCTTTAGTCAACTGACAGTTCTGTGGGCTGGGAAGTCCAAGGGCATGCCCTGGCTTCCACCAAGGGCTCTCGTGTTGTGGCAGAGACACTCAAGGGGGAAGCGGACACAGGCAAAGAGACAGAATCAGAGGGGCATCCTGCCTCCTAACAACCCACTCTTGGGAACTAATGCATTCCCAGAATTCATCCAGGCTTCCCAGAGGGAGCACTCACTCACTACCATGAGAACATCACTGAGCCACCCAGAGGGCAGAGTCCTTGTGACCAAACACCTCCCAGCCCTGCCACACTGGCGACCAAATTTCCACATGAGCTTTGGTGAGGATAAACTGTATCCAAAGCATGGTACCAACCGCTTTGGAATTCACGCACCTATCAAGTGTACAGTTAACTCTCAGTGATTTCAGATTCACAGATGTCAAGTACAAGGAAAATGGTCTGGAATTGTTTTTATGTATAAACAAACGAGCTGTCTCTAGCAAGCTGGAGGCCAGCAGCTGCTCTAGGTGACGCATCTGTTAGGCATTTCCCACAGGCGTGCTGAGTCTGCCTGTAATTTTAGAAGTCTGTGCACGCGCTCACTGCCTTGTCGGTCACTAACCTGCATGCCAGACTGAGCAGCTCTTCTCTGCGGGGGAAGAGGTTCTTGCGCTTCTGAGCACCAATGCATCTTCTAACAGCTCCATCTTCTTGCTGAACTGCACTTCTAAAATGGGGATAACCTCTGGCATCTTGGCAGATATCAAACGATAGGCCATGTCTGGCTTTCCAATAAACCGCTGGCGGATGCTAATTTCGTAAGGTGAGTGGACCTTGATGTCGTCCACGTCTTCTCTTTCAAACCTGTGCATGAGCAAAGAACTGGAGTCATGTATTTCCAACCCAGACACAAGGACGGTGAGCCTCCCTGGTTTAACGTGAGACTCTGTTCTGTGGGAAATAACAGCAGGAATTTTTATCAGTATCCCTTCTTTCCCAAAGGGTTCACAACTGGTCATGGAGACATCTTCCCTGGGCTTTGTTTCCGGTGGTGTCTTCCAAAGCTTGGAGCTAAAGGGCCACCAAGCAGGAGATTCCAGTTCTGTCAGCAATCTGAAAAAGCAAACAAAACATGGAAAACTGGATCAGTTCATTTTTAAGGAGTAATACCTTTTTTTTTGGAAAACGGTTTTAACCTTTGTAAAGCATGTTGCCATTTTACTCTACTTCATTTCCACAAGCACTCCATGAAGCAGGAGGCACAGGGACTTTTATCTCCAGTGTGAGAAGAGAAAGCTGGGGGCCAGCAGTGAGAACATTCATCTAGATGCAAAGCCAACCAGCAAAAAGACAGCAAAAATGCACACCTTCTGCCTAGAATATCACTCTGCCCACACCCTGCTGCCTTGATCTGGGTCATCTTGATTCAAAATGAAACCTGTACTTACTGTCTAGGGAGCTATCTAACAGACCTTTCTGCAGTGATGGAATGTTCTACGTCTGCGCTGTCCATACTGTAGCAGGCACACGTGACAACTGAAGCTCTGCCTAGCAGGCCCCTTCCCCCAGCCTCAGCCAGACTCAGCATTAGATGCTTCCCCACCACCCACACTCTCAACACCCACTCTCGTCCGCATGCTCCAGATTCCTGTTGGTGCCGACTGCACCTCCTCCTCAGAGTACACTCTGCACCCTGTCTTTCAGCCTCTGCTGGGATTGGAGTCTAGTTGAGCATCTACAGGTGTGGGGACAGAAGCTGAGGAGAACCCGGCACGTCTTGCAGGATGAATCTCCCTAGACTGGGAGGAAGGGCTACCTCTACTGGCCAGGAAGTTTCTGTGGCCTTCAGGGACTCAGCGTCCCCAGCTTCTGCAGACTGCAGCCATGCGTCTACACTGGGGTTCTCAGGGTCCCATTCCTTCTCGGTCATGCCCTCAATGTCACAGCAGATGCCATGCACAGTTAGAATTCAGCCATCTGCAGCAGGAGACTCCAGATTCTGTTTTCACAAAGCTCTGTCCTGCAGCTACAGGAGCTAAGGGCTTCCCTTGGGGCAGATCCAGAAACGTCCAGGCTGTTCCTGGAGCACCCTGAGCTCATTTGTTTCTTTCCCCATGCTGCCCAGCAGGGTGACTGCGTCAGTCAGGTTCTCCAGAGAACAGAATCAGTGGGTATGCTGGGGGGAGAGAAGGAGGGGCTTATTTGAAGGAATGGCTGCCATGGTTGTGGCACTGCACCTAAGCTAACTGCCATGGGCCAGCCTATTAGAATTATTAGCAAGATTACATGGGGAAAATCATGGCTACTTTCACTAACTTCCAGTTGAATGTGGCATTTCCTTCCATCCTGACTGTAGACAGCTTCAGTATTAGTTGAACCTTTGACTGTCACCAACAGAAGTCTCATCACATTAGTTATTGCAGATCTCAATATATCACATTAACCCCTGCTTTAAAATAACTGCAGTTACTAGACCTGCCGTTGGCTTCAGTATCCCATACATCAATGGGAAGACATTATATGACCTCAGCAAGAGTTTACAGTACACATCCTGCATTTCTTATAGGCCATTCTTAGTCAAGATTATGTATCATTATCCAAATTAAAACAAAAGGTGCACAGTTTGCTGACTGGCGTTTGGGATTTTGATGAAGGTAGATGAGTGAGCACTCCGTGGCTTCCTTGCCCTGACTTATCTCTAAGTGACTGTAAGATTTTTGATGCAGTAGATGGATGTGAAATGTCAAAATGGTGCCCTGTGCTGGCTGCACCCAAGATGGTCTGTTTTAGTTGCCAAGAGCCACACTCACACGTTTTCTTTTACAGTGATGACTTTAGGTTTTCTTTTACAGTGATGACTCCTAGCCCTATAGTGAAGCTCTAGGGATGAACGTGGAGACTTCTGGTTCCAAAATCATGCCATAGACACAAGCTGGCTCCACTCCTTCAGCTGAAAACCAGAAACAAAGGCACAGCACCAGCAATATCCCAGAACTCAAATGTGAGAATGGGATGGCCCCTGGAGCCACAGAGAAAGGAACAATTCCTAGAGAGACTAAGGGAATTGAACTTCCACATCTGAGACGTCCCTCATCTGGAGAAAGTTCCCCTGACTCACAGTCTCTAACCTGGAAAAAGTGAGATCGAGGTGAACAACCTGCTTCCCTGCCTCTTGGGCTCCCTGGCAGGAGGCCTGCTCCCACCTCAACCCATGGGAAGCACTGCCAAGGGAGAAACGTCCCTGAGCACAGCCAGAAACAGTGGGGCATGGCAGGACCAGGACGCTCAGCCCTGGGTGCTGTGCACGGTAACTTGGCCTAAGCAGACACCTAGAGCTGCTGTTGGGCAGCAACACGCCATGGGAGGTGCAATCCCCAGGACCCCAGGCAAAAGTCCCTCGCCAGCCTCTCCACATGATTGGGACATCCCCTCCAAGATCTACCCCATTTCAGACAGGCAGCACCCTAACTGTTTGCTGGAAATACACGTGGGCAGAGCCACCACCATCGGGGCACTGCTGAGGATGGTAGGATGCTTCTGAGCAGGCAGAAGGACAGGCAGGAGCCTGATCTAAATGGCCGGGGCCGGGTCCAGAAATATTCTGTGTATCAAAGTGGCACCTGGTCACGCACAGGGGATTTTCTTAAAGGTGACTAATTTGCAAATTAGATCTTAAAGGAAACTGATATTGACAAAGAAAGAAGAAAAATCATACTCATACCTAGGAATCTCAAAACTGAAAGGGGACTGAAGGTCCTCTGGGCTGGGGTCCAATGTGAGTCGCGTTACACAATCCAAAAGAGATGAGAGACGCACTGCTCATGTGACAACTTACTAGGCTTTCAACAACTGTATATAGTCAGAAGTGTTGCTTTTATTAAGCCAAATTTTCTTTCCTATTACTTTACCACTGTTGATTTAAAAAGCCACACTCTGTAATATATTTTAAGAGATTTATTCTGAGCCAAATGTGAGGACCATGACCAGTGACACAGCCTCAGGAGGTCCTGCGAACATGTGCCCAAGGTAGTTGGGTTACAGCTTGGGTTTATATGTTTTAGTGGGACATAAGACATCAATCAATGCATTGGTTCAGTCTGGAAAGACAGGACAACGCAAAGCAGATGCTTACATGTTACAGGTAGATTCAAAGATTTTCTGATTGGCAATTGGTTAAAAGATTGGTTAAAAGATGGCAATTGGTTAAAAGTGGCCCCCTGGCGTTGGGCCACTCAGTGGCCCAGGTTCTCCTCCAATTGTCCCAGACAAACTCCACGTCATTCTGCTGGTTGGTGGCCTGCAGGTGAGCCAGTGCCTGTGGGTGCATTCCTGTCACCTTTAGTTAAGAGTTATTATCTAAAAACCTGGACTCCCAGCATGGGCACAAAGTGAGACTCCATCTCTACAAAAAAATAAAAAAACTAGGCTGGGTATGGTGGCTCACGCCTATAATCCCAGCACTTCAGGAGGCCGAGGTGGATTACTTGAGGCCCAGGAGTTCAAGACCAGCCCGGCCAACATGGCAAAACCCTGTCTCTATTAAAAATTCAAAAATTAGCTGGGCATGGTGGTGTGCACCTGTTATCCCAGCTACTCAGGAGGCTGAGGTGGGAGAATTGATTGAACCCGGAAGGCAGATGTTGCAGTGAGCCGAGATCACGCCACTGCATTCCTGCCTGGGTGACAGAGCGAGACTCCATCTCAAATAAAAGAAAAAAAGAAAAAAAAGAAAACAAAACTAGCCAGACATGGTAATGCATGCCTGTGGTCCAGCTACATGGGAGGCTGAGGTGGGAGGATCACTTAAGCCCAGGAGTTGGAGGCTGGAATGAGCTGTGATCGCGCCACTGCACTCCAGCCCAAGTGACGGAGTAAGATCCTGTCTCAAAAAGTAAATAAATAAAAACCTGGAATCAACTGAAAGGAGTGTCTGGGCTGGAGATAAGGGGAGGCCAAGGTTGTTATGAAGATTAGGTCTTATAGGTGGCCGCACTTAGAGATGACAGATGGCAAGTGTTTCCTATTCCAACCTTCAGGAGGAGGAGGGCATAATGAGGCATGTCTGACCCCCTCCTTCTTTTCATGGTCTGAACTAGTTTTTCAGGATTACTTTGGAATCCCCTTGGCCAAGATGGGATCCATTCAGTTGGCTGGGGTGCTTAGGATTTTACTTTTGGTTTATACAACTAAAGGACCTAGTTTAGCGTTCTAAAGAAAAAGGTCTCAAGTGACAGCCATCAGTTATTTTAGGCAGTCTTGGTCAGCTTTCCTCTCCAGGCAAAACACTTTTGATTCCCTCTCACAGGTCCTGGTTTTAGTCCTCTCAATTTCCTGTGACCCCCTCATTTCCTCAGTGTTCCCCTCAAAGGCCTGCAATGCTCCTGTGCCTCCTGAAGGAGCAGGGCAGGCCACCAGCTCTGATCACAGTGCCGTGAGGTGACCTGCCAAGCACACAATGACATGGGTGCACACACTTTAAAAATCTCTATACAGCCACTGAGGAAAACAGCATGGAGGCTCCTCAAAAAATCAAGGAGGAACCGTTTTGGAAGTGCTGGAAAGGGAAGGGCGTGGTCCCTTTAAATGATATGGAAGAGGGGAAGGGAAATGCTGGGTAGAGGAGGGCGTGGTCCCTGGCTAGGGCTCCACCCTTACGGATGGACAGATGGAGGAAGGTAAAGACAGGCATTTTTGTTTTCCTGCCCAAATGCACTTCCCAAGACCACCCTGGCCTGCCACACCCCCATCCTGTGCCTATAAACACCCTGAGACCCTAGCAGGCAGACACACAGGTGGCCAGACCTCAAGAGGAGCACATCAGTAAAGGGACACAAGGGCAGCTGGATGTCAAGAGGAATGCACACAGGCACCAGCACGGCTGTAGGCCACCAACTGGCAGAATGATGCAGAGTTTGGCTGGGGCAGTTGGAGGAGAGCCCAGGCCACTGAGTGGCCCAACTCCAGGGGAAAACCATCTCCCTTCGGGCTTCCCCATCTGCTGAGAGCTACTTCCACTCAATAAAACCTTGCACTTATTTTCCAAGCCCATGTGCAATCTGATTCTTCTGGTACACCAAGGCAAGAATCCCAGGATACAGAAAGCCCTCTGTCCTTGCAACAGGGTAGAGAGTCTAATTGAGCTGGTTAACACAAGCCACCTACAGATGGCTAAACTAAAAGAGCACATGGTAGCACACACCCACTGGGGCTCCAGGAGCAGTAAACATCCACCCCTAGATGCTGTCGTGGGGTTGGAGACCCATAGCCTGCCTGTCTGTATGCTCCCCTAGGAGGTTTGGGCAGCAGGGCACTGAAGCCAGCCGTGGCTTCAGTGGCTGGCTTCAGTGCCCTGTTGAATGCCCTGTGAGGGGGACAAGGGAACCTTTCCTATTTCAGAACCACCATGATTTTGCAATCCTGCTTGTGGGTTTACACCTGTTCCATGGTGAGCAGGCCTATGTAAAACTGCCTCCGATGTGAGGAAGCTGAGAGGCTGCAGAAAGAGGATGACAGACCCCGCTTCTCAGAAGGAAGCATCTAACAGCGACTTATGGACAGGGAGGCAGGTCTGTGTCTTAGGCAGCAGTGAGATGAGGCAGTGGATCCCATGCCATGGCCCCCAGACCCAGGGTTTCTGCACCACAGGGGACATATGTGTAGGACAGACCCGGCAGGAAAAGATAAGAATGCCCCGTGAACCTGCCCAAGGGCAGAGTATGTGGTTAAGTACCTGCTCTTACACAAGGAACAATAAGTGAGGTAGAAATCTTAGAGGCATCCCCAGAAATGGGGTTAATCAGATGTTAACAAGGCCTATTAGTATCCAAGATGGAGTTGCTTTAGCCTCCACAATAGCCAAAGGAAATAAAACCAGTATCTCAAAGTGACACCGGCACTCCCAAGTTCACTGCAGCATGCTTCACTATAGCCAAGGCATGGAAACCACGTGTCCATCCACAGACGGATGGATTGAGAAAATGGAACAGTACTGACTCCAAGTTAGAGAAAAGCTTGTTTACTTGAACACAATTATTGCTTTGCTTGAGTCTGCAGATTATTAAAAATGCCTTGGGAAAACAGGACCTTCAACAGAAATAAAAGAAAATACACCAACCAACAACTCTGAGAACCAACAACTCACTCTGGGACTCAACAGCTCTGGGAACCAACAGCTCTGGGAATGGGCTGGCCAGCCTAAGAATAGGCTGATGGTGCCTGCAGAAGGCCACAAGGCATTGACCAAGAAAGCAAGGATTAACTGCCCATCTGAGACTCTGCAGGTTTCACAAGGGTGCTTTAATCATCTCCCTTAATTTCCCTTAAAAACCCCTGATCTGGAGTCACAACTCCAGGGGAGGTGATCTTTGAAAACAAGTCTACCACCCAGAGGTTGCTGGCTTCCTTAATAAAGCTAACTTTCCTTTCACCAAAGCTCATCTCTTGGATTTTGGCTTTCAAGCAATGAGTGGCCGAGACCTGAGTTCGGGTACAAAAATACAGTGTCTATATGCCATGGAATTTTATTCAGCCACAAAAAAGAAGGAAATCCTGCCATTTCACCAAGATGGACAGACCTGGAGCACATTATGCTGAGTGAAAGGCACCAGATAGAGAGAAAAACCCTGCATGACGCATGTGGGACCTAAAGAAGCCAAACTCACAGAAACAGAGAGAAGGGCAGGTGTGGGGCGGGTGGGGAAGCGGGGAGAGAGTGGCCAAGGGCACCAGCTTCAGTTACGGGATGAATGAGCTCTGGGCAGTAATGACATGGTAGCTGCAGCTCTCCATACTAATAGTACACTTGAAATCTGCCAAGAACACAGATCTTAGGTGTTCTTAACATTCTCAAGGAAAAAAAGAAAAAGGGAACAAAATGACAGGCATGTGAGGTGAGAGATGTGTTCGTGCGTATGACTGTGGTGGTGACTTCACAGTGGGTACAAACACTGCATCACCAAGCCACATGCCTGAAATATACACAGGTTTTCTCAGCAATACCTCAATAAAGCTGCAAAAAATAATTATACTTAAAAACAAAGTCTTGGCCGGGCGCGGTGGTTCACGCCTGTAATCCCAGCACTTTGGGAGGCTGAGGCGGGTGGATCACGAGGTCAGGAGATTGAAACCATCCTGGTTAACACGGTGAAACCCCATCTCTACTAAAAAATACAAAAAAATTAGCCAGGCGCGGTAGCGGGCACCTGCAGTCCCAGCTACTTGGGAGGCTGAGGCAGGAGAATGGCAGGAACCCGGGAGGCGGAGTTTGCAGTGAGCAGAGATCGCGCCACTGCACTCCAGCCTGGGAGACAGAGCGAGACTCCGTCTCAAAAAAAAAAAAAAAAAAAAAAAAAAAAAAAAAAAAACCAAGTCTTTATGTAATTGGCCCCATTCCTTCGCATTGTTTTTCTGACCTGCTTTTCAAAATCCTGTGTCAGATTTGTCTTTTTCTTGTGTCTGTTCTGTTTCTTGCATGTCCTGGAGGCTGGGCGCCCTGCCTGTGGGCCTGGGGAAGGCACCAAGGCTGCCTGCACCTGAAGGGACCGGCGTGGGCAAAGGCCAGGTGGTCTCCGACACTGCGACCTGCAGTCCTGCCAGGCTGACGACCTCAATCCTCCTGCCTGGCGGGAAAGAACTCTGAGCACCAGCACTAAGAAGGAACTGGACATGAATACAGGCAGGCACAGGGCCTCACTCTGCTGTGCTCCTCAGCACACAAGAATGGGGGTGCTGAGGATCAGCTGAGAGTGCACCTGGCCGGCGGTGGGGCCTGCGGTGGCCAGGACAGGTAGTGGGACAGGTGGTGGGGCTGGCGCAGGGTGGCAGGCTACCTCTGGGAGACAGCTGCTGAGCAGGAGAGAGACGTGGCGGTGCAGGCCGACGCAGGTGAACATAGGACGGCCTGTCCCAGG
This sequence comes from Homo sapiens, assembly GCF_000001405.40. Lineage (NCBI taxonomy): Eukaryota > Metazoa > Chordata > Mammalia > Primates > Hominidae > Homo > Homo sapiens. The sequence goes on along the minus strand of NC_000001.11, from coordinate 227,751,198 downwards.
AGAGTGGGCGACACAGGGCGGGCTCTTCTTCACCGCACAATCAAAGCCACAGTGTTCAGGGAGCACTAAAGGGGCCCAGGGGCTGGGTCAGATGCCGGCACTGTGGGTGGAACTCTTGTTTCTCTGGCTCGGCCAGTCTTTGGGTCACCCACTACATTTCCAGAAGAAGGGACAGGCCCATCGCTTGGTGCCCGGCTCATTTCCCAGCAGGAGTCCATAGCAAACATGGGGGCTCTGGGTCCATGCCATGGATAATCGTGTGCCTTGGCAGCCTCCTCCCAATCTCCCTCTACACAGTCTCTGGGTGCACCCAACGCTGGCACTGATGCCATGTGGCCACACAGAAACTCGGCTGGGCACAGAAAAAGATGCTCCTTCTCCATGGCATTTGTTTTTTCTGTGACTGGGAGGAGGATGACACCCCAGGAAGCAGGGAAAGCCACATTGTGCACCCACAGCCTCCCCTCCAGGACCGCAGCACCCTCGCCTATGGCCAGGGCTCAGTCCTCTGCGAATATCCCCAGGCCTCCCCCTGCAGACACTGTCAGGGTCCAGCCCAGGGACACCCCTCAGCAGCGAGCCAGGGCAGGGAGAAGCCAGGACGGAGGCACCATGGGGAGGGCTCCAGAACCCCACAGGCGGGAGGGCAGAGGGCCAGTCCCAGCTTGCCAGGGCATGTGCCTCCCAGGAGGCTGTGATGGTCACATTAGTGTCCACATAGCAGGGCCACAAGGCCCAGTCGTCAAGCACTACTCTGCACGTGTCTGTGATGGTGTGTGTCCATGAGATTAAATAGAAATTGGCGGACTCCCAGGAAAGCAGCTCGGCCTGTAATGTGGGCAGGCCCCGTGCAACCTGCTGAAGGCCTTAAAAGAACAAGAACTGATCCGAGAAACAGAGTCATGGCCTTCGGCCTGCAACTGTCCGTGGGGCTCCAGCTGCTGGCCCCCTGCAGACTCTGACTAGGGCAAAACACACACCTGCCATCTACACAGAAGAGCTGGGATTGTCGGGGGCTCTGTCATCTTCCGGCTCCGGCCTTGTGCCAGCAAAGCTCTGACTGAAAGGATCTCCTCTTAGTCAAGTACAAGATGTGACCTCAGTCCAACTAACCTGCATGCAATACTGATGCACCAATATGACCCCAGCTTAGGGCTGAGGGACAGTGGCCAATGCCAAGGCGGGATTCCAGGGACACAGAGGTTCTGCCCACTGCAGCTGTGGGTGCTAGGAGGAAGTTCTCACTTTCCTCCGAACAATCACAAAACGAGAAACAACACGCTTCAAAATGACTTTTCAAGAAATAATAAAAGTAATTGAAAGCATGTAAAAACCTGAGCTATGTGTACTGAAACACACACACACAGATGACACACACAAATACACACAGACACAAACAGAAACACACAGACACACATACACATACAGACGACACACAGACACACACAGACACACACACAGGCTCTCAAGGACGTGTCCTTAAAAAAGGGGTAGAGAGCAATAGAGAAGGACGGCAAACTCAACACACACTTCTCCAAAGACAAAGGAAACAGACAAATATAGTGGCAGCCTGACACTGAAAAGCGGGCAGACTGGCAAATCCAGGAAGGTGGATAGTATGCCAGCAGCGGCATGCTGAGAGACCATGCAATTAGGGTGCCAGAGCCCTATGGGGTGATGAGGAGGGAGTACCAGCACCCTCCCAGCAGAGGTAGGAAGAACCAGCAACACGCAGGCACAAGTCCATGTGGCACTGCACTGGGAGATCCTCGGCTCCCAGATGGACCCACCCAAGTGGGCACCCCCGGATCCCAGAAGAGGGACTGGATGGAACCTGAGGGCAGAGGGAGTAAACTTTCTACCTGAGCCAGAAAGCAGCCCCCCAAGACTCACGCTCCAGACAGGACCCCAGGACGAGGAACTGAGGGTCCCAGTAAACAGCCCATGGGTGATACCTCAGCCCCACACACACCATCTTAGGAAAAACGACCGCGACAAAAAAGGCAATAAACAAGCACCTTGAAAACCCAGAAACCATAAGCAAAACAAGGCTATTAATAATATCCAAACACAGAAGATGCTCGGGCCATGACGCAAGACCCGAAGGTTTTTCCAGGAAACTGGAGGAACACAAAAGAGTTCTAAGAAATTACAAGTACAAATGATAAATGGTAGGAAGATAAAAACCAGAAACACACACTAGAATAGCAACACTAAAAGAAAGCCAAATACGAAAGGAGTACCCAAACAGAAGATAGCAGGACTCAGAAAGCAAAAATCGGACTTGGAAAAAGAAAAGCATTCTTAAACAAACTGAAGAAATTTTCTGGACATACACTAGGATTTTCATACTAAGAAACATAACAGAAGAACATAGCTCATGAACAAATGGCCAATGCTGACAGGAGACACCTCACTCACAGAGACTGTCACCAAGACAGACCTCACTCCACCCTCTGTGACCTCAGAGGCCAGGGCCCATCCCCATTACCACATAGGAGCCACAGATGCTGACAGGAGACACCTCACTAACAGAGGCCGTCATCAAGACAGACCTCACTCCATCCTCTGTGACCTCAGAGGCCAGGGCCTGTCCCCATCACCACATAGGAGCCAGAAACAGAGGAATGTGTACAGGAGGTCACAGCACAGTCTCTGCTTGCTGGGTGTGGACTCAGCATGGTGCAGTGGACGGCAGTGGTGCCAGGCACCCAGTGAGCCAGCACTCACTCAGATCTCACGGTGTGTTTCCAGCAGAGTGTACCGTGTATTCACAGCCTCGCTTTCCGAGTGCTGGATCTTAATGTGCGTACCCACTAAGCATGTACAGCAGGTGCACAGCCAGGATCTCAGAATGCTGGATGTGTGCAAATATGGTGCAGTGGCCTGGAACAGTGCCTGTGAGCCTCCACACATGTGCATCTTACTCTGTGTGTGCCTTGCAAAGTGTACACAGCAAGCCCACCTGTCCGCCACCTCCAGGTCTGACTCCATCTTGTCCAGGCCTCTCATGACGCTGTCCAGCTGCTGGCCCTGGTGGTGCAGGACCCTCGCCGTGTCCTCCAGGCGTTTCTGGGATCCAGCCATGAGTCCCGTCAGCTCCTCGCCCCGGGTCCTTGGGACAGATGCGTCTGCCACGGCTCCAGGCTGAGACAGCAGCAGCTCCCTCCAGAAATGCTCGATGATGCTGAAGACCACATTTCGACTTGGCCGCAGGGAGCTGAACCAGTGCTTGGCATGGCCCTTCTCCAGGATGGTGATGGAGCTGAAGATAAAATGTGAAGCCTCCTTCTTGATCTCAACTATGCTGGAGAGGGGGAAGCTGACCAGAATCTCTCCAGTGCTGTCAGTCATGAACCTGAGCGACAGCGATGTTAAGGACAGCTGTCCAGTAACCCATCGCCTCTTGGGCTCCAGGTAGTAGGTGCACGGCCAGGTGTGGATGCAGACATCCCTGCTCATCTGTTCCTGGGTCTGTGTGCGCCAAGGTCCAGGCCTCTTCTGCCTCTGAAGGAGAAGAGACAGTAACGTTCTGCCGTCACCCATGGACTGGAGACACAAGCAACCCCACAAGGATGCTGCCTCCCCTGCGGCTCTGGGCTCACACAGGCTGCAGCACGTGGCTGACTCTCGATCCACCTGTGGCTGCATGACGAAGCCCATGTACCCTCTCAGCAGGTGAAGGAAGAGCAGCCAGAGCAGGAGGGCTGGTTTGGAACCAGGACCCCTGAGTCCCAGACTTATGCCCATCCCCCAGGCAGAGGGTTCACACTGTCATCCCCCTCACCACACTCTGTGCCCCTGCACCCAGCAAAGCCACCCTGCTTGGATCAGTGTCCACTGCTGGACGAGACTTGAGGAGGACATCACTGGAGACTTTGCCAGGGCCCTGGGCCTCGGACCTCAGTCCCAGGACGTACTCTCAGACCGTTCCAAGGAGCGCTGTCTTTTGGCCATAATGTTCCCTCTAGATGCACATTCCCCTTTGGAAACTTCCATTCATCAACTTCATTGCATAGAGAAAACAATCCTGCAGACAAGCGTTTTCCCTTCTCATAACCCCACCTAACCTTATAGCGTTCTACAGAACTGAGTAGTAACACGTACGCGTACTAACTTATTGTGCGTATGTAGTTTTACATAGCTGCAAGCAATGAAGGTGTCCTATCATGTTTTCACATCTACATTTATCAGTACAGTTTGGAAAGTCTTGGATGATAGATTTGAACGAATCCTCATGGAACATGCAGCCCAACTGTCTCATCGTACAGATAATGTAAGGTTAAGAAAACAAGAGGGCCTTGTGCAAGATCCAGGCACGAGTGCAGGACTCTGCCAGGGCCAGAGCCAGGCCGGGGATGCCTCACCAAGGTTCTGACAGCAGAGAAAGGTCCAAGGGTAGGGTGGCATTTCTCCCACTTCTCTCACAGAATTTCACTGTAACGTGACTTTACTTATACAAACAGGACAGCCAGCCAGTGTAATCCCCCCAGACATCAAAAAGTGTGGGCTTTCCATGGCACAGCTAGAGGCTGTGGGGTCCTCCTCATTCTGGCAGCACGTTCATGAGTCCTGCTATGTGCCAAATTATCTGCTGGGCACCACCTACCCTGATCCGTCCCTGGTTCCTGCAGCTCATGCAGTTACACTCTTAAGAGCCAGGTCTTTCATGTAACTGCTGCACTGGACACCATGCCCCCAACACAAGTCTAGACAAGACACACTGAAAAGCCACACCTGCATTGGAAGAGCTTGCATCAAATGGGACCTTAATTGTATGAGGACACAGCCATCTGAGAACGCACAATATGTCGTCACACGCAGACCACAGGGTGTGCAACCACTGCAGGGAAGGAGGTGTGGCTGGACTGTGGGGGCTGCCTGGCTAGGTCCCCAGTCCACAGAATACCCATGTGGCCACAGATGGAGCCCCACCCACCTTCTCCCACACCTGTCCTCCTTCTGGGGCATGGCACTCAGCACATGGAGGGTGCCGCCTGCTCATCTGGCTGGAAGTCATGAGAGGGGAAGGGCCCCATTTCATTAATTACCCTCCTTGGCAACAACCTGTCACTGAGTGAATGGGATGGATGTTTGGGGCTTTCAGATGTCTGTGCAGCTGGGCCCCTGGGGCATGGCTGAGGTGGCAGCCTTGACTGAATGCCCTGTGACTGGACAGATTTGGTCCCAGCCAGGCTAATCAATGAGAAATCCCGCTGGAAGCCTAGACAGGATGAGACTGGGTGGATGTGGATGGGATGCACCTCTCCTCACATCCCTGAGTGTCCGTGGCAGCTTTGGCCCAGACTGTTTTCCAGAATGCCTGCGTGGCGAGCAGCCTGGGGCTGCGACTGGTTTCTCCCTCTTGGCCAGAGAGAGGATGTGAGCCGGGTACTAAGGATGCCGTCTCCTCTGGGGGCAGAGGTAAGCAGGCTTGTCTTGCTGACATGCCCATTACAGCATGGGGGAGTTCCTGAACCCGGGGCTCTCCAGCTGTGACACTGATCCACCATGTGTGTAGCATCCACCTGGGACCCAGGCAGACAGGAAGCCCGCTGTGCCGAGACAGCTGAGACCATCAAGGCTGGGGCCTCCTACAGGAAGGTAGAAGCCGTCTCAGACCCATGTAGCCCCTGGGTGATGTGTATGACATCTGCAAGGCCACTCTATTCTGGGGTGTGGGTCCTTCACACCAGACTGCTCTCTGATGCCACTAAGTATTTAGGCAGCAAATGCCACACACCCGCTCTCAGCTCACAACACCCTAAGATGTTTCTATTCGGGGACATCAAGACTTTCTACAAATTTTATTTCGTTTGGAAAGTAAGCATATGAAAAGTTCAACATTAGGAGGTCAGGAAGATGGCTGCACCTGGGGAGAGGGGAAGGCCCTGCAGGGGCCTCTGTGGGGCTGCTTCTGTCCACCCCTTGCCCTGGGTGCACTTGTGATTTTGCATGCTCTGTTTTGATTCGTTGGTATTTCTGTACATAATGGTTCAATTAAAGGTTTATTGGATGTTTATAACAAACAATAGAAAATCACATTAAAATTAATAAACGCATGCATGACAGGTGTACCAGAACTAAATTTCAGCTGGGTGCTACAATTCCAAGAGCATTTGAAACCACTGCCTCAGGCAAAAGCCCAGGGAGAAGAGCACAGCCACACAGGCCACACAGATCCTGGCACGCTTCCTCTCACCGACAATACAGGTGCAGAGTCAGGGCAACCAGCTCCACCCAAGGCTGTGGGCTCAGGCAAGTGAGCGAGCCCCTCCCTCCTGCCCCTATCCCTGAGTGGGGCTGACAGTTGTGTGGCCCCACAGCCTCATGAGGTCAGCAGGGCGCTCCCAGGTGCTTGGCACAGCACAGCCACTCCCCGAGGCAGGACTATCCCTGGGAGCACCCAGGAGCACCCACAAGCACTAGCTTGGCCTGGCAGGCAGGAGCGCCTAGGGCCTGCCGTTTTCTTGAATCCACCTGTTTCATGACTGCCAGGGCGTTGCCACACCCAGGATCTGCCATTGGTCTCTCTGTTTTTAGTATCTGAACAGAGCTGGCCATAGACAACACCTAACCACAAAAGCTCACACACAGAAGGATGAGGAGGAAGGAGAGGAGGGGGAGGGAGGGAGAAGGGGAAGAGAGGAGGGGGAGGAAACTTCACTTGCAATGTGCTCAATATATACAAAAGTAAGGGGCCACATTAAAGCGAAATGACCCGACTCCTTCACAGCACAATGAATTTAACTTCTACGCTGATGTGGCTTAAGTATTCCACAAATACCTCCCAGTATTCCTCTTAAATCTCCGTAGAAAGGTCAGGACTGAATTTCCCAGACATGCATACATGCCAATCAGCTGTTGGTGTCCACTCTGTAGATCAGTCCAGATCACCAGCTCTCATTGCTCGTGTGAACTGATCACTAATCACCAGTACAGCCAGCCCGCCACATCCTTGGGCTCCACATCCGTGGATTCAACAACCCACAGGTCAAAAAATACTAAAAAAAAAAAAAAAAAGCTGTCCCTGCACTGAACATACACAGACTGTTTTTCCTGTCTTTATTCCCTAAGCAACACAGCACCAACCACAGCACGCCACCGTGGCAGGCTTGTAAGTGACAGAGATGACATAAGGCTGATGGCAGGACGCACAGAGAGGACACGTGATACCACGCCACTTCACACCAGGGACCTCGGCGTCTGCAGGAGGTCCTGGGACCAAACCACAGGTACTGAAGGTCGGCTGTACCTGAGATTAGGAGAAGCTGAAAAGGAAGCTGCTATATTAAGTAAGAGAATTCTATCATCAACACACAATAAGATACGAGACTTACAAATAATAAAAATGTCAGGGTTCGAGGGATGCTGTAGACAGCTTATTGTGGTGAAAGCTCAAGGAACCCAGGGCACCTTGGCTGACCCCGTCTCCCAACTCCAAGAAAGCAGCTCTTAGGGTATGGGTATCTAAGGAGACAAAGGACACAGTCCAGGCACCAAGGGAGGTCCAGGGGAGCAGACAGATAGTGACATTCAAAGACCAGCAACGATGACACGGCCTGTGACTGCCACTGAGCAGTGAAGGGAGCAGGTGTCAGAGAACCTTCTAGAAGAGCCTGCAAGGCCTGGGACTGCCGGGAAGGTGAGCCTTCTGTAGTCTCGAACACGCAATGCAGAGGCAGCAAGGGGCCGAGGCCAGCAGTGACTACAGCACCCAGTCACAGAGGAGAGGCGGGGCTCAGGGAGGCTGGAGCCCATGGGAGGCCGGAGCCCACGGGAGGCCTTGTGAGAACCTGTCTCAGCCAGACTGCAGGGAACCCCAACATCAACAAACACAAAGCACCTCGCACTCTCCCTGCCCAGGAAGGCTCTAGGAGATTTAAGGCTGGCCTCCTCTTCTGGGGAGGGCCTGACAGGTGGGTTTGCAGCACACACCAAGGCCAAGCAGATCCGTGGGTGGGCCAGAGCCGCCCTTCCTAGGCGACACCATCTCTCACCACCAGGAGGAGGCCAGAGGGAGCCCTAGGCAGCAGGTATCTCACTGCACCTTCCTCTGCAACCGGGGAATACTCACCTGAGCACCCCACATGGCCCCTCAGGAGACACAGAAGAGGGCGCCAAGACCTTCAGTACCATGGTCAACCTAGCTACACCCCCAGGGTCACAGCAAGGGCCCAGTGGGCCATACACAGGACCCACCCCCTCCAGGGCCACCCACTCCCCACCAGGGCCATGGCGAGGGTCGGCAGGCCACACACAGGACCCATGATGCCGTTCTGCCACAGCAGCTGCAAGGCCACCCAGCAGGCTCTGGACTATGGGGACACAAAGATGTCTGCTTCTCAGAATTAGGAGGAGGATAAACTACACCAACTCAGTCATGCTCCTCAAAGTCAGGCAAGCCAGTACCCACAGGAGGGGCTGTGGCCCTCCCTGCTCAGCCCTGGAGTTGCTGTGCCCATGCTCCTGGCTGAAGAGGCTGCCCAGACCTCAGCCATACCTGGCCTTCGAGGGGAGGGACCACGCCTCACCACCACCACCTCTATACAGAGAGCTAGACACGGTGTGGACAGTGAATGTGTGCTAACCATTGCTAAGCAGGCATGGTTGGGAGGTATTTCAGGAGTGTGGAGGGAAATTATGCACAACCTCCCCGGAGAAGTCCTGTTACTGGTGTTGCAGCACAGTTTACAGCTCTGGAAACATCACCTCACCTTCTGGACCTTTTTACCCACCGTCAAAATAACTAAAAGACCTAAGGTCACCAGCTCTAAAATCTTTCAAATTCAAAAAGAAAGCTGGGCATGCTGGTGTGCACCTGTGGTCCCAGCTACTCAGGAGGCTGAGGTAGGAGGATCACTTGAGCCTGGGAGGTCCAGGCTGCAGTGAGTCGTGATTGTACCACTGCACTCCAGCCTGGGCAACAGAGTGAAATTCCGTCTAATTGAACAATGAGAACACATGGACACAGGAAGGAGAACATCACACTCTGGGGACTGTTGTGGGCTAGGGGCAGGGGGGAGGGATAGCATTAGGAGATATACCTAATGCTAAATGACGAGTTAGTGGGTGCAGCACACCAGCATGGCACATGTATACATATGTAACTAACCTGCACATTGTGCACACGTACCCTAAAACTTAAAGTATAATAATAATAAAATAAAATAAAAAAAGAAAAAAAAGAAAAAAAAGACCAAAAAATTAGGACATGAATAACCAAGGCTCTTCTCATTATCACATTTTAAACAATAAATATAAGGAAAGTATTCAAGTTTGACAACAGCCCAGGAAGAAGCAAGAAGAGAAACTTGTAGCCACCCTTTTCCAACTGCAGGTTTCCAGGGCTTCTTTCCCAGAAAACCTTAGTCAACGGAGATGCAGTGCAAGGACGGAAGTGAAGACACCCCATGGAACATCAGAAGCAGCCCAATCTTGAACACGGCCCCCACGCCGGCCAGCCATTCCCCTACCCGACGACACGCCTGGCCCCACACAGAGGCCACAGGAGAACGTGGTCCCTTTTCACCTCCAAGGCCAGACCCTCCTCCCGGGGCCCTGATCCCACCCTCTCTCTCTCAGCCCCCAGACCTCTCCGGCCCTCCCATGCCAGGCACTGCACTCTCCGTGAAGGACCACGCATGGTCTCCGTCACCACTACACAGCTCTGCTGGGGTGGAATGAAAGTGGCCACACACAAGACATCAACATGGGGTGTGCCACCCCACAGGACCTCACTTACAAAAATGTGGTAGCTGGACCTGGCCCATGAGCCAAGGGGCCTTGCTGAGAGTCACTGCACCCTGGCTCCCTGGCCACTACCCTCTCCAGGTCTCCAGCCCCACTTCCATGAGTGCCTGCGTCCACTCTCCTTGGCCATAGCCTCCTCATGCACCTGACTGCACAGGGCACAACCTCTCCTCCTTGCACCCTCTTTTTCCAGGTGAGACAACACAGGCCAGAAACTCAACATCACCCCCAAGCCGTTGCCTCCCAAACACCCACTCCAGCCAGACTCCCTCACGCTTCAAACTTGGACATCTGATCACTCGCTGATCTGCCCCCACCCCTAACAGGCACTTGAACTTCACATTCCTTCCATCAGCTCCTCCCCTATCACCTGCTGGGTATCTGCCCCCATCCCTAACGGGCAACCCAACTTCACAGGCCCTCCCCTATCACCCGCTGGGCATCTGTCCCTGACCCTAACAGGCACCCCAATTTCACAGCCCCTCCTGTCACCCGCTGGGCATCTGCCCCCACCCCTAACGGGCACCCCAACTTCACAGCCCCTCCTTCAGCTTTCAGCTCCTCCCCTATCACCTGCTGGGCACCTCCTCCCACCCCTAATGGGCACCCCAGTGTAGCAGCACCAGAGTCAGTTCCTCTCTCAGTAAAGTCACCACGGGCCCAGGACTTCTGACTCCTCTCTTCCTCCCCCTCAAGAAACATGCCATGAGCATGTCCTGGCAGCTGTGTCCCCACCCTCCACCCCAAGACCACATCACTGACCTGGCACAGGCATTGTCTGGGCCAACCAGCACAAGCAACACACTTGGGGGAAGGTGTTGTAGTCACAGGGACTCACTCATCACACACTGCAATCTGTACAATGGGTCTCTCTCAGTCTTTCCATTATATGTGTGCCCCCTGAATGAGACTCAATCTCCAGGAAACAATCTACTTTTAGTTACTTTCCACAGTTCCACCATCCAAGGCAGTCCTCCCTCCCTCCACACCTGGACAACATCTCAGGCAACCTCCTGACCTCATCCTGTCCCCATCACCCATTCCCCCTCCAGCAGTCAATGAGATAGTCATTGAACAGAATTAGAATATGTCACTTCTCTGCCCAAAGCCTTTCCCTGTGTACTTGGAATGAGATCCAAGTTCCTTACCGCAGCCTCATGGACTCTGCAGGACCTGCGGCCTCCCTGCCCTGGCCTTCCCCTGCCCTCTGCTCCCAGCAGCCTTTCCACACCAGGGAGTCTCATTGGTGGCTCCACTCCGCAGGTCTCTGTTCGGAGGGCTTCCTCGCCTTCCTAAGGCACTGTCACCAACCATGGCCCAAGCAAAACTCCAGAGAGTTGGTGCTTTCATGACTGTCGCACTACAGAAGGCACTATCATGGGAGGGCCGCAAGGCCCGCTACACACCATGGGCACCCAATGAATTTGTGCTGAGTTGACCACAACCACACCACATGGAAACAGAGCTGTGCCTATGCCCTCCTGTACCACATAGTTCTGCAATCAGTCCAGGTCCTGGAGCCCTCACGGTGTCCCTGCCTGTTGCAATCTGCAACCTCCTTCCTCCAGTGCAGGTGTGGGCCTGGGGACCCGCGCTGACCCTGAGAACACACAGCTGAATCCTCGAGGGAGGTCATGGCCAGGGGCCCAAGGGTGTCTGCAGCCAACCCACACAAGTGACGCTCTTGGGGAGGAAGTCTGCAGCACAGGGATGGCTCAGCACGCAGGGCGATCTGTACAATGGGTCTCTTTCAGCATTTCCATCACTCAAGGGTCCCCTGAGTGAGGCTCAGTACCCAGTAAACAACTTATTTTTAGTTAATTTCCGCAGTCACAGAACAAACATCTTGCACACCTTCCACTACCTCGCAACCAAGAAGCTAAGTGAGAACAGTGGTGGCTGTGTGTGCCCACAGGGGCGGTAGGGTGCGGCCAATCTTTCCAGGCTCCCCTCCCCTGCTCCTCAGACCCTCTTTCCACTCCCTCAGAGGTTCCCAACTCTAGCCACAAAGTGCAGACACCCTCACTGGGGCTGTTTGCATGCAACACAGTGACAGAGGAGCACATATTCGGCACAAAGCGTACTGCATTTTCTCCAAAGTGCTGACTTAAAACCCGTCCTGGCCAGGCACAGTGGCTCATACCTGTAATCTCAGCACTCTGGGAGGCTGAGGTGGAGGATCACTTCAGCCCAGAAGGCAGAGGTTGCAGTGAGCCAAGATAGCGCTATTGCATTCCAGCCTGAGTGACAGAGGAAGACCCCGTTTTAAAACAAAAACAAAAAACCATCCTAATGGAGTATTGTGTGGGGCCCAAGAATGTGGATTTCTTGCCATTCCCAAGCGATGCCAGGGCTGATCTAGCGGGCTCTGGGTGACACAAGCCTATGTTCCAGTCCCATGAGAGCTGATAACACTCCAGGCCTCCTGCGTATACAGTGGTGACACTGACCCGAGGGGGCACCCTGCGGACCAGCGAACTAAACCACAGAGTTCCATCTCAAGAACGAGAGCTCCATCTCCCACCAAGTCCTAGGGGCTCAGTGATCTCAGGGAGCTGTGGACCTGCTAGCCCAAATGCTCCTTTCTTAGGAAACAGGCTCAACCACGGAGCTGCAGGAACTCCTTCCAGGCAATGCCCACCTGAATTTCAGTTTCCCCATGAGGCAAACTCGGAACCATATTCCAAGATCTTGAGACAATTATAAACACTCTGCTCCCCACATCTTCCCCATTGGCCTCCCATGATCTGCATGCACCACAACCAAAATCAAATGACTACTAGCAATTAAGGAACAATATGTGGCAAGATCAATTAAGGTCAATTAATTGTCAATATTGAGGTCAATATGTGGCAAGATGTTACAGCATATTGTTAAATAAAAAACAAAAGACTAAAAGCAGCAAAAGTTTATATATGTATATTATACACGATGGAGAAAGAGACTGTGTATGTGTGAGTGTGTGTGCATACATGTGCGTGAACGTATAGGCAAGGACTGGGGGGAGAGAAGAGTGGAGAGAGAGAATGAATGAATGAATGAATGTATGTGTGAAGGAATGTAGAAAAGCCGGCTCTACACCAGGAATAAAAAACGGTCATCTCGGCTGGGTGTGCGGTGGCTCACGCCTGTAATCCCAGCACTTTGGGAGGCCGAGTCGGGCAGATCACAAGGTCAGGAGTTCGAGACCAGCCTGACCAACATGGTGAAACCCCGTCTCTACTAAAAATACAAAAATTAGCTGGGCGTGGTGGTGCGCGCCTGTAATCTTCGCTACTCAGGAGGCTGAGGCAGGAGAATCACTTGAACCTGGGAGGCGGAGGTTGCAGTGAGCCAAGATCATGCCATTGCACTCCAGCCTGGGTGACAGAATAAGACGCGGTCTCAAAACAGCAAAAACAACAAAACAAAAAACAAAAAACAAAAAAACCAAAAAAAACCAAAGCAAAAAAACCCCAGTCATCTCTGGACGGAACTGGAGGTGATTCTTTCTCTGCAACTGTAACTTCTCCAGACATTCTGATTCTCTAGTGTAAAAAAAACCCCAATAAACAATTGCATACCGTGATCACACAAGCCACAATAGGGCTGACTAGGAAGGGACCATAGCACGCACTGAATCACACAATCCCCAAAACAACTCTCCGCCTCCTGTCCCTGCCCTCATATCCCACCTTTACCTGGACTCAGACTCCCAAAACTCACTTTCCTCCTAGTCCTCCCTCCAACTCCTCAGACCTTGGTCCTCCCTCTTCTGCTCCTCCCTGTTCTCCTGGGTAAACCTCACACCCCTTGGAAAGAGTCTTCCAGCAAGGCTCAGAGCCCCAGCACTCCTAGAACCTCCCATATCCCCACTTATAAGAGTAAATAAAACAACATTTCCATTGCTTCATAAAGGGAAGGCAGGTGCCCCTCTCCCGCTTAGGATGCCTCTGTTTGGTCTGGAATGAGATAGCCCAGTGTCCAGATTTTACAAGACACAGTCATGGTCTGATGGCCCCTAGAATGTCATCAGACCTCCAAACCTAACTCAAAGGCCTCGCACTGTGTGCAAACCAGCACAAGCTGCCTCTCATTTCTCTGGGAGAGATGAGCGGTTCTAACTGTTCCTCCTTCCACCTCCCTGTCAAGACGCCTGGGAAATGCTGCCCAGACTCTGCACTCTCTCGCAGAGCACCTATGTGCACACAGCCTGCCAGGCTTCGGGGGCAATAAATCTGCTATCTTTCCTTCTGCATCCATGTGGGTAGCTTTGAGCTGATTTCTCCAGCACACCAAGACATACATCACATAGGGTCCCCCATGGCCCCACTTTCGTGTCCTGGCCGAAAATCACAGAGTACCCTGATCCCTCTGTGCCCCAACCACAGGTTTTCCCCACCAGGCTTCAACCCAATCCAGGGCCTTTAACATTTCCAGGCATGGAAGAAAGTATCTAGGTTTACTACAAAGAAAACGGCCTTGGCCCTGAGCCAAATTCCTGAAACCTTCCTATAAACTCCATAACCCACACCCCTTCCAAGAGACATACCTAGGGAGGACATCCCTTTTCCCTTACTGCCCGTCTCGAGGACTACCGCAGCCCACTCTATATGAAAGTTCCCCTAACAAAACCTCTAGGCAGGGCCTGGCGCAGTGGCTCACACCTGTAATCCCAGCACTTAGGGAGGCCAAGGCAGAAGGATTGCTTGAGCCCAAACGTTCAACACCGGCTTGGGCAACACAGAGACCCTGTCTCTACAAAAAAAAAAAAAAAAAACAAAAACAAAAAAACAAAACTAAGCTGGGCATAGTGGCTCATGCCTGTAGTCCCAGCTACTTGGGAGGCTGAAGCAGAATTAAAGAATTCATCAAGCCCAGGAGGTGGAAGCTGCAGTAAGCTGTGATGGTGCCACTGCATACTGTCTCAAAAAAAAAAAAAAAAAAAAAAAAAAAAAAAAAAACTGCTCTGGGCTTACCATGCATTTAGCACTTCTTTCTTTGGTATCCCAACTGGTCCCACCTGAGGATAGTGTGGGGAACTCCCTTGCCGCCACTTTTGGGGTAACTCCAGTTGCAAGTTTGGCAAAACACTCCTCATGTCACTACTCCGATGTCCTCCCACTTCAGCCCTGCTCATGTGTACACAGCCCCAAATCCCTACCCACACTCCCACCACACCTTCATTTCACACCCTCCCTCATTCCCCACCATCTTCTCCAGACACCCGTCATCCCCTGGGGCCCCTTGCCATGCCCTCCAGGTCCCCTGTGGGCCCCATTCGCCCATCTAGGTTACCCTGCCCCCTCCAGCCCTCCCACCATTTTCCTCCAGGTCCCCACCATCCTCTCTAGATCCCATGTCCCCTCCAGGTGCCACTGATCCCTCCAGGAACCCACTGTCCCCATCCCTTCCAAGTGCTACCGTCCCCTCCAAATCCCCACTGTCCCCTCCAGGTCCTCAATGTCCCCATCTCCTCCAAGTGCCACCGTCCTCTCCAGGTCCCCACCGTCCTCTCCAGGTCCCCACTGTACCCATCCCCTCCAGATCCCACCGTCCTCTCCAGGTCCCCACTGTCCCCATCCCCTCCAGGTCCCACCGTCCCCTCCAGATCCCGTCTCCATCCCCTCCAAGTGCCACCGTCCTCTCCAGGTCCCCACCATCTCCTCCAGGACCCTACCATCTCCGCTAGATCCCACCATCCCAGGGCCCCCCAGCTCTCCCTCTGGGTCCCACCGTTCTCTCCGGGTCCCATCATCCCTGGGCGCCCCCGCACCGCCGCACTCCCGCCCCCAGAACCGCCTCTGTCCCCGCCCCTCTCCCAGCGCAGCCCGCATACCCCCCACCCCCCGGGGATGCGGGAAGGAGGGCTCGGGCTGTGTCAGCCACAGCGCGCGGACTGAGCCGAGGGCGGACGCTACGGCTTGGCTTGGGCCGGGCGCCCAACAGACCAACACCGTCGCTCACCTGAGGGACGCCAGACGAGTCCCAGAGCCGACCGCGGCGCCTCGGCCGCTCGGCGCCTGCGCAGTGAAGACCGCGGCGAGCCGCGCGCATGCGTGCAGGCCCGGAGCCCCAGGCGCTGGCGGGGCAGAAACGCGGCGCCCTGCGTCTTCTGGTTCCGAGGCTGGTCCTCACCGTTTCCGCTCCGGCGGAAGTGAGGAGGAGGGTCCTTCGACCCGTGCTGAGCTGGATGGACCGCGAGACGCGCGCCCTCGCCGACAGCCACTTCCGAGGCCTGGGGGTCGATGTCCCCGGCGTCGGCCAGGCTCCGGGCCGGGTAGCCTTCGTCTCGGAGCCGGGCGCCTTCTCCTACGCCGACTTTGTGCGGGGCTTCTTGCTGCCCAACCTGCCCTGCGTGTTTTCCAGCGCCTTCACGCAGGGCTGGGGCAGCCGGCGGCGCTGGGTGACGCCCGCGGGGAGGCCCGACTTCGACCACCTGCTACGGACCTACGGTGGGGCGGCGGCCGCAGACCCCGGGCGGGGAGGAAAGGCCGGCGGGACCCAGGCCCGGGAGGCCCCCGCCTAGAGAGGGGCACCAGGGAGGGTGAGGGAGGCCAGGCGCGTGGCCCCTGGAGAGTTCCTCTGCAGACGGTTTGGAGTGAGGACGGGGCCCAGGGAGATGGCATGGACCGTGCCTTTCATTTCAGGAGACGTGGTTGTACCAGTTGCAAACTGTGGGGTCCAGGAATACAACTCGAACCCCAAAGAGCACATGACTCTCAGAGACTACATCACCTACTGGAAAGAGTACATACAGGCGGGCTACTCCTCTCCCAGGGGCTGTCTCTACCTCAAAGACTGGCACTTGTGCAGGTAATGGGGCTTGGGACGCACCGAGGCGCTGCCTTCCCTAGCGCTGCGTGAACCCAGAGGCCTTTCTGATGAAGGTGGCCCCTGGGTGCACAACGGAGCTATTTTTCCCCGTGAGGCACTTTAATCAGTTTAAAAGAAACTGGATTGTCTTCCGCATGGCTGCAAGTGTTGTTCTTTGGGAGGTCAATATGGTTTTTTTTCCTTTTTTTTTGAGAGAGATCTCCTCAGCCTCCCTAGTACCTGGGATTACAGGAAGGCGTCTCCACTCCCGGCTTTTTTTTTTTTTTTTTTTTTTTTTAAAGAGACTAGGTTTCACCATGTTGCCCAGGCTGGTCTTGAACTCCTGAGCTCAGGTGATGCATCCACCTCAGCATCTCAAAGCACTGGGATTATAGGCATGATCAGTACTTTCTAATAAGCAGAACCATTGTAGTCAGACTGCCCCGCCCCCTCCCCCGCCAGCAGCGTCTGGCTCAGAGGAGGGTCTGGGGCTCTTTGGGGGCTGCAGCCATCTGGAAGCTCCACTGGAGCCGATTGGTCTCAGTTGCCCCACTCGTGCTGCCCTAGTCTCCTCGTGCCTCACGTGCTGTCGGTGGTGCCCTTGCGCCCTCCTCACAGGGACTTTCCGGTGGAGGACGTTTTCACCCTGCCTGTGTACTTCTCGTCCGACTGGCTGAATGAGTTCTGGGATGCACTGGATGTGGATGACTACCGCTTTGTCTACGCGGGGCCTGCGGGCAGCTGGTGAGGCCACGGATGTGGGAGTGGAACCCGAAGGGGCCTGGTGACAGAACGGACTGGGAGGCCCAGGGTGGCAGGAGGGGGGCTGCTTGGCACAGGCCTCACAGTGGGTGCCATCCCTTGAGACCAAGGGGCCACCCCTCCTTCAGTTGGACCAGGCCTCTGGGGTGCCAAGCAAAGCCCATACCAGCCCCTACAGGCATGAACCAGGCGCTCTTGCTGCCGCAGGTCCCCGTTCCATGCTGACATCTTCCGCTCCTTCAGCTGGTCTGTCAATGTCTGTGGGAGGAAGAAGTGGCTCCTCTTCCCCCCAGGGCAGGAAGAGGCCCTGCGGGACCGCCACGGCAACCTGCCCTACGACGTGACCTCCCCAGCACTCTGCGACACACACCTGCACCCACGGAACCAGCTTGCTGGCCCACCCTTGGAGATCACGCAGGAAGCGGGCGAGATGGTGTTTGTGCCCAGTGGCTGGCACCACCAGGTGCACAACCTGGTAATGTGCTGCTTCTCCTGCCCCCTATCAGGGGCCTTCCTGCAGGAAGACGGCAGCACCACCTCCCCACTCTCCCAGCCAGAGCTGGGCTGGAATGGGGTGGCTCATGGGTGAGGCTGACCCCTTCACAAGGTGGTGTCGCTGAGGCCTAGCCTCTGTTTCACCCACTGCCGGTCCCTGGGTCTACTTGCTCTGGGTTCACTGTGGCCTGAGGTGGTCCGAGCCCGCCACCCACTTCCCTGCTGAGCAAGCCCTGCTGGGAGACAGGAGGGCCCTCTTGGCTGCAGAGGGCTGGACCCCACAGTGGGTTCCTGGCGCAGGAGATGTGGGTTGGTCAGGGGGCACCTGCCATGGGCTCAGGCCTGCCTGCACTGTGCCCCTTCCAGGATGACACCATCTCCATCAACCACAACTGGGTCAATGGCTTCAACCTGGCCAACATGTGGCGCTTCTTGCAGCAGGAGCTATGCGCCGTGCAGGAGGAGGTCAGCGAGTGGAGGGACTCCATGCCCGACTGGCACCACCACTGCCAGGTGGGGTGGCTACGCATGGAGGCTACCCTCCTGGGGGAGGCTTTTAGGCTGCATGGCTCAGACTCCCTTGGTCACCGCGCAGCTTCTCAGTGCCTCTGTCTTAATGGTCCCTTCTTCGTCCTTGGGGACTGGGCGCATGTCGGGTCCTTTGCAGCTTGGACTGTGTCCATGGTGTTAGCTCACTGGCCTCTTCCCTCTGCCCAGGTCATCATGAGGTCCTGCTCGGGCATCAACTTTGAAGAGTTTTACCACTTCCTCAAGGTCATCGCTGAGAAGAGGCTCCTGGTCCTGAGGGAGGCAGCCGCTGAGGACGGTGCTGGGTTGGGTTTCGAACAGGCAGCCTTTGATGTTGGGCGCATCACAGAGGTGCTGGCCTCCTTGGTTGCGCACCCCGACTTCCAGAGAGTGGACACCAGCGCGTTCTCACCACAGCCCAAAGAGCTGCTGCAGCAGCTGAGAGAGGCTGTTGATGCTGCTGCGGCCCCATAGCACCTGTCGTGAGG
The DNA here is from genome assembly GCF_000001405.40 of Homo sapiens. Lineage (NCBI taxonomy): Eukaryota > Metazoa > Chordata > Mammalia > Primates > Hominidae > Homo > Homo sapiens. The sequence goes on along the minus strand of NC_000001.11, from coordinate 227,732,377 downwards.
ATAGAAGGACGGGTGGAAGAGAGGCAGCCTCCTGCTCCGGGGCCCTTCCAGAAATAAAGACCGCCCTCCCTGTGACCTGGGGCCCACCCCTGTCGAGGCTTGTGGCCTGGCTGTTCATGGCCACTGCCTGGGTGCCTGTTTTCAGGTGAGGCCCAATGAGGTCAGGGACCCAAGATGGGATGTGGCCCTTCTGACCTGCAGCAGGCCTGCTGGGAGCTCGGAGATGGTGCCAGGACCTGGCTCTTTTGGGGGCCCTGCCTCCTTAGGCCAGGACGCCTGAGCTGACAGGAGTCTGTGTCTGGTGTGCCTTCTCTGGTGGCTCCTCTTAATAGGCCAGCCCTGTCCCCTCGTCTCAGGCCATTGGACCACCCCTGGCTCTGCCCTGTGGGTTCAGGGAGGGGTTGGAGCAGTGCTGGGCAAGCTCACCAGGGCCTCCAGGCAGGGCTGGGGTTGGCCTCCATCACCTCCAGGTGATGGGCTGTGGAACCAGCGGCCTGCGCCTTCCTCTGGGTACCCAGAGTGGAGGGCTGGGTTGGGCTGGCCTTTGCCACCTCCCTGCCTTTGCAGGGCCTGTGGACAGCTGGAGAGGCCACAGATGGGGTGGAATCCCATCTGCTGCTGAATCCTCACCTGGGCCTGAGGGACTGTGCCTGCTGTGCACTCACAGCTGGGTCTTCCCAAGGATGCTGTTCTCAGGAGTGGTGGGTCCCCAGCCCCTCTTCACACTGGGTATGATGGAGGTGTGGGCGGGCTCGTCCAGGCCGATCAAGGCACAGCAGTGAGCAGCGGAGGCCTGTGGTGGGGAATGGACTCTCGTGGGATCCTCTTGCAGAGGATGCCCCAGGCCTGAACCCTCTAGTGGATCCACAGTTTGTGGAGACTGGCACTCTCCCAGCCCTGTCCTTGACCGAGAGTCCAGCATTTTTTCAGTTGGCCCCTGGTTGGCTGCCTCACCCCAGCAGGGGAGGAGGCATCCGAATCCACAGGGACGGCACGTGCCATGGCTATGCACATTGCCTGCCCGTGGCATCAACTGGGGCCGCTGGCACTTGTCTAGGATGGAAGCCCCCAAGAAGGGCAGGGGTTTCTGTCTGCTCTGTTCAGTGAATCATGTGAAGTGCTTGCAAAGGCAGCTTTACACAGTAGGTGCTTCATATGTGTCTGTCGAATGAATGCGCTCCAGCCAACAGCTTTCCAGGGACCTGTATGCTGGGCCCCCCTGCTAGCTCCCGGGGACCCCTGGTCTGTACGGGAATGCCCTGAGACATCCGGCCTCCTACAGATGGAGCTGGCGCTGCCCAAACCACGGGCAGCAAAGGTGCTTTGTCGGGGAGGAGGGGGAGGTAGCAAACATGCACGGCTGCAGCCTTGCCAGGACCAGGCCCAGGCTGAGTGTGGGCGTGGCTCACCCATTTAGCCCCTCCGGTAACCTCTGAGCTTGGGCCTCTTGGCACCCTGCCACACAGGCACACCTGAGGCCAAGAGTGGGGGTATGTGCCTCGGACACTGCCAGCAGGCAGCTGAGGTGACCTGTCCTTCAGCTTCTGTCATGATGAGGGCAGCACTGTGGACCCCAGGGCAGCCAGGGCCCAGTGCGAACTGGCAGCACAAGGTAGCACAGGTCGCAGCCCATTACCATCCAGGCTGCTTGGTCCTGCGCTCCTGAACTGTATGTGAAGACCCTCATGCTTCCGCAGTCAGGAGGCAGTGCACAGACGCTCCCGAGAGCCCTGCTAGCCTCAGTCACTTTTTCTTGGTTAAAGCAGGCATTGAGAATCTCAGGCTGGGGCTGTTACAGATGCAGCAAAAACAGCAAATGCCAGAAGCTCTGTGGGGGGAGATAGAGCCCTCCACAGGGCAACGGCTGAACTGCAGCCGGCATCGATGACTCCATAGTCAATGACCATGACTCCTTTTGCATACCTCACTCCAGATTGGCAAAAAAAAAAAAAATGCTGACACCAGGGCCAGGTGGGTTGTGGGGCAGCCGCTGTGCAGAGTGTGGCTAGACAGCAGTTTGAAGTGTCAGGCAGGATGCCCCTTTCCCAAGTATGCCGCCCTGGGATCCTGTCCGGGGTTGGGGAGGCATGCTGTCAGCACATGTGAGGGCCTTCGCAAAGGGAATTTCACCTCTGCAAGAGGCCTGACAGGCCACGTCTCCCTGGGAACCAACCTCCTGGGGTACGAGGTGAGGAGCTGCAGATGTGCGGTGGTTAGCCCCTGCCCTTTGCGTGTCATCCCTATCAAGTGTGAGAAAGGACAGGCAGGCTGCAGCTAACTAGTGTTCCTGAGGAAAGGGGTCAGAGAAACAATGCAGATGCTCAAGACCTAAGGCTACGTGGGAGCTGCACATAGATGGATATACTTGCAAGTGTGGGGACAATGGCTGTGCACCCCACCATGCCTGGGTGAGGGCGTGCAGTGGCCCAGATTCCTTGGGGAGTGGGACCTGTGGGCCCCCATAGGAAGGCTGGAAAAGTCAGGCCCTGCTGTCTGCACAGACTCTAGCCTGGGAGGACACAGAGTGAGGGAACATGATGGGGCCTAGGGGCTCCTCCAGCACGTGCCTGCCCTGCCCTGGGCTTGCAATTGTGATTGGCTGGAATCCATGGAGGTGGAGACAGGAGCCCCAGGTCAAGTTGTTGCTGGCTGTGGCAAAACCAGGCTCCCTGCATCCTGGGGGCTGTGGCCTCCGGAGAAGGTGCCTCCCCCAGGGACCAAGACCATCCTCATGCTTGTGCCTTTCCGCCTGCTGACCCAGCCGAAGGGGCAGCTCCTTGGCCAGCTACCCTGAAGCCCACATCCCAGGTCTGGGGCATCCCTGAGAGCCACATCCAAGGCCACATCCTTCCCTTTGCTCATCCATGCTCCAGAGTGTCAACCTCAGCCCTGTCCCCCATCCACCACTGTGGGTGGTTTTGGCAGGTGATTGTGCCAGCGTCCCACAGAACTGCAACTACCAGCTGCACCTTGGGTCCCCAGGCAGAAAGAAGGCAGGCCCTGGTTTCCAAGTCAGTGACTTGTTCCACTGGCCTAGAAGCCAAGGGTAGGGACCAAGATGTCCAGTGTCCTGTTGTCTGTACCCCCAAAGTCAGCAGCCCTGGAGGCAGGAACTCCAGGGACCTGGGCCTCTCACTCCTGCCTGGGGTCTGACCCCAGAAGTCCCCTTCCACAGGCCCCAGTTACCCTCCCACTGCAGGCTCTGACCTACAGGAAAACAGCTGGAGCTGGGCTCCTACCCTGTTCCTCTGGGAGAGCCAAACCCTGTCCTGAAGCTAGAGGAAAATCCACGGGCAGAATCCTGCAGACGCACACCCCAGATAGACCCCACCTGGGGCCCCACGCCCTAATCAGACCCCGCCTGGACCCCTCGCCCCACCTAGAGAGCCGCAGCTCGTGGATCCTGGCCTTCCTCTGCAGCCTGCCGCCCCCCTCCCCTGCGTGAAGGCACCAGAGTGTCCACCCCCGCGGCCCCACTCAGAGATGCGTGCCTGCTCCCATCGGAGGCCTTCGGCTCCGCGGCAGGGCCTGCCTGCTCCCGAGACCGTTCCCCTCGCCTCTCCTGTCGGGAATCGGGGTCTTGGGTATTACCTTCAAATCCGGCCATCTTCCCGCCACAGCGAAGGAGAATCAGACAGCCCGTGCCAGGGACGTGGGCCAGGTCCTCACTGCCCTTGCTTCTGGGACCCTGTGAGGGCAGGAACCGGAGCCTTGCCCTCATGACTTTGGTTGGGGGCAGTGCCAGGTGGGAGGTTTCCTGTCGGGCACTAGGTTGGGGCGGGAGGCGGGGCGGGGCCGGGAGGGACAGGCGGGGAGGGGGCGGGAGGCTGGATCGAGAGGGCAGGGGCGGGAGGAAGGAGGCGGGACCGGGGCGGGAGAGCCAGGTGGGGCGGGGCTGGGAGGGAGGCGGGGAGAGGACGGGATGGGAGGGGCAGGCGGGGCAGGCAGGGCGGGCGGCGGGGCCCAGGACGACCCTGGGGCTTCCCTGGCTTCAGGTCCCTTCTGAGCACAGCGGGGCCCGCCCCCCCCGCTCCGGTGGCAAGCACCGGCCCTGCAGCCCCAGCCAAGAAACCCAGTAACAACCCTTCCCTACCCTTGTGTTCCGGGCAGCGGGACGCCCAGGGTCCAGCGAACCCTGCAGGTGCAGGAGCAATGAGGCGAGCCTGGGAAAACCTCCTAGCCCGGAGGTGCCCGTTGACTCACCGCCTGTGGTTCCAGCAGGGACTCTGTGCGCCACAGACTGTACAACCCCAGGTCCTTGTTCTCCCAGCCCGGCAGGCTGCTGTCTGTTCAGAAGGAACTCCAGGCAACTTAAATATGTGGAATCAATCAGTGCACTTCAAACTTATGAAAAGGTCGAAGAAGAAATGAAAAGGGACATTAGAAAATACACTGAATGGCCGGGCGTGGTGGCTCAGGCCTATAATCCCAGCACTTTGGGAGGCCGAGGTGGGTGGATCACCTGAGGTCAGGAGTTCGAGATCAGCCTAACCAACACGATGAAACCCCCGTCTCTACTAAAAATAGAAAAGTTAGCCGGGCGTGGTAGCGCAGGCCTGTAATCCCAGCTACTTGGGAGGCTGAGGCAGGAGATTCGCTTGAACCTGGGAGGCGGAGGTTGCAGTGAGCCAAGACTGTGCCACTGCACTCCAGCCTGGGCAACGGAGTGAGACTGTCTCTAAAGAAAAAGAAAACGAGGAGGTCTGAGAAGTTCCCAGGTATGTGCAGTTATCTCTTCACGTCACCTCATGGGTCCCATGTGCAAACTGAGGGGGAGTTAGTATGAAACATGCATCGAAATTCAGGCCATGAAGTCAACAAGCTCATTCTGTGGAAATTCCGGCTGGCCATATTGGTTCCAATTGGTTTCAGGCAGTTTTTTCTTTTTTAAGAGACAGCCTCCCTCCATGTTGCCCAGGCTGGGGCACAGTGGCCTGGAACTCCTGGGCTCAAGCGACCCACCCACCTCAGCCTCCCTAACAGCTGGGACCACAGCATGCCCGACCACGCTAGACTTATTTTTACTTTTTGTAGGGACAGTGTCTCCCTGTTTTTTTCTCCCTCAATTTTTTTTCTTGATATCATAACATGGGGGAGTTTCAGGGTTTCAGCAAGTTGTTTATTTTCTTATGTGCCATCCTGCAAGCTCAAGAATTTCTGCTAGTCATTGGTCTTTGGTGTGAGGTTTTGAGACTATGTTTTCTGAAGAGGCCATATATGCAAAGTGACTCCCAAACACAGAAGGAACTGAGAAACCAAAGAATGAGGCAGACAAATCCAGTTTGTCACTTGGAGGTGATTTTTTGGGGAACTCACAGAAGCATGGTCTTGGGCAGCCACAAGACGGGTAGATCTCTGCACTGTTACCCCCTAGACTCAGGGCTTATATATTTTTGGGGAAAAAGTATATGTGTCCTGGAAGGAATGTGCAGGCAACTGAAATAGTGCTATGGGCATCACAGTTTATGATGTATGCTGTAGCATCGAGGGTTGTTTTGGAGGAATGGCGAGACTTACGGTAGATAGGTGTTTCTACATAGAGTACGACTTCAACTAGACATCTTGGAGGCACTCCCAGACTCATGCTTAGTTAGGCATCAGTGTGGCAGATTAGAATCTAAGAGGAGTGACTCTTGTCCCCATACTAAAGATGGAACATTTTTCAAAAAAGTACAAGAAGACAGAATCCAGCAACATATAGAAATAATTATCTTCCATGCCAAAGTTGGATTCCTCCCAATACAAGATTGGTTAACAGCCAAAAATCATTTAATATAATATGCCATATCAATACAATCATAAACAAAACCACATGACCATCTTAACAAATGCAGAAAATAAATTTGACAAAATCCAGCATCTTTATGATGAAAACATTCAACGAGATAAGAACAGGAGGGAATATGCTCAGACTGCTAAAGGGCACATGAAAACCCTGCAGTGGCTCACGCCTGTAATCCCAGTACTTTGGGAGGCCAAGATGGGTGGATCATTTGAGGTCAGGAGTTCGAGACCAGCCTGACCAACATGGTGAAACCCCATCTCTACTTAAAATACAAAATTAGCTGGACATGGTGGTACATGTCTGTAATCCCAGCTACTTGGGAGGCTGAGGCAGGAGAAACGCTTGAACCCGGGAGGCAGAGGTTGCAGTGAGCCAAGATTGTGCCATTGCACTCCAGCCCAGGCCACAAGAGTGAAACTCTGTCTCAAAAAAAAAAAAAAAAAAAAAAAGAAAAAGGAAAGAAAACCCTGCAGCTAACACCATGCTTCGTGGTGGAAGCCTGTATACTAATGTCCTAAGATCAGGAACAAGATATATACATCCACTCTAATGACATCTGTTTATCATTGTACTGGAGGTGCTAACCAGGACAATTTGGCAACAGAAATGAATAAAAGCCATCTAGATTGGAAAGGAAGAAGTACGATGATCTTTGTTCACAAATGATATGATCTTATATTTAGAAAAATGTAAGAAATTCACTAAAACATATTAGAATAAAGGAATTCAGCAAACTTAACAGATGCAAAAAATTGGTTATATTTTTGCACTTAAGAAATGAGCATTGAAAATGAAATTTAAAAAGCCTTCTATTTACAATAAACTCAAAAGCAAAATAATTAGAAATAACTTTAATGACAGACATGTAAACTGGAACACTGAAAACTGTATCTCAAGTGTGGTGCAAGGTCAGAGACAAGGAAGCCCATGGATATATGTGTCTTTCCACAATGTCAGGCTTTTATTGATTCTATTCAATCACAAAAGCCACAAGCTACATGGAGTTCCCGAGGAGGCAATTCTCCTTAGTAGTTCCCGTTCACTAGGTAGTCAGAGCCACAGGCACACAGGCTCAAGCCACTCCACAAGTCAGTAAATATTGCAAACACTACCTAATAGTATACTTAATATGTAAATGTTATAGATTAAACATTTGACAACAAAGTAACATTAACATCAAGAGAAGAGATAGGAGAAAATGTTAAAGAACCAGTTCGAGGAGAACTTAAATGAAGACAAAGAGAATCTTCTGGTCTGGGCCAGGCAGTCCATCAATCTTGCAAGAAAGAATCTTTGATGGGGCAGACAGAGGCTTTGGCAGCAGATGTCGAGTTCTTATTATGAGTGCCAGCAAGATGGTGTTAGTTAAGACAGCTGTTTTGAGCTGCTGATGGCCTGCTATTTTTATGACAACAGAGTCCACTGGTGAGAACTGATAGTGGATGAGTATGCTTGTTTATATCCTTATATGGTTGGATGCAGGCCTTTTTTTAAAATTTATTAAGCAAAATATCTTATCCTTGTTGTCAAAGTGTCCTAAGAAATGTAAAATGGAGTCTTTTTTCTAAGATGGGGTTACTTAAGTCAAGGGTGCTCTCTACACTACAATACATGGTTATCATCCTTGAGCCTTCTCTCCTTGGCTCTGAGGACTTTACCTTCTTGGGGAAAAAAGGGGATTGCATTCTTGGCCTTTATATTATTAGAGGTGGGCTCTGGGTAAGGTCTACACAACCAAATGAGTGTTCCTATTTCCATTTTTATGGATAGAAGCCTGAGGCCCACAAAGGGAGGAAATGATGATCCATATCCCAGAGGGCAGAATATCAGGCAACATTTCCCTCTACCCAGCCCCTCCCCACTGTCCTGTATTTAAGGTACCCCCAGATGTGATACCAATGGGTGTTTAAGAGAAAGCCCTGGGATCCGGGAGTCTGAGGAAGGGGGATTAGGGATTCCAAGTCTGAGGTGTAAAAAAAAAAAAAAAAAATGACCAAGGCAAGTCTCAATCACTTTAAGAGGTTTATTTTCCAAGGTTAAGGATGTGGAATAGAAAAGAATACAGAACCACGGGAAAAACTGTGGCCCATGGTTTCTCCAAGGAGGATCTGGGGACCTCAACATTTAAAATGAAAAGGGTGGGTATTGGGGATTGAGGAAGGAATTGTGAAAAGGGTGTGGGTAAATAAGAGGCAAGCGGTTGCATCCTTTTGAGTCTTTGATCAGCCATTCAATGAATACACAATTTACGTTGGGGGGGTGGGTAGAGAAATAGTCACACATTTATCTAGCTTGGTGAATCTGCATTTTTGCATAAGATAAAATAAACATAGGGCACAGGAAGCAATCAGATATGCATATATCTCAGGCAGAGGGATGACTTTGAGTTCTGTTCTTTGTTCCATACCTGTGAATATAAGCTATCAATTTACATTGTCAGGGTGAAATGAAACAGAACTGTTTTAGGGTAAAAATCTTGGAGCCCACAATTTGTGGGCAAATTGTGAGAGAGGTGCGATGCTTTTTTTTTTTTTTAAATCTTTGTAGCTATCTTATGTAGACACGAAATGGGAGGCAGGTTTGTGTGACCCAGTTCCCAGACTGACTTTTCCGTTTGGCTTATTTAGTTTAGGGTCTTGAGATTTATTTTCCTTTCACAGGGGCAAGAGGGCCCTGGGAAGATCAAGGCTGAGCGTCCAGGTTCCACAGAATGGAGTCACTGAGGGGCAATTGTAGAATAAGAGAGTGTGGAAAGTAGAAAAGTTCCTCTTCAGAGCTCGTCTTAGTTTAAAAATAAAATAATAGACACTAGAGATAATAGCTTCTTGCTCTAAAGCCCCCTATCAACTATTAGTTCTTACACTTTAGCCCACTTAGTTGCTTTGCCTTACTCAGGCATGTCTGGACAGGCCCCAGCAAGTCTTAGTTCATAGCTCATGCCCCTTCCTTATTTGGAAATGTTATTGCTTCTTTAAACCTTTCATAAGCAATTTCCTCTCCTTTTTTGTTCTCCCTTGCACTTACCTATTTAGGAAAGTTTCAGGTTGTTAGCAAATCAGGTATCAGTTTAAGATTGTGAGGTCCAGGTCCAGCCAATGGATGCAGGACACAGCAGAAGGATGACCCAAATGCATAAGGGATAAATATGTCTGCTTTTCATTTGTTCAAGTGTACTCTCATCATTGTTCCATCTGCGAGGATATCAGGGGAAATTCAGCCAGATATCGGGCAAAATTCAGCCAGATATTGGGTGAAATTCACCCCCAATATTTCACGTAGGTTCTTTTCTATATTCCCTAAGTGTCAACTGGTCTGAGAAATAAAGGGACAGAGTACAAAAGAGAGAAATTTTAAAGCTGGGAGTCAGGGGGAGACATCACATGTCAGCAGGTTCTGTGATGCCCCCTGAGCCGCAAAACTAGCAAGTTTTTATTAGTGATTTTCAAAAAGGGAGGGAGTGTATGAATAGGGTGTGGGTCACAGAGATCACATGCTTCACAAGGTAATAGACTATCACAAGGCAAATGGAGGCAGGGCGAGATCACAGGACCACAGGACTGGGGCAAAATTAAAATTGCTAATGAAGTTTCAGGCATGCATTGTCATTGATAACATCTTTAAGGAGACAGGGTTTGAGAGCAGACAACTGGTCTGACCAAAATTTATTAGGCGGGAATTTCCTTGTCCTAATAAGCCTGGGAGCGCTATGGGAGACTGGGGCTTGTTTCATCCCTACAGCTCGACCATAAAAGACGGCCGCCCACCGAAGCGGCCATTTCAGAGGCCTACCCTCAGGGATTCATTCTCTTTCTCAGGGATGTTCCTTGCTGAGAAAAAGAATTCAGCAATATTTCTCCTATTTGCTTTTGAAAGAAGAGAAATATGGCTCTGTTCTGCCTGGCTCACCGGCGGTCAGAGTTTAAGGTTATCTCTCTTGTTCCCTGAACATTGCTGTTATCCTGTTCCTTTTTCAACGTGCCCAGATTTCATATTTTTCAAACACACATGGTTCTACAATTTGTGCAGTTAATGCAATCATCACAGGGTCCTGAGGCGACATACATCCTCCTCAGCTTATGAGATGACAGGATTAATAGATTAAAGACACACATAGGAAATCACAAGGGTATTGATTGGGGAAGTGATAAGTGTCCATGAAATCTTCACAATTTATGTTCAGAGACTGCAGTAAAGACAGACATAAGAAATTATACAAGTATTAATTTGGGGGACTAATAAATGTCCATGAAATCTTCACAATCCATGTTCTTCTGCCATGGCTTCAGCTGGTCCCTCCGTTCAGGGTTCCTGACTTCCCACAACACGAGGAGCACCCTTTCTGCAGAAAGTAAAAATGGCCTTGCTGAGAGAATTAAGTTTATGTTCGAGTGTGATTTCTTTGTGGCACTGGGGAACAAGCATTTCTAACAGGATAATGGAATCTGAACAAGGCAGAGCATGCATTAGGAAAACAGAAAACCAGAAGGAGGTCTTGGACAAGAGTGAAATCTCTCACACCCCTACCCACCACCCCCCAAACTCTACCCCCACTTTGCTCCACCCTCCATTTCACCACTCAAGGCCGGACCAAGTCGATGACTCAAACTCCACATTTTGCTGTTTGAAGAGGAAGGGCAGTAATGGCAGGGGCTCCAAGAAAACCCTGTGAAGGACCTCTTTCCTAGTTCAGATCCACCACACACACACTCTTGTCAATGAAAAGAGTCAAACCCTGTAAAATATTTGAAGAGATTTATTCTGAGCCAAATATGAGTGTCCATTGCCTGTGACACAGCCCTCAGGAGACCCTGAGAACATGTGCCCAAAATGGTTGGAGCACAGCTTGGTTTTATATATTTGGGGAGATATGAGACATCAATCAAATGCATTTAAGATATACATTAGTTTGGTCCAGAATGGCGGGACAATTTGAAGTGGGGCTTCCAGGTTCTAGGTAGATTCAGAAGTTTTCTAATTGGCAATTGGTTGAAAGAGTTATTATTAATAGAAAGGAATGTCTGGGTTATGATAAGAGGTTGTGGAGACCAAAGTTTGATCATGCAGATGAAGCCTCCAGGTAGCAGTCTTTGGAGAGAATAGATCGTAAATGTTTTCTGTCAGACTTAAGGTCTGTGTTAATGTTAATGCTGGAGGTTATAATGAGGCATGTCTGACCCTCACTTCCCATCACTGCCAGAACCAGTCTTTCTGGTTAACTTTGGAATGCCCTGGCAGAGAAGTCCATTCAGATGGTTGGGGGAGGCCTGGGGGCTTAGAGTTGTTAGATATGAGTTCTAAATTTCTTTTCAAAGAATATGTCAGTATGTTCTATTCTTTGCCTTCTACTTTTAAACTTAACTTTCTCGTAAAGCAACCTTTTTCGATTACCTACTCCACCCTGACTCATTCTGATCACCTGCTCCACCCTACATTCCAATCACCTGCTCCACCCTAACTCATTCCAATTACCTGCTATCTGCTCTGCCCTGACTCCTGCCAAAGCACTCACCTTGTCATTCTCTTTAAATTAGCCAACTGGAATTAGTTTTGCCTGTGCGGTCTAACCCTAGCCAATAAGGGAATGACACAGCAGCAGAGGCCACGTGCGTCAGGGATAAGAACCCCTTCCTCTCCCTTGTCCAAGTGTGCGCTCACCATTGTTCCATCTGTAAGGGCGCACCCTTCTATATAGAAGTAACTTGCCTTGCTGAGAATTAAAAAGAAAATTTTATATTTGAGTGCTATTTCTTTTGTGTCACCAAAACTTTATATATAACAATTTGGGGGCTTGTCTAGGATTACATCCCCCTCCGAGGATGGTCTCTGGTTCTCTCTCATGAGGAGGTGCACCCTGCCCTATTGTGGCGGCCTCAGGGGTGAGAAATCAAGACCCACCCAGTGCAAGGAATAACTCGAGCTCTCAGCAATGCAGAAAAAAAAAAAAAACTGGCCAGCAACCTAGCTTAAAGGATCCTCACATACTGTGGCGACAACTCTGTGCACTGACCAAGGAAGGCGAAGCTGCGGGAGCCGGTAAAGCACTTCCTTGGTGGTCAAATTCTGGAGGGCTAAATGTGTGTGTGCGTGAATGATCACAAACAACCCTGCTTGCGGTGTTGTTCATGTGGATGGTGACAAGTCCTGCTGGATGGGGTGAGTGGGTCCTCTCTGTGGTTCCATAGCTACTTCATATGGCTTAGGGCGGATCCTGCCATAGGATTTATACTGGTATGCCAACACTAAAAAGGGCCTGATTCTACCTTGGGGGAGCAGCCAGAGAGGAGGGCATGAGTGGGAAGTGTGCAAAGGACCTTCAGAGGAGGAAAGGGGAGAAACAGGTCAACCTTCCAGGACAGGCAAAACACTCCCTGGTTTGAGGGGTTGAACCTTCCAGGACAGGCAAGATACCCCCTGGTTTGAGAGGTTGAGCCTTCCAGGGCAAGCAAGGCAAGATGCCCCCTGGTTTGAGTGATTGAGTCTTCCAGGACAGGCAAGACACCCCATGGTTTGAGGGGTTGAGCCTTCCAGGACAGGAAAGGTTAGACGCCCCCTGATTTGAGGGGTTGAGCCTTCCCGGACAGGCAAGGCAAGACACCCCCTGGTTTGAGGGGTTGAGCCTTCTGGGACAGGCAAGGCAAGACATCCCTCGTGTTGAGGGGTTGAGAATTCTGCTAATTTCAAGGGTTGAACCTGAAACAACCCCCCGCTTCCTTTCTTCTCAGGGGAAGAAAGAGTAGCTCAACTCCTGTAGGTCCCTACCCTAGGGGAAGAGAGAAAGAGAGAGAGATAGAGAGGAGAGAGAGGGAGATAGGATAGAGAGAGACAGAGAGGAGAGAGAGAGAGACAGTGAGGAGAGAGAGAGAGACAGAGGAGAAAAAGAGAGACAGAGGAGAAAAAGAGGGACAAAGGAGAAGAAGATATAGCAGGACGAGCTGCAGACAAAACTCCTCAGACACCGAGTTAAAGAAGGAAGGGGTTTATTTGGCCGGGAACATCGGCAAGGCTCCTGTCTCAAGAGCCAAGCTCCCTGAGTGAGCAATTCCTGTCGCTTTTAAGGGCTCACAACTCTAAGGGGGTCTGCATAAGTGGGTCGTGATCGATTGAGCAAGGAGTGGGTACGTGACAGGGGCTGCATGCACCAGTGGTCAGAGTGAAACAGAACAGACTGGGAAGTTTCACAGTGTCTTTTCTATACAATGTCTGGAATATATAGATAACATAACCAGTTAAGTCAGGGGTCAACTTTTAACTACGAGGCTTAGGTCAGGCAGGCCCAGGCCTCATTTCAGGTCTGGTTCCTTGGTTTCAGGTCTGGTTCCTAGGCGCTGGGCTACCTGCCATTTGTTTTTCTTTTCTTTTCTGAGTATAAAATAATATAAAACAATATGAGAGGGTCTGTCTCTCTTCTCTCATTTCCCCCCTTTGAGACTCTCACTTTTTATTAGTGGGAGTTCTCACTCTTATTTTCACTACTTATGTCTTCCTGTGCAATAGGTTGATAATGATTCATATAGTACACTTGTGCTGATACATAACATGAAGTGACATTAACAGACTGGGCTATATGCTCGGCTAATTGCAAGAACAAATTTCTTGTTTTTCCTGGAATTTCTGGTACTGGCATATTCAGTTCATCATAGAAGGTTTGAAATACTGGCTCAGGAGAGTGTTTATAAACTTTTTCTCAAACCACGATATTTACTTGAAGATCCAGTCCAGCTCCATCAATTTCAGGGTTATACATTCTCTTTTATCTAGCAAGGATTAAGGGGGTTGGTTATAACTAGTTCTAAGGGATTACACTGACCACTGGTATAGGAAGGGCCAGTTTTCCCTTGCTGAAGGTGGACAGGATTTTTTCATTTTTTTTTTATTCAAGTAGCCTAAATGACACAAGACCAGTATCTACATTTATTTTCACACAGTCTTAATTCATGATAAACGTACTTATTTTTTGCCATATAGTCTATTTTCTAATTAAGAGAACCACATCCTATTTTTAATTTATTATTATTAATGACAGCACAGGCATCAAATTTTAAGGTGACTTGTTTGGGCATCTCTTTTTTTTGTTTTATTTTGGCTAACACTTTACTCATATTGTTTATGAGCCCCCACCAGTCTTCAGTTCTTAATCTTATTTTAAAAACTGTGGTCATGGGAGGCTCAGATGGGTCATAACACACATCAGGTTGGTCATTTCCTGGGCTAAATACATTATTTGTATATTGTATTATAAATAATTGTATAGAATAACATTATAAAAACAAGTTCTTTTTAGAGTTCCAGTACACTTATAATAACTGTAAAATAATAGGACTGTAGCAACCTTTTGTCCTACCTCAGTGACTTGATGTATACTCTGGGAACAGCCCTCAGTCTGAGGAAGGTCAGTTGAAGTCTTTACTGTACAAGTCTAAATTTTAAGGAAAATGAGTCCTGTGATGAGTTTCCTCATGCTTCAGCCATGCGTGGACTAGTCAGCTTCCAGATGTGACTGGAGCAGGGTTTGTGGTCTTCTTCAGAGTCACTTTGCAGGGGTTGGCAAAGCTGCTCCCATCCACGTACAGCTCCCAGTCTACTGATGTTCAACGATGGTCTTGGAGGTTGGGCCTACTAGAATAAACTGAGTCTAATACCTCTACATAGTTATGTTTAACTGGGCTCTCTGATACTGGGAGCAAGGTGGCAGGGTTTAGGGTGTTGTAAACTTCAATGGTTATGTGGGGATTTTTCACAGAGCAAGCTTTGGTATCTAGTTAGTCTAGCATTTGTTAACTAATGATGTCCTTTGGTATTTAGAATGCTTCCAGCTTTTGCCCATTCAGTATGATATTGACTGTGGGTTTGTCATAAATAGTTATTATTATTTTGAGATATGTTCCATCAATACCTAGTTTACTGAGAGTTTTTAACATGAAGGGATGTTGAATTTTATTGAAGGCCTTTTCTGCATCTTTTGAGATAATCATGTGGTTATTGTCATTGGTTATGTTTATGTGATGGATTACATTTATTGATTTGCGTATGTTGAACCAGCCTTGCATCCCAGAGATGGACCCAACTTGATCATGGTGGATAAGCTTTTTGATGTGCTGCTGTATTCGGTTTGCCAGTATTTTATTGAGGATTTTTTGCGTCATTGTTCATCAGGGATATTGGCCTGAAATTTTCTTTTTTTGTTGTGTCTCTGCCAGGTTTTAGTATCAGGATGATGCTAGCCTCATAAAATGAGTTAGGGAGGAGTCCCTCTTTTTCAATTGTTTGAAAGTTTCTGAAGGAAAGTTACTGATTTTTTGTACCTGTGGTAGAATTCAGCTGTGAATCCATCTGGTCCTGGGCTTTTTTTGCTTGGTAGGTGATTTATGACTGTCTCAATTTCAGAACTTGTTATTGGTCTATTCAGGGATTCAACTTCTTCCTGGTTTAGTCTTGAGAGGGTGTATGTGTCCAGGAATTTACCAATTCCTTCTAGATTTTCTAGTTTATTTGTATAGAAGTGTTTATAGTATTCTCTGATGGTAGTTTGCATTTTCTTGGGGTCAGTGGTGATATTCCCTTTATCTTTTTTTATTATGTCTATTTGATTCTTCTCTCTTTTCTTCTATATTAGTTTAGCTAATGGTCTATCTATTTTGTTAATCTTTTCAAAAAACCACCTCCTGGATTCATTGATTTTTCTGAAGGGTTTTTCTTGTCTCTCCCTCTTTCAATTGTACTCTGATCTTAGTTATTTCTTGTCTTCTGCTACTTTTGGGTTTGTTTGCTCTTGCTTCTCTAGTTCTTTTAATTGGGATATTAGGGTGTTGATTTGAGATCTTTCTAGCTTTCTGATGTGGGCATTTAATGCTATAAATTTCCCTCTTAACACTGCTTTAGCTGTGTCCCAGAGATTCTGGTATGTTGTCTCTTTGTTCTCACTGGTTTCAAATAACTTCTTGATTTCTGCCTTAATTTCATAATTTGCCCAGGAATCATTCAGGAGCAGGCTGTTCAATTTCCATGTAGTTGTGTGGTTTTGAGTGAGTTTCTTAATCCTGAGTTCTAATTTGATTACACTGTGGTCTGACAGACTGTTGTAATTTCAGTTCTTTTGCATTTGCTGAGGAGTGTTTTACTTCCAATTATGTGGCCAATTTTAGAGTAAGTGCCATGTGACACTGCGAATAATATATATTCTGTTGTTTTGGGGTGGGGAGTTCTGTAGATATCTATTAGGTCCACTTGATCCAGAGTTGAGTTCAAGTCCTGAATATCCTTATATCCTTTTAATTTTTTTTTCCTTTTTTTTTTTTTTTTTGAGACAGAGTCTCACTCTGTTGCCCAGGCTGGAGTGCAGTGGCACAAACTCGGCCCACTGCAGCCTCCATCTCCTGAGTTAAAGTGATTCTCCTGCCTCTGCCCCCTGAGTAGCTGGGATTACAGGCGCCTGCCACCACATCCGGCTAATTGTTGTATTTTTAGTAGAGACAGCATTTCACCATGTTGGTCAAGCTGGTCTCGAACTCCTGACCTCATGATCCACCTGCCTCAGCCTTCCAAAGTGCTGGGATTACAGGCATGAGCCACTGCACCAGGCCATATCCTTTTAGTTTTGTGTCATTGATCTGTCTAATAGTGACAGTGGGATGTTAAATCTCCCAGTATTATTGTGTGGGAGTCTAAATCTCTTTGTAGGTTTGTAGGAACTCATTTTATGAATCTGGGTGCTCCCATATTAGTTACATGTATATTTAGGATAGTTAGCTTTTCTTCTTGTTGAATTTATCCCTTTACCATTATATAATGTCCTTCTTTGTCTTTTTTGATCTTTGTTAGTTTAAAGTCTGTTTTGTCAGAGACTGGGATTGCAACCCCTGCTTTTTTCTGCTTTCCATTTGCTTTGTAAATTTTCCTCCATCCCTTTATTTTGAACCTATGTGTGTCTTTGCACACGAGCTGGGTCTCTTGAATACAGCACACTGATGGGTCTTGACTCTATCCAATTTGCCAGTTTTTGTCTTTTAATTTGGGCATTTAGTCTATTTACATTTAGGGTTAATGTTGTTATGTGTGAATTTGATCCTGTCATCATGATGCTAGCTGGTTATTTTTCACACTAGTTGATGCCATTTCTTCATAGTGTCATTGGTCTTTACATTTTTGTGTGTTTTGCCATGGCTGGTACCGGTTTTTCTTTTTCATATTAAGTGTTTCCTTTAGGAGCTCTTGCAAGGCATGCCTGGTGGTGAGGAAGTCCCTCAGCATTTGCTTTTCTGAAAAGGATTCAATTTCTCCTTTGCTTATGAAGCTTAGTTTGGCTGGACATGAAATTCTTGGTTGAAAAAAGTCTTTTTGTTAAGAATGTTGAATATTGGCCTCCACTGTCTTCTGGTTTGTAAGGGTTTCTGCTGAGGAATCTCCTGTTAGTCTGATGGGCTTCCCTTTGTAAGTAACCTGAACTTTCTCTCTGGCTGCCCGTAACATTTTTTCCTTCATTTCGACCTTGGAGAATCTAATGATTATCTGTCTTGAGGTTGATCTTCTTGTGGACTATCTTAGTGGGGTTCTCTGTAATTCCTGAATTTGAATGTTGGCCTGTTTTCTCAGTTGGGGAAGTTCTCCTGGATAATATCAAGTTTTCCAACTTGATTCCATTATCCTTGTCTTTTTCAGGTACTCCAATCAGTTTTAGGTTCATTTTTTTAATAGTTCCACATTTCTTGGAGGTTTTGTTCATTCCTTTTTATTCTTTTTTCTCTAATCTTGTCTGCCTGCCTTATTTCAGCAAGATAGTCTTCCATCTCTGATATTTTTTCTTCTACTTGATTGATTGGGCTATTGATACTTGTATATGCTCCACGAAGTTCTCTTGCTGTGTTTTTCAGCTCCATCCGGTCATTTATGTACATCTCTAAACTGGTTATTCTAGGTAGCAGCTCCTCTAACCTTTTTTTAAGGTTTGTAACTTCTTTGCATTGAGTTAGAACATGCTCCTTTACCTCAGTGAAGTTTGTTATTACCCTCCTTCTGAAGCCTACTTCTGTGAATTCGTCCATCTCATCCTCTGTCCAGTTCTGTGCCCTTGCTGGAGAGATGTTGCAATCATTTAGAGAAGAGGCAGTCTGTCCTCTTCTCTAACGCTGAGTTAGATTTTTTTTTGTTGACTCTTTCTCATCTTCATGAGTTTATCTAGTTTCAATCTTTGAGGCTGCTGACCCTTGGATGAGGTTTTCGTGGGTACTTGTTTTGTTGATGCTGTCGTTGCTTTTTGTTTTTTTGTTTTTCTTTCAATAGTCAGATTCCTCTTCTGTAGGGCTACTGCAGTTTGCTGGGGGTTCACTTCAGTCACTATTCATCTGGTTTGCTCCCACACCTGGAGATGTCACTCGAGCCTGGAGAACAGCCAAGGCCTGCTCCTTTCTCTGGAATCTCTGACCTTGAGGGACACCAACCTGATGCCAGTAGGAACGCTCCTGTATAGGATATCTGACAGCTCCTGCTGGGGGGTCTGACCCAGTTGGGTGGCACAGGAAGCAGGACCCATTTAACATAGCACTTTGGCTGTCCCTTGGTGAAGGAGGTTTGCTGCATTTGGGGGAAACCCACTCGTCTGGGCTGCCCGGATTCCTCAGAGCTAGAAGGAGGAAAGAATAAGTCTGCTGGTCCGCGGAGACTATGGGCACCCCTCCGCCTAGGGGCTCAGGTCCAGGGAGATCAGAGTTCTGTACCTAAGCCCCTGAGTGGAGTTGGAGTTCCCGCAGGGAGGTCCTGCAGCTTCAGTGTTGGCAGCTGCCCCTCCACCAAGGATCTCAGATGGCTTAGATGGCAGACAGCCACAGCAGTGGTGATGGCTGCCCCTCTCCCTGGGAACTCAGCAGGCTTAGGCCGATTCTAGCCAAGTGGCTGTTGAGAATCTGCGCAGCTCCCTGATTGAGACCCAAGGCCCCAGTGGCGTGGGCTCCCGAGTGGGATCTTCCGATCCGTGGGTTGCACAGTTTTGTGGAAAAAGCATGAGTGAGGGTAGCACTCTCACTCACCACCTCCCTTGGCTGGGAGTGGGGGCTCCTCTGCCCCTTGTCACTCTCAGGTGGGCTGCCGCACCACACTGCTCTTCTTTTCTCTGATTGGGTCATGCCAACCACCTAGTCAGTCCTAATGACAGAATCTGGATATCTCGGTTGCTGGTGCAGGATTTTCGTGCCATTTTGGATCTTTTCAATGGGAGCCTCCAATTGCCACTGCTTCTAGTTGGCCATCTTGGCACCCCCCCCCCCCCTTTTAAGTATTTTATATTATAAAATCTGACTGGGCATGGTGGTTCACGCCTGTAATTCCAGCACTTTGGGAGGCCAAGGCGGGTGGATCACTTGAGGCCAGGAGTTTGAGACCAGCCTGGCCAACATGGTAAAACCTGTCTCTACCAAAAAATACAAAAATTAGCTGGGTATGGTGATGCATGCCTGTAGTCCCAGCTACTTGAGAGGCTGAGGCAGGAGAAACGCTTGAACCTGGGAGGTGGAGGTTGCAGTGAGCCAAGATAACACCACTGTACTCCAGCTTGGGGTGACAGAGTGAGACCCTGTCTTAAAAAAAAAATAAAGTCTATTGTCTCTACTTAATATTTTCTATCTGTGTCACATGTACATTTCCTGTACTCTAGACTTTGCTTCAGATTGTCCATCTCATTCTCTCTCTCTCTCTTTTTAACTACACCAAGTCAAGTCTTTCTTCCACAGAAGCAACTCATACTGAATAGAAATATGCAAATTATGGCTACCATGCCAGATTTAGACCACTTTCTCTTTCTATATGACCTATGAGTGCCTTTCTTGGATTATTGGTTGTAACTTTTTTGATTTTTTTTGTTTTGATTTTTAAATTTTTTTGTGGAGACAGGATCTCACTGTGTTGCTCAGGCTTGTCTCCAACTCCTGGCCTCAAGTGATCCTCCCTCCTTGGCCTCCCAAAGTGCTGGGATTACAGGCATGAGCCACTGCACCTGGCCTGATGGTTGTTTTATGGTTCATCATATTCATGTTTGACTTACAGGCTACCTTCAAGTAGTATTATGCCATCTCATGTATAATATACAAACTTTATAAGATGCTTCCCTTTAGCTCTTCCCAGCTTCCATGCTTATCATACTTTTTACTCCTACATGTTATAAACTCCACAATACATTATTTTCTTGCTTCAAAGGGTCAGTGACTTTTCAATGAGTTCAGAAATAAGATTAATATATATGTTTACTCACATATCTACCATTTCCATTGTTTTGTTTATTTGTATTTACCCAGATTTCTGTTATCTTTTTTTGTGTGTGACAATTTTATCATTGTATACCCTTGGCGTGCTTATCTCTATGTTGTTTTTTTCTGTAAGAGGTTTAGATGTCCCCAAGCCTATGATTCTTCTGATAACAGCTGCAAATTTGGGTGTCCCCAAGAAAACCCACAGGTTCAGTAATCCTAGAAGGAATTAAGAACTTAGAAAAGGCTTTATATTCACAGTTATGATTTATTACTATGAAAAGCTCAAATAAAATTAACCAAGGAACAGGGTGCATAGCACAGGATCTGTGAACCACCTGGCACAAGTTTCTAGTTGTTTGCTCTTTGTGGAGCCTTGTGGTCATTGTCTATTTCTGCCAACAATACATATCAGTACCCACAGGACATTGACAACACAAGGATCTCATTCGAGTCTGTGTTCAAAGTTTTTATTACAGTTTGGCTCTTTCCTTTGTAAACTGCCCAGTCTCAGAAATGTTGGCCTCGTCCCTCTGATGCCGAGCCAAAGCTGGACTGTACTGCTGCCATCTCGGCTCACTGCAACCTCCCTGCCTGATTCTCCTGCCTCAGCCTGCCGAGTGCCTGCGATTGCAGGTGCGCGCCGCCACACCTGACTGGTTTTCGTATTTTTTGGTGGAGACGGGGTTTCGCTGTGTTGGCCGGGCTGGTCTCCAGCTCCTAACTGCGAGTGATCCGCCAGCCTCGGCCTCCCGAGGTGCCGGGATGGCAGACGGAGTCGCGTTCACTCAGTGCTCAATGGTGCCCAGGCTGGAGTGCAGTGGCGTGATCTCTGCTCGCTACAACCTCCACCTCCCAGCTGCCTGCCTTGGCCCCCCAAAGTGCCGAGATTGCAGCCTCTGCCCGGCCGCCACCCCGTCTGGGAAGTGAGGAGCGTCTCTGCCTGGCCGCCCATCGTCTGGGATGTGAGGAGCCTCTCTGCCTGGCTGCCCAGTCTGGAAAGTGAGGAGCGTCTCTGCCCGGCCGCCATCCCATCTAGGAAGTGAGGAGCGTCTCTGCCAGGCCGCCCATCGTCTGAGACGTGGGGAGCGCCTCTGCCCTGCCGCCCCATCTGGGATGTGAGGAGCGTCTCTGCCCGGCCGCCCCGTCTGAGAAGTGAGGAGACCCTCTGCCTGGCAACTGCCCCGTCTGAGAAGTGAGGAGCCCCTCCGCCCGGCAGCCACACCGTCTGAGAAGTGAGGAGCCCCTCCGCCCGGCAGCCACCCCGTCTGGGAAGTGAGGAGCGTCTCCGCCCGGCAGCCACCCTGTCCGGGAGGGAGGTGGGGGTCACCCCCCGCCTGGCCAGCCACCCTGTCCGGGAAGGAGGTGGGGGGGACAGCCCCCCGCCCGGCCAGCCGCCCTGTCCGGGAGGGAGGTGGGGGGGTCAGCCCCCCGCCCGGCCAGCCGCCCCGTCCGGCAGGTGAGGGGCGCCTCTGCCCGGCCGCCCCTACTGGGAAGTGAGGAGCCCCTCTGCCCGGCCAGCCGCCCCGTCCGGGAGGGAGGTGGGGGGGTCAGCCCCCCGCCTGGCCAGCCGCCCCCTCCGGGAGGGAGGTGGGGGGTCAGCCCCCCCACCCGGCCAGCCGCCCCATCTGGGAGGTGAGGGGCGCCTCTGCCCCGCCGCCCCTACTGGGAAGTGAGGAGCCCCTCTGCCTGGCCAGCTGCCCCTTCCGGGAGGGAGGTGGGAGGGTCAGCCCCCCGCCCGGCCAGCCGCCCCATCCGGGAGGTGAGGGGCGCCTCTGCCCGGCCGCCCCTACTGGGAAGTGAGGAGCCTCTCTGCCCGGCCACCACCCCGTCTGGGAGGTGTACTCAACAGCTCATTCAGAACGGGCCATGATGACAATGGCGGTTTTGTGGAATAGAAAGGGGGGAAAGGTGGGGAAAAGACTGAGAAATCGGATGGTTGCCGTGTCTGTGTAGAAGGAGGTAGACATGGGAGACTTTTCATTTTGTTCTGTACTAAGAAAAATTCTTCTGCCTTGGGATCCTGTTGATCTGTGACCTTACCCCCAACCCTGTGCTCTCTGAAACATGTGCTGTGTCCACTCAGGGTTGAATGGATTAAGGGTGGTGCAAGATGTCCTTTGTTAAACAGATGCTTGAAGGCAGCATGCTCGTTAAGAGTCATCACCACTCCCTAATCTCAAGTACCCAGGGACACAAACACTGCGGAAGGCCGCAGGGTCCTCTGCCTAGGAAAACCAGAGACCTTTGTTCACTTGTTTATCTGCTGACCTTCCCTCCACTATTGTCCTGTGACCCTGCCAAATTCCCCTCTGCGAGAAACACCCAAGAATGATCAATAAAAAAAAAAAAAAAAAAAAAGAAATGTTGGCCTCAAAAAAAAAACAAAAAAAAAACAAAGTTTTTATTACAGTTTGGTTATGTAGACTTGCTGACTACATGTCTAGATTTTGGTTATGTTGACTACCAATGTGGCTGCCTTTTTATGAAGGTACCCTCTTAGGAGGGCACCCATGTGACCTCTTGTGAGGTCATAAGAGTTGAGACCTTTAATCCAGTAGGATTGATGGTCTTATAAGAAGAGGAAGAGAGAGATCTAGCTATTTCTGTTATGTGAGTACACATCAAGAAGGCTGTGTCATATGTAAACCAGGAGGAGAGACCTCATTAGGAAGTGATTTGTCTGGCATCTGGATCTTGGACTTTTCAGCCTCCAGAATTGTGAGCAACAAAATTTCTGTTGTTTAAGTCACCCAGTCCGTGGAATGTGTTATGGCAGACACAGCTGACTAATACAGGGAGGAAGGACCAGGTTTTAGGTGAACAGAAATATAACCTACCACACACTGTCTATTCTTGTTTAATTTTCCACATAAGTGTTCTTCTGGCTTATCAATATCTAAGAATGTGTTATTTTCATAGGATGATATTAAAGTACTTCACTGACTTAGGGAAAATTGGCATCTTTGTGATGTAGACTCTTCCTGTTCATAAACATAATATATCTTTTTATTTGCTTAATTATCTTTCGTATCCCTCACTTTTCCCCCTGCCACCATATAGCTCTATACTAATTTTGTTAAATGTACTGCTAGGTGTGTTGTCCTGTGGTTGTAATAGGAATGTTATTACATGTATGAAGACACTTGTAGTCTGTTTATACATTGAGCTTTCTTTCTTTCTTTCTATTTTATTGAGATGAAATTTCACTCTTGTTGCCAGACTGGAGTGCAATGGCGTGATCTCGGCTCACCGCAACCTCCACCTCCTAGGTTCAAGCAATTCTCCTGCCTCAGCCTCCCAAGTAGCTGGGATTACAGGCATGTGCCACCATGCGCGGTTAATTTTTGTTTAGTAGAGATGGGGATTTTCCATGTTGGTCAGGCTGGTCTCAAACTCCTGACCTCAGGTGATCCGCCTGCCTCGGCCTCCCAAAGTGCTGGGATTACAGGTGTGAGCCACCGTGCCCAGCATATTGAGCTTTCTTATTTGGAATAGTTTTAAGAAGATCCTCGTGGGTTTTCTAGGTTTAAATTACATGCAAATCATAGTCTTTCTCATTTTTGTTTCTCTTCATTTGAATTGAACAGTACCTCTTGTACAGTGGTAAATATTTGTAGAGATGGGGCATATGTATCTTCCAGTATTTCCTCATTAACTACGAAGCTGCTCTTTGGGCCAAGATATGTTGATTTTAACACGTTGAAGAATGTCATGTGTCCTTTTTTATTGACTTTTTATTACAAATGGGATGATATATTTAAATATATCTTCTCGATGTCTGTGTGATCACAGGACTTTTTTCATAAACCTGTGAATATTATGAAATATATTTATAGATTTTATTTCTTCTCAGTTGTCATGGTCTATTTCTCTTCCTCCATTGGTAAATATCAGTGTTTCCTCAGATTCTGTACTTGCTCCTTTTGTCCTTCCAATCTCTTAGGTTCTCTTTGAGCTATTTTATTCAAGCTGCTGGCTTCAGCTACCACTGAAATTCTGTTTGCTTTTCAAATCTTTACCTTGAGCTTAGATCTCTCTCCTGAGCTCTAGATTGTGAATCATTTCCAGATGAACATCCCCACATATCTGACTGCAGAAATTTCAGATTGTGTATCCAAGATCATTTTTTGCTTTTCCTTATCATATTCTTTGTTCTTTTCTCAATTTCAGTTTACAACATCAGTATCTACCTAGCTGGTGATGAGACAGCATGGAATTGAACTCCACTTTTCACCCTCAGCACAACAAATTAGGTCAGAATTCTATTCTGCTTTTGCTTTCGTTTTCTTTTTTTCAAGATTAGTTTCCTATTCTGTACTTTTATTGGCCTGTATCCTGATATAGATGGTCATGTCTCACCCTGGTTTCTTCCCCTCTGACTCTCCCTTTAGTCCTTGCCCTGTCTCCTGGCAAGGAATGACTGTGGAAATGCAAATCTGAGCAAGCACCTTACCACATTTTATTTTCCTTTATTACTTGTATCCTGTGTTTTAGGAAGTGGGTGATTACTTTTATGTGAACATTTAGCAGTTTTTTTTAATGTAGTAGGGAAACATAAGGATGCCTGTGAACATACTTTCTAAGTAATTTTTTAAAATCAGTGAGCACATGAAGTTTCTTTTGTTGGAATTAGGTCAAGTATTGAAATGCAGAATCACTTGATAATCATGCCTTGCATATCTTCGTCTCTTGTCACAGCTGGGAAACACTCACTCAAGCATGGTACTCTTTGTAGTTCCATTTATACTTATGACTTTTTTCTTTCTTTCTTTTTTTCTTTTTGAGACGGAGTCTCACTGTGTCACCCAGGCTGGAGTGCAGTGGTGCAATCTCGGCTCACTGCAAGCTCTGCCTCCCAGGTTTACGCCATTCTCCTGCCTCAGCCTCCCAAGTAGCTGGGACCACAGGGGCCCGCCACCACGCCCAGCTATTTTTTTTATATTTTTAGTAGAGACGGGGTTTCACCGTTTTAGCCAGGATGGTCTTGATCTCCTGACCTCGTGATCTCCCACCTTAGCCTCCCAAAGTGCTGGGATTACAGGTGTGAGCCACTGCACACAGCCGGAGGACCAGAATTTTTATCTTGACTTTATCCCTAGCAGCAGGGACAATTCCAGATCTGTAAGGGAAAGTGTTTAGTAGAACTTTTCATAATTAGTAAATTAGTAGCAGGATGCTTCTACTGTTATTTTTCTTTTTCCCATCATAGAGTAAAAAGCAAGCTATATCTCACGTAAGACACATGCACACACACGAGTGAACAACACCAAGACTTTGTGTTCTCATGATGCAGCGGTGATGTGAGGATAAATGTGCCTTGTATTCTTAAAATAATCTAGAGGAAAGAAAGTGTTATCAAGAAAATTATGAGAGAACATATGTTCACTGGAGATACTGGTCTTGCTGACTCTAGGGTGGCAGAGACAGAAGAAAATCTGCATGTACATGGACCCATGTGGTTCAAATCCATGTTGTTCAAGAGTCAGCTGTAATTAAATGATTACACTTGAGGATATTTCTACCATGATTTTTCTTTCTCACACCATATAGACTACAAAGCAAACTCCATCTTATATGACATGTATATAAGACACACAGAGAAGAGTGGTCTCCATGATTCTTGTTCTTGTGACCCAGGGCTGGTGACCTGAGGAGAAATATGCCATTACAGGAGTTGGTGTCCTTTGAGGATGTGGCTGTGGGCTTCACCTGGGAAGAGTGGCAGGACTTGGATGATGCTCAAAGGACTCTGTACAGGGACATGATGCTGGAGACCTACAGCAGCTTGGTGTCCTTGGGTGAGTGAATATCACAATAACTCCCAGGAGCAAGTGCTTTCTTCTCTGCTAGTAAGTATATGGACACGTATACAGTTTAATGTTATTTAATATTCCAGATCATGAGTAACGTGTCAGCCCCCTCTAATGAAAGGTTCAAACTGGCCCTTTCACTGCACAGCTCCTGAATCCAAGCTGTTGTCATTCTTCAAAGGACCTGATTTTGCAGTTCCCAGGTTCACACCATTCTCCTGCCTCAACCTCCCGAGTAGCTGGGACTACAGGTGCCTGCCACCATGCCCGGCTAATTTTTTGTATTTTTAGTAGAGATGAGGTTTCACTGTGTCAGCCAGGATGGTCTCGATCTCCTGACCTCATGATCTGCCCGCCTCAGCCTCCCAAAGTGCTGGGATTACAGGTGTGAGCCACTGCGCCTGGCCTAGTCTCACATTTTTTATTAACAGGGTACCACATTACCAAACCTGAGGTGATCTTCAACCTGGAGCAAGGAGAACCTTGGATGGTAGAGGACACCAGAGCCTCCCAGGTTAGTGATTACATATAGTGCAGGGAGATGGAGAAGAGGAAAACCCAGCAGATGTTGACTTTTTAAAGGTTTTTTTTTTTTTTTTTTTTTTAAGACAGGGCCTTGCTCTGTCACCCAGGCTGGAGCGCAGTGACATGATCTCGGCTCACTGCAACCCCCACCTCCTGGACTCAAGCGATTCTCCTGCCTCAGCCTCCTGAGTAGCTGGGATTACAGACACCTGCCACCATGCCTGGCTAATTTTTTTTTTCTTTTTTGGAGAATTTTTTTTTTAATACTTTAAGTTCTGGGATTCCATGGGCAGAACGTGCAGGTTTGTTACATAGGTATACATGTGCCATGGTGGTTTGCTGCACTCATCAACCCATCATCTACATTAGGTATTTCTCCTAAGGCTATCCCTCCCCTTGCCCCCGACCCCGCGACAGGCCCTGGTGTGTGATGTTCCCCTCCCTGTGCCCATATGTTCTCATTGTTCAACTCCCACTTATGAGTGAGAACATGCAGTGTTTGCTTTTCTGTTTCTGTGTTAGTGTGCTGAGAATGATGGTTTCCAGCTTCATCCATGTCCCTACAAAGGACATGAACTCATTTTTATGGCTGCATATTATTCCATGGTGTATATGTGCCACATTTTCTTTATCCAGTCTAACATTAATGGGCATTTGGGTTGGTTCCAAGTCTTTGCTATTGTGAATAGTGCCACAATAAACATACATGTGCATGTGTCTTTATAGTAGAATGCTTTATAATCCTTTGGGTATATACCCAGTAATGGGATTGCTGAGTCAAATGGTATTTCTAGTTCTAGATCCTTGAGGAATCACCACATGGCCTTCTACAATGGTTGAAGTAATTTATACTCTCACCAACAGTGTAAAAGAGTTTCTATTTCTCCACATCCTCTCCAGCATCTGTTGTTTCCTGACTTTTTAATGATCACCATTCTAACTGGCGTGAGATGGTATCTCATTGTGGTTTTGATTTGCATTTCTCTAACGACCAATGATGATGATCTTTTTTTCATATGTTTGTTGGCCACACAAATATCTTCTTTTGAAAAGTGTCTGTTCATATCCTTTACCCACATTTTGATGGGGTTTTTTGTTTTTTTCCTTGTAAATTTCTTTTAAGTTCTTGTAAATTTGTTTTAAGTTCTGGATATTAGCCCTTTGTCAGATGGATAGATTGGAAAAATTTTCTCCCATTCTGTAGGTTGCCTGTTCACTCTGATAATAGTTTCTTTTGCTGTGCAGAAGCTCTTTAGTTTAATTAGATCCCATTTGTCAATTTGGGCTTTGTTGCCATTGTTTTTGGTGTTTTAGTCATGAAGTCTTCGCTCATGCCTATGTCCTGAATGGTATTCCCTAGCTTTTCTTCTAGGGATTTTACGGTTTTAGGTCTTACATTTAAATCTTTTATCCATCTTGAGTTAATTTTGGTATAAGGTTTAAGGGTCCAGTTTCAGTTTTATGCATATGGCTAGCCAGTTTTCCCAACACCATTTATTAAATAGGGAATCCTTTCCTCATTGCTTGTTTTTGTCAGGTTTGTGAAAGATCAGATTGTTGTAGATGTGTGGTGTTATTTCTGAGGACTGTGTTCTGTTCCATTGGTCTATATATCTGTTTTGGTACCAGTACCATACTGTTTTGGTTACTGTAGCCTTGTGGTATAGTTTGAAGTCAGGTCGTGTGATGCCTCCGGGTTTGTTCTTTTTGCTTAGGACCTTTGTCTTGGCTATATGGGCTCTTTCTTGGTTTCATATGAAATTTAAAGTAGTTTTTTCTAATTCTGTGAAGAAAGTCAATGATAGCTTAATGGGGATAACACTGAATTTATAAATTACTTTGGGCACTATGGCTATTTTCACAATATTGATTCTTCCTATCCATGAGCATGGAATGTTTTTCCATTTGTTTGTGTCCTCTCTTATTTCCTTGAGCAGTAGTTTGTAGTTCTCCTTGAAGAGGCCCTTCATATCCCTTGTAAGTTGTATTCCTAGGTATTTTATTCTTTTTGTAGCAATCGTGAATGGGAGTTTGCTCTTGATTTGACTGTCTGTTTTTGGTGTATAGGAATGCTTGTGATTTTTGCACATTGATTTTGTATCCTGAGACTTTGCCGAAGTTGCTTAAGGAGTTTCTGGGCTTAAGGAGTTTTTGTGCTGAGATGATGGGGTTTTCTAAATATACAGTCATGTCATCTGCAAACAGAGATAATTTGACTTCCTCTCTTCCTATTTGAATATGCTTTATTTCTTTCTCTTGCCTGATTGCCCTGGGCAGAACTTCCAATACTATGTTGAATAGGAGTGGTGAGAGAGGCCATCTTTGTCTTGTGCCGATTTTCAAAGGGAATGCTTCCAGCTTTTAGCCATTCAGTATGATATTGGCTGTGGGTTTGTCATAAATAGCTCTTATTATTTTGAGATGTGTTTCATCAATACCTAGTTTACTGAGTGTTTTTAGCACGAAGGAGTGTTGAATTTTATCAAAGGCTTTTTCTGCATCTATTGAGATAGTCATGTGGTTTTTGTTGTTGGTTCTGTTTATGTGATGGGTTACATTTATTGATTTGCATGTGTTGAACCAGCCTTGCATCCCATGGATGAATCTGACTTGATCATGGTGGATAAGCTTTTTGATTTGGTTTGCCAGTATTTTATTGAGGATATTCATGCTGATGTTCATCAGGGATATTGGCCTGAAATTTTCTTTTTTGTTGTTGTGTCTCTGCCAGGTTTTGGTATCAGGATGATGCTGGCCTCATAAAATGAGTTAGGGAGGAGTCCCTCTTTTTCTATTGTTTGAAATAGTTTCAGAAGTAATGGTACCAGCTCCATTTGGTAGAATTCAGTTGTGAATCCATCTGGTCCTGGGCTTTTTTTGGTTGGTAGGCTATAAATTACTGCCTCAATTTCAGAACTTATTATTGGTCTATTCAGGGATTCAACTTCTTCCTGGTTTAGTCTTGGAAGAGTGTATGTGTCCAGGAATTTATCATTTCTTCTAGATTTTCTAGTTTATTTGCATGGAGGTGTTTATAGTATTCTTTGATGGTGGTTTGTATTTCTGTGGGATCAGTGGTGATCTTGTCTTTATCATTTTTTATTGTGTCTATTTAATTCTTCTCTCTTTTCTTCTTTATTAGTCTGGCTAGCAGTCTATTTTGTTAATCTTTTCAAAACCTAGCTCTTGGATTCATTGATTTTTTTTTAAGGTATTTTTTTGTGTCTCTATCTCCTTCAGTTCTGCTCTGATCTTAGTGATTTCTTGTCTTCTGCTAGCTTTTGAATTTGTCTGCCCTTGCTTCTCTTGTTCTTTTAATTGCAATGTTAGGGTTTCAATTTGGATCTTTCCTGCTTTCTCCTGTGGGCATTTAGTGGTATAAATTTCCCTCTAAACACTGCATTAGCTGTGTCCCAGAGATTCTGGTACATTGTGTCTTTGTTCTCATTGGTTTCTAATAACTTATTAATTTCTGCCTTAATTTCATTATTTACCCAGTAGTCATTCAGGAGCAGATTGTTCAGTTTCCATGTAGTTGTGCAGTTTTGAGTGAGTTTCTTAATCCTGAGTTCTAATTTGATTGCACTGTGGTCTGAGAAGACTGTTTGTTATGATTTCCATTATTTTGCATTTGCTGAGGAGTGTTTTACTTATGTGGTTGATTTTAGAATAAGTGCTGTGTGGTGCTGAGAAGAATGTATATTCTGTTGATTTGGGGTGAAGAGTTATGTAGATGTCTATTAGGTTCTTTTGGTCCAGAGCAGAGTTCAAGTCCTGAATATCCTTGTTAATTTTCTGTCTCATTGATCTAATATTGACAGTGGGGTGTTAAAGTCTCCCACTATTATTGTGTGGGAGTCTAAGTCTCTTTGTAGGTCTCTAAGAACTTGCTTTATGAATCTGGGTGCTCCTGTATTGGGTGCATATATATTTAGGATAGTTAGCTCTTCTTGTTGCATTGATCCCTTTACCATTATGTAATTCCCTTCTTTGTCTTTTTTTATTTTTGTTGGTTTAAAGTCTGTTTTATCAGAGACTAGTATTGTAACCCCTGCTTTTTTTGCTTTTCATTTGCTTGGTAAATCTTCCTTCATTCTTTTATTTTGAGCCTATGAGTGCCTTTGCACATGAGATGGGTCTACAGAATACAGCACACCAGTGGGTCTTGACTCTTTATCCAATTTGCCAGTCTGTGCCTTTTAATTGGTGCATTTAGCCCATTTACATTTAAGGTTAACATTGTTATGTGTGAATTTGATCCTAAATTCACTAGTCATTATGATGCTAGCTGGTTATTTTACCCATTAGTTGATGCAGTTTTTTCATAGTGTCGATGGTCTTTACATTTTGGTTTGTTTTGCAGTGGCTGGTACCAGTTTTTCCTTTTTATATTTAATGCTTCCTTCAGGAGTTCTTGTAAGGCAGGCCCAGTGGTGACAGAATCCCTTAGCATTTGCTTGTCTGTAAAGGCTTTTATTTCTCCTTCACTTGTGAAGCTTAGTTTGGCTGGATATGAAATTCTGGGTTGAAAATTCTTTTCTTTAAGAATGTTGAGTATTGGCTCCCACTATCTTCTGGCTTGTAGGCTTTCTGCAGAGACATCCACTGTTAGTGTGATGGGCTTCCCTTTGTGAATAACCTGACCTTTGTCTCTGCCTGCCCTTAACATTTTTTCCTTCATTTCAACCTTAGTGAATCTGATGATTATGTGTCTAGGGGTTTTCTTCTCAAGGATTATCTTTCTGGTGTTCTCTGTTATTTCCTGAATTTGAATGTTGGCCTGTCTTTGTTTGTTGGGGAAGTTCTCCTGGATAATATTCTGAAGTGTGTTTTCCAACTTGGTTTCATTCTCCGCATCACTTTCAGGTACGCCAGTCAAACATACGTTTGGCCATTTCACTTAGTCCCATATTTCTTAGAGGTTTTATTCATTCCTTTTCCTTCTTTTTTCTCTAATCTTGTCTTCACGCTTTATTTTATTAAGTTGATCCACAATCTCTGATATTCTTTCTTCTGCTTCATTGATTTGGCTATTGATACTTGTGTATGCTTCACAAAGTTCTCGTGCTGTGTTCTTCAGCTCCACCAGGTCATTTATGTTCTTCTCTAAACTGGTTATTCTAGTTAGCAATTCCTCTAATCTTTTATCAAGGTTCTTAGCTTCCTTGCATTGGGTTAGAACATGCTCCTTTAGCTCAGAGGAGTTTGTTATTACCCACCTTCAGAAGCCTACTTCTGTCTATTCATCAAACTCATTCTCCATCCAGTTTTGTTCCCTTGCTGGTGAGGAGTTGTGATGCTTTGGATGAGAAGAGCCATTCTGGTTTTTGGAATTTTCAGCGCTGGTTTTTCCTCATCTTCATGGATTTATTTACCTTTGGTCTTTGCTGTTGGTGACCTTCAGGTGGAGTTTTTGTGTGTTTGTTCTTTTTGTTCATGTTGATACTATTGCTTTCTGTTTGTTAGTTTTCCTTCTAAAAGTCAGGTCCCTTTGCTGTAGGTCTGCTGGAGTTTGCTGGGGGTCCACTCCAGACCCTTTTTGCCTGTGT
Source organism: Homo sapiens (assembly GCF_000001405.40). Lineage (NCBI taxonomy): Eukaryota > Metazoa > Chordata > Mammalia > Primates > Hominidae > Homo > Homo sapiens. Next base: position 227,700,474 of record NC_000001.11, on the reverse strand, counting down.
ATCACCAGCGGAAGCTGCACAACAGCAAAGATTGCTGCTTGCTCCTTCCTCTGGAAGCTTCATCCCAGAGAGGCACCTGCCAGATGCCAGCTGGAACTCTCCTGTATGAGGTGTCTGTCAACCCCTGCTGGGAGGTGTCTCCCCATCAGGAGGCACAGGGGTCAGGGACCCACTTGAGGAGGCAGGCTGTCCCTTAGCAGAGCTCAAGCACTGTGCTGGGAGATCTGCTGGTCTCTTCAGAGCTAGCAGGCAGGAACGTTTAAGTCTGCTGATGTTGTGCCACAGCCGCCCCTTCCCCCAGGTGCTCTGTCCCAGAGATGTGGGAGTTTTATCTAGAAACCCCTCACTGGGGCTGCTGCCTTTCTTTCAGAGATGTCCTGCCCAGAGAGGAGGAATCTAGAGAGGCAGTCTGGCTACAGCAGCTCTGTGGTGCTGCGGTGGGCTCCGCCCAGTTTGAACTTCCTGGAGGCTTTGTTTACACTGTTAGGGGACGACCACTACTCAAGCCTCAGTAATGGCGGACACCCCTCCCCACATCAAGCTCAAGTGTCCCAGGTCTATTTCAGACTGCTGTGCTGGACAGCACAGCAGTCTGGTGTTTTTGAAGTGCTTTCATGAAGAGATAAAAAAATGTTAACTTTGAACTTCAGTTTCAAATGGAAATCTGAGTCCTTTGACATAAAACCCTGAGTACACTTCACTTTGGTATAGCTTATATTTGAGAAGCTGTTTTCCAAATTTAACATATAATGTGTAGGTAGATATATAATTTTAGAGAGTGGACATCACTATTGGAGATACAAATTTGAGTCTCAGGAGGTGAAAGTTGGTATTTAAAGCCACACTTATGAATGAGGTCACCTAGGGAATTGATAAGAATCTGAGAAGTCCAGCAGTTAGAATTGTGTATACAGCATCAGAAATCATGAAAGTGAGGAGGACCCAGTATAGGGGTATGCAAAGGGGGTGGTCCTGAAGTTGGGAGGAGAACAAGGGATTTCTGGGTATCACATTTTACCTGCTTAGTTGAGAGGCAAATAACCCTCTCCTGCTCCTACAAGTAGCCGATCTAGGAAAACCTTCTCATCTTTAAAGCAGAAGAATGAGAAAAATACCAGCATGAGAGGTCCAGTGTTATAAGAAGAAAATAGGTAAAATGAATAGGTAATGCAAATGGCAGGTCAAGAGCACTTAGTTGAAAAATACAAGACACTAAGTGAATTTTTTACTAAATATTTCTACATGAATTTAAAAGGCCAGGATCAGTGGCTCATGACTGTAGTCCCAGTACTTTGGGGGATGGAGTCAGAAATATCATTAGAGGCCAGGGGTTTGAGATCAGCCTAGTAAGATAGCAAGACCCCATCTCTACAAAAAAATCCAACACCAAAAACCAAGTGTCGTGGTGTACGCCTGTAGGCCCATCTACTTGGGAGGCTAAGGTGTGAGGATTGCTTGAGCCCAGGAGATTGAGGTTGTAGTGAACTATGATCTCACCACTGCACTCCAGTCTGAGCAACACAGCAAGACTCTGTCTGTTTCTCTCTTTTTTAAAAAAAAAAAAAGCAAGAAAAACAATTTAGCATTAGATAATCTATTAGTGTAATTAACTCAATAGAAAAAGAATCCACATACTTATAAAAAGAGTACCCATTGATTTTTATGAAATCTTATGGCACTAGGATAGAAAGTTATTTACCTTAGCTGGGTGCGGTGGCTCATGCCTGTAATCCCAGCACTTTGGGAGGCCGAGGCAGGCGGATCACAAGGTCAAGAGATTGACACCATCCTGGCCAACATGGTGAAACCCCGTCTCTATTAAAAATATAAAAATTAGATGGGCATGGTAGTGGGTGTCTGTAGTCCCAGCTACTTGGGAGGCTGAGGCAGGAGAATCACTTGAACCCAGGAGGCAGAGGTTGTAGTGAGCCGAGATCACACCATTGCACTCCAGTCTGGGCAACAGAGCGAGATGCCATCTCAAAAAAAAAAAAAAAAAAAGGAAGAAAGAAAGTTATTTACCTTTACATGAGCATCTCATAGGAAATACTTATGTGTGGTTCATACATATGATTTTTTTTCTTACTTCAGCTGTCCAGATAGTTGATGACATAATTGAGAGGAGCCAAGAAAGTCACAGTAGACATTTGTGGCAAGTTGTAATTACCAAAAGTAAACCATCAATTGAGAAGGGAGTGGAATCAGGAAAAACATGTAGTTTGACTTCAAACCATGTACCAGAACTGATTAGAAATAATGGAAACTATTCAGGAAAGAGATCTGAGGAGTTTAATGTATTTCAGAACATACTTCTTTCTGGTGATCCTGATGAGATGGAAGCTTGAGTGAGATCTGATGCTTATGATTTAAATGGAACATTTCTTAGAGGTCATGAGCATCTTAGGATCACAAGATTCAAATTGGACTACAGTGTTTTGAATATAGTGGACGGAGGAATGCCTTCAACGTGGAGGCTATATTAACACATAAGAGTGCTTCTATGGGAAAGACCTCTTGTAAATCTAATAAATGTGGGAAAGCCTGTAATGAGTCAGCTACTATTGCTCAAGAGCTAACTCAGGTAGGGAGGAAAACTTTTGAACGTCATGTATGTGGGAAAATATTCAGTAAGAAGCATAAAGTCACTGAACATAAGAAAATACACTCAGGAAAGAAACCTTATAAATATAGTGAATATGAGAAAGCCTTCATTAGCCAATCATGTGTTACAAAACATCAGAGAACACATACAGAAGAGAAACCCTATCCATGTGCCATATGTGAGAAATCCTTCTGTCAGAAATCAAATCTAAGCGTTTATCAGAGAATCCACACAGAGGGAAAATCCTATTTTGCTAAAAACATTTTGGCAGCAGTCAGCACTCAGGGTGCATCAGAGAACTCACACAGGGGAAAAACCCTATGAATGTAATGGATGTGGGTTGACCTTCTACCATAAGTCAACCCTCACTATCCATCAAAGAACTCACACAGGTAAGAAGCCATTTGAATGTAAATAATGTAGGAAAACATTCTGCCGGAAGTCAGCCCTCCCAGTATGTCAAAGAACTCACACAGGTGAACAACCGTATGAATGTAAAGAATGTAGGAAAACTTTCTATGAGAAGGCAAATCTCAATGTACATCAAAGAACTCACATAGGGGAAAAAACCCTATGAACATAATGAATGTGGAAAAAAGTTTCATCACAAGTCATACCTCAGGGTGCATCAGGGTTTTCATATAGGCAAGAAACCCTATGAATGTAACGAATGTGGGAAAACCTATGAGAAAGGAATCCTCACTAGCCATCAGAGAAATCACACGGGGGAAAAACCCTATGAATGTAATCAATGTGGAAAACCCTTTGGCTGGAAGTCAAGCCTTAGGTCGCATCAGAGTATTCACAGAGGGCAGAAAACCTATGGATGTAATGTATGTAGTAAAAGCTTCCACCAGAAGTCAGACCTCACTAAACATGAAAGAATTCACACTGGGGAAAATCCCTATGAATGTAATGAGTGTGGAAAATCCTTTGGCTGGAAGTCAAGGCTCAGCCAACATCAGAGATCTCACATAGGGTAGTAAAACCTATGAAAGTAATGAATGTAGGAAAATATTTTGCCTAAGGTCAGTCATCACTGGACACAGAGAACTCACATAGAGAAAACCCTGTGTAATAAATGTGGAAAAAACCTTTTGCTTGAAGTCACAGCTTAGCAGACAGTAGAGAAGTCACAGAGGAAAGACATCAGATATTATTCTTCAAAAAGCATTCCCTTTTATCTAGGACACAGACTTTGTCTACATTTCTGGGCATTCCAGTGTTGTGGTTGGGACCATGTAAAACAGAGTTGTATAGGATAATGTGGATAGAAGTGATGAACATTATTTACAGGCTTCACAACAATAGTCTTGATGGTCCTTCCTGATTTATTATGCCTTGTAGGACTGAAGTTCAGCTGACCTCCAGAGTGACCGGGGAGCCATTAGTTTGGACCTGGTCACTGATTTAAGAAAGGAGGAATTAAATAGTGTAGAGATCTTTCCACCTCCACTCCCAAGAAATTCCCCTTTGTGCTTTAAATACCTGATCTCTCAAGCCATTGTATGTGTGATTTGTTTGCTTTACACTACAGCCCACTCTAATAATTTAGGAACTTTCTGAGAGAAGTTACTGTCTTCTGGCAAAGCAGCCATTGTAGCACCGATGGAGTCACCCTTTCCTCAGCCCTGGCCCAGGTCTATGGTTTGCACCTGCTAATCAGGCCCCATCTTGTCTGAGATCCAGCTGTGCTTCTACTCCCACCAAGTGGTGGCACACCTGTTCCAATATCCAGGCTCCCCTGAATCCCCAGTGGCTCCTCTTTCACCTATGCATAGCGACCTTCAGGGACACAGAATCCAACTCTACACCTGCAGAGAAGCAGTGGGAGAGGACAGATTTCTGGACTTCCAAAGGAAAGATGGTGGGATTTGAACTGAACCAGAGAGTCTGTCTTGCTCCCTGTAGATCAGGACCTGATGGATCAAGACTGCTCTTTGTCCATATGACAGTGCTGTGGAATTTTGTTTATTTATTAAATCCTGGATTGATAACCCGTGATATTATGGCAAGAATTAGGAGATTTGAATGTAGACCAAGTGGTTGATATTAATATTAATAATTAGCTTTAATATATTAAAGGTATTATGGTTATAGACCAGATGTCTGTTTACAACAGGTGCACCCTAATGCATGAAGAATTGTCTGTATTTTTGTAAGTTTATTGAAGCAGAAATTAATGTGTTAACCGTCTTTGAATCCATTAAAAAGATTTTGTTCTTACCCAGTAAACTAATTTGGGTGTCTTCAATGGATTATCTTAGCTGGAAAAACTGCTCTAGTGTATATCATGGGGCAAAATAGCAGAGGCAAAGGCAGAGTCATGGAGGTAAATCTACCCCATAATTCTTCAGCCAGTTCATACTCCATGTATCTGATAAATTTTTATCCATACTTTGAAATTCCATTGGTCCCATTTCACCCAAGCTTTACTTAGTTCTTTTATGAGACAGACTTGAACTTTGCTTTTCCTTCCCTGCTTTAGACAAGAAGTTCCACACGGGTTTCTCATAGTTTCCACTACCACTTTTCCTGTTCAAAGGGAAATGCTGGCTAGGTGTGGTGACTTACTCCTGTAATTTCAGCACTTTGGGAGGCTGAGTTGGGAGGATCCCTTGAGGTTGGGAGTTTGAGACCAACCTAACAACATAGTGACTCTGTCTTTACAAAACAAACAAACAAACAATTAGGCATGGTGGTGCCTGCCTGTAGTCCTAGCTACTCTGGAGGCTGAGGTGGGAGAATCACTTGAGCCCAGGAATTGGAGACTGCAGTGAGCTATGATCACACCAGTGTACTCTAGCCTGGGCAACAGAGTGAGAACCTATCTAAAAAAAAAAAATGAAAAAGAAAAAGAAAAGAAAAAAGAAAGAGGGATAGGGAGGGAGGGAAGGAACTAAAGGACAGAAGGAGGGAAGGAAGGAAGGAAGGAAAGGAAGGAAGGAAAAATGCTGAGGTGGAGTCATCCAGGTTTATGTGATCTTGACTTTGGTGCAGTAATAGGTTGAGGCTGAGAGGCTTTGTATTTTGCCCTCTTTGATAAGGATTGCTAAAATCTGTCTTGATGGGTCTCAGTGTTCTTTCTATAAAAAGGGAGAGTTTAATACACATTTCCAAGTGTTAAGTCCACCTCGAATATAAACGCAAAAAGTGCAATTACTTTTCTCCCCCTAAGAAAGTAAAGTGGTCAGAGCCAAGAGGAGGAGGCTCAGAGATGAGTCTTAGGTGTTTACAACACTAGCCTTGAATTGTAATGTTCAGTGTTCCAGTTTTCACTGCTTTTGTTAAAATTATTTTTGTTTGGCTTTTGATACTATTGCAACTAAAATTGTTTCTTTTATGTATTGTTCATTTTTTATGTCAAGAAATACAATTAATTTTGTATACTGATCTTGTATCCTGTTACCATACTGAACTTTTTTATTCTAAGGTTGTGAATTCCTTATGATTTTCTAAATACAAGATCAGGTCAAGTGCAAATAAAAATAAGTGTACGTAATACTGGCCAGGCGCAGTGGCTCACACCTGTAATCCCAGCACTTTAGGAGGCCGAGGCAGGTGGATCACTTGAGGCCAGATGTTCAAGACCAGCCTGGCCAACTTTGTCTCTACTAAAAATACAAAAATTAGCTGCGCATGGTGGCGTGCACCTGTACTCCCAGCTACTCAGAGGCTGAGGCACAAGAATCGCTTGAACCCAGGAGATGTAGGTTGCAGTGAGCCGAGATCATGCCATTGCACTCCAGCCTGGGTGACAGAGTAAGACTCTGTCTCAAAAAACAAAACAAAACAAAACAAACAAACAAACAAAAAAGTATAATAATCCTTTTCAAAATAGATGCATTTCAATTTTGCTTGTTGCCAAATTGTCCTGACTAGCACCTCAATTTTGTACAATGATAAGTAGATGTGACAGTGGATATATTGTTTTTTTATCTTAGGAAATACTTACACAGGCTTTCACCATTAAGAATGATGTTAGCTGTGGGTTTTTCATGTATTCTTTACCAATTTGACTGTATCCTTTTCTATACTTAGCTGAAAGTTTTTATTGTCAAAGAATGTTGAATATTTTCAAACCACAGCTGTGATCCCCAGCTAGCGATCAGGCCCCTGCAAGTCAGAAAGGGAAGGACGGGACGCCAAGCTTGCAACCCCACCACAATCACATAGCACAAGAGATTATAGAAACACCAGTTAGTAAGAGGTGTATTTCACTCAGTAGAAGACAGAAACTACAAAGAAATCAGCCAGTCCTCAAAACTAAGATCAAGAGTGATCACAGGATTTCTGAGTGACTTTCTCAGCCAGGAGACTGCCCCTGTTAAAGATTCAGTGGTAGGAGGGAGCAATTAGGAAGTAACAGGTACTGACAATCTACTGGAGCCCCAGGGAGCTGTTCCAAGAGGATAAAAAGGCTGAGCACCTGTCAGCCACCACCCAGCACCAGCCGCAGCTGCAGCAGAGGTGGGTGAGGAACCCTCACATGCCATCCCTCCCCAGGAATGTGCCCCAAAGAGGTCTCTTCCTCCTGCTCCACATTCTGTGTGTCTGCACACCCACTGATGCTTCTCCATTTCTTCCCACTCTTCATTTTCCCATCCCACCCTTCTACCTCATCCCTTCCTACACAGACTGAAGCAGGAACTAGAAAAGTGTAGGTCAAGACCTGCCCAAGTCCAGAGCATGCAAGAGGTAAGGATGGCCCAGAAGGAGTGAGCAGAGAACCGAGCTCCTGAAGGGGACTGGAGGCAAGAGGGCAAGGAGGTTCCTCAGAGAATGGGCTGCATGGAGGGATGGTTCTATAGAGACGCAGCCAAGAAAAAGGTGTTGAGGCAGGGAGCTGATGGGGCAGAAGGGTATGGTGAGGGTAGGGAAATATGTGGCGACCCTCAACCCTGATGCTGATCTAATGAAAGTCAGTCCCCAGCCCCTAAGAATTTCTGAGGAGAAACCTAGTGTTGCCCATTGAGCAGGGCCTGATTCCCTCCTAAGCTGAGAAGACACATCATGCCTTGCCCTTTGGGAAAAAAGGCAGTATTTTGCCACAACCTACCTCATCTGAGCCTGTTTGTGGTGGAGTAGGTGTTAAGCACAGGTCCTATATGCAGGCCTCTGAACAGAATGAAATGGGCTGACTGCCTCTTGTCCTGGACAAAGTTATCACTGCAAGTGCTCAATAAATGCTTACCTACACCCCAGGTCTCTACACTACTCATTTCTAGGACCTAACAGGCTGTTCTGGGCCCCCAAGCATAGGGATGCAGTCCTGAGACCCTCTAACAATGGGCCCAGGATGTTTGGAGCAGTGATGACTCCTTCCATTCCTGCACAGACTCCCAGTATTATTACTTTTTAAAATAAAATCAGGGAGCTGGGATTCAAAGCCAATAAGTTCCATGCTGTGGTCCCTTCTGGTTCACTGAGAAACTGTAATTTGAGACTGCATGTAGTGTGTGTTCTCATGGACACACATTAGGTAACAGACACTTGTCAAACCTAATATGTGAGAAATCCTCAGTGTGCAGGGAGTCATTCAACTAGCTTAGTCATTCAACTAACTTAAAATTGTGTACATTTGAGGCATATTATAAATCCATGGAAATGCGTTGACATAATTAAGGTCATGATGTGCTCCAAATTCTGTGTTTATGCATCTTGATACATTAAATTAACACCAAAGAGGTGTCTTCCCTTGATAGGCTTCCACAGTAGGTAGGCTGGTTACACCATGGAATTGGAGACAAGAGTCCCTGGAGATAACCGTTTCCACAGAAAAGTAAGAATGTGGCAAGGATGGAAACTTCTTCAGTCACTCTGGGATATTAGGCAACAAACCTAAAACTTAACCTTTCAGCTTTCTAACTATGATGTGGCGTTAATCATTTCTGTGTTATAAATGAACTGGCAATAAGCTACAAAAATATATCAAGTGGAAATTAGAAAATATATAAATATAAAGGCTACTAAGATATATTTAAAAAGTGCATTTCAGCTAACCCATGATTAGAAGTAATTTATAGCCTTGGTTTATTCATTATGATACAAGAAAAACAATAAATGATTAGTTCAATTGATGAATAAGATGCCTTCATAAAAATTCAACCAACTACTCATAATTGTAGGAACTCATGAAAACTAGAAATAGAAGATAGCTTCCTTCATACATATAGATGAAATGTTTAAAGCATTTTTGGCTGGGAACAATTCAAGTATGCCTAGCATATTCAGATATAACAGACCATCATACTTTAAGTTTTAGACTGTGAAATAGATAAAGGTATAAAATTTATGATTATGCAGTTAATATAATCTACAGATAATTTGCAGAATGGCTAAATGAGAATAAAAGCTTACTAAATGTAGGTCAATATTTTAAAAATCAACTTTATGTCTTGATATCAGGGCAGAGAACCCAAAATAAATACATTGAGGAATCTACAGTATATTGAAAGAAGAATACAATATAGCCATGACATTAAAGATAGGCACCTGGTGAGGATAAACATCTCAGTCAAAGCCTGCCTTACAGTGAAGGGTCACAAGAGGTTGGGCATGGGCTCTAGTTTTTCTTTCTTCAGGGTTGTGCTGGCATGCACTTCCTCTCTTAGATCTGGAACTATCAGTGTGTGCACAGAACACCTCAGATCCAATCCTGTAGTGTAGACCTAGCACTGAGATGAATAAATAGACCTGTGGAGTTAAGGAGACAACACTTATTTAAAAGACCCTTGTCTTTTAGATGCTTATAAGTGACAGAAATTGCATTTATTATTGCTCTTGTTGCCTGTGCTTTTGAGGTCATATTCAGAAAATTATTGCCCTGGCCATTGTGTTGGAGCTTTCTCTGCCCACCCCCCCCTTTTTTTTTTTTTGCTTAGTCATTTTATAGTTTCATGTCTTACTTTTAAGTTTTTAATCCATTTTGAGTTGATTTTTTTTTAAAAAAATATTTCTTGAAACAAGTTCTGGCTTTGTCACCCAGAATGGAGTGCAGTGGCACAATCTGGGCTTACTGCAACTTCTGCCTCCTGGGTTCAAGAGATTCTCTCACCTCAGCCTCCCAAGTAGCTGGGACTATAGGCGGACACCACCATGCCCAGCCAGAGTTGATTCTTGTGTAAGCATTGATATAAGGATAGAATTTCTTCTGCATGTGAATAGCCAGTTTTTGTAACTTGGTTTATTGAAGAAACCGCCCCCACCTCCAACCTTATTTTGTGTTCTTTGTAACCTTGTTAAAAAATCAGTTGGTTCCAGACACGTGGATTTCTTTCTCTCTCTCTTTTTTTTTTTTTTTGAAACAGGATCTCACTCTGTCACCCAGAGTGTCACACCATGCTGGAGTGCAGTGGCATGATCTTGGGTCACTGCAACCTCTGCATCCTGGGCTCAAATGATCCTCTTTCCTCAGCCTCCAAAGTAGCTGGGCCTACAGGCATTTACCAACATGCCTGGCTAATTTTTGTATTTTTTTTTTGTAGAGACAGGATTTCTCCATGTTGCCCAAGCTGGACTCCACCTGCCTTGGCCTTTCAAAGTTCTGGGATTATAGGCATGAGCTTTCATGCCTGGCCTATGTGGATTTATTTCTATGTAATCTTTTTATTGTGTTGGACATTGTGTTTGTTTTTATACCAGTACCATACCATTTTGATCACGATAGCTTTTTAATATATTTTGAAACATGTAGGATGATGCCTCCAGCTTTGTTCTTTTTGCTCAATGTTGCTTTGGTTATTTTTTATTTATTTTGGTTTTATGCAAATTTTAGGACTTTGTTTCTATTTTTTCTACTTTTTCTATTTCTATAAGGAGTAGCATTGGAATTTTCATTGGAATTGCATAAAATCTATATATTGTTGTGCATAGTATGGATATTTTAACAATGCTAATTCTTGCAACCCATGAACATGGGATGTCATTCCATTATTTGTGTCACCTTTAATTTTTTAAATCTATGTTGTATAGAGTTCAACAAGGACATTGTTCATTTTCTTAAATTTTCACGTGAGTGTTTTTTAATGCTGTTGTAAATGGAGTTGTTTTCTTAATTTCTTTTTTATGTAGCTTGTTAATGTATAGACATAAGTTCTGTATTTTGATTTTATATCATTCATTTTTACTGAATTTGTTTTGTCTTTTAACACTTGTACAAGAGGAATAATTGTGATACTCACTGCTATGAAAACACTAATATTGTGTAATGGTAGAATTTTAATTTTGACCATTTACTTCCTTTTCCAGTGAGTTATATACTTTCATATATTTTCATGTTACTAATTATTGTCCTCTTTCTTCAGCTTGAAGAATCCCTTCAGCATTTTTTGCCAGGCAGGTCCAGTGGCAATACACTTCCCCACCTTTTATTTTGCTGAGAAAGTTTCTCTCCCCTTCATTTTTGAAAGACAAGATTGCTGAAAATATTATTCTTGGTTGGTTTTTTTTTTTTATATCATCCCACTCCCTCTGATCTTCAAGATTTTTGCTGAAAAATATGCTGTAGCCTTCTAGGGGTTCACTTATAAACAACAAGCCACCTTCTCAATGCTTTCAAATTTTCACTTTGTCTTCACTTTTAACAATCTGACTATGATATGTCTTGGTTGGGTTGGTCTCTGTGGATTCATCTTATTTGATGCCCTTCAGGCTCCCTGGATGTGGATTTCTATTTACTTTCCCAAGGTTAAGAAATTTTCTGCCATTATTTCTCTGAATATCTTTACTATCTTTTTCTCTCTCTTCTATCATATGAATAATGTATAAGTTTTTCAACTTGATAGCATGCCATGAGTCCCTTAACCTACCTTTACTCTTTCATTTTAAAAAGTGTTTGCTCCTCAGATTGCATGATTTCCAGTGACCAGCCTTTGAGTTACTCATCCTGTCTTTGAATTAGTCTGCTGTAAAACATGTCTATTAAATTTTTCAATTTAGTGACAGTATTCTTCAGCTCTATAATTTCTCTTTGTACTATTTTTATACTTTCTATCTTTTTTTGTGTGAAATTCTCAGTTTCTTCTTGCATTGCTCTCCTGATCTTGTTGAACATCTTTGAGACCATTGTTTTAATTCCGTATTGTGTAAATTACATAGTTTCCTTTCACTAGGGTTGGTTATAGGACATTTTTGTCTTGTTCCTTTTTTGGAACATATTTTCTTGTTCCTTTATTTTCTTTGACTCTCTGTGTTGGTTTCTGCACATTATATAAGGAAACTGCTCCACCCTCTCTTGTCACACTGACATGACAGAAAAATTTCAGCAGTTTATGTGGCCAGAGATTCTAAGGTATCTTTCATATTTGTGCTTGTCTCTATGTTTGTTGGCTGCCAGGAGAATAAGATGTATCACATTCTATCATTACCCCCAAGACAGTAATGTTTCTACAATTTATGCAGCTAAATTCACATGACACCTTGTGATCCTGGGGAGAGAGTTGTAGAAAATGAGCCTGTTGTGTGGCCACCTCTGCTTTCTTTTGCACAGGGAAACTCAAGAATGCAAAGCCAATTCACTGCCAATGATAGGTGATTAAGGCTACAGTCTCTTAGGGGAGCCAAAGAAGTTGTAGCACTTGGTGTGTGGAAAAACTACAGAAAGAATAAGTAGTAGAACTTTATTTATCACTGTGGTGAGCTATGAGGGAAGGCTCAGAAAGATTTCAGTGTCTGCTCAGGCTGCTAGAAGTCTACTCTTTGCCCCTTTGACCCTGTGATGCAAATTAGTTAGAAGCCAGGCCATCAGGTAGCCACTGGAAGAGTTTGTTGTTAATCCCTTCCCAGGAGAAATGGAGCTGTGCCTGTTAGCCCCTTCTCTGCACTACTTATGAGGGTTGTAGCCCTTGGAAGTGCTTGCATACCAATTTGATTCCACTCCTTTTGTGATCTAGTAAGACTCACACTTGCCCTGTCTCCTGCACTTTCAGAGTTTGGAGGTTTAGCATATAGTTCCTGAAATGGAAAATGTAAATATTGAAGCACATGTAAAATACCATCCAGGAGGAACTGGGAGATCTGAAGTTATTAGTGAGGTGAGCTGGGGAGCAGGGCTCAAGAAGTGGTAAGCTCCTACTCAGGCTGCCAGAGGTTACTATTTGTTGGCCCCATTGTCTTCCTAATGCAGAATAGGTAGAAGCTCATTTGTCAGCATCAGCAAGCTTGAACATCCCTTCTAGGGAGAAACTGATGCCTTTGAGTTTTAAGCCCTTCATTGCCCATATCTTGGGAGATAAAGCCTTTCAAGCACTTGTGTGATCATAGAAAACTGCCATTTTGTTCTGTTTTCTATATAGACTCATGGATCTTAGTCTCTTATACTCCCAGAGCTAGATAAATTAAGAGCTGAACCACGGGGAACTTTACAGGTTGGCTCCCATATATATGGTCCATACCCTACATTTCTCAGTGTGTTGAAAGAGTGTTGGGGGTTCCTTTCCAATTGTATGTTGTAGTGCCTAGGGCAGGCACTACAGTGCCCAATTGTGTTTTGGTATTTTCTACTCATGTATGGTTTTTTTTTCCAGATTTCCACTGCTTAGGAGTCTTAACTTATTTATGACTTTCTCCCAGAGGGAATTGAGCCTGAATAGATGTGTATTCATTGTATTCGTGGGCAGAAGGAGAGTTGGGAGCTTTGTCTTTGGCCACGTGGCTGTTGCCTCCTTTTAACATTAACCTTTGAATTGGGTTAACACATTTGCATTTAGTGTTATTTATGATGTGCTTGGATATATATCTGTCTCTTTATTGCTCTTAAAAGCCACTTGCAACATACAAATTATTTTTACATTTATTTGGATCCATCTGTGGATTTTGTGCATATTCTGGTTCTTGATCTTTGTCAATTATTACAATATTAGAGTTTCATAATATACATTAGTGCCAGGTAATGATAGTTATTCCTGTTGCTTTTATAATTCACAAATGTCTTGGCTGATTTTATATGTATATTTAACCTTTCAGATGCATTATAGTATTTTTTGTTTTGATCTCTTCTTCCAAAAACAAAGCATATTGACCTTTTGATGTCATAGCAATGTATTTATAGATTAATTTTGGGGAAAATGATTATCTTTGAAATGGTGAGTTTTGTTTACCTACACTCATAATGTCTTTTATGTCCCTCTGTTAATTTTTATCTTCTCATTCTATGTATTTCTTTTGAAAACATGCACATATGAAATACCACCTGCAGATTACCTCCAGGGGCAACTGGAGATTCTTAATCTCACATCTGTAGGCAGTCAAAAGTTGAAATCGTGAATCTTATACTTCTATCCAGTCCACAGGTGAAATTGTAGCAGGACGAGCCACAGACAAAACTCCTCACACACCGAGTTAAAGAAGGAAGGGGTTGGCCGGGTGCAGTGGCTCACACCTATAATCCCAGCACTTTGGGAGGCTGCGGCGGGTGCATCACGAAGTCAGGAGATTGAGACCATCCTGGCTAATATGGTGAAACCCCATCTTCACTAAAAATACAAAAAAAAAAAAAAATTAGCTGGGCATGGTGGCAGGCGCCTGTAGTCCCAGCTACTCAGGAGGCTGAGGCAGGAGAATGGCATGAACCTGGGAGGCGGAGCTTGCAGTGAACCGAGATCGTGCCACTGCACTCCAGCCTGGGCGAGAGTGAGACTCTGGCTCAAAAAAAAAAAAAAAAAAAAAAAAAGAAGGAAGGGGTTTATTCGGCTGGGACCATCAGCAAGACTCCTGTCTCAAGAGCCATGCTCCCTGAGTGAGCAATTCCTGTCCCTTTTAAGGGCTCATGACTCTAAGGGGGTCTGCGTGAGAGGTTCATGATTGATTGAGCAAGCAGCGGGTATGTGACTGGGGGCTTCATGCACCGGCAATCAGAACGAAACAGGACAGGGATTTTTACAATGTTTTTCTGTACAATGTCTGGAATCTATAGATAACATAACCAGTTAGGTCAGGGGTCAATCTTTAACTACCAGGCCCAGGGCGTGGTGCCGGGCTGTCTGCCTGTGGATTTCATTTCTGCCTTTCAGTTTTTACTTCTTCTTTCTTTGAAGGCAGAAATTCGGCATAAGACAATATGAGGGGTGGTCTTCTCCCTCATTCCCCCCACTTTGAGACTCTCACTCATTTTATTAGTGGGAGTTCTCACTTTTATCTTTACCATCTATGTCTTCCTGCATGACAGATCGATAGTGATTTATTGTAATACACTTGTGCTGAAGGATTCTGGTGAACTAGAGTAGCGATGAAACCTTTTACCATTTGAATGAGTGCAGGTAGTAAATAAGGGATCAGTAAGCAGGTTTCTATTACTACTATAATTTTTATTATAAGAGTTTTAAATCCTCCTAGCACTGGGAACCATTTTTAAACATGGCCTCAGGGTCAAATCTGTGCCACACTTGTACAGGCACATGTGCCAATTTCATCATATCTTTAACTATATCTTCGACTACTTGCCCCGATCATCTATGTGCAGGCAGCAATTGGTATGGTTAAATTTTTTACAGACTTCTCTCTCAGCTGCTAGTAAGTAGTCAAGAGTCAACCTATTTTGATAGATAGCATTTCTCATCTGAGTTTCTTGCCAGGCCAGAATAGTCAAGGCTCTGTTGGTCTTACTAGTGATGATTTCTAAGACAGCTTGTAACCGTATGATTCAGTTGAGCATGTAAATGGGAGTCCAGTATCCCCACGAGCCCTCTTGTGCCTAAGTAGCAGGCCTATAATATTGTATGATTCTCTCAGGGGGCCATTTATTATCTTTTTTATTTTTTTCATAGCTATGCTTCTCTTTTTGCAGGAAGCATAGACAGGGAAGCCCAGGAGTTCGCCTGTCTTTATGGGCAGTAGGAAGAAAGATGGTTTAATAATGCCAATAACACAACTACCTGCCTACTGGTCGGGTAATTTGGTGTAAGGTCTATGCCTACATATCCAGTATAATCCAGTGGGGGCTGTCCAGTCCCAGTGGGACTCCAGGTGGGTCTACACAGTTTGCAACTTTGGGAATCTAGTAAATGGATTTTTTTCCAGTATGGTTTGAACTCCACTAGGTCGCTGTTTTTGTAGTACTATTATATAGTTTTGGCCTAAGGCAGCTAAGTCTTCCTACAGGAAGGGTGAAGTCCTTCCCCACTCTTGCTATACAGTATTGTCTAATGATTGAGGCTTTTACGACCTAGAAGTTATCAGGGTGATTTTTTTTTGAGCTGGGAATTCATCAGGAACTGGGTCTGTAGGTACTAATCCTCTGGCTTCCTATGGCCACTGATCTCCTATTACAGTTCCTCCACATACATAACATGAAGTGACATTGAGAGACTGCGCTATATGCTTTGCTAATTGCAAAAACAAATTTCCTGTTTTTCCTGGAATTTCTGGTACTGGCACACTCTTAAAAACTGTGGTCATGGGAGGCTCAGATGGGTCATAACACACATCAGGTTGGTCATTTCCTGGGCTAAATACCTTGTGTAGAATAACATTATATAAACAAGTTGTTTTTTTTTTTTTGAGTTCCAGTACACTTATAATAACCCTAAAATAACAGGACCATAGCGACCTTTTGTCCTACCTCAGTGACTTGATGTATACACTGGGAACAGCCCTCAGTCTGAGGAAGGTCAGTTGAAGTCTTTACTGTGCAAGTCCAAATTTTAAGGAAAATGAGTCCCGTGATGAGTTTCCTCATGCTTCAGCCGTGCGTGGACCAGTCAGCTTTTGGGTGTGACTGGAGCAGGGCTTGTCATCTTCTTCAGAGTCACTTTGCAGGGGTTGGCGAAGCTGCTCCCATCCACGTACAGCTCCCAGTCTACTGATGTTTAAGGATGGTCTCAGAGGTTGGGCTCACTAGAATAAACTGAGTCCATTACCTCTATACAGTTATGTTCAACTGGGCTCTCTGATACCGGGAGCAAGGTGGCAGGGTTTAGGGTGTTGTAAACTTCAATGGTTACGCAGGGATTTTCACAGAGCAAACTTTGGTATCTAGTTAGTCTAGTATTCATTAGCTAATGATGTCATTTGGTATTTATTAAAGTCACCACAACATGGGGGGATTTTGTGTTTAGGTTTTGCCTAAGAGTTAGTTTATCTGCTTCTTGTGCTAACAGGGCCATTGCTGCCAGGGCCCTTAGACATGGGGGCCAGACTTTGGAAACCCCATCTAGTTGTTTTGAGAGATAGGCCACTGGCCTTGGCCAGGGCTATACGGTCTGGGTTAAAATTCCAACTGCCATATTTTCTCTTTCTACACATAGAGTGTAAAGGGTTTTGTTAGGTCAGGTAGCCCCAGGGCTGGGGCCGACATGAGTTTTTCTTTTAACTCATGAAACGCTTGTTGCTGTGGGTTGTAATAGATGTAGTTTATCTAATCTAATTTTTATTAACTGTCACCCACTAAAATATTGACCTAAATCCTGTAGCTATTTGATTTCAAGCTTTAAATTGATCTGGCTTTCTTTGTGGGGCTCCAATTGCATCCAAATAGATGTGAGAGTTGAAAGACGCATAAGGGGCTTCTCTCGCTTTACGATGTCTTATTTCTTCTCCCTCTGGTTGAGGAAATGCCAGGGTGAAAGGGATAGCCAAATGGACTAAAGCACAAGTGCCACTCTAGTTATTTGGCAGAGTGCCCAGTAAAGGTCCACCACAATACCACCACACATCCACTCGGGGATGAACAAGGGCAGACTGATTGATAAGCTCTTGAACATTCTTAAGCTCATCGCATTCCTTCAGGTCTCCAAGGAATGCTAAGTTTTCTCCTTGTTGTAAGAGACACAAAGTGAACTTAGTGTTGGGAGATGGAAGCTGGTTGGCCCTCGGGGGGCTGACCTGCAGGGTGCTGGACTTCAGGATATAGCAGAGAGAGCTTGGCATGACTTTACTCCAGGCTGTAGAATCCTGGAAAAGAGCTACCATGCAGCCTACGCCTGGTCGACTGGAGGACCACCTTAGTGGAAGGGGGACAATCTGGGCCTCTGGCCTGCCATGTGCACAAGCGTAACAATTGCTTTTGTTTAATGTGCAGATGGAATATTTGATCCATTTTAACCAGGCATTTGCATCTTGGTATCCTGTCTTAATTGCTAAAGTTTGTTTTAAGTCTTTAACTTCTATGATCCTCTAGTAAAATGAATGTATGGTTTTAGGAAATTACAAAAACCAGTTGGGGCAGTCCATCCTTGCTCTTTAGTCGTCCACAGAATGTTGGACCAACTATGGCATGAAAGCTCTACATCGGGGGCAAGACTCCTGGTTGGCACTGGGGTCTTTATCGAAATCTCCCCAGATTAAATGGTCCTAGTTTACTAATGCCCAGTCTGAGGAGGGTCAGGAGGGACAGAAGTACTTTTCTGAAGTAGAAAGCTGTCTTTGACTTGCAAGTCTCCACAGGGTATAACAAGGCAAGCATTAAATGCAATAGTTTGAGGCAAAATTGACTTGGTTATGTTAATAACTAGAGGGTCAGCAATAGAATGAGGAAAGAAGAAAGACTAATAGAATAGATGAAAAGAGTTACATTTTTCTTAGCTTTAGTTTGGTAGGGTTTTCCCCTGGGACTATGGCCCACGACTCTGGAGGGGATGGCGCTTTCTTGACTCGGTTGTGATGAGTCCATCCTGTTTTCACTGTATGAACAGCAGTCTCAGAGGTTAGCAGCACAAAGTAGGGTCCTTCCTAGGCTGGCTTGAGTTTTCTTTCTTTTCACCTTTTGATAAGAATGTGATTTTCAGGCTGGTGCTGGTTTACCGGAAATTCTAGGGGTGATACATGTGCTAAAAGACTTTTAGTTTTTGAGGGAAAGGAAAGTGGAAGATAAACCAGGTATATAATTTTAAAGAAATTGACCTTTTGTTTTAAATGTGGGGACCTTGGCAGTGGAATCTATAGTCCTTAGTGCCTTTTTACTGAGAAATTTCCTTCAGCACCTATTTTTATTAGTTTTTAAATCAAAGAAAGCCAAATACCATTTTACATCTAACAATGCTCTTTGTATGATTTTTATACCAGATAAGCTAAATTTTACCTTTATATTAGTGTGTTATTAATGTTAAACCTAATTTTAAGAAAACATTGTAGAGATATTTATCTAATTTTTAATGTTTGACCATAAGGTAAGATTTTATAGACTCTTTTTAACTTTTATAATTTTTGCTAAACAGCAGGTTGGTGTTTTAAGAAAAACCTGCTATGCTTTTATTTTAATGTCCAGTTTACAGAAAATCTGGATGATACCTCTTTAATTTTAGCCAATGTTTACACACAGAATTTTCTTTTCAATTAACATTTTAAAACTTGATTAAACCTTTAAAACAAAGTATACATATTTTTAACCTTTTAATGTAGGTAAAAATTTATATTCTTATGCCCTTATAATTCTTTTGCCAAAGGTATATTTTACTTTCTTAATACACCTTGCACATAAAGTGTTTTTGTTGCTGCTGTTGTTTTTTTAGTTTTACATTCAGGAGGCCTAGTTACTTTTAAATTATACAACATTTCTTGCATTAATTCTTTTTTTATAACGTTTTTTTCTTTCACGACTTTCTCAGACAATTCTTCGACATGCCTCAACTTTCTGACTTATTACAAATATTTCTTTCTTTAAAGAACCAGTTAATTTATTTCAGGACAAGAATTTACCATATAATACTCTTTTTACATAAATTTCTCCCTCCCCCTTTTTTTTTTTTTTTTTTTTTTTTTAGGATATTTCTGAACTGGTGAGGCATGCTCACAATGAGGTTTCCTCTAAAAGTTTTTTTTTTTTTTTTACTCTTTTTTGTTAGCAAAGTAGTTGCCGCTACAGATTGAATGGATTTGGGCCATCTGTGGGTTACTGGGTTAAGGATTTTTGATAGGAAGGCCTCAGTGCTTTCAGGATATGCCCTTGTTTACACTGACAACAAAGTGGTATTGGAGTGTTATAGGGTTACAGAGAATACCTTCAATTATCAATTACAGGTTTTAAATTTACCTTGGCTTTTAAAGGAATAGGGTACACTGTTCTTTTCTTAACTACTTGTATATCTCTCTCTTTTTTTTTCTCTTTGTCTCTCTTTGACTTTCCTTTTGCCCGTCTCTTCCTCTCTCTCTCTGTCTTTCTGTTTCTTTTTTTTTCTCTCTCTCTCCTCGACTCCCTCTTTGTCTGTCTCTTCCTCTCTGACTCTTCCTCTCTCTCTTTGCCTCTTTTCCTCTCTGTCTCTTTCCTTTCTCTCTCTCTGCTGGTCTTTCCTAGCCTCTGCCAGCTGCTTATGCTGCTGTTCTCTCAACCACTGTGTGTTCGGGGTGGGGGGTCTAAAACCAGCTGTAACCAAGTGTCTATGTACAGGAACTGGTCTGGGTGCCCTGCCTTACAGGTTACCTTGTGCCATACCTTTGAAACAAGGGACCTGTCCAGGCTCCCTTTTGAAGGCCAACCCACCTCTAATGCTGGCCAGTCTATCTTACACAAAGTTTTAAGTTTTCCTGGTGTCATAGTACTCCACAGTTTCCCTTAAATCCTTTTTTGAAATTTTTCAACATAGTTCCTAGTAGGGTGGGCTTATTTGTGCCTGACTCATGCTTCTTCGAGACAAAACACCACGCTCACATCACACACACACCACAAAACAAAGAACAGGTAAAAAGGGCACACGGTTCCCAAGACCAGTCCTGTCAAGCAATTCAAACCAAGTCAAAACAAAAACCAAAACCAAAGTGCTGATAAAGACATGCCGTGGGTGATCAGGCCACGCTTCCACTCAAATGGAGTGGGCAACTTCCCAAGACCAGTCCTATCAAGAAATTCAAACCAAGTCAAAACCAAAACCAAAATGAAACCAAAGTGCCGATAAAGGCACACTGTGGGTGATGAGGCCACACTTCCACTAAAACAGAGTAGGTGAGTTCCAAAGACTAGTTTTACCAAGTTTCAGATGTCCGGACTCCAAGTACCAGTTCCTTCCTGGTGTTCAGCCACTGCGTTGATCCCCCACGGGTGCCTGCCACACAATGCTCTTGTGAGGCGTCCCACTGGGGCAAATGCCTACCCGGGAGCGCTCTCAGGATCTGCATTTCTTGGGCTGGTTGAAGTCCCCCGCAGGGATGTTCCACAAGGCAGGCTTAAGCCACTTAAGAAGCTGCCTTGACCATCTGACATCACCTCATTTGCCAGTCAGGGAACCAAGAAATATAGCAGGATGAGCCGCAGACAAAACTCCTCAGACACCGAGTTAAAGAAGGAAGGGGTTTATTTGGCTGGGAGCATCGGCAAGTCTCCTGTCTCAAGAGCTGAGCTCCCTGAGTGAGCAATTCCTGTCCCTTTTAAGGGCTCACAACTCTAAGGGGGTCTGCATGAGGGGGTCATGATCAATTGAGCAAGCAGGGGGTACGTGAGTGGGGGCTGCATGCACTGGTAATCAGAATGAAACAGAACAGGACAGGGATTTTTACAATGCTTTTCCATACAATGTCTGGAATCTATAGATAACATAACCAGTTAGGCCAGGGTCGATCTTTTAACTACCAGGCCCAGGGCACAGCGCTGGGCTGTCTGCCTGTGGATTTCATTTCTGCCTTTTAGTTTTTACTTCTTCTTTCTTTGGGGGCAGAAATTGGGCATAAGACAATATGAGGGGTGGTCTCTTCCCTTAAAATGGTGACATATAACTTTGCCCTTTTCTATTTTTTCTATTTACTATTAACTCTTTTTTTTTCTATTAACTCTTTTCTATTTACTTCCTTTGGTCTCATTTTCATTTAAGCCTTTTTGGTCCTTGAATTGTTCTAGAAGTCATTTACTTTTTTTTTCCATAGGAGAGTGAGTTTAATTCAGTTTCTAATAGTAGTAGGTTATCTTGCTGGTAAGTTATGGGCATTTGTTTATTAACAGCTGTTTTAATTAATCTTTGTGCTAGTCCCCTCACACAAGGGGTAATACAACATCCCACTGCTGTTAAGACTCCTGCCACAATTATGAGAGATGTAAGGATTAAAGCTACCATGCCTTTCCATTTTTTCCATTTTCCATTTTCACATTCTTATTAATAGTTGACCATCAGAAGAGTCCTAAAACCCAGCAGCTATTTGGTTTTAGGCCTAAATTCATTAGGCACACCTCTAGGGACTCCAATTGAGTTAACATATGTATTGGGATTAAAAGAATTTGTCAAATCTCTCTGGTGTCAGTGGCCATGTGTATTTTTGGGTATCTTATGGAATGCCAGGGTGAAGGGAATGGCCAATTGGACTAAAGCACAAGTCCTAGTCCCATTGGATGGTAACAGGTTACAGAGGTTCCATTTCCCACAATACCACCAGACATCAGCCCGGGGTGTATGGAGAGCTGAGTAATTGCCATTGCTTGACTCACCAGTGATGTTTAGGATGTAGGCAGAAGTTGAGAGTTCTCCCACAGGATTATTGAACTCTTCCTCCTGCCTAGAGAGGCAAGAGAAGTGGTTCATATTCCCTATAGAGAACAAGGATATTGCTCTGGGATCTGAGCTCTGGAATGTGGGAAAGAGCGATCACAGACTCTTACAAGTCTTACTTCCGCATGCATCCTTGTCCTGGTATAGAACCAACATACAGTGTAGTCCCTTAGGAGGGGTATTCCATCCTAGGGGAAATGGAACCACCTGTGCCCAAGGTCATCCCACAGCAGTTACTCTTGTTGAGGGCTTGTACCAAAAATTTGACCAATTCGACCCAGGCGTTTATATCCCCATACCCTGTCTCAATTTCTAAGGTTTGCCTTAGATCCTTTACCATATTTTTCCCTTTTAGGGTCATTATTTGGTGGACTAAAGTGTTTATTAGGGTCTGGGGTTGTAGTCCCAGGCAAATGGGAGGTTGAGTTCTTGATTAGTTTGAGAACAAATCACCCTAGGGGGTCTTTCCCTGTGATTTCTGCCCCTAATGCATATATCCCAGATTCTACTTTTGGTTCTTGGTCTACAATGGCTGGATTGTCAATGGTGATGAGTATAGAATTGCATTTTAAATTCTGGCAGTTATTTGGCAGGGAGCCCTTGGACAGATGTAGTTTATTCTTTAAGGGTCTCCAGCTCAGAGTTACCTATTCTATGTTTACTGTTCAACCCTGAAATTGGGTAGTCCACCATACATTATCCCAGCTGGGGCAGGGTGATGCCCTACTGTAAACTGTATTTGGTTCAGGGAAAAGATATTTATCTGCCTGTGAGAACTGTCTCTGATTTTCTAAATTCCCACAAGTTAAAACCTGGCAGGTATCAAATCTTATATTCTGAGGTGCCATCGTCTTGGTCACATTAATTGCCAACCTGATTGGGTAGGGAAGAGTCCCCTGCCAGTTTCCATTTTGACCTTCTGCTCTTTGTATAGTAGCCCATCCCAGCCATATTAACTTCCAGAAATGGGGCCAGCCCATGTTTTCCTTTTAGATTTTTCCAAGAGTTAACTTTAAGGGTTCCTCAGGTGACCCATGCACTTTCCACTGGTCTTTTTCCTTGCCTTCTGGGGTCCCTTTTACCAGTCCCTTGACTTGAGTGTAGTGAGTCCACCTTTGTTCAGCTGTTTGCACATCCAGCCATCTTAGTGGTCAGGAGCACTTGATAGGGAGCTTCCCAACTTGGGTGGAGCTTGTCTTCTTTCCAAGTTTTAATCAGCACCAAGTCACCAGGCTGGAAGTGGTGAACCATGAACTCAAGAGGCAGAGTTTGAGTCAGTAGTCCTTTTAACCTAAGAGATGACAGGGTGGAGGATATGGCCAGTAAATAATTACTTAAGAATTGATTCTAGTTCAACCATTGTGGAAGTCAGTGTGGCGATTCCTCAGGGATCTAGAACTAGAAATACCATTTGACCCAGCCATCCCATTACTGGGTATATACCCAAAGGATTATAAAACATGCTGCTATAAAGACACATGCACAAGTATATTTATTGCGGCACTATTCACAATAGCAAAGACTTGGAACCAACCCAAATGTCCAACAATGATAGACTGGATTAAGAAAATGTGGCACATATACACCATGGAATACTATGCAACCATAAAAAATGATGAGTTCATGTCCTTTGTAGGGACATGGATGAAGCTGGAAACCATCATTCTCAGCAAACTATCGCAAGGACAGAAAACCAAACACCGCATGTTCTCTCTTATAGGTGGGAATTGAACAATGAGAACACATGGACACAGGAAGGGGAACATCACACACCGGGGCCTGTTGTGGGGAGGGGGAGGGGGGAGGGATAGCATTAGGAGATATACCTAATGTTAAATGACGAGTTACTGGGTGCAGCACACCAACATGGCACATGTATACATATGCAACAAACCTGCACGTTGTGCACATGTACCCCAAAACTTAAAGTATAATAATAATAAAATTAAAAAAATTATAGTAAGAAATAAAAAAAAATGTTTTGGGGATTTACATAGTTTACTTTATCTGAGAAATCACTGTCTTAAGGTTTTTGGAAGTCTAGTTCTGCTATTGTGGTTTCTCCTGTTTCCCATTCATGGCTCTTGTTTCCCTGTATGTTTCTGGGATTTGAAATCATGAGCTTACATTTGGTAGTCTTACACTGTTAAAATCTTGTAACTCCTAGTTTAAGGGTGAGTCCCTCCTGACAGCATTTGTGTTTGCTTCTTCGAGGTACTCTGGGATGCTATCAATCAAAGGCTTGTTTTAGATTGGTTTGTTGCCTTAGTATTTTCTGGATAGGCAGGTGATTTAAGTCTAAACTTCAAACTTGAGGGAAGAATTGTGGTTATCAACTCTTAAGGGGAATGCTTTTCCTAGCCAGCAATTACTCCAAAATTGTTAAATGTCCCAAGCACCAACTTTTGTCAAAGATAGATTATTTCCAGTCTCCAATTTCATTTTGAACCTAATCTTTTTAGGATCTCAGCATTATAGTGGGATGGGATTTTATCTTGACCTAAAACCTGAATGCACAGCTTATCTCTCCTTTTCCCTGTTACCATTAAATACCGTCTTGAGATTATCAGTACTGGCAAACACCTTGCAGATGTTGCATTCTTAACATGAGTTTACCACTTTGGCTTTCAGCTGCATTTTTGTTTTTTGAATCCTGAGAGTTACAATTACTTTTTTACAAGTTTAGATGATTGTTGTTCACTTCATTTTATCCAGCATAATAGGTGTTTTTTATGGGGCCTTTCCCCACCCCCCCAGGATATGGAGTGTGTACCATGTTGCCAGAAATGAAAGTAACTATATGTATAATTTTAAAGATGTAAAAAAAAAAATGTATTTTAAGTGAATGTTCACAGTCATCAGGAAAAATTTCCTGAATTTTCTTTGCAGTTCAACAAAACATGATGTACTTTTCCCTCTAGTTTGAATAAACACAATCTATTTTCACATATTGCAAAGAATTTAGAAATAGTTCATTTTGGGCAACATATAAATATATATAATTAATCAAATAATAAAGTTCAAATAATTAGCCCTTTAGATTTTTATCTTAGTCATCTTGGGCTGCCACAAAAGACCATAACTTGGTGGCTTAAACAATAGAAATTAACTTTCCCACAGTTCTGAAGTCTAGAAGTCCAAAATCAAGGTGCTAGCATAGTTTATTTCTGGGCTGTCTTCTGGATTGCAGATGGCCACCTTCTCACTGTGTTCTCACAGGATGGGCAGGAGTGGAGGGGAGTGAGAAAGTTCTCTGGTGCATCTTCTTATAAGGGCACTAATTCCATCATGTTGGCCCTACCCTCAAACCTCATCTAAACCTTATTATCTCCCAAAGGCCCGATATCCAAATATTGTTACACTTCAGGTTACGGCTTCAATATGTAAATTTTAGGGAAATACAATTCAGACCATAGCAATGTTCAAATGAATGTCATAAGTTCAACATATACTTCTTATTAAATAAGACTAGAAAAATACTTTCTTAATACAATGTATTTATCTCAAAACAAATGTCAACATCATGTTTAATACCAAAACAATAAAAGAATTTCAATTGTAGATAGAAATAGAAAAATAGGCTGCGTGCAGTGGCTCACGCCTATAATCCCAGCACTTTGGGAGGCTGGGGTGGGTGGATCACCTGAGGGACCAGCCTGGCCAACATGGTGAAACCCCGTCTCTACTAAAAATAGAAAAATTAGCTGGGCGTGATGGCAGGCGCCTGTAATCCTAGCTACTCGGAAGGCTGAGGCAGGAGAATCGCTTGAACCCGGGAGGCAGAGTTTGCAGTGAGCCAAGATCATGCCATTGCACTCCAGGCTGGGCAACAAGAGTTAAACTCTGCCTCAAAAAAAAAAAGAAAAAAAAAAAAAGAAAAATTATATTTAATATCACTATGATTTTTTTTCCAAATAAACTTAAATAATTTACATAAAGAAAATGCTCATCTTTTAAGTTCACAGTTTCATGAGGTGTGACAAATATATATACCTGTTTCAATCTTTTGTCCTATACTATTTGCTTTCCAGCTTCCAACATTTTTTATCTTGTCTATCCTTCTTATACTTGATTCCTATCCTTGTGGATTTATGCACTTCTAAAATTATCATTTACTCTGAGTTTACTGGGGACAAAGAGAAGATGAAAGCAGATGTGTTTGCTCAATCCACCATCTTTACTTGAAAGTTTGCTGGGAAAGATTTCTAAAAGGATCTAACTCTACTTACGTATCAATTACCATTTGGAACAAAATAAACTAACCTATAATCTAAAGGCTTAAACCACCACCATTTATTTAGGTCATGATTCTGTAGGTCATTGCCTTCTCTTCCCTGAAACTTCCTCTTGCTCCTATAGTAGAATCTGTCAGTGGTTGGTCCTGTCTTAGGTTGTTCTCTGCCAAACCCTTGCCTGACACTGGCAGCCACCTCGGTGGTGTGCCTCTCATTTCTTAAGTTCTGGTCTTAAAAATAAATTGTAGAGAGAAAGCTTTTCTTTTTTTCTCATATACTTCATAATAATATATTTGTATGTGTTTTAAAAATGTAAGTTTAATTAAAACATATGAATAAAAGCCTTTATAATAAATCCCAGCAACTCCAAGCAATTTCTGATCTAAATATGTACAATTACCTTTTCCATTTCAAATTTTTGAAAAACTGGAATATTTGAGGAGCTCATAGTTGCCAAGAGTGTTAATATTTTCCAAATAGGCAGTATATCTGAGAAATGTGAAAGGCAGCCCTGTCCTAAAGCTTCATTGGATAAGGCAAATCTTCAGTTTCCACAGCTGCTGGCTTCAGCCTACCCAGAGGAATAGTTTTAGAGAGACATTAATCTCTGAGAAATCCACAGTAATTCATAGAATGCTTGCACAGTGATTCAAGCAGCATGTGTAAAATTTATTTAGTGTTTGGCCGGGAAAAGTTTTAATTATGTGAAGTCTTCAGAATGAGAAGAAGGTGACTAAAGATGTTTGACTAAATCAGTCATGGAGGACCTGGATTCTCCCAGACCTCCCTCCAATTTTGTTTTATTTCTGCAAACCTCAAACCATAAATGCAAAGGAAGCTCTCATGGAATTAGATGATGGCACTGTTAGAACCAAGATGCAACTAGCAGAAACGTCATCTAAGACAGGAGATATGAACAGCAGCAGTCTTGAGCCCTCCAGTGTAGCAAAAAGGTCAGGTGTCCAGTGGTGGGTTATCTACAACCAGGGTAGGCTCAGAGGTGAAAAATTATGGGATTGTTGAAAACCCAAGAGGCAGGATGCAAGATGCTTCCATCAAAAACCCCAAGTAAGTGCAAGGTGGAGTGTGACCACCTGCTGGTCAGCTCACTTTCTGAGTTCCTGGCATAGTGTGGTGTTGAACCTGAGGTAGCACTTGGAAGTGGAGAGAGGGCCAGGGTCCATTTATGAGGATGATACAGGCATGGGGACTGGGCCTTGCAGGAAGAAGAGTTGAGCCAACCCTACTGGGCTTAAAAATGGTCAATAATCAGAAACCACAAGGTGTCACCTAGGCTGATGGAACAGTTAGAAAACCACAGTTATCTTTAAGGATGAGTTTTCATCCTCTAGGTTTTGTCCATAGATATTAGGACCCCAGCACAAGACTTTGGGCAGGGGTTTTTGTCCCAGGTGACTGTGTCAGAGCCTCAGAAAGGGGACAATAATTTTCGGAGACAATCAAAAGCTAGTCCTGTGAGGTAGAGCACAGAAGCCAGAGTGAGCCTGCAAGGTTCTCATAATCATCCCTAGACCGACCGACCCACAGCATGAAGGTCAGGGGGAGCTGCTGAAGTATTTACTCCCTCAAGTCACACAAGCCTGGGCACCAAAGTAGGCTTTTCCTAGCTGAGAGGAGTAGGGAAGGGAACCAGACCGACCTGACCCTGGAGTTCAAAACACTAAGGTTGAGATGATGATGTGAGTAGGAGTCTCCACCTGAGTTTCCCAGAGATCGCATCAGCTCCAACATGCCCTAAATTTATTCCCTCTGCCCCTCTGTTTTCTTTTCTCTATACTGTTTATAGTACCCTGAGCCTCCCAATCACTCAGGCTCAAACCTGAAGCTTATTATGGGCCCTTCGTCTTCCCTGCCCTGAAAATTCTACCTCATATCCTTTCTAACTCTCCATACCCACTGTCACTCCCCTAACTCAGAAATTTCTCCCTTTTCTTCCCCCTACTGTTCCCTAATCTCATATGGTGGTGGCAGGCTGAATATTCAGGAACAGGGTTCTAATAATGTCATTGCTCTGTTCTAAAATCATAGAAGTATTTACATCACCTGGAATAAAATTCAAATTAAGCCTGTACATCAAAGCCCTTCCTGAGTTTTTTTCAATCTACCTTTCCAATGTCAGGCAAACAAAACCACTCTCTTCTCTGTACACTTTTTACTCCATTCTACCTTTGCATTTTGCTCTGCATGGAATGCATTTCTCTGCATCACTGCATTTCTGAATCTTACCCATCCTTCAAGATCAGCTCCTGCGTGAATGTTCTCTGATTTTCCTCTGCAAGCACCTCTTTTGGACTCCTGGAACCACATGTCCTATTTTTTTACATTTTAAAAAAAGGATATGCTTTTTAATATTTTTTCATTAAGTGATAAGCTCCTTGGAAATAAGGGCCTTACATCAAATTCACCTTTATGGAGGCATAGGGAGAGCCAAGAACATTGAATTTGGCCAGTTTGTAAGAAATGTAAAGAAGTTTGGTGGAATAACTTTGAAAAGGTAGATTGGAGTCATATTGTGACTCCAGAGTCATAGCTAAAGGTGGTTGGGAATAATCAGCAGAAGTATAACAATAGATGTGGTAACCCTGAGAAAGAATATCAAATATGAAAGGAAAAGATCTATGGCTGGAAGTTCAGGGAACATCACCCTGCAAGTGTTGGATGGAGAATGAAGAATCCCTTATGGAGACTGGCAAACAATGATTGTGTAGGATAAAAGACAGTCACAATATTCATACTACACTGGGCATGAAAAAAAATTCAGCCCTATTGGTCCGTCACACCAATATGTGCATGGATAAGTCTGACGAAAATGTGTGTTTTTTTTTCTCTAGAATTGCAAATAGGGCAGAATTGCAAATATGGCGGGACATCCTGACAGACTTATAAACCCTTAATTCAGAACATTAGAAAAATTGATTCTAGCATGGGCAACATGGCAAGGTCCTGTCTCTACAATTTTTTTTTTTTTAATTTGTAGAGCATGGTGGCATGTGCCTGCAGTATCAGCTAGTTGGGAGCCTAAGGCAAGAGGATTGCTTAAGCCCAGGAGTTTGAGGCTCCAGTGAACTATGATGGCACCACCGCACTCCAGTCTGAGCAACAGAGTGAGATCCTGTCTTAAGAAAAAAAAAAAAAAAAAGGTGATCCACTCATTGCCATAATTTTCCTAACAAATGGAGCCTCCCAAGCCCAGTAAACCTGAGACATCTACAAATATGAAAATGCTGGACATAAAAAAAAAAAAAATAAAAGGCCTCACATGAAGGAACACACAAATGGGAATGAGAAGGATTCCTGGTGGTCTGATTTTGTGTTGGCCTCCCAGTCCCAAAAGTTATTTTAAAGTTGAACATAA
The DNA here is from genome assembly GCF_000001405.40 of Homo sapiens. Taxonomy (NCBI): domain Eukaryota; kingdom Metazoa; phylum Chordata; class Mammalia; order Primates; family Hominidae; genus Homo; species Homo sapiens. The sequence continues at coordinate 227,670,858 of NC_000001.11, read as the reverse complement.
TTATTAAAACCAGAGTATAAGCATAGAGACTCTGAGGCAGTAAACAGGGGTTGAATGGGGGCTTAAAAATCCTGACTACAGGGAACCTGAAAGACTAGGGCAGCCCTTCACAGAGCTGGATAGAAAAGTTCTAGGTGAGGGGTGTGCAATCCTTACTGGATAGGAACTGTGTAGAATCTTGGGACAGTGAGCAGCTTCCACTTGAGACCTTTCTGATCATTCCTGACCAGGGGAAGCTACTGCCACAGACATGCAGGACCTGCTCTGTGTCAGCTAAATTTAATTCTGGGCAGACAAAAGCTGAGCTCCTGGGAGGCAAAAAGCCCTCAGCCAGGCAGACATTTACCTGATCAAAGCAGGGAGGCCCTCTGAAGCCCACCCTGGTAAAGGTCCTACCTGAGACCATAATAATCTTACACTTTACTCCAATACAATGGAGGCCAAACTACTCGTTTAAATGGTTCTACAAATGTTTGGTTCAAATTACACTTTATTCTTTATTCAGATTTATTAAGGTATAATTGACAAATTACAATTATATATACTTGTGGTGTACAATGTGATTTTTAAAATTTCAGCTTTTATTAAATCGGGGGATACATGTGTAGGACTGTTACATGGGTATTTTGGGTATAGTAAGCATGGCACCCACAGGTAGTCTTTCAACACATGCCCGTCTCTCTTCCTACTCTCCTAGGAATCCACAGTGCCTATTTGTTTATCTTCCACTTCTAAGTGAGAACACGTGGTATTTGGTTTTCTGTTCCAGAGTTAATCTGCTTTAGATTATGGCTTCCAGCTTCATCTATGTTGCTGCTGAGAACATGATTTTATTTTTTTATAGCTTCATATTATTCCATGGTGTAAATGTACGTTTTCTTAATACAATCCAGCATTGTCGGGCACCTAGATTGATTCCACTTCTCTGCTACTGTGAGTACTGCAGTGATGAGTATATGAGTGCATGTGTCTTATTGGTATAATAATTTATTTTCATTTTGGGATATACCCAGTTATGGAATTGCTGGGTCAAATGGTAACTCTGTTTTAAGTTCTTTGAGAAATCTCCAAACTGCTTTCCACAGTGGCTGAACTAATTTACATTCTCACCAACGGGGTATGGGTTTTTTTTATCTGCAGCCTTGATAGCATGTGTTGTATTTTTGATAATAGCTATTCTGACCGGTGGGAGATGGTATTTTTTTTTTTTTTGAGACGGTCTCGCTCTGTCTCCCAGGCTGGCGCGCAGTGGCACGATTTCAGCTCACTACAAGCTCCGCCTCCCGGGTTCCCGCCATTCTCCTGCCTCAGCCTCCTGAGTAGCTGGGACTACAGGCGCACGCCACCGCACCTGGCTAATTTTTTTTTAGATATATATATATTTTTAGTAGAGACGGGGTTTCACCGTGTTAGCCAGGATGGTCTTGATCTCCTGACCTCGTGATCCACCCGCCTCGGCCTCCCAAAGTGCTGGGATTACAGGCGTGGGGAGATGGTATTTCATTGTGGTTTTAATTTGCATTTCTCTGGTGATTTGTGATGAGTATTTTTTGATATGTTCATTGGCCACTTGTATGTCTTACTTTGAAAAGTGTCTGTTCATGTCTTTTGCTCACTTTTGTATGGCACTATTCATTCTCTACTTGTTGACTTAAGTTTCTTACAGATTCAGGGTATTAGACCTTTGTTGGATGCAGTTTGTGAATATTTTTTTCCCATTGTGTAGGTTGTTTGTTTACTCTGTTAGTGGTTTTTTTTTTTTCCACTTTGCAGAAAATCTTTAGTTTAATTAGGTCCCATTTGTTAACTTGTGGTTTTGTTGCAATTGCTTTTGGGGGCTTGGTCTTAAATTCCTTGCCAAAGTCGATGTTGAGGAGGGTAAATTCTAGGTTTGCTTTCAGGATTTTTATATTTTGCAATCTTACATTTAAATCTTTAATCCACATAATAGAACAGAATAGGAAACTTGGAAATAAGGCCATACACCTACAACCATCTGATCTTTAAGAAGGCTGACAAAAACAAGCAATGAAGAAACGACTTCCTATTCAATAAATGGTGTTGGCATAACTGGCTGGCAATATGCAGAAGAATACAAATAGATCCTTACCTTTCATCATATAAAAAATTTAACTCAAAGTAGATTAAAAATTCAAATTATATTTTAAACATATTTTTAAAACTGTGAACACAGTCAAGTGTGTGATGCCAAATGTGAACACTTGTAGACCCCAGTGGCTTACGTAAGCCACAGGTTCATATACTCATGCCCAACTCAGAATAAAGGTTCTCCTGCCAAAACCATGAATGTATTTGAACACAAGAGACCAGCCATGAATCAGAAAACATCTGAAGACACTCTATCCAGCTTGGCATTTTATGTTTACAATGATGGACCATATATGTGTGTGGACTGTTATAAATTTTACTGAGAATCTGCTTGCTAGCCAGAATTATGGATTTTTTTAGCTCCAATACCAAAGCAGATCAAAAGACATTTTAATAAATGTAATATCTGCAGAACCTTTATGAGCCTGATACTAGTTTTAATTCAACTTGGCTGAATTATGTTTAATTATAGAAATTAAATCGCTAATTATAGAACTGGTATCAACAGGCTAAACTATTATGAAACCTATGGATATATTCACAATTTAGTCTAGTAGGTATATTATTGTCCCAAAACTTCAGGGATATGACTTCTTCCTGGGGGATACAAAACACTTTTACTCAAATATCTACATTGTTAGAGCTACTGTTTGGTGTTCTGAATCTCCTGAGGTTTCCATTTCAAGAGCTGCAACAGAAACTTTAAAAAATAAATTGGGAGTTTCTTCTGATACTGTGACTTCTGTTCCATAAAATATCTAAATGTTCCATAAATCTGTATTTTCAATAAACTCAGGGCAGTGGGATAAAGAAAAATACACCCATTTGAATCTGAATACCTTAGCTTTTCTCAATAAATTAGATATCCTTTTTTCTTCCCTATAATTTCATGGTTAATGTGTTCATATGTTTCATCACATTATTGAAGACATAAAATTCTCTGATCCATTAGGAGCCTGATAAATAAGTTCGGGGTATATTTATTTCCCAAAATAATTGACAGTAAACTTCTCTGACTACATTAAATACAATTAACTTATATTTTCTGCTGCAAGTTATTAAAGTATCCCTTAAACAAGAACTGATAAGTCATCGTTCTAAGAAATATTTGATCTTGCTTACTTTCTTTATCTAATTATGTGAGAAAACAGCTATCAACATTCCCAGGAGAAAATTCCTGGAGAGGAGATTAATAGAAGCTGGGGTCACCAATCTCCTCGTCTTCTCAGCAAAATTGTAGATGCCAGTTCTACTTTTAATTGTAGTGGCTCATCTGTAGCCTGTGAACCAAGTTTTTCCAAGGTATTTATATATCAGCAGGGGGAAAGAGCAAGGCCCAGTAGCTATTATCTCAGAATCAAATAACACATCGACTGAGATATAGAGTAGACCTTTTTTATCTTTTTCTGTTCTCAGTGGGGTGTGGTGTCTCATGTCTGAAATCCTAGCAGTTTGAGAGGCCAAGGCGGGCGGATCGCTTGAGGTCAGGAAATTGAGACCAGCCTGGGCAACATGGCAAAACCCTGTCTCTACAAAAAATTAGCTGGGTGTGCTGGCGTGCACCTGTAGTCCCAGCTACTTGGGGGGCTGAGGAAGGAGGATCGCTTGACCCCAGGAGGTCGAGGCTGCAGTGAGCCAAAATCACTCCACTGCACCCCAGCCTGAGTGATGAAATGAGTTTCTGTTTAAAAAAAAAAAGAGGAGAGGCCGGGTGCGGTAGCTCACGCCTGTAATCCCAGCACTTTGGGAGGCCGAGGTGGGTGAATCATCTGAGGTCTGGAGTTCAAGACCAGCTGACCAATATGGTGAAACCCCATCTCTACTAAAAATACAAAAAATTAGCCGGCTGTGGTGGCGCATGCCCGTAATCCCAGCTACTTGGGATGCTGAGGGAGGAGATTTGCTTGAACCCGGGAGGCGGAGGTTGGAGTGAGCCAAGATCCTGCCATTGCACTCCAGCCTGGGCAAAAACAGCAAAACTCTACCTCAAAAAAAAAAAAAAAAAAAAGCAAGAAAGAAAAGAAAAGAAAAAGGAGAGAGCGTGGACCCTTTACAGTGAGCAAGGGATGCTTTTCAACCCCACAGTTCATGAGCAGGATATCCCCTGTCGAACTGCAGCAAGGCCTACTCAAGGAGAAGCTGCAAGGGCACATATCTGTCACTGAGCATAAGAAACTTAGAAAAATACTTCCCCTAAGCCACAAGTCAAGGCTACCCTGTGTAATTTATGGCCTGTTTGATTCCAGTTACCTCAGTTAAGCTTGTTAAAAAACAGTTTAGTTCCCAGAGGACTCATTAGTGAACGCTGACTATAGAAGTTTCACAACTTAAAAAATGACTCATATGAATATGTAAATAGTATCCAGACACAATAGATTAATGCAGCTCAAAAGCCAGGATGGGGCCTTTAGTAAAATTCCATTAGATAATACTGTCAGTGATTTGAAGGTAGACTTTTTACCTGTTTGGGCTCCCTTTTTTGTTTACCCTCTTTAGCTTAATAATCAGTCTAGCACAATTATGCCAAGATGAGTATACATTAATGAGGCAAATCCTCCAATATTCCTGTGTTCTCTCTTGCCAAAGAGAAGCATTTACCATTTCAGAAGTATCAGACTAAATAATGCAATATACGTCAGATAACTTCTGATCTTTTGATTTAAGATGGCTGACAGGTCATCTGTGGCAACCTTTCTTTACCACAAATTCTTAGAAAGAATAACTCACTCTGAAAATTAAGATGTATCCTCACTAAACTAGAAGTCAGGAAAAATCATTAAAACATGAAATGTAGATAGGATTGGATTGAAGAAGAAAACCACAGCCAAACGGCATACAGGATAGGGTAGCTACAAAAGGTGAGGCAAACCTGACCAGGCACACCCTCCCAGGAGAGAGCAGTTGCCTAGAGGATAACGGGACCCTGGATTAAATAATAATCACAAGATTATTGACTAGAAAAAGATAATCCACAAAATAGAAAAATTGGCAAAAGATATGTTGTAGTTCACAAAAAATATTAATAGCTTTACATACACAAAATATGCTCAGGCTTAGTCATGACATAATTGTCTAATTCATATTTTGACATCTTAAAGCTGAGGAAATGGAAAGCAATTATATTCTAAGGCTGAAGCCCTCATAATTGGATTTACTGGCTTTATGAAATAGTTCTTAAAAAGCTCTCTCTTTGCCAGGTAAGTGTACAACCTTAAGCCTCCGGCCTACAACCTGAGAGCCCTTGCCAAAGCCCAATTATGCCAGACGCTGATCTCCAGCCTGAGGTGAAATATAAGTGATATCCCATTGTCTTTGTTGAATTCTGTTGGTCAAAAGTGAGTCATTAGCCCCACAGTGCTCTGAGTTTTTGTGGATGCTGCACACCACCTGATATGCAGCACAAGCGTCTGATTTTACATATAATGGAAAGTCACTGGAATGTGTAATTAGCTGGAAGATGGCAATATTTGGATTTTAACCTCTAATTCAGAATGAAAAATGAGGCCCAGAGAAGTGACTTTCCAAAACCACACTGCTGGGCCCAGGCCTGTTTGAGCTGTAGTCCACGCTACCTCCCACCCCTTCTTGTAATTCTTTCATCTCTAAATTTGTGCTTTATCTTCATGTGACACTATGCCATGAGTTTTGTCTCATTTGTACCCGAAGAATTTTCTAGGAAGATGCTGGTATAATCCCCATTGGGTAGGTTAGGAGGCTGGGTAGGCACCAAAATACACAATGACTTCTAGGGTCACAGAACTGGTTAGAAAAAAGTAGTTCTGATCCAGCTGTGTCACCACAAACCTGGGGCCCTGACTGCGTCCAGTCTCCGTAGGGGACTGAGAGAGGCTGTGCTTGCATAACTGTGTATAGGCAAGGAGCTGACATGGTGGGGAGCGTGAGAAATCAGTAGCCCACCAGGGCCTTTGGGTAGGTCATATGGAAGGAAGGGGTCCTGGGGATAGAACCCTGAAGTGACCTTACTTTCTCGGTGACAGACCCCAAGATAATTTAGAACCCTGGTAACCAGGCACCTACATTCTAGAGACAGCCCCAGTAGTCAACTTACTCAGTAGGAAATGCTCAAGAGAGCAAGATGTTCTTTTGCTATATCCTGACTTTTCCAAGGCTCTTGATTTAGTAAGGCCTGACGTGAGAATGCTTTCCAACAATGCAGGCATTGGCTCAACTCTCACCACTGATGCCTCTGGCCATTTGGCAGGGGGCATGCAAAGTTAACACAGGGCATCTCAGGAGAGGCCCATGCAGGTAAGGCCTCATCTGTGATCCTATTAAATAAGGCTCACATGTCTTTCTGACACCGTGTGTTGGGGAAAGCAAGTGCTGAGGAGGCTATTTCTGGACACAAGCAGATTATCAAGTGTCGGAAGCCTTAGTGAGATGGTCAGGTTCATACCACAGGGCATGACAGGACAGGGAGGTGAGTGTTGAAAAACAATTTTGTCTTCTTGGATGTGAACCCCAAGACTTCAAACCGTGATCTGGTTTCCTCCCTGGCTGAAGGTCTATGGGAATTCTCTTTTATGCCTGATATAGGGATAATTATTTTTTTTAAATAGGGTCTCACTTTTGTCTCACAGGCTGAAGTGCAGTGGTGTAATCATGGCTCAATGAAGCCTCAACCTTTGGAGAACTTTTAATGGAAGTGTCCCCGTGATGACAACCAGGCAACCACTGATGCCTCTTGGCCTAGCTGCAAGGCACTCTCTTTGCAGAGCTCCATGCAGGAGATCAATAAAAAGCTGTTTGATGGGTCCAACTACTCCATCTCTTTGGATGAAGGGCAGGTATACCATGCCACCGAGCATATCTAGCACTGGGCTTGGGTGGGAGTGGGCACAGAGAGGTCTTTGCAGACAGGGATCAGAGGAGACAAAAGTGGGCCGAGGACAAAGACCTGAATATGTAGACACCCTGGGATCTGTCCTAGGGCTTTTCCACTAGGGTAACTCACCATTCTTTCCCAAAGGAGTCTGGCTTTCATGAGTCCTAAATGGCAAATGGTTAGGCGCAAATCCCTGTTCACATACTTATAGAAATATCAGAGAAGACATTTTTCTGTTGCTTTTACTTCACACTAGGCCCTGAGTATCTTTGCATGTTGCTGTTTTTATTAAATAACTGCACCCAGGTATCTCTTATAGCAGACAGCTCCTTCTCCATACCTTACACACGAGTATTTTTATGAGGGAAGTGTTTACAAAAGGGGAGCCGGGGGTTAACCCAAAAAGGTTAAGGTATCCTACGCATTTCTCTGCAATGTGTCATCTTAGAGAACTCATGCCTATAGTCCCATCAGGGCAGGAGCTCTGACCTTACATGTCTTGATATCACGTCTTTATGTTATTTCATAATCAAAGCTGTTTCCCACAGTGGTTCAGCCTTTCAATGCTGGTGGAAACTGGCATGAAGACATTTTATTTCCACTTCAGTCGTGCTGCAGGAAACATATTGTATGTGTCTTAACAAACTATAACAGTTTGCTACGCTGTCATAATACAGCATCACAAACTCAAGGCTTTAATAACAGATATTTTTTCTCACAATTTTGGAGGCTAGGAACCTGACATCAAGCTATGGCTGGGGTGTTTTTTCTGAGGCCATTTTCCTTGACTAGTAGATTGCTGTCTTCCATTGCTGTGTTCACAGGATCTTCTGTTTCTGTATCTTTACCATCACTTCTTATAAAGACCCCAGTCATATTGGATTAGGGCTCACTCCAATAAACTCACTTAACCTTAATTACCTCTATAAAAATCATATGTCCAAATATATTCCCATTCTGAGGCACTGACTATTAAAACATGGGAACACATACATTTTTGGGAGAAAATGCAATTCAGCCCATAATATATAGTAATCACCTGCAGAAAGGGGTAACTTGGTGAAAGAATATGCATGGGTAAAACTTTAATAGGTATAGCCAGATTACTTTCCAAAAGGGCTGTGGCAAGTATAGTGTCCCCAGCAGTCTCTCAATATCGCTGGTTCCCTACATCCAGCCTCCCTTGAATGTTAAGACTTAATTTTTTGCCAATCTGGTGTCTGTGTGACAAAGAAACTCATGTAATTCCTTGCATTTCCAGTTGTTTAACAGATAAGTTTGAGTCACCTTTCAGTCATTTAATACTTATTTGGGGTTTCTCTTCCCTGCGTCATCTGCTCACATCCTTGGCCCTGCAGTTTCCCAGCATTTGTCTTTGCCAGGTGAGAAACTGCTGTAGCTGTTTCTTAAGACTCCCCTTAATGTTAAAGAAAACAAGTATGTGCGTTAGGTCAAAAGGTTTATTGTAAATCATCTTGCTCTGTGTATTCTTTCCAAACAGAAAAAAATAAAACTTCTCCAAGGCTCTTTTCTTCCACATGACAGCAAACAGAACTTCAGGTAGCTTACAGGAAAATTCATACCACTCTCACTCTGCACGTTCTCAATTCTGAACCACATGCTTTAAGGAGACATTGGATGTGCAAAAGCCTGTGTTTTCTCATCTCTACAATGAGGATGTTTTTCAGGATTCACAGTAATCTCTTAACACAGGCTATTAATACAGATGTGTGCTGTTGCTCCACAGCTGACAAATACCATAGAAACGCTTGAAAGTATTAATGTTTGAATCAATCCCCAACCTCCACATCCAATTTTACTTCGGAAGCCTAGAACCTTCTCCTTAAATACTCATGTCCTCCACATGCACTGATGTATTGGAATTTCCTGGTCTGAATTTCAATCCCCAAAGCACCTGAGGCTCATGCTGCTGTTACTGACTGTAGTTCCCTCCTTGTCCCCCGAGTAGTATAAAAATGAGTCTAAGCTGAATCTAGAGTAAATCTGCATGATGTGGACCACCAGGCTAGGGAGAAGGGAGATCCTGGTGGGTTCCTGACTTCAGCTTTGCAGGCTGGGACCATCTTTTCCTTCACCATTTTCCTAGGCTCCTAACCAGGACTTCACCACAGCACCATAGTTTCTGGAGTAGCTGTTCAGAAGCTCAATGTTTGTCCCTTCCAAGACACACTGATGACTGCCACCTATTGGCTGTGACTTGGAGATGTCCCCAATGTTCCTGCAGCTCTCTGAGCTGAACTTTTCTTCTCTCAAAATGGGTGAAAAGAAGATAAACCTCATAGGGTTCTTGTAGGGACTAATGTTTTGAGACATGGAAAGCAGGTCAACCATGCCTGGCTCCATAAAAAGGCTTCTGGGCATGCTGTGGCTGTTCATATTTATTATTTTTTTCTGAATTTTACTGAAACTCTCTGTAACATGCCCCAATGACTCATGTCCCTTATTGTTGGGAAAAGCATATCAAAAACAAGTCCATTTTTGCATTTGTAAATGCGGCTTGACATTTCTTTTGCCTGGTCTTTGTTCTTGACATAGACAAAACAGGGGTCCCCTGCTGGTAAACAACAACAACAACAACAACAAAAACAAAACAAAACAAAACAACAAAAAAAAACAAAGGTCCCACGTTCAACAAAATATCTGAGAAGGTTCTGGTTGAGATTTATTTAGTCAACACACACACATTAAGCATTTAATCTGAATAGTCACATTTCCAGACACTTGGCATTATTCAACGAACAAAGCAGTTGAAAGTTTCTGGGCCTCAATTTCATTTGGGGAGTCAGAAACTCACAGTAGACATTATAAGCAGTAGACATTATATGTCACGAGAATGTAACATATGATGCCTTTGTGTCCTCCTCTAGGTACAGATGCATCCTCCTAGATTCTGAGAAAGATGAAGGATCTCAGAACCAATTATAACTTTTAAGTGAATGCAGAAAAAGAATTTTAGAAAATTCAACATTACTTTATGACAAAATCTCAAAACAAATTACATATAGAACATACATACCTCAAGCCAATAAAGGCCATATATGACAAATGGACATCTGACATCATGCTAAACCTTCAAAAGTTGTAAGCCTTTTTTCTAAGAGTTATAGTAAGGCAAATATATCTAACTTCATCACTCTTATTTAACATGCTACTGAATTTCCAGGCCAGAGAAATTAGAAAACAAAACCAAAGACAACCAAATTGGAAAGAAAGAAAATAATTGTCCCTGTTTGCAGATATCATAGTCTTATAAATAGAAAACTTTAAAAATACTTAGAATAAATTCACTAAAGTTGCAGGATACAAAATCAAGATATAAGGGTCAGTAGCATTTCTATACACTAACAACAAACTATCTGAAAAAGAAATAAAGAAAACAATTGACACCTGCAATAGTTACAGAAAGTTTACTTCCAAATAAAATTATTCAAAAATGTTAAAGATCTCTACATTAAAAGCTAAAGAAAACTGAGGTATAAAATTAAACATAAATAAATGAAAAGTTATCCCTTATTCATAAATTGGCCAAATTAATATTGCTAAAAAGTCTATGTTACACAAAATGATGTATATATTTAACATAATGTCTATCAAAATATCAATAAAATTTTTCACAAAAAAAACACAAAAATTCATATAGTACAGTAAAAGACTCTGAAGGTTGGAAGCACTGCACTACTTGACAGTCAAATATACTGCAAAGCTACAGTAACTGAAACAGTCCAATACTGGCATTAAAAACAGATAAATAGACCAATGGAGCAGAACACAGAAAGATGAATACCTCATGGTCTCACTCACGTGGAATCTAAACAAGTTGATCTCATAAAAGTAGAGACTAGAAAGAAGGTTAAGAGATGCTGAAGTTTTAGGAGAAGGGGGCTTAGAGAATTATCTGTTAAATGATAAACAATGCCTGTTAGCTAGGAGGAATTAGTTCAAGAGACCTATTGTAGTGCAGAGTGAATACAGTTATTGAGAATATATTGTTTTTTTTTTTTTAAGTGCCAAGACCATGTTGACCTTTCTCACAATAAAAATAACTATTGAGGTAAAGCATTTTTAATTGGCTAGAATTAAGCATTTCAAACATCATGTGTTACAAGATATATATATATGTAGATATAAAATTTTGTCAATTTAAAAATAATTTTTAAACACATCATGGAGCGATAGCAATGCTCCAAATACTGAGTCTGCATCTTTTTCATAAACTTAGCTGAACTATATAGAAAATACAGTTTTTATGATTTTTAAAAATGTCTACTTATCAGCCATAAGCATAGAAACTCTGATATTTACCAGCATGTTCTAGAACCAGCACAGAACATGGGAGTCACCAAAGGACTCTATGGCTTTCACTTTAAGTTTGGGACACCTGGAGTTTCTGGTGCTGATGCTGATCATATGGACGACATTAAAGAAGCAGGTGGTGCTAACAGTCCCATCTCTGGCCATGGTGTGAACACAGAAATCAGGTTTGCATCCAAAATCACCAAGGAAATATTTCAATCCAAAAGCTCTCTAGATCTCTGAGTTTTTTAATACAGAAAATGACTAAGGAATTGGCTTGTTATGTGATTATTTATATAAACTCTGCAATGTAAGCTGCATCCATTTAAATAAAACATATTGTGATATGAGTAAGAAACTTCCCAAGATTCCAGTATCAATGGGGAAGAAAAGATTATTCCAAAATTTAAATCCACAGAAGCATTTAGAAATTTAAATTAAATTTGAAAAATTAAATATAAATGTAAACATAAATGTAAATGTTTATTATTGTCTAATATATTACATAAACACTAAAAACTAAAAGATTCTACATGTACACATAAATTGTGCTATATGTAATTTATAAAAAACTAAATTTAAACTTTTTTGCTTGCCATTAAGTGTCCTTAAGATTTCTAAGATATATTTTTGCTTAAGGGGTTTCCAAATTCTGATGTTTCTTTATATAGTGATTATGATATATAGCCTACCATTATTAATGCTTTACCTATTCTAACTGATTTCATGTTTACTATATTTTGTGGTAGAATCTAATAACATTTCTTTCATACAAACATTACTAACTCAGTAATTTAATCCTATAAACTGTGTAGAGTACATCCCAATTATGCCAATTAAATGATTCAAATGGTGCATTTCTAACTTAAAAATGTCCTCAAACTCTCCAGTTAAATCCAATTTTTCACTATATTAAAAATTTCAAATTCCTTATCACAACCTACAAAATACTGTATGAAATTACATGGGCTGCAGAGAACAGTGAGAAATCTGTAGCCATAATAAGCAAAGAAGGGAAAGGGCTATGATTGACGCATAGTTGGGGGTGAAAATAAAATAACAGTGAAGTACCAGAGATAACTATGAAATAAACACAATTCCTCTTAATTTCAGAGGCAGTTGTACAGCCTGGGTATACATGTGTTTTCTTTACATGCAGAGTTAATGCCATCTCTTTATGCTGAATATTTCTAATCTCTTACTTGTAGCCAAAAAGTGACTTAAACAAGAATATTTACTGCTAATTATAGAGCATCTATTATACCCCCAGGAAACCTAGCACTTTCCTGTGTTTGTTCACCTCATTTATATGTCAAAACAACTTTGTGAATTATGAAGCCTTCCCAGTGTACATCTAAACAAAATGGCTCAATAAAGTGAAAAAAATTCAATTATGTAAAATATTAAAATGGAAACAAAAACCAAGTAAAAATTGGCCAAAATAGGGTTCTCCAATTGAAATACAAAAATAAAATATACTAATTAAATAAAATGTAGTAACACACATATTGTAGAATTACATCTTAAAATTATCTTGTGAACATCAATACATTTTATGAAAGTTATTCTTAGAATTTCTCAGGAATATAGAGAAAATTTCATGAACTTTGGAATGAGAAAACTATACATTAGGTTTAGTATGATCAACAGACAAGAAAAAAACAGGATTTGCATGAGAAGATTCTGAGCCAGCAGCCATAAGATTTTACAGAAGTAAATTCAATACAAAGCAGAGAATAAATATTTACTTTCAGAATCTTTGAGATTCCTAGTTTGCTAGTAAATTACCAATACTTTTTAAATTATATTTTGTTCCAATATTTTTGTTTTCTTCTCAAAAAAGTACACACCTACACTCAAACACAATTACATGCTCTGTAATTCTCTTAAAGCTAACACTTATGTTTAGAGTGACAGACTTATAAAATTAACTCCATGTTAATCAAAACTAAATGTATGTATGTGTTTTTACAGGCCAGAGGGGTCACAGGCTCAAAGAAAAACGTAGTATGACATTTTGTAAATAGTCATTCGTGATTCAAAATACATGGCCTTTCATTATACTCCTTTATAGTGGGCAATTATAATGGTTATACTGAAGATTATATAAGAGTATCATTGTCCAGTATTTACAAAAGAAAAAAATAAAAATATAACCTATGGGATGTTAGTCCATTTTGTGCTGCTAGAAGGGAATACTTAACACTGGCAAATTAATACAGAAAAGAGGTTTATTAGCCTCAGTTCTGTTGGCTATACAAGCATGACATCAACATCTGCTTAACTTCTGATGAGGCCTCAGGAAGCTTTTATGCATAATAAAAGGCAAAGGGGTATCATGGCAAAAGACAAAGCAAGAGGAATATCAGTTTTTTGTTTGTTTGTTTTTGTTTTTAACAACCAGCTTTCACATGAACTAACAGAGAACACACTAACTGCAGTGGTAAGAACACCAATCCATTCATGAGTAATCTACACCCATGACCTAAACACCTTCCACTAGACCCCGCCTCCAACATGGGGGAACACATTTCAACATGAGGTAAGGCACAAAAAAACCAAAGCATATCACATAAAAAAAACCTCCCCAAGTTGTTTGAAATTAAAAGCCACTGGGAAAAGAGATTACTAGAGGTGTCCTTTCACTGTTACCCAGTAGTGTATTGTTACTATCTGTTACCTACAACTTTGGGTAAGGTGGTATAGGTTAATTATTGTGGCAAGATATACTTCATTCAATGCAAAATATTCTTAACACATTAAAAATAATTTTGTTTTATGAAAAGAAATTGCATTCTAAAAATAACATTTCAAAAGCTACTGTATTATCTTAATGTGCAACTCATAAAACAATTTACTACTGAAATTCAAAATGTTTCCCTATTACTATAATGCAAAATACTTCTCTGAATACCTAATGTGTTACTTAAAACACTGTTATACATCAACAAAAAGCATTTCTACTTAGATTTTCCTTATAAATGTTACATTTCGGTGCCCTTAATCATTCATGAAAAAGCATATAAATGATGGTCATCTAATATAGAAGAACTTCTCATAGCTCTTATGCAGCAACAACTGACCACATACTTTAACATAAACAATAAATATAATAAAAATCAAGTTATTTGAGATATGAATTATATCAATATTAAAATATATAATCAAAAATATAAAAACTTTTAATGCAAAAAAGTATAACATGAATGTAACTGTGCTTCAAAAAGACATCATCTCTTGATTCATTTAAATTTACATACAACTAAATTATCTATTTTAACTTTGAATTATTCTCGACAATCAACACTGCTTTAAAGTAACATCTGAAACTGTTAGTGCCTTAGTACTTTCTACAGTAAATTATGTAATGTTTTATTTAGACTTAATTTTGGACATTTGTTTGTATTCACTGTATCTGTAAAATATATTCTACTATACTATAAACTCTGGTGTTTTCTAAGGCATATATCTTGAAAAAATGTTTTTCCACATTTGTAGGAGGTTTTTTGCCCCCGTAAAATCCTCTAAAGTTGAATAAAGTCTGAATAATTGTTTAAGGGTTTTTCCTCTAGTACAGATTCTGTTTACAGGAAGATCTTTGAAATAAAGATATTGTAATCTTTTATATTTATAAATTTCATTCAGTATAGTGTTGTGCACTCTGAAGCTTACATTTTGTGAAACATCCTTAAACAGTCATTATGCTCATACCACTTTTATTCAGTATGAAATTAGTGAAGCCATGTATAATGAAGCAGTTTTTAAAGACTGCCACATTTTTTACATTTGTCAGGTTCCTCTCCAGTATAAATTCTCTTATACTTACTATGGATTGAGGATTGGTAAAAACCTTTTCCACATTCTTTACATTTGTAGCGTTTCTCTCCAGTATGAATTCTTTTATGACGAGTAAGGCTTGAGAACTGGTTAAAGGCTTTGCCACATTCTTCACATTTGTAGGGTTTCTCTTCAGTATGAATTCTCTTATGCTTACTAAGGATTGAGGATTGGTAAAAAGCTTTGCCACATTCTTTACATTTGTAGGGTTTCTCTCCAGTATGAATTCTCTTATGGCTAGTTAGGTGAGAGCACTGTTTAAAAACTTTCCCACATTCTTCACATTTGTAGGGTTTCACTCCAGTATGAATTCTCCTATGTTGAGTAAGGCTTGAGAACTTGTTAAACGCTTTGCCACATTCTTTGCATTTGTAGGGTTTCTCTCCAGTATGAATTCTTTTATGCTGAGTGAGGTTTGAGAATTGAGTAAAGGTTCTGCCACATTCTTCACATTTGTAGGGTTTCTCTCCAGTATGAATTCTCTTATGGCTACTTAGGTGTGAACACCGATTAAAAGTTTTGCCACATTCTTCACATTGGTAGGGTTTTTCTCCAGTATGAATTCTTTTATGACGAGTAAGGCTTGCAAACTGTGTAAAGGCTTTGCCACATTCTTCACATTTGTAGGGTTTCTCTCCAGTATGAATTCTCCTATGTCTAGTTAGGTGTGAGCACTCATTAAAAACGTTGCCACATTCTTCACACTTGTAAGGTTTCTCTCCAGTATGAATTCTCTTATGTTGAGTAAGGTTTGAGAACTTGTTAAAGGCTTTGCAACATTCTTTGCATTTGTAGGGTTTCTCTCCAGTATGAATTCTCTTATGTTGTGTAAGGTTTGAGAACTGGGTAAAGGCTTTGCCACATTCTTCACATGGGTATGGTTTCTCTCCACTATGAATTTTCTTATGGCTAGTTAGTTGTGACCACCAATTAAAAACTTTGTCACATTCATCACATTTGTAGGGTTTCTCTCCAGTATGAATTTTCTTATGGTTAGTTAGTTGTGACCACCAATTAAAAACTTTGCCACATTCGTCACATTTGTAGGGTTTCTCTCCAGTATGAATTCTTTTATGTTTTGTTAGGTTTGAACATCGATTGAAAACTTTGCCACATTCTTCACATTTGTATGGCTTCTCTCCAGTATGAATTCTCTTATGTTCAGTAAGGATTGACCTCCAGCTAAAATTTCTGCCACATTCAATACATTGAAAGATTTTGCTTTTAGTTGATGAACATTGAGTAAGTCTATTGCAATATTCTTTCTGCCCCTTACCTTCATTCACAGTTCTCCAGTCTTTCACTAAGTGCAAATTGTCAAGGCCCCAGCTTCTATGTCTTGTCAGTGTCACTTTTTGGCATAAATCTTTCATATCCTGCTCTGGCAAAAGGTCTTGAATGGAATAAGATAAAATAGCTGAAAGAAATAAAAATAAAAAGTTATTCTTCTTACTAATCTCCAGTAAATATACTTTACAAATCTAATAAATATAATTATATCAGAGACATTAACAAGATGGCATAATAAAATATCACATGCCATGATTCCTTTTTGAACATATAAACTTAACAAAAATATACTGACCAAAATGCCTTTTTGAAAATAAAATCTAGTTAAGAGTTTGCAACACCCTAGGTGAGCACAATTGCAAAATCCATGTAGAATAGAAAGTAAAGTTTGTTACATTTATACATACAGCCTTTCTTCCACCCCAATACAGCATGGTGCCTTTAAGAGTAAACTTCAAACTCCTGGCTTCTCCCTCAAAGCAAAGAACAAAAAAACAAAAACAAAAAAACAATACATTGCACATGTGCCCATACTTCTGGCTTTTAGGGGCTTTCCAAAGACTGGTTTCTGTTTCCCATAACAAAGACTGCTGAAAGAAATGGTGGTATGCTCTGAATGACAGCTTTGGTCTGCTAAGAAAAAGGTAAATAATTGCTACTGCAGCAGAGAGATCACAGTGCCACAGACAGACATCAGGTGTAGCACATGATTACAGGTTTTTACAAAGAAACATGAACAAATCTCTTTAGCTGAACAGTAAACACACAATTCCAGAGAAGACAGATCATAAGAAGAGGTTTGAGAGGCTATAAGAATCTCCAGCCTGGCAAATAGCTATTAGCCTCCTCCAGGACAAAGCCACTTATAAAGACTGTGACAGGTGGCATTTTATTAATGCCCAAATATGAACCAAAGATTACAACATATGCAAAGTTATCAGGGTAACATGGTCCAATCAAGGAAACAAAATAAATAAAAAATTAATTCTAAGAAAATAAATATGTATAAATTATCTAAAAAATTCAAATGACTCATCTGAATGATGCTCAATAAGTGAAATGGGAATGAAGACAACTAAATAAAATCAGGAAATGTGAGTATCAACAAAATAATAAAATATATAACAAGAAACAAAGTGTGGGACTGAAGAATACAAGAAAATAACAGAAATGTTTATACATAAGATGTAAAAAAAAATCAAGAATAAACACAAAAAGAACCATAACAAGACACATTATAAGCAAGATTTTGAAATCACAGAGAGGAATAAGATGTTGAAAGCAGCAACAGAAAAGGGATGTGTCATTTATAAGCATTCTCCTATGGGATTACCTGTGAATTTATCAACAGAAACCTTGCAGGGCAAAATGGAGTTGAGTGATATAATCAGGGTATTGAAAGAAAAAACAAAAACTTTAAAGCAAGAATACTATTAACAGTAAAACTGTCCTTCACAATTAAGAGAAGATGAAGATTTTCCAAGATAACCAAATGCAGAAAAACTACATCACCAGTACAACTGTCCTACAGAAAATGTAAAATGGACTCCAGCCCATTGAAAATAAAATGTGTCATTAAACAAAAAATTATATACAAATACATAACTGTCTGGGAAAGATGTACACATATACAAAAATAAAATTCTGTAGTTTTAGAATGATGGTGCTGAAAACACTTTTACTTATGCTCTACAATTTGAAATATGCATAAGAACAACAATAAACATCTGTTGATGTCTCTATAATATGAAATATATAATTAGTGACATCAATAATATGAAGTTTAGGGTAAAAATAATGAAAAAAATTTCTGTATGCAACTGAAGTTAAGCTATTACCAGTTTATTATATGTTGTAACTTTGGGGGTTTTAGTGATTCTCATGGTAACCACAAAGAAAATACCTACAGAGTACACATAAACACACACAGAAGAAGAGAGTAGAAGCAATGGCTACAAGAATCCAATAAAACAATAAATGACAATAGTAAGTAATTATGTTTTAGACAGCTATTCAAATATTCATCAACAAAACATCCCAATCAAAAGACTGAATAAAGAGATTTGGAAAAAATTTTAAAAACCACAAACTATGTCTTGTCTCCAAGACACTAACTTTAGACGACTGGCATAATAGACAAAGCGGCAGGAAGAAAGAAGATTCCATGCAAATAGTAACCAAATGATAGTTGGAAAGGTAACAATTATACTGGGAAAAGTACATTATATGTCAACAACTGTTATATTTCACAAAGTATACTTTAAGCCAAAATTGTCACAAGAGAAAATATGAGCATCAAGTAATAATAAAAGTGTTCATTTATTGGGAACATATATAATTTATAAGCACTCATGAATACATATAAGATTTACTAAGAACATACCTTCCCCACTAGGTTTCCCAAATATATATGTTTATTAAAAAATTCCACACAAATTTGAAATGCAAAGAGAAAACTAAATGGAAAGTGAAACCATATAGGAAGAGTAAAATCAGCAAGTTGTTGGAACAGGAGGTCCTCTTCTTGTATATCTCCCAAAGCAACAAAAATTTATCAGTCATCTATGGACATAAGTGCCTTTGTGACAGAGCCGGGCACCATACCTCATATTTGTAATTCCAGCTATTTGAGAGGGTGAGGCAGAAGGATTACTTCAGGCCAGGTGTTTGAGACCAGCCTGGGTAACATAGCAAGACCCTGTCACACAAAAAGTACATTTATGATTGCTTTGTGATTCAGGCAGGGGGTTGTAATACCCTGCTAAAAGCACAAGACCAAGGAAAGCCTTTTTCAGAAAGCAAGTCTTCCTTCAGGTGGCAAACTTGAGGACGCTGGTCTTGGCTACAGACGAGGAAATGGCCCATTTAACATGATTCCACTTAGAATTCTGAAGTAACACTGTAACTGTCATTAACTCCTCCCAGCCATAGTCAAGAAGAGGTCCTACCCAGTCAGAGAGCTGGGGTCAGATGCTCATTCACGGCCATAGATGCAGAACTGCAGACCTTGACATTTACTGTGGTCTCTGAAGCAGGTGAATAACTCAGTTCTAGACCTTTAAGCTACATTCTGTGGACAGTCTTGCCAACCTAGAGACCTGTGACTTGGTAAAAACCTCACAAGTACTGGGTGAGAGCCACACACATACAAACACTTGGTATTAGGCCAAGTGTCTGCCCTATAGATCAAAGTGCTGAAGGCAACTCAGTTGGCCAAGGAATAAGACAGAATTCACAAGCACACAAGCCCCTGGTAATAAGCCCACCAAAGACAGACCCCATTGTGGACCCTGCCAACAACCTTAGGACTCAGGTATATCCCCTCTCTACTATGAACCCAGAAAAGATCTCATCAGCCTGGAGACCCAATAGGATAAAATCTTTACCTGTATAAACCAGTTTATAAAAACTGGTAGAGGTGTTTGCTCCTTCAAATGCACAGACACCAATGCAAAGTGATATTGTGCCCATTATCAATGCTTCTATTTTAACATAGTCCTGGAAGTCCTAGACAGAACAATTAGGCAAGAAAATTTTTTAAAAGCCATAAAAATTGAAAAGAAAGAAGTAAAAATACTGCTGTTTGTTGATGACATTATCTTATATGTAGAAAGCCATAACAAATAAATCAAAAATCTCAGTAAATTGGCAGAATATAAAAGGTTATACAAATATCAGTTTTGTTCTAATACACTAACTACAAACCACTTAATAAAAAAAACTCATTTACGGTAACATCTAAATAAATTTCATAGCAAAAACTTAAACAAGTGAAAAATCTTTACATTGGGAAATAAAATATTGATAAAAGAAACAAGAGAAAACAAATAAATGTAAAGATACCCAATGTTTATGAATTAGAAGACTAATTATTGTAAAGTGTCATATTATCCAAAGCAATCAATAGATTCAATAAACTTCCTATCAAAATTCCAATGGCCATTTTTAAAATAATGGAATAAAATTTTAAAATTTATATAGCATTACAAGACATTGAATAGTTGAGAAATAAGAACAAAGCTGGGGGCATCACACTTTCTGATTTAAAGCTCTATTTGAAAACTATGGTAATAAGAGTAGGATGGAACAAAATAGATACAAAAAAAGGGAACAAAATAGAGAGCTCAGAAATAAACCCATGCATATAAGTTCAATGAATCTTTAACAAGGGCGTCAAGAATACACAATGCACAAAAGATAGTTGCTTCAGTAATTGATGCTGGGCAAAAAGAATATCTACATGCAAGTGAAATTAGACAATTTTTTCTTACATGACATCAAGAAATTAACTCAAAATAAAGACTTAAATGTCAGGCAGAAATCCTTAAAAATCTTAGAAGAAAATATATTTTAAAAACTACTTGATATGGTTGTGGTAATGATTTTTTGAATATGACATCAAAAGTACAGGCAACAAAAGCAAATATTAACAAGTTGGACTGCATGAAACTAAAAAGCATCTGCACAGCAAGAAAAACAATAAAATAAGAAAACCTGAAGGATGGGAGAAAATATTTGCAATCCATATATCAAATAAAAGGTAGATATCAACAATATATGAGGAACTCAGAAATCAAAAGGAACACAATAATAATGATAATAATAATAAAATTGAAAAACAGGCAAAAGACCCAATAGATATTTTTCCAATGAAGACATACAAATGCCAACAGATATATCAGAGGGCTGACTATCACCAATCATCAGGCAATCACAAATCAAAACCATGATGAAATATCACTTCACACTTAAGATGACTAATACATATACATTAAAAAGTGAGGTAACAGTTTGACAATAATGTGAAGAAACCGGCTAAGCGCAGTGGCTCATGTCTATAATCCCAGCACTTTGGGAGGCTGAGGTGGGCAGATCACCTGAGGTCAGGAGTTTGAGACCAGCCTGGCCAACATGGTGAAACCTCGTCTCTTCTAAAAATACAAAATTAGCTGAGTGTGGTGGTGCATGCCTGTAATCTTGGCTACCTGGGAGGCTGAGGCAGGAGAATTGCTTGAACCTGGGAGGTGGAGGTCATAGTGAGCTGAGATCATGCTATTGCACTCCAGCTTGGGCAACAAGAGCAAAACTCCATCTCAAACACAACACAGCACACAATGTGAAGAAACAGAAATCCTGTACTGTATACTTTAAAAGTTGTAAATTGGTGAAGTCGTTATAAAAATTAGTATGAAGGCTCTTAGAAAAAGATACAAGTATCATAAAATTCAGCAATCCCAGTTCTGTGTATATAACCAAAGGAAATGAAATCAGTATCTCAAAGAAATAGCTGCATCCTCATATTTATTACAGTATCATTCACAATTGCCAAGATATGACAATAACCTAAATGTTTTTAGACAGTAAATGGATAAATATGGTTTACATACACAATAAAATATTATTCGGTCATAAAAATAATGTAATTCTGCTATTTAAACAACATGGATGGACTGGAAAGACATTATGCTAAGTAAAATAAACCAGACACCAAAAGGCAGATACTGTATGATCTCACTTATACAAAGAATCCAAAATGGTGAAACTCACAGAAGCAGAGAGTACAGAGGGAGTTGGCAGGACCTAGAAGTTAATAAATTGGGAAGGTGTTTTTCAGTTTTTTTGTTTTTTTTTGGGATGGAGTCTCGCTCTGTCACCCAGGATGGAGTGCAATGGCAGGATCTGGAGTGCAGTGGCTGCTTGCTGCAGCCTCCACTTCCCAGATTCAAGCAAATTCTCCCGCCTCTGCTTCCTGAGTAGCTGGGATTACAGGCACCTGCCACCATGCCCAGCTAATTTTTGTTTTTTTTAGTACAGATGGGGTTTCATTATGTTGGCCAGGCTGGTATCGAACTCCTAACCACAAGTGATCTGCGCACCTTGGCCTCCCAAAGTGCTGGAATTGCTGTTTGGTTTTAAGATGAATAAATTTAAAAGATCGAATGTGTAATTTTATGAATACAGTTAATAATAATGTCTTGTATGCTTAAAATTTGCTAAGGCAGTAGACATTAGGAATTCTCACTCCAAATCAATTTGAGTGTGTTAATTATAGTACAATGTGTACACATCAAATTTTTATGTTGGACATACATAATTTTTATTTGTAAAAGAGTTGTTACACACACAAATAAATATATATGCATGCATGCGTATGTGTGTATGCCCCAGTAAGCTTTATAGTAAATAAAAACAAATTTAAAATACAGTTATTTAAAAATAAGGTAAAAGGTGGGAGTTTAATATACGCTCAGCAATCTTCCAAGCTCCCTAATAAAATAGTATTTTTTTTAAATGTAGGGAGTAGATATATTAAATTATATTACTGTTGATATTGTAACAATGTGGGCATAGAGTTTAAATTACCAATCTCAGTTTTTACTTAGAAAATAAAATTTTGAAGTAAAATAAGTTTAGATTTTCTTATATTTAGTGTTCTGATAAAATCACTGAGTATGAGCTTCTGTAAAATCACATTTGAAACCTCCATAGGATAGAAAATCATAAAGCTGAAAATACAACATGTTTGTGGTGTTCCTGGGATTTCTGAACCAAATGCCAATATACCACTACTCTTGCAAATTTCAGACAAGATGCAAAAAGAGAATTAAATTGTGTAAAATAGAGTTCCTCAAAAATATGTAGATATTCCTATGTTCCACAAAGCAATGGAAAAGCAGTCAGATTATATAGTGCCTTATAAACCATGAAGAGGACTTTGCCTCAAAGGAAAATCACTTCATGGGTAGTGGAATCCTTAGAGAACTTAAGAGCATGGGGCAGAAGATGCTCCTGTGAGGGGAAGACAAACAAAACCAGGCTTTTCTGAAGCAGAGCTGCCCAAACCACATTTTCATTTCTGGCTTTCTCCTTGACATTTGGGCCTCTAACCTGTGTCATCTGCTTTATTTACTCCTACCTGCCTTGAAATTTGGCTACTATCACCTGTCTCTTTAAACTTCCAGGCTGTTTTCTTTGCTCTGGAAAGGTGATCAGGTCTGGATTAGACACAGCAAGACCTGTTTCATTAGAAAAAATAACATGACTCTTGCTGGCATGCTCCAGTTACCAACCTGGTATGGTGCTCAGTAGGAAAAAAAATTTTTAGAAGGTTCTAGAAAATTAATCCAAAAATACTATTTTCTGACATTAACTATACAATATTTAGAAAG
The DNA here is from genome assembly GCF_000001405.40 of Homo sapiens. Taxonomy (NCBI): domain Eukaryota; kingdom Metazoa; phylum Chordata; class Mammalia; order Primates; family Hominidae; genus Homo; species Homo sapiens. Next base: position 227,647,293 of record NC_000001.11, on the reverse strand, counting down.
GATTTTAAATGTATAGGTTCTTTTTGTTTGTTTGTTGAGACGGAGTTTTGCTTTTGTTGCCCAAGCTGGAGTGCAATGGCATGATCTCAGCTCACTGCAACCTCTGCCTCTCAGGTTCAAGTGATTCTCCTGCCTCAGCCTCCCAAGTAGCTGGGATTACAGGCACATGCCACCACGCCCATCTAATTTTTTTTTGTATTTTTAGTAGAAATGGGGTTTCACCATGTTAGCCAGGCTGGTCTCGAACTCCTGACTTCAGGTGATCTGCCCACCTCGGCCTCCCAAAAACATATAGGTTCTCAGCTCCACTACCCAATACTACTGAATCAAAACTTGGTACTGTAATTAGATTTTGAGGTGTGGGCAACAATATCTTATGCCACTAAAGTTCTGGAATTACCAGTCATCTAGAGTGAAGAATTTAGACCACCTTAAAATTTATGTCAAGATGAAACATTTTGAAGATTTTATTTTCTACACCAACAAATTCCCAAGTTTTCCTTAGAAGCAGAGATCAAAAACTCATTCATGCAAATGACAAACTCTCAGGTAACATTTCAGGAGTGAAAAATATGGAATCCGTAGTATGAAATACATAAATTGTGTATTGAAGTTATCCTCACCCAGGGAGACCAGGTTTCTGTAGTTCTCGAACATCACATCCCTATACAAATTTCGCTGGGCAGGGTCCAGGCATGCCCACTCCTCTGGAGAGAATTCTATGACCACATCACTGAATGCCAGTAGTCCCTGGGGGGGGGAAAAATACACACGTATTTACAAAATGTGCCATGGGCAGAGTTCTTAATTTGACTCCAACTGAAGAGAGTAAAGTGAACTTGTTCTGGCAGAAACTGTCCAGTAAGACATTGTTTAAAACACAAAGATTCTCGAATGCATTCTGTAACTCTAAGGAAAGAGGATGGCATAAGATTTACAAAACCAGTGTAGATGCTATATTTTTATAAGTGTTGTAGTATAAAACTAAGGGCGCCAATACATGCATTACATATTGGACAGCTATATTTACATTACACAGGATAAGCTGGATAAATTTCTCAGATGGAAAAATCATCTGAAGTGCCTCTCAGATTTTAACGCATACAACAAGAAATTGGAAATCTGTTTAAAATGTAGATTTTGATTCAGAAGGTCTGGGCTGAAACCTGACTTTTTGAATTTTGAACAAGTTCACCTGTGATGCCAATGCTTCTGAACCAAGAAGAATATTCTGCCAAACATTAAGTGGCAGGGCTTTTATCTCAGTTCATTTGACCATTAAACAAGAGCCTTCATTTTCCAAAGCAAAATATAGGCCAAATAATTTAAGAAGGAGAACTTCCAAATTAAATGTGATGGTTTATGCCCATCAGTTATTAAATCTCCCCAATGTACTTAATAATACAGAGAAAACTAATTTGCTTTATAGTGCAGAAATCTGTCAGAGAGCACCTTAACCTAGTGAATAAAATTAACATCAACTGTAACAGAAAAAAACTGGTATCACGTGTAAAAATGCACAGGAGGAGGTTACAACATCATTGCTATGATAGCATAGGTCAAGAAGGCAAAATCTGAATCTAATCATAAAGAAACATCAGTTTCATGCGAAGCTCCATCAACTTTCCTTTAACTAATCCAAGGACCCAAATCCATCTCCAATGGGAATCTTGGGCATCCACACCTGCCTATGTTCAACAGATACAAAAGAAACATTCATTTTGCAGGTCAAAATTTATAGTAAAGATTGCTTATGGCACTTAAAAAGCCTGAATGGATATAAAACATTGATATATAGGAAAGAAATATTTTTCAGAGCCCCCTGACTATCATAAGAAGAAAAATTTTAAAAGTACTTGAAATAAATTTATTAGGCAGAAACATTACAAATATATAAATAAAAGTCTGCAAGTTTTAAACACATGACATTTCTGGAGAAACAGCTGACCCAGCCCTTGACCTAGTACTCATTTACCCGAGAACCAGCCATTTCTTCCTCTTTTTCTGATTTCTGTTCAGATGAGATTATCTGGACAAATCACACATCTTGAGAATATGCCTTTAGAGATGTCAGCACAACTCCTTCACCTGCTATGACCATACACACAGGCAGAAGGACCTTGAAATGCAGAAAAAGCTACTCTCCTGTTTCTTCATCATACAGGACAGGAACAATGAGCTCCTACGTAAAGGTCAGAATGTGAGTTTTCATTTTCCTGCTATCAAGTGCCCTTCTCTGCCATGGAAGCCAGCAATTTTGGCTACGACAATAAAAATACTGGCTGCACTGACTTGACCACACCAAACCAAAAGAGAGCAGGCCCTGTGACCTTCCTCTGGAACAAAGGCTGAACTCAACTCTCACAAATGTATCTAAGGGCCCTCATGCTTGACCCTGACCTTACCTTAGGATCACATGGGGTACTAAACTAAAACAACACCGATGTTCTTACCCAGACCAACAGACAGAACCTGTGGGGAGGGTAGAAGTGGGAGTATTTCTTTAAACTGGCCATGTGATCCTAATTGGAAGCTTGGGCTGAGAGCCACTTAGCTAAGCATTGCTTCTGGAACTTCAATGTGCATATATCATTTGCTATTCTGAGCCCCAATTTAAGTAATGTGATTCTGTAGGTTTGGAAGAGGTCTATTAACTGGCTTCTGTAAGAAGTCCCTGTTCGTGTTAATGTTGATCCTCCTAGGCCCATCATGAGTAGCACTTAGCTAGAAAAAAACAGGCACAACAAACAGAGTCCCTTTACACAATACTCTTAGCCCAATACAAATATTTATGATCCAAAGTGAAGACCACCAATCACAATTCTGAAACATGGCATTGTCTGCTAGCCCTTTAAAGTTTAAAGAGGACCACAATGTCTGGGCAAATCTCCATTTGGGAAACAACTTGTGCACAAACATTAATGCCATGTTTATGGAGCATGTACTATGTGCTCGGAAGTACACTACAAAGCATTACACAGGGAACCTCACATTATGTGAGTTAATCTTCATAAAACCCCGAGAGGTAGGTGCGAAGTGTCTCATAATTGCCAGGATGTAAATACAGGGCATATCCTTTCTATTTCTTTTTCCATTTCTCTATCACTGATTTTAAAAATAAAATGTATAGGCCAGGCGTGGTGGCTCACGCCTGTAATCCCAGTACTTTGGGAGGCTGAGGCGGGCGGATCACCTAAGGTCCAGAGTTCGAGACCAACTTGGCCAACATGGCGAAACCCCGCCTCTACTAAAAATACAAAAAATTAGCTGGGCGTCATGGTGGCAGCCTATAATCCCAGCCACTCGGGAGGCTGACGCAGGAGAATCACTTGAACCCGGAGGGCGGGGATTGCAGTGAGCCGAGATCATGCCACTGCACTCCAGCCTGGGTGACAGAGCGAGACTCCATCTCAAAAAAAAAAAAAAAAAAGAAAAGAAAAGAAAAGAAAATATATAAAATAAAAGCTAAATATAGATGGAAGAGACACAGAAATAAGTGTGGCATATAGGTCAGAGGAACTTTTTATTGTTATATATTTATATTTACTGTTTTATAACTTGGAGAGCAACTACTGAATCTGAGGAAATAGAGAACAGGTTACTGAGCAAAATGTTTTTAGAAACACAGATTTTAATTAAAAAATAAAAATTAAGGCACCAAAATATAGTCTTCGGCTCCCATTTATCTGTTTGGATTTGGGAAAATTGTGGGTACCAGCTTTGGGGAGGCAGCAAGAGCAGCTACTCAAACCTCTGATCTCCCCTAATCAGTTGCGTGAGGGGAAATGCCAGGGTGGAAACATATTTAGACAAGGTTTCGAAGAGGGTGAATCTGGGCAGGGCTGGGACCTTGGGCTTCACATCTTTATACCACTGGCTTATTTTCAGTTACGTCTTTCCTAAGGCTGCCCATGAGAAACCTGACTTTCACAGTTTGTGTGATTTCAATTAAGACAATTCTCTATTCTGTAACCTAATAATAAATATAATATAAACCTTTAGAATTTTCTGGCACTAATATATTAGAAGCTAAATATTTTATTCCTAAGAAGGTAAAAGCATTTACTGCCACCACCATTGCTGTACTACTACCACTACTACTAACTCCTCCTCCTCCTCCTCCTCCTACTACTAATAATTCTGTTCAGGAATGGCCATTCAGGTAGTGACATCAGAACTCACAATAACATTAGGGAAGTAAGAAGCTCAAATGAAGCCCAAGTTCCCTGTGCACCTCTCTCTCTACTTTTTAAAAAAACAGGCCACATACTTCCAAATTCAAGCATTTATCTACATTTTCTAGACTGAAAGTTCCCGGATGATGGAGCCATGACAGCTCCATTTGCTTTTCTAATAGCCACATCAAATGGAGGCAATTGGTCTATATATTAGTTTGCATCTCCAGATCTCCTCTTGGTTCTTCATCCAAGTACCAGGAAACTGAAGAAACTCCCATCTAGGTACCAACCAAGAAGATTCATTCTGTGAGGGGAGAAACAAACCCCAGATGCCTTATTTCTCTTCCACTGAGATGAAAGCAGAATACAACCCCATCAACAGTCTTCACAGGACATCCCTAAATGTCTCACAGAATCTCGGATGCTGATGAGAGGGGTTCCAGTAAGCCTAGGCTGATATCCCCATGATGAATCAGGCAGGACCAATTCAAGGTATTCCTATGAGGCCAGGAAAGTAAATTAAACTGCCCTTGTAAAGCAGCTGACCCTGGATCCATGTGGGATACTACCTGTCCCTGATCAGCTAACTCTTGGGTAAGAGGAAAGACAAAACTATCCTACTCTAGTAAGAGTTCACATGTGAGGTGTAGTTGTGGTCATGACTCTGGGCATTTTTGTGGTGCTGACCTCTCATTGCTAAGGTACTTGTTTACACTTAAAGATTCTTCCAGGTCCTGCTGAAGGTAGGCTTTACTCTCCAAAAGAAACTCTGAGACAGGGTGCTCTACCTTTTGCTATTCGCACAACTGCAGCAGGTCACTGGACAAAATCTACAAAACATGGAGAAACCCACTCCAAAAGAGGGACTTTACAAAGTCTATGTTGATGTCTCACACGGTAGATGTCTCCCCTGAGTTTTCTATCCATCCTCAGTTCAAAGTCTAGCCCTTTATTTTGAATCTTAGGCAAATGCCAGCCCCTCTGTATGGACTGTAGGCAGAGTCAACCTGGTTTACTATTTCGTGGAGCTACAGAATGGGGAGAAAATCTGGAGGAGAGATAGCCCTCATGAAGCCTTCTCTAACAGATGCTGAAGAACCCCAGGACCTAGATTCAAAAGTTTAAGCTGCAGATTTAGGTCTTTGAGGGGCAGGAATGTGACAGGTGCCCTCTGCAGATTCCAACAGGAGAAGGAATGAAAGTTGAGAGTCTTAACGCCTACTCAATACACAGATGTGAGCCCAGTTGTTTCTGGGTCCCACTATCTCTGACTCAGTTTTGGGTCTGAAGATGCCGGGGCATTAAAAGAAAGAGCTGGAAGGTCTGTTTGCTGTTTTGTGAAGTTTTTTTTTTTTTGTAGAAATATGGTCTAATTCCTCTCAAAGAACTGTAGATTCCAAATAGAGAGACCTTTCTATCTAAAAATTGTGCAATATTTTGCTGTACAATTGTGAGATGTGACTGGACGCCCCAAAAAAGAAAGGCCCCTTTACAGTGAAACCTTGTGGGTAACATATGTTTATATCATGTTTGGTAATTCTGGACAGTGTTTAAAAAGCAACTAAAAACAAAATTATTTTCAACTCCAGAAAAACTCTCCACAATGGTAGAACAGAGAGAAAACTGTTGCTTTTTTTTATAAAATTGAACCACAATGTGACATATATCACGTCATCTGCTAAGAGACTGCAAAAACAAAAATAAAAGTAATGAAAAGTAATGAAAAAAGTAGAAGACAGAATCTTTTTAAAAAATATATTGTTCAGGCTGACCCCATTTTAGGCCTCAGCCCACCTGCATCCAGGCGCTCATTAAAACAGCATGTTGCTCCACACTGCCTTGTGTGTTGGCACTCTCTTGGGGTTTGAACCAATACAAGAACCTTACATCTGGTGCTGAGACCCAGGAGGGGCTCAGATCTGCACCTGTGGACCTACCCCTCCACTCCGGAGAGCAGGCCATAGCAGCCAGACAAAGGAAACTCCTCAGCCTCCAGTCGCCTCTCTCTGCATGCACATCGGTCACTGATCTCGCCTACTGGTAAGTTTCCCGGGAGCCTGGTTAGCAGGGGAAAATCCACACGGCCTCTCTTGATTTCTCCGGTCTGAAAATCCAACGTTGGTCCAAGAAGGCTCTGGCGTGTGCCAGGTACTCAATGATCATCTGGTCTTAGGAGGACGCCTCCAAGCCATTTGATTCCGTTTGGGGAGGAAAAAGGCAGCAGTGATGATCGCTCCTTTTATCATCTCCCTCCAGCCATCCAGGATGGTCTCCTTTTCCCTGTTCTCCCAAGCCTACCCTCCGTTATGGGAAACTCCCGGTCCTCCATTCCAAAAAACAGCCCTCTAGGCTGCCCCATAAAAAACCTGCAAACCTTAGGCCTCAGGCAAGATATCCACCCTAAACACCTTGTCTTTTTTTGCGATACAGCCTGGCCGCAGTACGAATTAGATAACGGGTCCAAATGGCCCACAAATAGAACATTCGACTTTACAATTTTAACTGACATAAGCAATTATTGTCGACAACTGGAAAAATGAGGAGAAATTCCTTATGTCTGGGCCTTTTTGCACTCAGATTACACCCCGACCTCTGCAATTTTTGCTCACCTGTTCAAATCCTTCTCCTCCATTCCCTTCTCCTCCATTCTCGCTGCCCTGATCACCTTTCTCCTCCCAACCCTACCTCTTTTTCCTCATTAGATCCAGCAGACTGCTGCCCACCCCTCCCAGTCCCTACCTCTTCCTCTCAACCATCTTCTTTAACCCCCCAAGCCTCCTTGTTGTCTTCTCAGCCATCTTCCCAGCTGCCATCTTCCCAGTCAACTGTATCCACTTCTTTTCCTACACCATCCTCTCCTCAGGACAACTCTAGCATTGCCTGTACTCATTCTCCTTCCTCACCACCCTCTCCTGAAGCCTGTAAACTCATCCCACCACCTTATGCCCCGATCTATCCTCCACTGCCTATTAACTCAATCCCCTTTCCCCCTTCACATCCTCAGCAGGAACCACTTCCAGGTTCTTCCTTCTCTCCTGCCCATACTCGCTCAGGCACCATCTTTGGCCCATGCCCCACCCTTATTTCAGCACCTGTGCTAGAGTGCCCCCTTCAGGAAGTAGCAGGAACCAAAGATATTGTTAGAGTTCATGTTCCCTTCTCCCTCACTGATCTCTCTCAAATTAACAAAAGACTCAGTTCATTTCCAGAAGACCCTGCCTCTTATATTAGGGAGTTTCAGGACCTTACCCAGTCTTACGAAGTAACCTGGCATGACCTCTATGTTATCCTCTCTTCCAGCCTCACCCCAGAAGACCGGGACTGTATCTGCACCCTAGCTCAGGCACATGCTGATACAATTCATCACCAAGCTCCTGCCCAGCCTACTGGTGCAGAGGCAGTCCCCAACCAGGACCCCCACTGGGATTATCAAGACGGGGCCTCTGGACACCGCTTTTGAGACCACATGATTGTGTGTCTCCTTGCAGCACTCAAAAAGAGTGCCCATTTTTAGAAATCACCCAAGGTCCTGAGGAAAACCCAACCCTTTTTCTCCCTCATTTAACTGAAGCCATGAGAAAATATACCAACCTAGACCCAATCAGGCCAGAAGGAACCACTATTTTAAACCTTCGGTTCATCTCCCAATCCAACCCTGATATTTGGTGCAAGCTTCAGAAGCTTGATGACGGCCCTCAAACCCCACGGTGAGACTTTCTTAATTTACCCTTCAAAGTCTTTAACAATCGTGATGGGGAAAGTAAAAGGCAAAAACAGGCAGAGTTTCAAATGCTTGCCTCTGCCATCAGGGGCCCCCTGCTGGCCCACTGGGTGGCAGCTCCACACAGAAGCCTCCTAGCAATCCACCTCCACCTGGCTGGCACCTGTTTCAAGTGCGGCAATGAAGGCCAATGGCCCAGACAATGCCCAAACCCAGGTAAGCCCACCAGGCTGTGCCCCTCTGCAGAGGACCCCACTGGAAGTTGGACTATGAGCGGCCCCAGCAAGGACCGCCCCCAGCAAGGACCGCCCCCATCCCTTCCCGAGCAGGCCAAAACCTCATACTTGGATCTCATTGGCCTTGCCACTGAAGACTGACGGTGCCCTGGAAAGGACACCCTGGCAACTACCATCGCTTCATCCGAGCCAAGTGGTAACCCTGATGGTGGCAAGTAGGCCAGTATGTTTTTTTAAATTAATACCAGGCAAGCTACTCTGCTTTACCTAATTTTTCAGGACCCACCCAGTCCTCCCAAGTCTCTGTTGTGGGAATTGATGGACAACTCTCCAAACCCCAAGCCCCTGCTCCACTCTTCTGCTCCCTACACGTAACCTTTTCCTTCACTCACTCTTTCTTAGTTCTGCCCTCATGCCCAACTCTGCTCCTAAGCAGAGACATCCTTTCAAAACTCCACATTACTCCCTACTTCCACATTTCCCATAGTACCCAAGACATCCACCTAGACCCCTGTGGTACTTCTAACTTTCTTCTACTCCTCCAACCTCCCACCTTAAAACATGCAACTTTTCCTTATCCCCCATCTGTAGTCAACCCCGCTGTTTAGGCGCAAAACACCACACCACCGTCTGCATTACCCTTAAAGAGCCCACCCAGTTTCTATCACAGAAGCAGTATCCCATCCCCCAAGCAGCTCTTGTAGGCCTAAAGCCTATCGTTTCTCACCTCCTTGCTAGTCACCTACTCTGCCCAACAAAATCCCCTTTTAACACACCAGTTCTATCTGTTAAAAAGCCAGGAACTTATCGCTTAGTTCAGGACCTCAGGCTCATTAACCAAGCTGTCTAGTAGTTCCTGACCCATATACTTCACTTTCCGCAATTCCCTCCAATACCACCCATTTTTCTATTCTAAACATAAAAGATGCTTTTTTTCACAATTCCTTTACACTCTAATTCCCCAAACCTCTTTGCCTTTACTTGGGAAAACCCCGACACCCACCTTTCACGTCAGCTCACCTGGTGTGTACTACCACCTCAATGTTTCAGAGACAGCCCCCACCTTTTTGGACAGGCCCTTGCTCACGACCTCTCTACCTTATCCCTAAAACCGTCCACTCTCCTTCAATATGTTAACAATCTGCTCCTGTGTAGCCCCTCCCAAAGAGACTTCGACACCCATACTATCTCTTTTAAACTTCTTGACAGAACAGGGGTATTGGGTCTCCCCTAAGAAAGCAAAAATATGCACCCCCTCAGTCACCTATCTAGGCCTAGCTCTTAGCCCGTGAACCCGAGGGCTCACAACTGACCGCACATCCCTCCTCCAGTCTCTCCTGCCTCCGCAAACCAAGCAAGAAATTTTCTCTTTTCTAGAACTAGTGGGATATTTTAGGCTCTGGGTTCTCTCCTTCGCTTTACTTGCCAAACCGTTATACGAAGCTGCTAAAGGCCCTCTCCATGAGCCCTTAAAACCTGCACAGCCTATTACCCGACCTTTCCATCTACTCCAAAAGGCTCTCATTTCAGGCCCCCGTCCTCACTCTCCCAGACCTCACCAAACCTTTCTCCAACTATACCGATGAACAGCATGGAGTTGCATTAGGTGTTCTAACCTAGTCTAAGGGACTCACCCTCCAGGTTGTTGCCTACCTCTCTAAACAGCTTGAAGCCACAGTTCTCAGATGGCCTGCCTGCCTCTGAGCATTGGCAGCAGCTGCTGTCCTCACCCTTGAAAGCCTAAAACTATCTCTCCATGCCAACCTAACAGTTTATTCAACCCATAAGATCAAAGACATGCTAGCTCACCGCAATGTACTAAGTCTCATCTCTGCCTCACGGCTCCTCCAACTGTATTCTCTATTCATAGAAACCCCCCAAAGCACTGTGCTAACCAGCTCCCGTCTAAACACAGCCATGCTCTTACCTGAAGCTACAACTGCCCAAGACCCTATACACTTCTGTGTGAACACTGTTCAAACCTTACTTATACCTCTTCCAAACCTAAGACCAACCCCTTCCAGATGCCTCCTCTACTTGGTTTGTAAATGGCAGCTCCTTCCTACATCAAGGATACTGGAATGCTGGCTATGCTATAGTGTCACCTACAAACACACACTATTAAAGCCAATCCACTACTTCTAGGCACCACCTCTCAAAAAGCTGAACTCATCGCCCTCACTTGAGCTCTGACTCTAGCAGCCAGAAAACAGATCAACATATATTCAAATTCTCGTTATGCGTTCCACATAGTGCATTCACACTCATCCGTCTGGAAAGAATGGGGTTTATCTGCCAATTTGACCCTCACCAAAAGCTACAACCAAAATGGACAGGCCCCTACACTGTGATACTCAGCAGGCCAACTGCAGTGAGAGTCCAAGGACTCCCCCACTGGGTCTACTGCACCAGGGTCAAGCTCACCCCCAAGGCTACTCCTTCCTCCAAAACATTAACAGTGGGCAGCACCCTCGGAGTCCCTGTATATAATAACCTAAACAAAGAAAAAAACTATCCTTAAAGGTAGGAGGAAGCCAAAAGATGGCAAAGGGACAAATAGCCTCCACAACGGATCATCCAATATTATGGTCCTGCCACTTGGGCTGAGGATGATTCATGGGGTTATTGCACTTCTATATATATGCTAAATAGAATAACTAGACTACAGGCTGTTCTAGAGATAATCACTAACCAAACTGCCTCAGCCCTGGAAATGCTCGGCGCAACAAAACCAAATGCGTGTAGCAATTTATCAAAACAGGCTAGCACTAAACTACTTATTAGAAGAAGAGGGTGGAGTCTGTGGTAAGTTTAATATCTCTAAACTGCTGTCTTAACATAGATGATAACAGAAAAACGGTTCTAGAAATCGCTTCAAACATCAGAAAAGTAGCCCATGTACCAGCCCAAACCTGGAAGGGATGGGACCGAACAAACCTTCTAGGAGGGTGGTTGTCTAATTTAGGAGGATTTAAAACACTGGTAGGGGCAGTAATCTTCATCATCGGGCCCCTCCTGTTTCTCCGGTGTGTTATCCCACTGATAATAAAAGCCATTAAAACTCTTGTTAAAACTACAGTTAACCGCCAGACAATCCAGACGATGCTCCTGCTACAACGACACGATGGATACCATCCCGTCTCTTAAGAATACCCCCAAAATTCAGTTTTTCTTTGCCCAAGATGCCCACGCCACCCCATGTCACGCCTGAAGTAGTTATTGAGAAAGTCATCTGTTTTCCCTTTTCTATAACCAAATAGACAGGAATGTAAGATTCTTTCCCTGGGCCTGAAAGCTTAAGGAGATGAATAACTCCTCCCTTCTCAGGCCCAGTCCCACGGTGCAAGGCTACCTGCACCAGCAGCATGTGCCGGCAAGATAGCAGAAGCAGCAAGAGAGCCTGCCAGAAGACACGTACCCCTGAAGATTGAGAAAGAGGCCATCCGGGTACAACAATGTAGCAGTTACATCAGACTAGGACACTTCCAGCTTGCAGGAGACCATAAAACCTTTGCCCCGTCCTCACTTGGTGCTGACGCCATTTTAGGCCTCAGCCTGCCGGCACTCAGGTGCTCATTAAAACAGCATGTTGCTACACACACACACACACACACACACACACACACACACACACACACACACAAATGTTCACCCTAAATTCACCTGGTAACTGGGGAGGTCATCTGTGTTTTGGCTATAGTCAACAAAAAACTGAACTGCCTATATTCAAAAGAAATACAAATTTTCTATTTCTTCATGACATAAGATAGTTTTGGAACTTGGAGCCAGGTCCTGCTGAAGGTAGGCTCTTCTCTCCAAAAGAAATTCTGGAATAGGATGCTCTACCTTTTGCTATTGGTATATCAAAACAATGATTTCCAGGTTTAAAATAAAGGTACACCTGAGTCAAATGAAATGACAAAAGACATATTTAGCTTTTTAAAAGATGTGCATACATTTCAAAGAAAATACATATAAAAGTTTTCTAAATTAAGTGGTTTATAAAAAGGGAGAAAAGCATAATCTCTTCACTTACGTATTCAACTTGGAGAATTAAGATTTTTTTTTTTTTTGATTACCAGGCAGAGACTCTTGTTCTCTTCCCTCACTTTCTCCAAAACAAACAGAGTCTCTGCCTCTGGGCTGAGCTGCCTGGAGCTGGAGGAAGGGTGACACAAGCACCCCTGTGGCCAAAATGACTAGAATTGCAGTGGATCAGACATGAAGCCAGCAAAGCACTGAGTCTTACCCAAAGTCTGCCGGAACCACTCCCTGGCTACTACCACCTATGTTTTCTCAAAGCCCTGGGGTTCTAAAATTAGCAGGTACCATAGCCAGCCAGGCCTGTGTTCTTCCCTTCAGGGCAGTAAGTTCTCCTAGGCCCCAGAGAGGTCCAGAGGTGCTGTTCACAAGCCAGGGACTACAGTCAAGTCCTTTAGAAATCTATCTGGCATTCTATTGTATTGTGGCTGAGGTGGTACTCAAACAAAAAATGCAGTCCTTCTCTCTCTCCTCATTTTGTTCCAAAGGCAGAAGAGCCTCACTCTGTGGCTACCACGATCACAGACCATGGAGAGTACTTCCATAATACCACCACTGTTCCCTTCAGACTCTTCAATCAGCTTGTGGTTAATGCTGCCCAAACTGGGACTCATTCTTCAGGGCAGTGTGTTTCCCTTTTCCCAAGGGAAGGTCCAGAAATGCCATAAAAGAATCAAGTCTGGTATCAGGGACCTCAAAAGCTCACTTGGTGCTATACCTCCCTGTGGCCAAGCTGGTGCCTCACATGCAAGACAAAACCCTCTTTACCTTTTCCTCTGCTTTTCTCAAGCAGAAGTATCACCCTGTAGCCACCACACCTGGGAATGTGCTGAGTCTCACCTGAAGCCAGCAAGTCTCAAAGTGTCACCTGAAGTCCTGAGTGTAGTAACTGGGAATCACTGCTAGTTATTCAGGACCCAAGGGCTCTTTAGTTAGCAGGTAAATTCTGCAAGGACTGGGTCTTTCCCTTCAAGGCAGTGGGTTTCCCTCTGGCCCAGCGGGTGTATAGAAATGTCATGACAGAGCTAGGGTTTGGAAAGGGAGCCTCCTGACTATGACCACTGCCCTATTCTGCTGTGGCTGAGCTGGTATACAAAAATGCAAGACACAGTCCTCCCCGCTCTTCCTTCTCCTCACCTCAAGTGGAAGGAAGGGGTCTCTTTTTGGAGACATGAGCTGTGAAGCCTGGGGTTAGGGGAGGGGTGATGTCAGCATTCCCTTAGCTGCCCTAGCTCATGTATCAGTGGGCCATGTGCCCCACTAGTCCACTGGCTCTGGGCCCAGTTCAGCACTATAACTCACCTAGGAGTTGCAGTCTTTGTGGCCTAGACTGTCTTTCAAATTTGTTTAGGGTTCCAGAGCACTTTAGCCCACAGCTGCAAGGCTTCTGGGAACTCAAGTTCTGACTAATGGGATCAGAAATTCCCTTCTGGCTAGGGCTTGTTTAAATGCTCACTCCCTGGGTGGGTGTCAGCTGAGTTTGGTTCAGTTTTGTTTTCTGCTGTAACAGGGCAGCACTGAGTTCAATGCCTCACAACTGCTGTACTCTTCCTCTCTGTGAGAAACAGGATTAGCTGGATTTCCTAGGCCGACTAACAATTCCTAAGCCTACCTGGAGAAGGTGACTGCACCCACCTTTAAACACGGGGCTTGTAACTCAGCTCACACCCGACCAATCAGGTAGTAAAGAGAGCTCACTAAAATACCAATTAGGCTAAAAGCTGGAGGTAAAGAAATAGTCAATCATCTGTTGCCTGAGAGCACAGGGAGAGGGACAATGATTGCGATATAAACCCAGGCATTTTGAGCCGGCAGTGGCAACCCACTTTGGGTCTTCTCCCGTTGTATGGGAGCTCTGTTTTCACTCTATTAAGTCTTGCAACTGCACACTCTTCTGGTCTGTTTGTTCCGACTTGAGCTGAGCTTTCACTTGCTGTCCACCATTGCTGATTGCCGCCATGCCAGGCCCACCAATGACTTCCACCCCTCCGGATCCGGCAGGGTGTCCACCACAATTCTGATCCAGTGAGGTGCCCATTGCCACTCCTGATTGGGCTAGAGTCTTGTCATTGTTCCTGCATGGCTAAGTGCCTGGGTTTGTCCTAATCAAGCTGAACACTAGTTTCTGGGTTCCACGGTTCTCTTCTGTGACCCATGGCTTCTAATAGAGCTATAACACTCACCACATAGCCCAAGGTTCCATTCCAAGGAATCCATGAGGCCAAGAACCCCAGGTCAGAGAACAAAAGGCTTGCTGCCATTTGGGAGCGGCCCGCCACCATCTTGGGAACTCTAAGAACAAAGACCCGCCGGTAATATTTGGTAGCCCATACAGGGATTCTCCAAAGCAGTGAGTAATATTGGACGATTTTCGCTTGCTATTCTGTCCTATCCTTCCTTAGAATCGGAGGAAAATACCAGGCACCTGTCAGCTGGTTAAAAACGATCAGCGTGGCTGCCAGACTCAAGACTCAGTGTTAGGCTTTCTGGGAAAAGGCTTTCTAACTCCCAACCCTTCTGGGTTGGGAGCGTTGATCTCCCTGGAACTAGCTTCCACTTTCACAATATTCCTGGGGGAAGCCGAGGGCCGACTAGAGGCAGAAAGCTGTTGTCCCGAACTCACAGCATTGGCCGGTCGAGATCATGGCAAAGCCAGAAGCCTCTACTCAACAGTCGCCCATGCATGTGCCCCTACCTCTCCTTTTGACCCATACCTCCTAGGTCCCAGCCACGACTTTCTTGAAAGCGTAGCCCCAAAATTCTCCTTACCTCTGAATCTACTTCCTCCGACCCCTGCCTCCTAGGTACTAATGCGTCAGACTTTCACTTCCTCTCCCAAGTATTAGAGCAATTTGTAACTTCAAAGGGATCTAAGGAAGCTCTACACTGCATCCTTAGGCACTAGGCTATGAACCCAGGGAGTCTTTCCCCTGGTGTCCCTCCCAATTTAGGTACACAGCTCTTGACATAGGCAGTTATGTGGGACCCATTCCCCACCACCCTTGCCAGGGCCCAAAGTTTGTAAATGGCTAGGAAGATTGCTCTCCCATTGTGTAAGGTGCTCTACTCCCCCAATTTCTACCCAGCTTACCCCTCTGCAATACAATCTCCAAGCCTTGGCTCCTTGGCCAGGGCCTTAGAACTGATGACCCAGTACTTTAACAACTGGAACTAGGTCTAAAGTGAGGTGCATACTCCTATAGTGGCAAATGGGGGCAATGAGCAAACGTCCTTCCACTGTGTTCCCAAAATCCATCTGCCAAGAGAGGAATTATCTCTCTCACAGCTTTGCCTAGTGATCCTACATAAGTCAATACCACTGGAAGGACAACATGGCGCCCAGAAGTTTAACAACTGGACTTTAGCACATAAAAACCAGCAAGCCCATCTTTTTCTCCTCATTCTCCTTCTCGCAGGAAAAAGGCACATAGGATAAGTAGGATCCATCTGTCATATTTCATACCCAAAAGGACTTAATCTGGGGCAACAAAAAGTTTAAGATCAATAATTAGGGCATATTCCTACAAAGGAAAAGAAGGACAAAGGCCCTAGTGGGCAAAAACTCTAGCTCAATCCTGACTCAAAAGGTTACCTACACCCTCTCTGAAACGAATTTGCATAGGAACTGTTGTTTATGGGAATGCACCTTGATGGGGCAATTGGGTTGTTATGAAATACTCAGGAACACAGCCCAACTCTAGAACTCATCCCTGAGTGCAAAGGCAATGTTGGGCACACTGGTAAAGGATCACTAGAATCCAGTAGCCCAGACCCCTTTCTTTGTGGTCAAGAAAGGTGGGAAAATGGGTGCAGGACTGTTATATTGGTGAGCATAACTAATCCGATAAGCAGAGGTCCATGGGTGGTTACGCACCCTGGAAATGAATAAGCATTAAGACCATAGAGGATGCTCTAGGACTAATGCTCATCGGAAAATGACTAGGGGTACTGGCATCCCTATGTCCTTTTTTCAGATGGGAAACGTTCCCTCCAAGGCAAAAACGCCCCTAAGATGTATTCTGGAGAATTGGGCCAATTTGACCCTCAGACGCTAAGAAAGAAACAACTTATATTCCTCTGCAGCACTGCCTGACCACAATATCCTCTTCAAGGGGAGAAACCTGGCCTCCTGAGGGAAGTATAAATTGTAACACCATCTTACAGCTAGACCTCTTTTGTAGAAGAGGGCAAATGGAGTGAAGTGCCATATGTTCAAACTTTCTTTTCATTAAGAGACAACTCACAATTATGTAAAAAGTGTAATTTATGCCCTACAGGAAGCTCTCAGAGTCTACCTCCTTACCTCAGCATTCCCCTGGCTCCTTCCCCAACTAATAAGGACCCCCCTTCAACCCAAATGGTCCAAAAGCAGATAGATAAAGGTGTAAACAATGAACCAAAGTGTGCCAGTATTCCCTGATTATGTCCCCTCCAAGCAGTGGGAGGAGGAGAATTTGGCCCAGTCAGAGTGCATGTACCTTTTTCCCTCTCAGACTTGAAGCAAATTAAAATAGACCCAGGTAAATTCTCAGATAACCCTGATGGCTATACTGATGTTTTACAAGGGTTAGGGCAATCCTTTGATCTGACATGGAGAGATATAATGTTATTGCTAGATCAGATGCTAACCCCAAATGAGAGAAGTGCTGCCATAACTGCAGCCCAAGAGTTTGGTGATCTCCGGTATCTCAGTCAGGTCAATGACAGGATGACAACAGAGGAAAGAGAACAATTCCCCCACAGGCCAGCAGGCAGTTTCCAGTGTAGACCCCCATTGGGATGCAGAATCAGAACATGGAGATTGGTGCTGCAGACATTTGCTAACTTGCAAGCTAGAAGGACTAAGGAAAACTAGGAAGAAGCCTAAGAATTATTCAATGATGTCCACTATAACACAGGGAAAGGAACAAAATCCTACTGCCTTTCTGGAGAGACTAAGGGAGGCATTGAGGAAGCATACCTCTCTGTCACCTGACTCTATTGAAGGCCAACTAATCTTAAAGGATAAGTTTATCACTCAGTCAGCTGCAGACATTAGAAAAAAACTTCAAAAGTTTGCCTTAGACCCGGAGCAAAACTTAGAAACCCTAGTGAACTTGGCAAACTCAGTTTTTTATAATAGAGATCAGGAGAAAAAAGGTGGAATGGGACGAATGGGATTAAAAAAAAAAAAGGCCATCACTTTAGTCATGGCCCTCAGGCAAGTGGACTTTGGTGGCTCTGGAAAAGGGAAAGGCTGGGCAAATTGAATGCCTAATAGGGCTTGCTTCCAGTGCGGTCTGCAAGGACATATTAAAAAGATTGTCCGAATAAAAATAAGCCACCCCCTTGTCCATGCCCCTTATGTCAAGGGAATCACTGGAAGGCCCACCGCACCCCAGGGTATGAAGGTCCTCTGAGTCAGAAGCCACTAACCAGATGATCCAGCAGCAGGAATGAGGGTTCCCGGGGCAAGCGCCGGCCCATGCCATCACCCTCACAGAGCCCCAGGTATGCTTAACCATTGAAGGCCTGGAGGTTAACTGTCTCCTGGACACTGGCACGGCCTTCTCAGTCTTACTCTCCTGTCCCAGACAACTGTCCTCCAGATCTGTCACTATCCAAGGGGTCCTAGGACATGCAGTCACTAGATACTTCTCCCAGTCACTAAGTTGTGACTGGGTAACTTTACTCTTTTCACATGCCTTTCTAATTATGCCTGAAAGGCCCACTCCTTTGTTAGGGAGAGACATTCTAGCAAAAGCAGGGGCCATTATACACCTGAACATAGGAGAAGGAACACCCATTTGTTGTCCCCTACTTGAGGAAGGAATTAATCCTGAAGTCTGGGCAACAGAAGGACAATATGGACGAGTAAAGAATGCCCATTCCCTTCAAGTTAAACTGAAGGATTCCACCTCCTTTCCCTACCAAAGGCAGTACCCCCTTAGACCCGAGGCACAAGAAGGACTCCAAAAGATTGTTAAGGACCTAAAAGCCCAAGGCCTAGTAAAACCATGCAATAGCCCCTGCAATACTCCAATGTACAGAAACCCAATGGACAGTGGAGGTTAGTGCAAGATCTCAGGATCATCAATGAGGCTGTTGTCCCTCTATACCCAGCTGCACCTAACCCTTACACTTTGCTTTTCCAAATACCAAAGGAAGCAGAGTGGTTTACAGTCCTGGACCTTAAGGTTGCCTTTTTCTGCATCCCTGTACATCCTGACTCTCAATTCTTGTTTGCCTTTGAAGATCCTTCAAACCCAATATCTCAACTCACCTGGACTGTTGGGATAGCCCCCATCTATTTGGCCAGGTATTAGCCCAAGACTTGAGCCAGTTCTCATACTTGGACACTCTTGTCCTTTGGTATGTGGATGATTTACTTTTAGCCACCTGTTCAGAAACCTTGTGCCATCAAGCCAACCAAGTGCTCTTAAACTTCCTCGCCACCTGTGGCTACAAGGTTTCCAAACCAGAGGCTCAGCTCTGCTTACAGCAGGTTAAATACTTAGGGCTAAAATTATCCAAAGGCACCAGGGCCCTCAGTGAGGAACGTATCCAGCCTATACTGGCTTATCCTCATCCCAAAACCCTGAAGCAATTAAGAGGGTTCCTTGGCATAAAAGGCTGCTGTTGAATATGGATTCCCAGGTACAATGAAATAGCCAGGCCATTATACACACTAATTACGGGAACTCAGAAAGCCAATACCCATTTAGTAGAATGGACACCTGAAGCAGAAGCGGCTTTCCAGGCCCTAAAGAAGGCCCTAATCCAAGCCCCAGTGTTAAGCTTGCCAATGGAGCAAGACTTTTCTTTATATGTCACAGAAAAAAAAACAGGAATAGCTCTAGAAGTCCTTACACAGGTCCGAGGGACCAGCTTACAACACATGGCATACCTGAGTAAGGAAACTGATGTAGTGGCAAAGGGTTGGACTCATTGTTTACAGGTAGTGGCAGCAGTAGCAGTCTTAGCATCTGAAGCAGTTAAAATGATACAGGGAAGAGATCTTACTGTGTGGACATCTCATGATGTGAACGGCATACTCACTGCTAAAGGAGACTGTGGCTGTCAGACAACCATTTGCTTAAATATCAGGCTCTATCACTTGAAGGGCCAGTGCTGCCACTGTGCACTTGTGCAACTCTTAACCCACCCACATTTCTTCCAGACAATGAAGAAAAGATAGAACATAACTGTCAACAAGTGATTGTTCAAACCTACACCGCTCGAGGGGACCTTCTAGAGGTTCCCTTGACGGATCCTGAGCTCAACTTGTATACTGATGGAAGTTCCTTTGTAGAAAAAGGACTTCGAAAGGCGGGGTATGCAGTGGCCAGTGATAATGGAATACTTGAAAGTAATCCCCTCACTCCAGAAACTAGCACTCAGCTGGCAGAATTAATAGCCCTCACTTGGGCACTAGAACACAGGAGAAGGAAAAGGAGTAAATATATATACAGACTCCAAGTATGCTTACCTAGTCCTCCATGCCCATGCAGCAATATAGAGAGAAAGGGAATTCCTAACTTCTGAGGGAACACCTATCAAACATCAGGAAGCCATTAGGAGATTATTACTGGCTGTACAGAAACCTAGAGGTGGCAGTCTTACATGGCCGAGATCATCAGAAAGGAAAAGAAAGGGAAATAGAAGGGAACTGCCAAGTGGATATTGAAGCCAAAAGAGCTGCAAGGCGGGACCCTCCATTAGAAATGCTTATAGAAGGACCCCTAGTACAGGGTAATCCCCTTCAGGAAACCAAGCCCCAATACTCAGCAGAAGAAATGGAATGGGGAACCTCATGAGGACATAGTTTCCTCCCCTCAGGATGGCTAGCCACCAAAGAAGGAAAAATACTTTTGCCTGCAGCTAACCAATGGAAATTACTTAAAACCCTTCACCAAACCTTTCGCTTAGGCATTGATAGCACCCATCAGATGGCCAAATCATTATTTACTAGACCACACCTTTTCAAAACTATCAAGCAGACAGTTAGGGCCTGTGAAGTGTGCCAAAGAAATAATCCCCTGCCTTATCGCCAAGCTCCTTCAGGAGAAAAAAGAACAGGCCATTACCCAGGAGAAGACTGGCAACTAGATTTTACCCACATGCCCAAATCTCAGGGATTTCAGTATCTACTAGTCTGGGTAGATACTTTCACTGGTTGGGCGGAGGCCTTCCCTTGTAGGACAGAACAGGCCCATGAGGTAATAAAGGCACTAATTCATGAAATAATTCCCAGATTTGGACTTCCCCAAGGCTTACAGAGTGATAACGGCCCCACTTTCAAGGCTACAGTAACCCAGGGAGTATCCCAGACATTAGACATACAATATCACTTACACTGAGCCCGGAGGCCACAATCCTCAGGAAAGTTGAGAAAATGAATGAAACGCTCAAATGACATCTAAAAAAGCTAACCTAAGAAACCCACCTCGCATGGTTTGCTCTGTTGCCTATAGCCTTAGTAAGAATCCGAAACTCTCCCCAAAAAGCGGGACTCAGCCCATACGAAATGCTGTATGGACGGCCCTTCCTAACCAATGACCTTGTGCTTGACCTAGAGATGGCCAACTTAGTTGCAGATATCCCTCCTTAGCCAAATATCAACAAGTTCTTAAAACATCACAGGGAACCTGTCCCTGAGAGGAGGGAAAGGAATTATTCCAACCTGGTGACATGGTATTAGTGAAGTCCCTTCCCTCCAACTCCCCATCCCTGGATACATCCTGGGAAGGACCCTACTCAGTCATTTTATCTATCCCAACCGCGGTTAAAATGGCTGGAGTAGAATCTTGGATACATCACATTCGAGTCAAACCCTAGATACTGCCAAAGGAACCAGAAAATCCAGGAGACAACACTAGTTATTCCTGTGAACTTCTAGAGGATCTGTGCCTGCTCTTTAAGCGACAACCGTGAGGAAAGTAACTACAATCGTAGATCGCCATGGCCCTCCCTTGTCATATTTTTCTCTTTACTGTTCTCTTACCCCCTTTCACTCTCACTGCACCTCCTCCATGCTGCTGTACTACCAGTAGCTCCATACTGCTGTACTACCAGCAGGAAGAGCTTCTAGGGAGAATGCAGCTTCCCAGAAATATTGATGCCCCATCGTATAGGAGTTTTTCTAAAGGAAACCCCACTTTCACCACCCACACCCATATGCCCCACAACTACTATAACTCTACCACTCTTTGCATGCATGCAAATACTCATTATTGGACAGGGAAAATAATCCTACTTGTCCTGGAGGGCTTGGAGCCACTGTCTATTGGACTTACTTCACCCATACCGGTATGTCTGATGGGGGTGGAGTTCAAGATCAGGCAAGAGAAAAACACGTAAAGGAAGCAATCTCCCAACTGACCAGGGTACAAAGCACCCCTAGCCCCTACAAAGGACTAGACCTCTCAAAACTACATGAAATCCTCCATACCTATACTCACCCGGTAAGCCTATTTAATACCACCCTCACTGGGCTCCATGAAGCCTTGGCCCGAAACCCTACTAACTGTTGGATGTACATCCCCCTGCACTTCAGGCCATACATTTCAATCCCTGTATCTTTAACCTCCTTGTTAAGTTTGTCTCTTCCAAAATCAAAGCTGTAAAACTACAAATAGTTCTTCAAATGGAGTCCCAGATGCAGTCCATGACTAAGATCTACCACGGACCCCTGGACCGGCCTGCTAGCCCATGCTCCAATGTTGATGACATTGAAGGAACCCCTCCTGAGGAAATCTCAACTGCACAACCCCTACCAGGCCCCAATTCAGCAGGAAGCAGTTAGAGCGATCGTCGGCCAACCTCCCCAACAGCACTTCGGTTTTCCTGTTGAGAGGGGGTACTGAGAGACAGGACTGGCTGGATTTCCTAGGCCGACGAAGAATTCCTAAGCCTAGCTAGGGAGGGTGACCGCACCCACCTTTAAACACGGGGCTTGTAACTCAGCTCACACCCAACCAATTAGGTAGTAAAGAGAGCTCACTAAAATATCAATTAGGCTAAAAGTGGGAGATAAAGAAATAGTCAATCATCTATTGCCTGAGAGCACAGGGGGAGGGACAATGATTGGGATATAAACCCAGGCATTCAAGCCAGCAGTGGCAACCCCCTTTGGGTCCCTTCCCACTGTATGGGAACCCTGTTTTCACTCTATTAAATTTTGCAACTGCACACTCTTCCGGTCCGCGTTTGTTGCGGCTCGAGCTGAGCTTTCACTTGCCGTCCACCACTGCTGATCGCTGCTGTGCCAGACCCACTGCTGACTTCCATCCCTCTGGATCTGGCAGGGTGTCTGCTGCACTTCTGATCCAGCGAGGTGCCCACTGCCGCTCCCAATCAGGCTAGAGGCTCACTATTGTTCCTGCGTGGGTAAGTGCCCGGGTTTGTCCTAACTGAACTGAACACTAGTCGCTGGGTTCCACAGTTCTCTTCTGTGACCCATGGCTTCTAATAGAGCTATAACACTCACTGCATGGCCCAAGGTTCCATTCCTTGGAATCCGTGAGGCCAACAACCCCAGGTCAGAGAACAAAAGGCTTGCTGCCATGTTGGGAGTGGTCCACCACCATCTCGGGAGCTCTAAGAACAAAGACCTGCCGGTAACATCTGCAGTGCACAAAAATGCTCTCTGCCATGCCTTCAGTGGGGATGAGGAAGGAGGTGGCAATGCTTGAATCAAGAATGGATTTCTCAGTATCTCTTTCAGCGATATGAAGTTAAAACCAGGTACTCTGAGTATGCACCTAATTTCTGGTTCTTATGAAGGTGCTTTTTTATGTAGATAGTTGTTAAATTGGGGTCTTTGTGGAGGGATCATCAGTGGAGATTTCTATTCAGCCATCATGCTCTGCCCCTCCAGCTGTATATGTATTTGTTATTGAAATGCAAATATACTTGAAGACATAAGATGTAAAATATTTCAATGTATTGAATTAAAGTAGTAAAAAGTGATTGTTGTCCATGACTGTAGAAAGAGCATTGTCCAAACAGATAAGTATTTTTATCTATACCTTTACCTAAATCTGTATCTGTATCTATACATGTGATCTCTCTGCCTATCATCTACCTACTACTTATAGTACATATAAAAAAAGATGTATTTCAAGTAAGTGGGAGTGTCTGATAATGGATACATTTAAAATGTTTAATAAAAGTTAGGAAACATAGAGTCCAGAAATGTGTCTATCCATTCAAAATATATAAAATGAGATTATTACCTCAAATCTTCCAGATGATTGGAGAGAATATGCAAAAGAATGCTGCAGTTAGTATTATTACCTGACAGTAAGACTATGTTCATTTCCACGGAGAATAAAAGCTCTTTATAAACTGGATAAAAAGTACAAAAAGTATGATTGAAAAAGGTTAATAAAGTAGATTACCTCAAAAATAAACATTTCTGTACTACAAAAGTTATGCAGCATATAGGAAAAGTAATTATCAACTAATAGTATTTAATTATTAACATTTTAAATAATTTTAGTATAAAATATTGAACATAACTCAAAAATGGTTTATGTATATGCAACAAAGTGAGAGAAAATTCAGGGCTTAATGTTGAGTGAAAGGAAGGATAAAAAAAATTTCAACGACCAGTGAAATGATACTGTCAATAGTTCACATGTATGGAACATTTTCACTATACCAGCCAGTGCTTTGAAGCTCTTTGGTAATTTTTACTTATTAAGTTCTTGCCAACAAACCTGTCAGGTAAGTTTAGTTATTCCCCATGTCACAGATGAGGTAACTGAAGGGAGAAAAAATCAGGGACTTGCCCAAGGTCACCTTAATAGTGAATGGCTGAGCTAAGGTTTGCTCTAACCTACTACTTTCTGCATTCCTTCCATAGACAGTGCTATTATTCACTGATTAAATAGTTACTTACTGAGCACCTGCCAAGGGCATCACTATGCTTGGTATTGGGAATATAGTGGTGAAGTACACAGAACCCATAGGAGCAAATATATAAAGAAGTAAACAATAAACACTAAGATTATTTCAGGAATTTTTAAGTGTCAGAACATGCTGCCACTATTATGAATGTGTGTGAAGGCTCAGGAGAGCTGTAGTACATAGAGGGGCTGGTTCTAATTGGAAGGAGGAAGGTGTAGTAAAGCTCCATAGATAGGGTGAACCATACCTGAGCCAAGCCTGGAGGTTCCCTCATTGCAAGAATGTGATTATATTAATAGTAAGAAGCATGTATTGATCTGTCCCGGTTTCCTGGAATGCAGCCCCTAAAACCCACAGGATGTCTGAAGTGACAAATGTCTTTTGTATGCTAAAGAGATGACTGATGGCTGGGGGCTCCTAGAGAATTCAGGATGGGGGCTGGTTGCCAGGGAAACCAGCAATGTGATTAGAGGGTTTCAGCCTTAACCCCCACCTCAATGGAGGCAGGAGGGGCTCTCTTGGCTTTTAAAATGTAAAAATAGTACATTATATGGCACAAATAAATAGTAAAAAAATAAAGGCATACAAATAAAACTCTTTCCCCACCCAAGTCTCACTACCATAAGTAATTATGACAAATATTTTTGTATGCCTCCTGTTGATGAAAGAAGCCAAACTCTATCAAACTCTATAAAATATTTGAAGTTTATTCTGAGCCAAACGCGAGTGATCATGGTTCAAGACACAGCCTCAAGTGGTTCTGAGAACATATGCCCAAGGTGGTTGGGATGCAGCTTGGTTTTATACATTTTAAAGAGAATGAATTCCAGGCATAAACATAAATCAATACATGTAAAGTATGCATTGGTTTGGCCTACAAAGGTGGAATATGTGGGTGCTGACAAATCATAGGTGGATGCAAAGACTTTGTATTGGCAATTGTTGGAAAGAATTTAGCTTTGCCTATAAAGTCAGAAGAAAGAAATGTGTGAATAAGACAAGGCAAGTTGTGGACACCAAAGTTCTTGTTATGTTGATGAAGTCTCTAAGTACCACGCTTCAGAGAGAATAGATGGTAAATGTTTCTTATGGGAACTTAAAAGATGTCAGACTTTCCAGAAAAGACCTAGTAAGGGACACAGATTCTCTACAGAATGCAAATTTCTTCCACAAGAGATGGTTTTGCAGGGCCATTTAAAAATATGTACAACAAAATATAGTTTGGGGTAAAATACTTTTATTTCCTTCAGGGCCTGCTGTCTGTCATGTGATGCTATACCAGAATTAGGTTAGAATTGGACGTGCTATTGCTACAGAGTCTGTTTTGTCAGTTTTATGATCTCTATTTTAATTAATGTTGATGGTGGTCAGTGGTACCTAAACTCCAAAGGGAGAAGCTATAATGAGGCATATCTAACTCTCTCCCTTCTTGTCATAGCCTAAATTAGTTTTTCAGGTTTCATTGGGATTCCCTTGGCCAAAAGTCCATTCATTCAGTTGGGGGGCTTAGAATTGCATTACTGGCTTATATTCCAAAATTGCTAAATGCCTTTGAATGCCTATCATTTTTTTAGTAAAAGGCACACTCACACTAATCTACAGTCTCTCTTTCTGAGGTTCTACACAACCTCATCATTCTCTGCAGCTGAAGACAAACCTAAAGATAAGTTTTCTGCTTAGAGCACAAATCAGATACTGAGATGTGCTTCCAGACACAGGTGGGCATCAAAAGAAAGCTGCCTGTGTATCTAAGGAGACATATATGAACTTCCTTGTAAGACGGGCCAGCTCCAAAAGAGCTACTCACTGCATGAGTCACTGCCCATGCTGAACCCTACTGTCATTTACCTCCTCCACTGAGCCTGGCAGCTCATGCTTGGGGTACTTATGCCTACATTGTTATAGGAAAGCTCCCTCACTAAGCCCCATACTGGGAATACATAGTTTATTAACAATGAGAAAAAATAGAAACTTTTTTTTAAGGCAGAATCTTGCTCTGTTGTCCAGGTTGGAGTGCAGTGGTGCGATCACAGCTGACTGCAACCTCGATCTCTCAGGCTCAAGCAATTCTCTAACCTCACTCTCCAGAATAGCTGGGACTACGGGCACATACCACTACATCTGGTTGACTTTTTCAATAGAGATGAGGTCTCAGTATGGTGCCCAGACTGGTCTCAAACTCCTGAGATTAAGCAATCCTTCTGCCTCAGCCTCCCAAATACTGGGATTCCAGGTGTGACCCATGGCACCTGGCAAGAAACTTTTTAATCTGAGTAATGTGATCTACCTCTAATGATCAGACCCAAAAGGACACAGGAAGAAGCAAACATGTCCCATTCCCTACACCTTGACTATTAAGCTAAGTAATTATTTCTTAAAGCTGCTTGCTATGTGCACTCTAGACTAACAGCACAAGTAGCTATAGATTAACCTAATAATGCCACACACTGTACGCTATTACTCATACCCTACAGCCCAACAATGTATAACCAATCATTAATAAATATTATTTTTGAAAACCAATGAGAATTTCCAACAAACTTTTTACCATCTCACTCTGTGTTGCCCCTTTTATCTTTAAAAACCTGCTTTTAACAAAGACCAAATGGAACTCATATTTACATTTACTTGGATCTGAGTCTTTCACACAGCAGTCTTCACTTGGCTCCAGTAAACTTTACAAGTATATTTTGTGCCTCAATTTCATTTGTTAAAATCAACAATAATATTGTCATAATAAAACAGACGTGAAACAACGCAAGTCCCTTAAGCAGTGAAAAGGGTGAGTACACTGGGTGACCCACAGCCTGAGAAAGAACGTGTGCAAAAGACGAAGGCAACACACACACACACAAACTTTTTCAGCACAATGTAAGTGGAATATTAATGGTAACGTTAACTTACTGAAAACTCAAAAAAGGAAAAATGGAGGGGAGGAAGGGGGGAAAAAGGAGCAACTTGGGTAACCAGCCTGTTTTATCTACAGTTTACTCCATACTTTGTATGTTAAATAGGATTTCAAGCTTGCAGTTTGCTCTCACTATGGAAATGTAGCCCAGGGTGGCTCACTCCTAGGTACTGAATGAGAGAAACATGAGAAGCTCAGGAATTTAATTCTGGGAGCTCCATACACTCTACTATTCCCTTTCACCATATGGAGATGCTCCTCCAGAGTCTCAACTCTCACAAGTGACCAATTACCTGGAGTAAGGTAAAGGTTCTGACCTGTGATTTATTTATTTTTTCTGAAAACACCTCGGGCATCAAATGTGTGGGGTTTGCTGAAAAAAATCAATTCTCCAACACCAACTGGTTGTCTAAGATTTTAGCTTATTTATGCGTAGTGTTCCATTATTGGAATGCTTAGCATGTGGGAGTTATTTATATCCAACTGCTCAAGGTCATCACCAAGGTCTGATTGCAAAAATTCAAAAAATTGCAACCTCAGGCACTTTGGGAGGCCAAGGCGGGCGGATCATGAGGTCAAGAGATCGAGACCATCCTGGCTAACACGGTGAAACCCCATCTCTACTAAAAATACAAAAAATTAGCCAGTCGTGGTGGGCGGCACCTGTAGTCACAGCTACTCAGGAGGCTGAGGCAGGAGAATGGCGTGAACCCAGGAGGCAGAGCTTGCAGTGAGCCGAGATCATGCCACTGCACTCCAGCCTGGGCAACAGAGCAAGACTCCGTCGAAAAACAAAAAAAAAATTGCAACCTCAGGCATAAAAGGGTTAACTATGACACAACCCAGAGTCAGCACAGACTCCATAAGTTCGAGGCTCCGTCCCACAACATTTCCCACAGTGCAGATGCCAGCTGCAAGACTCAGGGGCCCAACTATACTTTCGAGCAACTGCCTATAAATCAGGGGCTCCCATAACCTTCTCCACAAGCTTAAAATAATTGATACAACTACTCAAGCAATTCAACAGAAACATTTTACTGTTTATCAATTTATTAAAATGGGTACAACTTATAAACAGCCAAATGGAAGAGATGTGTAGGGCAAGAGAAAGTAGCAGGGGAAGATGGGTGATGATATGGTTTGGCTCTGTGTCCCCACCCAAATCTCACGTCAAGTTGTAATCCCCATGTGTCTAGGGAAGGGTCTGGTGGGGATAATTAAATCATGGGGATGGTTTCCCCCATGCTGTTCTTGTGATGGTGAGTGAGTTCTCATGAGATCTGATTGTTTTAAAGTGTTTGGCAGGTCCCCCCTCACTCTGTCTCCTGCCACCAGGTGAAGAAGGTCTTTGCTTCCCCTTTGCCCCTTGCCATGATTGTAAGTTTCCTGAGGCCCCCCCAGCCATGGGAAAGTCAGTCAATTAAACCTTTTCTTTATAAATTACCCAGTCTCAGGTATTTCTTTATAGCAGTGTGAGAACAAACTAATATAGGTGCCCAGGTAATCCTGGCAAATAGCTGCAATTAAATCTCCCATCCTTTGTGTTCATCAGGAGCAGCTTACTAAAACAAACAAAAAAACAAAAACAAAAACAACAAAAACAAAAAACCACCCTTTCCTTTGTAAGTTGGATGATACTTGATTTTTTTACCTAGCAAAAAGCCAGACACATACTCTCCATTTTTGCTTCTTAAGACAATTAGATGAAGCCTGGTCAAAGAATGACAGTGGCCTGCCTGGCTGTCCCCACAAGAGGAGACCACCATTAGAAATTCTGCTCTCAAGATCAGGCACAGAGGAGCCTCTCCATAGACCTGCAGCCTGGGAGAAAATAAGATGAAAGCTTGAGGTCTCAGAATTAAATGACAGACAAGCTTGATTCCCAACACTCATCCTGCCAACCGTGATCTGGGTGTGAACATGACAGACCCACCAAAGTTCCAACACCTAACAACCTATGCCAGTCTACAGAGGGCTCCTCTCATCTCCCAATTCCCCCACTACCCAAACACAATGGTGATGGGGAGTGAAGGATTGCCCAGATGGGACCACAGCTATGCACTGGACTGAGCGGCACCCAGAGTGAGAGCCTTTTGTGAAGATGCTGATGTTGGCTTCACCCTCAATTCCCCCAGCCCCATGCTTAAGCAGTTTGGCAAGAGGCACCCAAAGGTAACACAAGGCAACTCAGGGCAGGCGCCAGGTAGCTGGCTATCATCCTGTGGAATGGAGTTATATTAGGGGCGAAGTGTTGTTCTCTGCTGCTGACAGACTGGACACTCAGGGGTGGCTATAGTCAGGTTGGCCTTGGTGGGCGGACATTTATTCTGCTGTGTCCATGCATAACCTCCTTCCCAGAGACCATGGCCACTTTGTTCATGACTCCATTAGCTAAAGACAGGGGTGGCTGGAGAGAGACGCTGACCAGTATCCACAAAATGGGTCATCCTAGCCACGTGATTTAAACCGTCCCCTGCTGGGATCACACTTTGGTTCACACTGACATAGAAGATGGGTAGCTTCATTTTGGAGGATATTTTAAAGACATCTATTTATGTACCTTTTCTCCAGAATTCCCTTTCATCAATTTTTCAATCATGTTCCTTCCAAATCACTGACCATCCAGGCAAACCACATTGGTCATGGCCAATGAACTGATACGCCATAGTATGTATGGCCATTTCTACTTTGAAGCAAAGTGCATAATGAGGTAGGCGCACAACCCAAACTTCTGCCCACTGAGATTTCTTTTCACCACTGTCCAGGGATATCCCAGAAAGGGGTTGTAGTGCTGCAACTGCCCATTTTGGGGTGGTATAGGCATATTGTGCCGAACCATTTGTTAAACCAGGCCCTATCCCTCTCTTCCTCTGTCAACTGTTCATAAGGTACTCCCCATGACGGTATAGGTACTGCCTTGGAGAGAGACAGTGGTTTAGCAAGAGAAGAAACCATCTGTATTTGGGCCACTTCTTAACTTTGTTGTTTTTCAGCATCTGCTTGGACCTAATCACACACATGCTACTCTCATTTGATAATGGAGTGCTGCTATGCATGCCCAACTTAATGGCTTGATGGGTTAGACAACAACCAGGTCATCATGGTCAGGTCACATTGCATGATAACCTGGTGGCACATGGTCAAGCATTCATTTTCTACCAAGGCCTAATAGGCCAAGAACTTTCTATCAAAAGAAAAGTAGTGTTCTATGGATGATGGCAGGGCTAGCTTCACAATCCTAAAGGTTAGCATGTCATTCACTAATAGAAGCCTTGCAAAGGATCCAAAAGGCATCCTTATCTGCCATGACACCTCAAGCACCATGGGATCTGCTATCACATGGCCCAAGTGGCAGAGCACCTTGTACAGCAGCCTGGACCTGCTGCAGAGACTTCTCTTGCTCTGGACCCCACTGGGAACAGCTTTTCATGTCATTCAGCAAAACCACTTTATCTCTTCAAGCTGGCACCTATGGCCTCATGGGGGTACCCTATAATCAGCTCTCAGAGGAAGAGAAGGTTAGGGCCTAGCTTATAGATTTTTTCTGCATAATATGAATGCACCACCAAAAAATGGACAGCTGCAGCACTCCAACCCCTTTCTGAGACACCCCCGGACAGTGGTGAAGAGAAATGCAGTAACACACTCAAATGAGGAATATGCTGCCTCCCCCAAACACAAAAGGTATTGTGCCTCTTTCTGGTTTGTAGAAGGGGCCAAAGGCAAAAACACCTTTCACCTTAGAAAAATTTTTTCAACATGCTTCAGCCACTTAACTCCTACAAATTTCCCTGAGGTAGAAGGCCTCAAAAGTTCAGTCAGATTTATTTCCTACTCTCTGACACCCAAATGTCAGATTTGTTTCTGGGGAAAAATTCTGGCACAGAAAAAGAAGAATTACTGAGAAACAGCACTGGGACAGTATCAGGGAATGTCGGGAATGGGCCAGCACCTGCGGAGTCACCCTGAGCCTGAGGCCAGAGGCAAAATGTTCACCCTATATATATGCCTTTATTTCTATTTTAAGGTGTTATTTTTCTTACAGTGTATTGTGCTTGATGGTTTAGGACTGTCCTAGTTGACCAGATTCCCAAAGGGTCCTATCTCTCCTTTGGTGAAGGTAAAGGAATACAAGAAAGAGGTGGGTAAGAAAATAGGTAAACAGGTGTTCCTGAAACAGGACCACCACGGCCTCTTGGGGGAGGTCAGGTGAGAGGTGCCCAACCAGCCAGTGCAGGTGCCCTGATAAGTATGAGAGTATCCTCTAGAAGGGCACCTTGTGATGGTAAGACAGGAATTGGTGGCATCCTCAGAACAGTCTGGTGGGGACTGAACTGCATCATCAGCAGAGAGGGCATTATAGGTCCCGTGTTGCCTGAAAAATTAGGGGAGATCACAAGACCGAGGGTCAGCTGTCCAAGGGCAGACTTACCAATGGTGAGAAAAGAACAGTCAACAGATGGTAACCAGGGCTGGACTACCAAAAGTAAACTAGTAGCAGAATATCAGCAAAGGCATGACCAGCAAGTTGAAAGGCTGCCTGCCTGACATGTCACTGAAATGACCCTGTGATGGAAATTGTCAGTGACATCAATGCTGAGTAATCTGTGAATAAATCTAGAGAAGCTGCAATTTGAGGAGGGACATCAGGCCATCTGGGGAAACAAAAACCTGTAAGTACACTGGGTCTTGAAAAAACAATTGCATGGGGAAGTAAAATGAGTTAAATGGACTTGGTAGTAGGTTCGGAGTTGCTTGACTGTGAGCAATGGCAGGCTGGAGTGGGACAGGAGGACCAGGAGGACTCAGAACTAAGCAGTTAAGTCTAGAGGCACTGTGTGTGCTGGAGGTGATATCATAGGTACAAAAGCTTGATTTTGGAGGTGGCCCGATCAAGCCTGAGTTTTGGGTCTTGTCCATCCAAATGGCTGCCAAATACAACTGAGGTACCAAGTGTTTCCAAAAGGCGTAGGCTGTAGGAACAGTGAAGGAGGTGGCCTAAGAAACTGTTAAACTAAACATGACCTGAAACTACCTCTGCACTGAGCCTCTATGTGAGGAACTACATCCTGAGTATGTAAACCAACTGGAGGCCTAACTTAGGAGTATCTTTTTGTAACAAATAGCTAAGTTTCATCCAATAACAGTAGTTGAGATTCAGTAAATCACAGGCTGACAATCAGTCAGACCTTTTCTCACAAAAAATGGCAAATTCCAAGCTGTAACTAATAATTAAGATGTTTCTGTACTATAGTTCCGTTTCTGTTTTCTGTATAAATCCTCCTGCCCACACTGTGGAGCAGAGCTCTTGCCTCTTCTGGTGCTGAAGGCTGCGTAATGTGTAAATCAGTCTTTGTTCAATTAAACGCTGTTAACTTTTTCTAAGATTTTTCTTATTTAAAAAACTAGTGAAAAAACACAAGTAAAGGTTTTGCTGGGTAGCAATGTGGTCAGGGTTGGTGGGACAGTCTGTGTGGGCATTCTGGGTGCAGGACAGAGATGGTAACTGTGAGGGTATCTTTCAGCAGGTGGAATAACTGATACATGGTCTGGAAGGACATAAAGCAACCACCAGGGAAATAAGGCACACAGTCATGTGTATGAGGCAGCACCTTGCAGACTGGGAAGATCTGAGCTGGGGTCAAGGGCTAGAGGAGCGCTGAATAAGCGCTAGCCTTTATCTCTGTCATACAAAAAGAGGGGTCTGAACAAAAGCTAAGAAAAAAGGTGAGAAGGTATTTATGGAAGCCGATCTAGAAGGGAGGCTTTGCCATTTGTTGGAAGAAAGGTGATTTTTTTATAAATAGGGAAGAAGGTCTGTGACACAAGAACATCACCTGTGGTCAAGCAAGCAGTGATATTAGCTAATAGCCTTGTCACATGCAAGATGGCAGAGCCAGCAGGA
Source organism: Homo sapiens (assembly GCF_000001405.40). Lineage (NCBI taxonomy): Eukaryota > Metazoa > Chordata > Mammalia > Primates > Hominidae > Homo > Homo sapiens. The sequence continues at coordinate 227,614,412 of NC_000001.11, read as the reverse complement.
TAGGAGTCAAGTGGCAGCAAAGTCCGTTTTCATTTAATACGAGGAAAGACATGAGTGCCAGGGTAAAGGTGTCATAAGGTTTATGTTGCAGTAGGTATCCTGCTATTAATTGTCAGAATTCTGGCAATAAAGCAGTGGAAGCAACAAAGGGATAAAATCAAAATAAAAAGCAGCAGTCAAATCTAGAAGTAACTCTTATGGATAGCATAGTAAAAATCAATCAAGTGTGGGGCTGACAATAGGACTCTGAGTCAGCCCAGTCCAGAAGACCATAAGGAGTTTAGTCTGCAGGAGGTCTAACTGGGCCCAGCAGATGGCCTCTACATGAGGAACATGATGGTGCCATTCAAGAATTTCTAATAGAGACCATAAGTCTCAATCAGATCACAGCTCACTAGCTTTCTGATAGCAATAGCAGGAGCAAATGTCAAGGCACTCCTTCAAAGACTGGAGATGCTAATCATGTTGATATTTCAGCAGGATGAGCAGAGTCCTATTCTCAATAATCAATTGTTTTGGGTAGAATTGACTCCAGCAGTACTTGTTGGCACCAGAGAAACAGTTTTGGGCGTGGGGCTTGTGGCAGGCAAGGTACACAGTAAACACACAGGACACACAGTAGAGGACTCCAACAGGAAGGCTCCCAGTACAGAGTTTTGCAAGGGAGTCACCATGGGAGGGGTTTGCACAGGCTATCAAAGATGAGGCCCTGAATGAGAAGTGCTAACAGAAAGCAAAGGCAGAGGTTGCAATAACAAGGGTGGGGTATATCTGTTTGTGAGTTTGAAATCTTATTCAGCCAACATTAACTTATTGCTAGTCTTCAAGCTGCTGGCTCACTTTCAACCAGGGTTGATTCTGGAGTCATTTTTCAAAAGACCTAGTGAGGCAGCAATGTCGTAACTGCCACATCTCGAGGTGAAATCAAATGCACAGTGGCTGGTGGCACATCCACCCCTGTAACAGTAACTGGAAAAAGAGAAGTGCAGAGACCTTAATGAGACACCAATGCCCATGTGGTGTTGCCCAAAGTTGTGGGTAGCATCTCTGGGAGGATAAATAAGAGGAAAACGTAATCTGAGAATTGCTGTCCTGGGGCCAGGGCAATAGCTGCGGCAGTGTCAAAATCCTGTGGTCCCAAGTCAGGGTAGGCAGCTTGGCCTGAAGAATAATGCAGAAAAGTTGAAAGGTGGGTTGGCCACTGGGAATGGAGATGAGGAGTAGAGGTAGTGAGTAGCTGTAAATATGAGCTAGTACCAGAGGCAGATATTGGTGACAAGAAGGAGTCCAAAGGGAGGCTGTTTTTCAAAGTCTTCATCAGCCCATTCATACTTTCACTTAGCCCATCGCTGTCTGCTGGTATTAAAGGTGAAAGGCTCAGGTAATGCCATTCCCCAGTGCCCAATTTTGGGTGACCTTAGGTGAAAAATGGACACCCTGCTCAGACTGAGTAACATGGAGGTTCCCAAAAGGGGCCAGGACTGACACAGTCAGACACTGATGATGTTTTTGGGCTGCTAATCAACAACAAAGAACAGGAGGCAGTGCAGTGTAGGTTGTAGGTGTCACCCACAGTGGGGGCATATTTGGTGAGGCGTGCTCTTTGTTGGGGTGGGCAATAAAATGAACTTTCTGGTTGACATGTGGGTAATTATGTCACCAAAAGACAGTAAGAGACAAGAAGTCTTCTTACCAGAGCAGCCAGTTCTGGATGGCTTAAGCAACTGAGTTGAATAAAACAGAGAAGCCCCACAATAAAATCCAAGTTGATAAGATGTCTCAAAGTCAGGTGTGCCCAGGAGTAGAAAGCTATCCCAGGTACCAAAGTCTGGTCTATGAGAGTAAGGATGTAGGTAAGGTAATTTGCCTTGTCATATTGAGAGGCAGGATCTTACTGGTGTGAGTCTAGACACGGTGAATAAAAATAGACCATGTGGCACAGAAATCAGCACCGTTCCACCAAAGGGAGGCACCCCACAGTACCTGACCATGATTTTTCCAGTTTGTGACCACCACTGATTACCCATTAGTGATGGCCCCAGAATTGGTGAAGATGTGGGTTTCAGACTGGCCTTGCATGGCAGACTGCTCAACAGCCAGGAGGATGAAAAGATAACCAAGAGGAAGAGATAAGAAGGGCCCTCACTTTGAGAACCAACCTCATGACCTAGTGGAAATGGGCCATCAGTTCTGCATACTGAGTGGTCCTTTTTCTGCAGCTGGAAGGGTTTATCTGATGCCAGATGATAGATGTTGCCCATCCAGATGTGACTTGGGCACCTCTGCATGTCCATCACTAAAGTAGGTACACCCCTGCTGCAGCAGTGCAATAGCTTTCCAGCTGTTGGAAAGGACCCAGCTAGCTAAAGGCAAAATGGTCTCTGGTTGTCGATCATCTTCTGGCATGCTGGAGGGACAGAAACTGACAGTCTTGTGAAGTACAGAAACACCTGAAACTCCAGGCCTGTCTCAGTCCTGCAAGTATCCCTTCCATTTGACAAGAGATGCTTGGTAGCAGCACCTGGTTTGCTAGAATAGGGTTCTCAGATCCAAGGCACAGTGGAGATCTCTGTTTTCAGTAGATGAATTCAAATCCTGTCAGTGTCTTGGTCTCAGACAGAACTAGATAAACTGCAACCAACTGTGTCTTGAGAAGCATATATTAACCACAGGCATACACCAAAAGCCCACTGTGAGTCAAGATCCAGAGTGAGTAGTCTAAAGACTCCATGAGTCAAGCAGTATTATTATTGAAACCTATTACCTACCATTGCAAGTCCTTTCCCCATGGGACTAGTGGAAGAGCCTCCTGGACTAACCACTGGGCAGCTCTTATAGCTTCTTCTTGAGAAGAACACAGATGAAGGTGAATGTCTTGTGAGTGGCCTGATAAATGCATCTTAGAACGCATTAGAGGTGATCAATGTGTTATCTCAATAAGACACAAATGCCAACATGCTGGGCCTCTTTAGCCAAGAAAAGAACTCTGTGAGTGAGTGAGGGAGGCTGATTGTGAAGTCTGCCTGCCTTCCTTACTCTAAATATAGCCCCCAAAATTGATGGAGATGGCAGGTCCTTGAATCTTGTATAGATAGGGTGATGGCCCATCCCCATGGGTCAAGGGTTGGTTCTCAACGTAAGGGTCAATTTTACCTCTTCCTTTGGGTTATCACCCAGGACACCACCCACATAATGCCACAGGTGGAAGTCAGAGGGCAGCTAGGTCCTCTCTACACAGATCATGAGCCAGTGGAGGACTACCGAGGTAGCCCATTGGAAGCTTCATAAAAATGTATCTTTGGCCTTTAAAAGTAAAAGTGAACTGCACCTGAATTTCTCTACAAATTGAGACAAAACAAAACATGTCTGCCAGGTCAGTAACAGTAAACCAAGTTGCAGAGGAATTCTGAACTTCTTCCAAGATGGTGACAATGTCTGATGTAAGGAGATTTAAGTATAGCATTGATGAGGTTGTGGTAATCAGCAGTGAGCCTCCATTCCTTTCCCTGGCCTTGAAAAAGGGCCAGACTGGGAAGTTAAAAGGTTAAGAAAGTGGTTTCAGAAAACCCCCCTTCTATCATGTCATATGTAACAGGATGAATCCCTTCTATGCCCTACTTGAGTGGATATTATAGGGTGTTGATCACCTTAGGGGGGTTGGAAAGCTGTACCGGTTTCTTGTTGGATTGTACAGTCATCAGTACAAAAGACTTGGGCTTGGTCCAGGTGGGGATCCAAGGCACCAGAATGTCCAGGCCAATGACAGGAAATAGTCACTGAGAGGTGACTGGAAGTAACACCAGAGCTTGTGAAAAAATGATGGGTCCTCCCTTAATGATGACCCTGGCAGGTATTCTAAAGGCTTGTTCTCCTCCAAGTCCATTCATGGGCACAACAAGACTGGTGAACTACACTGGGTATGTGGAAATCAGAGTAACCTATGATCAGTGTGAAATTAGGCCATAAATGCCCATGGGTTTTAGGGCACACACTTCCGGATTTAAAACTACACTAACAAAGCTATAGTAATCAAAACAAGTAAGGTATTGAACTACTATATATGTAGGTTTTTGTTTATCTTGTTTTCTGGCTACCACGAAAGTATGTGGAAATATTATTCTCTGCTATTTATTAAATCCTTGTAACGTTATTGACTAACTTAGTGATGATAGGGGCTGGAAATATTCACCATGAGCTTAAACATATTTATTAGTAGTACGTCAGGTTTTCTATTTTTAGGGGACAGTCTCCATTTGAAAAAGTAGAATAAGAGCTCCCTAGGTCTTCTGTATAAACTCATACTTATTAGAACACTCTGTATGTTACTTTGTGTGAGATTTGTTTTCTAATGAGAGAAAAACTTTTTAAAAAGTGAAGGAGGGTCGAGCGCGGTGGCTCACACCTGTAATCTGAGCACTTTGGGAAGCGGAGGCGGGCAGATCACGAGGTCAGGAAATCGAGACCATCCTGGCTAACAAGGTGAAACCCTGTCTGTACTAAAAATACAAAAAATTAGCTGGGCGTGGTGGCACGCGCCTGTAGTCCCAGCTACTCAGGAGGCTGAGGCAGGAAAATCGCTTGAACCTGGGAGGCAGAGGTTGCAGTGAGCCGAGATCTTGCCACTGCACTCCAGCCTGGGTGACGGAGTGAGGCTCTGTCTCAAAGAGAAAAAAAAAAAAGTGAAGGAAATGGTGTTCCATTTTCAAAGATAATCCTGTTAGTATTTTTGCTGTTTAAAGGTTTCAAATATTGATGTTGGATTAAAATATATATTCACAAAAAGTTACAAGTAAATTTTAATGTAGTTATTGAATCGTCACAAATTTTATGGTAAAATCAGCATTCAATAAACCTATTGTTATGAAGTATCTACGTATTTTAAAACAGAGGGGAGCAACACACATTGGGGCCTATTGGAGGGTGGAGAATTGGAGGAGCGAGAGGATTTAAATAAATAACTAATAGGTACTAGCCATCTGTATTCATATTTCTATTTCATCGTTCCTCTGTAATGCATTTTGGCAGCTAAATCTTACAGTTCACTAATCCTCTCATTAACTTATTTTTATGTTTTGCCTGTGCATTGTATATTAACTTTATTATATTTTTCAAATGTTTATATTTGGTTTAGTTCTTTTCCAAATATGGCTTATAAAGTTTGTTTTTCCTTGATCTTTATGCATTAATGTTTTGACTGTGCATTGTATATTAACTTTATTTTATTTTTCAAATGTTTATATTTGGTTTAGTTCTTTTCCAAGTATGGCTTATAAAGTTTGTTGCTCCTTGATCTTTACATATCACTTCAATTTCCCATTTTTTCCTTTATATACATTTAAATATTTTAAAAATTTTAGTATTTGACGTTTTGGAAATATCTAGTTTTTCTGAACCTTTATTCTGGTGGTTGATTTCCTATGTGGCTTATAAATTCTAATTTGGAATACCTTAATTCTTGTCAAGAGTCCAGTTTTTACGTGTCTTTGTTTTATTCAAATTTACCTGAGGGCAAGTCTGAGGACTCATACAGGTTTGATGATCACAAGATCATCAACTGTCCTGAGGGCAGTAACTGCATCTCTGTTTGATTCCTTTTCTAGATCCTTCTCTAGATTTACTTTTCCTTCTTGAAGTTTCTGCATTTTTCCTTCAACTCTACCGGGCATTTTAAGTGCTCTTATAACATCCTGAGCATTTTCGGTTGTTGCCTTAGAAGAAACTTGCTGTTATATAGAATATTATTCCCAAAAAATACATAAGTAAAATATTTCAGATAGATATTTTGTGGCTGACAATAGAGCCTCATGAGAAATCTCAAGTTTCTTATTCAAGAATAGCTTCTGAACCCAACAGTGTACCATATATTAGTAATAATTTGTAGAATGTGATGATTTTTAATATGTAAATAATTTTATGTGTTTAAGAAATTTCTATACGTATCATTTGCCAAATAATTTTCAATATTCAAAAAATAATTTTATGTGTTGAATAAATTTGTAAAGACATCATTCTCTACTTTACTGAATATGACCCAAATGAGTATTTATTTACCTATTTTAAGATAGCTTTGTTGAATTAACTGGATTCCAATCACCATGCTTCCTTCTTAGTACTCACCTAATCCTTAAAAAAAAAATCAGTTGGAATTTTCTACTTAACCCAAATGCTATTTTAAGTAACCTCAAATTATATGTGTATGTGGCTAGATGGCTAGATAATACTTTTTGGTTACAATTTACAATTTTAACTGGTACATTTTATTGTTATTCACAGAAAATGCAACCTGTAGGAGTTCTGCTTTCATAATATTATTTATACTTTTGGAGCCTTAAACTTTAAAGTTTTAAAGATTTTTTTTTAAGTAATCAAAAATAATCTGTATACTCTGGTTACCACAATAATTGTTGTTCATGTGTCTATCTTTCTAACTAATCAATGTTTCTAATAAAGTTAGTTAACATTTGTTGTGTCAATTTTTCCTATATACTAAAACAAATTATTTTATAATAGTTTTAATGTCCCCTATGAAAACTATAACTGTGCCAATTTATTTTCTGAATGAACGTATGTGCTATATATAACTAAATATATATTTGAATATATAACTAAATAATATAGCATATATTATAAATTAATACATATACAATATATAATAAATGTATATTATAAAATAAATATATAAAATACATATTATAAAATATAAATATATTTAAATATATAACTATTTAAAATTATATATAGTTATTTTAAATAGCTATATATTTAAGACGTACATGTAAGTGGCTTGGAAATATACATACTCTGTGCTATGTAAGTGTTAACCACTGATTCGTCAAATGATCAACCACTGATATCATTCTTTACTTACAATGTTATTTTGTATTTTTCTCATTACAAGTTACATTTCCTGTGTTATCTAAATACTGACACCAAAGAGGACAGTAGGCTGCCAGCCATCATTTGATAAAACTTAAAGTCAAATGACATAATCTTCTAGTTTATTTTAGGTGCATTTTTGTCTTATGCAAAATGACATGTCTGAGTGGTAGGTATGAAGTTGTAGCCTTGTTTTATTTTCTACAAAGACCCTCAGAAAGAGGGTATTAACAGACAGCCTCAAAGCCTCATTTTTTCACATTATTTTAAAATATCAACTGCCATGAGAATCTAGAGACACAGAACATTAGAAACTATAGACAAACGTATATGAAGACAAAAATTATAAAAACAAATTCTAGACAAAACAGGATGTGTTAATAGACTTCTAATAAATAAAGAGATTAAATCAATTAAAAATCATCATGTATAGAGTATCTCAGATCTGGATGGCATCACTGATAATTCTGCCAAATTTTTTGGAGAATTAATATCAACCCTTCCCAAATACTTTCTGTGGGGAAAAGAAAGATCAGATTGTTACTGTGTCTATGTAGAAAAGGAAGACATAAGAAACTTCATTTTTATCTGTACAAAGAAAAATTGTTCTGCTTTGAGATGCTGTTAATCTGTAACTTTAGCCCCAACCCCGTGCTCACAGAAACATGTGCTGTACTGAATCAAGGTTTAAGGGATTTGGGGCTGTGCAGGGTGTGCCTTGTTAACAATATGTCTGCAGACAGTATGCTTGGTAAAAGTCATTGCCATTCTCCATTCTCTATTAACCAGGGACACGATGCACTGCAGAAAGCCGCAGGGACCTCTGCCCAAGAAAGGCTGGGTATTGTCCAAGGTTTCCCCGCCACTGAGACAGCCTGAGATATGGCCTCGTGGGAAGGGAAAGACCTTACTGTTCCCCAGCCCAACACCCGTAAAGGGTCTGTGCTGAGGAGGATTAGTAAAAGAGGAAGGCCTCTTTGCGGCTGAAATAAGAGGAAGGCCTCTGATTCCGGCATGTCCCTGGGAATGGAATGTCTCCGTGTAAAGCCGACCATTTGTTCTATTCTGAGATAGGAGAAAACCGCCCTGTGGCTGGAGGCAAGATATGCTAGTGGTGATACTGCTCTGTTACTCTTTGCTACACTGAGATGTTTGGGTAAAGAGAAACACAAATCTAGCCTATGTGTACATCCGGGCACAGTACGTTCCCTTGAACTTATTTATGATGCAGATTCCTTTACTCACATGTTTTCCTGCTGACCTTCTCCCCACCATCACCCTATTCACCCCGTTCTCCTGCCACACTCCCCTTGGAGAGATAGTGAAAATGGTAATCAATAAATACTGAGGGAACTCGGAGACCGGCACCGGTGCAGGTCCTTGCATGCTGAGTGTGCCAGTCCCCTGGGCCCCCTGTTCTTTCTCTATACTTTGTCTCTGTGTCTTATTTCTTTTCTCAGTCTCTTGTCCCACCGGTGAGATGAGAAATACCCACCGGTGTGGAGGGGCAGGCCCCCTTCACTTTCAATAAAAAGGAGATAATAAATAACATATAAAAAGAGTTATACACCTTGACCAAGTGGGATTGTTTCAAAAACATGTAGTTATAACATCTAGAGAACAATTAATTTATCCATTTATGCTTATACTTCCACAAGTTTCCCCAATTTGTGTGTGTGTGTTTTATAAGTACACTTAACATGGCTATATTTATTATTCTCATAGTGGTGAAGTGTCACAGGAATATATCCAGTCTCATGAAATTGAGTATATTGAGCTTGACATTTTTTGTTTATCAAATATTTTAATAAAGCTGTTAATAATATCCATAAAATGTATCATAATAAAATAAAGATCAAGATGTGATAACATCATTGACAGAAAAAAATTTTGGCTAAATGTACTTTATGATTGTAATCCTAAACAAACTAGGAATTGAGGAGAACTTCCACAACCTGTTAAAGGGCACCTATATAAAATGTACGGTAAATATTACTTAGTGAAAAAAATGTTTCCTCCATAACATTGGGAACAAGACAAATATTCACTTTTGCCACATCTATTAAATATTGTCCTGGAAAATTTTGCTTTAAAAGTCATATACGAAAAGATAAAGAAAGTGACTCTACATTGTCTGAGTAAAATTCTTTTAATTTCTGAGACATTATTTCATATATAAAAGAAATCCTGAGGAGCTGTCTAAAACCTCAAAGAAATAAGTTTAGCAATGTTGCAGACTATGAGGTGAAGATACAAATATTAACTGTATTTCTGTACACTAGCTATGAACTTTCTGAAAATACAACAAAGAAAACTATATCATTCAAAATAAAACCAAATAAAAACTCTAAAGAGAAAAACCTTTTAAAAAAGTGCTAACTGGGCCAGGCGCAGTGGCTCACGCCTGTAATCCCAGCACTTTGGGAGGCCGAGGCGGGCGGATCCCAAGGTCAGGAGCTCGAAACCATCCTGGCTAACATGGTGAAACCCGGTCTCTACTAAAAATACAAAAAATTAGTTGGGCGTGGTGGTGGGCCCCTGTAGTCCCAGCTAATTGGGAGGCTGAGCCAGGAGAATGGCATGAACCTGGGAGGCGGAGCTTGCAGTGAGCGGAGATTGCACCACTGCACTTCAGCCTGGGCGACAAAACGAAATTCCATCTAAAAAATAAAATAAAATAAAAGTGCTAACTGAAAAAGAAGGTAATAAAAAGATAAAAACACATTTTTTAAAAGGTAATTTTAATGAACATTTTGTCACTGTCAAAAATATATATAAATTGTAAGTAAGTATATAAAACTACACTTAACATTAGTCATTAGAAAAATGCTAATCAAAACTTCAGGGAGGCCGGGTGCAGTGATTCATGCGTGTAAGCCCAGCACTTTGAGAGGCAGAGGTGGGTGGATCACTTGAGCCCGGGAGTTTGAGATCAGCTGTGCAACATGGTGAAATCCCATCTCTACTAAAAAATACAAAAATTAGCCAAGCATGGTGGGTGGTACATCCTGTAGTCCCAGCTACTCAGGTGGCTGAGGCAGGAAGATCATTTGAGATTGGGAGGTGGAGGCAGCAGTGAGCCATAAGCATGCCATTGCACTCCAGCCTGGGTCCCCAAGTGAAGCCCTGTCTCAAAAAAATAACCCTCAGGGAGATATCCCTTCTTATGCAGTAGAATGATTTAACAACAAACAAAAGTAAGCATTGGCAGAGATGTAAACATAGAACCCTCACAAACTGCTGATAAAACTGTAAAACAGCACAGCCGCTTTACAAAACAATTTGGTAGTTTCTCGAAATGTTTAACATGGAATTACCATATTGGTGCATCAGCTCCACTCTCACTCATGTGCCCAAAAGAGATGAAAATGTTGGTTCACACAAAGACTCACTGGAACATTGTTTGTTATAACCAAATATGAAAAATGGAAATACTCAAATGTCAAAATGTCAACCAGTTAATATAAGGAAAAACAGTTAAGTACATTTTATATTGGAATCCTATTTGGCCATCAAAATGAATTAAATAATGCTACATGCTACAACAGATATGAACCTCAAACAAACTAATAGAAACCAGAAGCAAAAGACTGATAATGTATGGTTCCAATTATACAAGACATGTCCAGAAAGTGAATGTCTACAGATAGAATGGAGATTAATGGTTGTGTAACACTAAGATGAGAATGAGAAGTAGCCTCAAATTGCATTAAGTTTTGGGGGAGTTAATGGAATCAGGCTTCTAAGAGGCACTTGAAGTCCACTGAATACATCCTAGAAGCTCAAGGTTAGTGGCTGCCACTTACTGCTTTGTCAACAGACCTGGAGCACCCACAAGAGCTCAAGTGGACAAGGCACCAGTCCACATCTTCCCACAGCTGGCATGAAGCAGCAGAAGGGGGCTGGGTTGGGGTGCCAAGACCCTGGAGCCCATGAGCAATGGCGGGTGAGGAATCAGATGACTCCCTACATACTAGCAGGACTACAGCACCTGGAGTCGGGCCCAGTGGGTCACACTGGGGTGGCCAGATACACCTGAGGCTGCCAAGTACACTGTCCCAAGTCAGCAGTCCTCCTCTGTGCTGGTGGCAAATAGCATCTACATGCCAAGTTTGAAAGTGAACCCTCATTCTATGGTAGTAAAACAAGTAACACAGTGGCAGGGCATCTGAGTACCCCATACAAATAAAGGCGAACCACCTAGCACTTCCCCCAACCTGGCAACAGAAAGTAGCAAAATAGATTCATCCTTCCAGGGATTGTACCTGATTCCTCTGAAAACAATGCAACATTCCCCCCGCCCCATGCCCATCATGACGTGGGAGGAACAGATTTGGAGCTCTGGAGACAATTAGCTGCCTGTGGAGCTGCTCTTTCTCCTCACAAAGCCTGAGACTTCATTCACACGTGGAGATGCTGAGGCAGCCAGGCAGTACCTGCAAGAGGGAACCCGGCACAACCAGCAGCAGCCCATTCCAGGAAGATGCACATGCTTGTATGGGTCACAAGTTATGTTTTACTTTCCTCCCCTCCAGGAGATCTTGGTATGTTGCCCAGGCTGGGGCACAGTGGCTACTTACAGGTACAATCATCACACATTATAGCCTTGAACTCCTGAGCTCAAGCAATTCTCATACCTCAGCCTCTAAAGAAGCTGGAATTACAGGTACATGCAACTCTGCCTGGATCAAAAAGCATTCTTTAAAGTGTAACCAACAAGTACTATTCAGCCATATGCAAACTTCATTTAAGACCTTTTTAAGTTAACACCTGGTTTAAATGAAATATTCAAACTGATATTTTTGCACAGTCAGGAAAGTGCTAGGAGGAGGAAGGATGCTTAGAGCCCAATACCTAAAATAATTCTACCAATTCTAGCCTTTGTTATAAACAAACAGTAATTCTGGCTATATTCAGATACTATTTCTGCAGTGAAGCACTATTATTTCAACAATTTACACAAAACATAAATTTTCAAGTACTAAAAATAATTGCACTCTACGAATTACTGTTATCTTATGGTATATAGGATAGGGTGTGTGGTCCAAATAAGAGACTTGAAATCTCTGATGAAACACTACTGTCTGTCCAAAAAAAATTGTGAAATATTTTACTTATGTGTACAATGTGGATATTTGTGCTTCTGAAAAGTACTGTATATTACACAAATTTTTAATGCATACAACTAAAAATTCTCAAAAATTTTACTTGTCACAGTAAACATAAATTTTAACTGATAAGTAATTTGAAACTTTCAGAGAAAACAGCAGGATTTTTATTTTAATAATCTGGCAAATTATCAAATTCAGCAATTATTATCTCATTACTAATCTGTCTCTGCCAAACTGATAAGCAGAAAACTTTATATAAGTTTTTGTTTTGTTATTGAAAACCAGCAGAAGACAAAGATGCTCTCTAACCACTCCTATTCAACATAGTATTGGAAGTCCTGGCCAGAACATTAAGCAAGAGAAAGAAATAAAGGACATCCAAGTAAGAAGAGAGGAAGTCATGTTATCCCTGTTTGCAGATGATATGATTCTATATCTAGAAAACCCCATAGCCTTGACTCAGAAGCTCCTTAAGGTTATAAACAACTTCAGCAAAGTCTCAAAACACAAAATCAATGTACAAAAATTACTAGCATTTCTATACACCAAAAATTATAAAGCCAAGCCAGGCATGGTGGCTCACACCTGTAATCCCAGCACTTTGGGAGGCTGAGGCAGGCAGGTCACGAGGTCAGAAGTTCAAGACCAGCCTGACCAACATGGTGAAACCCCGTCTCTACTAAAAATACAAAAATTAGCCAGGCGTGTTGGCACATGCCTGTAATCCCAGCTACTCGGGAGGCTGAGGCAGGAGAATCGCTTGAACCTGGGAGGTGGAGGTTGCAATGAGCCAAGATTGCACCACTGCACTTCAGCCTGGCCAGCAGAGTGAGACTCCGTCTCAAAAAAAATAAAATAAAAATAAATAAATAAAATTATAAAGCCAACAGCCAAATCAGGAATGGAATCCCATTCACAATTGTCACAAGAAAAAGAAAAAAAAAAAGAAAAACCTAGAAATACAGCTAACCAAGAAGGTCAAAGAGCTCTACAATGAGAACTACAAACACTGCTCAAATAAAAATCAGAGATGACACAAACAAATTTTAAAAATTCCAAGGTCATGCATTTAAAAAAATCAGTATTATTAAAATGGTCATACTGCCCGAAGCAATTTACAGATTCAATGCTATTCCTAACAAACTAGCAATGACATTCTTCACAGAACTTTTTTTTAAAAAAGACTGAATAGCCATGAAAATCCAAAGCAAAAATAACAATGCTGGAAGTATCACACTACCTGACTTCAAACTATACTACAGGGCTACAGTAACCAAAGTGGCATGGTACTGATACAAAAACAGAAACATAGACACATGAAACAGCATAGAGAGCCCAGACACCCACAACCATCTGATCTTTGACAAAGCTTAAAAAAACATGCAATGAATAAAGAACTTCCAATTTAATAAATGATGCTGGGAGAACTGGCTAGCCATATGCAGAAGATTGAAACGGGACCCCTTCTTTAAACCATACACAAAACTCAAGATGAATCAAAGACTAAAATGTAAAATCCATAACTAAACCCTGGTATACAACCTAGTACCATCCTGGACATACAGACAGGCAAAGATTTCATGACGAAGATGCCAAAAGCAATTGCACTGAAAGGAAAAACTGGCAAATGGGGTCTAATTAAACTAAAGAGCTTCTGTACAGCAAAAGATACTACTGACAGAGTAAACAGACAACATACAGAATGGGAGAGAATTTCTGCAAACTATGTATCTGACAAACGTCTCATATTCAACATCTATATGGAACTTAAACAAATCTAAAAGAAAAAAACAACTCCATTAAAAAGTGGGCAAAGGACAAGAACACTTTTCAAAAAAAAGATATACATGCAGCCAACAATCATTTTTAAAAAGCTCAACATAACTGATTAGAGAAATGCAAATCAAAACCACAATGAGATATCATCTCACACCAGTTGGAATGGCTATTACTAAAAAGTCAGAAAATAACAAAACAAAACAAAACGCTTATACACTGTTGGTAGGACTGTAAATTTGTTCAAACATTGTGGAACACAGTGTGGTGATTTCACAAAGACTGAAAAAAAGAACTGCCATTTGACCCAGCAATCCCATTACTGGGTAAATACCCAAAGAAATATAAATCATTCTATCATAAAGACACATGCACACTTATGTTCACTGCAGCACTATTTACAATAGCAAAGACATAGAATCAACCTAAATGCCCATAAATGGTAGACTGGATAAAGAAAATTAGGTACCTATATGCCATGTAATACTATGCAGCCATTAAAAAAAAATGAGATCATGTCCTTCACAGAAGCATGGGTGGAGTGGGAGGCCATTATTATTAGCTACTAATGCAGGAACAGAAAACCAAATATTGCATTTCCCTAAGGGAGAACTAAATGAGAACACACGGACACATAGAAGGGAACAACAGACATGGGGTGCCTACTGGAGGGTAGACAGCAAAAGGATGGAGAGAATCAGAAAAATAACTAATGCGTACTAAGCTTAATACCTGGGTAATGAAATAATCTGTACAACCAACCAACCCCCATTACACGAGTTTACCTATATAACAAACCTGCACATGTACCCCGTGCTTGAAATAAAAAAATAAAGAAAAAATAATAAAGCTGAATTTATTTTTAAGAAGGTGTATACAATCACGCTGAATATTAAAGCAACATTCATGTACGGTGTTTATTAATTCTTCAAAGATTTGATAAACAACAGAAAGTTCTATTTTCAGATATTATATGGTAGCCGGGAAAAAAAAATTCTCTAATAGCAACTACTATGGCATAATAAAACTAAATGGTCTTCATAGTAATCTAAAATCTAATTAATACAAAATGTAAAATAATCTCATATTTTATGACATAATTTTAATCAGTCTTAAAATATTATAAATACACTAAAGTGCCTCCAAACTTAAAAAAAAGTATAACTCAGTCATTCTGAATTTAGATATCTGTTGCTTTCAAAGATAAAATTTCACCTAATTACATACAGTATTTAAAAGAAAATTATAGGGGAGGCGGCAGGAGGACCTGCAGTGGGCCTGCTTCGGCCTTCTCTCTGGCCTGGTTTCCCTCAGCGTGCGACTGTGCACTCAGCCCAGCACCATGGGGAAGTGGGACAACCGCGTGGTACTGCCAAAATTATGACATGATACCAACGGAATTAGAATGTGATCAATACTGTTAAAAACAAAAACAAAAACCTGAAACCAGTTAAATTTAACAAAGGTTATTTGAACAAGAAAATGATTCTAGAACTGGAGGAATATGTTCTACATCCTGGCCTATATAAACCCAATAGCAATGGCGAGATCAAGGGGTCCAATCCAGTCTTCAGGGCCAACAATACAGGATTATTTGAATCGACCAAGGCCTACCTGGGAAGAAGTAAAAGAGCAACTAGAAGAGGAGAAAAGAAAGGCTCCAAGGTTTTGGCTGAATTTGAAGAAAAAAATGAATGAGAACTGGAAGAAAGAACTAGAAAGAGACAGGGAGAAATTGTTAAGTGGAAGTGAGAGCTCATCAAAACAAAAAAAGAAAAGAATAAATTTGGTAGGTATTCATCTTCTTCTTCATTAAGCTCTAATTCTTCCAGCAGTTCTTCTGATTGTGAAAATGAGGATAAGAAACAAGGAAAACAGAGAAAGAAAAAGAACCGTTGACATAAATCTTCTGAAAGCTCCATGTCATAATCTGAATCAGACAGTAAGGATAGTTTAAAAAAGAAAAAGAAGTCAAAAGATGCAACGGAGAAAGAAAAGGACATTAAAGGGCTCAGCAAAAAGAGAACGATAAATTCTTAAGATAAACCTTTATCATCCAAGTCCTTGTCAGAATCACAGTTTACTGAGGAGGTACGAGCAAAAAAGAAGAAAAGCAGTGAAAAATGAGAAAAAGCAACAGAAAAAAAACAAAAAAAGAAAAAGAAGCATAAGAAACATAGTAAGAAGAAAAAGAAGGCTGCTAGTTCAAGTCCTGACTCACCATAACATTAAGAAAAATCAGGATTCCCTTATAAAGAAAGTGCAATGTCTGAGGAAATTTCAACTGTGAAAACTACAACATATTTACTAAAATCCACGAATTTTCTTGTGTTTAGAATTATTCCTGGACTATTCAGTAGCCACTCAGATGCCACTGTGTGAAAGGGCCACAAATGTTGCCTGCCGCTTGAACATCTGTTTTTTTCTCTTCCAGTGCTTGATAATTCTGGGAGATAATACTCTGCAGTCAGACTAGTGGTTATTTGGGAATAAAATTAATACTTTTAGCTAGAAGTGTCCTAGGATAAACCAACAGAAATTGAATCTGGATACATCTTTGAGATGTAGTCAGAAATGACCAGATGACTCTAGTTAAAATTTTTGGAGGAGGGATTACATTAATATTTCAAAACCCTTACTCTGTAGAGAAGCATATTTTAATTTTTTCCCCTCGTATACTTTTATTTACCTGGGGAAGGAGCTTTTAGGGTTGCGGAGCTGGTTTGCTATCTCTTTAGCTAGCAGAATAGTGTGCCTTTGATCCTCACACATCCTGTATTGTGGACATAGTAGCCACACTTCACTGAGAGGTCAGAGCTGGGTACCAGCAGTCTTGCCCTTTACTGAGCTTAGTGTCATCCTTTACTGAGCTTAGTGTCATCCTTTAATTTTCTTTTTTATTTTTATTAAGTAAAATAGCTATTTATTCAGCCTGTTGTCATGCCAATATGTTCTGTCATATGCTGCTTTGAGTGAACCAGAGAAACAGCCATTTGCAGCATGAGAAAGCCCCAAAAGCTCTGGGATTTACCTCCACTTCAATAATAATGAATATTTTTTAGCATTAGAATGTGCTATGTCATTTGAATTAATTTTGATTACACTTTGGCTTGGGAGAGGAATTATTTTAAATAGACACTGGTACTTTTTGAACTTGATAGCTGAAGATTCTAAAACGCATGTTTTATACTAAGTTTTATGTTGGGAATAGGACCCCCAAAATCTGGCCATAAACTGGCCCCAAAACTGGCCAAAAATAAACTCTCTGCAACACTGTGACACGTTCGTGATGGCTATGACGCCCACGCTGGAAGGTTGTGGGTTTACCGGAATGAGGGCAAGGAACACCTGGCCCACCCAGGGCAGAAAACCACTTAAACGCCTTCTTAAACCACAAACAATAGCACGAGCTATCTGTGCCTTAAGGACATGCTCCTGCTGCAGATAACTAGCCAAACCCATCCATTTTGGCCCACCCCTTTGTTTCCAATAAGGAATAATTTTAGTTAATCTATAATCTATAGAAACAAAGCTTATCACTGACACCAGTAATCAGAATGAGGCAGGATTTTCTCAATGAAGTGGTAGGAGAATTTTATTCTTTAATTTCAGTTATATCTTAATTATGTCTAAATACAGTAGATGTTTTCAGAAGGGTATTAATTTCAGGAATTCAAAGAAAAAACTAGATTTTAGAAAAAACTTTTATTATGTGCTGTTGAATTTGGACTTTGTGTTTGATATTCCTTATTTTATAATTTTCTTTTTTCATTTTTATTAAGTAAAATAGCTATTTATTCAGCCTGTTGTCATGCCAATATGTTCTGTGCATATACCACTATATTTAGCACATCCTTTGTAACAGGCAAAATTGTACATCAAGTTATATTTCATGTTACCTGATTGTATAAAAATGTAAAATGAAAATGAATTATTAATTTATTTTAACATTCCTAGTAAAGAATTCAGCAGAAATAAGACTGCACACCTACAGCTAAGGGAGGAGACCACCCCTCTTATTGTCTTATGCCCAATTTCTGCCTCCAAAGAAAGAAGAAGTAAAAACTAAAAGGCAGAAATGAAATCCACAGGCAGACAGCCCGGCACCAGGCTCTGGGTGTGGTAGTTAAAGATAGACACCTGACCCAACTGGTTATGTTATCTATAGATTCCAGACATTGTATGGAAGAGCATTGTAAAAATCCCTGTCCTGTTCTGTTTCGTTCTGATTACTGGTGAGCCCTTAAAAGGGACAGGAATTGCTCACTCAGGGAGCTCGGCTCTTCAGACAGGAGTCTTGCCAATGCTCCTGGTTGAATAAACCTCTTCCTTCTTTAACTCAGTGTCTGAGGAGTTTTGTCTTAGGTTCGTCCTGCTATATTTCTTGGTTCCCTGACTGGGAAGTGAGGTGATTGGCGGATGGTTGCGGCAGCTCCTTATGCAGCTTAAGCCTGCCCTGTGGAACATCCCTGCGGGGGACTCCAACCAGCCCAAGCAACGCAGATCCTGAGAGTGCTCCCGGGTAGGCATTTGCCCTGGTGGGATGCCTCACCAGAGCAGTGTGTGGCAGGCTCCCATGGAGGATCAATGCAGTGGCTAAACACCGGGAAGGAACTAGTACTTGGAGTCCGGACATCTGAAACTTGGTAAGACTAGTCTCGAGAACTTGCCCACTCCATTTGAGTGGAAGCATGGACTGATCACCCACAGCGTGCCTTTATCTGCACTTTGGTTTTGGTTTTGGTTTTGACTTGGTTTAAATTGCTTGACAGGACTGGTCTTGGGAACTTGCCTACTCCATTTGAGTGGAAGCGTGGCCTGATCACCCACGGTGTGCCTGTACCAGCACTCTGGTTTTTGTTTTTGACTTGACTTGGATTGTTTGATACTTTGGTTTTGGTTTTGACCTGGCTTGGATTTCTGGATACTCTGATTTTGGTTTTGATTTTGGTTTGGTGTAAACTGCAAAAGTGTGTGTGTGCCCTTTTTACCCGTTCTTTGTTTTGTGGTGTGCGTGTGGTTTGAGCATGGTGTTTTGTCTCGAAGAAGCATGGGTCAGGCACAAATAAGCCCACCCTACTAGGAACTATGTTAAAAAATTTCAAAAAAGGATTTAAAGGAGACTATGGAGTACTATGACACCAGGAAAATGTAAAACTTTGTGTAAAACAGACTGGCCAGCATTAGAGGTGGATTGGCCATCAGAAAGAAGCCTGGATAGGTCCCTTGTTTCAAAGGTATGGCACAAGGTAACCTGTAAAGCCAGGGCACCCAGACCAGTTCCCTTACACAGATGCTTGGTTACAGCTGGTTTTAGATCTCTCCACAGTGGTTGAGAGAACTGCAGCATAAGCCAGGCTGAGAGAGAGAGAGAGAGAGACAGAGAAGAGAGAGGAAGAGACAGAGGCAAAAGGAAAGTCAAAGAGAGAGAGACAAAGTCAAAGACAGAAAGAAAGAGAGAGAGATATATACAAGTAGCTAAGAAAAAAAAAAACAGCGTACCTTATTCCTTTAAAAGCAAAGGTAAATTTAAAACCTGTAATTGATAATTGAAGGTATTCTCCGTAACCCTATAACACTCCAATACCACTTTGTTGTCACTGTAAACAAGGGCGTATCCCGAAAGCACTGAGGCTTTCCTATCAAAAGTCCTTAACCCAGTAATCCACAGATGGCCCAAATGCATTCGATCTGTAGCAGCAACTGCTTTGCTAACAGAAAAACAGTAAAAAAAATAACTTTTAGAGGAAACCTCATTGTGAGCACACCTCACCAGTTCAGAAGTAACCTAAGGAAAAAAGGGGGGGGCGGAATTTATGTAAAAAGAGTATTATATGGTAAACTCTTGTCCTGAAATAAATTAACTAGCTGTTTAAAGAAACAAATATTTGTAATAAGTCAGAAAGTTGAGGCATGTCAAAGAATTGTCTGCAAAAGTCGTGAAAGAGGAAAATGTTATAGAAAAACACTTTATGTGCAAGATGTATAAGGAAAGTAAAATATACCTCTGGTAAAAGAATTATAAGGAGGCATAAGACTATAAATTTTTACCTACATCAAAAGGTTAAAAATATGTATACTTTGTTTTAAAGGTTTAATCAAGTTTTAAAATGTTAATTGGAAAGAAAATTCTGTGTGTAAACACTGGCTAAAGTTAAAGAGGTATCATCCAGTTTTTCTGTAAACTGGACATTAAAATAAAAGCACAGCAGGTTTTTCTTAAAGCACCAACCTGCTCTTTAACAAAAATTATGAAAGGTTAAAAAGAGTCCATAAAATCTTACCTTATGGTCAAACATTAACAATTGGATAAATACGTCTATCAGGTTTTATTAAAATTAGGTTTAACATTAATAACACACTAATACAAAGGTAAAATTTAGCTTATCTGGTATAAAAATCATACAAAAAGCATTGTTAAATGTAAAATGGTATCTGGCTTTCTTTGGTTTAAAAACTAATAAAAATAGGTGCTAAAGGAATTTTCTCAGTAAAAAGGCACTTAGGACTATGAAGTCCACTGCCAAGGTCCCCACATTTAAAACAAAAGGTCAATTTCTTTAAAATTATATACTTCATTTATCTTCCACTTTCCTTTCCCTCAAAAACTCAGTCTTTTAGCACATGTACCACCCCTAGAATTTCCGGCAAATCAGCACCAGTTTGAAGATCACGTTCTCATCAAAGGGTGGAAAGAAGAAAAACTTGAGCCAGCCTGGAAGTACCCTACCTTGTGCTGCTAACCACCAAGACTGCTGTTCGTACATCAAAAAAAAAAAAAAGGGGGGGGGGGGATGGACTCATAACACCAGAGTCAAGAAAGCACCACCCCATCCAGAGTTGTGGGCCATGGTCCCAGGGGAAAACCCTACCAAAGCTAAGAAAAATGTAACTCTTTTCATCTATTCTATTACTCTTTCTTCTTTCCTCATTCTATTGCTGACCATCTAGTTATTAACATAACCATGTTAATTTCACCTCAAACTATTGCATTTAATGCTTGCCTTGTTATACCCTGTGGAGACTTGCAAGTCAAAGACAGCTTTCTACTTCAGAAAAGTACTTCTGTCCCTCCTGACCCTCCTCAGACTGGGCATTAGTAAACTAGGACCATTAATCCAGGGAGATTTCGATAAAGACCCCAGTGCCAACCAGGAGTCTTGCCCCCCAATGTAGAGCTTTCATGCCATAGCTGGTCCAACATTCTGTGGACCACTAAAGGGCAAGGATGGACTGCCCCAACCGGTTTTTGTAATTTCCTAAAATCATACCTTCATTTTACTAGAGGGTCATCGAAGTTAAAGACTTAAAACAAACTTTAGCAATAAAGACAGGATACCAAGATGCAAATGCCTGGTTAAAATGGATCAAATAATCCATCTGCACATTAAACAAAGGCAATTGTTATACTTGTGCACATGGCAGGCCAGAGGCCCAAACTGTCCCCCTTCCACTAATGTGGTCCTCCAGTAGACCAGGCGTAGGCTGCATGGTAGCTCTTTTCCAGGATTCTACAGCCTGGAGTAGTAAGTCATGCCAAGCTCTCTCTGCCATATCCTGAAGTCCGGCACCCTGCGGGTCAGCCCCCAAGGGCCATCCAGCTTCCGTCTCCCAACACTAAGTTCACTTTGTGTCTCTCACGACAAGGAGAAAACTTACCATTCCTTGGAGACCTGAAGGGATGTGATGAGCTTAAGAATTTTCAAGAGCTTATGAATCAGTCAGCCCTTGTTCATCCCCGAGTGGATGTGTGGTGGTACTGTGGTGGACCTTTACTGGGCACTCTGCCGAATAACTGGAGTGGCACTTGTGCTTTAGTCCATTTGGCTATCCCTTTCACCCTGGCATTTCATCAACCAGAGGGAGAAGAAATAAGACATCGTAAAGCAAGAGAAGCCCCTTATAGGTCTTTCAACTCTCACATCTATTTAGATGCAACTGGAGCCCCGCAAGGAATACCAGATCAATTTAAAGCTTGAAATCAAATACCTACAGGATTTAAGTCAATATTTTAGTGGGTGACAGTTAATAAAAATGTAGATTAGATAAACTACATCTATTACAACCAACAGCAACAAGCTTTTCATGAGTTAAAGAAAAACTCATGTCGGCCCCAGCCCTGGGGCTTCCTGACCTGACAAATCCCTTTACACCCTATGTGTCAGAAAAAGAAAAATGGCAGTTGAAGTTTTAACCCAGACTGTAGGGCCCTGGCCAAGGCCAGTGGCCTATCTCTCAAAACAACTAGATGGGGTTTCCAAAGTCTGGCCCCCATGTCTAAGGGCCCTGGCAGCAATGGCCCTGTTAGCACAAGAAGCAGATAAGCTAACTCTTAGGCAAAACCTAAACCTAAAATCCCCCCATGCTGTGGTGACTTTAATAAATACCAAAGGACATCATTAGCTGACAAATGCTAGACTAACTAGATACCAAAGCTTGCTCTGTGAAAATCCCCGCATAACCACTGAAGTTTACAACACCCTAAACCCCGCCACCTTGCTCCCGGTATCAGAGAGCCCAGTTGAACATAACTATGTAGAGGTATTGGACTCAGTTTATTCTAGTGGGCCCAACCTCTGAGACCATCCTTAAACATCCAGTAGACTGGGAGCTGTACGTGGATGGGAGCAGCTTTGCAAACCCCTGCAAAGTGACTCTGAAGAAGACAAGCCCTCCTCCAGTCACACGCGGAAACTGACTGGTCCACGCACGGCTGAAGCATGAGGAAACTCATCGCGGGACTCATTTTCCTTAAAATTTGGACTTGTACAGTAAGGACTTCAACTGACCTTCCTCAGACTGAGGGCTGTTCGCAGTGTATACATCAAGTCACTGAGGTAGGAGAAAAGGTTGCTATGGTCCTATTATTTTATGGTTATTATAAGTGTACTGGAACTCTAAAAAGAACTTGTTTGTACAATGTTATTCTATACAAGGTATTTAGCCCAGGAAATGACCAACCTGATGTGTGTTATGACCCATCTGAGCCTCCCATGACCACAGTTTTTAAAATAAGATTAAGAACTGAAGACTGGTGGGGGCTCATAAATGATACGAGTAAAGTGTGAGCCAAAACAGAAAAAAAAGAGGTGCCCAAACAAGTCACCTTAAAATTTGATGCCTGTGCTGTCATTAATAAGTTAAAAATAGGATGTGGTTCTCTTAATTAGGAAAGAGGCTATATGGCAGAAAATAAGTACATTTATCATGAATTAGGACTGTGTGAAAATAAATGTAGATACTGGTCTTGTGTCATTTAGGCTACTTAAATTTAAAAAAATGAAAAAAATCCTGTCTACCTTCAGCAAGGGAAAAGTGGCCCTTCCTGTACCAGTGGTCAGTGTAACCCCTTAGAACTAGTAATAACCCTTAATCCTCGTTAGAAAAAAGGGGAACGTGTAACCCTAAAAATTGATAGAGCTGGACTGGATCTTCAAGTAAATATCGTGGTTTGAGAAAAAGTTTATAAACGCTCTCCTGAGCCAGTATTTCAAACCTTCTACAATAAACTAAATGTGCCAGTACCAAAAATTCCAAGAAAAACAAGAAATTTGTTTTTGCAATTAGCCGAGCATGTAGCGCAGTCTCTCAATGTCACTTCATGTTATGTATGTGGAGGAACTGTAATAGGAGATCAATGGCCATAGGAAGCCCGAGAATTAGTACCTACAGACCCAGTTCCTGAATGAATTCCCGGCCCAAAAGAATCACCCTGATCACTTCTAGGTCCTAAAAGCCTCAATGATTAGGCAATACTGTATAGCAAGAGTGGGGAAGGAGTTCACCCTTCCTGTAGGAAGACCACATGGTGGAGTTCAAACGACACAGAGTAAATTTCCAAAGCTGCAGACCATTTAGGCCTACCCAGAATTCCACTGGGACTGGACGGCCCCCACCGGGCTATAATGGATATGTGGACATAGAGCCTACACTAAGCTGCCTGATCAGTGGACAGGTAGTTGTGTTATTGGCACTATTAAACCATCTTTCTTCCTACTGCCCATAAAAACAGGCGAACTCCTGGGCTTCCCTGTCTATGCTTCCTGCGAAAAGAGAAGCATAGCCATAGATAATTAAAAAGATGATAAACGGCCTCCTGAAAAAATTATACAATACTATGGGCCTGCCGCTTGGGCACAAGACGGCTCGTGGGGATACCCAACCCCCATTAACATGCTCAACCAAATCATGTAGTTGCTGTCTTGGAGATTATCACTAATAAAACTGGTAAAACCTTGACTGTTCTGGCCCGGCAAGAAACTCAGATGAGAAATGTTATCTATCAAAATAAACTGACTCTCGACTACTTGCTAGCAGCTGAAAGAGAAGTCTGTAGAAAATTTAACCTTACCAACTGCTGCCTGCACATAGATGATCAGGGGCAAGTAGTCGAAGATACAGTTAAAGACATGATGAAACTGGCAAGTGCCTGTACAAGTGTGGCACGGATTTGACCCTGAGGCCATGTTTAAAAATGGTTCCCAGTGCTAGGAGGATTTAAAACTCTTATAATAAAAATTATAGTAGTAATAGGAACCTGCTTACTGATCCCTTATTTACTACCTGCACTCATTCAAATGGTAAAAGGTTTCATCGCTACTCTAGTTCACCAGAATGCTTCAGCAGAAGTGTATTACAATAAATCACTATCTGTCATGCAGGGAGACACAGATGGTAAAGATAAAAGTGAGAACTCCCACTAATAAAATGAGTGAGAGTCTCAAAGTGGGGGAATAAAGGAGGAGACTGCCCCTCATATTGTCTTATGCCCAATTTCTGCTTCCAAAGAAAGAAGAAGTAAAAACTAAAAGGCAGAAATGAAATCCACAGGCAGAAAGCCCGGCCCCGTGCTCTGGGCGTGATAGTTAAAGATCGACCCCTGACCTAACCTGTTATGTTATCTATAGATTCCAGACATTGTATGGAAGAGCATTGTAAAAATCCCTGTCCTGTTATGTTTCGTTCTGATTACTGGTGCATGCAGTCCCCAGTCATGCACCCCCTGCTTGCTCAATTGATCACAGCCCTCTCACGTGGACCCCCTTAGAGTTGTGAGCCCTTAAAAGGGACAGGAATTGCTCACTCGGGGAGCTTGGCTCTTGAGACAGGAGTCTTGCCAATGCTCCCAGCTGAATAAACCTCTTCCTTCTTTAACTCAGTGTCTGAGGAGTTTTGTCTGCAGCTCGTCCTGCTACACAGCCATTTGATCCTCGACAAACCTAACAAAATCAAGCAATTGGGAAAAGATTCCCTATTTAATAAATGGGGCTAAGATAACTGGCTAGCCATATGCAGAAAGTTGAAACTGGATCCCTTCCTTATACCATACACAAAAATTAACTCAAGATGGATTAAAGACTTTTACATTTGTAAAACCCAAAACTATAAAAACCCTAGAAGAAAATCTAGGTAGTACCATTCAGCACATAGGCACAGGCAAAGTTTTCATGATGAAAATGCCAAAAGCAATTGCAACAAAAGCAAAAATTGGCAAATGGGATCTAATTAAACTAAAGAGCTTCTGCACGGCAAAAGAAATGATCATCAGAGTGAACAGACAACCTACAGAATGGGAGAAAATTTTTGAAATCTATCCATCTGACAAAGGTCCAATATTCAGAGTCTACAAGGAATGTAAACAAATCTACAAGAAAAAAACAACCCTATTAAAAAGTGGGCAAAGGACATGAACAGACACTTCTCAAAAGAAGACATACATGCAGCCAATAAACATATGAAAAAAAAAAAAGCTTAACATCACTGATCATGAGAAAAATGCAAATGAAAACCACAGTGAGATACCATCTCATGCCAATCAAAATGGCTATTAAAAAGTCAAAAAACAGTCTGGGGGCAGTGGCTTACACCTGTAATCCCAGCACTTTGGGAGGCCGAGGCAGGTGGATCACTTGAGGCCAGGAGTTCAAGACCAGCCTGGCCAACAAGTGAAACCTTGCCTCTATTAAAAAATAGAAAAAAATAGCTGGGCATGGTGGTGCATGCCACCATGTAATCCCAGCTACTCAGGAGGTTGAGGCATGAAAATCACTTGAACACAGGAGGTGGAGGTTGCATTGAGTTGACATCATGCCATTATATTCCAGCCTGGTGACAGAGTGAGACTGTGTTTCCAAAAAAAAAAAGTAAAAAAAACAACAGATGCTGGTGAGGTTGTGGAGAAAAAGAAGCACTTTTACACTGTTGGTGGGAGTGTAATTAGTTCAACCATTGTGGAATACAGTGTGGCGATTCCTCAAAGACCCAGGGGCAGAAATACCACTTGACTCAACAATCCCATTACCAGATGTACACCCAAAAGAATATAAATCATTCTTTTATAAAGATACATGCACATGTATGTTCACTGTAGTACTATTTACAATAGCAAAGTCATAGAATCAACCTAAATGCCCATCAATGATAGACTGGATAAAGAAAATATAGTACATGCACACCATGGAATACTATGCAGCCATAAAAAGGAATGAGATCATGTCCTTTGCAGGGACACGGATGGAGTTGGAAACCATTATTCTCAGCAAACTAATGTAGAAACAGAAAACCAAACATTGCAGGTTCTCACTTATAAGTGGGAGCTAATTGATGAGAAAACATGAACATGTTGGGGGAACAACACACACTGGGCACCTGTTGGGGGGCTGGGGGGAGGGAAAACATCAGAAAGAATAGCTAATGGATGCTGGGCTTAATACCTAAGTGATGGGATGATCTGTGCAGTAAACCACTATGGCACACATCTATGCAACAAACCTACACATCCTGCACATGTACCCCTGAATTTTTTTTAAAGTCTTGAAAAAAAAAAAAAAAAAGGAAAGGGTGAATTTCAGGGTTTCCACAGTGGCTAAAATGTAGAGAGATGTTCCAGATAAGAAGGCATGGAGGAGAAGCTCCAAATTTTACCCATAACTTCCCCTAACATCTTTGGCTGCATCATGCACTTTGTAAATGCAGTGATGATACCCAAAATTTCAGGAGTCTGCAGCAGTTTAGAAGGTGTAAGAACTGACAGGCTACTGCTTAATGCAGGAAATACAAGATAAAATGGATTTAAATATCTCAAAATGTTCTTGACACACCAAAAGTTGAAACTTTTGGTTCTAGACAAGATAGGATAAGCAAACTCTATTCTATTCTCAAAAATTATAGCAATGGGCTTGTAAAAACTTATAAAGCATCAGTCTAAAGACTCTGAAAGTACAGAAAAGAAGGCAGACTAACTTGGAACAGCAGGAGTGGTTTAACGGCTACTGCCCTGGGTATGTCTTTTGTTTTGTTTTGTTTTGTTTTGTTTTGCCTCCTATATATCCTGGTTCAGTAGCAGAGAACACAGTAACCTGGAAAAGGCAACTGAAAAAGAATTAAAAAAAAAAAAAATCTAACATGCTCTCTCTAGCCAAAGAAGCATGGGATAAAGATGGCCTATGCAGAAAGTGATTACTTGACGACACTTTTTCATATTCTGGCAAACATCACACACAAGTAAGACATAACACTTCTCTTTCCACAGTGCTAGTGTTACAAAAACTAGGAGCAGAACTCTTTCATCCTCACCCTGCAATATTGAGGCCTAGCTTCTCCCAACCCAAATTGAATTGAATGCACTGTTAAAGCAAATACTGAACAGGGCTCTGTCTTCCATTCTCATCCTGCCATTTAGGTGCAGCCTATCACCCCACCCCCATGGGCTTTGCATTCAGGGAGACTGTAAGTGGAGCTCTCCCTTACATTCCTGCCCCACAGTAATTAGGGAATGCTTTGTTTCATCTACCTCCTGATCACCACCTTGATGAGGGAAAAATTGCCTATTAGGGTTAAGAATATGACCAAACACATGATGCCTGGCACTGGTAAAACTGACTTTAGCTTATTAACTACATATTCTCACATGCCAAGGAAGAAACACCTTGGACACCACACAGAATCACAGAGGGAGTGGTGCTTGCAAGCAGAGTTTAAATGTTGGTGATAATCAGAGATTTTGAAAGTTTTGTTTCTAAACTTCTGCCTTACCTTTTTCTTTTGTGCTTACTTTTTAGCAGACTCTTAGTTACTTATTTTTAAGTTTATCAATTCGTTTATCTGCTTGCTCAAGTGCTCCGTTAAAGCCCTCTAGTAAATTTTTTATTTCAGTTAGGATACTTTTGTTCTAGAATTTCTATTTGGTTGACTTTTTTAAAATCCCTATTTGTTTAGTGATATATTCTATTTGGTGGAACATTGTTTTACTCACTTGCTTTACTTTTTGTTCATTTTTCTTTAGGCTTTTAAAACATGCTTATGAAAGTTGATTTAAAGGCTTAGTTTAATAAATATTACGTCTGTGCTTCCTAAGACAGTTTCTGTTAATTCATTAGTATTTTCCTGTGAATAATATTTTGTTGTTCATTTGAATGACTAATTATTTTTTTATTTGCTTATTTATTTTATTTTTTGGAGATGGGGTCTTCCTATGTTGCCCAGTCTGCAGTACAGTGGTTATTCACAGACTCAATCATAGGGCACTGAAATGCCTAGGCTTAAACAATTCTTCCATCTCAGCCTCCTGAGTTATCTGGGACCTGTAGCGCAAATCATCTTGCCTGGCTCATCATTTTTTATTGCTGAAAAGTGGACATGTTGAATACCATACTGTAGTAAATCTGGAAATCAAATTCTCCTCCCTCCCTAGGCTTTGTGGCTGTTTGCTGTGAGTTGTGGTAACTTATTTAGTGATCATTTCTGTTTATTTTTAAAGCTCTATTCTTTGTCTTAAGTGGTCACTGAAACCTATGTTTCATTAGTTGTTGGCTCTAGATTTGAGAGAGGATTTTTTAAACGTCTAGAGAATACACATTTTTGTTTTTTTTTGGGGGGACTGAATCTCACTCTGTCACCAGGCTGGAGTGCAGTGGTGTGATCTCAGCTCACTGCAACCACCAACCACCTCCCAGGTTCAAGCGATTCTCTTGCCTCAGCCTCCTGAGTAGCTAGGACTAAAGGCATGTGCCACCACATCCAGCTAATTTTTGAATTTTTAGTAGAGACGGGGTTTCAACATGTTGGCCAGTATGGTCTCGATCTCTTGACCTCGTGATCTGCCCACCTCAGCTTCCCAAAGTGCTGGGATTACAGGTGTGTGCCACCGTGCCCGGCCAAGATCTTTAAGCATTTTGTTTTCTATTTCTAACATTTTCTGTTTAATGTATACTTTCTCAGTTTGCCTGATTTCTCCACAAAATTAATTTATATATTCACTTATTAGCCATTTAAGGTTCATAGATATGTATTACTTTAATTCGTTTCCTACTTAATTGGGACTAAATTTACCCAAAGATACCTGTGTTTTCAGCTATGCTACCTTTGGCACCTCCAATAGTTTTGCTCCACTGACCATGCATAATTCAGCTCAGATGTCCACGAGCCCATGTTTAACATAACAGATCTAGACAGAAAACGATTAACTGGCCATCTCCTTGTCATGGATGCAGGCTCTGTCTCCTTTTCTCATCTTCTACTACTCTACAGTCTTAAATCACATTTTCAAGTAAAACATAATAGAAAAAATTTGTCTCTTCTTTATCAAGCAAGTAATTCAAATTCTAGGTCCTAGTTTCAAGTCTCTCTCAGAGTGACTCCTGTTCTGTTATTGCTGTTGTCAGACTTCTGTACCTTACTCTAGGCCCATCTATAAACTTTCTTGTAAAATTCAGTTGTAGCAAATTACCTTGAAAAGTCAGTTTAGCAAGAACACTTCATCCTTAATATCTGATCAGCCTCAATGTTTCATAAGGTTTCTCACTGTCCGCCATCGCACAAGTCTGATCACCCTGGCTGTCCCCAGCAAGAATTGGTTTGGTCACTTTAACCAGAATACCCCTCATCCTTGTTTCCTCTTAGTAAGTTTTCACCCATCAACCCTTAGCCTGCTCCTTGCCTATAAGTTCTTACTTATCCATACTGTCTGTATTTAGAGTTGAGCACAATCTTTCTCCCCAACTACAAAATCTTACTGCAGTGGTGTCTATACCCATCTTATTATTCTGAATAAAGTGTTTCTCATTATGCTTTAACAAGTATCATGGAATATTTTTTAACATGTTTGACATGTAATTTGTAAATAGTGTTCCTCACACATGGACAGCCAAAAGTGATCAGCCTTAGCTGGAGATAGAGCAAGGTAAATACCTAGCTGTAGTTTTTTTCAGAATTCTCAGTTGTTAGCTCATCTCAATTAATAGTCATATTTGCTTATTTATGCATATTTTAAATATTAATGGTTTGAGAGGAGAGTGGATAAACGGTTCGTTTAAGGAAGTTCTTGTATCACCAAGGTAGTCATTAATTTTCCTATTTAAGCCTTGAACATTTTCATGCCTGAGAACAGGTACCTGGAAATCATGTATTCATTCAACAGTGAGCTGTTGACTGCTTTAGGCCTTGTGACAAATGAACAAATAATTCAATATAAAATATCCTGCCCCAATGACAGTATAAAGCTCTGCAACAAAATGTTAATTCAATTGGTGTGGACTTCCCCAACAATGTACATTTTAAAGGTCTTCAGAACTGGCTCTAGACTTGCCCCTAGAAGGTAACCTCCACAACCTTGGAAAATTCTACCTGATAAGAAAGATTGTCTTAGCTCACTTGAGGTCTTGGGCAGCAACAGATATATGATTCTAACCATATAAGTGGAAGTGAATCTCTTGTTTTTGGATGCATGGGTCTCTGGGCCATGCTGTATTAGTTTGATCTCTACAGTAGAAATGGTGATTGAGTAGCTAGAGCCAATCATGTGCCCAATGCATGCCTATGCAATTGAATCCCAACAAAATACTTTGGACACCAAGACTCTGGTTGGTTTCTCTACTTGGCAAAACTTTGCACATGTCACATTATGACTGGGAAAATTATGTACTGCTTGTGTGACTCCACTGTGACAGGACAACTGGAGGCATGCACTTGGTCTCCTTTGAAAGCTTTCCTACCTCCTATTTTTTTTTCCCTAAATATAATCTGTATCTTTTCTATTTAATAAATTGTAGCCATAAATGTAACAGTTTTTCTAAGTGTTTTTAGTTTTTCTAATGAGTCATCAATTCTGACAGTGGTCAAGGAACTCCTGACAAAGTTAAATCAAAAGTGGAATTGCCTGTAATCCCAGCTACTTGGGAGGCCAAGGTATGAGAATTGCTTGAACCTGGGAGGTGGACGTTGCAGGGAGCTGTGATTGTGCCACTGCACTCCAGCCTGGGCGACAAGGCAAGACTCTGTCTCAAAAAAAAAAAAAAAAAGAAAAAAGAAAAAAAAAGAAATTTTCTAAAATGGACTTATTGAATTGTTGCAAAGTTATCATTATAGAAAAGGAAGAATTAATAGTAGGGGTTCATAAATATAATATTTGTTGCCTGGATGTCTACTGAATCATACATGGAATAAGACATCAGGTATGCTGTGAACAGTTATTAGATGTAAAGGTTACCAATAGAACTTAGAAATAATAGACCCAACGGATCTATTATTTCTAAGGAGTCAGAGCAACGGATACATAATAAGTAAAATAAATAAAAACAAGTGTTTAAAAATCTTAACAGGGAGGCTATTATAGTGGCAGTTCCAGTGCTTTAGGTTTCTAAGTAAGAAAGCCAGAATGCAATATAAACAGAACAAACAAAACTAGGGACTTTACCTATCAGAAATTGCCAATTAACCTTCAACTAAAATATAATCCTTTTAAGAACTACTTTTACAAAATATATATGACCAACTTATTAATGACAAAGTTGACAGTGCAGTAAGTAAATAATGTCTTATACTGGCACTAGTGGTGCCAAGCCTATTAGACATTCACACACACACACAGAAAAGATCTTGATTCTTATCTCAGGCCACACACATAAATTGATTATAGATGACTGTAGCTCTGAATGCAAAAGTTAAAATTATAAAGCTCTTAGAAGAAAACATAAGAGTGACATATGTATTATAATTGGCAAAACTTTTAAAAATAGAAACCAGGACCAGGTGTGGTGTCTCATACCTGTAATCTAAGAACTTTGGGAGGATTAGGCAGAAGAATCACTTGAGGGAAGGAGTTCAAGACCAGCCTGGGCAACATAGTGAGAATGCGTCTCTACAAAAAAAAAAAAAAAAAAAAAATTAGCTGGGCAAGTGGCATGCCCCTGTGGTCCTAGCTACCTGGGAAGCTGAGATGGAAGGATTGAAGGATTGCTTAAGTCCAGAAGTTTGCGGCTACAGTCAGCTATGACAATGTCAATGCACTTCACCAAGGGTGACAGAGTAAAACCTATCTCATACACACATATATACATATATAATAACAAATTAATTAACAAAAATAACCAGAAAAAAAGAAAAATTGATGTGACTACATTCAATTTAAGAAATTATTATCAAAATTAAGAAAATAAAAAACTAGAGTGGAAGAAGATATTCGTGTGTGTGTGTGTGCGTGTGTATATATCTGACAATATACTTGTATCCAGAATGTATAGAGTATTTGCAAATTAATAAGAAAAAGGTAGACAATGCAATATAACAATGCAAAAGTCTTAAACTGATACTTAAGAAAAATTACCTTCAGATGGCCATTAAACATATAAAATGACATCAACTTTATTAGTTATCAAGGAAATGCAAATTATATCTCAATGCAGTTCAGTTACATAGCCACCAAAATAATTAACATGAAAAAAGAAAACATACGAAATGTTTGCCAAGGTGTACAACAAATGAAACTCTCATGCGCTGCTGGTGGAAATGTAAATTGTAAGGACCACATTAGAAAACCATTTGGCAGTATATACTAAAGCTGAACATACGCATAACCTATAATCTAGCACTTTTTCTAGGTCTCTAGCATACAGCAATGTGACTACCTTGGCAACAAAGACATGCACTAAAAAGTTCAAAGCAAGAGTATTCATAATAGTCCCAAACTAGACACAATCGAAATTTTATCAACAATACAAGTTGATTTTATACAATGGAATACAATACAGCAATAAGTATAGATAGATTAGATTATGGATGAAAAAGAAGCAATGCGCCACTAAGAATGTTGAGTGAACGAAGCCAATCATAAAGAGTACACATTTTATGACCATAAAGTTCATAAATAGACAAAACTACTTAATGGTTTTAGAAATCAGGGTAATGTTTGCACTTGGTGGATAGGCAGAAACTACAAGAGGGCATCTAGATTTCTAGTAATCCATGCTTCCTTTAATTTTTCCTTTCTTTCTTTTCCTCTCTTCCTTCCTTCCTTCTTTTCTTTCTTTATTCCTCTTTTTAATGCTCTCCTTCTTGAACTGAGGGCTAGTTACCTAGGTATGTTGCAGAATTTTCTAACATTTATCAAGCTATATACTTATAACTTATGTATATTTATATATGTATAATATACTTCAATATAATTTTAATGACAAGCCCTAATACTTTTCTTAGCAATTGACAGGATACAAATTATAAATAAATATAAGGATTTTATATTTCTAAGAAACCATACTACATTTTCTATTCTTTTTCCTCCTTTTCTTCATATTTATTAAACCTTTTTCATTTCAGCATTCATATTGAAGACTTTGAAAATTATCCAGTGAAAATTGTACATGACCTTTATATAGAAGTCCATACTCTAAATGTATCACTCTTGCAATATTAATTTATCAATTTTCTGTGGTAAAATTTTTTTTTTTTTTTGAGAGGGAGTTTCGTTCTTGAGGCTGGAGTGCAAAGGCGGGATCTCAGCTCACTGCAACCTCCGCTTCCCAAGTTCAAGCAATTCTCCTGCCTCAGCCTCCCAAGTAGCTGGGATTACAGACATGCACCACCACGCCTGGCTAATTCTGTATTTTTAGTAGAGACGGGTATTTTTAGTAGTTGGTCAGGCTGGTCTAGAACTCCCGACCTCAGATGATCCGCCTGCCTTGGCCTCCCAAAGTGCTGAGATTACAGGCATTAGCCACCGTGCCTGGCCTTTTGTGGTAATTTTTGGCCAAAATAGACTTAGAAGTTAGATAAATTATCATGTACTTTCATTCCTCATAAAAGAATGATGTTAATGTTCTTGACAGAAAGACTAGAGACTCAAGGAAGCCCTTAGTTTCATAAAGGCATCAAAAGTAATGAAAACAAAAATTCACTGTGTATCAGGACATTAACAGCTTTTCCAGAAATATGGATATAATTTCTGTCAAAAATATTTAGGTTTGAATAACTTCAATTTTATATCATTTGCTTTAGTATTAAAGGTGAAAGTATGACTAATGAAAGTCAATTTTGCTTTATTTTAAAAAGCAGCAGGGGAGGGCAAGATAGCCAACTAGATGCAGCCAGGTAGAACAGCTCTCACAGAGGGACTGAGATGACAGGTATGCTTTTAACAGATCTTCAGAGGAAAGGCGCTGAGAGTGGACAGAGGGAAGACACAGAAGCTGGTCTGAAGCAGCAGAAAGCTGGAAACAATGCATGGGGCTACTGTACACCGGGACTCATTTTTGGACCACAATAGCTCCAGGAGAACAAGTTGAACTGTCAAGAAGCAATCCACTCTCACAGGCCTCTGGAACCCCGAGCAGGAAGAGACCCCTCGACCACCAGAGACACTTGAGTTAGCAGGGAGAGCTGCTGTCCCTTAGAGCTGCAACCCCTACTTGGTAGAGATAGCAAGCCAGCTGATGCAGAGCCCAAAGGGTTTGATAAAGAAGCATCTGTAGTGAAGTGTGGACTTGGCCAACCATCCCCACAGGCTCAACTTGCTCCAGTAGGAGACTTTAGCAGCCCAGGGGAACTGTCAGATCTGATCTCCACAGGGCTGTCTTGCCTATCAGATGGCGCTGGTCTGACCTGAGCATCCCTTGGTCTGCTGGCCTGTCCTGGGGCCCCAGCCTGGCCATGTCTGCTTGCAGGGCAGTCTTGGGTGTCCTGGGGGCCCACACTGTAGCTTTTGCACTGATGCACTATGCCCGACTGGTGAAGACCTCCAGCGAGATGACCCCTATGACCATGCACAAGCCTGTCTGTTCCCTCCCCATACTGCAGCTTCCCCCAGGGCCATGGTAACTTCCCACATCACTTTGCTGGTGCATGTCTATATGGGCAGGTTTTACTTTAATTGTCCACCTGTGCTGGTGGACCCCCCCACCAACCACCATTGCAGATTCAGCCTTGGCAGGCACAGAGCCAGCAAGCCCTACCCACACTAGCACCCCACCCTTGCACTAACACTGCACAGAGAACAGTGGGTCTTCCCCTGAGCAACACTCCTGAGCAATCTGTGCTTGTAGGGCACAGATTAAGCACCCAGACCTGCACCACTAGCACCCTGGCCCTAAGCCAACACCACCTCCAGCACAATGGCACACACACTCTGCAACAGGGACTCCCACCACTCCTAACCCCAGCTGTATTGCCTTCACCATTCCAATGAACGCCTGTAGCATGGCAAGCACCCCAGCACCCACTAGCACTCTGCTGCAGCTGCTGCACCTCACCCCCCACCATATATACAGTGCAGTGGATTCCAAACCTCCAGGAGCCAGAAAACAAACAAGGTTCAATACAAGTCTCCCAGAGAGCACAAAGTCCAAGATTTGGGAACTGAGTGCTGGCCCCCTAAAATCTGCCAGAAACAAAACCAGTTGGCTGAATCCACATTTTACCACAATCAAATTCTCAAGGCAATCAAATACAATAAAAGAAGAAGAAGAAAGCGCATCCAAAGGCCAGCTACCTCAAAGATTGAAGGTAGATAAACTAACAAAGATGAGAAACAATCAGTGCAAGAACCCTGAATGCCCAAAAAGCTAGAGTGCTTTCTTTCCTCCAAACGGCTGTGTCACCTCTCCAAGAAGGGTTCTGAACCAAGCTGAGATCACTGAAATGACAGAAATAGGATTCAGAATATGGATAGAAATGAAGATCATCTGAGCTATGGGCATACATTGAAACCTAATGCAAGAAAGCTAAAAATCATGACAAAACAATGCAAGAGCTGTCAGACAAAATAGCCAGTATAGAAAAGAACATAACTGTGACAGAACTAAAAAACCCATTCCA
This sequence comes from Homo sapiens, assembly GCF_000001405.40. NCBI lineage: Eukaryota > Metazoa > Chordata > Mammalia > Primates > Hominidae > Homo > Homo sapiens. The sequence continues at coordinate 227,578,566 of NC_000001.11, read as the reverse complement.
AGAATTTTGTAATGCAATGACAAGTATTAATAGCAGAATACACCAAATGGAGAAAAGAATCTCAGTGCTTGAAGACTGACTTTCTAAAATAAGACAATCAGACAAGAATAGTGTAAAAAAAAGAGTTAAAAGGAACAAATAAAACATCCAAGATATATCATGTTATGTAAAGAGAATGAATCTAAGACTCACTGGTGTCCCTGAAGGAAATGGGGAGAATGAAAGCAAGTTGGAAAACGTATTTCAGGATGTCATCCACGAGAACTTTCCCAACATAGCTAGAGAGGCCAACATTCAAATTCAAAAAATGCAGAACGCACCAGTAAGACACATCAAAACAAGATCATCTTTAAGACATATAATCATCAGATTCTCTGAGGTTGAAATAAAAGGAAAAATGTTAAAGACAGCTGGAGAGAAAGGTCAGGTAACCTACAAAGGGAAGCCCATCAGACTAAAAGTGGACCTCTCAACGGAAACCTTAAAAGCCGGAAGAGACTGGGGACCAATATTCGACATTCTTAAGGAAAAGAAATTCCATCCCAGAATTTCATATTCGGCCAAATTAAGATTCATAAGCAAAAAAGAAATAAGATCCTTTTAAGACAAGCAAATGCTGAGGGAATTGATTACCACCAGATCTGCCTTACAAAAACTCCTGAAAAAAGCACTTAATATGGAGAGAAAAGACTGTTACCAGCCACTACAAAAACACACTGAAGTACACAGACCAGTGACACTATAAAGCAACCACATGAACAAGTCTGCAAAATAAACAGCTACCATCATGATGGCAGGATCAAAACCATACATTTTAATACTAACCTTAAATGGAAATGGACTAAATGCCCCAATAAAAAGACACAGAATGTCAAGATAGATAAAGAACCAAGACCCACTGGTATGCTGTCTTCAAGAGACCCATCTCACACACAATGATACATTTAGGCTAAAAATAAAGGGATGGAGGAAAATCTACCAAGCAAATAAAACACAGAAAAAAGCAAGGTTTGCAATCCTAGTTCCTGACAAAACAGATTTTAAACCAACAAAGATCAAAAAAGACAAAGAAGGGCATTACATAATAGTAAAAGATTCAATTCAATAAGAATATCTAACTATCCTAAATACACATGCACCCAGCACAGAAGCACACAGATTCATAAAGCAAGTTCTTAGAGACCTTCAAAGAAATTTAGACTCCCACACAGTAATAGTAGGGGGCTTTAATACCCCACTGACAGTATTAGATCATTGAGACAGAAAATAAACAAAGATATTCAGGACTTGAACTCAGCACTGGATCACATGGACCTGATAGATATCCACAGAACTGTACACCCAAAACCAACAAAATACATATTCTTCTCATAGCCACATGGCACATACTGTAAAATCAATCACATAATCAGAAGAAAGACATTCCTTAGGAAATGCAAAACAACTGAAATCATAACAATCTCTCAGACCACAACACAATCAAACTAAAAATCAAGACTAAGAAATTCACTCAAAACCATTCAAAACCATATAATTACATGGAAATTTAATAATCTGCTTCTGAATGACTTTTGGGCAAATAATAAAATTAAGGTGGAAGTCAGGAAGTTCTTTGAAACTAATGAGAATAAAGATACAACATACCAGAATCTCTAAGACACAGCTAAGGCAGTGCTAAGATGGAAAATTATAACACTAAATGCCAACATCAAAAAGTTAGAAAGATCTCAAATTAACAACCTAACATCACAACTAAAATGACTAGAGAACCAAGTACAAATCCCAAAGCTAGCAGAAGGCAAGACATAACCAAAATCAGAGCTGAACTGAAGAAATCTGAGACATGAAAAACAATTCAAAAGATCAGCAAATCCTGGAGGCATTTTCTTTTTAATTAATAAAATAGACCATGAGCTAGCCTAATAAAGTAAAAAAGAGAGAAGATTCAAATAAATATAATAGAAAACGACAAGGGGGATATTACCACTGATGCCACAGAAATACAACCAATCATTAGAAAATATTATGTATGCCTCTATGCACATAAACTAGAAAATCTAGAGGAAATGGATACATTCCTGGACACACACACCCTCCCCAGACTGAACTAGGAATAAATTCAAACCCTGAACAGACAAATAGTGAGCTCTGAAATTGAGTAATATCTTCCCAACCAAAAAGCAGCACAGGACAAGACAAATTAACAGCTGAATTCTACCAGATGTACAAAGAACAGCTGGTTCCATTCCTGCTGAAACTCTTCCAAAAGCTTGAGGAGAAGGGACTGCTCCCTAACACATTCTCTGAAGCCAGCATCATCCTGATACCAAAACCTGGCAGAGGCAGAACAAAAGAAGAAAACTTCAGGCTGATACTTTTGATGAACATCAATGCAAAAACCTCAGCCTCAACAAAATACTGGCAAACTGAATCCAGCAGCACATCAAAAAGCTTATCCACCATGATCAAGTAGGCTTTATCCCCGGGATGCAAGTTTAGTTCAACATATGGAAATCAACAAATGTGATCTATCACATAAACAGAACTATAGACAAAAATAACATGATTATCTCAATAGATGCAGAAAAGGCCTTCAATAAAATTCAACAATGCTTCATGATTAAAACTCTCAATAAACTAGATATTGAAGGAACATACCTCAAAATAATAAGAGCCATATACAAGAAACCCACAGCCAATATCATACTGAATGGGCAAAAGCTTGAAGCATTCCCCTTGAAAACTGGCACAAGACAAGGATGCCTTCTCTCACCACTCCTATTCAACATAGTAATGGAAGTCCTGGCCAGGGCAATCAGGCAAGAGAAAAAAATAATGGGCATGCAAATAGGAAGACAGGAAGTCAAACTATACCTGTTTGCAGATGACATGATCTTATACTTAACAAATCTCACGGTCTCGCCCCAAAATCTCCCTATGCTGACAAACAACTTCAGTAAAGTCTCAGGATACAAAATCAACGTGTGAATATAACTAACATTGCCATATACCAACAACAGCCAAGCCGAGAGCCAAATAAAGAACACAATCCCACTCACAACTGCCACAAAAAAGAGTAACATCCCTAGAAATACAGCTAACTAGGAAGGTGAAAGATCTCTACAAGGAGAACTATAAAATGCTGCTCAAAAAATTAGACAACACAAACAAACGGAAAAACATTCCATGCTTAAGATAGAAAAAAAATCAGTATTGTAAAAATGGCCATACTGCCCAAAAACAATTTATAGATTCAATGCTATTTCTATTAAACTACCAATGAGATGCTTCACAGAACTAGAGAAAACTATTTTAAAATTCATATAGACCAAAAAAATAGCCTGAATAGCCAAGGCAATCCCTTGCAAAAAGAACAAAGCTGGAGGCATCATGCTACCCAACTTCAAACTATACTACAGGGCTACAATAACCAAAACAGCATGGTATTGGAACAAACACATATACCAATGGAATAGAACAGAAAACCTAGAAATAAGGCTGCACACCTACAACTATACAACTATTTGATCTTCGACAAACCTGATAAAAATAAGCAATGGGTGCCACTGCACTCCAGTCTGGGCAACAGAGTGAGACTATATCACAACAACAACAACAACAAAAAACCCCATAAGCAATGGGGAAAAGATTCCCTATTTAATAAATGTTACTGGGATAACTGGCTAGCCGTTTGCAGAAGATTGAAATTGGACCCCTTCCTTACATCATGCACAAAAATTAACTTAAGATGGATAGAACACTTACATGTAAAACCCAAAACTATAAAAACCCCAGAAGACAACCTAGGCAGTATCATTCAGGACATAAAAATGGGCCAAGAATTCATGACAAAGGCGCCAAAAGCAATTTCAACAAAAGCAAAATTGGCAAATGGGATTTGATTAAACTAAAGAGCTTCTACCCAGAAAAGAAAAATATCAACAGAGGAACAGACAACCTACAGAATGGGAGAAAACTGTTGCAAACTACGCACCTGGCAAAGGTCTAATATCCAGCATCTATAAGGAACTTAAAAAAAACCAAAACACAACTCCATTAAAAAGTGGGCAAAGGAAATGAACAGACGCTTTTCAAAAGAAAACATCCATGCAACCAAAAATCATATTTCAAAATGCTCAACATAACTGATCATTAGAGAAATGCAAATGAAAACCACAATGACATACCATCTCACACCAGTCAGAATGGCTATTATCAAAAAGTCAAAAAGTAACAAATGCTGGCACGGTTGCAGAGAAAAAGATCCTTATACACTGTTGGTGGGAGTGTAAATTAGTTCAGCTATTGTGGAAGACAGTGTGGTGCTTCCTCAAAGAACTAAAAACAGAAATACCATTTGACCCAGCTATCTCATTACTGGGTATTACCTGAAGGAATATAAATCATTCTATTATAAAGACAAATGCATGTATATGTTCACTGCAGCACTATTCACAATTGCAAAGACATGGAGTCAACCTAAATGCCCATCAATAATAGCCTGAATAAAGAAAGTGTGGTACATATACACCATGAAATCCTAGGCAGCCATAAAAAAGAATGAGATCATGCCCTTTGCAGGAACCTGATTGGAGGTGAAGGCCATTATCCTTAGCAAAATAACACAGGAACAGAAAAACAAATACTGCATATTCTCACTTGTAAGTGGAAGCTAAATGATGAGAACACATGGACACATGGAAAGGAACAAAAGACACTGGGACTTATCTGATGGTAGAAGTGGGAGGAGGGAGAGAATCAGAAAAAATAACTAATGAATACTAGGCTTAATACCTGGATGATGAAATAATCTGTACAACAAGCTCCCATGACACAAGCTTACCTATGTAACAAACCTGCACATGTACCCCTGAACTTAAAAGTTACAAATAAAAAATAAAAATAAAAAGCAGTACTGAGTGCTAACATTTGTATTAAGAATATGGTTTACTGGGAAAAAATAGACATTTACTAAAACTGTGGACCATTTGTGTGAGTCAAAAACCCTTATATATGTTAGGTATAATGTAAAGAGCAATGCTAAAATAGCTGCATTTTAAGAGAAACTGTTTAATTTTTTAAATTCATATTTTTATTAACAAGCACACATTATGCATGACCTGAAATCATATCATGAATAAATTAGTGTATGCATTATGAGCTCAATCTGTCAATGGGCTTTTATTCGTAAGTGCTGCCGCACTCTTCCCAATATAATAATAGTGCTACTTTCATTATTTGAGGAGAGCACTATGTTTGTACATGGAATTAAAAACAGACAATGACACACTTGTGGGGTCCTACAAAAAAAATTATTAAAAGGTGGCATTTTCAGCCCTGAGAATTACGTTAATGCACCACCCCCACGCTGTATCTCCTTCAATGAACTTCTCTCTACTGACAATAAATAACCATGTGTGTGAGTTGGACTGTTTCCACTCCCTGATTGCCTTCTTGTCACCGCACCTGGGTAGTTCAGAATCACAAGAAACCCCATGCCACGTGGCAGAATGCACACTGTTCCCACCTCACCACACTCTACTCTCTCCATCCAGCGCTAGCTGTAGCCAGGCTGTCTCGCAGTCCAGAATGCTAGCCGGAGATCAAGCTTTCTGAAGTGCCTTGGCTGGGGCCCACAGATAAGGACCGCCAGGCAGTGCTCTAGAAGCCAGCAGATGCCATCAATCAGTTTCCCACCTGCCAGACACTGAGAATCTCTAACACCGGAAATGTCCTCTGTTGCCAGAGCTGAACTCTCACATGAAGACTCCAGAAGGCCTTGCCATGTGGGCATGCAGCAATCATTGCCTCTCTGTGGCCACAAGGAACCAGGCTCTTTCCATGGCTAGTGAGTTGTCCAGCACACTTGGGGCTCCGGAAAGGCCCCTTTACAACTTTAGGCCTTAGCTGAGCTCTCTATTTACATAAGGCCAGGCAGTGCACATTATGGGAGACACCCCTGGGTACCGGGATGATGATGGCACTTGGCATGTGAGCTAGGATTGGGTGCCCATCGCTCTTCCCCACCAGGCAGTGGCCAGCTAGTTTCTGTCCCCTTACCGACCTCCTTTGCTACAATTGCATTTCTGGCAGGCAGTGTATCAAGGAAGCATCCGCAGTTTTGGACCATGCAGAGAACCACTACTGGCCAAGCATTCCCAATCTGACAGCAGAACAGTACAGCACTGCTGAGGTGAACTTGGCAAAGAACTTTGAGACCATGAAGGCAGCCAACACTTCCAAGTCATCACAACCTGCTTCTCCCATAGATTTATTGTAGACCATCTCAACCATCTCCATGTCAACAAGAAATGGTCCTCACTCTAAGCCATCACCTTTGGATTTAGATCATGGGGCTGTCCTTTCTTTAGAATGGAACTGAAAAGCTTTAATTTCTATAAAAACGTAAGGTTTTGGACCACAGCCTTATTAAAACAAACAAATATGAGCATAGTTGTCTACATATGGAGTATCTGGGATAAACTGCCACTTGAAAGTATAATCACTGTCTGTTTGTTTGTTTTTGAGACGGAGTCTCGCTCTGTTGCCCACGCTGGAGTGCAGTGGTGCGATCTTGGCTCACTGCAAGCTCTGCCTCCCAGGTTCACGCCATTCTCCTGCCTCAGCCTCCTGAGTAGCTGGGACTACAGGCACCCGCCACCACATCCAGCTAATTTTTTGTATTTTTAGTAGAGACGGGGTTTCACCATGTTAGCCAGGATGGTCTCGATCTCCTGACCTTGTGATCCACCTGCCTCGGCCTCTCAAAGTGCTGGGATTACAGGCATGAGCCACCGCGCCCGGCTTTTTGTTTCTTTAGCCTGATAGGACAATATCAGAAATTTCCTTGGTCACAGAGGATATAAAACATAGTTTGAACAAAAGCAGCAATAAAGCTACAAACTATTATTCGGTGTATTTGCTTAAGTATAAGACAGCTGACTGGGGCTTTATCATGTAACATTAGTTTGCTTAGTTTTCATTAACTCTGTTGAACTTAAATTGAATTGTGAATACACATATGGCTAATTCATATTGCAATTAAACTGCAAATTGACATAAACTGTACATAAAAAGCTGCACATTGTCATCCAAAATAATGCTTAGGTAAAACCAAGAATACAATAAACCGATGTCAAGGAACCTACCCTAAAATAAAAATACAGTCAACATGGAACTGTAAAACTAGAATGAGAGAAACATTTACCCATAAAATCTTGTTTGGAACATGGATACAACACTAGAAAAGAATTTTTCTAAATAACTACCATGTTCATATGTGACTGTGCATCTATGAAGACCAGGCATTCTGAATCATTGCCCTGTGGTGTATGGCAGTACAATTTTACAGAAAATGTGCTACAATAATTAATAAAATTCTCTAATGTCAAAATTTTAATGAATAAGTATTTACACTACAAATAACTATTTATATTACTAATACATTGATACTATTATTTTACAAAATAAATAACCTGTAATACAGCCTTTAAAAGCAAATAATAGCCTCACATTTCTAAATTTAAAAAATACAAATTTTGTGAAATATGGTTAAGAGTAACTGATAAAATAAAAATTTGGGCATAAACTATATTATAGTTTGGACAGAGGTTGAAAAAAGTGGATGAAAATCTTAATGAGCCCTTTTGTCTGCACTAAACTTAATCTTACAGGTGAATATTATAATATATATAGAGTACCTACTAGCTATCTAATTTACTTTTTACACAATGTATAAATTCTACCATGTTGTTCTTAATGTTTGAACCTAAAATAACACACAAACATACAGGAGAACAAAATAAGGCAGAAATGTATGGAGACAGTGACATTATCAAGATGATGGAATAGGAGTTCCCTACTTTTATATTCCCTTGCAGTAAAAAAAAAAAAACTAGTCAGCCATCCATTAACCAAAGTAACTTTATGAGAGAGCCAGGCACAGTGGCTCATGACAGTAATCCCCTCCATTCAGAAGACTGAGGCAGGAGGGCTGCTTCAGGCCAGGAGTTCAAGAACAGCCTGGACAGTATAGTGAGCTTTGGGATACAGGGCATTAGGAAACTGTGCTAAAACCCAAGATCAAGAAGAGTCACTTTGAGAAGACAGGCCCTTTGATTAATGAAGTGTCATATTATCCAAAGCAATCTGTAAGTTAACTCAAATCCCTATCACAACTCCTGTGCCACTTTTCATAGTAACAGAAAAGGCAAGCCTACAATGTACATAGAACTACAAGAAATACTGAATGGCTAAACCAATCATGAGGAATAAGAAAAAAGCTGAGGGCATCATACTAGTGACCCACACAAAACAGTTCAAAAGTCACTGTTTGTAGATAACCTGGGGAAACCTTGCTAGGTACTCAGTGGGAGCCACACTCATCCACGCATCTGGTATTAGGCCCACCATATAGCAGAACCCTGCCCTAGTGCCTGCTCCACAGAAAGCCCTGAAGACAATCCAGTCTGCCCAAAAACATGATAGGACTCACAACCACATGTGCTCCTGGTAATAAGCCCACTAAAGGTAAAACCCACTCCAGATTTGGCAGCAACTTTGTGACCCAGCTACAACCCTTTTTACTGCAAGCCCAGAAAAGATCTCATCAGGCTTGAGACCCAAAAGATGAAGATCTTTACCTACTGAAACCAGTTCATAAAAATGAAAAGAGGTGTTTGCTCCTCCAAATGCACAAACACCAATGCAAGTCTATATTATGACCATTCTAATGGTTCTATTTGAACATAGAACTGGAAGTCCTACGTAGGATAATTAAGCAAGAAAACGTAGAAGATCAAAATTGAAAAGAAGAAAAAAAGTCACTGTTTGTAGATGGCATAATCTTATATATGTAAAATCATAAATAGTCCACCAAGAAATAGCTTAAACTAATAAATGCATTCAGTAAAGTAGCAGAATATACAATTAACATACAAATATCAGTTTTGTTTATACAGAGTAGCAATAAACCAGTAAAAAAAACTAATTTACAATAGCAACAAAATAATAGATTTCTTAGCAATAAATTCAACCAATGTGGTGAAAGATCTATTCTTTGGGCTCAACTTTTGCGTGCTCTTAATCAACTTTAAAAATTTTAAAAACAATAAATTTCTGCCAAATCAAAAAACAAACAAAAAACAATGCAACAGAATCCAGGTCTTAGATAAAGACAACCATGAGTTAAAAAGAATGATTCAAATTTATTTAGCTGGTAAAAAAAATTTGCATATATTTCAAGAAGCAGAAGAAAAAATACATATTAAGTTGTCCCGATCAGGCATGGGGGTTCACACCTATAATCTTAGCACCTTGGCAGGCTGAGGTAGAAAGCAACCTTGAGGCCAGGAGTTCAAGACCAGTCTGGACAACATACTGAGACCCTGTCTCTACAAAAACTTTACAAATTAGCCAGGCATGGTAGTATATGCCTGTAGTCCTAGTTATTCCAGAGGGTGAGGCAGGAAGTCCTTGAGCCCAAGATTTCCAGGTTGCAGTTAGCTATGATTGCACTCCAGCAACACCTCTAAGTCCTCAGTCCCCTCTCATCTTGGGAGGACACCTGGAATCACAGGACAGTGCAGTGTGACAGCCTGTGTACAGAACAGAGCCTCCCTTCGCTAAGAAAGGGCATCTGCCTCCAGCTGCCGCTCCTGCACTTTTGACAAAACTTCTGACACCAGATGTGTGGAGTTTCCTGATCACCAACCAGTTCTCCAACACCACTGGTTGCTCAATAATTCAATACTGACACCACTCAGTTTGCACAGACCTTGCAAGGCCAGGCCTCAGTCCCACATCACTGCCCACACTTCAAAGGCCAGTCACATGCACCAGGGACCCACCTATACTTCTTGAGTGACTGCCTGTAACTCTGGGACTCCCATAACCGCATACTCAAGTTCAATAATTTGACAGAACTCCTCACAGAACTCAGCAAAACATGTACCAGTTTGTCATGAAAGTACATCTCAAAACAGCCAAATGAAAGATCTGTATACAGCAAAGGAAAGTGGCAGGAGAAGATTGGGTGCGTAGGCAATCCTGGTAAATGCATGTGATTGAAGAAATTCCCCATCCTTTATGTTCTCAAAGAACAGCTGAATGAAAAGAAACACTCTTCTCATTTTGACTTAGATGATGCTCCCTTTTTTTTTAACCTATTACAAAGCCAGACACGGATTGCAAATTCCCATTTTTGTCTCATAAACAATCACCTGAACAATTCTCTTTAGTGGTAAAAAAAAAAAGTACTTGTTCACCAACCACCACTTAACCCATTTATGCTGGAGGTGGCAAATTTTTTTGTGTGTGAAAAATCAGACCATGGTGATGACCCTGAGCAGTAGGGTCATCTAGCAGTAGGAAGTATAAATAACTCCCACAAGCTTAGTGCTCCAATAATGGAACACTAGGCATAAATGGGTTAGCTTCTCTCTTTCCAACAGGCCCCTGAACTTTGACACACACTCAGCCTGAGCCAACAAATAATTCCTCTTTATGCCCCTCCTAAACACAGGCTGACCTCAGGGTGAAACATTCTCTGATCTAGGATCTAATTTTGGCACCTTTCATCCTGTCCTCCCCTTCCCACATTCTTTCTAGTTTTGTGTGTTCCTCTTTAAATAAAGCCCTTTTCTGCCTAACATTTCAGATGACTGCAGATATAGTTGGTATTTTTCCCGTTGCAATATTCCTTTAGAATTAAGTAACTTTTCATGTATACATATGTAACTAACCTGCACATTGTGCACATGTACCCTAAAACTTAAAGTATAATAATAATTTTAAAAAAATCACCCAAACTACAATGGAAAATAAAGAAAAATTCTGGAGGAAAAAAAATAAAAAAATAAAAATAAAAAATCAAAAAAAAAAGAATTAAGTAACTTTTTATGTAAATATAAATTAGCTTTATTTGACAAAGTCTAGAAACAGCCCAGGACAATGAAATTTATCCTCAGAAAGAGCTTCTGAACCCGTCTTCCAACCCAACTACATTTGCATCTGCCTATGGATCTCCCACTTTCCAGGAGATCCGTAGCTTCTCTCAATGTAAAGGGCTCTTCCGTGCTTGTGTGAGCAGGCTGGGACACCTGCAGAGGAGGCTCCTCAGGAAGAACCGGGCCTTCAATGACCTTCTTTTGCAGGCTCAAGATTGGCCTTAACTTAGAGTCACTGGGCTCAGACTTCTACTTTCCAGTCAGGGCTATTCATTTAGTTTTAAATGAGAAAATGCCCAGTTTGAAGAATTCAGCAAAATCACTCAAAGACAGTGTTTATAAAAGGGAATAAAATTGTAAGACACTTACATTTTATATTTCAAAAGGAAAGGCAAAAGTGTCTATTCCTTTCAGATAACAAAAACGTCAATTAAATATTTCTATAACAGATCATTTAGGAAACACTTACTAAATGTGAACCCTTCTAAGAGGAGCCATGTCCCATCTCCTAAAACTTAGCATTGAATTTGGATGTCCAGATAATTAAATACAGAACATTTAATGTCACAAATTATCCACCCTGTAAAAAAGAGGAACTGATGTTTCATGAATCTATATAATTTACCAATTAATCTACCATACTGTCTTGTGAAAGTGAGTTTCCTATAGGCATAATGAAAAAGAGACGTTTCCTATTTTTCTCCCCGATAGAATTCCCAAACTTAAGCCCTGAGATTCTGTTTGAAATCACCCTTAAAATAGAACAGAACTAAGAAACTTACTACACTCACTCTGATGAAGAAAAAGGTAAATGAGTTTTTTAACAAATGAAGTATATGACTACATATTTTTTTCCTAGAATTCACCACGTTCATACCCTTTGTAAATATTTTCTAACCTTTCAAGCTCTACTGATAAAGTGTAATATATACTTAATAAAAAACTGATGATGAAATAAGTGAACAAATCTTTTTAAGGTGACAAACTCAGGGAGAAGCAGTACTACCTGGAACACAGACACATCCGACTCAAGCGTCAAGTCAGGCTATCCTATAATTTGGGACATTCTCCCACCCCTCATTCTGCTCACTGAAGTGCTCACTGACCATTCTGTCTGGAGACACTGCACTGTGCCTCACGGTGTGCCCCAGGGATGTTTTGCTTTGCATGTTCTCGCACCAGCTCACTGGAGTAGTTATTGCTTGTCCTTTGGACTAGTTTTTCTCCCTTCACAAGTCTGAGAATCCAGAGGGCAGGAATTATTTCTGTCTTTTCCCAACACCACTGATGTGTCTCCAGGCAATGAAATTGGGGGTTGGGGGAGAATGTCTAAGGGGTTAGCTTTTTAGGTGAAGGGTGTACCAGAAGACTTCTCTCAGCCCCAGGACATCCAGCTGCTTCACTGAGAGGCTCCATCTCCATGCCATAGGCTGTCCTCTGGGAGGAAAAAACCCAGGAACCAAAATTCACTAGATACTCCAAGAGACATAGCCACTGTGGGCATCTTGGGCCATTCCCAGACAATTCTGAAATTCAGGACTAGGATAAGAGTGGCTGAGGAGCCGGGCGCGGTGGCTCACGCCTGTAATCCCAGCACTTTGGGAGGCTGAGGTGGGCGGATCACGAGGTCAGGAGATCAAGACCATCCTGGCCAACACGGTGAAACCCCGTCTCTACTAAAAATACAAAAAAATTAGCTAGCCGGGCATGGTGGCGGGCTCCTGCAGTCCCAGCTACTCGGGAGGCTGAGGCAGAATGGCGTGAACACGGGAGGCGGAGCTTGCAGTGAGCCAAGATCAGGCCACTGCGCTCCAGCCTGGGCGACAGAGCGAGACTCCGTCTCAAAAAATAAATAAAAATAAAAAAGAGTGGCTGAGGATACAACCAGCTGTAAAGTTTCCAAAGTTTTCAAAGATTTTGTACAAGGCGTCTGTGCCTAGGAAAGATAAAAAGCAGAGTGGCACAAATATTTCTTTACAATAGAGTGCCAAGAGGTTATTCTCTGCCTTCACAAACAGATAACAAATCTTTAAAGAGTTCCACAAACATGGGTAACTAGCGAAACCCAATCTCTACAAAAAAATAAAATAAAAAGAATTAGCTGGGCATGGCAGCACACACATTTAAGCCTAGCCACTCAGGAGGCTGAGGCAGAAAAATCACTTGAGTCCAGGAGTTGGAGGCTTCAGTGAGCTATGACAATGTCACTGCATTCCAGCAGCCTGGATGACAGAGCAAGATCCTCTTAAAAACAACAAGTCAGGCGTGGTGGCTCGCCCCTGTAATCCCAACGCTTTGGGAGGGAGAGGCGGGTAGATCACGAGGTCAAGAGATCAAGACAATCCTGGCCAACATGGTGAAACCCCGTCTCTACTATAAATACAAAAATTAGCCAGGTGTAGTGGCGCACGCCTGTAGTCCCAGCTACTTGGGATGCTGAGGCAGGAGAATCGCTTGAACCCAGGAGGCGGAGGCTGCAGTGAGCCGAGATCACGCCACTGCACTCCAGCCTGGCAACAGAGCGAGACTCCAACTCAACCAAAAAAAAAAAAAAAAAAAAAAAAAAGCCGGGTAGGGAAAAAACAACAGGCCAGGCGTGGTGGCTCACGCCTGTAATCCCAGCACTTTGGGAGGCCAAGGCGGGGGATCACGAGGTCAGGAGTTGGAGACCAGCCTGACCAACATGGTGAAACTAAAATACAAAATACTAAAAATACAAAAATTAGCCGGGGGTGGTGGCGCGGGTCTGTAATCCCAGCTACTCAGGAGGCTGAGGCAGGAGAATCGCTTGAACCCGGGAGGCAGAGGTTGCAGTGAGCCAAGATCGCGCCACTGCACTACAGCCTGGGCTACAGAGCGAGACTCCTTCTTAAAGAAAAAACAAAAACAAACAAAACAACAACAGCAACAACAAAGAGTGCCCTCCAATGTTCTGTGAAAAAATGATTAATTAAAATATTGTGCCTGGAGTACGCAATAAAAGACAAATAGCTGACAGTGTTGTGAACTGAAGAGGTGATGGTGGTTTTTATGAATTTTGGAAAGAAACTGAAAATTTAGTATTTTATTGCAGGCCAGAGTCAGGCTGGGAGAACAGAGGAGTGGATTTAAGACCCTGCTTTCCATGTTATTTGGAAAATGCAGGGGAAAAGCAGTCTCTTGTGCAGTGTTAAAATAATTAGCAGGCAATTAGACTGAGGTGGCTCTAGTGTCTTGCGTTTCTACATGAAAAAGAATATTAATAGCTCAAATGCATTTCTTGTTAATGACTGCCTTAAGTAGAAACAAAATCCAAGTTCAACCAATCACAAAACTCCAATTAATCAGTAATTAAATAACCAGGAAATTTCCACCTGGACAGTCCAAATAAGGTGACTGTAACTGTCGTCAATTATTAAATTTGGCTTGCTTCCTCATGCACCTTACAAAAAAGTTTTTCCTTCAAGCACCTCCTCCATAAACCCACAAGCCACACACCATAGCTGGGCGCTCTCCCATTCATGAAACTCCCTTTCCTCAAACTCTTCAAAGCTTTAAAAGTGACTCCATTTTTCACAGGAAAAAGGATGGACTGCACAGCTAAGATAAGCCCCATGGAACAGCTCTTCCCACGCATGTTTCGCACACCGATTTGGCTTCTCCCCGATGACCCTCCCCTCTGGACAAAGCACACAGTCTGGGGGACCCGCGGGGCTGCGGCTTCATAGCCGCCCAGAGAGGCCGGGGCGGAAGCCGCGGCGCAGTGATGGGAGGAGAATCCCGCGGCGGCCTGGCCCCGCCCCTACCCAGAGGTGACAGATCCCACAGGTGCCAGCCGGGACTCCGGGCCGCGGACTCTAGTGCTGACGCCGGGAGGCCGGACCGCCATCTTGGAACACCCTCCCGGGAACTCTCACCGTTTTCCGGCTTTCGGGGTGTCCTGGCATCTTAGCTATGTAACTCCCAGTACCTGCAGGTCACAGGGAAACCAGACACTGCAGCAGCAGAGTCACCAGGGCCTCCCGCAGCTGGGGATAAATAGCCGAGAATACGGGACCAAAGCTCCAGCTGGAGCACAAGACAAAGGCCCCGCCAGATCCCGGAAACCCCCTCCGCCTCTCAAGCTGCGCTCCTGATTGGACAGTTCCCACGTCAATGTCCCTGATTGGACAGGGCTCCAGGACCCGCCTCCTTTGGTTATGAGTGACAGGAGATGAGGTCAGCAAAGGGGTTGAATGAGACTATTAACAAAATGGGCAATTTTTTTTGTATCCTTCCAAAATTGTTCCATGTCTTTCCATGCATACCATCTTTAATAAAGGGCGCACTCTTAAGCCAATCTGCAATCTCTGTTCCTGAGTGTCTAAACAACGTCATCATCATCTTCTGTTGGAGAAAAACCTGAAGATGAGTTTTCCTCCCAAAGCACAGAACAGTCAGAAGCCGAGGCGTGCTTGGGAATGCTGGCGGGTGGAAAGGGGAGGCGCATTCCGGTGCGCCTGTGGAACTGTCCTTGCAAGCAGGACCCAGGTCCAGAACAGCTATGCAATGCATGTGTTTCTGACCAAAGGGGGCCTGCTGTCCACCCGCCTCTTCTGCTGGGCAGGGCAGCGCATGGTTGGGGTATTTACACCCAGGCAGGTGTCCCAGGCCAGTCCCCTGTCAACCCATCATAATAAAAAAGTCAGAATCTATTTTCAAAAGTATATTCAAAAGCATATGTTTAGGATACCTACCTGAGAGCATAGACTAAAGTTGCCCTGATTATACATTCCAACTAGTAACCATTACAAGTGGGTTTTAAGAAAAGAGGCAGTTCCTAAAATTTTCATCAAAAATTTACATTAAAATCCAGAAGTCACTGACTGGCTATACATTGTTCTTTGTATCACAAATTCCAGATGAGACAGCTAGTTAGGAACAACATACCTTTAAACAATTGCCCCTGGGAAAGGGTGTGGAGATGTGTCTCAAATCCCATACTCAAGTCTCTCTGGGCCAGAAAAATCTTCCGTACCTCACAGAGCTTCAGCTACTTAGAGCTATTCTTTTCTTATCTCCATAGTCAGTACACTTGGACCCTTAACAAGAAATAAGTTCAAACAGAAAATTTGCCAAGCCACAGGAATAATGGCCTGTCAGTGCCCTTCAGGAAGCTGATTGTCACTTTCCTTCAACACCCTTTCCACAGCTTCCCCCCAACACACACACCCTGGATCCCGGGAGAGAGGGGCTGAGACGCACCCAGACACACCTCGCTGCCCCTCCTGCAAACATACACCCACACACAGACACACAGACAAAGACACAGACACAGGCAGCTTGAAGGAGAGCAAGAGAGAGGGATGGAGACATAGAAACGGAGGGAGAGAAAGACAGTGATAGAGAGGCAGAGTGAGTCAGGATTGAGAGAGAGAGAGAGAGAGAGAAGGCTACAGAAAGAGCACGAGGTGGAGGGGGAAGAAGAAGAGAGAGGATGAGGGACTTACAGAGCCATAGAGCCTTGGAGAGGGAGTGTTCTGCTCCGGTAGACAGGGCCCCTTTGAGCAGGACAGGGTAGGGTGGAGGGTGCTTGGGCTGGGCCAGAACAGGGTGGAAGGGCTAACGGAGTGACCCAACAGAGCCCTGAGACGTATTTTTTGTTGGATTGGTTGCTTTGGTGGTGCGTTTCATAGGACTTTTCCTTTGTTGGCTCCTCCCTGTCCTCTTGGTGCGGTGGGCCCCGAGATTTGTAGAGTGCAACCGTCCCTCTAGCGAGAGCTGTGGCACCGAGCATGCCCACGGGGCAGAGGCCTGGGTCTGTCTCGTGTCCTCCGGAATGGAGTTTATACGAAGTTGGTGGCAATGGGATTCCGAGTGCACAGGGACGGTTTTCCTGGTGGCTGGAGAAGGCAATGTCCTTCCCCTGGGGAAAGTAGCCCATGCGTTCTGGAGCGGAGGTCTTGGCTGGTGTCTTGTGGGGCCCGCTTCCCCTGCCCGCCCCTTCCCCCGGCTTGGACAGTGCCAGCGGCGCTGGATGAGTGAATTAAATTCCCTGGGCGTCCCGGGAGAGGGAAGACACCCTGGACGGCAGGGAACCCGCCCCTGAGCCTTCGAGGTTGGCCCCGGCCCGGCCCTCCCCGCCCCGCCCCGGGCAGCGAGCTGGGCTACTGATGGGGTGGCTGCCAGGCGGAAGAGCTGGGAAGCTGCTAACTGGCGGTGCTGCAGTGGCGGACGCCCCACGAGGAGGTCCCAGGGTACCGCGAGGGCGCAGGCGGGCGGAAAAGGAGGAGCAGAGTCAGGGTGCGGTTGGGAGGCATCGCGATAAAAGGAGGAAAGTGGGAGGGACCGGGAAACCAAAAAGCCTACAGCACCCGTTATTCCCAGGCGGTCTCCCAGTTAAGTACTAACCAGGCCTGACCCTACTTAGCCTCGAGAGATCAGACGAGATTGGACGCGTTCAGGGTGGTATGGCCATAGACGCCTGGCAGCCCTAAGAGCTCCGCTCAGTCTTGCGCGCCCGACTCCAGGCATCCCGGCAACCCCGGGTCCACGGGGCTCGGATCAAGTACCCCTGAGCTGCTCGCCGGCGGCCGGGCTGGTCTGCTCTCCCCCTCTACCGGCCGCTCTCCCCCTCTACGCCCGAGCACCGTCCACCGCGCGCTGCGCCTTCCGCTGGCCTCCCAGAGCCTCCCGCAGTAGCTGGTGGCCAGGCCAAGCGTGGGACAGCCACAGCGCCGCCCTGCTGCCGGGCGTGGGCGCCAGAGGCCTCTGTCTCCTGCACAGGCTTCGGGCTCTCGAGGTGGCCTCCCTTCCGCCGAAGCTCCAGGCCTTTCCCCAGCTCCCGAGCTCCCGAGCTTCCACTACATCGGGCCCGCTCAGGACCGGGTGTGCTCCGAGACGTCAGGGCCCAGGGCCCACGGTCCTGGTATCCCCGCCGGTCTTCTGTCTTAGCAGTGAGGGATTGTTTTGGATCCCTCTGCAAGGTCCCCTCTTGCCCCACCCACCCAGAGCCTCTAGGGCTGGCCAAGGGCGATCAGCCGACCCAGTCCTGCGGGCCCTCTTTCTCAAAACGCCTTCAACCCTGTCCCCTGTCCCGACGAGGACCCAGCCCGTGGGCAACAAGGGGGCCGGGTGGGTTCTGCTTTGCCCCGCGCTGGCACCAAAGCCGGCAGCCTGATCCTGGGAGAGAGGGGCTGAGGCACACCCAGACACAACTCACGACCACCATGAGCAAAACCACCCATTCACACAGGGGCGCAAGCTTGCGGCCACACACACACACACACACACACACAGCTTGAAGGAGAGCAAGAGCAAGAGGGATGGAGAGATAGAAACGGAGGGAGAGAGAGACAGCGATAGAGAAACATAGTGAGGGAAGAGAGAAAGACAGAGAGAGAGAAGGCGACAGAAAGAGCGCAAGGTGGAGGGGGAAAAAGAGAAAGAGAGAGGGTGAGGGAACTAGAGAGCGAAAGCGATAGAGCCCTGGAGAGAGAGCGCTCTCCAAGCCATAGAGAGAGAGACAGGGTGAGGGAGGAGAGAGAGAAAGAGAGAGAGAGAGAGAAAAGGCGACAAAAAAAGCGCGAGGTGGAGGGGAAGAAGAGAAAGAGAGGGTGAGAGACCTAGAGAGCGAGAGCAATAGAGCTTTGGAGAGGGAGCGCTCTGCTCTGGTAGATAGGGCCCCTTTGAGCAGGCCTGGGTAGGTGGAGGGTGCTTGGGCTGGGCCAGAACAGGCTTTGGGCTCTCCAGGCAGCCTCCCTTCCGCTGAAGCTCCAGGCCTTCCCCCGGCTCCCGAGCTCCCGAAACCACATCGGGCCCGCTCAGGACGGGGTGTGCTCCGAGGCGTCAGGGCCCAGGGCCCACGGTCCTGGGTCCTGGGATCCCCTCTGGTCGTCCGCCTTAGCGCTGAGGGATTGTTTTGGATCCCTCGCTGCCCCTCCTGCAAGGCCCCCTCTTGCCCCACCCAATCAGAGCCGCCAGGGCTGCCCAAGGGCGATAAGCCGACCCAGCCCCGCGGGCCCTCTTTCTCACAAAGCCTTCACCACCGTTGCCTTTCCCGAGGAGGACCCTGCCTGTGGGCAACAAGGGGTCCGGCGGAGGGGCACTGTTTGCCCCGCGCTGGCACCAAAGCCGGCAGTCTGATCCCGTGAGACAGGGGGTGAGGCCCACCCAGGCACAACTAATGACCACCACGAGCTAAACCACCGCACCCCCCCCCCCCACAAAGGGTGCACGCGCGTGGGCAAACACACACACAGACACACAGACAAAGACACATACAGAGACAGCTTGAAGGAGAGCAAAGAATGAGAGATGGAGAGATAGAAACGGCGGAAGAGAGAGACAGCAGTAGAGAGAGAGGCAGGGTGAGGGTGAAGACAGAAGGGTGAGAGAGAGAGAGAGAGAGAAAAGGTGACAGAAAGAGCGCGAGGTAAAGGGGGAAGAAGAGAAAGAGAGAGGGTGAGGAACCTAGAAAGCGAGAGCCATAGAGCCTTGGAGAGGAAGCGTTCTGCTCCAGTACACAGGGCCCCTTTGAGCAGGCTGGGGTAGGGTGGAGGGTGCTTGAGCTGAGCCAGAACAGGGCGGCAGGGCCGCCCACGAGGGTGGGCCAATGGAGCCCTGAAACGTGTTTTTTCTTGGATTGGTTGGTTGCGTTGGAGGTGTGTTTCGTAGGGTTTTCCCTTAATTTGCTCCTTCCTGTCCACTTGTTGCGGTGGGCCCCGAGATTTGTAGACTGCCCCAGTCTGTCTGGCGAGAGCCCTGACGCCGAGAGTGCCCATGGGGCCTGAGGCCTGGGTCTCTCTTGTGTCCTTGGGACTGGAGTTTACATGAAGTTGTTGGCAATGGGATTCCGGGTGTACAGTTACGGTTTTCCTGGTGACTGGCGAAGGCAATGTCCTTCCCCCCGGGAAAGCAGCCCGCTGCCCCTGCCCGCCCCTTCCCCCAGCTTGGACGGTGGAGGCAGCGCCGGATGAGTGAATTGAATTACCTGGAGGTTCCGGGAGCGGAAACCTCTCAGGACTGCAGGGAACCCGCCCCTGCGTCTTTGAGGTCAGGCCCTGGCCCGCCGCTCCCCGCACAGCAAGCCAGGCTCCTGGTGCTGTGGCGGCGGCGAGGTGGAAGAGGTGGGATGCCGCTACCTGGTGGTGCTACAATCGTGGACCCCCACGAGGAGGTCCCGGGCTGCAGCGGGGGCGCAGGCGTGCAGAAAATGGGGAGCAGAGTCAGGGGGCGGTTGGGAAGCAGGGCGATGAAAGGGGTAAACAGGGAGGGAGCAGGAAGCCAAAAAGCCTTCAGCACCCGGTATTTCTGTTGTGGGAAACTGAGGACGAGAGAGACCTACATGGGAAAACAGGAGGATGTTTATATTAAGGTACACACTGATTCAGTGGATTCCCATTCAAAAAAATGAGCTTTGAACAAAAACAAGAGTTTGGTTTATAAAGGCTAGCATACAAGAGCAAAACAAAGGCAGTAAATCATATATTGACAGGTCACGTAATCTATAGCATAACTGATGACTTCATATAACTTGCGGCTTTGTAGCTGCTTCGAAAGAAAAAACAAGAACTGTCTAAATACAGACATTTGTCTTTTTTTTTTTTTTCCTTCACGCTTGCTCCAGAGGAGGGGTGTCTGGAGCCTATTCCGTTGGTTTTGACTTCAGGGACAGCATTACCTTATAACTGTCTTTGAAGTGAGCTTGCTAGGCAGAAGAAAACTTGTTCTTTTTTTTTTTTTTTTAAGCTTTGCCTTGTCACATTCTGGGCCTTGGCTTTTACTTCTCAGACTAGGTCACCACAACCTTCTTATAGCCTTGTCTGTTACTTTTCTTGGAGTGAATGAATGCCGTACTTATTGTCATTATTTTCAAATTTCTGCCTCAGTTTTCCCATTTGATGCTTTTATAAACAAGATTTTAATAGAAAGCATCACTATTACTTGATTCTTTTTGAAAGAACAGTTTTTCTTTTTTAGGCACAGGCTGATATTTACACAGAGCCATTAGCTGAGTGGTGGTCTGCCTAGCTACAATTGCCTCTATAGTTGATTTAATGCTCTTAACAAGGAGGGGTAAAAGGCAAGGAAGTATCAAGCAACCTCCTAGTATGGCTGGAACTACTCCTATTAAGGTTTTGAGTCTACCAAAAGAGGTGAACCAGCCTCCAACGATGGAATCAGGAGTCCACCCTTTCCAGGTCTGGACTGGAACATGGGCTAATTTTCTCATTCTTGCAGTTATTTGGATAATAGCTTTTCTATTGTCATCGATTTCTAGGCAGCAGTTAGTTAGATTAAACTTTGCACATACTCCTCCTTCCTGGGCTAGGAGATAATCTAAAGCCAGTCTATTTTGATAAATGGAGTTTCTAACTTTTGTGGTCTGCTGGGCCAATAAGTCTAATGCATTTGCTGTTTCATTAGTGATAATTTCAAGGACTGCTTGCAAACTTATGATGCAGTTAAGCATGTAAATTGGGGTGCGGTACCCCCATGACCTATCTTGTGCCCAGGTAGCTGGTCCACAGTATTGAATTATTCTTTCAGGTGGCCAATCTGTGTCTTTCTAATCTCCTGTTTTATGTCTTTTTTATGTCTACATTTCTTTCGTTTCTTCCTTTAATTTCATCATAGACAGGATACCCTAAGGTTTCCTTGTGTTGCAGTGGAAGCAAAAAGAAAGATGGCCTAATTGTTCTGAGTACACAAGCCCCTGTCCATTTGGCTGGTAACTGTTGGTAGGCCTGTGGCCCACAAATCCAATAGAGACCAGAGGGTGCCTGCCAGGTATTTGGAGCTTCAAGCTGATACCAGGTATGATTTAGAGAAGAGAAACAGGAGAATGGATTTGGATGAGGTAATTTGGAACTATTTTTACCTCGCAAGAAAGTTTTTCTTAGTGTTTCATTATAATATTGCAGTGCTAAACATATTAATTCTCCTACTGGGTCTGTAAAAGCTTTTCCTCAGCGAGCAACACAGTATCCCCTGATGAAATAAGTTTTTAAGAGCCAGACGCTTGAACCTGTGGGCATCGGTTCGGGGGAAGAGTCAGTCAAAGTTATCTTGTGGCATTAACTCTTTTGCTTTCTAAGTCCATTGGTCTCCTATGTTAGTTCCTCCACAAACATAACATGCGGAAACGCCTAGGCTGCTGGCAGTGTTTTCAGCCAGCTGAGCAAACAGTTTCTCAGCTAAAGGAGGAGGCCCTGGTAACTTCTGGTCTACATGCTTATAGAATGACTTAAAGACCTGGAATTGTTGCTGGGCCGGACGGGTCTGGGTTCCTTTTTTGATAACATATAGGTAGGGTATATGATAACATATAGGTAGGTTGCTGGGTACTTTCTTATGTAGACATGTATGGGGTAACCTGAAGTCCACGTGGGTAAGCCTGGCTTTAGAATGGTAAAGTTTATAGGGGTACAGGTTTTTGTTTCACAATCTGGTTTTACCATTTAGTAAGCATAATTTTAGTAAGCATAATTTAGTAAGGCATTTTAGTAAGCATAATTGGCCTCTGTTGTGTGCTAGGGTGCCGTGATATACAATATCTACAGTCTTTTTCTGTGGTCCCAGGGGAACAAAGTGGCGTTATTCTTGATATGCATATGTATTTGTAGTCATTTCTATAGTATCTTTCTTATATTATTATTATTATACTTTAAGTTTTAGGGTACATGTGCACAACATGCAGGTTTGTTACATATGTATACATGCGCCATGTTGGTGTGCTGCACCCATTAACTCGTCATTTAACATTAGGTATATCTCCTAATGCTATCCCTCCCCCCACCCCACAACAGTCCCTGGTGTGTGATGTTCCCCTTCCTGTGTCCATGTGTTCTCATTGTTCAATTCCCACCTATGAGTGAGAACATGCGGTGTTTGGTTTTTTTGTCCTTGGGACAGTTTGCTGAGAATGATGGTTTCCAGCTTCATCCATGTCCCTACAGAGGACATGAACTCATCATTTTTTATGGCTGCATAGTATTCCATGGTGTATATGTGCCACATTTTCTTAATCCAGTCTATCATTGTTGGACATTTGGGTTGGTTCCAAGTCTTTGCTATTGTGAATAGTGCTGCAATAAACATACGTGTGCATGTGTCTTTATAGCAGCATGATTTATAATCCTTTGGGTATATACCCAGTAATGGGATGGCTGGGTCAAATGGTATTTCTAGTTCTAGATCCCTGAGGAATCGCCACACCGACTTCCACAATGGTTGAACTAGTTTACAGTCCCACCAACAGTGTAAAAGTGCTCCTATTTCTCCACATCCTCTCCAGCACCTGTTGTTTCCTGACTTTTTAATGATCGCCATTCTAACTGGTGTGAGATGGTATCTCATTGTGGTTTTGATTTGCATTTCTCTGATGGCCAGTGATGATGAGCATTTTTTCATGCGTTTTTTGGCTGCATAAATGTCTTCTTTTGAGAAGTGTCTATTCACATCCTTTGCCCACTTTTTGATGGGGTTATTTGTTTTTTTCTTGTAAATGTGTTTGAGTTCATTGTAGATTCTGGATATTAGCCCTTTGTCAGATGAGTAGGTTGCAAAAATTTTCTCCCATTCTGTAGGTTGCCTGTTCACTCTGACGGTGGTTTCTTTTGCTGTGCAGAAGCTCTTTAGTTTAATTAGATCCCATTTGTCTATTTTGGCTTTTGTTGCTATTGCTTTTGGTGTTTTAGACATGAAGTATTTGCCCATGCCTATGTCCTGAATGGTATTGCCTGGGTTTTCTTCTAGGATTTTTATCATTTTAGGTCTTACGATTAAGTCTTATTCCATCTTGAGTTAAGTTTTGTATAAGGTGTAGGGAAGGAGTCCAGTTTCAGTTTTCTGCGTATAGCTAGTCAGTTTTCCCAACACCATTTATTAAATAGAGAATCCTTTCCCCATTGCTTGTTTGTGTCAGGTTTGTCAAAGATTATATGGTTGTAGATGTGTGGCGTTATTTCTGAGGCCTCTGTTCTGTTCCATTGGTCTATATATTTGTTTTAGTGCCAGTTCCATGCTGTTTTGGTTACTGTAGCCTTGTAGTATAGTTTGAAGTCAGGTAGCATGATGCTTCCAGCTTTGTTCTTTTTGCTTAGTATTGTCTTGGCTATGCAGGCCCTTTTTTGGTTCCATATGAAGCCTAAAGTAGTGTTTTCCAATTCTGTGAAGAAAGTCAATGGTAGTTTGATGGGGATAGCGTTGAATCTTTAAATTACTTTGGGTAGTATGGCCATTTTCATGATACTGATTCTTCCTATCCATGAGCATGGAATGTTTCTCCATTTGCTTGTGTCCTCTCTTATTTCCTTGAGCAGTGGTTTGTAGTTCTCCTTGAAGAGGTCCTTCACATCCCTTGTAAGTTGTATTCCTAGGTATTTTATTCTCTTTGTAGCAATTGCGATTGGGAGTTCACTTGTGATTTGGCTCTCTGTTTGTCTGTTAATGATGTATAGGAATGCTTGGGATTTTTGCACATTGATTTTGTATCCTGAGACTTTGCTGAAGTTGCTCATCAGCTTAACGAGATTTTAGGCTGAGATGGTGGGGTTTTCTAAATATACAGTCATGTCATCTGCAAACAGAGACAATTTGACTTCCTCTTTTCCTATTTGAATACCCTTTATTTCTTTCTCTTGCCTGATTGTCCTGGCCAGAACTTCCAATACTATGTGGAATAGGAGTGGTAAGAGACAGCATCTTTGTCTTGTGCTGGTTTTCAAAGGGAATGCTTCCAGTTTTTGCTCATTCAGTATGATATTGGCTGTGGGTTTGTCATAAATAGCTCTTATTATTTTGAGATACATTCAATCAATACCTAGTTTATTGAGAGTTTTTAGCATGAAGGGGTGTTGAACTTTGTGGAAGGCCTTTTCTGCATCTATTGAGATAATTATGTAGTTTTTGTCATTGGTTCTGTTTATATGATGGATTATATTTGTTGATTTGTGTATATTGAACCAGTCTTGCATCCCAGGTATGAAGCCAGCTTGATTGTGGTGGATAAGCTTTTTGATGTGCTGCTGGATTCAGTTTGCCAATATTTTACTGAGGGTTTTCCCATTGATAGTCATCAGGGATATTGGCCTGAAATTTTCTTTTTTCGTTGTATCTCAGCCAGGTTTTGGTGTCAGAATGCTGCTGGCCTCATAAAATGATGTAGAGAGGATTCCCTATTTTTCTGTTGTTTGGAATAATTTCAGAAGGAATGGTACCAGCTCCTCTTTGTACTGTACCTCTGGTAGAATTCGGCTGTGAATCCATCTGGTCCTGGACTTTTTTTATTTGGTAGGCTATTAATTACTGCCTCAATTTCAGAACTTGTTATTGGTCTATTCAGGGATTCAACTTCTTCCTGGTTTAGAGTTGGGAGGGTGTATGTGTCCAGGAATTTACCCATTTCTTCTAGATTTTCTATTTTATTTGCATAGAGGTGTTTATAATATTATCTGATGGTAGCTTGTATTTCTGTAGGATCAGTGGTGATATCCCCTTTATCATTTTTTATTGCATCTATTTGATTCTTCAGTATTTTCTTCTTTATTAGTCTGGATGGTGGTCTATCTATTTTGTTGATCTTTTTAAAAAAACCAGCTCCTGGATTCATTGATTTTTTTGAGGTTTTTTTGTGTCTCTATCTCCTTCAGTTCTGCTCTGATCTTAGTTATTTCTTGTCTTCTGCTGGCTTTTGAATTTTTTTGTTCTGCTTTTTTAGTTCTTTGAATTTTGATGTTAGGATGTCGATTTTAGATCTTTCCTGCTTTCTCTTGTAAGCATTTAGTGCTATACATTTCTCTCTACACACTGCTTTAAATGTGTTCCAGAGATTCTGATATGTTGTGTCTTTATTCTCATTGGTTTCAAAGAACATCTTTATTTCTGTCTTTGTTTCATTATTTACCCAGTAGTCATTCAGGAGCAGGTTGTTCAGTTTCCAGATAGTTGGGTGGTTTTGAGTGAGTTTCTTAATCCTGAGTTCTAATATGATTGCACTGTGGTCTGAGAGACTGTTGGTTATGATTTCTGTTCTTTTGTATTTGCTGAGGAGTGTTTTACTTCATGTGGTCAATTTTAGAACAAGTGCGATGAGGTGCTGAGAAGAATGTTTATTCTGTCGATTTGGGGTGGAGAGTTCTGTAGAAGTCTATTAGATCCACTTGGTTCAGAGCTGAGTTCAAGTCCTGAATATCCTTGTTAATTTTCTGTCTCATTGATCTGTGTAATATTGACAGTGGGGTGTTAAAGTCTCCCACTATTATTGTGTGGGAGTCTAAGTCTCTTCTTAGGTCTCTAAGAACTTATTTTATTAATCTGAATCCTCCTATAGTGGGTGCATATATATTCAGGATAGTTAGCTCTTCTTGGTGCATTGATACCTTTACCATTATGTGATGGCCTTGTCTCTTTTGATCTTTGTTGGTTTGAAGTCTGTTTTATCACAGATTAAAATTGCAACTCCTACTTTTTTTTATTTTTTAATTTTTTTTGCTTTCCATTTTCTTGGTAAGTATTCCTCTATCCCTTTATTTTGAGCCTCCTGCCAGTCTGTGTCTTTTAATTGGGGAATTTAGGCCATTTACATTTAAGGTTAATATTCTTATGTGTGAATTTGATCCTGTCATTTTGACACTAGCTGGTTATTTTGCCTATTAGTTGATGCAGTTTCTTCTTAGTGATGATGATCTTTACAATTTGGTATGTTTTTGCAGCGGCTGGTACCTGTTGTTTCTTTCCATGTTTAGTGCTTCCTTCAGGAGCTCTTGTAAGGCAGGCCTGGTGGTGACAAAATCTCTCAGCATTTGCTTGTCTGTAAAGGATGTTATTTCTCCTTTGATTATGAAGCTTAGTTTGGCTGGGTATGAAATTCTGGGTTGAAGGGGCCTGTTGTGGGGTGGGGGGATGGGAGAGGGATAGCATTAGGAGAAATACTTAATGTAAATGATGAGTTAATGGGTGCAGCAAACCAACATGGCACATGTATACATATGTCACAAACCTGCATGTTGTGCACATGTACCCTACAACTTAAAGTATAATAATAAAAAAAAAAAAAGAAAGAAAAATTCTGGGTTGAAAATTCTTTTCCTTAAGAATGCTGAATATTGGCCCCCACTCTCTTCTGGTTTGTAGGGTTTCTGCCGAGAGATCTGCTGTTATTCTGATGGGCTTCCCTTTGTGAGTTAACCCAACCTTTCTCTCTGGCTGCCCTTAACATTTTCCCCTTCATTTCAACCTTGCTGAATCTGATAATTATGTGTCTTGGGGTTGTTCTTCTTGAGGGGTATCTTTGTGGTGTTCTCTGTATTTCCTGAATTTGAATGTCACCCTGTCTTGCTAGGTTGGGGAAGTTTTCCTAGATAATATCCTGAAGAGTGTTTTCCAACTTGGTTCCATTCTCCCTGTCACTTTCAGGTACACCAATCAAATGTAAATTTGGTCTTTTCACATTGTCCCATATTTCTTGGAGGCTCTGCTCATTCCTTTTCATTCTTTTTTCTCTAATCTTGTCTTCTTGCTTTATTTCATTAAGTTGATCTTCAATCTCTGATATCCTTTCTTCTGCTTAATCGATTTGGCTATTGATAACTTGTGTATGCTTCACAAAGTTCTCTTGCTGTGTTTTTCAGCTCCATCAGGTCATTTATATTCTTCTCCAAACTGTTTATTCTAGTTAGCAATTTGTCTAATCTTTTTTCAAGGTTCTTAGCTTCCTTGCATTGGGTTAGAACATGCTCCTTTAGCTCGAAGGAGTTTGTGATTACCCAACTTCTGAAGCCTACTTCTGTCAATTTGTCAAACTCATTCTCAGTCCAGTTTTGTTCCCTTGCTGGTGAGGAGTTTTGATCCTTCGGATGAGAAGGGGTGTTCTGGTTTTTGGAATTTTCAGCCTTTTTGCCCTGGTTTCTCCCCATCTTCATGGATTTATCTACCTTTGGTCTTTGATGTTGGTGACCTTCGAATGTGGTCTCTGAGTGGACATGCTCTCCTTTCTGTTTGTTAGTTTTCCTTCTAATAGTCAGTGCCCTCTGTTGCTGGTATGCTGGAATTTGCTGGAGGTCCACTCCAGGCCCTGTTTGCCTGGGTAAAGGAGGCTGCAGAACAGCAAAGATTGCTGACTGTTCTTTCCTCTGGAAGCTTCGTCCCAGAGGAGCACCTGCCAGATACTAGCTAGATCTCTGCCATATGAGGTGTCTGTCGGCCCCTACTGGGAGGTGTCTCCCAATCAGGATACACTGGGATCAGGGACCCACTTAAGGAGGCAGTTTGATCCTTAGCAGAGCTTGAACGCTGTGCTGGGAGGTACGCTGCTCTCTTCGGAGCCATCAGGCAGGGACGTTTAAGTCTGCTGAAGCTGTGCCCATAGCCGCCCCTTCCCCCAGGTGCTCTGTCCCAGGGAGATGGGGGTTTTATCTATAAGTCCCTGATGGGCTGCTGCCTTTTTCGCAGAGATGCCCTGCCCAGAGAGGAGGAATCTAGAGAGATAGTCTGGCCACAGAGGCCTTGCTAAGCTGCAGTGAGCTCTTCCCAGTTCAAACTTCCTGGTGACTTTGTTTACACTGTTGCTACAACTGAATTTTACAAGAAAGTTTATAGATGGGCCTAGAGGAAGGTACAGAAGTCTGACAAAAGCAATAACAGAACAGGAGTCACTCTGAGAGAGACTTGAGACTAGGACCTAGAATTTGAATTACTTGCTTGATAAAAAAGACACAAATTTTTTCTATTATGTTTTACTTGAAAATGTGATTTAAGACTGTAGAGTAGTAGAAGATGAGAAAGGAGACAGAGCCTGCATCCATGACAAGGAGATGGCCAGTTAATCATTTTTTGTCTAGATCTGTTATATAAACATAGGCTCGTGGACATCCCAGTTGAATATGCATGGTCACTGCAGCAAAACTATTGCAAGTGCCAAAGCTAGCACAGCTAGAAACATTAGTATCATTGGGTAAATTTAGTGCCAATTAAGTAGAAAAAAATGAATTTAAGTAATACATATTTATGAACCTTAAATGGCTAATAAGTGAATATATAAATTAATTTTTTGGAGAAATCAGGCAAACTGAGAAAGTATACATTAAACAAAAATGTTAGAAATAGAAAAAAAATTCTCAAAGATCCTGTAGACGTAGTTGGAGTTGCTTTGTTAGAAGCACTTTTTTGCCCCAGACTTACTTATTCTATTGGTGACTGTTTATGCTGGTGGCTATTTATGTTTTCATTACAGGTCACATAGACATTTTCTTAGGCATGGTTAAATAGTTAGAGGAAAATTACAGGATAGAAGACCCAACTTGACACTTTATGAAAAGTGAAATAATGGAATCTGTCACTGCCATGGGGCGTATGTATAGTGTCTCATATATGCAGTCCCAGATAAGCTGAACACGTGATTATGTTAAAATCGACGTAGAAATGCATGTGACATGACAGGACAACTCTGATTTGATAATTTTACTGCTGGAAATCAACACAATGAAGAGGAAGAAAGATATCAAAGAACAATGTAGCTGAGTGTGAACATTAAAAAGAACATATGGAAAAGATTCCATGTATAGGGAAAAGATTCCATGTATAGAGTCTGAATTTTACAAAATTCAGCTTCAGCTACTTTTGAGAGGTGACCTTCATTTTCCTTTCTTTACTGTATAAGATTAAGGCTGTCCTAGGGACCATCAACTGGAATCAAAGGGCTGGGCCACTCTGGCTTGAATAATTATCCATGCCTAGGGAAAAAGAGTAATCTTGCTGCCTTATGAAGCAAAACATGTCAAAACAATAGACACACTAAAAAGCCTGAAAAGAAAGTCAGTATGATGTGATAATTTGGAAAATAAGGAAGCATTTTGAAAAGCTTCCATATATTTCTAAAAATCTAGAATGCTACGCTCATGCCCCAACAAAAGTTTTGGGAAAGGTTAAGATCTCATGTATTCTTGAAATTTATTCTCTGAGTAACAGGAAGTGAAGACAAAAGTCGAGTTGTAAACTGCGTGGCTGTGTTAAAGGCATGGTTTATTACAGAGGCAGAGTACAATTGCAAAGATAGAAAATGTGTATTCTCTAGACATGTAAAAAATCCTCTCTCAAATCAAGAGCCAACAACTAATGAAACATAGGTATCAGTGAGCACTTATGACAAATAATACAGCTTTAAAAATAAACTGAAATGGTCACTAAATAAGCAACTGCAACTCACAAGAAACAGCCACAAAGCCTAGGGAGGGAGGAGAATTTGCTATCCAGATTGACTACAGTATAGTATTCAACATGTCCACTTTTCAACAATAAAAAATGATGAGCCAGGCAAGATGATGTGCAGCCAGGTGGCTGTAGTTCACTAGAATCTGAGACCCTACACCACCCTCTGCAGAGCTCTGTGGCCTGACAGGTGCCTGAGGCCCTGCCACCTCCTCCTTCTGATGTCCAGAGCTGTTATCACCCACTTCCTCACAGCCCAACTGTTTTCTTTCCCAGGACCTGAGATTTGGCCTGCCTTTCTGAGGCAGGGCTCCCAGGAGGGAGGCAGTGCCCTCTCAAAGTGACCTCCTGGCCATCCATCCACAGAGACACACCCGTCTCTTGGAGGAGGAAGCTTAGGTCCAGGTGGAAACTGTGAACAGAAGCTGAAAAGAGGCACCTCCCAGAGCTGTGAGTGGCCCTCCTAGGCCTCTTGGGGTGGGTGGTGGAGAGAGCCCAGCAGGCTGTGGTGGGGGCTGTTTCACAGGACTGGGAGGCCACATCTGCCCACTGCCAGATGGTGCCTTCTGAAAGGTGGCCTCCAGTGACCCTCACAGCCCCAGCCCACGTGGGGTGGAAACATCAAACGCCTGCCTAGGACAGCCAGGTAAGCAGGGACATGAAGTGACTCAGGACAAGCAGGGACTCAGGGCAAGGGAACCAGGTGGGTGCAGGGGAGACGAGGGGCAGGGGCTGAACAGGAAGCTGGAAAATGTTCATCCCATCCCAGATTCGATCAACTCTTGGGATCAGCTTGCTTGGTTTTCCCTGAGCCCTGTCCCCCTGGCTGGTTTCTCCTCACCTCCTTGTCTCCTCCATGCCAGAGGGCCCAGGGGCTCAGCCAACACACCATCTGTCGCCAAATTGTAACTGTCTCCACACATCTGTCCCTTGATGACCCTCAACAACATTTGCACGTCTCTCAGCATTTCCAGAACCAGAAGCCACACCTCCCAGCAAAACCCCTCCACAGCTGGGCAAAGTCCCCCTGCCACTGTTCCGGGCCAAATCACCCAGGCATTGTCTCCCTGACTGCTCTCTCACACCCACAGCCCATCTGTCAGAAAAACACTGTGGGCTCTCCCTTTGCCACCCCCATCACCAACCTCCCCTTCCACTGGGATGTGACAGTTGCCTTCTGCTGCCCACAAGGCCTTGGTCCAGCAGGCAGCCTCCTGAGCCCCTGTGACCTGTTGCACTCACATCTGTGATGGCCTACCTCACCAAGAGCCAACACCAAAGTCCTCACAGGCCAGCCCTGGCCTCCTTCCAACCCTGGAACCCCTAGAGCCCTGTGTCTCAGTCTCCCCATCTGCAGCGTGGGTGCTCCCTTCCCACCCCCAGCCTGAACCCCAGAGCCAGCTCACCCAGACAGTGAGCTCCATGGGCCAGGCATCCAGAGCCATGTCAGTGGCCCAGCCCCTCCTGCACCCTAAGGGAACCCTGACTGTCAGTGTGACCCTAGGGAGGTTGTCCCCAAGTCCTTGGTCCCTCATCTGCCTGTGGAGGGCAAGACTTGGTGAGTGGGAAGCAGGCGTTACCCCAGACCAGCCCCAAGTGCCTGGAGTCTGGTCTCATCTGTGTCTTCAGCCTTGGCATCCCAACTTCCTCACCTCTCGAGGTGCAATGCAGGAGACAGGGTGTGTGCGCTGCGGCCCCGTGATGGCCCACGTCCAAGTGCCTGCTGCTACTCAGCTGAGGGCAGCGTCCTTCTGTCCTGGGGCTCAGCCTTTGACTTTCCCCAGGAGGACCCCAGCTGTCCCTCACTGATGGGGTTGGAGCCCCTCACCCCCTGGGGGTGCCCTCCTCTCTACCAATCATCAGACAGACCCTCACGGAGAGGATGCTGTGGCCATACCTCCTGAGACCCTTTGGCCACTCCTGGGCCAGGTAGCCACTCAGTGAACATAGCCACCAAGGCCTCCTACCCACAGACTGGTGCAGATCCAGCAGGCACCCTCTGTCACATGCACACGGAAGGGGCACAGCACGCACTGGGTGAGCTGCTGCAGCTGTTGGCTCTGATTTCTTCATGGGAGGAAGTCAGCGCCTGCAGTAGTTGGGGCCCATGCAGTCCAGGACACCAGCCCTGCACTACCCTTGACCCCAACAGTGAGCTCCATGGGACCTCTGCCAGGTGGGTGGCAGCTCAGCTCCACAGAGTTCCCACTGCCAAGGACCAGTTGTTCCTGCAGGCAGGCCCACCTCAGGCCCGGGACCTCAGCGGGTGAGATGAGTGACTGTGAAGCACACACACTGAAACCTGGCACACAAGGCCTCAACATCCCCTTGGGAGGCCCCTGGCACCCCTTCTTTACAGGCATACCAGTGGAGGCCATCACAGCTGTGAGTGGGGAAGGATCTGACCCAGAGTCTGGGGTCCTGCCAGACAACCTCAAACCCTGGGCTGGAAACTGTTTCTCTAAAGGGGTCAGTATTATCAGCTTTGGCAACCATTTTCTGTGCCAAGGACTTAACTGTGCCATTGTAGCCAGACAGCAGCCTTCCCCAGGCCACCTGTAAATAAACAGGCATGGCTGGATTCCTGTACAGTTTTATTCATGAACCAGCAACATTCAAATTTCACAGCATCGTGAAGTATAATTGTTTTGATTTGTTTGAACATTTGGAAATGTAAAATCCACTCTTAACTCACGGGCGGCACAAAAGCAGGTGGGGACAGGCTACAGTTGGCTGACCTCTGGCTGAGATGGAGCTCAGAGGAGTGGATGACAGGGTGGGCAAGCTCAGCCCCCTCATGGTGGAGATTTACCCCAGGAGGGGTGGGGTCCCTCTCCATCCCTCCTCTTGGCTTCAAGAGCAGCTCAGGTGGAGAGTGGGGGAAGAGAATGGGCCTCAGCAACAAGGACAGAGATGCCAGCTCAGGCAGCCGTGTGGACAGATCCACTCAATGGTGCACACTGCAGGCGCCATTTACACCAAGCTGAGCACAGACACAACCAGCCCAGGAGATCGTGGTGAGGGCTATTTGGTATGGGGGTTCTCTGGGGCAGGGAGCAGTCTCTACCCTGCAGCTTATCTGGAAATGCCATGCAACAACCATTACAGAAAACACACACTGAGAAAAAGAGCAAAATATAAATAGGACAGCAGGTCTGGCCAGTTGGGTCTCACAGGCCAGTGGAGTGAGGAGGCCCAGGTGGGCCTACTAGGGTGGTTGGTGGTGGGCTCCTTCCTATAGGGAGGTTGGGACCCCCAACTCACAAATGACCCACATAAAGTTCCCACAGGCTCAGGGGAGAGTCTGTCAGTCATTAGGCAAGGGGGTCAGAGCTGGAGCCACACAGCAGGTGAGGAGCCCTGGTCATTTTGCCCTGAGGGCTGAGGAGCTGGGGTGGGGGCACACACCCAGGGGCAGATGCACTCAGGTGGCTCCCAGACCCTCCCCCTGCCCAGTGCCTGCCCATCTCCCTAGGGCCCACCAAGGCCTGAGACCCAGAGACATAACACCTGATCATCACACCCGGGCTTCCCTGCCAAGGCTAGACAATGCTCAGTGGAGGCAGGCAGTCTGGGCTTGGGGCCAGGACAAGGGTGGGGGTCCCACTGGGTAGGCCTGCTTCCCCAGACCCAGCTGGGATGGTTGACCCGCCACTTGTCATTCTGTCAATGTGCAACCTAGATGTGAGGGGCTCACTGCAGACTCTGGCCACACCAGTCACACTCCCCAGCCAGGCCCAATTCTGCCCATCCCACCTAACCTGGCCCCACATGTCCAGTGCCCACCAAGATCCTGCCAGCCAGAAGGACCCATGCTCACCTCCTAAAGCATCCACATGTACCTGCATCCCATAGGGACCCACAGCTCAGGGACAGCCCCTGTGGACCCCCATGGTCAGGGGGTCTCCTGACCTAACCCCCAGCTCTCCAGTCCTAGCCATCATGTCTTTTGGGGACCACCAAACACTGGCCGCCGATGGCCCCCAAGAAGGCAGAGAATGGGCTGGTCATGGCAGCCTCAGGCCTGGGCCCTGACCCCAGGGAAACAGCTGGTTAGTTCTGATTTGGACTGAGCATTAACAACAGGTCAAGCCATGTGCACAAGTATTCTCCTCTATCCGGTCCAGCAGTAGGCTGGGGGACCCAGTGCAGCCCCGGGACCAGCCGTGCACAGTGGTTCCAGCAGTGTGGGGTGGGGATCAGGGAAAGGCCCCGCACTCAGCCAAAAGTTGACCCCTGACCTGTTCACCCACCCTGCACAGGGACCCCAGACTTCAGGCAGAGGCAGGCAGTGGAGTTGCCATCTCCTGGGATCCCATCCAGGGTCCACAGAGGCCTGAGAAATCCTGGCAGGGGCTGAGCTGGGGGAGTCAGGCAGGGGCGGGGGGGGGGAAGGCAAGTAAAGGGCAGCATGCAACTGGGCATGACTGGCACTAAGACTTCAGGGTCTAGCTGGCCCTGAAAAGGTGACAACAGGACAGAGTCCAGACGAGCCCCTCCACACCCCAACCAGCTGCCAGGCACACATGGTGCCCCTCACTTCCCCAGAGGCCCCAGGAAGGGCTCTTTCTTAATCAACACAATGGGGGCCCCACCCACACCCACACATGCAGTGGTGTCCACACATATCAGAGAATGAAATTCCTGCTGTGCCGATATGGGGGACGAATTTCCCTGCCCCCACATTCCCCAGCTTCATCCCCACATGGCGCTGAGCTTGGGGTGCCCAAGCCAACAGCCCATTGATGCAGCAACCCGAGGGATGCTGTGTCTTGAAGGGACCTGTGAGGCCTAGGGGGCATTTCACAATCAGAGCATTTCCCTGACTTTGTCATTCACCGGCCCTCTGCCTCAGTTTCCTCCACTATGACACAAGGAAGAAATCCTGCCCCACAGACCTGGGGTCTCAGCGAGGCCACCACACCAGGTTAAATGGCTGGAGTGTACAAAAGCCGGGATGAGAGTCCCTGCCCGGGGTATCTCGCCCTGGGACTGAGATCCACCAGTCCATGGCCAGGCCAGCCTGTCAGGGAGGGCTCCCAGTTCCAAGTCCCTGCAGTTGAGGCCCCCAGCGCATTGGGAGGCACAGGGTCGGGTGGAGTGGAACAACGCCCCATCATAAGAGCCCTGGGCAGACCTTAGAGAACAAGCATTAAACTGAGACTCGAATCTGAAGCCAGCTCCGCCAAAAGACTTGGCTTTGGGGTGATATGAGAGCCGGGGTCAGGGAACAAAGCGTTCTGGTTTTAGGCCCACAGGAAGATCTGTGAAGCGCTCTTGGGTAGAGCACACGTTGCCGGGTATGTGCTTGAAAAGAGCCTAAGAAGAGGGGGCGCCAGGAAGGAACCCCGACGCCTAGGGAGAGTCCAGCCTTCCCGCTTCAGCACCTGGCCACATTCCGCAGTTACCCAAGCCAGAAAAAAAAAAAAAAATCCAGAGGCCAGGGAGGCTAATGGGGCTTTACTGGGACTATTTGGCCTAATCCTCCAAACAACCCTGCCATAGCAGCCCATCAGTCCTCTGCGACAGGTGAGGAACCTGAGGTCCCAGGAGGACACCCAGAAAGTCTAGGCGGAGCCCCGCAGGCCTCCACACTTCCCCGCGTGGCAGCTCCAACCCCAGCTTTTTAACTAGTAAGTCACTCGAGCAGCTGGGCCACTTCCGCTCCCCCCGCGGGGAGGCAGCTTCGCGCTGCCGCCTGGCTGGGGACAGGGACGCCACCTCCCGCTGGCTGCCACCAGGGGGCGCGCCCGCAGGGTCCCGGTGCCGGGCGGCGCATGTGCAGCGGCCAGCGCACCGGCTCCTGCCCTCGCCGCGGCCTCTGCCAGGACCCCGACACCCCGCCCGACCCTACCCTCAAGCGGGGCTGCGGCCTCACCGTCTGCAACAGCCGCTCCGTCCGGCATTTGGCGTGCTCCCCGGGGCAGAGGCCGCGGTGTCCTCAGGCTGTGGCACCAGCCTGCGACCCCCACGCCCGGCTCCGGCCCAGGAGGAGGAGGGCGCTGCTCCCCGGGTAGGGCGACCGGTCACCTGGGCCGGGAGGGCGGCGCAGGGGCGGAAGCGGCTGTCCGGGCTGCTGCTTTGGACTTCTCCGCCCTCTGGCCGGCCCGGCCGCGTCGCCCAGGGCTCCAGGGCCGCCTGGCGCCACCCTCTCCCAGCGCCGCGGTCCCTCCGGTACCTCCCTGGCGGCTGCGGAGCCCTCCTGGGACAGGGTCCATAAACTCTCTAGAGCGGGAAGTCGCGCAGTCGCGGGGCCGTCACGGGGACCGCTCGAGATCCGAGCCCACTGGGTGCCCCGGACCCTTCTCTCGCCGGCCCGGCCCCGCGCCCAGACCTAGCGGCCGCTGGCGCCTGGCCCGCTGCGTGGGTCTTCGGTGAGCTAGCTGCCCACCCAGTGCTGCGGCCTCGGCTCCCGCATGCGCGCTCTGGTGGTTCCTTGCTAGGGGCGACCCTGTGGGCCAGCTTCCCACGCCCGGTCCCCAGGCCGCGCCCAACCCGGCTCCCTGGGCTAGGGTACTGGCTCCTCCTGGGGGCCGTGGGACTGGGAGGCAGGGGCGTTAAGGGAGACGGTGGGACCGAGGGCAGCCCCTGCTGAGTGCACCGCGAGGTCGAGCGCAGGCCTCTGTTGCACAGTGCGCGGCTTTTGCTGGGACTGTGCTGGGGCTCAGAGGGTGGTATCAGTGCCAGAGGCGATGTCAGGGAGGCTTCACCAAGAAGAAGCCGCGGAGCTGACCCCTGGGGTGTGAGCAGGTCTTCTTCAGGTGGAAGAGGGCAGGACCGAATTGCAGGTGGAGTCAACTGTGTTTTCGCACACCTGGGGGGTGAAGGGGACGCAGTCTGTCTACCTGACCCGTGAAATGTAGGAGACTGTACCCCAGAAGCAGCGGGTTTACTGCTGCATTGATTAACCAAGTCTGGAACAAACATGTAGCTAAGCTGCGAGTTCTGTGCCAGTGGTCCCAACACCCACTCCCCCAGGAAAACACAGCTTTGGAGGTTGGGTGCTTGTCAGGCCTCAGAATGGAGAGCAGGGGCCAGAGACACCAAGCAGGGGGAACCCACCCTAGGCCTCTTGAGGGACGACGATGTGGGGAGCTGGTGGCAGAGCCTGAGCTGGCCCGAGGTTGCATGGTGGGGACAGATTCGAGGCATAGTAGGGACTGGTGACCTCAGTTCCCAGAATGTCCCAGCCTGGCCTCCTGGTCCAGCTAGCAAGTAGTGGGTGCTGCCCTGCAAAGACTCTGGGGGTGCCTGGGCCCCCCCTCACCAAACTTGACTGGTGACTTCTGTGTTCATCCTCACAAGAAGAGGGATTTTCTCTCACTTTCAGGCAAGCCCAGGAAAGTCAGGGGCCTATGTGAGCCAAAGAGGAGAGAAGGCGATGCTTTAGCCCATTGTTTCTGCCCCGCCTGGTTTGTGGCCTTGGGGACTTGATTTGCACCACAGGATAAAGGGCAATGAAAGCCCCTCCCTGACTGGCTTCTCACTCCACTCTGACCAGCCCATTGCACAGCGCCCACCCTGCAGCTCCAGGTACAGCCTGTGCACCTGCAGCTCCAGGTACAGAGGCTGGGCTGGTTCTGGGCTGACCTCAGGGCCTTCTGATGGTTGCAACCCTCAGGATGCCTCATGCTCACCCCTTGGCACCCACCTGACAGCTCAGCATGTCTGCTATATGCCATCCTCAATGCCTGCTCTAGACAAGCCCAAGTCCCCCAGGAGTGGCAGAGGGAACTGAGCTGGGAACTAAGTCCCAGCTCACTGAACCCCAAGTGGGCCTCCCACTTTAGGTCACAGCCCCAGGCAAGTTCCCTTCAGGGATGTGATCCCAGGGGCCACAGCAGCACGTTCTGGCCTAACCTATTCACTACTCAATTAGTTACTGAACAGGCCAGGATGGGCATGGGCCCTGACATTAATCCCCTTTCTCTGTGAGGGGGCTGGATTGGGTTTGCCATCCTGATGTCTTTGTGGAAAGAGCTGGCAGGTGGAGCAAGTCTCAGGGGCCAGCCATAGGACAGGGAACCTAGGATTCGCCTCTGCTGGAACCCTGTGAGGCCCCTGCAGGCAGGAGGGTCCAATGGAGGTCCAGGCACCTCTCCCAGCTTGGTGTTCACAGCTCCTCCCTGGCCCACTCCCTCTACACTTGCACCTGCTGGTCTCTGGGAGGAGAGCATCCATCCATCTTCTGCATGTAGCTTTCTGCTGCATTTCCATGAGGATGGTCTCCTTGATAGAATGCCCAGCAGGGTGTCCTGAGCCTGTGCTGGCTGTTCTCTAAGTGCCAAGTCAGTGAGAGGGACTTGAAAACTCAAGACTTATTAACATTATTTTCTGGTAAAGTGCAGAAAAATAAAAAAAATAAAAATAAAAACCCTGCTTTCAGGGTTTTTTCCTTAAAATGTGTAAAAACAAATATTGAAATTTCTATCTTTTATATAATTTGGATTCTGTCATCACATGGACCTTTCATTTTCCTGAAATTTATTTTTATATATGTATATCAAACATTGAATTTTTATTTTCTTCTTTACTGAAATTGTTAACCGTTTTAGAGGCCAATTTTTTTTAAAAAAAAATCATACTTCACAAACATTAATAAAATGTAGGAATTTATTTATAATGTTATTATACTTTTTTCTTTCTTTTTTTTTTTTTTTTTTGAGACAGTCTCGCTCTGTCACCCAGGCTGGAGTGCACTGGCCCAATCTTGGCTCACTGCAACCACTGCCTCCCAGGTTCAAGCAATTCTTCTGCCTCAGCCTCCCAAGTAGCTGGGATTACAGGTGCTCACCACCATGCCCGGCTAATTTTTGTATTTTTAGTAGAGACAGGGTTTCACCATATTGGGCAGGCTGGTCTCGAACTCTGACCTCGTGATCCGCCCACCTCGGCCTCCCAAAGTGCTGGGATTACAGGCGTGAGCCCCCGCACCCAGCCTATACTTTTTAAAGATGTGAATAATTGCATTAAAGACTTTATATTACTTGTATGAATTAATTTACATTTTTCCACAATCTTGAAAAATATTTTAGCTAGGTATGCAATTCCAGATTAACACATATTTAACCTACAACTTCAAGCTTAATATCTATTGATATATCAATTTCATGAAGAAGTTGAGAGACAAGATTAAAATCTATTGTTCCATAATTTGCATTTTATATTTCAATGAGTTTAATTCATTTCTTTTATTTTGGTGTTAACATTTTCATTTATGATGTTTTTAGATATGTATACCTTTTGTGCTTTTCTTGGTTGATATTTGATGAGCCTGTATTTCATCATTCTTTAAAATGTTTAAACATGTCTTATTTTCTACTATTTTCTCTGTTTATTTAAATGTCTGTTTTGAAAATTCATTAGAAATAGCCCTTTCATTCCATTTTCAATTTATTTTCACCTCTATTTTATATTTTCTATTCATTTTTCTTCTTGTCCTGACACCTAAGTATAGATTTCAGTTCATTCTTTTACTCATATTTTAGCTCATATTTTTTACATTGCCTGTATCCCTCTAATCTGTAAATGTTTCTAATTACATATATATTTTCTATACCTAATACACTACTTTGGAATTCCTTGAGGCCTAATTGTATAGGGTGCTCTGGTTTTGTTGTTGTTATTTCTGAATGACATTGACTTCGGTGGTCTTCATTTTGCATGTTTAAAAATATTAGATTGTGTGATTATATTTGACAGGTCTTAACTGATGTGCCGTTCAGTGCTTTGGGTTGAGCTTTGGGTTCGGTTGAGTTTTGGGTTGGAGAATTTTCTTCCACAGGAGACTGTCTTGGATTTTTCTGTTTCTCCCTCAATATCCACCTGGAAAACATTTGAATTAATTTATAGTCACTTAAATATTTCTGTGCAAAAACTGTGTACAGAAGCCCCAAAGTAACAATGGGCTGCCTTCCTTCCTGAATCAGCCAAGGCATAGCCTGAGGAGCTTCACTGTTTATCTTCCTTTGACTGCAGTCTGAGTATTCTAGGCCATTTTTCTTAGACTTGTGGAACTTTGAGGCTTTTCCTTTAGTTAGGCTGGTCAGTTTCTTCTCCCCTTCACTGGTGTTGCTGTAGCATTGTATCCACACCCAAATGCTGTTAAAACCCAACAAAGGATGCCCCTATTATGACTGCACCATCATGGGCAGCCCCACCCTGCCAGCTTTGCTGTCATCCTCCCTCCTTCCTGCCACCTCTGCTTCTTCACTTTCATTCCCCACTTAGGAATAATTTGCCCAGTTGAGCACATATTCTGTTGTCCAGCATTTATGGTGGTTTGTAGTGGAAAAGATTTTTAGAATATGTGGATTTTTGGAATATTTCCTCCAAAAGCCCAGATAGCCACACTTTACCTTTGGAGGAATTATTTCTCAGAATACTGCACACAACCGCCTTTGGAAGGAGCATATATCCCCAGCAAAAGCTCTGATTTTTTGAAGTCTGTATTGTGTGTTATTTCCAGGAGAATATAGCAATGATGATAATGTTATTAAACAATTCAAATATGAAATGCTGTTATGCCTAACATAAGGATTTTACGTGATCATGCCTTTTGGCTGAGGAGAATACTCCTGTCTTGTTGGAATTATTGATAATTTGACCGTAATTGCTAATGAGTCAGAAAAATTAGGAACACCAAGTTTCAGTCTTCTCAAGAGCACTCCTCTTATTAAATTTGAACTTTTACCTTTATCACATGCAAAAGAAATATTTTTAGAGAAGTGTTTAATGTTTTCCAGATGGATATATTACTGTTATTAGTTATCATTTTATTAATTTTTAAAAGCATAGAGTTGGAAGTATCAATATGTCTTTCAATATACCTTAGTGGAATTTATTAAATTTTCATGGATATCCTGTAGGAGGTTGAGGAAGTTATTTCTATTGCTAGATTTCTGGGAGATTTATCAGGAATGAGTGTCAGACTTTGTCAGATGTCCATTGAAATAATCATGGTTTTTTCCTTTATTCTATTAATATGGTGTATTACATTGATTGATTTTTAAATTTGTATTTGTAAGATAATTCCACTTGGTTATATTGTCTAACATTCTTTTCTAATTTTCTTTAATTTTTATCAGAGTTGAGGCCTTACTATGTCACCAGGTTGGGGTGGAGTGGCAGTCATAGCTCACTATAGTCTCAAACTCCTAAGCTCAAGTTATCCTGCCACCTCAGCCACTTAAGTAGCTGGGAGTACAGGTGTGCACCACCATGCCAGGCTTGTCTAACATTTTTATGTGTTGCTGAATCCAGTTTGCTAGAGTTTTTGAAGCTTTCTGTCGTCATTCATGAGGAATAATGGTCTGCACATTTATTATCTTGTGATGCTTTTGTCTGATTTGTTATCTGGGTAATACTGGCCTCAAAAATGAATCGATGTTTTCCTTCTCTGTTTTGCAAGTGTTTATTAAGGATTGGTTATTCATTAAGTGTTTAATCGAATTCACTAGTGAAGCTATCTGAGCCTGGGCTTTTCTCTGTGTGAAGAGTTTTCATTAGCTTCATCTATTTACCTGTTGTATGAGTATGCATATATTCTATTTCTTCTTGAGTTTACTTTTCCAGTTTGTATATAGCAGCAAATTTGTTTCTAATTTGTAGTATTTCATGCTTCTAGGTTTTCATGGCAATTGAGATGTAAGAATAAAAATAATGTTGGGAGAAGAAAGCTGTGGACAATCCATGAATAACCCAACATCTGTTATAGGAAGGAGAAGATTGTTTTTCTTGCTGTACTTAATACTCACATTTATAGTGTGAGACAAATGTAATGCTGTATCTAAATAGAACTAGGAAAATGTGCCATTTGTCATAGTATTTAATCAAGATGGAAGTCTGAGCCTACCTCCTCTCTTTTATTAATATGTAGACAGAACACCAACATAAATTTGAATAAGGACAAACAAAATGTTAGCAAATGAAGAATGGTATGAATGGGTTAAAATGTGATGAAACAGAGTGGTGAATATTTACATAGAATCCATGATGTGTTAGGCGCTATTTCAAGCTATTTGCACATACAGTTTTAATACCAATGACTTTAAAATGTATAACACAAAGATTCATATAAATAAAAATTACAACATTGAAAATAATATTAGGTGACACTAAAACTGTCATAGAAATATACTTTTCTATAAAACAAATAAATTAACATCAAGTATGAAATAAACTTTAGAAAGTTTGATTACTAATCAGATGAACAAGTGATTAGCCTTTTTAGCCAGGAAACAAGGCATACACATTATTTTCAAATTCCAGAGACAAACATTTTAAATATTGAAGTTTAAGACCTAAAAATGTATCACTGATTTTGTGGAAGTAGATATTCAATAGGTGACATTTTCTAGGCTCTGTGAAATTACATCAGAAAATGTGAATTAGAATATAACCCATAAATAATATCTAGCCACATACAAAGTAATTGAAGATCAATTTAAATAACTATTGGATTAAGAAATAGAGACTGAGGTAAATTTACAGGGTCAGTGAGGATCTAAGGAGGAAGCATTGACACTGGAGCCCAAGGACCTCGTATTGCAGAACAGATTCTACCAGTGCTAACTTCCTGCTACAGAGAAAATATCGATTATGTTCATGTGCAGGTGCTATTCATGAAGAAAGGAATTAGAACTTCAGAAATGTGTTCAAAATATATCCCTACTTTGACATATTAATGAAGTAATCACATTCTACACATAACTACTCCATATGGAATACTGGGGAGGGGGTGTTCCAAATAAAGAAACTGAGGATTTCTCATGAGTACTCAATGTCTGCTAGAAAATATCTAAGTAAAATATTTACCTTATGTGGACAGTGTTGATGTTTGTGCAATAAAAGTTTTGAGAATACCTAAAATGTACAATGGAGATGAGGAGAAAATATCAGAGTTCCCCAGGACCAGAAATGAGGCAAGAAAAAATTCAGAGGAGTTGTGAATGTGAAAAGCCAATGGCTGGTCACACAGCAACACTGAAAGTCTTGTGCCAGGCCAACTAGAATAAATACATAAACATACAGATTGAAAATATTTACAGTATTAGATCTCTGTGTTGTGAGAACTAAATTATAAATATTGAAGCATACAAGAAAATAAGCTACCAGAATTTAAGCTACCAGAATAGATTACACATACATTTCTGATATTGAAATAGTCACAAATATTTAAGTCAATACAGTGGGAAAATATGAAACCAAAATAATGTTGAAAAATCAAAAATCTTTAAATTTGAAGAGCATATGTGAAAAGAGCCAAGGATAAATTGAATAGCTGAAAAATAAGGTATAGAATTTGAATATACATCATATTTGAATATTCATCTTATGAATATACATTGTATTAACTTTGTAGGAGCTGCTGAGAGGAATAGTGCACTGGGAGATTAAGCAGAACAAATTTATAGTGAAAAAGGTAAACTGACATAAAACATAAATATAGATAAATAAAGACTAGAATAGGAAGGGGTAGAACATATACAATTACTTCACTGGCATATATAAAAGGAATAAAACACAACAATCAGAAAGTAATAATTTTATAAGATAAAATTAAAAACCAGATACAAATCTTTTAATTCAGACATGCATAGTGTTCAAAAAGAGATAAATAAATATAAATATTGATGCAGAAATAATAAACTACTACTGCATAGTAAAAAAAAGGAAGGGAAAACTACAGAAATATATATCTGAAAAAAATAGATTTTACATCATAAATGTTATTTACTATATGGTCAAAATTATCACATATGATATCTTTTTTATTCCATTCAATGTTTTCTTGATTTTTTACACTTTTCTATTTTTTAATTTTTAGTTTACAAGATGTCAAACACTCAAAATGTTTTCTTGATTAATTCTATCATGAAATTTTAAAAATAGTCACATTATTTTGTACACCAAATTATATATACATATATAGATACACACACACACAAACACACACACACACAGCACACCAGCACATTCATAATCACCCATATAGAATGCCCATTATCTATACTACCATAGTATGGGGCTCAGTATTTAGAAAACACTTTTTGTAGTTCTAGATCTCTTGCCTAATATTTATCAACTAGAAGAGTGATAGTCATATAAAAATACCTCATGAGTGTTTGTATATCTAAACTAAATTTTATTTTAAAGAAGAGAGTCACTAAATGGAAAAAAAATTTAAAAACAAACAGACTCCCTCACATCACAGCACCCAGACTGCTTCTCTTCTTAGTCTCTCTTTTACAAAGGTTTAAGGACCCTTGTAATTGCATTAGGCCAAACTTCCAATTCAAGTTAATATTCTTATTTTTGAGTCAGCTGATTGTCAAACTTTATTTCACCTGCAGCCTTAATTCTGCTTTGTCACATACCATGATATATTGCTAGGCCCTGGGGGTGAGACATAGGCATCTTTTATGGCATTATTTCACTTTCCACAGGGCTAATTAACTACATCTCCTTAAAATAATCCTGGCTCTTTTTGAGTTTTGTTTCTATCCCAGAGAAGTATGTAAAAAAATTTTTTTTTTAATCTCAGGAGGAAATTGCTAAAATCCAGCTCTCAATGTTAGAGGACACAGACTACCTTTTTCT
This sequence comes from Homo sapiens, assembly GCF_000001405.40. Classification (NCBI taxonomy): domain Eukaryota; kingdom Metazoa; phylum Chordata; class Mammalia; order Primates; family Hominidae; genus Homo; species Homo sapiens. The sequence continues at coordinate 227,533,852 of NC_000001.11, read as the reverse complement.
GCTTTATGACATCAATGAATTTGCATTAAATTAATTCCATGGCATTCCTTTTCTTAAGACTTTATACAGGAATACTTTCTCATGCCTGGGAAAAATACTAATTTCTCTAACAGTAAAGATAATTCTCCACATCTTAAGCAAGATATCTCTGTATCAGAACCCTTTATAGACATACAATTTCACTGAATAATTTTGCAATTACTCTCTCATGTTATTGTCACGGATACATTCACGTAAGTAAAGTATTTTAGGAAAGTGAATAATATATGGTGAATTCATATAGATTCATATATATATACACACACACACACACTGTGTATAAGTCATATCCCATAAAGAAATAATGAAATTAGATAAAATAACATAGGTAAAAATTCTATTTTTTTCCTCTCCCCATGGGGTAACCAGATCATACACTCTAATTCATGTTACACAGTCTCTAAATGTTTACCACATATTGCAAAACAACGTATCTGGTGAATTATCAAACGTGTTTTTAATGAGGTTTTTGAGGGCATTTATGCTACGTCTTGAGGAAAGAAAAGTGGTTTTCATAAACTAGAATTGAAAAATAAAATATAAGGGGATTCAGGGGATCATAGTGGATGGGAGGCAAGACTAAATTGCAGCTTCGGACAGAGCAACATGCAGAGGCTTGCACTGTGAATTTTAGCTCCAGGTCAACTGCAAGAACAAACCATCAATTCCAAGAGGATCCACAGACCCTCTGAAGGAAGTGGACTGCCCCTGCAGGACCCAGGAGATACCCCAAATACTGTGAATGCCCCAACTGTGGAAGTGGGAAAGGGAGACCCTCCTCTCCTGAACACATACCCCCACTGGAGAAGCTGAAGTTCTGTTTGCAGGAGAAGTTTCCAAGTTTACCTGGAGCTGAGTCAAATTAGAGAGGTGAGCAAAATACAGGGGTAGAAGAAGCAGCAGAAAGATCCTGGGAGCTTGCTGGGTCCCCAGGCAGCCCATTCCTGCCTGGCACCACAGGGATCCATCAGGAGGGTGGCCAGAGAAGCAGGGGGTAAAACTCCACAGGGAGAAGGAATTCTCTAGCTGAACTTTGTAACAATTTGAACCAGGCAAGAACTTTGTAAGAATTTGAACCGTACCCTCTCCTGGCCAGAACTCAGGGGAGGGTGCGAATCTGGTGTGCAGACTCCACAGTTAGGGGAACTACCAAAGCCCTTTTCTTTCACAGCTGGGAGGCAGATATCCTTGGGCAAATTTTCAAGCCCCTCTAACCCTCCACCTGGAAACAGACTCAGGGCTGTTGGTGGCAGGGTGGTGGGTGGTGGGAGTGAGGGGAGTGAGAACAGCCCTTCAGTTTGTGTGGGAGCTGGGTGAGCCCTGTGACTGCTGGCTTTCCCCCACTTCCCTGACAACCTGCATGACTCAGCAGAGGCGGCCATAATCTTCCTTGGTAAACAACTCCAGTGACCTGGAAACCACCCCCATTCTCCACAGCAGCTGCAGCAAGACCTGCCCAAGGAGAGTCTGAGCTCAGACATGCCTAGCCCTGCCCCCACCTGATGGTCCTTCCCTACCCACCCTGGTAGTGGAATACAAAGAACATATAATCTTGGGAGTTCTAGGGGCCCCGCCTACTACTGGTCCCTCTCCACACTACACAGCTGACACTTTCTGGAAAGTGCCACCTCCTGGCAGGAGGCCAACCTGCACAAATATGAGTATTAAACCTCAAAAGCTAAGGACCCTCACAGAGTCCATTGCACCCTCCACCACCTCCACTGGAACAGGCGCTGGTATCCATGGCTGCAATACCCAAAGATGGTTCACATCACAGGACTCTGTGCAGACAACCCCCAGTACCAGCCTGAAGCCGGGTAGACCAACTGGGTGGCTAGACCCAGAAGAGAGACAACAATCACTGCAGTTTGGCTCACAGGAAGCCACACCCATAGGAAAAGGGGGAGAGTACTACATCAAGGGAACACCCCATGGGACAAAAGAATCCGAACAACAGTCTCCAGCCCTAGACCTTTTGTTTGACAGAGCCTACCCAAATGAGAAGGAACCAGAAAACCAACCCAACCCTGGTAATATGACAGAACAACGCTCTTCTATACCCCCCAAAAATCACACTAGTTCACCAGCAATGGATCAAACCAAGAAGAAATCCCTGATTTATCTGAAAAAGAATTCAGGTTAGTTATTAAGCTAATCAGGGAGGGGCCAGAGAAAGGCAAAGCCCAGTGCAAGGAAATCCAAAAAATGATGCAAGAAGTGAAGGGAGAAATATTCAAGGAAATAGATAGCTTACAGAAAACACAGTAAAAAATTCAGGAAAGTTTGGACACACTTTCAGAAACGTGAAATGCTCTGGAAAATCTCAGCAATAGAATTGAACAAGTAGAAGAAAGAAACGCAGAGCTCGAAGACAAGGTTTTCAAATTAACCCAATCCAATAAAGAGAAAGAAAAAAAGAATAAGAAAATATGAAGAAAGCCTTCAAGAAGTCTGGGATTATGTTAAACAATGAAACCTAAGAATAATCGGTGTACCTGAGGAAGAAGTCAATTCTAAAAGCCTGGAAAACATATTTTGGGAAATAATCAAGGAAAAGTTTCCTGGCCTTGTGAGAGACCTAGACATCCAAATACAAGAAGCACAAAGAACACCTGGGAAATTCATCACAAAAGATCTTAGCCTAGGCACATTGTCGTCAGGTTATCTGAAGTTAAGACGAAAGAAAGAATCTTAAGAGATGTGAGACAGAAGCACTAGGTAATCTATAAAGGGAAACTTATAAGATTAACAGCAGATTTATCAGCAGAAACCCTACAAGCTAGAAGGGATTGGGGCCCTATCTTTAGCCTCCTCAAACAAAACAATTATCAGCTAAGAATTTTCTATCCAGTGAAACTAAGCATCATATATGAAGAAAAGATACAGTCATTTTCAGACAAACAAATGCTGACAGAATTCGCCATTACCAAACCAGCACTACAAGAACTGCTAAAAGGAGCTATAAATCTTGAAACAAATCCTGGAAACACATCAAAACAGAACCTCATTAAAGCATAACTCACACAGGACCTATAAAACAAAAATACAAGTTAAAAACCAAAAACGAAGTACACAGGCAACAAAGAGCATGATAAAAGCAATGGTACCTCACACGTTCATACTAACATTGAATGTAAATGGCCTAAATGCTCCACTTAAAAGATACAGAGCTGCAGCATGGATAAGAACTCACCAACCAACTATTTGCTGCCTTCAGGAGACTCACCTAACACATAAGGACTCACATAAACTTAAGGAAAGTGGTGGAAAAAGGCATTTCATGCAAGTGGACACCAAAAGTGAGCAGTGGTATCTATTCTCATAGGAGACAAAACAAACTTTAAAGCAACAGTGGTTAAAAGTGACAGAGGGACAGTATATAATGGTAAAAGGCCTTATCCAACAGGAAAATACGACAATCCTAGACATATACGCACCTAACACTGGAGATCCCAAATTTATAAAACAATTACTAAGAAATTGAGATAGAGAGAGATCTAAGAAATGAGATAGGCAGCAACACAATAATAGTGGAGGACTTCAATACTCCACTGACAGCACTAGACAGGTCATCAAGATAGAAAGTCAATAAAGTAACAGCGGATTTAAACTATACCTTGGAACAAACAGACTTAACAGATATATAGAGAACATTTCATCCATCAACCACAGAACACACATTCTATTCAACAGCACATGGAACTTTCTCCAAGATAGACCATATGATAGGCCATAAAATGAGCCTCAATAAATTTAAGAAAATTGAAATTATATCACGCACTCTCTCAGATCACAGTAGAATAAAACTGAAAATCAGCTCCAAAAGAAATCTTCAAAACCATGCAAATACATGGAAACTAAATAACCTGCTCCTGAATGAGCATTGGATCAAAAACAAAATCAAGATGGAAATTTAAAAATTCTTCTAACTGAATGACAATAATGACACAACCTATCAAGACCTCTGGGATACAGCAAAGGCTGTGCTAAGAGGAAAGTTCATAGCCCTAAACACCTACATCAAAAAGTCTGAAAGAACATGAACAGAATATCTAAGGTCATACCTCAAGGAACTAGAGAAACAGGAACAAACCAAACCCAAACCCAGCAGAATAAAGGAAATAACCAAGATCAGAGAAGAACTAAATGAAATCAAAACAACAACAACAACAACAAGTACAAAATATAAATGAAACAGTTGGTTCTTTGAAAAGATAAATAAAACTGATAGACCATTAGCAAGATTAACCAAGAAAAGAAGAGAGAAAATCCAAATAATTTCACTAAGAAATGAAACAGGAGATAACTGACACCACTGAAATACTAAAAATCATTCAAGGGTACTATGATCACCTTTATGCATATAAACTAGAAAACCTAGAAGAGATGGATACATTTCTGGAAAAATGTAACCCTCCTGGCTTAACTCAAGAAGAATTAGATACCCTGAACAGGCCAATAACAAGGAGCAAGATTGAAATGGTAATTTTAAAATTACCAAAAAAATAAAGTCAAGGACCAGACAGATTCACAGCAGAATTCTACCAGACATCCAAAGAATTTGTACCAATCCTTTTGACACTGTTCCACAAGATAGAGAAAGAAGGAACCCTCCCCAGTTCATTGTATGAAGCCAGCATCACCCTAATCCCAAAACCAGGAAAGGACATAACAAAAAAAGAAAACTAAGACTGATATCCTTGATGAATATAGATGCCAAAATCCTCAATAAAATACTAGCTAGTCAAATCCAACAACATATCAAAAAGATAATCCACCACGATCAAGTGGGTTTCATACCAGGGATGCAGGAATAGTTTAACATATGCAAATCAATGGATGGAATACACCACATAAACAGAATTTAAAACAAAACTCACATGATCATCTCAATAGATGCAGAAAAAGCATTTGACAAAATCTAGCATCCCTTTACAATTAAAGCTCTCAGCAAAATAGGCATACAAGGGACATATCTTAATGTAATAAAAGCCATCTTTGACCAACCCACAGCCAACATAATACTGAATGGGGAAAATATGAAAGCATTCTCTCTGAGAACTAGAACAAGACAAAGATGCCCACTCTCACCACTCCTCTTCAACGTAGTACTGGAAGTCCTAGCCAGAGCAATCAGACAAAAGAAAGAAATAAAGGACATCAAAATCAGTAAAAGGGAAGTCAAACTGTCACTAGTTGCGGATGATATGATCTTTTACCTTGAAAACCCTATAGACTCCTCTGGAAAGCTCCTAGAACTGATAAAAGAATTCAGCAAAGTTTCCAGATACAAGATTAATTTACACAAATCAGTAGCTCTTCTGTACACCAACAGCAACCAAGAAGAGAATCAAATCAAGAACTCAACCCCTTTTACAATAGCTGCAAAAAAAGAAAATACTTAGGAATATACTTAACAAAGGAATCAAAAGACCTCTACAAGGAAAATTATAAAACACTCCTGAAAGAAATCATAGATGTAGCTGAGCGTGGTGGTGCATGCCTATAATTCCAGCTACTCAGGAGGTGGAGGCAGGAGAATCACTTGAACCCAGGAGACGGAGGTTGCAGTAAGTTGAGATCGCACCATTGCACTCTAGCCTCAGTGACAAGAGCGAAACCCTGTCTCCAAAAAAAAAAAAAAAGAAAGAAAAAAGAAAAAGAAATCATAGATGACACAAACAAGTGAAAACACATCCCATGCTCATGGATGGGTAGAATTAATGTTGTGAAAATGACCATACTGCCAAAGGCAATCTACAAATTCAACGCAATCCCCATCTGAAGACCACCATCATTCTTCACAGAATTACAAAAACAATTCTAAAATTCATATGGAACCAAAAGAGAGCCTCATAGCCAAAGCAAGACTAAGCAAAAAGAACAAACCTATAGGCATCACACTACCTGATTTCAAACTGTACTATAAGGCCGTAGTTACCAGAACAGCATGGTACTGGTATAGAAATAGGCACATAGACCAATGGAACAGAATAGAGAACCCAGAAATTAACCCAAATACAGCCAAATGATCTTCGACAAAGCAAACGAAAACATAAAGTGGGGAAAGGACACCATTTTCAACACATGGTGTTGGGATAATTGGCAAACCTCATGTAGGAGAATGAAACTGGATCCTGATCTGTCACCTTATACAAAAATCTATTCAAGATGGATTAAGGACTTAAACCTAAGTCCTGAAACTCTAAAAATTCTAGAAGATAACACTGGATAAACCCTTCTAGACATTGGCATAGGCAAGGGTTTTATGACCAACAACCCAAAAGCAAATGCAATAAAAACAAAGATAAATAGCTGGGACCTAATTAAACTAAGAGCTTTTGCATGGCAAAGGGAACAGTCAGCAGAGTAAATAGACAACCCACAGAGTGGGAGAAAAATCTTCATAATCTATACATCTGACAGATGACTAATATCCAGAATCTACAACGAACTCAAACAAATCAGTAAGAAAAAAAAAACCATCAAAAAATGGGCTAAAGACATGAATAGACAGTTCTCAAAAGAAGTTATACAAATGGCCAACAAACATGAAGAAATGCTCAACATCACTAATGATCAGGGAAATGCAAATCAAAACCACACAATGCAATACCACCTTACCTCCTGCAAGCCATAATAAAAAAAAAAATCAAAAGACAGTAGATGTTGGCATGGATGTGGTAAACAGGGAACACTTCTACACTGCTGGTGGGAATGTTAACTAGTACAGCCACTATGGAAAACAGAGTGGAGATTCCTTAAAGAACTAAAAGTAGAACTACCATTTGATCCAGCAATCCCACTACTAGTCACCCACATAGAAGAAAATAAGTCATTATTCAAAAAAGATACTTGCACATGCATGTTTATAGCAGCACAATTCACAATTGCAAAATCATACAACCAACCCAAATGCCCATTAATCAACGAGTGGATAAAGAAATATATATGATGGAATACTACGCAGCCATAGAGAGGAATTAGTTAACAGCATTTGAAGTGAACTGGATGAAATTGGAGACTATTATTCTAAGTGATGTAACTCAGGAATGGAAAATTCAACATCATATGTTTTCACTGATATGTGGGAGATAAGCTATGAGGACTCAAAGGCATAAGAATGATGCAATGGACTTTGGGGACTTGGGTGAAAGAGTGGGAGGGAGGTGAGAGATAAAAGACAATGAATATGGTGCAGTGTATGCTTGGGTGATGGGTGCACCATAATCTCACAAATCACCACTAAGGAACTTACTCATGTAACCAAATACCATCTGTAACCCAATAACTTATGGGAAAATAAAATAAAATAATAAATGAACAATAAAATATAACACACCAAGAAAGTGAAGAGACAACCCACAGAATGGGAAAAAATAATTGCAAACTACCCATCTGACAAAGGATTAACTACCCATCTGACAAAGGATTAATAACCACAATATATAAGAAGCTCAAACAACTCTACAAGAAAAAATCTAATAATCTGATCAAAAATGGCCAAAAAAGATTTGAATATATATTTCTTAAAAGAAGACATACAAATGGCAAACAGGCACATGAAAAGGTGCTCGACGTCAATGGAGAAATGCAAATTGAAACTGCAGTGCAATATCATCTCACTGGAGTTAAAATGGCTTATATTCAAATGACAGGCAATAACAAATGCTTGAGAGAATTTGGAGAAAAGGGAACCCTCATATACTGTTGGTGGGAATGTAAATTAGTACAACCACTATAAAGTACAGTTTGGAGGTTCCTTAAAAAACTAAAAATTGAGCTACCACGTTATCCAGCAATTGTACTGTTGGGTATATACCCAAAAGGAAGGAAATCAGTATGTTCAGATATCTGTAGTACTATGTTTGTTGCAGCACTATTTACAATAGCTAAACTTTGGAAGCAACCTGAGTGTCCATCAAGAATGCGTTAAAAAATGTGGTACATATACACAATGGAGTACTATCCAGCTTTAAAAAAGAATGAGATCCAGTCATTTGCAAGACCATGGTTGGAACTGGAGATCATTATGTTAAGTGAAATAGCCAGGCACTGAAAGACAAATATCACATGCTCTCACTTATTTGTGGGATCTCAAAATCAACCCACTTGAACTCATGAATATAGAGAGTAGAAGGATGATTACCAGGGCCTGGGAAGGATAGTGGGGGGCTAGAGGGATGTGGGCATTTTTCATGGGTACAAAAAATAGAATGAATGAGACCTGCTGTTTGATAGCACAATAGGGTGACTATAGTCAATAACTTAATTGTACATTTTAAAATAACTTAGAGTGTAATTGGATTGTTTGCAACTCAAAAACTAAATGCTTGAGGGGATGGATGTCCCATTCTTTGTGATGTGATTATTTAACTTTGTATGTCTGTATCAAAACATCTCATGTATGTTATAAACATATATACCTATGTACTCACAAAAATTAAAAAATTATAAAACTCTTGGCTCAATTTGAATTTGGGGTAAGTAATGTTATTATTTTGTATAAATATCTTCCAATAATTGCTTAAACATATTACACACAAATATGCAAATATTCATAGCTATGCTAAAAAGTTATTCATTGTTTATCCTAGTTTTAAACTTTACTGTGTTTCTTATATTTTCTTTTGGTGAATCTGACACATCCATTATGGAAGTATCGTAGGATTTACAATAACATTGTACAGACGTGGGGAAAAAAGAATAAAAGGTCATATGGATTGGTAAGAGTATAAAAGAAAACTGAGTTTCAAATGATACCTTGAAAACATAAATCAGGATGTACATCTGAGCTCTCACCAGGAAATGTGGCAACCAGATTGTCCTTGGGCTGAGGGTGAAGTCTCTGAGCATTCTCAGAGACAGACAATGCAAATCAAGTTCATTCTCATTGTGCTTGCTTTACCTTCAAAATTGTATAAGTCCCTAAGCGTATATATAATCAATAATTGTGGGAAAAATAACATCATTAAATGTACCAAAACAATAGACTGATCACAAATACTGCAGGTGTTTAAATCAGATGTCTGAAGCAAAGAAAGAGAGTGTAATGAAAAATAATTTGAAGAAAATAGAGCTCTATAAATCTGTTTATTCATCTTTATAATAATGTCAAATTTGTTGAGATTTTTAAAAAATGACATGATTTGTCTATAGATCTTTGTACTCTGGCTTAAGTTAAATGTATATACAACTTATATAATAAAATACTGTGCTGTTTTATTATTATTTCTTGGTCCCCACCACTTTCAACATATTCTAGAAATGGCACAGTAAGACCTATGACTGGTTATCAACAACACAAAGTGATTATGAGAGTTTCATGTGACAGATAAAGGAAGGTTGGTTGGTTCAGTGGCAATAGTTGGTAACCTGAGAAACTGAGCTCACAATTTTAGAAAAGTATTATTCTTTCTAACTAGATATTTCCATGAAAATAATCTTGTGAAATGCAGAAGTGCCAAAAGAATAATTATAAGATAATAACCAAATAACTAAAAGACATCTCAATTTCTCTGGCAATGTAACTTAATGCAGGGTGCAGCCATAATCACGATGTTTACTAACATAGACATTTATGATGTCAAGACATTTAATTCTTAGCTCGTTGAGAAAAAAAGTACTAGAAGTGTTACTGCAGAGACCAAAGACAAAAAACAGTGGAGGGGCTTGATCACAAGTCATATCTTACAATTTTTGGAAACCTCTAAAAATCCTGCCTGGTGGTAGGTGTTTGAATCTGGAGTGAGCTATGATTGTGCCACTGCACTCCAGCAAGAATGACAGAGCTGGATCCTGTGTACAAATATATACGTATTGTATATATTGTCAATGACCAGTCATAGGTCTTACAATGCTGTTTATACAATATGGTGAAAATGATGTTGACAAAGAAATTATCAAAATAATAATAAAAGCCCAGTATGTTATTTTATTATGTAAGTTGTTTATAAATTTAATATAATTGAGGCAGATTATGAAGATCTGTAGACAAATCATGTCATTTTTTTTAAATCTCAACATAATAGAACATTTCTTTTTTAAAGTACGCAAGCTCTTTGACCATCATGTCTCTGTGCATGACTGTAATAAGATAGCCAGAGCAACTGCTTCCACTGTGGAGTTGGGAGGAGATAAATACACATGCTTTGTACTTTGAGTGCTCTGATCAGGATCAGGGGAGGTCCCTGCACTCTGACTTTATCTCTCCTAAATGTGCAAATTGCAGAGATTTTTAACGTGAACTGAATATTACTGTTAGATCCTTTTGGTCTATAGCTGTTTCAGTTCACTATTCTTTTACTGATTTTCTGTCTGGATAATAAATCCATTGTTGAAAGTGTAGTATTGGAGTCCCCTAGCATTAGTGTATTGCTGTCTATTTATCCCTTCAGTTCTGTTAGTATTTGTTTTATATAGTTAGGTGCTCAGATGTTGGGTGCATATATATTTACAATTGTTATAATCTCTCAATAAGTTTACACTTTTCTTGAATAAAAAAGAGACAAATGAAAAATTCTCTAATGTTCAGGGACATGCAGGTTTTCTATTGCTCATGTTTCTTCTTGATATTTTTATGCCATGGCAGGCTGCAAATGAATAATCTCTATTATCATCCTTGTGTTCCTTTGTGTTTTAACCTATCCTTATTCCATTATCTTTTATCTTGAAGAATAATAGACACCAGAAAATCCTATCCCTACCAAATGCAAAAAAAACCCAAAATTATAAATATTAACATTTACAAGTCACATTTGTGCGTATATATTTTAATTAGAAAATTACAATTTTTAACTTTCAGAGGAAGTGGTAGTAATATAAAACAGAGGACATTTTTATAATAGGGAACTTATATTCTTAATATTCTGCAAATTATTATTCTCTCATCACCAAATAATCTTACCTAAAGTAATATATCACCAATTTAATAAATTTAGTTTAAAAAAACACAAAATTACAAAACAATTAATACTATATTTGAAATCATGATGTATATTGCAAGCCTCCCTTCAGGTAAAGTTCTATTAACTCTACAAACATTTTATAAATGGCAGAAGTTACATTTCCAGATAGTTTTGTGGTAACCAAAAAAGAATTTATTTATTAGCAATTTTCATAACACATTGAGACAAAATATTATTTGTGATAAATGTCATTATTGTAAAATATTTAAAACACCTCATGTATTAAGAAATCCTAATTTAGATGGGGCCAAGCTGGTGGATTAGAAGCAGCTGTGGCTCATGGCGCTCATGGAGAGCAATGAAAACTGCGAGTGAATTCTACACCTTCAATTGAGGTATCCAGGTTCTTGCATTGGGACTGACTAGGCAGACAGCTCGACCCACAGAGAGTGAGGAAAAGCAAGTAGGGCGATGGCCCACCCAGGTGTGGCACAGAGCTAGGGGAGCCCCACTCGCAGCCAAGGGAGGCGGTGAGTGATTGTGTGACTCTACCCGGGGAAACCATGCTTCTGCCAGGGATATTTGCAACCTGCAGATCAGAAGATTCCCTCGTGAGCCCAGTCACCATGGCCTTGGGTCTGAAGCACAGAGCTGTGTGGAGTCTCAGGGGAGTACTCGCTGGCTCACTGTGGTGTGCTTGGAAACCCAGGAGTTTTGCATTCTCTGCCCCCAGAAGTCCGGCAAAGCACGAGATAAATCCATGCATTCCCCTAGGAAGGGGGCTGAATCCAGGGAGCCAAGTGGCATCATTCTGTGGGCCCTACTTCCACAGCGCCTCACAAGTTAAGACCCATTGACTTGGAATTCCAGCTGGCCAGCGGCAGAAGGCTGGAGAGGCGGAGATGGACCACGTTCCCGGGGGGAGGGGCAGTCGCTATATCTGTGGTTTGAGTTGGCCGCTCTAGTCTGCTGGCACCAGGGACTGGGGGGCAGTTCACCACAACGCAGCACAGCTGCTGTGCCTGATTGTGGTCAGGAACTTGTGTTTGCCATCCCATTCCTTTTTCTCCTCTACTGTTTCTAGTCATGGGGATGTTTTATTTCACAAACTAGAGCACCGACTTCTTGGCAACAGATAAACTTTTGGCTTTGTGACACCCACCAACCAAACCTGAAGTATAACTCAACCCTGATTATAACTGCCACATTTGTGATTCTTTTAATTAAGAAAAACACTCGATGTTATAATGGTAGCTTTTCTTTTCATAAACCTATATATCTTAGCACAGAGCACCAGCTCAGCCTGTTTGGGTTTGGCATGGTATGTTCCCACGCGTTGTCTTTGATTCTATAACAAACAAGTCTTCCAATTGGCCTCATTCAGGACACCCTCACCCCTCAGACTTCTACTCTCTACAAATACAATTCTGCCTGAACTCTCTAACTGGATCTATTCTATCATTAGCTGCCATAACTACAACCTCAGTACTCATTCTTTGTTGTTTCTTAGCTCTTGATTTGTTCATTTAATTGACTTATTTGAAGTTTCTCTATTTCTTCTTTTAAAATTTCCTTGGCCAGTGCTCACAGAAAAAAAAAAAAACTGTCAACTAAGAATCCTACACCTAGCAAAGCTATGTATCAAAAATTGAGGATTGCTTGAGTTTAGGAGTTCAAGACAGGCCTGGGCAACATAATGAGACCTCATCTCTGCTAAAAATAAAAAATACATATTAGCTAGATGTGGTGGTGTGCACCTGTAGTCTCTAAGCTACTTGGGAGGCTGAGGTGAGAGAACTGCTTGAGCTCAAGAAATCTAGGCTGCAGTGAGCTATGATTGTGCCACTGAACCCTAGCCTGAGTGACAGAGTGAGGTCCTGTCTCAAACGAACAAACAACAACAACACAGAACCTTAGGCAATCTAACAAAAATGTAGTTTTGGTCAATTTTTGCTATTTTAAATTCCTGATTTTTCTTTACATTCTAATGCAAAGGGAAATGAAAGCACTGGTGAGACCTAGGCTGGAGGGGCCTGCCCTCGGCCTACTGTATGTTACCTCTGGGTGACCTCTGCAAAATCTCCAGAGGCATCTTGGGTGAGGAATAAGCCAATGTGAGCATCTCAGAAAAGGTTTTCACTTTAGGCCTTCCTGAAGCAAGAGCCTAAGAGAGTTGGGATAGAGCAGGAGCACATCATGCTCTCTTAAGCATTTCCCACCAAGTGACCTGGATACAGGGCTGTCTCTAGGGTGTGGGTGCTTGGCTACCAGAGTTCTAAGTTTTGTTGGGGTCTGTCACCAAGGTAGTAAGATGGCTTTTTCAAAGTTTCATCCTCTGGGCTCCTGGCTTCCATAAGACCTACCCAAAGGCCCTGCTGGGCTATTGACTGCTCACTATCCCTGCATGTCAACTCTTTACCTGTGCACAGTTATGCAAGTACAGCCCTTCTCAGTTCCCTGGAAAGACCTGAATGCAGCCAGGGCCTCAGGTGTGAGATCACAGATCCAGGTAACAATCTACTTTTTCTTACTAGTTCTGTGACACCAGAAAAGTTATTGTGGGTTTTGGGGCCTTTCAACATGTACAATGGGGTAACATGCCAGCATCTCCTTCCTAGGGAACTCATCAGGTGTGTATGAGATAAAACTTGTAAAACTCATGGTGTGGCATCCCACGTAGATAACGCACACACTTAGAGATAAAAGAATTATAAGGAATGGGAGGTAGCATAAAATACAATTCAAACAAGCCTGTGTCCAGCAGTGTGTTATTGGAAAGTCACTTCCCCTCTCAGCCCCATTTTTCATTCTGCACCAGTAAGAGTTTCCGATGAAATGAAATTCAGATATTGTCATCCTCTGACATTACTCCTTTCAGTGCCTTCTCATTATATTCAGAATCAGACCCATGTCCTTCATTTTGGCCTATGTGTTGGGCAGCCTATAGGAAGGGCTCACAACACTAAGGAGTTAGTGACTCACTTCTGACCAACAGAATGCAACGAAAATGATGGGATAACACTTCTGTCCTAGGTCACGCTGTTATAGCAAAGATAGACTGAGCCGCTTATCAACAACAGAATGTTCTTCTTCACAGTTCTGGAGGACAGAAGTTGAAGATCAGAACGCCAGCATGGATGGAGTCTGGTGAGAACTCTCTTCTGAGTTGCAGACTGTAGACTTTACATTGTATTTTTACCTGACAGATAGTGGAGGAAGGAGCTCTCTGGGGTTTCTTTTATAGAGCCAGTAATCCCGCTCATGAGGGTTTCACCTTCAGGACCTAATTACCCCCCACTTCCTAGTACTGTTATACGGGGGACCAGGATTTCAACATATACAATTTTTGGTGGGGAAATGTTTAGTCTATTGCAACTCTCATTATGTTATTATCCAAAAAGCTGCCATTTTCTCCTAGTCACTTTCTTCTGTGTGTTCTTCCTCAATCTCTCTCATCTCTTCTGTTTACTCTGTCCAGTGTTTTCTCCCTCATTCTCTTTCTCTGTCAATATGTATTTTTCTTCCTGACTTTCTACTGCATTCCTCAAATTCAGAAAGCAAGCTCCAGTGTTATGAGCTGCCCTGTGCAGAGGCCTACACAACAGAGAATGAGGGAGTGCCCAGGCCAGGGGAGACTCTCAGGCTCTCAGTCTACACTGAATCCAGCCGATACCCACATGAGTGTGCCTCGAAGCCAATCCTCCCACAGCCCAGCTTCAGCTGAGAACACAGCCCCAGCCTCATTGCAGGCAGCCAGCAAAGCTGTGTCCAGATTCTAGTCCACCTAAGTCATGAGATAAGTAAGCATTTGTTGTTCGAAGGTGCTAAGTTTGGGGATAATGACGTCAGAGAGAAGCAGATCACTATCTTCTTCTTCCAGGCCTCAGAGTCCTCCTTGCCTCTCTACTTCTCTTCCCCAGGCTCCCTCTAGCCCCACTGGCCTCTTTCTCACATCCTCTGCCAAAGTCACTTCTGCCTGCATGTCTCTGCACCAGGAGTGGCATCTCCCTGATACACTGTTCCCAGACTTGTGCAGGGCTAGCCCTCTGTTGTCATCCTAGTCATGGCATAAATGTCACCTCAGTGAGGCATTTGGGTCCCTCAAATGCTATGGCTCCCCAGCCCTCCCTCCCAACATCCTACTTTAATTATAGCATTTACTCTTCTTTTATATGCACTTGCTTTAGTGTTTTTGTCCATATATCCTCAGACTGTGGGCTCCTTGAGTGGGGGAAAGGGCCACTCAATCATTTCCCAGCACCACATGCTGGGCCCACCAGGGCACTTCGCACAGGTTTAGTTCTGCGGCAGGGTTGCTGGGTGAATAAATGAGGGAATGTCTAACCTCCTTACCTGATTCTGATCACCTCATAATGGTATATTTCTTACAAGAAACACAGTAATTATAGTTGATAGTAAAACATAAATGACAAAATAAAATTTCTGAAGTTTCCTGTTGAGCATTTATGATAGCTTTTATTATATAATTATCCCAGTTAAGATTTTAAGTTTTATAACTTTTACATAGATTTTTAATAAAAACCCGTTTTAACTCTGAGTTCTGACAATGTTTTATAGTCTATCTCCAAATTCTTCTATAATTTAATAATTTTATTCATGTTTTTATGAATGATTTTGACCCTGATATTTATTCTGGAAAGAGGAATTCTACAAATTTCCTACCAGGTCAGACATTTCATCATCCAGGATTTAGCATCTGATGTTCCAATTAACAGGTGTACAAGTTGATATGTCAAGTAACCCTGGGCCATGTATGCCCTAAATAATTCTAAATTATTTGATGAATATTTGACTTTGTTTAGTTTTTAAAAATTGTTAATTATAACTTGTTAGTTCATGTATAACTTGTTAGTTCATGTAGACTCTGAACTCATGCGCTAGATTTAAATTCTGCAGTCGCTTATATATCTGGGTCATGGTAAATGTGGATCTTTAGATGTAAGAAAGTTGGGAATTTATGACAGTTGGGAAAATAATTTCAGAACAAAAAGCAAGAAGGAGAAGTCAGTGGTGGGGCAGAGGAGAAGAGAGATCAGAATCCTAAGGGGCAGGAGGGAGAGCTGCACACCAGGAAGCAACGGAAAGACAAGGAGGGGAAGGATTTACTAAAAAATGTATCTAGTTTTTGTTACTTCTGATTGTAAAATTTTTCATCTTTAGCCATCTTTAACCACAGAATATTTTAGTGGAGCAATGTTTAATTCAGAATTATATGTGGACTCCTTTGCCTACCAACTAAAAATACTGCCCATTGGACCCGAGGAATCTTGGTTTTTCTAACATGCCTTTCAAAGGAACAATGTTTCTCTAGTCAATCATTAATGTGGCCATTAAAGTTTCAAATAATCCTTGATGAAGTAATGCTATTCAGAGAAATAAGCGTAAGAATTGTAATAAAAGTATATATAAGTACCAATAGTTTTGTCCTAAAATGAAGAGTATTTAGAGGACAGTTTGTATGTAATTCTGTGCACCTAATGTCTAGGCCCTAATGTGATGGTTGGCCATATCTTAAAGCAGAAAAAAGCCTGTGATCCTGGTGGGTATAAAACCAGAGAAAACATGCTCTATGGATTAAAGATGTTTTCTTAAGACAAAAAAAGTGAAAGGAGAATGTAACCAGTTTCATAGTAACTGACAGCAATATTTATCCAAATTGATGCTGATCCAGGGAAAACCACTAACTGTCCTCTCTGTGAGGTTGGCTCAAACAATAGGCTCAAAGGTCCTATGCCTATGGCCTACCCTTGGGTTATTCTTACAAAAAATAACTTTAGGCATCATAACACATAACAGTAACACAAGGATAGCGCAATGAGATGAAGATGGCCTGATTCTACCAAGAATGTCAAAGAAATGGAGTCTACAAAATCTAGGCACCAAACTCAGGATAAATAGCTGCAGAACTCAATAGAAAAAGAACAGAGTTCAGCTCTTATGCTGGCTTACCACATCATCATGCACTTGACAAGTCAGGAAAAGCAAGGCAAAGGGGACCTTCATGGGTGGTGCACATAGTCAAGGCTGTCACCTATGGCAGTGGGTAGTGCAGAATATATCTCAGTGGAATCTTCATGTGACCATGAAAATTAGCAGACCACCTGAGGTAAGTGCCCCATTCAAGTGTATCATTTTTAAATCTTTTATACCATATTTTTACTGTACCTTTTCTATGTTTATATACACAAATGCTGACCCTTGTGTTACAATTGCCTACAGTATTCAGCACAGTAACATGCTATACAGGTTTGTAGTTTAGGAGCAATAAGCTATACCAGATAGTCTAGGTGTGTGATAGGCTATACCACCTAGGTATGGCTATACCACCTAGGTATAGCTATACCACCTAGGTTTGTGTAAGTACATTCTATGATGTCCATGCAGCAATATTACACAGTGGTGCGTTTCTCAAGATATATCTCCATTATTAAAAATGTATGTTTGTATAAAAAATAAAATGGATGTTGAAAGTGTGAAATTGCTATATATCATTTCATAACATATAACCCCAAAACTTTGTGGCATAAAATCACAATATTTATTACCTAATTGAGTTTCTGTAAATGAGGAATTCAAGAACAATTTATCATGGTGGTTGTGCCTCAGGATATCTCATGTGGTTACAGAGTTTAACTGGGGCTGTCATCCAAAGCCTTGACCGAAACTAGAAGATCCACTTTCAAGTTTGCTCACATTCACGGCCCACAAGTTGGTGGGGTTTGTAATTGAAGGCCTCAGGTTCTCTTCACATGGATATTTTTGTAAGGTTGCTTGACTGTTCTCACCAAATAATTGCTGGTTTCTTCCACAGTGAGTGCTTAGGAAAAAGCAAAGCATAAGTGGCAAAATCTTTATGCTCTAGACTCAGAAATCACACTTGTTCACTTCTGTCACATTCTATTCACCAGAGAGGATTATTAAACTTGACATACTTTCAAGAGGAAGAAAATTAGGATCAATGAAAGGACTTCAATAAGTTTGTAAAAAAAAAAAAAAAAAAAACAAAGTAAAACACAAAAACAAAATATATACTTTATTTCTCAACATAAGCTTCATCAAATGCAAGACACTTTTATAAGCAATAATACCTATCCCTACAAAAACTAAGGTCCTGGGAATTTAACCATGTCAAGATAGTCTTTTTTACATCATTAACTGAAGAAAATGGGTGTCCTGAAACCATCCCCCCGTCTTTTTCTGATTTTTTTAAGATCAGAAAAGAAAATGAAGAAGTTAGCAGGAGCCAAATCAGGGCTAAAAGGTGGATGCCCAATAATATTCCATTGAAACTGGCAAAATTGTCTTTTTTTTGATGAGAGGAATGAGGAGAACATTGTTGTGGTGGAGAATTCTCTGGTGAAATTTCCTGGAAGTTTTTCTTCTAAAGCTTTAACTTTCTCAAAATACTCTCATAATAGCACGTGTTATTGGGGTTTGGTTTTGGTCCTCTAGAAAGTCAACAAACAAAATGCCTTGAGCATCCTAAGACACTGTTGCTATGAGCTTTGTTCTAGACAGTCACCTTTTGCTGTGACTGGACCACTTTTACCTCTTGGTAGCCATTGCTTTTATAGTGTTTTGTCTTGAGGATTTCACTAGAACAGCTGTGTTTGACCTCCTCTTACAATTATTTGAAGAAATGCTTCAGGATCTTGATTCCACTTATGTAAAATTTCAGTTGAAAGCCCTGCTCTTGTCTGCAGCTGATGTGGAAACAAGAGTTTTTTAATCTATTGAGTGGAAAAGTTTTCAAAATTGTGTATATTTAACCAGTTGAGATGGCTATGATGTTAGCTGTTGTTTATGCTGTTGTCATTCCTAAAGCAGGGCATGAACAAGTTTTTTTTTTTTTCTGGTGAATTAATGTGAATTGTCTGCCACTGCAGGCTTTATCTTCAACATCGTATCCCTTCTTCAAATGAGTTATTCATTTGTAAACTTGTGAATGTTGGGGGGCAGTGTTCTCATAAACTTGTCATAAAAGAATCAGTGATTTTACTATTCACCCAAAATTGCCATATTGCTATAAATTTTATGTTTATTCTTGCTTTAATTTTAGCAGAATTCATGTTGCTCTAATGGGACCTCTTTTCAAATTGGTGTCTTAGTTTTCTTATTATAATTCCTCAAATTAGATCCTGTTCAGACATGTTATAAGAAGTTAGTACAAGTTTATTTAGGTGCAAAATATTTTTGAAATCTATGCATAGTTTCTTCATAATATGCACTTCCTATGAACTTTTTGAAGATGCCTCATACTTTTTGAAGACTTTCAAATAATTTTTGAACATATTTTTAAACTACCACAAAAAAATTATCTATAGCACCGAATTTCAGATTTACCAAGTTTGTGATAAGTATAATAACCAATGGAAATACCAGATGGGCAGTTTAGCTATTGAAATAGAATTGGAGTTAAATGATTATAGAGGTATTCAGTAAAGACCTGCAGGCATTGAAAAGCATTAAAAAATTTAGAAATCAAAGAACAGGATTATATGTACCATTTAAGAGGAGGAAGATGAGAGGAAATATATCAGAAAAAAAAAGAGCACAGAGGAGGATCAATAACAGCAAATGTTATGTAAAACTTAAGGACAGTGTAGCCATTGCTATTCTCCACAGAGCACTGACATTTCCTTGTCAATAGTATCACTGAAATGCCTGCTTCCATTTCCAACATCCTGTCTTTGTGAAGCAGGGTTTTTTGCAGTGACAGCAACCAAAACAAGGTTACAGAGTAGATTGGACATAAGCACCACATTTTGGGTGTCACTGTCTCCCATCATCCCCTGATGGAACTGTCTAGTTGCAGGAAAACAAGCTCAGGTCTCCCACTGATTCTATATTATGATGAGTTGTATAATTATTTCATTTTATAATACAGTAATAATGGAAATAAAATATGCAATAAATGTAATGTACTTGAATCATCCTGAAACCATCCCCCTGTCCAGTCCATGGAAAAGTTGTTTTTCACAAAACCAGTCCCTGGTGCCAAAAAGACTGGGGACTGCTGCAATATAGGAATAACAATATAAAGAGAGGAAAACACGAAACCTATCACATCTTTAATAGTATATGTACTGATGGTGTACAGAATACACTAATTACATTCATTCATTTAATATCAACCAATACCTACAAATCACATACAAATGCCTGGAATTATTTTAGGAGAACGGTGAACAAAAAAGCAAGAGAGACAGCAAATTAAAAATATACATGTATGATTATCAGAGCAAGACCCCATCTCTACAAAAAAAATTCTACACACATACGCCAGGTAGTAATGAGTACTAATTAAAAAAATGAAGAGTGAGAGGAGAAAGAGACAGATAAGTTAATTCATGTAGAACAATCAAGGAAGGTTTTCTGCGATGACAGTAGTTACCAGCGCAGGTTTTAGAATCAGATGCCAGTTTTAATCGTGGCTCCATGTCTTATAGCTGGGTATTCCATGGACAATTTAGTCTACTTTTAAATCTCACTTTTCTTTTTTTTTTTTTTTTTGAGTTGGAGTTTCACTCTTGTTGCCCAGGCTGGAGTGCAATGGCATGATCTCAGCTCACCACAACCTCCGCCTCCCAGGTTCAAGCGATTCTCCTGTCTCAGCCTCCCTAGCAGCTGGGATTATAGGCATGTGCCACCACGCCCGGCTAATTTTGTATTTTTAGTAGAGATGGGTTTCTCCATGTTGATCAGGCTGGTTTCGAACTCCCGACCTCAGGTGATCCGCCCACCTCAGCCTCCCAAAGTGCTGGGATTACAGGCGTGAGCCACTGCGCCCAGCCAGGTCTTTTAATAATTTATGATAGCTTTATATATATATTACCCAAATTAGCTTTTTGTCTGTCATGTATGTTGCAGATCTATTTCCCCAGTCTGTTGACTTTTGACTTTGAGGCATTTTTCTCTCATAGAAAGTTTTAATTTTTACAGAGTCAAATGCATCAATCTTCTATACAATGACTTCATGGGTATGGTGTTTCAGTTTAGAATAAAAAAGTTGTAGATATGAATAAAGGAGATGGCTGTACAACACTGTGAATATACTGGATGTGACTGAACTGTACATTTGAACATGGTTAAAATTGTAAGTTTTATGATATGTACATTTTACCACCAAAAAAAGGACAGGCTTAGATGTTTATTATATATTAGGGGTTTGGAGTACCTGTAATATTTATTCCCCTCCAGGGCTCTAATTTATAAAACACCCAAACAAGAAAAGTAGATATTGACTTCACAAATCCCCATGGCACCTTACAAGCCCCACAGCACGGGCTGTCTGGGAAAGTAGAGGTAGAAAAAGTCACATAAACTTGAGGTCAATGTGAGACCTCCCCTACTCTGGAACCAGATGGAGGAAGGCATGCATGCAGGCTGACCTGGAGAGATGGGGTGGGCAGAACAGTCCTCCCATGAGCCCAGATCTTAAGTGCTCTCACATGCTCTCAGGCATGTATCAAACCAAGAAAGCAGGCTAAGAGGGTAACACATCTACCTGTATACAGGGAGCTATGAAATATCTGAGCTGAGCAAGTGATGCACAAGAGGACAGAATCAGTATGACCTTTATACAGTGACCTGGCTCAAATAATTCCAGGCTGTCATTAACCAGGTGAGCTCCTCTAGAGGGGGTGAAGTGGGAGTTGGGGATCATGGAAAAGAAAGCATGGTAGCATTTCTTCTAACTCTATCATAAATAAAAAGGCCAGGCAAGGTGACTCACACCTGTAATCCCAGCACTTTGGGAGGCCAAGGCAGGTGGATCATGAGGTCAGGAGATTAAGACCATCCTGGCTAGCACAATGAAACCCCGTCTCTACTAAAAATGCAAAAAATTAGCTGGGCCTGGTGGCATGCACCTATAGTCCCAGCTACTTGGGAGGCTGAGCAAGAGAATCACTTGAACCTGGGAGGCGGAGGTTGCAGTGAGCCAATATTGTACCACTGCACTCCAGCCTGGGTGACAAAGCAAGACTCTATCTAAAAAAAAAAAAAAAAAAGTAACACATCAATGCCCTTTCTCAGGACCCAAATGTCAGGTGAAAAAAATTTTTGTCATCTCAGTCATGTAATATGGACTTTAGCAGAGCAGTATACACATGGTCATTTACTCTTTTCTCTCTGCATGTTATATGCTTTTTCAATTTTACAAGGTAACTGATCCATTTGTTTCATTATACTAGCTGTGAACAAGGCTGCTGAATGTCACACCAGATGGCCAGCATGTCTGTGAAGGGCAGAAACTGGGTCAGCCAAACAGCTGGCAGAGGCCAGCTAGTAAGTACCTGGTGCCCACTCCACAGAGGGCTCCACACTTAAAAGACAAGACGAGCAAATGCCAGGCTGCCTCACTAGTTATCCCCCAAATAAAAAAATAAAAGTAACCCCTCCAGGGAACAGGTGTATGTCTACACCTAAGTACGTGTACACAGCTGCATGCAAAGGGGAAAGGCTTGGAAGGAATCAAACCCATCTCTGAACAGCAGTTACTTCTGGGGAAGGAGCAGGTGCTGAACAGCAGTTACTTCTGGGGAAGGGGCAGGTGAAGCCGACTCTCAGCCTTATTCACCTTTTCAACTGATGAGCTGCATCAATTTTAGCAATTTTTTTTAAAAAAGGCAATTTGTACTCCTTGGGTGATCACACAGGCCTTGCAAAACTGAACCACCAACAACCACCTGCACCACTTCCCATGAGGCCAAATAATGGCTTCCCTCGAAGCTCAGCCCTCCCACGCACTTTTCAGTCCTGGTCCCGTGCAGAGGGCTACTGACATCCTGGGGTACAGGGGACTAGGCTGAACCCACCCCACAGATTCCTGGTGAAACCAACATGTATCCAATGGCCTTTCCCCAACCTGGGCCATGTGCCTACTGCATAAATATGCCTGTTCTTGCTCCCCTAGGACAGAGGCTCCCTTTTCCTACAGTTGGAATGAGGGATGGGGAGATTTGATGGTGTCCTGTACAAGTTGGATGTTAATTTGACGTGGTGCTGCTGGAGAAGCTTGCCTGAGTCAGGCACATTCTCAGCACGTGGTATGTGCTGCCCCTTCAAAGCTGCAGGAGTCTCAGAAGGTAGGTGCTACCACAACCCCCATTTACTGGTGAGCAGAGGTCAGGTGACCTGCAGCCAGCCAAGCAGCTGCTAAGTGGCCAACAGGCTGGATCTGCATCTCACTTGCAGAGGCCCTGCCTGGCTGCTGGGGCTGCCCTGGAGACTCACCCTGCCTCCTCCTCCTCTTCCCTCCACAGTTATGCTGGCTTCTATCCACAGCTGCACTCCAGGTGGGGAATACCTATGGATGCACCAGGGTGCAACTACTCAAAGACTCCAGTGTGCAGAAGGGCCCCTGCTCCATGTTGTTCCCATATCCAAGCCCAAGCTCATCTAGGACTTCAGCAAACCCAAGCTTCCCTGAATTCCCTGCTGAGACCAAACTGAGCCCTGTGACCCACACTACTACACTGGTTAGCTGCCAGTCCCAGCCCCTGCTCCCTCCTGGGCCCCTGTCTGTACAGTTCTGAAGTCCTACAAGAATGTTAAGATCCTAAGCCGACTCTCACCCAGGGTGGTAAACAACCAGGAGCCACCAGGGGTAGAGAACATACCCAGATAGGTTGTGCTGCCTGTAGGCTTAATGTCCTTCCCTGACTACCCACCATGCTTGCCAGGCTGGAAGGGGGACTCCAGAAACTTGGGAAACCCAGGCTTACAGCTGGCATATGGAAAACAGGCCTGGAAGAGCACCACTCCTGTCCATGAAGCCCCCCAGATGAAACCAGGTAATTATGAAATACATGAGTACCATGCCTGACCCCCACTCAGACTCAGGTGGGAACCGCAGCAGTGACTTGCCCCTTCTGCCACTCCGGCTCTACCATTGCAGGAGGGAGGAACATCTGACCCCACGCACAAGTGGAGACACTAGGTGTGGGCAGGTCCCAGTGGTTGCTGCAGGTGAACCTTCCCAACCAACCACACAAGGCCATCTCAGGTGGGTGCACACCTGGGCTGGGCTGGGCAAGGACACCCCTCAGAGGGTAAGAGCCACTGAGGAGGGCTGTCACAGAGGCCCCTTTTCCTGCTCTGAGAATAGGTTCGGGGAGTAGGGGGACCTCTCCCACTCCTTCCAGGAGCCACGTCTTTCAAGATGAGGCACTCTGCCTCCCTGTTCCCATTTGGCCCCAATAGGCCATTGCCAACATTCAGAGAACAAAAAGAAAGGAGCCTCACCCGTTTTCCCTGACACATCGGAGGCAGGTGGGTATGCCCAGGGGACCTGGAATAGAACCCGTTCATCTGCCCAGCCCGAGGCTGTGCTGGCTTCATCTTGTCTATCTGTGTGATGCAGGGAGGAGATACCAAGAGGTCATCACACAGGCCATGGACGAGTTCTACAAGAGCCAGGTAGAAGAGAACTGTCCAGGCATGCTGCCCAGCACCCAGCTCACACACGCATCTCTTATTTGAAGCTTCCCCAAAGCAGGTCTTGAAGTCCAGCCTCCCTGAGAAGCTGCGGAGGAGACTCGGCTGAGCTAAAGGGCCTATCACCAAATGTGCCACCCTTGCTTGTCTCATCCTGGCAATCTTGGATTATTTTTGCCCTGAAATTTTGGAGCAGGGGACAGGGAAGACAGAAGACAGTGTGTATCAGCCCTCCAGACTGAGGCAGGTCAGACCTCCACTCGGGTACTTTTCTCCTCACTAGTTGCCAGCTGGGGGAAGCAGCACTTGTGAGCACCTGCCTGTCTCCCCAGGTCCTGTTGAGAAACCCCATCTGTGCCTTTAGAGACTGCCCAGATTACACAGACCCAGCAACCGCATCTACAGCCCCCAGGGCCTATCCCTTTCTACATGGGTTTCACTGCATGTGAGTACACGGTGGGCTTGATTCCTGCCCACTACTCCCTGCCAGATACCCCATGCCCTCCTCATGAAGAAAATGAGGCCACACGGACACACTCAACCCATCATGGTGAGAGGGTGGCTGAGGCTCTACTTGCCTACCCTTCATTGCTGGTTCAGGGCCAGCTGTCTGGCCATATCCCTACCCAGAGGTGGGACTTTGGGGACATTGTCCACCGGGATCACTGGCCACTTTTAAAGTTCCAAAAACAGAAGATCAGCTAGTCCCCTCAGAGTTCAGTACATGGGATAAGCTGCAGCTTGCCTTCAGGAACAGGTTTCCCACCAAGTAGATGCCCAAGGCCCAGGGCACGCCCAAGTTTGTGTGAAGCCTGTCTGCCATGTCCAAAGCCCATGCTGACCCCCCCAACCCTGGAGCCACTGGAATGCTTGTTCCTGGGCATATAAGACCAAGATAGCTGCAGCCTTGCAGGACCACTATGCCCATCTGGCAGCAGCACCCAGAGGGCCTAGAGAAAGAAGTTGGAGGTGAAACCAGATGCTGTTAGGATGTTTTATCAGGCAAAACCACATACTATAAAAAGGCTTTAAAATGCAACAGAAGGAGATGTGAAGACACAAACAAGTGCCTAGTGACACATGGCTATCAGAACACATTAGAGAATCCACACCACTTCCCCCCTTTAACCAGAAAGGGCAGGCTTTAGGCCACCTCCTCCTCCTCGGCTGTGGCGTCCTGGTACTGCTGATACTCAGACAGCAGGTCGTTCATGTTGCTCTCCGCCTCGGTGAACTCCATCACGTCCATGCCCTCGCCCGTGTACCAGTGCAGGAAGGCCTGGAACACACTTGAACAGCTCCCGGATGGCCGTGTTGTTGCCAATGCAGGTGGCCATTTTTAGCCCCTTGGGTGGGATGGCACAGATAGCCATTTTCACATTGTGAGGGAGCCAATCAGCAGAGTACCTGCTGTTCTTATTTTGAATATTGAACATTTGCTCATCCACCTCCCTCATGGGCATGCAACCTCTGAAAACGGCAGCCACTGTCAGGTAGTGGCCATGACGGGGCTCACAGGCAACCATCATTCTTAGCATCAAACATCTGCTGGGTGAACTCAGCCATGGTCAGGGCCGAGTACTACTGGCTGGCTGCCCCGGCTGGACAGTGGAGCAAAGCGAAGCATGAAGAAGTGTAGCCAGGCAACTAGGATCACGTTCGTGGCCAGCCTTTGCAGATCAGTATTCAGCTGGCCTGGGAAGAACAGGCACGTGGTGACCCCACTTGTGGTAGCAGAAACCAGGTGATTCAGGTCACCGTAGGTGGGTGTGGGCAGTTTTAGGGTTCTGGAACAGATGTCACACAGAACTACAGAGCTTCACTATCAATGCAAAAGGTCTCATCTGCATTTTCCATGAGCTGGTGGACTGAGAGGGTGGCATTGTAGGGCTCCACCACGGTGTCTGACACCTTGGGCAAAGGCAGAACACTGAATGTGTTTATGATCCTGTCTGGGTACTCCCAGATCTTACTGATGAGAAGAGTATCCATCAGAGACCCGGTACCCCTACCCAGGGAGTGGGTAAGCTGGAAACCCTGCAGGCAGTCACAGCTCTCAGATTCTTTTTCACAACATCCATCAGCGTCTCCTTCAGCTCTGCACCTTCTGTGTAGTGCCCCTTGGCCCAGTTGTTCCCGGCCCCACACTGACCTGTAAGACAACACAGCAAGTCGCTGGATGGCCAGATATACAGTCATCAGGGGTCACCACAATGCAAAAAAGGGCCAAGTGTCACGTGTGAGGTGAAAGCACCATTCACCCTGCAGGTGGAGCAGGTGGACCTCCCTCCCCCAAAGCTGAAGGACAGCAGCCTCCCCTGTTAGAAGTTAAGTCAGGAGCCGAACCTGAGACAGCCTAACACAACAGACCTGGCTGCAGGTGGCTCCTGCCCATCCCCAAGAAAAGCAGCAGCCACTGCCCCCAGCCCAGCTCCCTGCAGAAAGATTGCATCAGCAGCTCCTCTCAGGCAGACAGCTGGGCCTTCCTCCCAAAGCCCGTTTAGGAGAAGGAGATTGCGTGACTCAGGATGGGAGGGTGTTCAGGGGCCCTAGCTCCACAGTTCCCACAGCGATGACTTTGGGGCACTCCTTGAATTTGAGCGGCCCTGGCTAAGGAGCCTCACCCCAGTCCTCACCCGCAGCTCACCGAAGATGAAGTCGTCCGGCCTGAAGATCCTCCCGAATGGCGCTGAGCACACAGAGCCGATGGTGCCCGGCTCCACATCCACAAGCACAGGGCGGGGCACGTACCTGCCACCTGACGGGGGCGGGAGGGCATCAGCGAGGAGAGGGCCGCCATTCCCAGGAGGGCGGCTGGGGAAGGACAGGGGTCTCACCGCTGGCCTCGTTGTAGTACATGTTGATGCGCTCCAGCTGCAGGTCCCTGTCCCCGTGGCAGGTGCCAGCAGAGTCGATGGCATGTTCATCAGAGATCACCTCCCAGAACTGCGAGAGACACGAGGGGCCAAACAGGCCAGGGCTGAGTCACGGAGGCCAGGGAGCCCGAGGCTCCCCAGCCCCTCTCCTATCCCCACCCCCAGGCCGCTGGATCCCTGGGGGTCCGCCCTGGCTGCCTAGCCAGCCACCCAGCTCCACCGCGTCCCAGGCGCGGAGACGGGGGGCCGCAATACAGCCCCAGCCGCTGCCAACATCTTCTCGGGCCACCCGGCAGGCCCGCGCTGGGCCCTCAGAGCCCCGGCCACCAACCTTGGCACCGATCTGGTTCCCGCACTGCCCGGTCTGCCATAGCACGATCTCCCTCATGGCCACTGCTGGACTAGGGCGGCAGGAGAAACGCGAGGAGGAGCAGGAGCGCAGCGACAGGGCCAGTGCTCCGCCAACGCTAAAATAACCCCGCGCCCACCTCCCCCAGCCTCAGATTGGGCTCCCAGAATAAGCAACAGCTTTACTTCCACACAGGTGTACCCACCTGTGAATCCCTTGGCGTTCAAGGTCTGTTGGAGAGCTCAGGTGGCCTTGCTGTGGTCCTTTCCACGTTGGGGAAAGCTGGTCAGCTGGAGAACTTCCTCCCATGTCTTTAGTAAGACTAAATCCCTAGCTGAGCTGAAATGGAATTTTCCTCCCGTGTGGAGGGGAAGCCTTTTGTTTCCGTGTTCACAGAGTGCCTTTGCACCTGTCCCACATTGATGACATATTTTTGTAATTGATGAGTCCCTTTCTATTAGGAGATCTGTGGTTAGGAGAGGCCTCCCCTATGTTAACTCGACAGGAAGTAATTGTAAGTTTTCCTTTGGAGCAGCTCAAACCCGGAGTAAGCTATGGGTGTTAGAGATAGTCAGGCCTCTGACTTAGCTAGGGTCTTCTTTAGAGTATGATTAACCCTTTCACCTTTCCAGAGGACTGCGGTCTCCATGCAGAGTGAAGGTGATATTGGATTCCTAAAGCTGAGGATAGCTGTTGGGAGACGCCTGCTGTGAAAGATGGGCCATTGTCACTTTGCAGGCCTTTGGATGACCCAAAAGGAGGAATTATTTCTTCTGGTAAACACTTGTCAGATAGGGTGGGGAATGCCTGGATCTAACCAGTGAATGTAACAGTAAGCATTAGCAAATACCTGAATCTCCTACAGAAAGGCATCTGAGTAAATTAGAGTTGCCAGTCCTCACCTGGATAGGTTCCTCAATGTTGGACAGGTTTAACTGGAGGAGGTGAAAATTGCTGGGTCTTTGGGTTATGTCAGACACAGCGCTCACAGGGCTGAGTCACCTGTTTTAGCGTCTTGAAAAGATTTATCCCCATAAACAAATGAGACATTAACTGAAGCAAAGAATCCCTTCTAGGGTGGAAAGAATCATGAAAGTGCTTAATTATTTTCCTACAATGGGTGCTCGGCATTAGTAACTTATTACCATCAGCCAGCCAGCCAGAGGGATCCTGGACTGAACTGCAATCCCTGGCCCATTTTTGTTCTCTTCAGAGTGTTCTGGCCCAGCTCTGTGTACGCTGAGCAGTATGCCCAGAAGCTTCACTGGCCCTTTCAGTGCAGTGGCCTTGGCTGACACATCTGTGAGGGCATTTCCTTTTACACGGTCAGTCTCTCTTTTGATGTCCTCTGCAATGAATTACAGCCACTTTTTTTTTTAATGGCGGCAAAGCAGCATTCTAACAAGCTCAAAATCTGAGTAATGTATGGAAAAGCCCTTCGTGGTCAGGAGTCCCTACCCATTCCAAATTGCAGCATAAGCATGAAGCACTAAGAAATCATACTTGGAATCAGTGTAAATGTTAACTTTTAAGTCCTTTCCCAACTGCAGGGCTCTGGTAAGTTTAATTGACTCAGCTTTTGGAGCTGAGGTAGAGGCCAGCAAGGCTTGTGCCTTGATTATCTTGTGCCGACTAATAATAGCATACCTACCCTTCCTGTTTTCCTGATGCATAAGACAACCTGCATCTCTTAACCACTCTTCCTTGGGATGGTCAAGGGGCTCATCTCTCTTAAGTCTGGCCTGCTAGAATAACTTTGTTTCATAACCCGTGATGCGGTTTGGCTGTTAAATCTTATCTTGAATTGTAGCTCCCATAATTCCCGTGTGTCGTGGGAGGGACCCAGTGGGAGGTAATTGAATCAGGGGGCGGGTCTTTCCCATGCTGTTCTTGTGACGGTGAATAAGCCCATGAGATCTGATGGTTTTATTTTTATTTTTATTTTTTATTTTTTGAGACATAATCTTGCTCTGTTGCCCAGGCTGCACTGCAGTGGCGTGATCTCGGCTCACTGCAACCTCTGTCTCCTGGGTTCAAGCGATCCTCCTGTCTCAGCCTCCCGAGTAGCTGGGATTAGAGGCGCCCACCACCAAGCCTGGCTAATTTTTGTATTTTTAGTAGAGACGGGGTTTCACCATGTTGGCCAGGCTGGTCTCCAACTCCTGACCTCAGGCGATCCACCCGCCTCGGCCTCCCAATGTGCTGGGATTACAGCTGATGTTTTTATAAATGGGAGTTTCCCTACACAAGCTCTTTTTGCCTGCTGCCATGTAAGAGAAGTGATTTTGCTCCTCATTTGCCTTCTGCCATGATTGTGAGGCCTCCCTAGCCATGTGGAACTGTCAGTCAATTGAACCCCTTTCCTTTATAAGTTACCCAGCCTCAGGCATGTCTTTGTTAGCAGCAGGAGAACAGACTAATACAACCTGTATGCCAGAAAGGTTGGGAGCACTTGTGGACCCTGGCAGATAAGTAACTGGGTTTATGGTTTGGCAGACTTTAAGGGTTATGTCTGGAGTGTCTAGCAATAAGGCCTGATACTTTAATAAATGTTCTCCTATTATCCACTGGTGCCCTTTAGCTTCTAGGACCACCTTCCCTTGATGTGGGGTCAAAAACCTTTAGGTGCTGTCCTCATGCTAGTTCATTAGCTTTGCCTACTAGAAAAGTTGCAGCAGCAACAGCTCTAAGACATCCAGGCCACCCTGAGGCCACCTGACCTATCTGCTTAGAAAAGTATGTTACAGCCCTTGGAACGTTCCCCAGTTTTGGGACAAGATTACCCAGGGCCTATGCCTTGCTTTTTGGCCACATAAAGATAAAATGATTCATCCAACTTGGGGACTCCCACAGCTGCAGCAGAGCCCAATTTCTCTTTGAGAGTATTGAAGATTTGCTTGCAGTTCTCATTACATTCAAGGAGCTCTAAATCTTTCCCTTTTAGTGCATCCCGTAAATGCTTGGCTACACGTCCAAATCTGGGCACCCGTAAGCAGCAGTACCCAGCCATCCCCTAAAAAGGCCCACAGTCATTTGTTGGACTGCGACTCTTGAATGACTAAAAGAGCTTTTTTACTTCTAGGGATGTTGATCAGTTCCAGAGGTGAATACAGATTCCAAATATTGGAGCCGTTGAGTCAAAATCTGAGCTCTGTATGGTGATACCCTATATCTGCTAGTTCCCAGGAAATTTATCAGTTTAACAGTATTATTATCCGAGTCTTCTTTAGTTGGGCTAGCAATGAGTAAGTCACCTAGATACTGAATAATGGTGCCTGTTTGCAACTGTAAATTTCTTAAGTCCTTAGCTAGGGCATTTTCAAATAAGTGGGGGCTATCCTAGAACCCTTCAGAGAGGACCATCCAGGTTAGTTTTGAGGTTGAATGAGTATCTGGATCAGTCCATTCAAAGGCAAACATATTGCGAATCTGGATACATTGAGATGCAGAAAAATGCATCTTTCAGAACTAAGAATGTAAACCAGCTTGGATCCCCTGGGACTTGGGTAAGGATTGGGGACAATGGGGTGTATGGAGACAACAGCTGCATTTATTAATGCTCTAAGGTTTCTGACAAATCTGTACTTGCCAGATTAGGCTTTTGATCTGGTAACATGGGAGTATTGTAAGGAGACTCTCATGGCCTTAACAAGTCATACGGCAAGAATTTGGCAATAAGGGGTTGAATTTCCCCTCATGCTTCTTGCCTTAAAGTGTATTGTCTCTTCCAAGGGCGAGGAGCACTAGGCCAAAGTTGGATTTGAATGGGGGAAGTGTTTAGTGTGTTTCCCAGAGCCTGTGTGGCCCAAACCTCAGGATTTACTTGTGAGAACACCTCAGGTGGTAAATGTGACAGCTCATCCTTAACTTCTTTTTTTCCCCGAGGGGTCAGGAATAAAAGTCACACTTTCTCTGCTTTATGATCTGTGAAGGTCACCATGGCTTGGTCACTGGAGTCAATAAAGCTCTCCCCAGTGAGAGGTCAGGCATTCAGACAATACTAGAAAGGCAGGTGAGAAGCCCAGAGGCCCTGGAGAACAACTTAGAAGATAAGAAAAGCAGTGTTTTCCGACTTGTCCATCATGAGAAGACGGGAGCCCATCGTATTGAATCAGGACAGAGTCATCTGCCCCCATATCTAATAAGAAGTTAATACTCCTACCTGCCACTTCAAGAGTAACCTGAGTTTCCTCCACCTCTCAATGGCTAATAGTCCAGTGGGAGCGGAGGCAGGAAGTATCAGGCCCTACCACTTTTGGGTCTGCTGGGCTCTGATGATGGCTCTCTTAGAAGCACAGTGCATTCCCTTTGGTAGTGGCTGACCTTCTTACAGAGGGCACATTGATTTATACCCAAGGCACAGTGGCCCAGAGGCCCAGACTGGGACTTTAACCTTCTCACTTCCTCTGTGAGGACCAGGGGTTAAGGGGCTGGCTCTGAAGTGGTGGAGAGCACAAGGCTACAGCTAGAAGCTGGTCCTTTGGGGAGGTTTGTTTTATTTTATGTTTTCTCTGCCCTATTCCTGTGATTAAAGACTGCAAAAGCCAAGTCTAAAAGCGGATTCTTGGGAGTCTGGAGGCCTAATGCTGCTTTTTGCAGCTTCCTGCAGATATCGGAAGCAGACTGGATTATAAAATGAACTCCTAGCAATGCCTGTCCCTTCTTGGAGTCAGGGGCAGTGTTAGTGTATTTCCTCAAAGTCTAAATTATTCACCCTTGTAATAAGGCTAGGTTTTCATCTTTTCTCTGAGTAATTTTCCTGACTTTATAAAAATTAAAAAGCTTCATCACACATCACACTTTTTTTATTCCTTCAAGGAGTCAAGTGATCATAATTTTTTTCTCTATATATCCTACTCTCTTCCTAATTCATTCCTCTTTTCTAGGTCCTAATTCTCTTTTGGGTCCTGGTCAGGCACTGCTGTGCCTCCTACTTGATAGGTGTCATGTCCCTGGATGCAGGCTGCCACTCTATTAGCATGTGCTCTTGCCAATCCCATAATACACTGCTTTTCTACCATGCAGCAGGTAGACATAAATATATGCAAATTTTGCCTGGTCAAATCATACATCAAGGTTAGCCTCTTCAACTTGTCTATGAATTTTTCTGGATCCTCTGAAAACTGTTTAAGTTTTTCCTTGCATATGGCTAATTCAGACACAGAAAAAGGTACATATACCTATATGGTGTCCCCATCATCATCTGCCACTTCCCAGAGCAGGCAAAGATTCAACTTTGCCAGCTGATAAGAGGCTCCACTGCAAGTTGTTCTGGTGAGGCTCGGGTCTTTGAGAGTGGGTATGTATGTAAGACAGGACTCGAAGGTCAGGGAGGAGATGATGACCGGACACTAGATTACCCTGGAAAACCAGAAGGACTTAACATGTTGCACATCTCACCGGAACTGGAAGGAGTCTGTGTTCTTACGGGGTGCTTGGACTTGCAGGGGAGAGTTCAGCCCCAGCTAAGAAAAGCCTAATATTAAGAGGCACTTGCATTAAAGGGTAATCAATTATGTCCAGTTCCTCTTTTGTCTTTTCCTCCATCAAACAAATACAAGCCCATTTTAATTTTTTATCCTGACTAAGCATCAGAGAAGCCTGTACATAGTGTATTTCCTCCCATTTAGTTTCTCTTCTATAAGACAAATTAAGCTGCAAAAAGAGGAGTCAGACCAAACAGGGGAAATGGGAAGGCTGTAACTTGTGTATTGTAATGTATTAGCCCATTTTCTCACAGCTATGACAAAACTGACAAAACTCTTTCAGGGAAAAAGTGACATGCTGGCTTTAGAAAGTAGGGTCCAACTGTCCTATAGCAGCCCATCAAAGATGACCTTCTGGTTAAGAAATGACAGGAAACTGTTAAGGAAAAGTCTCATGTTCTTCATCTTGAGGCTAATTGTTTCCAGGGGGTTGTTGGAAAAGAGGCTGTCGCTAAACAGGTATAGCTGATCTTGTCATGCAGGGCTGTTAAATACCACATTTCAACTTCTAATCATATGATGGAGAGGTTATTGCTGATCTTTTCTGATAATTAAGGTGCAAAAATACTAGGTTCCAAGACATCTGTTTTTTCCAGTGACCCTGGGACCAGTGGCAAATTAAACAAGCCATCAACTGAAAGTCAGGATCGTTGAGGAAGGCAAAAGCTTAACTGCTTGGGCCTCCTTCCTGTGGCAGCCTCCGGGCTGCTACAAAACAGAGGTGGTGAGCAGACAGGCGACAAGATGCAGAGCACTCAGGTGAGGGACAGAGAGCACAAGGTGGACAGCCCAAAAAGACAAAGTGGCAAACATCTTGTTTAGTCAAATTCATTCTTCTCAATATACCCCAGGGCCTCTAACCCTGTGAGCTTGGCCTCTAATCTGAGTATGATACCCCCGGGCCTCTAACTTTTTGGGCTGAGTCTCTCACCCTAACATTATACCCTGGGGCCTCTCGCTTAAGTAATAGTGGATAATCATTCTTGTCCACCAGAATGGCTTCACAACTCTAAAAGATGGCCCACTTGCCCAATCAATCAGTGTCAGCAGATTGATTCTGTGTGGATTGTTTTCCTTGGAGTGGGGATCTTGTCTTGGTGTCCCTTCATGGTGTTACTGAAAGATGTTGCTGGAAAAGAGGGTCCTGATACAGACCACAAAGGAGGATTCTTAGATCTTGTGCAGGAAAACATCTGAGGTGAGTCAGAGACCACAGTGCAAGAAGCAAGTTTATTAGAAATGACTCCATTACAGAGTTGGGCATCCTCAGAAAACAAAAGCAGGAATGCAATGTCTTTTGTTAGTGTCTCTACTTATAAGTAACTGTAAAGAGAAAGAGTTACAATTAAACTTGGAAGGTGCAGATGTACTCACTAAAGGCAGGGGTTATTGGTTTTAACAATGACCATTAACCCTTTGACCTAAGCTAGCTCATTAAATTTATCTTTAAGAAAAAATGCTGCACTCCTAGGACATTTATACATTTTTAAGGCTGGATGGAAGATGTCTTGTATGGCCTTAAATTATACGATGGGCTCCCGTCTTCCATGATGGACAAGTCGGAAAACACTGCTTTTCTTATCTTCTAAGTTGTTCTCCAGGGCCTCTGGGCTTCTCACCTGCCTTTCTAGTATTGTCTGAATGCCTGACCTCTCACTGGGGAGAGCTTTATTGACTCCAGTGACCAAGCCATGGTGACCTTCACAGATCATAAAGCAGAGAAAGTGTGACTTTTATTCCTGACCCCTCGGGGAAAAAAAGAAGTTAAGGATGAGCTGTCACATTTACCACCTGAGGTGTTCTCACAAGTAAATCCTGAGGTTTGGGCCACACAGGCTCTGGGAAACACACTAAACACTTCCCCCATTCAAATCCAACTTTGGCCTAGTGCTCCTCGCCCTTGGAAGAGACAATACACTTTAAGGCAAGAAGCATGAGGGGAAATTCAACCCCTTATTGCCAAATTCTTGCCGTATGACTTGTTAAGGCCATGAGAGTCTCCTTACAATACTCCCATGTTACCAGATCAAAAGCCTAATCTGGCAAGTACAGATTTGTCAGAAACCTTAGAGCATTAATAAATGCAGCTGTTGTCTCCATACACCCCATTGTCCCCAATCCTTACCCAAGTCCCAGGGGATCCAAGCTGGTTTACATTCTTAGTTCTGAAAGATGCATTTTTCTGCATCTCAATGTATCCAGATTCACAATATGTTTGCCTTTGAATGGACTGATCCAGATACTCATTCAACCTCAAAACTAACCTGGATGGTCCTCTCTGAAGGGTTCTAGGATAGCCCCCACTTATTTGAAAATGCCCTAGCTAAGGACTTAAGAAATTTACAGTTGCAAACAGGCACCATTATTCAGTATCTAGGTGACTTACTCATTGCTAGCCCAACTAAAGAAGACTCGGATAATAATACTGTTAAACTGATAAATTTCCTGGGAACTAGCAGATATAGGGTATCACCATACAGAGCTCAGATTTTGACTCAACGGCTCCAATATTTGGAATCTGTATTCACCTCTGGAACTGATCAACATCCCTAGAAGTAAAAAAGCTCTTTTAGTCATTCAAGAGTCGCAGTCCAACAAATGACTGTGGGCCTTTTTAGGGGATGGCTGGGTACTGCTGCTTACGGGTGCCCAGATTTGGACGTGTAGCCAAGCATTTACGGGATGCACTAAAAGGGAAAGATTTAGAGCTCCTTGAATGTAATGAGAACTGCAAGCAAATCTTCAATACTCTCAAAGAGAAATTGGGCTCTGCTGCAGCTGTGGGAGTCCCCAAGTTGGATGAATCATTTTATCTTTATGTGGCCAAAAAGCAAGGCATAGGCCCTGGGTAATCTTGTCCCAAAACTGGGGAACGTTCCAAGGGCTGTAACATACTTTTCTAAGCAGATAGGTCAGGTGGCCTCAGGGTGGCCTGGATGTCTTAGAGCTGTTGCTGCTGCAACTTTTCTAGTAGGCAAAGCTAATGAACTAGCATGAGGACAGCACCTAAAGGTTTTTGACCCCACATCAAGGGAAGGTGGTCCTAGAAGCTAAAGGGCACCAGTGGATAATAGGAGAACATTTATTAAAGTATCAGGCCTTATTGCTAGACACTCCAGACATAACCCTTAAAGTCTGCCAAACCATAAACCCAGTTACTTATCTGCCAGGGTCCACAAGTGCTCCCAACCTTTCTGGCATACAGGTTGTATTAGTCTGTTCTCCTGCTGCTAACAAAGACATGCCTGAGGCTGGGTAATTTATAAAGGAAAGGGGTTCAATTGACTGACAGTTCCACATGGCTAGGGAGGCCTCACAATCATGGCAGAAGGCAAATGAGGAGCAAAATCACTTCTCTTACATGGCAGCAGGCAAAAAGAGCTTGTGTAGGGAAACTCCCATTTATAAAACCATCAGCTGTAATCCCAGCACATTGGGAGGCCGAGGCGGGTGGATCGCCTGAGGTCAGGAGTTGGAGACCAGCCTGGCCAACATGGTGAAACCCCGTCTCTACTAAAAATACAAAAATTAGCCAGGCTTGGTGGTGGGCGCCTCTAATCCCAGCTACTCGGGAGGCTGAGACAGGAGGATCGCTTGAACCCAGGAGACAGAGGTTGCAGTGAGCCGAGATCACGCCACTGCAGTGCAGCCTGGGCAACAGAGCAAGATTATGTCTCAAAAAATAAAAAATAAAAATAAAAATAAAACCATCAGATCTCATGGGCTTATTCACCGTCACAAGAACAGCATGGGAAAGACCCGCCCCGTGATTCAATTACCTCCCACTGGGTCCCTCCCACGACACACGGGAATTATGGGAGCTACAATTCAAGATAAGATTTAACAGCCAAACCGCATCACGGGTTATGAAACAAAGTTATTCTAGCAGGCCAGACTTAAGAGAGATGAGCCCCTTGACCATCCCAAGGAAGAGTGGTTAAGAGATGCAGGTTGTCTTATGCATCAGGAAAACAGGAAGGGTAGGTATGCTATTATTAGTCGGCACAAGATAATCAAGGCACAAGCCTTGCTGGCCTCTACCTCAGCTCAAAAAGCTGAGTCAATTAAACTTACCAGAGCCCTGCAGTTGGGAAAGGACTTAAAAGTTAACATTTACACTGATTCCAAGTATGATTTCTTAGTGCTTCATGCTTATGCTGCAATTTGGAATGGGTAGGGACTCCTGACCACGAAGGGCTTTTCCATACATTACTCAGATTTTGAGCTTGTTAGAATGCTGCTTTGCCGCCATTAAAAAAAAAAGTGGCTGTAATTCATTGCAGAGGACATCAAAAGAGAGACTGACCGTGTAAAAGGAAATGCCCTCACAGATGTGTCAGCCAAGGCCACTGCACTGAAAGGGCCAGTGAAGCTTCTGGGCATACTGCTCAGCGTACACAGAGCTGGGCCAGAACACTCTGAAGAGAACAAAAATGGGCCAGGGATTGCAGTTCAGTCCAGGATCCCTCTGGCTGGCTGACTGATGGTAATAAGTTACTAATGCCGAGCACCAATTGTAGGAAAATAATTAAGCACTTTCATGATTCTTTCCACCCTAGAAGGGATTCTTTGCTTCAGTTAATGTCTCATTTGTTTATGGGGATAAATCTTTTCAAGACGCTAAAACAGGTGACTCAGCCCTGTGAGCGCTGTGTCTGACATAACCCAAAGACCCAGCAATTTTCACCTCCTCCAGTTAAACCTGTCCAACATTGAGGAACCTATCCAGGTGAGGACTGGCAACTCTAATTTACTCAGATGCCTTTCTGTAGGAGATTCAGGTATTTGCTAATGCTTACTGTTACATTCACTGGTTAGATCCAGGCATTCCCCACCCTATCTGACAAGTGTTTACCAGAAGAAATAATTCCTCCTTTTGGGTCATCCAAAGGCCTGCAAAGTGACAATGGCCCATCTTTCACAGCAGGCGTCTCCCAACAGCTATCCTCAGCTTTAGGAATCCAATATCACCTTCACTCTGCATGGAGACCGCAGTCCTCTGGAAAGGTGAAAGGGTTAATCATACTCTAAAGAAGACCCTAGCTAAGTCAGAGGCCTGACTATCTCTAACACCCATAGCTTACTCCGGGTTTGAGCTGCTCCAAAGGAAAACTTACAATTACTTCCTGTCGAGTTAACATAGGGGAGGCCTCTCCTAACCACAGATCTCCTAATAGAAAAGGACTCATCAATTACAAAAATATGTCATCAATGTGGGACAGGTGCAAAGGCACTCTGTGAACACGGAAACAAAAGGCTTCCCCTCCACACGGGAGGAAAATTCCATTTCAGCTCAGCTAGGGATTTAGTCTTACTAAAGACATGGGAGGAAGTTCTCCAGCTGACCAGCTTTCCCCAACGTGGAAAGGACCACAGCAAGGCCACCTGAGCTCTCCAACAGACCTTGAACGCCAAGGGATTCACAGGTGGGTACACCTGTGTGGAAGTAAAGCTGTTGCTTATTCTGGGAGCCCAATCTGAGGCTGGGGGAGGTGGGCGCGGGGTTATTTTAGCGTTGGCGGAGCACTGGCCCTGTCGCTGCGCTCCTGCTCCTCCTCGCGTTTCTCCTGCCGCCCTAGTCCAGCAGTGGCCATGAGGGAGATCGTGCTATGGCAGACCGGGCAGTGCGGGAACCAGATCGGTGCCAAGGTTGGTGGCCGGGGCTCTGAGGGCCCAGCGCGGGCCTGCCGGGTGGCCCGAGAAGATGTTGGCAGCGGCTGGGGCTGTATTGCGGCCCCCCGTCTCCGCGCCTGGGACGCGGTGGAGCTGGGTGGCTGGCTAGGCAGCCAGGGCGGACCCCCAGGGATCCAGCGGCCTGGGGGTGGGGATAGGAGAGGGGCTGGGGAGCCTCGGGCTCCCTGGCCTCCGTGACTCAGCCCTGGCCTGTTTGGCCCCTCGTGTCTCTCGCAGTTCTGGGAGGTGATCTCTGATGAACATGCCATCGACTCTGCTGGCACCTGCCACGGGGACAGGGACCTGCAGCTGGAGCGCATCAACATGTACTACAACGAGGCCAGCGGTGAGACCCCTGTCCTTCCCCAGCCGCCCTCCTGGGAATGGCGGCCCTCTCCTCGCTGATGTCCTCCCGCCCCCGTCAGGTGGCAGGTACGTGCCCCGCCCTGTGCTTGTGGATGTGGAGCCGGGCACCATCGGCTCTGTGTGCTCAGCGCCATTCGGGAGGATCTTCAGGCCGGACGACTTCATCTTCGGTGAGCTGCGGGTGAGGACTGGGGTGAGGCTCCTTAGCCAGGGCCGCTCAAATTCAAGGAGTGCCCCAAAGTCATCGCTGTGGGAACTGTGGAGCTAGGGCCCCTGAACACCCTCCCATCCTGAGTCACGCAATCTCCTTCTCCTAAACGGGCTTTGGGAGGAAGGCCCAGCTGTCTGCCTGAGAGGAGCTGCTGATGCAATCTTTCTGCAGGGAGCTGGGCTGGGGGCAGTGGCTGCTGCTTTTCTTGGGGATGGGCAGGAGCCACCTGCAGCCAGGTCTGTTGTGTTAGGCTGTCTCAGGTTCGGCTCCTGACTTAACTTCTAACAGGGGAGGCTGCTGTCCTTCAGCTTTGGGGGAGGGAGGTCCACCTGCTCCACCTGCAGGGTGAATGGTGCTTTCACCTCACACGTGACACTTGGCCCTTTTTTGCATTGTGGTGACCCCTGATGACTGTATATCTGGCCATCCAGCGACTTGCTGTGTTGTCTTACAGGTCAGTGTGGGGCCGGGAACAACTGGGCCAAGGGGCACTACACAGAAGGTGCAGAGCTGAAGGAGACGCTGATGGATGTTGTGAAAAAGAATCTGAGAGCTGTGACTGCCTGCAGGGTTTCCAGCTTACCCACTCCCTGGGTGGGGGTACCGGGTCTCTGATGGATACTCTTCTCATCAGTAAGATCTGGGAGGAGTACCCAGACAGGATCATAAACACATTCAGTGTTCTGCCTTTGCCCAAGGTGTCAGACACCATGGTGGAGCCCTACAATGCCACCCTCTCAGTCCACCAGCTCATGGAAAATGCAGATGAGACCTTTTGCATTGATAGTGAAGCTCTGTAGTTCTGTGTGACATCTGTTCCAGAACCCTAAAACTGCCCACACCCACCTACGGTGACCTGAATCACCTGGTTTCTGCTACCACAAGTGGGGTCACCACGTGCCTGTTCTTCCCAGGCCAGCTGAATACTGATCTGCAAAGGCTGGCCACGAACGTGATCCTAGTTGCCTGGCTACACTTCTTCATGCTTCGCTTTGCTCCACTGTCCAGCCGGGGCAGCCAGCCAGTAGTACTCGGCCCTGACCATGGCTGAGTTCACCCAGCAGATGTTTGATGCTAAGAATGATGGTTGCCTGTGAGCCCCGTCATGGCCACTACCTGACAGTGGCTGCCGTTTTCAGAGGTTGCATGCCCATGAGGGAGGTGGATGAGCAAATGTTCAATATTCAAAATAAGAACAGCAGGTACTCTGCTGATTGGCTCCCTCACAATGTGAAAATGGCTATCTGTGCCATCCCACCCAAGGGGCTAAAAATGGCCACCTGCATTGGCAACAACACGGCCATCCGGGAGCTGTTCAAGT
This sequence comes from Homo sapiens, assembly GCF_000001405.40. Taxonomy (NCBI): domain Eukaryota; kingdom Metazoa; phylum Chordata; class Mammalia; order Primates; family Hominidae; genus Homo; species Homo sapiens. The sequence goes on along the minus strand of NC_000001.11, from coordinate 227,493,163 downwards.
GTGTTCCAGGCCTTCCTGCACTGGTACACGGGCGAGGGCATGGACGTGATGGAGTTCACCGAGGCCAAGAGCAACATGAACAACCTGCTGTCTGAGTATCAGCAGTACCAGGACGCCACAGCCGAGGAGGAGGAGGTGGCCTAGAGCCTGCCTTTTCTGGGTAAAGTGGGGAAGCGGTGTGGGTTCTTATAGTGTGTTCTGATAGCCATGTGTCACTAGGCACTTGTTTGTGTCTTCACATCTCCTCCTGTTGTGTTTTAAAGCCTTTTCATAGTATGCGGTTTTGCCTAATGGAGCATTCTCTTAGCATCTGCTTTCACCTGCACTTTCTATAGGCCCTCTGGGTACTGCTGGCAGATGTGTGTAATTGTGCTGCAAGGTTGCAGCTGACTTGGGCTTCTATGCCAAGGAACAAGCATTCCAGTGGTTCCTGGCGGGATCAGTATGGATTATGGACATGGCAGGCATGCTCCACAGGAACTTGAGGCTGCCCTGGGCCTTGGTTATCTGCTTAGTAGGGAAACTGCTTCCTGAAGGAAAGCCTGGCTGCTCCTCCCCAGGACCAGCTGACCTCTGTAACTTAAAAGTGGCCAGTGCTGCCCACCGCTCCCCCAACTTCCAAAAGGGTTGGGCAATTCTACCCCAAGGTGGGACCTTGGAGACAATGTAGTAACACAGCTGGTCCTGAACCAGCAATAAAGGGTGGTGAAATAGAGCCCCAGCTACCCCTTCCCCATGATAGCCTGGGTGTGTCAGTGTGACCTCTTCCCCCTAATCATGTTGGCACACGGATATCTGGCAGGGTCGGATACTAGTTGGCAGGAATCAAGCCCACTGTGTACTCACATGCATGCAGAAGGGAATTAGGTCCCATATAGAAGGGAATTAGGCCCTGGGGGCTGTACATGTGGTTGCTGGGCCTGTGTGCTCAGTGCAGTCTCTCCAGGGCATAGGTGCAGTTTCTGAACAGGAACTGGGAATCTGGCAACCAGTGAGGAAAATGCCCATGCAGGGGTCTGTCCTGCCCCAGGTTGGAGGGATGGCACTCTGGAAAAGTGATTAATGTACACTGCCTCTTGTCTCCCCTATCCCCTGCTTCAAAGCAGGGGGAGAATACAAGGCTGTCAGGATGAGAGAGGTGGAAGTCGTACCTTTGGGGTCAGGCCCTTGAGCCACAGCCTCTTTCCCAGGCCTCTCAGGGAGCCTGGACTTCAAGGCCTGCCTCACTGAAGCTGTCAAATAAGATGGATGTGAGCTGGGTGCTCGGGAGCACACCCAGGACAGTGCTCTTCTACCTGGCTCTTGTAGAACTCATCCATGGCCTGTATGATACCCTCTTGGTAACTCACACCCTCACACAAGTGGATTGGGAGGATGAAGCCAGCATAGCCTGGGGTTGGGCATATGTTTAGGTCCTACCCCAGATCCCCTTGGCCTTCCCCTAGGCCTACCCACCTGCCTCAGATGCGTCAGGGAAGGCAGGTGAGGCTCATTTCCCTCAATGCTGGCAACTGCCTCTTGAAGCCAAATTGGAACAGGCAAGCAGGGGAGTGTCTCATCTTCAGAAAAGATGGGCTCCTGGAAGCAGCTAGGAAGTGAGAGAAGTCCCCCTTACTGCCCCAACCTGTTCTCAGAGCAGGAAAATGGGCCTCTGTGACAGCTCTCCTCACTGGCTCTCACCCTCTGAGGGGTGTCCTTGCCCAGCGCAGCCCAGGCCTGCACCCACCTGAGATGGCCTTACATGGATCCGGTTGGGAAGGTTCAGCTGCAGCAACCACTGGAAGCTGCCCACACCTAGTGTCTCCACTCATGGGTGGTGTCAGATGTTCCTCCCTCCTGCAGTGGTACAGCCAGAGTGGCAGAAGGGGCAAGTCACTGCTGCAGTTCCCACCTGGGTCTGAGTGGGGCCCAGGCTTGGCTCCTGTGTATTTCCCAATCACCTGGTTCCACCTGGGGCTTCATGGCTGGGAGTGGTCCTCTTAGGGGCCTTTTTTTCATATGCCACCTGCAGGTCTGGGTTTCTCAAGTCTCAGGAGTCCCCCTTCCAGCCTGGCTAGCATGGTGGGCCATAGGGGAAGGGGCATGAAGCTTCCAGAAAGCAGAACCTAGTGGCTGCTGGTGGTTTTCCTCCTTCAGTGGGAGTCAGCTCAGAATCTCAACATCCTTGTAGAGTTTCAAAACAGTACAGACAGGGTAGCATGTAAGCAATTGAGGCAGAATGGTGGGGCCAGGAGGGAGCAGGGCCAAGGCCTGGTGGCTTACCCATGTACAGGGGATTGTAGGGGATTATCTACTATCAGGGAATTCAGTGTAGCTTGGTCTTGCTAAAGCCCTAGATGAACTTGGGCTTGGACATGGGAGACAGCATGAAGCAGGGGCTCTACTACATGCTGCGGTTTTTGAGCAGCTGTGCCATGGTGTGCCCATAGATGTTCCCCACCTGGAGCACAGCCGTGGTTAGAAGCTGGTGTAGCTGCAGAGGGAAGAGGAGGAGGCAGGAGGAGTCTCAAGAGCAGCCTCAGGCAGCCAGGCAGGGGCCTCTGCAAGCGAAATGCAGATCCAGCCTGTTGGCCTCTTAGCTTCTTGGCCTGCTGTAGATCACCTGAGCTCTGCTTAGCTATAAATGGGGGTTGCAGTAGCACCCGCCTTCTGGGATTCTCGCAGCTTGAAGGGGCAGCACACACCACGTGCTGAGAATGCACCTGACTCCGGGGAGCTTTTCTGACAGCACATCAGATTCAGCATACCTAACCTCTACCAGACACCATGAAATCTTCCCTACCCCTCATTCCAACTGAAGGAAAAGGGAGCCTGTCCTAGGGGAGCAAGCACAGACATATTTCTGTGGTAGGCACATGGCCCAGGCTTGGGAAAACCCCTTGGACACATGCTGGTTTCACCAGGAATCTGTGGGGTGGATTTAGCCTGGAACCCTGTACCCCAGGAGGCCAGTGGCCCCCTACATGGGACCAGGACTGCACCCTAGGAGGCCAGTAGCCCCCTGCATGGGAGGCAGGTGGTGGGACTGAACTTTGAGGGAAGTCATCATTTGGCGTCAGGAAAAGCTGTGCAAGTGGTTGTTGGTGGTTCAGTTCTGCAGGGCTTGTGTAATAACCCAAAGCGTGCAAAGTTACCATAGGCTCATCAGTTTAAAAGGTAATGGGGACAGTTGGCTTCACCTGCCCCTTTCCCAGAAGTAACTGGTGTTCAGAGGTGGATTTGGTTTCTTCCAAGCCCTTTCCCTTCGCATGTAGCTGTGTGTGTGTATTTAGGTGTGTACACACACATTCTGTAGAGGAGTTTTGTCTTTCTATTTGGGGGCATGACTAGTGAGGCAGCCTGGCATTTGCTTATCTTGTCTTTTAAGTGTTGAGTCCTCTGTGAAGTGGGCACTGCGTCCTTACTAGCTGGCCTCTGCCAGCTGTTTGTTCCTCCAGTTTCTGCCCTTCACAGACATGCTAGCCACCTGTTGTGACATTCAGCAGTCTGGTCCCCAGTTAGTAACATGAGAGGACTTAATCAGCTACATCATAAAACTGAAAAAGCTCACACTATGCAGAAAGTATAAATTAACATTTGTATACTACTCGGCTGGGGTCCACAGTACATGACTGAGATGACAAAGAGGTTTTTTCACCTAATATTTGGACCCTGAAAGAGGGCATTTATGGTTTTCTTATTTAGAACACAGAATAAATACTACCCAAAATTATCCCCAACTCCCACTTCACCCCTCTAGTTTACCTACCTCGGAGAGAAAGAGGAACTCACCTGGTTAATGCAAGCCGGAAATTTTGAGCCAGGTCACTGTGTAAAGGTCATACTGCCTCTGACCTCTCATGTGTCACATTCTCAGCTCAGATATTTCATAGCTCCCTGTATACAGGTAGATACAGTACCCTCCTAGCCTCCTTTCTTGGTATGATACATGCCTGACAGCATGTGAGAGGGCTCAAGGTCCAGGCTTATGGGATGATTTGGGCAAGACTGTTCTGCTTGCCCCATCTCATGTCTCCAGGTGAACCTGCATGCGTATGTTCCTCCATCTAGTTCCAGAATAGGGGATAGGGTTATATGGTTTGGCTCTGTGTCCCCACACAAATCTTACCTTAATTTGTGATAAAGCCCATGTGTCAAGGATGGGACGAGGTGGAGGTAATTGAATCATGGGGCAGTTTCCCCCATACTGTTCTCATGGTAGTGACTGAGTTGTCCCAAGAGCTGATGATTTTATAAGGGGCTTCCCCCTTCACTTGGCTCTCACTTCTCTCACGCCTGCTGCCATGTAAGGTGTGACTTTGCTCCTCTTTCACCTTCTGCCATGATTGTGGGGCCTCGTCAGCCATGTGGAACTGTGAGTCCATTAAACCTCCTTTCCTTTATAAATTACCCAGTCTCAGGTTGTCTTTATTAGCAGTGTGAGGACAGACTAATACAGTAAATTGGTCCCAGGAGTAGGGTGCTGCTGTAAAGACACCCCAAAATGTGGAAGTGACTTTGGAGTTGGGTAACAGGCAGAGGTTGGAACAGTTTGGAGAGCTTAGAAAACAGGAAGATGTTGGAAGGTTTGGAACTTCCTAGAGACTTGTTGAATGGCTTTGACCAAGTTGCTGATAGTGATGTGAACAATAAGGTCCAGACTGAAGTGGTCTGAGTTGGAGATGAGGATCTTGTTGGGAACTGCAGTAAAGGTCACTCTTGCTATGCAAAGAGACTGGTGGCACTTTGCCCCTGCCCTAGAGATTTGTGGAACTTTTAATGAGAGAGATGATTTAGGGTATCTTGCAGAAGAAATTTCTAAACAGCAAAACATTCAAGAGGACACAGAGGGACCAGGCACGGTGGCTTATGCCTGTAATCCTAGCACTTTGGGAGGCCAAGGTGGGCAGATTACTTGAGGTCAGGAGTTCAAGACCAGCTTCACCAACAAGGGGAAACCCTGTCTCTACTAATAATATAAAAATTAGCCAGGCATGGTGGCAGGCACCTGTAATCCCAGCTACTCAGGAGGCTGAGGCAGGAGAATCACTTAAACCCAGGAGGCGGAGGTTGCAGTGAGCCGAGATCACACCATTGTACTCCATTCTGGGGGACAAGAGTGAAACTCCATCTCAAAATAAAGAGGAAGCAGAGCATAAAAGTTTGAAAAATTTGCAGCCTGATGATGCAGTAGAAAAGAAAAAACTCATTTTCTGGGAAGAAATTCAAGCCCACAGCAGAAATTTGCATAAGCAACAGGGAGCTGAATGTTAATCACCAAGACAATGGGGAAAATGTCTCCAAGGCATGTCAGAGACCTTCACAGCAGCCCCTCCCATCACAGGCCTAAAGGCCTGGGAGGAGAAAATGGTTTCCTGGGCCAGGCCTAGAGGCCCCCTGCAGTGTGCAGCCTTGGGACATGGTGCCCTGCATCCCAGTCACTCCAACCATGACTAAAAGGGACCAAGGTACAGTTCAGGCCATTGCTTCAGAGGTACAAGCCTCAAGCCTTGGTGGCTTACACATGGTGTTGGGCCTGCAGGTGTGTAGAAGTCAAGAATTGAGGTTTAGGAACCTGTGCCTAGATTTCAGAGGATGTATGGAAATGCCTGGATGTCCAGGCAGAGATTTGCTGCAGGGGTACAGCCCTTCTGGATAACCTCTGCTAGAGCAGTGTGGAAGGAAAATGTGAGGTTCGAGCCCCCACACAGAGTCCCCACTGGGGCACTGCCTAGTGGAGCTGTGAGCAGAGGGCCACTATCTTCCAGATCCCAGAATGGTAGATCCACCTACAGCTTGCACTGTGCACCTGAAAAAGCCCCAGACACACAATGCCAGCCTGTGAAAGCAGCTGAGGGGGCAAGGCTGTACCCTGCAAAGCCACAGGGACAGATCTGCCCCAGGCTGTGGGCAGCCTTGCATCAGCAAGACCTGGACATGAGACATGGAGTCAAAGGAGATCATTTCAGAGCTTTAAGAATTGACTGCCCCACTGGATTTTGGAATTGCATGGGGCCTGTAGCCCCTTCATTTTGGCCAGCTTCTCACATTTGGAACAGGTGTATTTATCCAATATCTGTACCCCCACTGTATCTAGGAAGTAACTAACTTTCTTTTGACTTTACAGGCTCATAGGTGGAAGGGACTTGTCTCAGATGAGACTTTAGAGTATGGACTTTTGAGTTAATGCTTAAATGAGTTAAGACTTTGGGAAAGCAAAATTGGTTTTGAAATGTGAGAACATGAGATTTGGGAGGGGCTGTGGATGGAATAAGATGGTTTGGCTCTGTGTCCCCACCCACATCTCACCTTGAATTGTGATATTCCCTATGTGTCAAGGGTGGGACCAGGCGGAGAGAAATGAATCATGGGGGGTGGTTCCCCCATACCGTTATTATGTTGAGTGAGTCCTCATGAGATCTGATGGTTTTATAAGGGACTTCCCACTTAACTTGGCTCTCACTTCCCTCTTGCCTGCCACAATGTAAGACACGACTTTGCTCCTTCTTTACCTTCCATTGTGATCTTGAGGCCTCCCTAGCCATGTGGAACTGTGAAACCATTAAACCTTCTTTCCTTTATAAATTACCCTTATAAATTACCCAGTTTCAAGTATGTCTTTATTAGCAGCATGAGAAGAGACAAGAAGTCTCATATTGACCTCAAGTTTATGCCAGTTTTTCCACATCAGCTTTCCAAGACAGTCCCTGGTGTGGGGCTTATAAGATGCCATGGAGATTTGTGAAGTTAATATCTACTTTTATTGTGTGGGTGCTTTATAAATTAGAGCCCTGGAGAGGAATAGGTGTCAAAGCTACTCCAAACCTCTAACATATAAACATCTAAGCCTGGCCCTTTTTTGGTGGTGAAATATATATAACATTAATCTTACCATTTTAATCATGTTTAAATGTACAGTTCAGTGGCATTCAGTATACTCACATTATTGTACGACCATCTCCTTTATTCATATCTACAACTTTATTATTATCCTAAAATGAAACACCATCCCCATGAAGAAGTCATTGAATAGAAGACTGATGCATTTGACTCCATAAAAATTAAAACTTTCTATGAGAGAAAAATGCCTCAAAGTCAAAAGTCAACAGACTGGGGAAATCTCTAACATATATAACAGACAAAGAGCTAATTTGGGTAATGTATATATAAAGCTATCATAAATTATTAAAAGACCAGCAGCAAAATTGAAAAATGGACAAAGAATGTTGTATTAGTGCATTTTCATGCTGATGATAAAGACATACCCAAGACTCAGCAATTTACAAGAAAGAGGTTTACTGGACTTAGTTTCACAAGGCTGAGGAGGCCTCACAATCATGGTGGAAATTGAAAGGCACGTCTCACATGGTGGCAGCAGGAGAGAGAATAATAGCCAAGTGAAACAGGTTTCCCCTTATCAAACCATCAGATCTGATGAGACTTATTCACTACCACGAGAACAGCAGAGGGGAAACTGTCCCCATGATCCAAGAATCTCCCACCAGGTCACTCCCACAACATGTGGGAAATATGGGAGTACAATTCAAGATGCGATTTGGGTGGGGACACCAAGCCAAACCATATCAGATATAAAGAGACAGTTCAAAGAAAAATGTAGATTTTTAAATACTTGCTAATTTTTTTACTGTGGTAAAATAGGCATAACAAAGTTGACCACTTTAACTATTTTGAGGTGTATAATTTAGTGGCATTAAGTACAAATACATTGTTGTGCAACCATCACCACTATCCATTTTCAAAACTATTTTATCATCCCAAACTGAAACTCTATCCATGGAACAATAACTCCCCATTTCCCTTCTTCTCATCCCCTGACCCCCACTATTTTATTTTCTATGTCTATAAATTTGACTACTCTAGGTACTTCATATAAGTGGAAGCATACAGTATTTGCTTTTTTGTCTGACTTATTTTACTTAGCAAAATCTTCTCAAGGTTTGTTGTAGCATTTATCAAAATTTATTTTTAAGGTTGAATATAATATATCATTGTATGTATTGACTATATTTGCTTACCCATTCATCTATAGATGGACATTTTGGTGGTTTCTACACTTTGGCTATTGTGAGTGCTGCTATAAACATGGGTGTGCAAATATCTGTGCAAATTCCTGCTTTCAGTTCTTTTAGGTATATACCCAGAAGTAGAATTGCTAGATCATATGGTGATTACTGTTTTCCATAGTAGCTCTGCCATTTTACTTTCCCACCAGTAGTATGCAAGAGTTCTGACTTCTCCACATCTAGCATTTGCTGTTCTCTGGGTTTTTGTTGTTTGTTTTGGTTTGTTGTTGGTTGTTTTTTTTATGGTAGCTATACTTATATGTGTCAGTTGGTATTGCATTGTGCTTTTGATTTACATTGTTCTCATGATAATTGATGCTGAGCACCTCACCTGTGCTTACTGGTCATTTGTATATCTTCTTTAAAGAAATGTGTATTTTAAAACCTTTGCTCATTTTTAAATTTGATTTTGTTGTTGTTGTTGCTGAGGTCTTTATATAGCCTGGATATTAATTACTTATCAGATATATAATGTGTGGATATTTTCTCCCCCTCTGTGAATTGTATTTTCAATCTATTGATTGTATCTTCAGACACACAAAAGGTCTTAACTTTAATAAAGTTATTTTTATGTATTTTGTTGTTGTTGCCTGCACTTTCACTGTCATATCCAAGAAATTGTTGCCAGATTCTATGTTATGAAACTTTTTCCCTATGCTTTCTTCTAAGGGTTTTATAGTTTTAGCTCTTACAATTAGATGTTTGATCCATTTTTAATTGTTTTGTACATGGTGTAAAGTAAGGGTTCAACATCATTCTTTTCCATGTAAATATCCAGTTTTTCTAGCACTATTTAAAAAATACTGTCCTTTCTCATTGAATAGTTTTGGCTCCCTTGTTGAAAATTATGACCAATATTGCCTTGGTCTTTATGTCTGTCTCTATGCTGGTACAACATTTTTTGGGTACTGAAGCATTGTAGTAAGTTCAAAACCACGAGGCGTTAATCCTCTAACTTCATTTATTTTAATATAGATTGGGACTCTTGGGTTTTTTTGAGATTTCGTCTGAATTTTAGAATAGGTTTTTCTACTTTTGCAAATGTTGGGATTTTTAAAGGAATTTCATTGAATCTGTAGATGACTATAGATAACAATGACATCTTGACAAGGTTTTGTCTTCCAATCCATAAACACATAGTGTCTTTTCATTTGAGTCATCTTTAATATCTTTCTGCAATGTTTATAGTTTTCACTGTACAGGTTTTTCATTACCTTGGTTAAGTTGGTTTCTAAGTATTATTTTGATGGTATCATAAATGATATAGTTTATTGTTATTGTAGAAATACAAATGATTTTATGTATTAATTTTGTATCCTGCAGCTTTGTTGAATTTTATTTATTGCTTCTGACAGTTTCTTTCACAAAAACTATAGGATTTTTAATATACAAGTTTATATCATCTGCAAACAGATACTTTTACCTTTTCTTTTTAGTTGGAATTTTTTATTCTTTTTCTTGCCTTATTGCTCTAACTAGAATCTTCCATACTATGTTAAATAGAAGTGGTAAAAGCAGGCATCCTTGTTTTTGCTCTTAGGATAAAAGCTTTCACCATTATGTTAACCGTGTGTTTTTTTTTTTTAATGTATAACATGTTAAGGTCTTTCCTTTCTGTTTATAGTTTCTTGAGTATTTTTTATGAAAGTGGGTTAAATTTTGATAAATACTTTTTTCTGCTTTGGTTAAAATAATCACATTTTTCTTTACGTTTTTTTCTTTTCTTCTTTACGTTAATGTGATATTACATTGATTTTTATGTGTTGGAGCATACTTTTACTTCAGGAGTCAATTATACTCATTCATGTTGTATAATCCTTTTAATGTACTGCTAAATTTAAATTGCTAGTATTTTGTTGAGGATTTTCGCATCAGCATTTGTAAGTGATGTTTGTCTGTAGTTTTCTCGTGTTTGGTGTCTGGGTAATACTGGCCTCATAGAATGAGTTAGAAAATGTTACCTCCTCTTCAAATTTTTGAAAGAGTTTGAGAAAAACTGGTATTAATTCTGCTTTAAATGTTGGGTAGAATTCAACAGTGAAGCCATCTGGTCTAGGGCTTTTCTTTGTTGCTGGGTTTTTGGTTACTGATGCAATGTTCATACTGAATCTCCTTGATGAATAGGTTTATTAAGCTATTCTATTCCTGATTCTGTCTTAGTAGGTTTTTTGTTTCTAAAAATTTGTTCATTTTATTTAGGTTATTCAATTTTTTTGGTGTACAGTTGCTTATGGTACTCTCTTATATCCTTTTTCACTCTGTAAGTTTGGTATAACTCATTGAAGTTATAACTTCTCCAGTAGCCAATTATTTCAAAGGCCAGACATGTACTCCTTAAAAAATGACTAAAACTGACAGCTTGTAGAAAGCCATAAAAATCTTTATTGTACTGTGTTGTTCTGGTAATACACTTGTAAGATGCTTGCCAAAAATAAATACTGGAAAATACTTTTCAATTTCTCAAGCAGATTACTGCAACAGTAACACATCAAGACTTATTCATTAATAATGAAAAAATATGAATTGTTATACTGAATCTGGATAGAAAAACTAGGTAGTTTTATACCTATCTTCATTATCTGTACAATGTTACCTTTCAAAATATTTTTAAAGTGTTAACTTTATGGGAAAAAATGAGGTATTTGAAAACGGTTAGAAAGTTTAACAAAACCTTATAAACTCACATGTCTTTTACTGGGATATCCTTGAAGATCTGACAGTTTTCCACTTTGTACAGCTTGATCATGCATAATCTTGGAGGCAAAAAGAATGACTCCCAAGGAAATCCTTTTCCAGTTAGATGGACAAATGTCAATTTCAGCATAAGTCAAGATCCTTTCCAGGTAAATTTGCAAAGAGAGCACTGATGTTTTATTTTAGTTCAATTTAGCTGCTGTGATAAGAATGCATGAATGATAGATTACTTCTGTTTTTGGCCAGAAAATAAATGCCTTTTATTTTTATATTCTTCAGATTTTGCTTAGTCAGCCAAAGCAAGAGATCAAATCACAGTTGTAAGTCAGATGTCTCTGCCATCTACTCTGTCCTTAGAAATTTCCAGTCCAATTTTGATCACAGGAATGACTGGACATCTCAGCCAAGGGTATCATGAAGACAGAAGGAGTCATTACCTTCACACCCATAAAAGGCAGCACATGCATAGGCCCAGTGTGCATTAAAGTTGTTAAATGAATACTTCAGTGCCCACCTTGTGCAATGTGTTGCTATATCTAGTTTGCAGGTAGATAGGAATTTCACAGGTATGTCATGCTTGATTGTATAAAACCCAGGGGATACTGAGTACATTGCTATCTTCTCCTTTTCACAATAACTAATCCTTCTGTGGCGCTAGCTTGAACAGCTAGCCAAGAGAGCCTCCCAGTGGCTGCTGTGCAGAACAGCATGACACGTTCAGGTCTTTGGGGCCATAAGATGTTTCCATATTCAGTGCCTTGATAAGGAACACCCGCGTAGAGAAGGGCCCTTCTCACAGCCCCTAGTTTTCCTATCCCCACAATCACTTCATGAAAATTTATTTTCTGATTTGTTTTGTTTTGTCTTTAGAAGGAGTCTAGCTCTGTCTCCAGGCTGGAGTGCAGTGGTGCGATCTCAGCTCACTGCAACCTCTGCCTCCCAGGTTCAAGAGGTTCTCCTGCCTCAGCCTCCCGAGTAGCTGGGATTACAGGCATGTGCCACCATGCCCAGCTAATTTTTGTATTTTTAGCAGAGACATGGTTTCATCTTGTTGGCCAGGATGGCCTTGATCTCCTCACCTCGTGATCCACCCACCTCAGCCTCCCAAAGTGCTGGGATTACAGGCGTGAGCCACTGCACCCAGCTTATTTTCTGTCTTACATCATCTGCAACATTGTCAATTCTGTTGGCTTAAAGGCAGTAACAGCTGTCAGTCTCTGATCCTTGGGATTCCCTAAACTTGCCAAGCAGTTTGTGAGAAAATCTCATGAAGTATTTTACATCTATCAAACATCTACCTGCAAAGAATTTGGTAAAGTGAACAGTTGAGTAAAGGTTATGGAGGTAAGCCGTGAGGTGTTGTTACCTCAAAGGGTGCTCTGCAGAAGCATATGGTCTATATATCATTTGAACTATGTATCAAGACAAAAGGAAAACAGTTCATTTTATGAGAGCTTATTGTCTGAAGGTTATCAGATTGGCAGCTCAGATCTGACAACGTTCTCCAAACCCAACTGTGTTTTCAAAACAGTTCATTTTAAGAGTTTGTTTAGTATCTGAAAGTTAGGTTGGCAACTCAGATCCGGCAGTGTTCCCCAAACTCAACAGTGTTTTCAAAAACAAAATGGCTCTTGAACACAATGTATTCTTAGATTCTTCTCCCTTGCACCCAAACTCCACACTCTCAAGTATCCTAAGAATGAACCTCCTGCCCCAGGTTAATGTTCTATAGATATTAGAGAGCATTGAAACAGCACTGGCAAGCCCTCAACTGCCTGTTGCCTTTACTGCTAAGCTGGTAACCTGTGGACACTCATTGATACCACTTGCCTTCCTGGGTCAATGAGAGAGAGTTCCTTTTTCCCACTATGCCAACTCTCTTATCAGTGTGGTTGATCCTGTCCCACTTCCGCAGAACACTGTTCCCGCAATCACCTCTTTTTGAAGACTTTCCCTCTGCCCGAAATCTTCCCCAATATGACTGTGTTTCCTTTATTCTCATCCCACTCTCCAAAACTCCCCCAGAGATGTCCTCATTTGCTCACAGCATCATGCCCTGGTGCCCGCTTCTCACCTCCCATCTCTCCTTAACCAAACCCACCTGGCCCCTGCCACCATCACTTTCCAGAGACTCCTCATGCCAAGGTGCCCAACCTTCACATCTGCAAACCAGAGCTCTTCATCCCAATGCTCCACTCCCCAAGCCTTCCCTAATCTTGTACAGGGCATTTTTATTTTCCCCACTTGTGAGGCCAGATACATACATTTGAATTGGCTTGTTCCAATCTGTGTGCAACTCCTGCTATGTCTACTTTCACTGGTAGGCTGCATATTTTTGATTCTGTGCTGCCATTTTTCACTGCTCACCTGTATCATCCTAGTTGCTTCTTTTTATTATTATACTTTAAGTTCTGGGATACATGTGCAGAACGTGCAGGTTTGTTACATAGGTATACACGTGCCATGGTGGTTTGCTGCACCCGTCAACTTGTCATCTACATCAGGTATTTATCCTAATGCTATCCCTCCCCTAGCCCCCCACCCCATGACAGGCCCTGATGTGTGATGTTCCCCTCCCTGTGTCCATGTGATCTCATTGTTCAACTCCCACTTATGAGTGAGAACATGCGGTGTTTGGTTTTCTGTTCCTGTGTTAGTTTGCTGAGAATGATGGTTTCCACCTTCATCCATGTCCCTGCAAAGGATATGAAATCATCCCTTTTTATGGCTGCATAGTATTCCATGGTGTATATGTGCCACATTATCTTTATCCAGTCTATCATTGATGGGCATTTGGGTTGGTTCCAAGTCTTTGCTATTGTGAACAGTGCTGCAACAAACATGTGTGCATGTATCTTTATAGAATGATTTATAATCCTTTGGGTATATACCCAGTAATGGGATTTCTGGGTTCAAATGGTATTTCTGGTTCTGGATCCTTGAGGAATTGCCACACGGTCTTCCACAATGGTTGAACTAATTTGCACTCCCACCAACAGTGTAAAAGTGTTCCTATTTCTCCACATCCTCTCCAGCATCTGTTGTTTCCTGACCTTTTAACGATCACCATTCTAACTGCTATAAGATGGTATCTCATTGTGGTTTTGATTTGCATTTCTCTGATGGCCAGTGATGATGAGATTTTTTTTCATGTGTCTGTTGGCTGCATAAATGTCTTCTTTTGAGAAGTGTCCATATCCTTTGCCCACTTTTTGATGGGGATTTTTTCTTGTAAATTTGTTTAAGTTTTTGTAGATTCTGGATGTTAGCCCTTTGTCAGATGGATAGATTGCAAAAATTTTCTCCCATTCTGTAGGTTGCCTGTTCTCTCTGATGATAGTTTCTTTTGCTGTGCAGAAGCTCTTTAGTTTAATCAGATCCCATTTGTCAATTTTGGCTTTTTTTTGCCATTGCTTTTGGTGTTTTATCATGAAGTCTTTGCCCATGCCTATGCTGAATGGTATTGCCCAGGTTTTCTTCTAGGGTTTTTATGGTTTTAGGTCTTATGTTTAGGTCTTTAATCCACCTTGAGTTAAGTTTTGTATAAGGTGTAAGAAAGGGATCCAGTTTCAGTTTTCTGCATATGGCTAGCCAGTTTTCCCAACACCATTTATTAAATAGGGAATCTTTTCCCCATTGCTGGTTTTTGTCAGGTTTGTCAAAGATCAGATGATTGTAGATGTGTGGCATTATTTCTGAGGTCTCTGTTCTGTTCCTTTGGTCTATATCTCTGTTTTGGTACCAGTACCATGCTGTTTTGGTTACTGTAGCCTTGTAGTATTGTTTGAAGTCAGGTAGCATGATGCCTCCAGCTTCAATCTTTTTGCCTAGGATTGTCTTGGCTACATGGGCTCTTTTTGGTTCCATATGAAATTTAAAGTAGTTTTTTCTAATTCTGTGAAGAATGTCAATGGTATCTTGATGGGGATAACATTGAATCCATAAATTACTTGGGGCAGTATAGCAATTTTCATGATATTTATTCTTCCTATCCATGAGCGTGGAATGTTTTTCTATTTGTGTCCTCCCTTATTTCCTTGAGCAGTGGTTTGTCGTTCTCCTTGAAGAGGTCCTTCACATCCCTTGTAAGTTGGACTCCTAGGTATTTTATTCTCTTTGTAGCAATTGTAATTGGGAGTTCACTCATGATTTGGCTCTCTGTTTGTCTATTATTGGTGTATAGGAATGCTTGTAATTTTTGCACATTGATTTTGTATCCTGAGACTTTGCTGAAGTTGCTTGTCAACTTAAGGAGATTTTGGGCTGAGATGATGGGGTTTTCTAAATATACAATCATGTTATCTGCAAACAGAGATAATTTTACTTCCTCTCTTTCTATTTGAATACCCTTTATTTATTTCTCTTGCCTGATTGCCTTGGCCAGAACTTGCAATACTATGTGAAGGCATCCTTGTCTTGTGCCGATTTTCAAAGGGAATATGTTTCCAGCTTTTGCCCATTCGTATGATATTGGCCATGGATTTGTCATAAATAGTTATTATTTTGAGAAATGTTCCATCAATACCTAGTTTATTCAGAGTTTTTAGCATGAAGGGGTGTTGAATTTTATCAAAGGCCTTTTCTGCATCTATTGAGATAATCGTGGTTTTTGTCATCGGTTCTGTTTATGTGATGGATTACGTTTATTGATTTGCGTATGTTGAACCAGCCTTGTATCCCAGGGATGAAGCCAAATTGATCATGGTAAATAAGCTTTTTGATGTGCTGCTGGATTCGGTTTGCCAGTATATTATTGAGGATTTTTGCATCGATGTTCATCAGGGATATTGACCTGAAATTTTCTTTGTTGTTGTTGTTGTTGTTGTTGTGTCTCTGCTAGGTTTTGGTATCAGGATGATGCTGGCCTCATAAAATGAGTTAGGGAGGAGTCTCTCTTTTTCTGTTGTTTGGAATAGTTTCAGAAGGATACCAGCTTCTCTTTGTACCTCTGGTAGAATTTGGCTGTGAATCTGCCTGGTCCTGGGCTTCTTTTGGTTGGTAGGCTATTAATTACTGCCTCAATTTCATAACTTATTATTGGTCTATTCAAGGATTCAACTTCTTCCTGGTTTAGTCTTGGGACTAAACACATAAAACTAGTATGTGTCCAGGAATTTATCCATTTCTTCTAGATTTTCTAGTTTATTTGCATAGAGCTGTTGATAGTATTCTCTGATGGTAGTTTGTATTTCTGTAGGATCAGTGGTGATATCCCCTTTATCATTTTTTATTTTGTCTATTTCAGTCTTCTCTCTTTTCTTCTTTATTAACCTGGTTAGTGGTCTATTTATATTGTTAATCTTTTCAAAATCCAGCTCCTGTATTCATTGATTTTTTTGAAGAGTTTTTTGTGTCTCTATCTCCTTCAGTTCTGCTCTGATCTTAGTTATTTCTTGTCTTCTGCTAACTTTTGAATTCATTTGCTATTGATTCTCTAGTTCTTTTAATTGTGATGTTAGGGTGTCGATTTTAGATCTTTCCCACTTTCTCCTGTGGGCATTTAATGCTATAATTTTCCCTCTAAACACTGCAGTAGCTGTGTCCCAGAGATTCTGGTATGTTGTTTCTTTGTTCTCATTGGTTTCAAAGAACTTATTTATTTCTGCCTGAATTTCGTTATTTACCCAGTAGTCATTCAGGAGCACATTGTTCAGTTTCCATGTAGTTGTGTGGTTTTGAGTGAGTTTATTAATCCTGAGTTCTAATTTTATTGCACTTTGGTCTGAGAGACTTTTTGTTACGATTTCTGTTCTTTTGCATTTGGTGAGGAGTGTTTTACTTCCAATTATGTGGTCAATCTTAGAATAAGTGCAATGAGGTGCTGAGAAGAATGTATACTCTGTTGATTTGGGGTGGAGAGTTCTGTAGATGTCTATTAGGTCTGCTTGGTCCAGCGCTGAGTTCAAGTCCTGAATATCCTTGTTAATTTTCTGTCTCATTGATCTAATATTGACAGTGAGGTGTTAAACTCCCACACAATAATACTGGGAGACTTTAAGTCTCTTCTTAGGTCTCTAAGAACTTGATTTATGAATCTGGGTGCTCCTGAATTGGGTGAGTATATATTTAGAATAGTTAGCTCTTCTCGTTGCATTGATCCCCTTCTTTTTGTTGTTGTTGTTGTTGTTTTAATCTTTGTTGGTTTAAAGTCTGTTTTATCAGAGACTAGGACTGTAACCCCTGCTTTTTTTTTTTTTTTTTTCATTTGCTTGGTAAATATTCCTCCATCCCTTTATTTTGAGCCTATGTGTTTCTTTGTACGTGAGATGGGTCTCCTGAATACAGCACATCGATGGGTCTTGACTCTTTATCCAATTTGCCAGTCTATGTCTTTTAATTGGGGCATTTAGCCTGTTTATGTTTCAGATTAATATTGTTATGTGTGAATTTGATCCTGTCATGATGCTAGCTGGTTATTTTGCCCATTAGTTGATGTAGTTTCTACAGAGTGTCAACAGTCTTTACAATTTGGTATGTTTTTGCCGTGGCTGGTACCAGTTTTTTTTTTCCATATTTAGTGCTTCCTTCAGGAACTCTTGTAAGGCAAGCCTGGTGGTGACAAAATCTCTCAGCATTTACTGGTCTGTAAAGGGTTTTATTTCTTTTTCACTTATGAAGCTTAGTTTGGCTGGATATGCAGTTCTGGGTTGAAAATTCTTTTCTTTAAGAATGTTGAATATTGGCCCTCACTCTCTTCTGGCTTGTAGGGTTTCTGCAGAGAGATCCACTGTTAGTCTGATGGGCTTCCCTTTGTGGGTAACTCGACCTTTCTCTCTGGCTGCCCTTAACATTTTTTCCTTCATTTCAACCTTGGCGAATCTGACAATTATGTGTCTTGGAGTTACTCTTCTTGAGGAGTATCTTTGTGGTGTTCTCTGTATTTCCTGAATTTGAATGTTGGCCTGTCTTGCTAGATTGGGGAAGTTTTCCTGTATAATATCCTGAAGAAGATTTCACTTCATTCTTCCCGACACTTTCAGGTACACCAGTCAAATGTAGATTTGGTCTTTTCACATAGTTCTATATTTCTTGGAGCCTTTGTTCGTTCCTTTTCATTCTTTTTTTCTCTAATCTTGTCTTCATAATTTATTTTATTAAGCTGATCCTCAACCTCTGATATCCTTTCTTCCTCTTGATTGATTCAGCTGTTGATACTTGTGTATGCTTCATGAAGTTCTCTTGCTGTGTTTTTCACCTCCGTCAGGCCATTTTTGTTCTTCTCTAAACTGATTATTCTAGTTAGCAATTCATCTAACCTTTTTTCAAGGTTCTTAGCTTCCTTGCATTGGGTTGGAACATGCTCCTTTAGCTTGGAGGAGTTTGTTGTTACCTAACTTCTGAAGCCTACTTCTGTCAGTTTGTCAAACTCATTCTCCATCCAGTTTTGCTCCCTTGCTGGTGAGGAGTTGTGATCCTTTGGAGGAGAAGAGGTGTTCTTGTGTTTGGAATTTTCAGCTTTTTTGTGCTAGTTTTGCCTCATCTTCCTGGATGTATCTACGTTTGGTCTTTGACGTTGGTGACCTTCAGATGGGGTTTCTGTGTGGATGTCCTTTTTGTTGATGTTGATGCTATTTCTTAGCTTTTTTCTAACAGTCAGTCCCCTCTGCTGCAGGTCTGCTGGAGTTTGCTGGAGGTCCACTCCAGACCCTGTTTGCCTGGATATCACCAGCAGAGGCTGCAGAACAGCAAAGATTGCTGCTTGTTCCTTCCTCTGGAAGCTTCATCACAGAGGGACACCTACCAGATGCCAGCCAGAGCTCTCCTGTATGAGAGGGGTCTGTCATCCTCTGCTGGGAGGTGTCTTCCAGTCAGGAGGCACAAGGATCAGGGACCCCTTTAAGGAGGCATCTGTCCCTTAGTAGAGCTCGAGTGCCGTACTGGGAGATCTGCTTCTCTCTTTAGAGCTGGCAGGCAGGAATGTTTAAGTCTGCTGAAGCTGTGCCCACAGCTACCCATTCCCCCGGGTGCTCTGTCCCAGGGAGATGGGAGTTTTATCTATAAGCCCCTGGTTGGGACTGCTGCCTTTCTTTCAGAGATGCCCTGCCCAGAGAGGAGGAATCTAGAGAGGCAGTCTGTCTACAGCAGCTTTGCCGAGCTGCAGTGGGCTCTGCCCAGTTCAAACTTCCCTGCGGCTTTGTTTACACTGTGATGGGAAAACTGCCTACTCAAGCCTCAGTAATGGCAGACGCCCCTCCCCCCACCAAGCTCCAGCATCCCAGGTCAACTTCAGACTGCTGTGCTGGCAATGAGAATTTCAAGCCAGTGGATCTTAGCTTGCTGGGCTCTGTGGCGGGGGTGGGGGGATCTGCTGAGCTAGACCACTTGGCTCCCTGGCTTCAGCCCCCTTTCCAGGGGAGTGAACAGCTCTGTCTCGCTGGCATTCCAGGTACCACTAGGGTATGAAAAAAAAAACTCCTGCAGCTAACTCAATGTCTGCCCAAATGGCTGCCCAGTTTTGTGCTTGAAACCCAGGTCCCTGGTGGTGTAGGCACCCAAGGGAATCTCCTAGTCTGTGGGTTGCAAAGACCATGGGAAAAGCATAGTATCTAGGCCAGAGTGCACCATTCCTCATGGCACAATTCCTCATGGCTTCCCTTGGCTAAGGGAGGGAGTTCCCCAACCTCTTGTGCTTCCCAGGTGAGGTGACACCCCACCCTCCTTTGGCTTGCTCTCCATGGGCTGTACCCACTGTCTAACTAGTCCCAATGAGATGAGCCAGGTACCTCAGTTGGAAATGCAGAAATCACCCACCTTCTCTGTTGGTCTCGTTGGGAGCTGCAGACCAGGGCTGTTCCTATTTGGCCATTTTGCCAGCCACCCCTAGTTGCTTCTTAACTTTCTACTCTGCCTCTACTTTGCCTCCCTGCTATGGTCTACTCCCCCCAAAGCAGTCAGCATAACTTCTTAAATTGAGAGCACTGCACTCCCCTGCTCAAGATATGACAAAAGTTACCCATAAAACTGGAATAAAAACTTGACTTCTTCCCATGGCCTGCAAGACAAAAGGCCCTGTGAGTTATGGCATTGCCTGTGTGATCTCATCTTCTCCATTACTTCCCTCATTTCTCACTCTGACCATGCTGGCCCCCTTGCTATATGTTCACTGAACACATATGAAACACATTTCTGTCCCAGTCTTGGCACTCACCTCAGTGCCTGTAATGTCCGTGCTCCTTCCCTTCCTCACTTTTGTCAGGTCACTTTTCAAATGTTACTTCTCTAGAGAGGCTCCTTCTCATTCGATCTAAAATTAAGAACTCCTCCAATCACTCTGTTTCCTTTTATCCCAATTTCTTTTCTTGCTATTTGCCACTACCTGAAAAAAAAAAATGTCTTCTTCATTAGGCCATAAGCTCATAAAGGCAAAAACTGTGTTCAACCTGTCCTCTCTACTCCAGCACTTAGAAGAGTGGCAGAGTCAGCATTCAGTGTTTACAGAGTGAACAACTTCCTGGCAGCATTTAGCACTGTATCACAGCCTCTATTATCTTGAATTCTTTGTTCTTTTAGTAACCTATCCTGCTTTTCCTCCTCCAATTCTACCTACATATCTGAGGGCTTGTTCCTTACATCCTGATAGTCCTTACAGGCCTATCTTCTATTCACTTTCTCTCTCTTTTTTTTTTTTAAGAGATGGGGTCTCACCATGTTGCACAGGCCACACAAAAATTCCTGGGCTCAAGCAATCCTCCCACCTCAGCCTCCCAAGCAGCTGGGACTAGAGACATTTGCTACCATGCCCAGCATGTCCACTTTCACTCTACACACTTTCTCCACATTTAAGTAGCTACTCATACTGCTCATTCATTACCTCTAGCTCACATTCAGGTTCCAGTCCGGTATATCCACATGATGACTGAACACTACCACTCTGCTATCTCACAGGGACATTAAACCTAATTCATCTACAATGAACTCCTTCTCTTCTGATCCAGCTTTCCCTCCAGCATCACCTATCTCTCTACATCTGGAAACACCATTCCTGTTTTCCTCCATCATGTGCTAAGCTTTCTGAATGGCTTGAAGCTTCATGAAAAGGCCTGTGTCTTATCCAGTGCCCATAGACAGGTTTCTTTTCAAGTGCACAGCAAAAGTGTTCTCTCCTAAACTCTAGCTGGTTGCTAACAAATCATGTATTGACCTAAGTGTTCTTCTCCTCCAGCCCAAGCAGTTGATCTTTTTCTATAGGCTTGCTGTTGAAAGGAATAAAACCCAACTGTATTAGTCTGTTCTCACACTGCTATAAAGAACCACAGAACCACTTGAGACTGGGTAATTTATGAAGAAAAGAGGTTTAATTGACTCACAGTTCTGTATGCTGTACAGGAATCATGGCTGGGAGGCCTCAGGAAACTTACGATCATGGCAGAAGGTGAAGGGGAAGCAAGCACGTCTTAACATGGTGAAGCAGGAGGGAGAGAGTAAAGGGGGAAGTGCTACACACGTTTAAATAACTAGATTTCATGAGAACTCATTCAATATCATGAGAACAACAAGGAAGAAATGTCCCTATGATCCAATCACCTCCTACCAGATCCCTCCCCCAACATTAGGAATTACAATTTGACATGAGATTTAGATGGTGACACAGAGCCAAACTATATCATCCTACCCTGGACCCTCCCAAATCTCATGTCTTTCTAACATTGCAAAACACAGTCATGCTATCCCAGCGGTCCCCCAAAGTTTTAACTAATTTCAGCATTAACTCAAAAGTCCACCTCCAACATCTCATCTGAGACAAGGCAAATCCCTTTTACCTATGAGCCTGCAAATAAACAGTTACAAGATATAATGGGGGTAGAGTCACTGGATGAATAAACCCATTCCGAATGGGAGACATTGGCCAAAATGAAGGGGCTACAGGCCCCATACAAGTCTAAAATGCAGCAGGGCAGCCATTAAGTCTCAAAGCTCTGAAATAATCTCCTTTGACTCCATAGCTCACATCCAGGCCATATTGATGCAAGGGGTGGGCTCCCATGGCCTTGGGAAGCTCTGACCCTATGGCTCTGCAGAGTAGAGCCACCATAGCTGTTTTCACAGTCTGGCATTCAGTGCCTGAAGCTTTCCAGGTACACAGTGCAAGCTGTCAATGGATCTACTATTCTGGGGTCTGGAGGATGGTGGCCCTCTTCTCACGGCTCCACTAGGCAGTGCCCCAATGGGGACTTTGTACAGGGGCTTCAACACCACATTTCCCCTCTGAACTGTACTAGTAGAGGTTCTCCACAAGGGCTCCACCCCTGCAGCAGAATTCTACCTCAACATCCAGGCATTTTCATACATCCTGTGAAATCTAGGCAGAGACTCAAAAACCTCAGCTCTTGCCTTATGCACACCTGCAGGCCCAACACTACATGAAAAACACCAAGGCTTGGGTCTTGCACCCTCAGAAGCAATGGTCTGAGCTGTACCTTGGCCCCTTTTAGCTATGGCTGGAGCTGGAGCAGCATGGACAGAGGGTGCCATGTCCTGAGGCTGCAGAGAGCTGCAAGACCCTGAGCCTGGCCCATGAAATTATTCTTCCCTCCTAGGCCTCCAGGCCTGTGATGTGGGGGGGGCTACCACAAAGGTCTCTGAAATGTCCTGGAGGCATTTTCCCCATTGTCTTTGCTATTAACATTCAGTTAATCTTTACTTACGCAAATTTCTGCAGCCTTGAATTCCTCTCCAGAAAACGGGTTTTCTTTTCTACCACATGGGTAAGCTGCAAATGTTCCAAACTTTTCCACTCTTCTTCTCTTTTAAATGTAAGTTCTAGTTTCAGGTAATTTCTTTGTTTATGAAAATGAATGTAAGCTTTTAGAAGCAGCCAGGCCATATCTTGAATGCTTTGCTTCTTAGAAATTTCTTCCACCAGATACCCTAAATCATCTCTCTCAAGTTCAAAGTTCCACAGATCTCTGTAACAGGGGCACAAAGCCACCAGTCTTTTTGCTAAAGCACAGTAAGAGTGACCTTTACTCCAGTTCCCAATAAGTTCCTCATCTCCATCTGAGACCAGCTCAGCTTGGACTTCACTGTCCATATCACTATCAGTATTGTGGTCAAAACCATTCAACAAGTCTCTATGAAGTTCTAAACCTTCCCTCATCTTTCTATCTTCTTCTGAGCCCTCCAAACTGTTCCAACCTCTGTTTGTTACCCAGTTCCAAAGCTGCTGCCACATTTTCAAGTATCTTTCCAGCAATGCCCCCCTTCTCTGTATTAGTTCTTTCTCACACTGCTATAAAGAACTACCTGAGACTGGGTAATTTATAAAGAAAAGAAGTTTAATTGACCCACAGTTCCACAGGCTGTACAGGAAGCATGGCTCAGTGGCCTCAGGAAACTTACAATTATGGTGGAAAGTGAAGGGAAAGCAAGCATGTCTTGCAGTGGTGAAGCAGGAGAGAGAGAACAAAGGGGGGAAGTGTTGCACACTTTCAAAGCATCAGATATAATAAGAACTCACTATTGTGAGAACAGCAAAGGGGGAATACGCCCCCATGATCCAATCACCTCCCACGAGATCCCTCCCCCAACACTGGGAATTATGCAATCCAACGTGAGATTTGGCTGGGGACACACAGCCAAACCATATAACTGTTTAAATAAAGGCAAGGTAGTAGAAAATGTCTGTGGGACTATCTGAAAAAAGGTTCTTAGGAATATCTCTGTGAAGTGGCTTGGAGAAATCACATTATTCTGAAATGATTCAGAAGAACAAAGTACACTATTTACGTCTGATTTTTTTCTAAGTAACCAAAATAATTCCATTCTTCATTGTAGTAAAACTAAAATGTTTTACATCTAAGTAGGAATTTCTCAGTTTCCAAGTAAACTGATATAAAATTGTCCAAACTAAAGATATTAACAGCAAATTGTTAATGTCCTGCCTCAGTTTCTATGGAAACTTAGGAATTGTAGGCAAATGCTGAAATTGAGGTTTCGCTTATCACTTTATTGAATGCCAGAAAAATAAATTTCAAGAGGCAAATTGAAATGAAAATTTAAGTGTCATGCAAATAAACATAAAATGTTAAATTCTGTGCTCACAAACTATTTTTTTAACTTTTCTGATTTAACACTCCTTATTATTGTTCTATGCTTAAGGCATGATACCTTACCTCTCCTGTCTCCAGCTTCTCTTGTCCAGGAAATTCTCAGCTTCAATTTACAGTGACAAGAGAAAACTCTTTAAAAATTATTAACCTGCTTGATTGGTAAATTTGGGTAATTTTATTACCTCTACTTTTATCCGTATCTGTTGAAATTAATGTATAGACATAAGATGGAGCCAGGCAAGATGGAATATATCAGTAATTCCAGCTACTCAGGAGGCTGAGGCAGGAGGATCACTTGAGCCCTGGCCAGAAGACTGAGGCCAGTATGGGCAACACAGTTAAGACCCCTTTCCCTTTAGAAAAAAAAATGGACAGGTAAATGTTGCCTCTGAGTTGTATAAAATAAGCTTTTAATTGAACTAATCAAGGTGGAGTAAGTTCTAAGAGATAAGTTTACTTTATAGGTAAAACATACAATGTATTCCACAGTTTTAAAGTTTAGGAACTGAATTAGGCATCGCTACCATCTCCATGTCAGTTTCAGGGTACTTACTATAGAACCTTAGTTCTGTTCAGTAGCTGTCTTACATAGTCATTTCAGATCTCAAAGTCTTTGTTTTTTCATCATCAATACAGGGAGAATATACACAGGCCTTATTTGTGTTTGGAAGGGCCAAATAAGATGTACATTAAAATGTGTTGTACATACTAAAAAAAGACATGAAGAGCCTATTTTGGGATCTCATCCAGCACTACCCATCTACCAACTGGTGTGTAAAGTCACTGAGGTTTACCTTACACCACCAAACAGAGCATAAATATTCACAAGTACTTCCATACTTTGTGCATAAAGTTACAATCTATTAACACAATCTATTCGTTCTTTCACTATTATTGAATATTCTGAAAATTGAATATGGTACTTTCCAGTTATAAAGGCACATACATCATGAGCTTTAATTCTTCTTCTTCTTTTTTTTTTTTTTTTTTGAGACGGAGTTTTGCTCTTGTTGCCCAGTTTGGAGTGCAGTGGCGCGATCTCGGCTCACTACAACCTCCACCTCCCAGGTTCAAGTGATTCTCCTGCCTCAGTCTCCTGAGTAGCTGAGATTACAGGCATGCACCACCATGACCAGATAATTTTTTGTATTTTTACTAGTGATGGGGTTTCCTCATGTTGGCCAGGCTGGTCTCAAACTCCTGACCTCAGCTGATCCACCTGCTTTGGCCTCCCAAAGTGCAGTGATTACAGGCGTAAGCCACCATGCTAGGCCTAAGTTTTCTAACTTTTAAAGAAATTAAGAGCCCAATCAAAGTTTAAACAGAAGAGCTATAAGACATTTTCTCTATACTAATGAAATATCTGGCATTTATTAAAACAAATGAGACAACCAGATTTAACTATCTTTATGATACAATGTTTTCTATTTCAAAGAACTTAGTTTTTATTCAAGAACCATATTATTCAAAACCATTTCTACTTAAATTCGTTCTTTTTCTGATGGTAAAATATTAAAAATTTTCTTTCATCTCCCCCCTTTCCATCCCTATCAGAGATTAGAGTTTGAACTCTAACACTCTCATCTTTGAACATAATTCTGTTGACATGAGGAGGGAGCTATGGAAACAAACACTTGAACAGGCAGCATCTGGCATTTTAAACTCCCAAACCTTTACATCACAAATGTAACTCTGAATTTATGTTCCAGCTCTTGAAATTTTTTTACTATGAACCACCCCTCCACTTTTAGAACAAGGAGGAAAATGAAGTCCAGTAAGTCACCAGAGTAGATCTGAAGATATATTTGGGTTAAAGAGGAAATCTTAAAGCAATCAAAACACTGTGGGTAAGCTTTGGGTTTAAAAAACCATCAACTATTCTGCAGCCCTGGCAGTAACATTTTACACCATTCATAATCATTTTAAGCACTTCTCCAATTTTCTTCCCTTCAGTGTTCAAATTATAGTTGGAGGAATAAAGCCATTTCTATCGAGGTGACTTAAAACAACTTATTAAAAACTCCATACGCCAACCTCTATTCTGAATTTAAGCAAGAAATCCCTAAACATTGGGTCTAAATTTTCCCAAGTATCAGCTACCTTAACACATAAGAGAAAGGGAACAATCAGACTCTTACCTGGCTCCTTCATTTAGGTACCATCTAGATAGATAAGGAGAATGGGATGGGTACTCAGAAGTTGGAGTATTTGAGTTCTCATTAAGAAAAGGCAAAGAAGATATGAAGAAAGCTTCGAAAAAGTCTCATAGAATGATAAATTGTAGGGCTCAGACTGATGTCCTTTGGCAGACCAGCTTGGAGCTGGCATTGGGGGACACACAAGTCAGCATGCTTTCCATGGAGTGGTTCTGCTCCTCTTCACCACCATGTCAACCTTTGCTTGCTGCTGCCTGCTCACAGATCTCAGACCTGAAGTAGGACCCCGCTGTCCCCCTGATCCAGCCCAGTTTGGTGCTAGCATTGGGTGACACACAATAGGTCGGCATGGTCCCCATGGTGCACTTCTGCTCTTCTCTACTGCCATATGTTCCTTTGCTCACTGCTGCCTGCTTGCAGATCTCAGACCTGTGGGTAGGGCTCCACTGATCTCCTGTGCCAGACCAGCTTCCACTCTTCTCTGCCACTGCCTGCATTTTTGCTTGCTGCCACCTGCTCATAGATCTCAGCCCTACAATCGGGCTCCACCAGCCCTGTGCAGCAGCCCCACACAGGGCTGGCATTGGGGAAGATGCAAGAGTTCAGCATGTTACCAATGGGGCACCTCCACTCCTCTCCACCACTGCCTGTGCCTTTGTTCAATGCTGCATGCTCATAGATCTCAAACTCATAATAGGGCTCCACTGACCTCCTGCACCAGCTCTATTGGGGGCTGGCAGCATGGGACACGCAAGAGGTCATCATGTTACCCATGTGGCACCTGCACTTCTCTCCACCGTGGCCTGCACCTTTACTCACTGCTGCATGCTTATAGATCTCAGACCCACAATAGGGCTCCACAAATCTCCTGTGCCAGCCCTACTTGGGGCTGGGATTGAGGGACATACAAGTAGTCAGCATGTTCCCCAGAGGGTTCTTCCAGTCCTATCCACTGCCATCTGTACCTTTGATCATTGCCTCCTGTTCCTCATAAATCTCAGACCCCCAGTAGAGCTCCGCCAACCTCTTGTACCAGCACCGCTCATGGCTGGCATTTCAAGACACATAAATGATCAGCATATTACTCTTGGGGCACTTCTGCCCCTCTCCTCTGCCATCTGCATGTTTGCTCACTACAGCCTGCTCGTAGATCTCAGATCTGAGGTAGAGTTCCACTGACCTCCTGCACCAGCTCTGGTTGTGACTGGTTTTGGGGAACATGCAAGACGCCAATGCATTACCCAAGGGGTGCCTTTGTTTCTTTCCACTACCACCTACACCTTCACTCGCTGCCGCTTGCTCATACATCTGAAACTCACAGTAGGGCTCCACCGACTTCCTATGCCTGTCCTGTTTGGGGCTGGCACTAGGGGACATGCAAGAAATCAGAGTGTTACCCATGGGGCATCTTTGCTCCTCTCTGCTGCTGCCTGTGCCCTTGCTTGCTGCTGGCTGCTCCTTGATCTCAGATTTGCAGTAGTCCCCCACCAACCTCCTGTGCCAACCCCACTCGGGGCTGGCACTTTGGGACATACAAGAGGCCAGCCTGTTACCCATAGAGCAGCTCTGTTCCTCTCTTCCACCATCTGCATGTTTGCTCTCTGCAGCCTGCTCGGAGATCTCAGACCCACAGTAGAATTCTGTCGATCTCCTGCACTGACATTGCTTGGAGCTGGAACCCCGGGACATGCAAGAGGTTAGCCTGTGACCCATGGGGCGCCTCCACTCCTCTCCTCTGCCATCTGCTTGTATGCCTCCTGCAGGCTGCTTGGAGAATGCAGCCTCACAGTAGTGTTCCCGCCGAAGTCTTGGGTCAGCCTGGTTGGGGCTGGCACTCTAGGACATGAGAAGTTAGCCTGTGATCCACAGGGCACCTCCACTTCTTCTGTCATCTGCATGTTTGCAGCTGCTGTCTGCTCCTAGGTCTCAGCCTCGCAGTAAGATTCTGCCTACCTCCTACACTGGTCCTGCTTGGGCCTGGCACTGAAGGACACGGAAGAGGTCAGCATGTTACCTTTGGTGTGCCTTTGCTCCTTTCCACTGCCATCTGCACCATTCTTTGTTTCTGCCTGCTGGTAGATCTGACCCATGGTAGGGCTCTGCCAACTTCCTGTGCTTGTGCTGCTTGGGGCTGGCATAAGACACAAGGGGTCAGCCTGTTACCCGTGGTGCGCTTCTGCTCATCGTCACTACTGCCTGAGTCCTCACTGGCTGCTGCCTGCTCGTAGATCTCAGACCCACAGTAGGGCCCTGCCAACCTCCTGCACCTGTCCTGCTTGGGGCTGGCAATGGGGGACATGCAAGAGGTCAATGTCTTACCCAAGGTGTGCCTCTACTCCTCTCTGTCGCTACCTGCGCTATCTTTTGCTTTTGCCTGCTGGTAGATTTCAGAACTGAAGTGAGACTCTGCAGTCCTCCTGCACCGGCCCTTTTGGGGCTGGCATTAGGGGACATGAAAGAGGTCAGCCTGGTACCTATGGGGCTCCTTCTCTCCTCGCCTCTACCATCTGCATGTTTGCTCTCTGCAGCCTGCTTATAGATCTCAAACTCGCAGTAGGGCTTCTCTGAGCTCCTGCAGCAATACTGCTTGGGGCCAGCACTGGGGGACATGCAAGAGGTCAGTGTCTTGCCCATGCGGTGCTTCTGCTCCTTTCCTCTGCCATCTGCGTGTTTGCTCATTGCAGCTTGCTCAGAGATCTCACACCCTTAGTAGGACTCCGTCAACTTTCTGTGCCAGCCCTGCTTGGAACCACCACTCGGACACACGAGAGCTCAGCCTGCTACCCATGGGGCGACTCTGCTCCTCTCCACTGCTGCCAGTGTCCTCTCTTGCTGCCATCTGCTTGTTGATCTCACATATGCAGTAGGGGTCCACTGACCTCCTGCACTGGCCCTGCTTGGGGTTGGCACTCTCGGTCACCAAGAGGTCAGTGTGTTATGCATGGGGTGCTTTTGCCCCTCTCTGCTGCCATCTGTGCCTTCACTCACTGCCACTGGCTCATAGTTCTGAGACAGGTCAGAGGGCCCTCCCGACCTTCTGTGCCTGTCCTGCTTGGGGCTGGCATTGGGAGACACACAAGTGGTCAGCCTTTTACACCCATGATGTGCATCTGCTCCTCTTTGCCGCCACCTTGGCCCTTGCTGGCTGCTGCCTACTCGTAGATCTCAGACCCGCAGAAGGGTTCCACTGACCTCCTGCCCCTGTCCTGCTTGGGGTTGACGCTGGGGGACATGCTAGAACTCTGTGTCTTACCCATAGGTAAGGCGTGAGCCATCACACACATCCAAAACAAAGTTTTAAAGAGACTCAAGAGGATCAACTTGTTCTATAAGTAACTTAAGTGCCTAACAAAACAAAGTTTTATACTCTTTAAAGGAAGATAGTACCAGCCTGAGCAACATAGTGAGAACTGATATCTACAAAAAAAAAAAAAATCAAAAATTAGCCGGGTATTGTGGCACATGCCTATAGTCTCAGCTACTCAGGAGGCTGAGGCAGGAGAATCAGCCCAGGATGTTAAGGCTGCAGTGAGCTGTGGTTGTGCCACTGTACTCCAGCCTGGGCAACAGAGCAAAACCCTATCTCAAAAAAAGAAAAGAAAAGACAGTAAAAGCCAATCACTCAAAACATAACACTTACAATACTAGGTATTTAAAATAGTGCCCAAAACCATGAAATATTTAGGAATATATCCAATGTGTATTGGAACTGGCTCACACAACAATTTATTGTCATCTCTTCCAAACTCATTAATGACATTACATTGATAGCCTGAAATTGATCATAGTGTATCTACATCACAGAAATTGGCAAATAGCGCAAATTAGGGCTTTCTAACCACCGTCACCCCAAAGAGCAGGTTCACCAGTACACCACCAGATAAATTTAACAAAATATGAGCTGACCTCTATAACAAAACATTGCTAAGATAAATTAAAGGAGATCTAAATAATAGTGAGATATAATTTGTCTATGGATTGAAAGATTCAATATATTTAAAAATGTCAGTTATCTCCCAAATTACTCCACAGATTCAGTGGAATCCTAATTAAAATCCCAACAGACAGGGTCAGGCACAGTGGCTCACACCTGTAATCCCAGCACTTTGGGAGGATGAGGTGGGCAGATCACTTGAGGTCAGGAGTTCGAGACCAGCCTGGCCAACATGGTAAAACCCTGACTCTACTGAAAAAAAAAAAAGCTGTGTGGTGGCAGCCACCTGTTTCCAGCTACTCAGGAGGCTGAGGCAGGAGAATCACTTGAACTGGGAGGTGGAGGTTGCAGTGAGCTGAGGTTGCGCCACTACACTCCAATCTGGGTGACAGAGCAAGACTCCATCTCAAAAAAAAAAAAAAAACCCACAGATAGGCTGATACTAAAATTTATAAGGAAATGCAAAGTTTTAGAATAATCAAAAGTTGAATAAGAAATGTGTTAGAGGACATACACTACAACATTTTATTATTTACTATAAATCTAGATTAAGTCATAAAAGATATCAGACCTATATAAAATATAGAGATCAATGGAACAGAATAGAATCTAGAAATTCACCTGGACATATATAGCCAATTAGTTTTGTTTAGATGTTCTATGGCTACTTTACTGAGACTCTATAGTGTTTGCTTAAGCATTTATTAATGCTCATATTTTTAAAATCTAAACAAAAGTCATCATTACCAAGTCTCATGACATAGAAATTTGGACTTCAATCATCCATTTGTTCCATGCAGAACAGACTTAGAACTATTTTCTAAAATATGTGTTTTGCCTGTGAACACTCCCTTGGCCCTTCTTTGTGCATTGGACTTGAATTTACTCAAGTGGCCTACCTCTCATTAAAGCACAAAGGTATGTTCTTAATCAGTAACATAAAATAACTCTCACTCATTCAAGAAATATTTACTGAACAACTATATGCCAGGCAATTCAGATATTACTTGGAAAGAATAACCTCTAAGACTACGTATCAAAAGTTTGATTGCAAAAATAATATTTACCAGAATAGCCTGAAATATATGTAGTCAAATTATTTCCCTACTTAATCTAGAATTGTTTTTTGTTATTTTTCAGACAGGGTCTCAGTATGTTGCCCAGGCTGGCCTTGAACTTCTGGGTTCAAGGGCTCCTCCCACCTCAGCTTCCTGCGTAGCTGGGACTACAGGTGCCCACCACTGCACCCAGTTTTGTTCTTTTGATTAAGGCAGACTCTCAGATTCATACATACCTGGACCTCACAGTTATGTTTCTTCACAGTTAACTCTGCTCTAGTACTATGTTCTATGGCCTAAGCCAAGCAGTGTTATAAGAAGCAATTGCAGCTTAGCTAGCATCAACCCACCGAAATTTCTTCGAAACTACATTAAGCTAATACAGCTCTTTGGCTGTCCCCGGGTTCTCATGAGGTTAGGCTGTGGGCTAAATTTCTCATCTTTATTTTCATGAGCATGATGACAAAAGAAAACACTGATTATTTGAATCAATCTGAATGAACGTCTATTATCTGCAACTGGAAGAGCCTATGTAACACCTGCAGTTTTACAACAAAAATATTCCACAAAGCAAGTCCAGGGGGTTCCTCTAGTATTCTGCCTGGATTAGATATTGTCATCAGCTCTGGGTTCCAGGATCTCTTCTATACTTTATCTTCCGAGTAATCTCAGTAATTCCAGTGCTGGGGCCCAGCCATTTCCTTAGCTTTGAAATCCAACTCATATCAAACTACCTGATGATAGCTCCCGGGGTTATCTGATGGGCATATTGAAATGTAATGTGGTCCAAAATGGAATTCTTTATTCCCTTCTCTTAATTCCTCTTCCAAGACTTCCTATCTCCATAAATGACATTAGCATCCAATTCACCCACAAACCCAGGTGTGTCCTTCATTCCTCCCTTTCCTGCAGGCTCCACAGCTAATCTACAGGCAAGTCCTGTCAGTTCTACATCTCCAGGCTTGCCACTCCCCTGCATCTCCAACCCTCTAGTTCAAGCCATCATCATGTTTCATTTGAGTCACTGCTAGAGCCTCCTGATTGGTCTTCTCAATTCTGCCCCTGCCCTTCTCTACTTTCTATTATACATAGTAGCGGGAGTGATATTCTCAAAAGATAAATCTAATCATATGAAGCTCCTACTAAAACTAACCAGTGGCTAGGTGCAGTGGCTCACACCTGTAATCTCAACATTTTGGAGGCCAGTGTGGGAGGATCATTTGAGGCCAGGAGTTCAAGACTAGCCTGGGCAACATGGAGAGACCCTCATTACTACAAAAATTAAAAAATTATCCGGGCATGGTGGCACATATCTCTAGTCCCAGCTATGTGGGAGGCTGAGGTGGGAAGAGCACTTGAACTCAGGAATCTGAGGCTGCAGTGAACTATGATTGCGCCTCTGCACTCCAGCCTGGGCAACAGAGTGAGACTCTGTCACTAAAAATACATTTAAAAAATACAATAAGGGCTGGGGGCAGTGGCTCAAACCTGTAAACCTAGCACTTTGGGAGGCCGAGACAGGTGGATCACTTGAGCCCAGAATTTTGAGACCAAGCTGGGCAACATGGCAAAACCCCATCTCCACAAAAAATATGAAAAAAATAGCCAGGTGTGGTGGTGCATACCTGTAGTCCCAGGTACTCAGGAGGCTGAGGCAGGAGGATTGGTTGAGCACAGAAGGGCGAGCTGCAATGAGACCCTGATCACATCACTGCACTCCAGCCTGGGCCAGAGTGAGACCCTGTCTCAAAAAAACTAAAACAAAATAACTGGGAGTATTTCTTTCTTTCAGCTAAACCATGATCAATATAAAGGCCTTCATGATCTGTCTCCAACTAATTTACCAATCTTATCTACACAACTCCCCTCCTCACCACTGTTCTTCAGCTGTACTACTCTAATTTTTGTTAATAGAAAACCCTTTCCTGTCTCCTGGGCATTAAATCTTTTTTTCTTCTGCCTGGAATGCTCTCCTCCTGGAGTTTAATGAGGCCTGGCCCTTCTCACCTATGATCTCATCTTCCTCATTAGGTAGCACTTACATGCCACCTACTCAGAGACAGCCTTGGTTGCCAGCCAAATGGCTCTTTCTTTTCTTTTTTTGACATAGGGCCTCACCCCATCACCCAGGCTGGAATGCAGTGGCATGATCATGGCTCTCTGTAGCCATGACCTTCTAAGCTCAAGCGATCCTCCCACTTCAGCTTCCCAAGTAGCTGGGACCACTGGTGTGTGCCACCCCACCTGGCTAAATTTGTTTTTGTAGAGATGAGGTTTTGCCACGTTGTCCAGGCTGGTCCCGAACTCCTGGGCTCAAGTGATCCACCTGCTTCGGCCTCCCAAAGTGCTGGGATTACAAGTGTGAGCCACCATTCCTGGCCCCTAATGGCTCTTTCTAAAGCACTCCTGTTCACCTTCCCCAGCTCACCATCTCTTTCTTTATAGTGCTTAACAAGATGGGTAATTATCTTCTTTTTAATTGTTTGTCTGTTTCCTTGTTAATTTTCTTTCTTCCCACTAGACTATAATTTCCATGCTTTCACATTCCTTACTTGCATTTAGCATATTTTCTGGCACATAGTTGGTGCTCAATAAATTCTTTTTTGTTTTTTTTTAGAGACATGGTCTTGGTATGTCACCCAGGCTGGAATGCAGTGGCTATTCAACAGGCATGCTCACAACTCACTGCAGCCTCAAACTCCTGGGCTTGAGCAATCCTCCTGCCTCAGGATCCTAAGCAGCTGAGACTACAGGCATACCACCACATCTGGCTGATTAAAAAAAAAATTAGAGATGGAGTCTTGCTATGTTGCTCAGGCTGGTCTTAAACTCCTGGACTCAAGGGCTCCTCCAGCCTCAGCCTCCCAAAGTGCTGGGACTACAGGTGTGAGCCCCTGCACCCAGCCTCAATACATTCTTGTTGAATAAATAAACAAATAGCATTCAGTTGGAGAGAGATCTGCATGAAGAAAAGGGCTCAACTATTTATGCCATGCACTGGATCAGGGGCTGCATAATGTGGTGCAACAGAGATGCCACTAAGGGTCAGACACTCCACCATCGGGCTCTGTCCTCTGTGATTGACAGAAGCTCCAAAAGCTTGTCATTGTGGGAGCTGCAATATCCTGGGTCCTTGGCTCTTCAGTCTACTTTCCATGTTTGTGCTATCTGCCTCCTAATCTTTCTCAGATAACTCATACATTTACAGTTTCCCCAGCTCTACCCACAGACATTAATTTTCAGAAAAAGGTCTGAGCAAACACCAAGTAAGAGTGACAGCCTCTAGCATTAACTGTCCTTAAGGTGGTTGTTTTTTACCTGGCAAAAATTCTTAGCTAAGCCCAGGACGCTTTAGAGCAGGGGTTCTAAGTTTTTGTAACTCTTTTTTTTTCTTTTTTTTTGAGACGGATTCTCACTCTGTTGTCCAGGCTGGAGTGCAGTGGTGTGATCTCAGCTCACTGCAACCTCCACCTCCCAGGTTCAAGCAATTCTCCAGCCTCAGCCTCCCAAGTAGCTGGGATTACAGGCACCTGCCACCACGCCCAGCTAATTTTTGTAGTTTTAGTAGAGATGGGATTTCACTGTGTTGGCCAGGCTGGTCTAGAACTCCTGACCTCAGGTGATCCACCCACCTCAGCCTCCCAAAGTCCTGGGATTACAGGCACGAGCCACTGTGCCTGGCCAATTTTTTGGAACTTTTGAATATTTTGTGGTAACTGCATTTATTATTTTGTAAATAACTATACAATTTGTAAAGGCCAGTTTTGGTGGAAAAACAATTAAAATAAGGATGGAAATTATTACACATGCTGGAAATGGCTAATCTTTGTCCTCAAACAAATGTTTATTGGCTGTAAACAAACTTATTATATGTTAGTTCTGAAAGAAAAAAACATAATGAAATAACTTGTGCAAAATGCTGGAGATACATCTTCAAAGATTTTTGTCTAACAATTAAGGAAGAAATGAAGATTACATGTAAATTATAAACTGAGAATTAAACAAATGCATTGACACACATGCCAAGTCTTTGGAATTATTGATAAGAATACAGCTTATTACAGATCCTTTCATCAAGAGAAGATACTGGGGTTTGATTTTCCTTTGACAACATTTTCAAAAAAGTTGATGGTACAAAACCATCAAAGTCACCATCACTATCTCCTGCTGAAACCCCAGCCAAATCTTCACCCCACCCCACTTAGTCACTTGCAAAAATCACTCAACATTAAAACCAAGTTCTTACACATCATTCAGGTAAGAGAGATAATTAGAAATTGAGGAAAGAAAGAAATCGCTTTAGAGTAATAAGGAATTGGCCAGGCACCTTGGCTCACGCCTGTAATCCCAGCACTTTGGGAGGCCAAGGCAGGTGGACCACGAGGTCAGGAGTTTGAGACTAGCCTGGCCAACATGGTGAAACCCCATCTCTACTAAAAATACAAAAATTAGCTGGTGACAGTGGCAGGCGCCTGTAATCCCAGCTACTTGGGAGGTTGAGGCAGGAGAATCGCTTGAACAAGAGCGAAACTCCATCTCAAAAAAAAAAAAAAAAAAATAGCCAAGCATGGTGCACACCTGTAATCCCAGCTACTTGGGAGGCTGAGGCAGAATTGCTTGACCCCAGGAGGTGGAGGTTGCAGTGAGCCAGGATCACACTATTGCACTCCAGCCTGGGCAACAGAGCAAGGCTCCATCTCAGAAAAAAAATAAAGAAAGAAAGAATAATAAGGAGTTGGCTCGTGCCTGTGGTCCCAGCTACTCTGG
The DNA here is from genome assembly GCF_000001405.40 of Homo sapiens. Lineage (NCBI taxonomy): Eukaryota > Metazoa > Chordata > Mammalia > Primates > Hominidae > Homo > Homo sapiens. Next base: position 227,457,442 of record NC_000001.11, on the reverse strand, counting down.
AGGCTGAGACAGGAGGATCACTTGGGCCAGAGAGATCACAGCTACAGTGAGCTATGATCGTGCCTGTGAATAGCCACTGCACTCCAGCCTGGGTGACATAGCAAGACACTGTCTGAAAAAAAAGAATAAGAAGGAGCTTTGTAGGTAAATTAGAACAGACTTGTATTTGAGACCTTGCCTTCACTGCTGCCATGAAGTAGGGCATGGAGGGACCCTCAAGGAGGAAAAGCAGAGATCTCCAACCCCAACCCTATTCTATTTTGAATTGTCTGATGAATTGGGATGATTCCAACCAAGGTCCACTGGCATTTAAGAACACTAAAAATACCAGAGGGAGACTCACCTGAGTGAAAGAGGAGTCCAGTCAGTTGACCTGATTGCAAATGTGGGCAGAGAGGGGACAAGAAAATACAGTAAGTTTCCTGTCTCCTTTATATGGGGCTGGGTGCTGGGAATAATGAAGGTCATAGAGGTGGTGGTGTGCAGGCAGAGGCAGACACATTTTTGATGGAGTAATTGGTGAGGTCCTCCCTGGAGACTGAGATCTAAATGATGAGGCAAAGAATGGGGGCAGGAGAATGCAAGACTGAGGGAATGAGGACCTGAGTCTTTTTTTTTTTTTTTTTTTTTTTTGAGACAGAGTTTCAGAGTTTCACTCTTGTTGCCCAGGCTGGAGCACAGTGGCGCGCTCACTGCAATTTCCACCTCTTGGGTTCAAGCGATTCTCCTGCCTCAGCCTCCTGAGTAGCTGGGATTACAGGTGCCCACTACCACCCCCGACTAATTTTTTGTAATTTTGGTAGAGACAGGGTTCCATCATGTTGGCCAGGCTGGTCTGGAACTCCACCTCAGGTGACCCACCCACCGCAGCCTCCCAAAGTGCAGGAATTACAGGCACGAGCCACCATGCCCGGCCAGAGGCCCTGAGGCTTTAAATGGCTTAGTGTGGTTGAGGAGATGAAAGAAGACCACTTGATAGAACACAGATGAAGAAGGAGGAGAGCACAGATTGGAAAAATGGGCAGGGGCCACCTCACACCAGCCTCTAAGGTGTGGTTAGGAGTTCACTCTTTGCTTTAAGAACAATGAAAGCCCTGAAAGGTTTTAAGCAAGGGTATGACTTGGTCGGATCACTCTGGATGTTCTCAAGAGAAGGGACTAGAGAGAAGATGGGAGCTTTGAGGTCCATTAGAGGCGAGGCTGCTGCAATGGAAGAGCTGGATAAAGCGTTCTTGGAAATTCTGAAGGAGGATGGCCCGAAGAGGAAAACACTGGATTTCTGCTAATAAAATCAAGCTTGATGGGATTAGGTGGGGCGGCTCAATGCCAAGAATTTAAGACCAGCCTGGGCAACATAGCGAAACCCCAGTATTTACAAAAAATAAAAATTATCTGGGTGCGTTGGTGCGTGCCTGTAGTCCCAGCTACTTTGGATGCTGAAGTGGGAGAATCACTTGATCCTAGGAGTTGGAGGCTGCAGTGGAATGATTGCACCACTGCCTAAAATGAAAGAAATAAAAAGTTGGGGCTCAGAAAATTCATCAAAAAATAAAAGGGGCTGGGTGCGGCAGCTCACACCTGTAATCCCAGCACTTTGGGAGGCTGAAGCAGGTGGATCACTTGAAGTCAGGAGTTCGAGACCAGCCTGGCCAACATGGTGAAACCCATCTCAACCAAAAAATACAAAAATTAGCCAGGCGTGGTGGTGCGGGCCTGTAGTCCCAGCTACTCAGGAGGCTGAGGCATGAGAATTGCTTGAGCCCCAGAGGCAGAGGCTACAGTGAGCCGAGATTTCACCACTGCACTCCAGCCTGGGCAACAGGGTGAGACCCTGTCTGAAAAACAAACAAATAAATAAAAGGGATACATGCATGTTGGTGAGGCAAGTCATATTTGTTATTCCTGTAGACAGGTGCTTTCTAGCCATAGTTGAACTAGGGTAGTTGCATCACTAGACTTTCAGGGCCATTTTTTTCTCTATAAAGAACTTCTTTAGCGTGAAGGAAATTATTTCCTCCAGGTGACAAATGGCATTTGAGTATTTCAGAGTCACAATTCAGAATATTTATGTAAGCCAGATGGTAGCAAGAAGAGGATAAACCAGGACTGGCAGAGGTGGAACTTATTCCAAATACAAGAGGGACACTGCTACCCTGTTCTTCCCAGGATGTCACCCCCATCTGCCACCCCCCTGCCCTTCCTTCCACAGCTCTTCCCTCTCTTTCCCTCCTCACCCTTTCATCATCTCACCCTGATTCAAACCAAATATACAGAGCCAATCTTGGAGGGAAATCTGTTGTCATCCAAGACAACTGGTCGGTTGCAAAACATATCGGACGGTCAGCCACACATGCTGAGCAAGCACACGTAGGTAACACTAGAGAAGACTGTCCTGGCTCTAGAGGAAAGCCGAGGTCTGGGGTAGAGCCTGCCCTGGTGTCTCCCAGCATTTCCTACAATCCCTGCAGTTAGGAGAACCAAAAATTCAGATGTCACCCTTAACAACTCCCTCTCTTCCCCTAGCCCTCGCATAAAATCCATCACCAAATCTTGTCAGTGTTCCTCCTAAAGATCTCCCAAATCTGCCCCCTCCCTCCACTGCCACCCCCACCATACCACCCCAGCCAAGCTCTTTCTCTGCTTTCCCCTGAGCTCTACAAAAGCCTTCTCCCTGGCTTACCCCATGGGCCCCTTTCAAATCCATTCTCCACATTGCAGCCAGAGAAATCTCTCAAAACGCAAACTTGTCACTTTACCCTTCTCCCGTGGGCATAAAACTTTTCATTGCTTCCTTTTGTTTTACAATACAGACCAGATTCCTTACAAAGCCAAGGCTGCCTGTTCTGGTCCCTGCCCAGCCCCGCAGCCTATGAGTGCTGCCAGCCTTTGATTTCTCTGCCCCAATTACACTGGCATCGCATGGTCTCTTACCCTCTGCATATTCCCTCCCGTGTGTGGTTCCTCTGCCACAAATGCTCTACTCTCCCCACTTTATATTTTTACTCATTTTCTGAACACCAGCTCATCGATTTCACGGAGAAGCTTTCCCTGACCTCCTAACTAGGTCAAACCCCCTTACACAGCAGCACACACCTGTCCTTCACAAGGGTGATCACACTCACACCCCTGCATTCATTTGCACGATTATTGGGTTAAAACCTGTCTCCCTGGCACCAGTCACAAGACTCCAGCTTCTCTCTGCCTGTCTGCCCAGGAAGCAGAAGATGAGACACATTAGATGATCAGGCTCAGAATAGAAGGCAGAGAGAGTACGATAATGATCCTGACAGCAAAGCTGTGCCTGAGACCTGGTTGTCTAGAAGCAGAGCCCGAGACCAGGGAGCACAGCTGCTTCTGATCACTGTAGCACTGTTCTCAGGAAAGATCTGTGAGGGAGGAAGGGAAGTGCAGCGGAGGGCTCTGGACCCCAACCTACCTGGAGACAAGGGGCCAGCTTTTGTACCCCGATATCAGCCAGTCATTGGCTGGAGCTGCCCCCACTCTTCCTGGGGGAAATGGGCTCATAATTTCCATAACTTCCCAGCAGGGCAGCTCTTCTCAGCCAAGAGCAATTTTCCTGAAACACAGGAAAAGGAGAGCAGCTGTGATGTGTTAGTGGCTCACACTCACAGCAGCTGGGTATGGGGATCTGGGCAAGGCACCACCGCACCTGCTACAGGATGGTAGCTAAGAGTTCTTTATATATATATATATACACACACACACACATACACATACCGAGACACACACATATATATGTGTATATATATATTTTTGAGACGGAGTCTCGCTCTGTTGCCCAGGCTTGTGTGCAATGGCAGGATCTCAGCTCACTGCAACCTCTGCCTCCCGAGTTCAAATGATTCTCCTGCCTCAGCCTCCCGAGTAGCTGGGGTTACAGGTGCATACCACCACACCTGGCTAATTTTTGTATTGGGGTTTCACCATGTTGGCCAGGCTAGTCTTGAACTCCTGACCTCAAGTGATTTGCCCACCTTGGCCTCCCATAGTGCTGGGATTACAGGTGTGAGCTACCATGCTGGCCTATTATTATTATTTTTGAGACATGGTCTTGCTCTGTCACCCAGGCTGAAGTGCAGTGGCACCATCATGGCTTATGCAGCCTCCACCTCCTGCACTCAAACGATCCTCCCACTTCAGCCTCTTGAGTAGCTGGGACCATAGGTGTGCACCACCACACCTGGCTAATTTTTTGTTGAGACAGGGTTTCACCATGTTCACCAGGCTGGTCTTGAACTCCTGGGCTCAATCAGTTCTCCCACCTCAACCTCCCAAAGTTCTGGGATTACAGGCATGAGCCACTGTGCCCAGCTAAGGGTTCTTCTTTTAAAAATACATATGGTAGGCTGGGTGTGGTGGTTTATGCCTGTAATCCCAGTACTTCGGGAGTCTTAAATGGAGGATCGCTTGAGCCCAGGAGTTAGAGACCAGCCTACGCAATATAGGGAGACTTATCTCTACAAAAAATACAAAAATTAACGGGGTGTAGTGGCCCATGCCTGTAGTCCCAGCTACTCCAGAGACTGAGGTGGGAGGATTGTGTGTAGTAGCCCATGCCTGTAGTCCAAGCTACTCCAGAGGCTAAGGTGGGAGATTGCTTAAGCCCAGAAGGTTGAGGCTGCTGTGGGTTGCGATTGCACAATTGCGCTACAGCCTAGGTGACAGAGCAAGACCTATCTCAAAACGTATATATAAAATAAAATAAATAAAATATGTAAAGGCCAGGTGCAGTGGCTTACACCTGTAATCCCAGTGCTTTGGGAGGCCAAGTGGGGAGGATCACTTGAGGCCAGGAGTTCCAGACCAGCCTCAGCAGTGTAATAAGATGCTCATCTCTACAAAAAATTAGCGGGGTATAATGACTTGCCTATACTTCTAGCCTCTGGGGAGGCTGAGGCAGGAGGATCATGTGAGTCCGGGAGTGCAAGGCTGCAGTGAGCTATGATTGCACCACTGCACTCTAGCTTGGGTGGCAGAGCATGACCCTGTCTCTTTAAAAAAAAAAGGGGGGGGGAGAATTCTGATGATAAAAGAAGGTAAGTTAAAGAATAAGATTAAATGAAGGTAGAGGGGAGTTCTACTGGACATCTTTCCTTCTTTTTTCCCAGCCAATCAGAAGCACTGCACCAAAGTCAGAAATGGAAGTCAGTGAAACAAACAAGCAAGGGGATCCTGTCAGATTATAAAAGGATTACAGCAACATCCCACTTCCAGTGCTGCAAGCATTAGCAGGGTGGCTGTGATGTCTGCTGTCCAGCATACAAGCAATGATGTCTGCACTGAACCCTTCCTGCAGTGGGCTGGGTCTTTGTTTCTGTTTGTGTCTCCTCCAGATCTTGTTTTTCCAGTCCTTCTAGCAATTCTGTGAGGTACCCAATGTCTTTTTGGTGTACTTGTTTTCCATTCTAAATTACTATAATTAGTTTCTGTTGCTTACAACTAAGATCCCTGTAGTATGCCTCATCCTGGCCCCTGCTACATAACCCTCGGCTCCCCTCCACCTGCTGACTGCAGAGGATAGGATGGGCCAAATGCCAGCCGCATTTTTCCTGACCCCAGCCACCAGGCTGCAGCCACAGTGGAGGGCTCCTCAGTCTTCTGGAGCTCTGAGGGCAGGTTGGGGGAAAGGAAGGGCAGGGTTCTGCCTTTAGATCAAAGCACTATGGATTCAGAACATGGGGAGGCTGTGGAGCAAGCCTCGGTCTATCAGAGCAAGCCTCCAGCATGATCCAGGACTGCTCAGGTGAAGATGGACACAGCCAACACATATCCTCTGCAGAAGAGGTGTGACTCACAAGCTCTTCCCCAACCAGCTGCTCATGGAGGAACATGTCAAGAGCTTAGCATTGTCATCCACTGCCTCAGCTTCCTATTGAGGGGCAGCCATGTCCTCGAGCCATGTCCAGACTTCTCACCACACTTCAGACTCCCATCTCCAGCACTACCAAGTACCCACCACCTCTGCAGTCATCCCAACTCATCTTGACCAAGCCCAGCCTCACATTGTTGAGAACAGAAGACTTCAGCAGAGGAAGGGGCCTCCCCGGTGCCTATTTTTCTCAGAATCCGGCTGCAGCAGAGGTCAGAGAGCCCTTTTAGAAAGGGGCATTTTTCTCACTTGCTTTCTTGTATTGTGACATCACCTCTGACATCTGTGCCTTGGGTAATCTGAGGATCATTGCACAATCTTCAGTCCTAAATTTCCATGGAATATGAATTTTCTATGCTTCACCTCTTACATTCCTTGCTTATATATCCCTGGCTCATTCCTACTGGTAAGAGCAAATTTCAGCAAGTTGGTGCACTTAATTCTTCCAGCTATTTCCCATATCCTCACCAATTAGTGCTTACCTGTTTAGCCTCCCAGGACTATTCTGGACTACATTTCAGATGCTTCCAGCCACCTCCTCTTTTAGCAGCTGCTATCCAAGTCTTTGTAGTATTGCTCACCATCTGAGGTTCATGAAATGGAAATTATGAACCAGATGATAATTTATCATGGTTCCTTGGTTGCAAGCAACAGAAACCAACTTCAGCTAATCAAACAAAAGGATAACTTGTTGAAAGGTTATCAGGTAGCTCACAGAGGAGACAGGCTGGAGAGCCAGTCTTGAAATAGAACTGGAACCAACAGAAACTGGCCAACTATTTTGTCTGAGAGTTGCTGAGGAGACAAGTGTCATCCAAGTGTTCATTTCTGATGATGCAAGATCCTGTCTCAGGAGACAGTCTGAGTGCTCCAGCCTAGGTCACGTGCCCATCTCTTGGCTATGAGGAAAAGCCCCTTGATTTACTGTCCTACCAAGAGTCCACACAAGGAGAGAGGGTTAAGTCCACAAATCAGAAATTGGGGTGCTGTATCCAATAAAAGGGAAATGGAGGCTGAGCAATTAAAAAAATAGCCACTACAAGTACCTATGTTGCTGTACGTTCCATCAGCTCACCTCACCGCTGCAGAGACCACACAGGAAAGCTCTCCCACATATCCTGCCTGGCCTGCTCCATAATCATATGGCTTTGACCCCGTTACAGTAGGTAGCTAGTCAGGCATGAGCCCGGCAGATGAGAGCTCCCCCATCGACCCCACCAGGAATATCAGGTGACCATCAGATGATGATCAGGCAGTTGTCACACTGTCTCGCTAAAATAATAACTGGTTGCAGCTGGTTCCAGAGAAAGGCAGTTTCCCAATATGTAGAAACGCCTGAAGCTGGTAATCAGCAGCTTCCCGATAAGATCTCGGGAGTTGTACGAGTGGGCTCATGCATGTGAACTGAGGCAAAATGGCAGAGTTTAACTGGTATATGTTCTCCTAGAGACATTCCACTGGTAAGGGAAGAATGCTTCAAGTGAGCATGCAGACAACTCCAGTAAACACACTGTACATGCTCCCCTCCCAAGTGCTAGCAGGCCACTGTGCCTGTGGACAGCCCACCCCAAGGGAGGAATCAGTGGAGAAGGGACACAAGACGCCAGAAGCATGCGAATGTATAAAACCCCAAGTCAAAAGGTCAAACCACACACTTGTCTTTCAGATTGCCCACTTGGCCCTCTTCCAAGTGTACTTTCCTTCTTTTTGTTTCTGCTTTAGAGCTTTTTTTTTTTTGAGCCAGAGTCTCCCTCTGTCACCCAGGCTGGAGTGCAGTGGCACGATCTCAGCTCACTGCAACCTCTGCCTCCCGGGTTCAAGCGATTCTCCTGCTTCAGCCTCCTGAGTAGCTGGAATTACAGGCACCCACAACCATGCCCAGCTAATTTTTGTATTTTTAGTAGAGACAGGGTTTCACCATGTTGGCCAGGCTGGTCTCGAACCCCTGACCTCAGGCGATCTACCCACCTTGGCCTCCCAAAGTGCTGGGATTACAGGCGTGAGCCACTGCTCCTGGCCTTTGCTCTAGAGCTTTTTAATAAACTTTCACTCCTGCTCTAAAACTTGCCTCAGTCTCTCCTTCTGCCTTCTGCCCGTCAGTCAAATTCTTTCTTCTGAGGAGGCAAGAATTGAAGTTGCTGCAGACCTGTATGAATTTGTCGCCAGTAACTCGGATACCCAACACCGGTAACAACCCCAGCTGCTTTTACATCAAGTTCCACTGACCCTGGAAGCTGACCAGTAATGGTGCTCAACAGGCTGCTAGAAGAGTCTCCAGGGTGCCCTCTGGGGGTCAAGAGCATGTATAACCTCTTAGAGGTCAGGAACTTTAATGTAAAGGTTACTGAATGAACGAATCCAACCAGGCTGAGTCTCAGGGTATGACACTCAAGTAGGTGTCTGATCTTCCCCATTGTACAGACAGCATCATCCGCTCAGGAACCTGGAGAAAGTACCTGGGGGCGTCAAGATTTCAGAGGTCATCAATCCAATGGCCTTCTGATTTGAATGATCTCCCTCCACTATCTTTCCCCATTCTCTGCTTCATTCAGCTCACTGGGCCATTAGCTTCCCCTCCCTCTAGCAGTGATAGCCCCTTGCCCCCAGGGTCCAAGGATGGAACAGATGTTGGACTTCTAGTGATACAGTCCAGGAAGGCTCAAGAGGAGATGCCACTGTGGTTAAAGCATCCCATAAAAGTGGCTGGGAAATCCTGGTCCTGTTCTACTTCTGTGGTGGAAACTTTACTTCTACACCCACTCAGCAAACCAGATTGTTCTCCTCTTGCTTGTAAGAAGTCCACAGGTCCTTTCAAATTTATTCCACAAATACTTCTTCAGCATCTACCATATGTCAGGTACCATGCTAGGTACTAGTGATATTGCATCTACAGCTTCGGGGGAAGGAGACATTAATTAAACTAATGCACACAGATGTAATTAAACTGTGATGTTTGCTATGAGGGAAGAGCATGAGAAGTTTTAGAATAGATGACTGGAGGATCTGTTACCTGCAGGTCAGGGAAGCTTTCCCTGAAGAACTGATGCTGAGCCGCTATCCAAGGGTCAATAGAATGAAATGAATAGGGGGGAGATAAGGAAGAGTATGCTTGGTAGAAGGAGCTGTGAAGAAGCAAAGTCCCGAAGGCGAGAAGAGCTTGTGGTGTTTGGAGTACGGAAAGACCTGGGTGCTGATGTGAGAGAGGGTCGGGGAGAAGGGCTCTGGATGAAGGACCTGCTGGACCTGGCGGGGCTGGGACTGTGGTGGGGATTTAAGCTAAATGGATTTAAGCAGGCTGCTAAGTGGAGAATGGATTGAGGGAGGAGAAAGCATTCAGAGAGGAGACAGAGGAGTGGTTTGGACCTGGAGAAAGGGAAGTGGATGGATCTAAGGGACGTGCTGGATTTGGAATTGAGAGGACTTGATAATGGATTGGAGGCCGAGGATTCCCGGGATTCTGACTTGCACACTTCTCTCTTTCGCATTTACAACAACGACCCGTTACAGACACCTCCCGTCCCGAGTGTAGCCTCATTATGGTCGGGGACGTTGTCTAGTCCTCTCTGTTCTAGGTGCACAGTAAATGAATCCATCCTCGGTGCATGAACAGCTGCTCTCCTCCACCCGGGAGAAGGCCTGCAGGTCTCACATCCCCCGGGAGGTGGCAGAGCAGGAAAACCAGCCGTCCAGTGGCCGGAACCCCGCTTCCTGCCGCGGGCGACTTTGACTCCCTGGGGAAATTTTTCCCACATTCCAAATTCCCAGAAAACAGCTCTTTCCCCAGCCTTTTGGAACTGCTTCAGTGGAGGGTGTGACATGACCAGGGAACTTCTCTTGGGGCCGAGGCCTGAACTGACTGAGTCATTTTGCGGCGAGGGCCTCTTTCTTTTCGACGGCGACAGTTCTGCAGGAGCTTCCGTGTCGCATGGCCGGCCTTTCGCAGGGCGCCGCGCGGAGCCGACAGGGCCACCGGGGCCTTTCTCCCTGCTCTGTGGCTGCAGCCCAGGCACCAAAGAGACAGAGAGCCTAAGGGAGCCCTTCCCAGTCAAGTCCCGGGGAGGTTGCGGGGAGCCCAGAGAATGCCTCACCAGTAATCAAAAAATAGGTTTAGACGTGGGAAAGCTGGGTTAGAATATGAGAAAGAGACGGGCATGGCCCGGGAGGGGGAGACCGGTTCTGAAAGGCCAGGGGCAACAGGCTCAAAATACCTCTGGAGGATGTAGGTAAAGGACTGGGATTTACCGGCTGGGCGCTGTGGCTCACGCCTGTAATCCTAACACTTTGGGAGGCCGAGGTGGGCAGATCACTTGAGGTCAGGAGTTTGAGACCAGCCTGGCAACATGGTGAAACCTCCTTTTTATTAAAAATACAAAAATTAGCCGGGCGCCTGTAATCCCAGCTACTCGGGAGGCTGGGGCAAGAGAATAGCTTAAACCCGGGAGTCACGGGTTGCAGTGAGCCGAGATCGCACCACTGCACTCCAGCCTGGGCTTAAGTGAGACTCCGTCTAAAAAAAAAAAAAAAAAAGACTGGAATTTACCAAGGAAATACAGCTCTCTGAGTGAGGAAAGAGCAAACAGAAGGCTGGGGGCAGATGAAAGAATAGAGAACAAGGACCGAGTGAGGAACACAGAAAGCTGAAGGGCGCGTAAGGGGACACATTGCCATGAGGAGCGGAAATCAGAATCCAGAGTCATCTCACCTAATGTTGGTGATATGGTTTGGCTGTGTCCCCACCCAAATCTCATCTTGAATTGTAGCTCCCATAATTCCCACGTGTTGTGGGAGAGACCCAGTGGAAGATAAGTGAATCATGGTGGTGGATCTTTCCGGTGCTATTCTCGTCATAGTGAATAAGTCTCACGAGATCTGATGGTTTTATAAAGGGAAGTTTCCCTACAGAAGCTCTCTTCTCTTGTCTGCCACCATGTGAGACCTGCCTTTCACCTTCCCTCATGATTGTGAGGCCTCCCCAGCCATGTGGAACTGTGAGTCCATTAATCTTCTTTCGTTTGTAAATTGCCCAATCTCTTTTCTTCCTCACCCCTCCTGCTTCTACTCCTTCTACTTTCTGGCCTCTTGCTCATTAAAGAGTAGGAAGAACTAGTGGTTCCCAGTTTCAGGAACTTCAGTACACTGACGACACGTATATCTCCCTCAACCTGACTCATACCTGAAGTGCCATAATTTAATTTCATAGCTGTATTAATCTAGGTTTATGCTCATATTTTAGTGTATATTACATATTTGATTAATTTTTTTTTCAACAAACATGTTTTCAACAAACATTCCATCGCACATACTCTGGAAGGATAATACGTTTACCTGTTATCAGTCATTTCCTCCTTAATTTTGATTCCTGGTTTCCATGTGTCACCTCTATCTGGTCTTGTGTAATAGATCCATACTTTGGTCTCCTGGTCAGGACTGCCTGATAGTGTCCATCCTCTGAGTCTATTGGCAGACATTACCTGGCCTTGTCCTTGACCACTCCTTGCCTTGTAGTTCAAGTGCTCCAGCCACCTTGCATAACCTGCAGTTCTCTGATGCATCATTCTGTATCACACACCTGCATCTTTGCTTGTTGCCTCTATTGCCTGAGGTATTTCTTCACCTGTTGTATTAGTCAGGATTCCCCAAAGAAGCAGAACTTATAGTCTGTGTGTGTGCGTGTGTGTGTATTTATTGAGACAAGGTCTTGCTCTGTCACCCAGGCTGAAGTGCAGTGGTGCAGTGGTGTGATCTCGACTCACTGCAACCTCCACCTCTTGGGCTCAAGCAATCCCCCAACCTAAGCCTCCTGAGTAGCTGGGACTACAGGCATGTGCCACCATGCCCAGCTACTTTTTTTTTTTTTTTTTTTTTTGGTGGAGTTGGAGTTTCATCATGTTGTCCAGGTTGGTCTTGAACTCCTGGGGTCATGCAGTCCACCTACCTTGGCCTCCCAAAATGCAGTATTACAGGTGTGAGCCACTGTGCCCAGCCCTATATTTTTTTGTAATTATAGAAATTGCCTCATGTGAGGAGGCTAATCAGTCTCACAGTCTGCTGTTTGCAAGCTGGAGAACCAGGAAACTGGTGGTGTAGTTCAATCTGAGTCCAAAGGCCTGAAAACCAGGAGTGCCAATGTCCGAGGGTAGGAGAATATGGATGTCACAGCTCAAATAGAGAGAGCAAATTTGCCCTCCTTCCACCCTTCTGTTCTATTTAGGACCTCAAGGGATGATGCCCACCTACATGGATGAGCGCAGACCTTCTTTACTCAGTCTACTGATGAGCTAATCTCTTCCAGAAACACCCTCGCAGACACATCCAGAAATAATGTTTTATCACCTATCTGCACATCTAATTGACACATAAAACTACCATCACAAATTCACTCCTCGTCAATGTGGCACCCATATGCATTGCATCTCCTTAAACCATACTTAATCCCCAAATAAAAACAATAACAAGATCCTAATTCTAACATGACATATTTATCTCATACTAATGCCTTCCCCAGAAGAGGAGATGAAGCTCTTGAGTGATGTTTACTGTTCTCCAGGTAAACACTATGACGTAAAATTAACTTAAATACCGATATAAAGTGAATACATCTTATGTTACATAATAAGGGAGTAAGAGAAGAAAGAAAACAAAGATATTTGCTTAAAACATGTGTACATATACACAAACATATAACAAAATGAGGAGGATATACTCATGTCAGTTACAGTCCTCATTTCCATAACTGGTCATGTGGTCACAGCTGGTATTGATCACTACCTTCTTCTACTACCCATTCTGTATTCCATTTGCCTTCAGCAAGCACTTCAGCTGGTCGAGGTTTGTTACCTGGTGGAGTGACACAAAACTTCATACCTGAAGGATCTGGGTCATTCATAGTCCTGCCTGGATTGCACTGTTGTAGTTTTCCGTTGACCTTAATCACAGGGTGTGGTAATACTAAGAGATGCCCTAAGAGGCCTCCTATATTCCAGACATACTCTTCCTTACCTCCATTGTGGAGTGGAGGTCCAATTTCCCCTTTGGAAGTCTGGATCAGTCACCCCAACCAACACAGTAACTCCCTTCTTGGCCTATTGACTCAGAGGCATAAAGAGCCCAAAGAGGCTGGGTGGTAGTCTTAGCTTCCAGTTCAATTGAATCATTGTTGTGTTTCTTAATGGAAGCATTCCTCCCTCCAGAACTAAGACCTCTAGGCCAGCAGAGCATAAAATTGCAGGAACAGGAAACAAAAATTTTGCTAGTGGGTCACTAGGGGTAATGGCAAGTGGTGCTATTTCTATTTCCACCCCTTGATTCCTGGACCCTTGAATTTTGGCCCTCGGAGAAACAGCACCATATATTGGATGCTGATTCAGAGCACGTATAGCCTCCTGAATAGCCTTGCCCTGGCATCACAAGGCATTGCCACCTAGCTGGAGTGATAACTGAGACTAATCACCTCTTAAAGGCCCCGCTTCTCAATACTGCCATACTGGGGAATAAATTCTGACATGAATTTTGGAGGGGACAAATATTCAAACCAGAGCAGGTGGTAAACTTCATAATGTGTGTATTTTACCTCAATTTCTTGAAAAAGCCATTAGAGCCACCGGTCGTAATTTGGGAATCTTTAGACTATATAGGTGACAACTAAAGTCATGATCTCACCGAGAGAGAGAACAGTGGAGGAAACTACTAGTTGTAGGGTTGGCAGAGTAAAAGGAAGATGCAAGAGGGCCTGTGACATCAGAGGGAAAACAGGAAGGAGTGGTAGCGTCAAAATGGATGAAAGAGAGCTCATCTTAGGGTCAGAAGCTACAGACACATCAAGAAAGAAGGACTAAGGGGAATCCTGTATTTAGCGACAGAGAGAGCGTTTATGACCTAGGTGGGGGCAGCTTCAGGGGAGAGGTGGGGTAGAATCCAGATTGCAATGGGGTGAGGAGTGTGTGAGCTGAGGAAGTAGGAAAAGAGTGCAGCATCCTGGAAGCTTGTTTATGACTGAGGGAGAGGGAGAGGGAAGATGGTGATAAAGACAGATGCAGCCGGCTATCCTACGTTGATGACAAGATCACTAGCTTTGCAACTTGCCCCAAGGTCATGCTCACTCAAGCATCCTTTTGGACATACACAGATTCCAATGCCCATATGAACACCTAGCCCACTGACAGAGTAATGACTTGAGGAATTGGCATTCTAGTTGATACACTTTCCCTCAAAAGTTTGGTTAGCTCAAGGTTAGATCTGACAAGATCAAGTTTTTGAAAATGCAAAGCTCAAGACATTGAACTGTTTGGAGATCCCCACATGCCCACACTGCACCTCTCTTCTATGTCTTTCTTAAACCGTCCTCCCTCCATGAAATGTCATCCCTCAGAAACACACAACTTGTTTTATTTTATTTTTAAAATTTTTTTGTAGAGACGGGGTCTTCCTATGTTGTCCGGGCTGGCCTTGAACTCTTGGGCTTAAGCAATCCTCCCGCCTTGGCCTCCCAGAGTACTGAGATTACAGGCATGAGCCACTGCACCTGGCCATAATTTGTTTTATTCTTACACATTCTTTGAGGCTCAGTTTAGTTTCGCTCCTGTTTCCCTCACTGAACAGCTTCTTGTTTCTATAGCCCTTGCTCCCAGCATATGTGTAGATGTTCCGTAAGTGCTTATGAAATTAGGGAGTAGATGGCAAAGAAAGATGGGGTTGAAAATGCTTAATGAATAACAGGACAAAAAATCCATTATTTAACGAGCAGTATTTATTGAACGTTTGCCAGGCACACACCAGGTACGACCGGTGTACAAAAAGATAGGGACCCCCTCCTTAAAGAGCATTTTCATGGGAGTTCTTTTATCACACCTTTCATGGTTGAAAGGAGAATGGTAGTTATATTTGGCCTCTGTGCTCTCAAAATTATTTGTTCATACTTGAGGCTGGCACATTGTGTACAATAAATCTTTGTTGACCAGATGAATGAGCCTTAATTATAGAACTTATAATACGATTTTTTAGTTTTTATGTGTGATTTTCTCCTCCACATCATGAGCTCTTGGAAGCCAGGAACTACACCTTACTCATGTTTGTTAACAGAATCTAGCACAGAGTTTTGTACATAGTAAGTGTCAAAAATGTTTATGCTGAAAGAATGAATTTCTAATAGAGGTAAGAGCAATGCATACACAGCCACACATACAAGTATTTTACATTCTCTTTTTCCTGCAATTTTTTTTTGTTTTTTTTTTTACATAGGAAACCAGGTGAAAAATCCATTTCTTGTTATTGGTTTTTAATGGGCCTGAATGTTTCTGCAGCCATCCTCCACAGTTTCCTCTGGCTATGGCAAACAGACTCTCATTGCATCAATTGGGTTCCAAAGGATCTGGGAGGAAGCACATCAGTTGGGGGCTTGGTGCCCTTGGTCCTCATAAAGCCTGTGACTGTGATGACACATAACATTTCTTTGAAAGGGCAGGTGCTGGTTGATAGACAACACAGCTTTGCACCTGGAGTGTGGGAATGTGGGAAGTTTAGCTGAGGCTGCCCAGCTGAACTCTATGCTTCACTTTATTAAATTCTCCAATGAATATATTAAATTTACCAATATGTACACAAACAAGAGATACCCAGGGGATGTCTAGTCTAGACTTCCCCTCCTCTAGCCCTCTTATACAGCAAAAAACAGCAAACAAAAAAAACTTCTCTGTCCCTTTCCATGTTTGTCCTGCCTGCAGGGGAAATGGGTTTGTCTAAGCAAGGAAGAGGTTTTCCAGCAGGGTTAAGAGGGAAGGATAAATATATATATATCTATATATTTTTTTTTTCCTTTTCTTTTTTGAGGCGGAGTCTCGCTCTTTTGCCCAGGCCGGAGTGCAGTGGCACAATCTTGGCTCACTGCAAGCTCCGCCTCCCGGGTTCACGCCATTCTCCTGCCTCAGCCTCCCGAGTAGCTGGGACAACAGGCGCCCACCACCACGCCCGGCTAATTTTTTGTATTTTTAGTAGAGATGGGGTTTCACTGTGTTAGCCAGGATGGTCTCGATCTCCTGACCTCGTGATCCGCCTGCCTCGGCCTCCCAAAGTGCTGGGATTACAGGCGTGAGCCACCGCGCCCAGCCAGGATAAATATTTTAAATTTTGTTCCCCTTCAGCAATGGAATGCACTTGTCAAAGAACAGAAGACACACCCTCAGAGCTGCAGGAGTTATCATTTCAGAAGTTCTGGATGTTGCCACAGGGGCTGCCATGGTGACTGTAAAACTGGTTGAATCAGAGCAAAGATGACAGCCCTTCCTGCCTGCTCCTTGGCCAGCTCAGCTCCCTGTGACCTTGTCCTCTGGAAAGCAGCCCTCCAGCCTCCACACTTCCATGTTTTCCCCACCCTGGGTAGAAGCACTAATAGCTCATGATTCTTACTTCAGTGCATGTTCTTACTGCCCCTCTGCTTTGATGGGTAACACCAAGCAGATAGTCCAAGGTCAGCCAGCGAGGGAATGCCCTGGGTAACAGTTCTTTCTTGTGGGTCTTCCAGCGTTTGGCCTCAACTCCATAAACAGCGATGGGAAAGCCTCACACTTTCTTGATCTGCAGCCGGATTTCTGTTGAACCAGCCTGATTTCTTTCCTGCTCTCTTCAGAGGGTAGGGGGTTGTCCTAAAGCATATTCTGTTTTCCCCAAGGAAACGAGCTGGCTTCCTCTACAGCTATTTTTCTGCTCTTCATTACTTGTAAATTTCAACTCTCCAGCCTCCAGCTACGCAAATTTACAAACTATTATTAGTGGCTCTGTGGAAACTTCATATTTGAAATGTTTTCTGATAAAAGAATGGGGACATTCTTTGTTAAAAAATTATTTCAGAAATACTTAGCTCATTTCTCCCTATTCTAGCTGTTTTCCTCTTTGTTTCCCAGCTCACTGCCAGATGCAGTTTTTCACAGCTTTGCAAAACTGCTGTTTAATTTGACACAGTGTTAACAGTTATTAATCAAGGTGGTGGGAATATAGGTTTCAGTTACAGTATTATTTAGACTTTTCTGTAACTTTCATATTTATCAGAAAAGAACAACCATACGATAAATGGCTTTTTGTCCTCTTTTCACGGGGTTCTGTTGGTGGTTCTGTTGCTATCTCAGTTCCCAAGCTGTTAGCAGGACCACGCTGTTTCCTTTGTGTACAACGAGATCTCAGTGTTCCAGGGCGGTGTTTCTCCCACCTAACAGCCCAGACTTGCCAACCATTCTTGCTGGATTAGGAAATGAACTACTGATCCTAAAGATTAGAAAACAAAATAGGGAGATATAGGGTCCCCAAGGACTTCTCTATTTAACTCTACCTCGGATTACTAGCTTTGTTCCAACAACTTTGCTTCAGTTCCCGGAGAAAATAACCAGGCTCTTGAGGTGGGCTGACCCCACTAAAGCTGCTGGGGTGGTCTGGACCAAAACGCCACATCATATGACATTTGAGGGAGTTGAAGTTACAGGAGGAAGGTGTTGATTCCAGAGCTTCACGTTTTAGCTAGACTTGGTTACACCCTTGTTTGACATCTTTTAGCCAACAAACTGCATCCTTGTATGCGCTTTCAGCATCTGCATTTGGAACAGTTGTCAAGCTCGTGTGTGTATCAGAATCACCCAGAGAACTTGTTAAAATGCAAATTTGTGGAACCCACCCCCAGAGTTTCTGATTCAGTAATAATGGGATGAGGCCTGAGGCTTTGCATTTCTTTTTTCTTTTCTTTTTTTTTTTTTTTTGAGATGGAGTTTCACTCTTGTTGCCCAGGCTGGAGTGTAGTGGCACGATTTCGGCTCACTGCAACCCCTGCCTTCCAGGTTCAAGCAATTCTCCTCCCTCAGCTCCCAAGTAGCTGGGATTACAAGCTGTGCCAGCACGCCCAGCTAATTTTTGTATTTTTAGTAGAGACAGGGTTTCACCATGTTGGTCAGGCTGGTCTCGAACTCCTGACCTTAGGTGATGCATGCACCTTGGCCTCCCAAAGTGCTGGGATTACAGGTGTGAGCCACCGCACCTGGCTCAGGCTTTGCATGTCTAACAAGCTCCCAGGGGACGCTGATGCTGCTGATTGGGAACAACAGTTTAAGAACCACTGATTTAGGAGACAGGACTGGTGGTTGTATCTTACCTGTGGGCTGGGGTGAAAATAAAGGTCAAGAGGGGAACAGATGTGGTGTTTTGTACAGTTCTGTGAGTTGTTTTTTTTTTTGTTAGTTTGTTTTTCGAAGAGAAGTTTGCTGTCTGTCACCCAGGCTGGAGTGCAGTGGCTTGATCATAACTCACTGCAGCCTAGAATTCCTGGGCTCAAGGGATCCTCCTGCCTCAGCTGCCTCAGTAGCGACTGGTCTCAAACCCTTGGGCTCAAGCAATCCTCCCACCTCAGCCTCCCAAAGTGCTGAAAGTACAGGCACCAGCCACTGTGCCTGGCCCAGTTTTGTGTTTTTACATATGCTTATAACTTAGCAGTACACGATTTCCATTACTCCGTGCTCCAGTAGTTGTGGGAAAGAGAGGCACTGTTTGGGAAGGGGCACATCAGTGTGTATCCCAACCCAGAAGCTATATTCTCTGCTCTTATAGTGACCCTGTCCACGCCCTGGTTGGAAATCAACTTGAAATTTGCATCTCTAGATTTTTTTTAAGTGTACTAATACGTGTCTCAAAATTTCACAGCACAACTGGTGTTCGAAGCCATGTTTTGGGGTGTCCTAATTCTGCCTACCCATCTCACTCTCTGTTCCCATGGCAGCTGTGCCCTACCAACTGATTGAGTGTCTGGTTGTCACCTGTCCATGTCACCCTCCCAGCCCATACGGGACCACTCTGTGGGGGCTCTGCAGCAAGCCTCGATGCACTGTGGACCAGCTGGCTGTGTCCCAGGAGTTCTTGGGGACCTGGCTGTCTCCTGATGTGATTTAAAGTTTGAGTTATTGGTGACATTAATGCAACTGCTCAGGAAGTAGAAAATCCCCAATATATATGTCCTGTGCCCTTTTAGAGAAAAGGAAGAGCTTAGGGGTGGGGAGGAGAATTCTTTGTTTTCATTGCCTACTACATTTCCCTAAATGATCCCCACTTCTAACATTTAGCCCTGGGAGGAAAATTCCCAAATAAGTTGTAATAGGAATCTGAAATCTTAGCCAGCAGGAGCAGAGGGAAAAATGTTGGTAATCCGCTATCTTTTTTATCACGTAACAGTCAAACTTTATTTTTGCTATGAGACTTTATTTTTAGGGTGGTGAATAGTCTCTGTAGAGGGTGATGGCTTCATTTTTATCCTCTCTGTAAGACGGTAATGCATTCTGCACAAACTATACTGCGTTAATATTTCTGCCATTAGTAACTTCTCATATATGAGAAAGTTAAACAATATCTATCTTAAAATAATGTTTTGTCTTATGTTGTACACTTTGAGAGTGTTTTAGAAAAATCCCTCTGTCCTCCCTAATGTTACATAATTTTTTTCTGCGTAAATTAGACTTTATTACTTTTTCCCTGCCAGAAATCTTAATCTGGGGGCATTTTTTATGAATGATGGAGAAAATTTGGTGCCTTATCTGGAGAGATAGAGAGATATAACTATTGGCCATAGGAAAAAAAATTTAACGGTAGTCAGTGTTCCTTGGAGTAGGTTTCATTTGTGTTTTAATACACTTCGCCATTAGATGGTAGCACAGTAATAGACATAACGATTTAGGGGTAGAGGCACGGTCTCGTCCCCCATTTTAAATAAGATCAGAAAGGTCTAAGTTGGTTTAATAGAACCATCAGATGGTCTTCGTCAACCCCAACACCGTAGATTTGGGTCTAGGACCTTAGTCCTAAGACTGTGGCAAGTCAGATTGGGGGTGAATGTTATAAACAGGAGCATTGGTTTCAGGTTGCCCTGTTACCTCCAGATCTGGGATAATTATCATTTAAGCCTAAGAATGCTTGGATGGGTTGGGGGTGTTGTTCTGAGACTCCTTAGCACAGCTTTTGGCCTCTCTTTTTCTCCCCTCCCCCCTCCCCTCCCCTCCTCTTTCTCTTTCTTTCTTTCTCTTTTTCTTTCTTTCTTTCTTTCTTTCTTTCTTTCTTTCTTTCTCTCTCTCTTTCTTTCTTTCTTTCCTTTCTTTTCTTTCTTTTCTTTCTTCTCTTTCTTTCTTCCTTTCTTTTCTTTCTTTTCTTTCTTTTCTTTCTTCTCTTTCTTTCTTCCTTTCTTTTCTTTCTTTTCTTTCTCCTCCTTCTCTCGCTCTCTGTTTCCTTCTTTCAACAGAGTCTTGCTCTGTCACTCAGGCTGGAGTGCAGTGGTGTGATCACAGCTTACTGCAGCCTCAAACTCCTGGGCTCAAGCGATCCTCCCACCTCAGCCTTGGAGTAGCTGGGACAATGGGCACACATCCTCACACCTGGCTAAGTTTTCGAAATTTGGATGTCGAAATATATAATTTATTATTACCTCATGACAGAGCTATTGTTTATCCAACATTCAAATTAAATACATTTCTTTGAATTAGTATTGAATTTTCTCTTCCTTGTGTCTATACTTTCCTAAATTGATGTTTAAAAAACACACAAGGGCAGTGTTTGGCAACTTCTCTCCCACATCATTTGTGACCTGGGAAAGGGAAAAATGGCTCTTCTCCAGTCTGTTGGTTTCAAGGGTCAGCTGCCCTTTGACATCAATGTCTTCCTGTCTTCTGCAGTGTCATAAGGTATCATTAACAGGAATTCCGTGTCCCAAGGGGACAAAAGAAAACCAGGTCAAGGGAACTTGCATGGAAGCTTAAACGTTTTTAAGAATGGCAAATTTGGCTCCATTTTTAACATAATTGAAAGACTCTCTAACAGTATTAGAAAGCTAATGGGGCTATACATGGCTGATAGAAATAGAAAAGAATCCAATTCGACCTAGTTTCCATAAAGATAATGAGTCCAAGAAGAAAACAAATCTGGAGAAATAAAGAAAACAGAGCGGATTTGATTTACAAACATTTTCCTGTTTTTGGAGTTAAGGTGATGGAGTCTCAGTGGGGCTCCACGGGTCCTAGACTTGCCAGGGCAGTTCATTCCACCTCTGTGGGAGCCTGCATCCGTGCCCCCAGCACAGTTAATGCTCCTTTAGGAACTTGGCACTGCCAATCCCTCATTCATTGGGCCATTGCTACAGGGTGTTTCACTGTTAACTCACAGCCTTCTCCCTCTTCCCCTACCCTCTCCGGGGACCATCATAACTGTCACAGTCAGAAACCAGCCCTCCACATCCCGAGTCTGGGGCTCTCACCAATCCTCCTAGTCTGGGTACATCCCCACTACTGCAGGGAGAGTTGCCAGCCAGATGAGCAAGGACCTAGACTGCCTATTGGGGGCAGCCCTGCCTCAGTGGGCCACTCTCTAGCCACCCAGCCAGTGTCCCCATTCTGAGGAACACAGACCCACTCATCTCCTTCACCTGTTAGAAAATTACTTTTACTGGCCGGTCACGGTGGCTCACGCCTATAATCCCAGCACTTTGGGAGGCCAAGGTGGGTGGATCTCCTGAGGTCAGGAGTTCGCGACCAGCCTGGCCAATATAGTGAAACCCCGTCTCTACTAAAAATAGAAAAATTAGCTGGGCGTGGTGGCGGGCACCTGTAATCCCAGCTACTTGGGAGGCTGAGGCAGGAGAATTGTTTGAACCTGGGATGCAGAGGTTGCAGTGAGCCAAGACTGTGCCACTGCACTCCAGCCTGGGCAACAAGAGCAAACTCCGTCTCAAAAAAAAAATAAAGAAAGAAAATTACTTTTCCTGAGGCCAGGTGCAGTGGCTCATACCTATAATCCCAGCAGTTCAGGAGGCTGAAGCAGGCGGATCACCTGAGGTCAGAAGTTTGAGACCAGCCTGGCCAAAATGGTGAAACCCCATCTCTACTAAAAATATATTTTAAAAAAGAAAATTACTTTTCCTAGAAAACAGGTGCTTCCTCCAGGCCCTAGGAAGTCTGTTGTCTTTTCCTTCAGCATACTTTTGCTGACTACCCGTGGGGAAATTCCTAGGTGAAACGAAGCCTCCACCCATCCACCCTCTTTCTATCGTGGCTCTGACTGGGAACCTTATCTTCCAGCCATGCCATATGAAGGATCTGGATATAGAAATATATAGCAGTATGATTTACTACATTTATAACTGCATGCAGTGCTATGCTGGTAAATGTTAGTAACCAGAGTTGGCTGGGGAAGGGAGAGGAGAAAACTCTAACTTGTAGCATTTGCTTATTTCGATGTGTAAATACTCTGGGATCTGTATTTGGGGAACTCCTGTGAAAGCAGCCTTGGCAGAGGAGGTAGGTGATGGAGAAAACAGAGCTGCATTTAGGAAAGAATTACACTTCCACAGAGAGCTGGGACCAACAGATGGAAGCCTCATGGCAGAGAGAGCAGGCTGGGAGACATTCTAAATTCAATCCAAGCCTGGGGAGCTGAGATGGACGGGACAATTGTAACAGGGAGAGCCTGGTAAGAACTGTGTCTCCTGAGCTCTGCTCTTTCCTACAGGATGGGCATGTGAAGTGCTGGAAAGCCTCTTCTTTAAATGAATATTAAAGTGTTAATATTCTGGATTCTTGGCCCAGACATTGAATTTCTTTTCTTTTCCTTTTTTTTTTTTTTTGACAGGTTCTTGCTCTGTCACCTCCATTGGCATGCAGTGGTGCAATCATGGGTCATTTGCAGCCTCGACCTCCTGGGCTTAAGTGATTCTCCCACCTCAGCCTCCCAAGTAGCTGGGACTACAGGTGCTCACCACCATGCCCAGTTAATATTTTGTATTTTTAGTAGAGATGGGGTTTTGCCATGTTGCCCAGGCTGGTCTCAAGCTCCTGGGCTCAAGTGATCCTCCCACCTCAGCCTCCCAAAGTGCTGAGATTGCAGGCATAAGCTACCACACCTAGCCCCTAATCTAGCCTTCCTTCCTTTCTTTTTTTTTTCCTCTAGGCAAAGAACTTTATTAACCTTTGTTTCAAACTTTATTCCCAGGCTTCTTCGGCCTAATTAACTGTAAAGAATGAACTGTGTGTAAGCACAAACTGAAAAGAGCTGCAGTGTCCAAGGGGCTTGGGCTTAAAAATATTAGAGATCTAGATTTTATCAGATTCATAAACAAAAAATTCTTGAAAAGCAGTCATAATATAAAATGGCAGCTCCCAGTAACTTCTTCAAGTTTTATCTTCAGAAGTTGACTCAATTCAGTTTGCCTCATTCTTGGAAGCCTCATCAAAATTCTCCATGATACCTGGAACTTCATCATCGTCATCATCCTCTCCAGTAGCAAGTGGTGCTTTTCCATCCACAGATTGTTTGGGCAGAGCTTCAGCCAGTCTCCTTAAACTAGTCAGACTGACTGCAGCAAGCTGGTTTAAGACGCTGCGTAGCATTTCTGTCAGCTGCTTTGTCTCACCATGGCCTGTAATGGTGAAAGTGTTCACTGCCAGAAATGCCTGAACTTCAGGGTTGTTAAAGTGGATCATTGTTCTTTGGAGTTTTTCCTGGTTCATGATTGTTTCTTTCATCTTCTCAGAGTGGATAAGGGGCCACGCGGGGGACTAGGCTTGGTGCTCAGGGGCTCTTGGGTGGACCAGCTGAGACTAGGCGCACACACGTGGTGATGCAAGATGGCAGCTAAAGCCTTTCTTTTTCTCTCTCTCTCTGTCTCTCTCTCTCTCTCTCTCTCTCTCTGTCTCTCTCTCTCTCTCTCCTCTCTCTCTTTCTCCCTCTCTCCTCTCTCTCTTTCCCCACTCCCCTCCCATCCTCTCCCCTCCCCTTCACTTCCCTTTCCTTTTTCTCGCTCTGTTACCCAGGCTGGAGTGCACTGGCATGATCATAGCTCACTGCAACCTTGAACTCCTGGGCTCAAGCAATCCTCCCACCTCAGCTGGGACTACAGGCATGCACCACCATGCCCTGCTGTTTTTAAACTTTTTTTTTAGAAAAGGGGTCTCACTTTGTTACCCAGGCTAGTCTTGAACTCCTGGTCTCTAGTGATCCTCTCTCCTCAGCCTCCCAAATCGCTGAGATCATAGGTGTGCTCCACCATGCCAGACTCAGACAATTGCTCGAATGAGACTGTATTTTGTGATTTAAAATGCCCATAGAATGATCTTATACCTTAGAGTGAGCAGAAAAATTCTGGAGTCCTCATAATTTTTATCTAATGGCAGGAAAGAGCTTTCCTCATGGAATAAATTTTGAAGGAGCAGTGGGTAACAAAAATAAAGTTGCTTTTTGATCACATCCCATGAGCAGTGCTGGTCCAACAAATGGATTTGGTGGTTAATGGTGAGCGTCAGGCCTCCTAAGACCAACCTAATCTGCAGGGTTCCTTGCTGTGGGCCCAGTGGGAGCAGAGCAATCTGGGAAGAGTGGGTGAGCCCAGCTCATTCTGTGGGAGGAGTTGCTTCAACAGACTTGGATTGAGGTAAAGGCTGAATTTAAAAATATATCTTTTAATAAGGTGATACATTTGCAGACAGAGTTATTGCCCATGTCGAAACTTTGTGGGACAGATTCCTCCTCCTACTTGGTTTTTGTTGTCATTGTTGTTGTTTGGTTTCGTTTTGAGACAGGGTCTCACTCTGTTGCCCAGGCTGGAATGCAGTGGTACAGTTA
This sequence comes from Homo sapiens, assembly GCF_000001405.40. Lineage (NCBI taxonomy): Eukaryota > Metazoa > Chordata > Mammalia > Primates > Hominidae > Homo > Homo sapiens. Next base: position 227,432,931 of record NC_000001.11, on the reverse strand, counting down.
CTGCTCACTGCAGCCTTGACCACCCCAGGTTTAGGTGATCCTCCTGCCTCAGCCTCTTGAGTAGCTGGAACTATAGGCCTGCACCACCACACTCAGCTAGTTTTTGTATTTTTTGTACAGACAGGGTTTTGCCATGTTGTCCAGGCTGGTCTTGAACTCCTGGACTCAAGTGATCTGCTCATCTCAGCCTCCCAAAGTGCTGGGATTATAGGTGTGAGCCACCATGCCCGACCCCCACTCCCATTTGTGATTTGTGCAGAATTTCTGCCAGCCCCTCACATGACTCATGAAGGGTGAGAATTTTCCCCTAAAGTCTCCTCCAGAAGCCCACACTAGAATCTACCACACTAACCAAATTTCATCATGTGATGTTTCACAAGAAATTAGAATGAGTTATATCCATGCTTGCAGGCAGAGAGTGGGTCCAGTTTGGAGAATCTGACCCCAGTGACAAGTCCAGCTCCTCGGGGATTTTTTTTTTAATTTTTAATTTTTAGTTTTTTGTAGAGATGGGGTCTCACTATGTTGTCCAGGCTGATCTCAAACTCCTGGCATCAAATGATCCTCCCACCTTGGGCTCCCAAAGTGCTGGGATTACAGGCATGAGCCACCATGCCCAGCCCTCCTTAGGGATCTTGATAAAAGATATTAATGGAAAACTGGATTAAGATCTAACATACTTATATATTCTTCCAGGCTCCCTGAAGCTCCATAAGTCTTTGATTCTGTGTCTTCTTGGCTGTAGCACAGTCTAAGAGTCAGAATTTTTGCCATTCTCCAGGCAGTGTAATGTTTGTACTGTGTGTGTGTGTGTGTGTGTGTGTGTGTGTGTGTGTGTGTGTGTTCTGTGAGCTGCCACGGCCACCGCTGCAGGCTGCAGCTGGTGTTGATGGTGCAGAAGCGCTGAGTCACTGGCTGTTTAGCGACCCTTACATCACGTTCCATTGTCCTTTCTTCCTTTCTAGGCTTTGAGAGCCCTTTCAGTGTTTTCATTTTGTTTTGTTTTTGCCCAGGGCCTCTCCCTGGTAGGAAATCAGGGTGTAAAAACTGAGAGGGTGCTGGGGCTCCCGAACAAAGCTGTGCAGAAGGACAGTGGATCCCTGCAGGCTGCTGAGGACACCCAGCAACCCAGATTCACGTGCTGGAAGCACACGAGGGCCCTGGGCCAGCCCCAGCGAGGCCCCGGAGCCCCAGGGTGGGCTCTGACTGACATTTTTCTGCAGCTCTCCCTGCTGTGCTGGTTTCAACTAGAGCTGATGAGTTTAACAATCTCTTTATAAGTTCTGAATCCAACGTTCTTCGTGCCCATTTTAGCACAAGTGTAACAGGTGGTGCTAATTATCAGTGTGACATAAATTCTTGGAGAGGTAGCCTCTGGAGAGGGCTATACAGATTTTTTTAAATGACTATTTTGACCCAACGAGCTTGTCACTTTATTACAGTTGTTTTGTTATTAAAAAATACCTATTTATTATGGAAACATTGGGGAAAAAACAAAACATCATAAAGGATGAAGTAAAGGTTATTCGTATTCCACCACCCAGAGATGATCACATTTTGATATATAATCTTCTAATATTTTTTCTAAATATGGATTGATATGCACGTACGTTTTACATAATTGGGCCCACATTGAGCATTTTATTTAAACTGAAAAATATGCTGTGAATATACTCTTACGTCATTGAGCCATATTCTAGAAGTGCTGCAAATTAATGCAGTATGAGCAGAGAGATAAGATGCATCTTGGATTGTTTTATTTGCTGTCAGTTCATTTCTATTTGTAGGATCTTTCTCTTGCCAGAATAGCCTCATTTACAAGTCCTGTCCCTTCCTTCCACCCCTGCAAGGGAGCTAAAGCATTTTCTCAGGTAATCATCCCACACTATCTCTGCATTTTTTTTTTTTTTTGGTATATAAACTATTTATTAACAGACAAGGCCTACAGACTTATTCCTTCTTGGACACACCCGTAGTACAGCCATGGCAGCCAGTGGTCTTGCTGTGCTGGCCTCAAGACACGAAGGCCCCAGAGGTGGCGCAGCCCTCTATGGGCCTGAAACTTCTTCAATCACTCCAGGTGGTCACAGAACTTGTTGTCCATTGGCTGGGATCTGGCTGTATTTTCCAGACTTTACATCCTTCTGTCTGTTCAAGAACCAGTCCGGGATCTTGTACTGGCATGGATCCTGTATAATGGTGATCACACGTTCCACCTCATCCTCAGTGAGTTCTCCTGCCCTCTTGGTGTGGTCAAAGTCTGCTTTCCTCAACACCGCATGAGCATATCTTCGACCCACAGCCTAAATGGCAGTGATGGCAAAGGCTTTTTTTCCACCGCCCACCGATGCTGGTGTTGAGTACTCGCAGAATATGCTGGAACTCTTCAGGGATCACTAGAGACATGGTGGCCACAGAGGTGGCAGCATGTAGGCCTCCTGTGGAGGAGAATCTCTGCTTTTTTAAAAATGCTTTCTGGGAAGCCCTAGGACCAGCTAAGATCTATCTGGATCAGTAGTTCTCAATCTTGAGCTCACATCAGAATCTCCTGGAAGGCTTGTCAAAGGAGATTGCTGGGCTTCACCCCTGGAGTTTCAGTAGGGCTGGGGTGGTAGACAAGTTCCCAGGCAAATGTTACTCATGTTGGTTTTCTACTGAGAACCACTGATTTGGGGGAATGGATGAACAATTTGCTTCCTCCAAGCCCTCTCCCAGCGTTCCTTGGCTACTTGTCTTTTTCCCTTAGAGCATTTATTTTGTCTCTAAATTCTTTGCTTGTAACCACTCCCTATGCTGTCTTCTCGTGGTGTCACTCATGCATACAAAGGACAGAAATATTTTCTTAATGGAGGGCTGGAATCCAAAGGGTTCAAGGAGCCCCCTAGTATCCGTGAGAGTAGAAACCAGGGTGATTCGTCCTTCCCTGTCACAGCAGCACAGTCTCCTGAAGAGCTGGCTCAAAAGGAAATGCACAGATGCCCGGACTATTTGTTAAAGGAAATGGCACATTATCCTCTTCCCAACATCTGGTCATTCCTGAAAGACAGTCAAGCCCCGATAATACTGTTGACTCACTCGAAGCCTGTGTCTTCTTTCCCGAGGGAGGTGGAGACGAACCAAGGAGGATAGAATCTATTTTTGTGTCGGCCCAAGGGGACGCCTTGGGGAGGGGACGAAGGGTCACCCACATTGCTGTTCTGTTCTGGGAGCCAGGAATGCATACTTCCTTCCTGTCCAGCCCTGAGCAACAGTCTCTTTCTCAAGTCTCAGATCTTCCACAGAGAGCTGGAAAGATTTTTAAATGCCATGGTGGGCTGGAATGGCTGGACACCAGCATAGATGGACTGATGAAATGGGAAGAGATTTGGCAGGACGCAGGGTGTTGAGGTTGCAGCAAAGGCAAGAGAGCTGTGTTGGGTTGAGTGACTGTCACACTGTGCAGTCAGGGCTCAGAGGCTGCATCTGGCTGCCTCTTCATTAGGAAATGCGTGTGTTTTTTTTTTCATCTCTAAGGCATCTTCTAGGGGCTAAACATGGAGAAAGAATAAGAGGGGTGTGAGTAGGGTGTCTGGTTAATTAACCTGGAGGACTTGCCCAGGTTGACTTTGCACAGGTAAGGAGAAGTAATACCCTGAAATCCACCTGGAGATCCAGGGGGACCCCCTCCAGCATCTCAACCAGTTGGATTAAGTGAAGCTGAGTTCTGAGAGAAGGAAGTTTCATTCTCATTAAACTAATAGAGGGCCTCCTGGACTAGGGAGGGGATGGGGAGAGGTGGGGAGAGGTGGGGAGGGCACCTCTGCCTTTGGAGCTAAGGGCATTTATTGTGCCAGGCCTTTGTTTTGTTCCAGCCAGGGCACTCTGGCGAAGGCATCCTGGGAATTTGGCCTGCAAACAGAAAGGGCATTTCCTTGTGTGGGTTTCCTGTTTAGGTCTGCGTAGAAACCCAAAGGATCGCTTGGCCTCATAAATCCTCTAGACATTACTGGTGTAGATGCTCTGGCTGGATGCCATGGGAAAATCGCACAGAAATAGAAGAAGGGAGGAAAGCACATTTACTCCCAGGATGCTGGGTGGGTTTCAGGCTCCCTGCCTTCAGATCTGTAAACAGAGGAGGTTGGGCTAGAGGGGATGATCATTCAGGTCCCCTCCAGCTTTGACAATCTCAGGTTCCATTTCCCTCTCAAGGGTCAGCGGGAGCTGGCACTGTGAAGCTCAGGCATGGGAGTCAGCTGAGCAGCTCACCAAACAGAAGCATGAAGAAAATTTCAACCAAAAAATTAGAAAGTTGCCTTGGAATATCCTTTAGGCTCCTTCACAGAAAGAAGGTGCTTCTGAACTCTGGTATTTCCCAGACTTTCCTAGACGCTTAGCGTATCCCAAAAATGACAGCTACCAGGGTCAGGAGTATTGTGGAGTCTCGTGGATGGGTTTTGGCACAAAGCAAGTTTGCAGAGCTGGCAGTGAATAAGGTGTTTATTAGGAGACATCACCCATTTCAGGTTTCTTTTTTTACTTCCAGTTTCCCTCAATTTCTGTATATGTCAAATTGCAGTTTGGCATTCACACTTGTTGGTTTAATGGAAGAGGCATGTTTTCATTCTTAATCTGTGGATGAATTCAGATTCTGCGCAGACTGCACTTGGAGATTGACCAGACTTTAGGTCAGTTGGGAAAGTCATGGGGCAAAAACAGGATTTCTTATGGAGATTTCCTGTGTCAACCCAAGCTTTGTTCCAGTAAGAACATGCTCATCATCTTCAACGATGCCTCTTGTGTTACCTTATTTTCTCATTTATCCTTATTTGCATCATTTAGAAAATGTGTTATATAGAACTGTCTTTTTTGGGAGGCAAATAATGAAATGATATTGAGTAACATTAAATTAATTGCTTGTAGTCAGACAATGCAGCGTTCTAGTAAATTAATTGGATATTTTACTTAAGCAGGGGTAGACCCACTTATGAAGCAATATTTCTCAAGACAAGATTGCCCCCTTAGAATTCAGCATGGCTCTATCCTCAGTTCTCTCGGGTGCGAATCGTGGCATTTGTCTGTGAACCTCATACCCTCAAACATGTCCTTACAGATAAACACATCCACAAAGGAAAATCACTTCCAAGGTCCCATTCTGTTATTTCTTTTCCAAATTTTGCTTTTGTGTGTCTGAAATACATTCTTCTTTTCCTCCCACCAACTCTGAGCTGTTTCTTCAATAATGAAGTAGGTGGAAGAAGAAGGAACATGATAGGAAGTTCTAAGCTTTCTGGGTCCGTGCTCCTTAGAACACTAATCCTGAGAAATGTGCTTTAAAAGGGAGTCCTGTGGTCACACAGGGGTTGGGAAATGCATGTTTGCACTCTGCTGTGTTAAAAGCTCTGAAAATTCATGCAATAAAGAAATATGTTTGACTTTAGCTCAGCATTTCCCAAACTTATCTGATCAAGAAAATATCTTTTTATATTATGTGTATAGCAGATATTAACAAATGGAGGAATAAGTGTTCTATGTGACACTTTGAGAAATGCTTCCTACTGAAAAATAGAGTTCACTGTCTTATATTTAGTACTGGGGATAAATATATGTATTTATGTTATAGTATATAATATGAATATTTATAATATATGTTATATATTATATGAATCATTATATTATAGTATATAATATTATATAACATAAATATAAATATATTTATAGTGATAATAATATAAATATTATATATGATATATAAATGTTTATAATTTATATTTATATTATAACATTAACATAATTCTAATATATAATATATTCTATATTACATTACATATAATTATATTATGTATTGTATTATATAATATAAATATAATATGTATAATGATAATTTTATTTGTTTATTTATTTATTTTTTTTTTTTTTTGAGATGGAGTCTCGCTCCATCACCCGGGCTGGAGTGCACTGGCAGGACCTCTGTTCACTGTAACCTCCACCTCTGGGGTTCAGGCAATCCTTCTGCCTCAGCCTCCTGAGTAGCTGGGACTACAGTTTCTTGCCACCACACCCAGCTAATTTTTTGTGTTTTTGGTAGAGATGGGGTTTCACCATGCTGCCCAGGCTGGTCTCAAACTCCTGACCTCAAGTGATCTGCCTGCCTCGGCCTCCCAAAATGCTGGGATTACAGGCGTGAGCAACCATGCCCAGCCTATAATTATAATTTATATTTACATATATAATTTATATTCATAATGTTTATATCTCAATATTTATATTATATATAAAGTGGAGGAATATATATAACATATGATAAACATTCCCATTACCTTTTCATATATACATACTTTATATCTGATATGGTTTGGATCTGTGTCCTCACCCAAATCTCATGTTCAGTTGTAATTCCCCATATGGGAGGTGGACCTGGTGGGAAGTGTTTAAATCATGGGGGCAGATTTCTCATGAATGATTTAGTACCATCCCCTTGGTACTGTCCTTGCAATAGTGAGTGACTTCTTTATGAGATCTCGTCATTTAAAGGTGTGTAGCACCTCCGCCCTCTCTCTCTTGCTCCTGCTCTGGCCATGTGAAGTGCCTGCTTCCTCTTCACCTTCTGCCATGATTGTTAGTTTCCTGAAGCCTCTCCAGAAGTCGAGCAGATGCCAACATCATGCTTCCTTTACAGCCTGCAGAATTGTGGCTAATTAAACCTTCTTTTCTTTATAAATTACTCAATCTCAGGTATTTCTTTATAGCAATGCCAGAACAGTCTAATACAATGTGTATATACTGTATGTGTGTGCATATCAATAATGTACTGGAAATGTTGCTGCTCTTTTCAGAATTTTCAGGATGAACATAGCTATGAAAAGATCTTTATAAAAAAAACATTAGAAACACATCATCATTTCAATTGTGTCTATTGGTGTTTGGTAGATGACAGGTGAGTCTTTTTTTCTTTCTATTTTTTTTCCCACAGATCTTCCACAATGAATATGAATTATTTCTATATTAGATGCAAGAAACAAAATAAATTTTAATTTTTAAAAAGAGTCCACGTACAAGGTTCCTTTTATTTGGTCTTCATGCAGAGAAGCCATCAGATGCATCTTCCTGCTTCCTAGTCATTTATCTGAGCTTGCTTGTGGTTCTATGGCACACATCTACTGAGGTCCTGCATGGCAGTTTCGGGAGCACACACAGCTTCTTCAGTTTTAAGAGAAAGTAAAGCAATTAGCACATAGTGGGAGGATCGGTAAGAGTGCAGGAAATGGCCTCATCAAGTCCACCAAACTCAGTTGTTCCTGGATTGTGTGTTCAAGAAGAAACAGATGGTCTATCAGACAGAATTCTTGGTTGCCACCAATGGAAATCTCAGTTGGAAAGTGGATTTATTGGAAATGTATCATATGGTTCAAAGAATCAGTGCAAGGCTGGAGAACCAGGTGATGAAATTGGATAAAAATCTAGGGAGGCCTCATGACCTAGCACTGTGGGAGGCCAAGGCAGGAGCTCAGGAATTGAAGACCAGCCTGGCAGCATAGAGAGTCCTCATCAATTAAAAAAAAAAAATTAAAAATTGGCCAGGCATGATGGTGCGTGCCTGTAGTCCCAGCTACTTAGGTGGCTGAGGCAGGAGGATCGTTTAAGCCCCAGGTCGAGGCTGTAGTGAGCCATGATCACACCACTGCACTCCAGCTTGGGTGACAAAGCGAGACTGTTTAAAAAAAAACAAGGTGGCAAGGCACAAAGATATTCTACTTGGCATGCTGCCATTGGTGTTGTCAATGCTGGGCACTTGTCATCATGCTGCTGGGCTCTGGCACCCCTGAACACTCATTGCTGCGCTGCTGGACACTCAACTCCAGCACAGCCACCGCCAAAACGTTCTGCCTCCCCACAGTCTTCCTGTCCTACTGGGGCCACTGATCAGCTGAACCCAGGGTAATATGCTGGTTCCCTAGCTGCTGCGCCAAAGAAAGAAACTCTCTGCCCTCTTTGGCTTCTGAAGTAGGAAATGGAGTCTTGCCTCCCTTCTTTTGGATGCTTCTTTCCAAAGGGAAAGGATGTTTAAAGTCTGGGTAGCCAGAATGACCAATAAACATAACATTTAGGGATTCTGTAAAGCGGCTGCCAGGATCTCGGAGGGGCAGGGGATAAAGCAGCCAACCATGCTCAGAAGTGGTCTCCTCTCCCAGAGCCACATGCAGCATGGTTTTCTTTCTACCGGGAATCCTGAGATGGGAAAGGTTCTGCCAGATTTCTTAATCAGTTGGTTGAAAGTCTGCCCCTCGGAAGAACTGACCCCTCTGGATAAAAACCGCACTAAATAACAAAATAAGAATGACCATTTTTTAAGGAACCTGGGGGCAGAGGAAGTATGCCTACCTGGCCGGAAGGGCTGGGGTTTCTCACTCACTCTGTCAGCCACACGGATTGTCTGATGGACCCTGACCAGGGGAAGTGAAGGGGAAACAGAGCACTTGATGGATTGTTTTTTCTCTGAAGAACTTTACAGTTTAGGGAAGCAGATTAAATAGATTGATATTATCTTAGAGAAGGGCCCTATAAGTGCAGGGAATGAGAAAGGAGTGAAAAATGTAAACATGGATTTTTTTATTGACTTCCTTATTCGGGAACATATCTTTCTGCTTGCAAATGTCCAAATGTTGGGGCTGAGTCCAGAGACTAAAAGATGAAATCCAAGGAGAGAGTCAGGGTGGCTGTTGGTGCTGTGGGATTCTTAGACGCCAGACACAGACCCTAATCTGGACTACGTAGGAGAAAACCTGTGGGGTTAACTACTTCAGAGTTTGGAGTCTTTCAGGTAGAACTGGAAATCAATGATTAAGAAATGAGAGGCCAGGCGCAGTGGCTCATGCCTGTAATCCTAGCACTTTGGGAGGCCAAGGCGGGTGGATAACTTGAGGTCAGGAGTTCAAGACCAGCCTGGCCAATATGGTGAAACCCCATCTCTACTAAAAAATACAAAAAAAAATAGCCAGGCATGGTGGTGGATGCCTGTAATCCCAGCTACTTGGGAGGCTGAGACAGAAGAATTACTTGAACCCAGAGGTTTCACAGTGGAGGTTGCAGTGAACTGAGATCACGCCCCTGCATTCCAGCCTGGGCAACAGAGTAAGACTGCTTCTTAAACAAAAAAGAACAGTAGAACTAATATGGATCTGCTCACCTCAGAGTAAGTGAGGTATAATTTGAGAACCCCGCAAAGTTGACCTTATGTAATCTTTATATTATTATAATATTCTACAGTGAGTTGCTTCTTGGTTGTCAGGACATCTGCACAGCTTTCATCATTGACTGGGGCCTTTTGAGGACTGTCTATACCATAGTCCCCCCTTATTGACGGTTACACTTTCCACAGTTACAGTTACCTCTGGTCAACTGCAGTCCAAAAATATTAAATGGCAGGGCATGGTGCCTCACACCTATAATCCCAGCACTTTGAGAGGTAGAGGCAGGAGCATTGCTTGAGCTCAGGAGTTCAAGACCAGCCTAGGCAATATAGTGAGACCCTGTCTCTACAAATAAAAATTAAAAATAGCCAGTTGTGGTGGTGCATGCCTGTAGTCTCAGCTACTCAGGAGGCTGAGGCGAGAGAAACACTTGAGCCTGGGAGTTCAAGGCTGTAGTGATCCATGATCACACCACTGCACTCCAGCCTGGGCAACAGAGCAAGACCCTGTCTCAACAAACAAACAAATGAAAAACCCAAAAAGATTAAATGGAAAACTCTAGAAATGAACAATTCATAAGTTTTAAATTTTGTGCTATTCTGAGTAGCATGATGAAATCTCAGGCTGTCCTACTCCATTCCTGCCCAGGATGCGAATCCTACCTTTTTATCTGCACAAAATCATTTAGCCATCTTGATTATCAGATCAGAAAAACATAGTATATGTGAGGCTTGGTTCTATCTGTGGCTTCAGGCATCCACTGGCAGTCTTGGAATGTATCCCTTTCAGATAAGTGGGGGACTACTGTATATTCTTAGAGAAAGGGCTTCCAAGCTTGGGTACTTAGATTCTTCAGTTGGACGAGGATCAGGATTATGCCTCCCAGAAATGCAACCAAGACAACAAAACAAGCACAAGTCTTTGGTAGAATGCATTGTAGAATGCATTCTTACACAGTGGATCGTATTCTTCCTGGGAACACATGCTAGAAAGAGAAGAGCAAATCTTTAGGAACATGAGAATGTACTACACCTTAGAGAGTGCAGCTATGTGCAAGTACTCAGTCACCTGGAACTGAATCTCAACTAGAACCAAATTTCACTGACACAGACAAAGTTAGTGATCAGTGTGCAAGAATATCTGAGTCATGATGAAGGAAGAAATGATTAAGGACTCAAAGGATCTCTTGAAATTGGAAGCCTATCCATTCCTAGGAAATTTGAGACAAACCACATGGTGTCTCTCCTGTAACCCCAGCATTTTTCCAGGGAAATCTTTGAAGGAAAAAGGTCACAAAAAGGTAGACTAAGGGAATAGAGTGAAGACAGAGAGGCATGGTGGGGGGGGATATTCCATTTTTCTCTTCACTGCCTCTACGGTGGTAGATTGGAACAGGAGGTAGGAAGTAGATTGGAATTTCTAGTATCCAATATAGGGATAGTGCATTTCACCTTTTGCTGTGTCCCAGGGTGAATAGACAGTGAAAGGGAAGCATAAGCCCTCACGAAAGAGCCTGATATAGCAAAACTGCTATAGGCCAGGGAGGTAGGAGGCAGACAGGGCTGGAGCTCTGCATGACACTTGAGGTCTCAGGCCTGGGCCCAAGAGATGAGTCTGGACACAGAATAAACATCTTTGTTGTCAGTTATATTAAAACATGGTGTCTGGCTGGGCACAGTGCTGCACGCCTACAGTCCAAGCTACTTGGGAGGCTGAGGTGGGAGGATTGTTTGAGCCTGGGAGTTCGAATCTAGCCTAGGCAAAAAAGTGAGACCCTGTCTTTAAAAAAAAAAAAAAAAAGATGGTGTCTGTAACCAGATGACTGTCTTTAATCCTAGCTCTACACCTCTTGCTAGCAGTAGGACTTTGGAGAAATTACCTAACCTTTCTGTGCCTCTGTTTATCACTTGTAAAGGGCAATAAGGATATGACCTGCCCCATAAAGTTTTCATGAATATTAAATACATTAATTCATGTAAAGTGCTTAGCACATAATAAGTGTAACCAAGTGACTGCTCAATAAGCATTAGGCTTCAATTTTATTCCAGGTGGTTAGAATATGCCAGAACAAGGGTAACATTTTTCACCTACAAGGCTTGCGTGGGACATCCAGGTAAACTTTCATTCAGATTAAGGTCAGAAAATGCCACGGCCATTACTTTAATCTGACTGAAGTTGATGAAGCATCTCTGTGGTGGAAATATTTAACTTACATCTGTAATATTAACAGATTGCTGGTGTTAAAGTCTTATTAGTGGCAAATGCTTTGTTTCACCGAAGCATTTCCTAAGCAGTGGCACAACATGGTTGAAATGTGGCCATCCTGGGTCTTAGTTTTAAGAGCCTTGAGGCCGGGCACGGTGGCTGATGCCGGTAATCCCAGTGCTTTGGGAGGCTGAGGAGAGAGGATTGCTTAAGACAAGAAGTTTGAGGCTACACGGAGCCATGACCATGCCACTGTGCTCCAGCCTGGGTGACAAAGTGAGATCCTGTCTCCAAAAAAAAAAAAAAAGATCCTTGAAAACAGAGTCCTCAGAAATGAGGGGGACTTTAGCGTCTTGCAGCGTTTCTCACACAGGTGTGTCAGTCACTGGGATTTGGGGACAATTTGAGCATTTTAAAATGTATGTTTCAGGCCAGGTGTGGTGGCTCATGCCTACAAGTCCCAGCACTTTGGGAGGCTGAGGTGGGAGGATTCCTTGATCCCAGGAGTTTGACACCAGCCTGGGCAACACAGTGAGACCCTGTCTCTGCAAGAATTTGTTTTAAAAAATTAGCTGGGCATGGTGGTGTGCTCCCTGCAGTCCCAGCTACTCAGGAGGCTGAGGCTGGAGGATTGCTTGAGCCCAGGAGTTCAAGGCTGCAGTGAGCTATGATGGTGCCCCTCCACTCCAGTCTGGGTAACAGAGCAAAACCCTGTCTCATAAAAGATAAAGAAATAAATAAGTAAAATTTATGTTTTTATAGGATAAAACTTAGTTCCTTAAATTAGTTTTTTTTCTCAAACTGGAGCTTGTAGATGTTTTTTTTTTCCTTTATGAGGTGCTGGTGCATTCCTGAAATTTGAGGAATGTTGATATAACAGAAAGGACATGGGCTTTGAAATCAGACAGATCCATAGTCAAATTCAGACTCTTCTCCCTGGGAGAACCTGGGCGAGTCACTCAGCCCCACTGAGCCTCGACTTTGTCATCTGGAAAATGGTGATAATAGCTACGCACAATCTTGCTATGAAGAGTGCATGCAAATGTAGGGGCTCAGCAAAAGTTACCTCCCATCCTCTCGCCTATGTTCTTCTCCCGTAAAGAAAGAGGAGAGGAGTTATTCTGCCTTCTTGAATGAAAGCAAAGAGAAACTCAACTGAGATATTCAACAGGTTTGTACTGGAGACTCGGTGATTCAGACAGAGATGTTGTGGTAGACTGAATAACGCCCCCTCAACTCCTAAAGATGTTTACCTCCTAATCACTGGAACCTGTGAAAGTTATATGGCAAAAAAAGAATGTTGCAGGTGTGATTAAATTATAGATCTTTCGACAGAGGGATTGCCAGTGAGCCCTAAATAAGAGGGAGGAAGAGGAAGATTCAACACAGACAGAAGAGTAGAAGGCAACATGGCCAGGGACTCAGAGACTGGAGTGATGTGGCCACAAGCCGAAGAAAGGAGCAGCCACCAGAAGCTGGGAGAAAAGGAAAAGAGCGAATTCTCCCCTAGAGCCTTGGGAGGGGCTCAGCCCTGCCGGCACCTTGATTTCAGCTCCGTGAAACTGACTTCAGGCTTCTGGCCCCCAGAACCATGAAAGAATATATTTGTTTTAGGTTTCCACATTTATGGCAATGTTTTACAGCAGCCATAGGAAACTAATACCGATGTTTGCTCATGACTGAAATAAATAATGTTAAGATGGGGTGGAAATGATTGTGCTCAGTGGCAGAAATTTAGGAACTCCTGAGCAAACATTTTAATTCTGTTGTCTAGTCCTTGGCTCCTAGGCCGACAGGTGTGAAGAAGAGAAAATCCTTTCTAATAATATAGAACTTTCACACTGTGGCTTGAAACCTTTAGTGGGCTGAGACTTGCATGTTGTTTGTTTGTTTGTTTGTTTTTTAAGTGAACTAGAATAGAATAAAAAGCCTGACACTCTGTGCTGTTGTCATCACAAACCAAGGGCTTGCCCACTCTTTCCTATGTGAAGCCGTTACACATGGTCTTCCATGCACTCTCCTTCCTCCTCTTACCACTCTTAGTCAGGTGGCCACTAACATGCTCCCATGGCACCTTGTGCTTTTGTTATTATGGTCCTCATCACCTTGTAATACATTATTGGCAATTCATTCAGTGAGTGTGCTTCTGGTCCTACTGTGTCTCAGGCACTTTACTGGGTGCTAGTCCTTTCCAAGTGTCTCCTCCTTGGACAGCCATTTCCCTAAGGAATAAGTTTTTATTGTTGTTGGGTTGTTTGTTTGTTTGTTTTCTGAGATGGGGTCTTGTTCTGTCACCCAGGCTGGAGTGCAGTGACATGAACATGGCTTACTCCAGCCTTGACCTCCCGGGCTCAAGCAATCCTCCCACCTCAGCCCTACTACCCAAGTAGCTGGGACGACAGGCGCACACCACCATGCCTGGCTAATTTTTTATAGAGACAGGGTCTCCCTGTGTTGCCCAGGCTGGTCTTGAACTCCTGGACTCAAGAGATCCTCTTGCCTTGGCCTCCCAAAGTGCTGGGATTACAGGAAAGAGCCACAGCTCCTGGCCCAGGAATAATGTTTTAACATCTGTATCTCTAGTGCCCTAGGCAGTGCCTGGCATTCCAAAAGGTGCTTGAATGGTTATGAGTTGTGGTTTTAGAATTATTTTTTGTTTGTTTGTTTTGGTTTGGTTTTTATTTTTGTTTTTGTTTTGAGATGGAGTCTCGCTCTGTCATCCAAGCTGGAGTGCAGTGGCGTGATCTTGGCTCACTGCAACCTCCCCCTCCCAGGTTCAAGCGATTCTCCTGCCTCAGCCTCCCGAGTAGCTGGGATTACAGGTGCCCACCACCATGCCCAGCTAATTTTTGAATTTTTAGTAGAGACGGGGTTTCACCATGTTGGCCAGGCTGGTCTCGAACTCCTGACGTCAGGTGATCCACCTGCCTCGGCCTCCCAAAGTGCTGGAGTTACAGGCATGAGCCACCGCTCCCGGCCTAGAATTATTCTTTTAAACAAATTCAAATGGTGGTTGGGGGCAAGTCATCTGCTCTGGCCCTGTTAGGTGTGGGACAGGACATTGCTCTATGGGAACTGGCCTGACAGGCAGGCATGGGTTTGCTAGAAGCATGGTCATAGAAATCCTCTATTTGGGCTTTTAAATTGTAGTGGTCCCTCGGTAGAGTTGGACACATTTTCTCTCTTCTCCAGGTCACCCTCCTGCCATAAATCCTGGACCAGCTAGAGGAGGAATCACTTGACTGATGAAGAAATGGAAGGAGTGCATTGTGAACATTGGAGGCCGTCCTAATTGCAGGACCAGCTGGAGAAGATAGCCTAAAATAAATTTCAGTCATACAGGAATTTTTGAAAGAAAAGGATACCTTCCTTTCCCAACTTAGGCTCTTCTGCTAACTTATTGTAACATCATCATGTCCTTAAAACATCAAATATGAGAGCCAAATTATACTCAGCAGTGTCTTAGGCAACAACCACATATGTATAATATAGACAATGATATCATGGCTGACTCAATATAATCACACCCTTGCTCATAAACCCTATCTTTCTTTCTAGGCATTCAAAGCACATGACAGACATTATCTTATTGCTTTTCCCAACACACTTGCCAGGTAGACAGGAAGCAGGTATCATTATTGTCTTCATATCATGTAGGTATAGACAGCTTTCCTGGGAACTGTTTGCTCAAAGCCCCACTGGCAATAAGAGCTACTGGGAAAAAAAATGGCTAGAGTCCTAATTTAAAAAACAGAACTTCCTGCTGAGGCAACTTCAGGTCACAATGCTGGGATATTTCTGATTTCAGGCATTCTTAGATGGGGGCACAATGGGTTAGTTATTTTCCTTTATTTGCAGGTGTTTCAGAGGGAATGAGGTAGCAGATACAATCAAATCGATGCAACTATTGGCACTTTCTGAGTGTTCAGCATCTATGGGGAACTTCAGCATCTATTTTCTTTCCAAGATGGCAGTGGCATTACCAAGCATAGCTCAACGAAGTACGACTGGCAATATAATCTGAAACATCAATATGATTCTACAATGTTTTGCCATTAGAGGCAATTCTGCTATCATTGAAAACATTTAGAGTTGTAGAGGCCTGAGTTCAGGTGCCAGCTCTGACATTAACTGGTTGAGTACTTTTGAGCAAGCCCTTGATCGCTCTGGTTCTCATTTTTCTTATCCACAAAATGGGAACAATATTTACCTTCTTCGAAGACACTAAGGGTAAAAAGAGATCATATATATGTTTCATAAACATTGAAATGCTATAGAAAAACAAAGCATTACAAAGATTAGACCACTACAATTGCAGGCCCTAATACAGGTTATATTTTCTATCAATGGGGCCTATTTCCAATGGGTCATCTGTGCAAAAAATATGTCTTTAAAACTGTAAATTAGGCTGAGCCCGGTGGCTCATGTCTATAATCCCAGTATTTTGGGAGGCCAAGGTGGGCATATCACTTGAGGCCAGGAGTTGAAGACCAGCCTGGCCAACATGGTGAAACCCTGTCTCTACTAAAAATACAAAAATTAGGTGGACATGCCTGTAATCCCAGCTACTTGGGAGGCTGCGGCAGGAGAATAGCTTGAACCAGGGAGGTGGAGGTTGCAGTGAACCAAGATGGCGCCCCTGCACTCCAGCCTGGATGACAGAGCAAGGCTCTGTTTTTAAAAATAAAAATAAAAAAATTAAAAAGAAAACCTGTAAATTATTATCTCCCTGGGAAATCAGGAGAAAAGAAAATTAAGAGGAGAAAGGAGGCCTAGGGCTATAGGTCTATCAGAATTTAAGGAATGTTGACAAATATGAACCGCATGCCTATGTGGTAGAATTCAAGTCTATATACACTGTACAGCCCAGGAAGCTTGGAAAGTAAAGCTTTCCTGTGCCCTCTGGAATGTGGACCCTTTGTCCACGATCTACAAGGTAAAGAATTCCATAGGAAGTATGTATTTAATTAATTGTAGCCAGAAATTAGATATGGGTAAGCCAGATTCCATTGTGCGACGTTATTGCTTCTTCAACCTAGATACGTGGATACTTTAACCCAAGCTCAAACCCACAAGATTTGAACTCCTAACCTTTAAAACGCAAGGCAGCTACTTTGACCACCAGGCATCCTGGTTCTTGTTTACCAGGACTGGGAGTTCTCCTCAGACAGAGCCCCATTTATTCCATGACCCTAGCAGAATAACACTAAGAAACCCAAAAGCATATCCATTTTGAAATAGTGTCTGTGGCACCAAAAGGATTCTGGAGCTCTGAATCAGCCCCTTACCTCATGGCAAAATTTACAGGCTTGCAGAGTTAAATAAAAATCAGATTGGAATGCAGGGACTTCTATTTTTCTGTAATGACATGTTGTGAGGAGAAGGAGGGCAATTTTCTTGGACATTCCTCTAAAACCAGTGCACTTGCAGTGGCTTTTTTGTTGTTGTTGTTGTTTACAAAACTATCCTAAACAGACCCAGGGCTCACTGCCATCTCCGGGTGCCAGGACTCTGGGCCACAGGGGCCATTTGTCCAGGGAATAGAATTAAAATCAATAATTATTCCTTTCACCTGGCACATGTGAGCCTCTTCTCAAAGCAGTCAGAGAGTGGACTTTAATATCTCATTCTTTCTCTGAAGTAATTTAATGATCACATAAGAAAAATGATTCTCTGAAAATATAATCTTAGAATTTGGCTCCACCTCCAAGTTGAAAGAATTTTGTAAGGAAAGAAAGAAAAAAACACTCAAGAAATATGTCTACTCCTCACGTCTGACTGTGAAAAGTCTATATACCATGACCTGAAAAGGAAAGATAAACATAGTCCATGAAATTCTGTGGCAAAAAGGAATGAAAATGTGCTTAAGAAAAAAAAACCCAAAAACTGGAATTGTATTCTCTGCAGGTTTAAAGGCAACCTTTGCCAAAATCTGCTTTCTGGAAACTTTCCTCTAGACCTGGCTGCTACCATCAGCCTTGGCTGCGGGAGAGAGACCTGGAAGACTGTGGTTTGGAATATGTGAATGTTAAAATCAGACATTGTTCCCTTTTCTTTACAACAACAAGTCTTTGGTTTTGGCTATATACATGCTGGGTTTTCCGGTACCACGTTGTTCCTTTTTTCACTAGAGGTCAGAACTATTGAAGGGATCTTGATATTTTTCAGTTTGTTTCCTTTTTGACCACTGCTCTCCCCTTTCTTACAATGCCCTTGAGAAGCTAATGGGCTCTGTTTCCATGCTGAAATGAAGAAATGATCGAGCGAGTATGAAATGACGCGTGGAAGGCCACACAGCAAGTTGGAAGAAGATTCTGGATGAGAAACTTGAAATTTCCATGTCCTCCCCAGGTCTGTAAATCCAGTCCACTAAGCTAAGTTTTTCTAAGACATTGAGGCCCAAAGATGCATGCTGAACCACAGGCATGAGGTGTGACTTCAAACCAAGAGTCAACACTATGCGGAGTGACTAGATACAGAATGCTCTAATAAAATAATTATCACCTGCTGGGGCAGAGTTAAGCTTAAAATCACCTTACCGTGGATTATTCAAATTTATAGCATATTACATATAATTCAGATAGAACAGGGTAATGTTCAACCTAATCCCATCTATGAAAAGATTGTGGAACAAACAGCAAATATTAAATATAGGAACTGTGTCTCAGTTACATGTCATATGTCACATACATAAGAACAAGAATAGGAAATAACAGAATCAATTATTATTGCATCACGGGGAACTATATTTTCAAGAAGCACCTACTGAACTTGGAAGTCATTCTCTTTAACAAAAAATGGTAGTCCATGTAACCTAACATATTACACAGCAGCAGCAGCAACTGAAAAAGCTGTTCCCAGGCAAAGGGCACATGCCAAAGTCATTTTTATAGGATCTTAAGCAGATCTTGCTCTGTTTCAGTGGAAGGTAGAATCATGCAAGAGGAAACTGGGAATGTGCAGGGCTAGAACCACAGAACATCACAAAGAGCCTTCTTAAAGGAGCAGTGGTGGGCTGAGTGATTGGGAATGCTCTGCAATTAAAGGCATACCTGGTTTAACTTTTTTTTTTTTTTTTAAGAGATGAGGCTGTCACTATGTTGCCCAGACTGTCTTGAACTCCTGGGCTCAAGTGATTCTCTCACCTTGGCCTCCCAAAGTGCTGGGGTGACAGGTATGAGCCACCATGCCCCAGCCTATCTTTGACATTTTTCTAACAGCATGTGCTCATTTCATGGTCTCTGTGTCACGTTTCTGTAATTCTCACAATATTTCAAACTTTTTCATCATTATTATTTCTGTTATACTGATCTGTGATCAGTGATCTCCAATGTTACTGTTGTAATTGTTTTGGGGAGTCATGGGCAGCACCCACATAAGAAGATGAACTTGATCAATAAATGTGTGTGCTCTGATTGCTCCACCAACCGGCTCTTCCCACTGACTGGCTGTTCCCCCATTTCTCTCCCTCTCCTCAGGGTCCTCCCTATTCCATGAGATACAACAGTATTAAAATTAGGTCAATTAATAACCCTACAGTGGCCTCTTAAGTGTTCAAGTAAAAGAGTTGCACATCTCTCACTTTATTTATTTATTTAATTTCTTTTGAGACGGAGCCTCACTCTGTTGCCCAGGGTGGAGTGCAGTAGCACCATCTTGGCTCCCTGCAACTTCTGCCTCCTGGTTCAAGTGATTCTCCTGCCTCAGCCTCCTGAATAGCTGGGATTACAGGCATGAGCCACCACACCTGCCTAATTTTTGTATTTTTAGTAGAGACAGGGTTTCACCATGTTGGCCAGGCTGGTCTTGAACTCCTGACCTCAGGTGATCCACCTGCCTCAGCCTCCCAAAGTACTGGGATTACAAGCGTGAGTCACCACGCCCTGCTCACTTTATTTAATTTATTTTTTGAGCCAGGGTCTTGCTCTATCACCTAGGCTAGAGTACAGTGGTGCCATCTCAGCTCACTGCAACCTCTGCCTCCAGGGCTTAAGAAATCCTCCCACCTCAGCCTCCTAAGTAGCTGGAATTACGGGCAAGCACCACCATGCCTGGCTAATATTTATATTTTTTGGTAGAGACAGGGTTTTGCCATGTTGCCCAGGCTGGTCTCGAACTCCTGGGCTCAAGCAATCTGCCTGCCTCAGCTTCCCAAAGTGCTGGGATTACAGGCACATCTCCCACTTTAAATAAAAAACTAGCAATGATTATGCTTAGTAAGGAAGGCACGTTGAAAGCTGAGATAGGCCGAAAGCTAGTCCTCTTGTTCCCAACAGCTAGGAAAGCTGTGAATGCAAAGGAAAAGTTCTTGAAGGAAATTAAAAGCACCTCTCCATGGGACACATGAATAAGAAAATGAAACAGTCTTGTTGCTGAAATAGAGAAAGTTTTAGTGGTCTGGGTAGATCAAACCAGCCATAACATTTCCTTAGGCCAAAACCCAATCCAGAGCAAGGCTCTAATGCACCTCAGTTCTCTGAAGGCTGAGAGAGGTGAGGAAGCTACAGAAAAATGTCTGAAGCTAGCAGATGTTGGTTCATCAGGTTCAAGGAAAAAACTGTCTTAATAACATGAAAGTGCCAGGTGAAGCAGCAAGTACTGATGGAGAAGCTGCAGCAAGTGACACAGAAGATCTAGCTGAGATAATTAATGAACAACAGATTTTCTACATAGATGAAACCTTTTCTATTGGAAGATAATGCCATCTAGAACTTTCGTAGCTAGAGAGAAGTCAATGCCTGGCTTCAAAGCCTCAAAGGACAGTCTGAATTTTTTGCTAGGGGCTAATGCAGCCAGTGACTTTAAGTTGAAGCCAATGCTCATTTGCCATTCTGCAAGTTCCAGGGCCCTGAAGAATTATGTGAAATCTACTCTGCCTGTGCTCTACAAATGGAACAGCAGAGCCAGGATGATAGAACATCTCTTCACAGCATGGTTTACTGAACAGTTTAAGCCCACCATTGAGAACTACTGCTCAGAAAAAAAAGATTCCTTTCAAAATTTACCTGCTCATTGATAATGCACCTGGTTATCCAAGAACTCTGATGGAGCTATACAGGAGATTAATGTTTTCATGCAAACACAACATCCGTCCTGCAGCTCATGCATCAAGGTGTAATTTTGGCTTTCAAGTCTTATTGTTTAAAAAATACTTTTTTTTTTTTTTGAGATGGAGTTTCGCTCTTGTTGCCCAGGCTGGAGTACAATGGCACGATCTTGGCTCACTGCAACCTCCGCCTCCCGGGTTCAAGCAATCCTCCTGCCTCAGTCTCCCGAGTAGCTGGGATTACAGGCACCCACCACCACGCCTGACTAATTTTTGCATTTTTAGTAGAAACAGGGTTTCACCTTGTTGGCCAGGCTGGTCTCAAACTCCTGACCTCAGGTGATCCACCCACCTCGGCCTCCCACAGTGCTGGGATTACAGAAATGAACCATTGCGCCCAGCCGATAAATACATTTTGTAAGGCTATAGTGGCCATAGATAGTGATTTCTCTCATAGATCTGGGCATAGTCAGTTGAAAACCTTCTGGAAAGGATTCACCATTCCAGATGCCATTGAGAACATTCATGATTCATGGGAGAACATATCCATGTTAACAGGAGTTTGGAAGAAGTTGATTCCAACCCTCATAGATGACTTTGAGGACTTTAAGACTTCAGTGGAGGAAGTCACTGCAGATGTGGTAGAAAGTGTAAGAGAACTAGAATTAGCAGAGGAGCCTGAAGATGTGACTGAATTGCTGCAATCTCATGATAAAAGTTTAATGGATGAGGAGTTGCCTCTTATGGATGAGCAAAGAAAGTAGTTTCTTGAGGTGGAAACTACTCCTGATGAAGACACTGTGAATATTATTGAAATGACAACAAAAGATTTAAAATATTACATAAACTTAGTTGTTAAAGCAGCAGCAGGGTTTGAGAGATTGACTTCAATTTTGAAAGAAGTTCTACTGTGAGTAAAATGCCATCAAATAGCTTTGCATGCTACAGAGAAATCTTTCATGAAAAGAAGAGTCAATCGATGCAGCAAACTTCATTGTCTTACTTTAAGAAATGGTTGCATTTTGAAGAGCAGGGGGAGCGGGGGGCTCCTCTAAACCAAAAAGCAGCAGAGTTTGAGAAGCCGGCAGCTCAGGGTTCGGCTGAAGTTAGGAGTGGTGGGTGGCCGCCAAGTGCACGGGGTTGAGGGTGTCCTGGTCTTTGGCTTCTCAACTCTGTCTTGTTTCAACAGAGAACATGTCGCGATTCTTCAGAACTAGGAAGGTTTGTTGATTACTCACAGTTTCAGGAATCTGGTGATGCAAATGAAGATTATGGAAGAGATTCGGGCCCTATCACTAAGAAAATTTCATCATCTCCCCTAGAAGCTAAAAATAAGGCAATCTGGAAAGAATTCACAGGAAGATAGTGAGGACTCAGAAGAAAAAGATCTGAAGACAAAGAAGGATGATTTTCACTGAGCAGAGGATAATGAAGATGAAAATGAAGATGATAAAAATGTACGCCAGCACAGCAGGCAGCATCTAAAGCAGCTTCCAAACAGAGCTCATGGAAGATGTGGGCATGAGGAAGAACAAGAAGAGGATGAGACACCCTTCCAGGAGAATTCCAGCAGCAATGAAGATTTCCTGATGGAAGATGATGACAATAGTGACTATGGCAATTCAAAAAAGAAAAACAAAAAGATGGTTAAGAAGTCCAAACCTGAGAGAAAAGAAAAGAAAATGTCCAAACCCAGGCTAAAGGCTACAGTGACGCCAAGTCCAGTGAAAGGCAAAGGGAATGTGGGTCGCCCCACAGCTTCAAAGCCATCGAAGGAAAAGATTACTTCTCCCAAGGAAGATGAGGTACCAGAAAGCCCGCCAGAAAAGAAAACATCTACAAGCCCCCACCCAAGAAATCTGGTGATGAAGGCATCTGGGGAGGCTTAAAAGCGTTGATGGTTTGGGGAGAGCTTTTAAGAAAAGGAGAGAAGAGGAGGAAAGGAGGAGAGGAGGAGAGAAGAGAAGGAAAAAAAAGAAAAAGAAAAGAAGAAAAGAGAGGGAGGAAAAAAAGAACCTACTTAAGATAGAACATGGTTTTGTCTACGGCTTGACCCATGGGCTTTCAGTGCTTTTTTCCAATTGTTGAAAGTAACACTTCTCTCTCTTTTAAAAATAAAACCATTGTATGTTTAATTGTTTAAATTACCTTTTTGTCTATTGGTCTCTTTGCCAATGCCCCCACCCACCCCCAGCTGCCCTTTCCCAATGAAAGCTATGTCAAATTAATCACTGGATTGATGGCTTCATCTTTTTATTTTTAATGGAAGGTGTACCGCAGTTGTAAAGCAGTAAGATTTGAGATGAACACTATGGAAACTTTGCTTCTTGCTGAACAATAGCAAGTTGAATAGTAACTAAAAAAACGTAGACAGATTTTAGTTCAAAATGATTGCTTCTTTCTCTACCTGGACTTTTAAAAAATCAGTTGTCATCCAATATGAGTTTATTTGTCTATGTACACAAGTATAAATGTCTAAAAAAACATGACTTTAAACTTACACTGATGAGGCAAGTAGAAGATAAAGATGAATTCTGAACTGGTTAAAAAAAAAGAAATGGTCACAGCCACCCTGTGATGATGGTTAATTTCAAGTGTCAACTTGACTAGTTTAAGGAAACATACAAACCTCTAAAAGTGTCATTTTGGGGTGTGTCTGCAAGGGTGTTTCTAGAGGAGACTTGCATGTGAGTCTGAGTGGACGAGGAGGGGAAGATCCGCCCTCCGTATAGGCAGGCACCATCCAATCTTCCAGGGGCCTGGAGAAAACAAAACAGAAAAAGGCAGTTATGTTGCACTGTCTGTTGGAGCTGGAATACACTCTTCCTCTCCTATCCTTGGACAACAACTTCAGGCTCTCCAGTCTTTGGACTCCAGGACTAAAACCAATGGCTTCCCCTGTTCTCAGGCTTCTGACTTCACACTGAGAGTGACACCACCCGCTTCCCTGGTTCTGAGGTCTTTAGACTTGGACTGAGCCATGTTACCAGCATCTCAGAGTCTCCAGCTTGCAGTCAGCCTGTTGTGGGGCTTCTTAGCGTCCATAATCACTGAGTCAATCTTCCTAATAAATCCCCTCTCATCTACCTATCTATCTACCCTATTGGTTCTATCTCTTTGAAGAACTCCAACGAATATACATGCTAACCCCCAGCAACAACCACCCTGATCAATCAGCAGCCATCAATGTCAAGACCCTTCACCAGCAAGATTATAACTTGTTGAAGACTTGATTATCATTAGCAATTTTTCTTTTTGAGAGAGAGTCTCACTCTGTCGCCCAGGCTGGAGTGCAGTGGCACAATCTCAGCTCACTGCAACCTCCGCCTCCCAGGTTCAAGCGATTCCCCTCCCTTGGCCTCCAAGTAGCTGGGACTATAGGTGAGTGCCACCACACCCGGCTAATTTTTTGTATTTTTAGCACAGACAGGCTTTCACGGTGTTAGACGGGATGGTCTCGATCTCCTGACCTCGTGATCTGCCTGCCTCGGCCTCCCAAAGTGCTGGGATTACAGGCGTGAGCCACCGCACCCAGCCTATCATTAACATTTTTTAGCAATAAAGTGTTTTTAAAGTATGTACATTTTTTAGACATAATGCTATTGCACACTTAATAGACTACAGTATAGTATAAACATAACTTTTATATGCACTGGGGAACAAAAACGTTCATATGAATCACTTTATTGCAATATTAGCCTCATTGCAGTGGTCTGGAACCGAACCTGAAATATCTCTGAAGTATGCCTATATAAAATTCTTCATACCAGAAAGAGGACTTACTGATAGAGGAAGGTGTGGGATATAGGCAATGTGTGTGACAGAAAAAGATCAGTAGACGACAATAAACCAATGGCAATGGAAGGATCAAGAAGGACCAAGAGAGAGAGATTTCTGTCCATCAGGCTTGTCTAAAATGAAAACCAGAGGCACATTGTGTATCATTTATAGCTTCATGTATGCATGTATCTGTCTAAGTTAACTGTTTATGGTTTTCTATGATGTTGGCACAGTAATTTTACACTATTTGTATTGATTTTATAAAATCAGGTTAAAGCCATCTCTTATTATTAGAGATTGATACTAGAAATTTTAGTTAAAGATGCAGGTAAAATGCATGCATTAACTCTTATTCTCAAGTTATTCTAAAGAGTAATTAAACAGATTTTGAAACACAAAAAAGACATAAACCACAGGGACAAAGAGGAGAGGAGAAAGCAAAAACAAAATTTCGGATGGTGGAAAGCACTCAGACAAGTGACAACTGAATTAGAAGACCTGAGGGTGTCAAATTGTATAGCAGTGGTTGGGAAGCTGCGAAGAGTCCAACTTACACTGAAGAACTCCCAAAGTCTTAGGAACTGGTAACAAGGTTCTTCTTAAAGTGAGGTTGAAGGTGAGTGAAGATTAGCAGATAAGAGGAAAGTCTAGTTAAAAAGCTGTTAGATGAATGAATGAATGAGTGAATGAATGAATGAATGAAAATAGGGTAGATAGATAGGTAGATGAGAGGGGATTTATTAGGAAGATTGGCTCACGTGATTATGGACACTAAGAAGCCCCACAACAGGCTGATTCTATACAATGGAATACTGTTCAGCAATGAAGAAGTTCTGATTCATGTTACAATATGTATGAACCTTGAAAACATTATGCTAAGTGAAAGAAGCCAGTCACAAAACACAACATATGGCATTATTCTATTTATATGAAATGCGCAGAATAGACAGATTCATAGAGACAGAAAGAACAGTTGACTCTTGAACAACATAGATTTGAACTACATGAGTCCGCCTATATGTGGATTTTCTTCTGCCTCTACCACCCCGGGACAATAAAACTCAACCCCTCCTCCTTCTTTTCCTCCTCAGCCTTCTCAATGAGAAGACAATAAGGATGAATACCTTTAGGATAATTCACTTGCATTTTGTTTATTTTTTTTCCATAGGTTATTGGGGTACAGGTGGTGTTTGGTTACATGAGCAAGTTCTTTGCTGGTGATTTGTGAGATTTTGGTGCACCCATCACCCAAGCAGTATACACTGCACCCTATTTGTAGTCTTTTATCCCTCTTCCCCATCCCACCCTTCCCCACAAGTCCCCAAAGTCTATTGTATTATTCTTATGCCTTTGCGTCCTCATATCTTAGTTCCCACATATCAGTGAAAACATACGGTGTTTGGTTTTCCATTTCTGAGTTACTTCACTTAGACTAATAGTCTCCAAGATCATCCAGGTCACTGTGAATGCTGTTAATTCATTCCTTTTTATGGCTGAGTAGTATTCCATTGTATATATATATATATACCACAGTTTCTTTATCCACTCAATTGATGGGCATTTGGGTTGGTTCCATGATTTTGCAATTGCGAATTGTGCTGCTATAAACATGCATGTACAAGTATCTTTTTCATATAATGAATCCTTTTCCTCTGGGTAGATATCCAGTAGTGGGACTGCTGGATCAAATGGTAGTTCTACTTTTAGTTCTTTAAGGAATCTCCACACTGTTTTCCATAGTGGCTGTACTAGTTTTCATTCCCACCAGCAGAGTAGAAGTGTTGTCTGATCACCGCATCCACACCAATATCTACTGTTTTTTTATTTTTTTGATTATGGCCATTCTTGCAGGAGTAAGGTGGTATTGCATTGTGGTTTTAATTTGCATTTCCCTGATCATTAGTGATGTTGAGCATTTTTTCATATGTTTGTTGGCCATTTATATATCTTCTTTTGAGAATTATCTATTCATGTCCTTAGCCCACTTTTTCATGGGATTATTTTTTTCTTGCTGATTTCATTGAGTTCATTGTAGATTCTGGATATTAGTCCTTTGTCAGATGTACAGATTGTGAAGATTTTCTCCCACTCTGTGGGTTGTCTGTTTACTCTGCTGGCTGTTCCTTTTGCCATACAAAACCTCTTTAGTTTAATTAGGTCTCAGCTATTTATCTTTGTTTTTATTGCATTTGCTTTTGGGTTCTTGGTCATCAAGTCCTTGCCTAAACCAATATCTAGAAGGGTTTTTCCAATGTTATCTTCTAGAATTTTTATAGTTTCAGGTCTTAGATTTAAGTCCTTAATCCATCTTGAGTTGATTTTTGTATAAGCTGAGAGATGAGGATCCAGTTTCATTCTCCTACATGTGGCTAGCCAATTATCCCAGCACCATTTGTTGAAAAGGGTGTCCTTTATGTTTTTTGTTGGTGGTGGTGGTGGTGGCTTTTGTTGTTGTTGTTGTTGTTGTTGTTTGTTTTGAGATGGAGTCTCGCTCTGTCACCCAGGCTGGAGTGCAGTGGCACGATCTCAGCTCACTGCAAGCTCCACCTCCCGGGTTCGCGCCATTCTCCTGCCTCAGCCTCCTGAGCAGCTGGGACTACAGGCGCCCGCCACGACTCCCGGATAATTTTTTGTATATTTAGTAGAGAGAGGGTTTCACCGTGTTAGCCAGGATGGTCTCGATCTCCTGACCTCATGATCCACCCACCTTGGCCTCCCAAAGTTCTGGGATTACAGGCGTGAGCCACCACGCCTGGCCTCCTCACTTTATGTTTTTGTTTGCTTTGTCAAAGATCAGTTGGCTGTAGGTATTTGGGTTTATTTCTGGATTCTCTATTCTGTTCCATTGATCTGTGTGCCTATTTTTATACCAGTAGCATGCTGTTTTGGTGATTATGGCCTTACAGTATAGTTTGAAATCAGGTAGTATGATGCCTCTAGATTTGTTCTTTTTGTTTAGTCTTGCTTTGGCTATGCAGGTTCTTTTTTGGTTCCATATGAATTTTAGAGTTGTTTTTTCTAATTCTATGAAGAATGATGGTGGTATTTTGATAGGGATTGTGTTGAATTTGTAGACTGCTTTTGGCAATATGGTCACTTTCACAATATGGATTATACCCATCCATGAGCATGGGATGTGTTTGTATTTGTTTGTGACATCTATGATTTCTTTCAGCAGTGTTTTGTAGTTTTCCTTGCAGAGGTCTTTTGCATCCTTGATTAGGTATATTCCTAAGTATTTTAATTTTTTCACAGCTATTATAAAGGGTGTTGAGTTCTTGATTTGATTCTCTGTTTGGTCACTGTTGGTGTATAGAAGAGCTACTGATTTGTGTACATTAATCTTCAATCCAGAAACTTTGTTGAATTCTTTTATCAGTTCTAGGAGCTTTCTGAAGGAGTCTTTAGGGTTTCCGAGGTAAGTGATCATAGCGTCAGCAAACAGTGACAGTTTGACTTCCTCTCTTTACTGATTTGGATGCCCTTTATTTCTTTCTTGTCTGATTGCTCTGGCTAGGACTTCCAGTACTACGTTGAAGAGGAGTGGTGAGAGTGGGCATCCTTGTCTTGTTCCAGTTCCCAGAAGGAATGCTTTCAACTTTTCCCCATTCAGTATTATGTTGGCTGTGGGTTTGTCATAGATAGCTTTTATTAAATTTAGGTATGTCCCTTGTACGTCAATTTTGCTGAGAGTTTTAATCATAAAGGGATGCTTGGATTTTGTCGAATGCTTCTTCTCTACCTATTGAGATGATCATGTGATTTTTGTTTTTAATTCTGTTTATGTGGTATATCACATTTATTGACTTGCATATGTTAAACCACCCCTGCCCTGCATCCCTGGTATAAAACCCACTTGGTCATGGTGGATTACCTTTTTGATATGTTGCTGGATTCAATTAGCTAGTATTTTGTTAAGGATTCTAGCATCTATGTTCATCAGGGGTATCGGTCTGTAGTTTTCTTTTTTGGTTGTGTCCTTTCTTGGTTTTGGAATTAGGGTGATGCTGGCTGCATAGAATGAATTAGGGAGGGTTCCTTCTTTCCCTATCTTGTGGAATAGTGTCAAAAGGATTGGTACCAATTCCTCTTTGAATGTCTGGTAGAATTCTATTGAAAATCCATCTGGTCCTGGGCTTTTTTTTGTTGGTAATTTTTAAATTACCATTTCAGTCTTGCTGCTTGTTATTGGTCTGTTCAGGGTATCTAATTCTTCCTGATTTAAGCTAGGAGGGTTGTATTTTTCCAGAAATTCATCCACCTCTTCTAGGATTTCTTATTCTTTTTATTTTCTTTCTTTCTTTCTTTTTTTTTTTTTTTCTCGAGATGGAGTCTCATTCTGTCACCCAGACTGGAGTGCAGTGGCACAATCTCAGCTCACTGCAACTTCCACCTCCTGGGTTCAAGCGATTATCCTGCCTCAGCCTCCTGCATAGCTGGGACTACAGGCATGCACCACTACGCCTGGCTAACTTTTGTATTTTTAGTAGAGATGGGGTTTCACCATATTAGCCAGGCTGGTCTTGAACTCCTGACCTCGTGATCCACCCACCTCAGCCTCCCAAAGTGCTGGGATTACAGATGTGAGCCACCGCGTCCAGCCTCTTCTAGGTTTTCTAGTTTATGTGCAGAAAGGTGTTCATAGTAGCCTTGAATGATCTTTTGTATTTAAGTGGTGTCAGCTGTAATATCTCCCATTTCATTTCTTATTGAGCTTATTTGGATTTTCTGTCTTCTTTTCTTGGTTAATCTTGCTATGGTCTATCAATGTTATTTATCTTTTCAAAGAACCAGCTTTTTGTTTCATTTTTTTGTTTGTTCGTTTGCATTTTGTTTGTTTCAATTTCATTAGGTTCTGCTCTGATCTTGGTTATTTCCTTTCTTCTGCTGGATTTGGGTTTGCTTTGTTCTTGTTTCTCTAGTTCCTTGAGGTGTGACCTTAGAATGTGAGTGTGTGCTCTTTCAGTCTTTTTGATATGAGTGTTTAGGGCCATGAAGTTTCCTCTTAGCACCGCCTCTGCTGTATCCCAGGGGTTTTGATAGGTTGTGTCATTTTTGTCGTTCAGTTCAAAGACTTTTTAAAATTTCCCTCTTGATTTCGTTTTTGACCCAATGCTTATTCAGGAGCAGCTTATTTAATTTCTATGTATTTGCATGGTTTCGAAGGTTCATTTTGAAATTGGTTTCCAGTTTTATTCCACTGTGGTCTGAGAGAATGCTTGATATAATTTCAATTTTCTTAAATTTATTGAGGCTCATTTTGTGGCCTCATGGTGTATCTTGGAGAAAGTTCCATGTGCTGTTGAATAGAATGTGTGTTCTGTGGTTGTTGGATGAAATGTTCCTATATATCTGTGAAGTCCATTTGTTCCAAGGTATAGTTTAAATCCATTGTTTCTTTGTTGACTTTCTGTCTTGATGACCTGTCTAGTGCTGTCAGTGGAGTATTGAAGTCCCCCACTATTATTGTGTTGCTGTCTATCTCATTTCTTATGTCTAGTAGTAACTGTTTTATAAATTTGGGAGCTCTAGTGTTAGGTGCATATATTTTTAGGATTGTGATATTTTCCTGTTGGACAAGGCCTTTTACCGTTGTATAATGTCCCTCTTTGTCTTTTTTAACTGCTGTTGCTTTAAAGTTTGTTTTGTCTTATATAAGAATAGCTACCCCTGCTCACTTTTGGTGTCCATTTGCGTGAAATGCCTTTTTCCATCTCTTTACTTTATGTGAGTCTTTATGTGTTAGGCGAGTCTCTTGAAGGCAGCAGATGTTTGGTGAGTTCTTATCCATTCTGCAGTTCTGTATCATTTAAGTGGGGCATTTAGGTAATATCTTGTCATATTACCGGAGTTGGTTTTCTGGTTCCTTCTCATTTGGGTAGGCTCTGTCAGAGGGAAGGGCTAGGGCTGAAGGGTGTCGTTCAGATTCTTTTTTTTTTTTTTTGAGATGGAGTCTCGCCCTGTCTCCCAGGCTGGAGTACAGTGGTGCGATCTCTGCTCACTGCAAGCTCTGCCTCCCGGGTTCACGCCATTCTCCTGCCTCAGCCTCCCAAGTAGCTGGGACTACAGGTGCCCGCCACCACGCCCAACTAATTTTTTGTATTTTTTAGTAGAGACGAGGTTTCACCATGTTAGCCAAGATGGTCTTGATCTCCTGACCTTGTGATCCGCCCACCTCGGCCTCCCAAAGTGCTGGGATTACAGGCGTGAGCCACCGCGCCCGGCCCGTTCAGATTCTTTTGTCCCATGAGGTGTTCCCTTGATGTAGTACTCTCCCCCTTTTCCTATGGATGTGACTTCCTGAGAGCAGAGCTGCAGTGATTGTTATCTCTCTTCTGGGTCTAGCCACCCAGCAAGTCTACCAGGCTTTGGGCTGGTACTGGAGTTTGTCTGCACAGAGTCCTGTAATGTGAGCCATCTATGGGTCTCCCAGCTGCGGATACCAGCGCCTGTTCTGGTGGAGGTGGAGGGTGCCAGGGAGTGAAATGGACTCTGTGAGAGTTCTTAGCTTTGGTGGTTTAATGCACTATTATTGTGCTGGTTGACCTCCTGCCAGGAGGTGGTGCTTTCCAGAGAGCGTCAGCTGTGGTAGTATGGAGAGGAACTGGTTGTGGGTAGGGCCCTAGAACTCCCAAGTGTATATGCCCTTTGTTTTCAGCTACCAGGGTGGGTAGAGAAGGACCATCAGGTGGGGGAAGGGGCTAGGCGTGTCTGAGTTCAGACTCTCCTTGGGCGGGTCTTGCTGTGACTGCTGTGGGAGATGGGGGTGAGGTTCCCAGGTCACTGGAGTTGTGTGCCTGGGAGGATTATGGCTGCCTCTTCTGAATCATGCAGGTTGATAGGGAAGTGAGGGAAAGCTGGCAGTCACAGGCCTCACCCAGCTCCCACACAATCTGAAGGGCTGGTCTCACTCCTACTGTGTCCCTGCTAACAGCACCAAGTCTGTTTCTAGGCAGTGGGCAAGCAGGGCTGAGAACTTGCCCCAGGCTACCCGCCTCCTGGCTGTGAAAGAAAAAGGCTTTAGTTCTTCCCCTACCTGTGGAGTCTGCACGCTGGATTCACGCCCCCCATCCCCACCCAAAGTTCTGGCCAGGAGGCTTCTCACCTGCTTCAAATTGTTACAAAGTTCAACTGAAGACTTTCTTCTCCCTGCGGTGTTTTCCCCCCGCCTCTGGCCACCCTCCCAAAGATCCCTGTGGTGCCAGGCAGGAATGGGCTGCTTGGGGACCCAGCAAGCTCCCAGGGCCTTTCCTGCTGCTTCCTCTACCTCTGTATTTTGCGTGACTCTCTAAATTGACTCAGCTTCAGGTGAGGTCAGAAACTTCTCCCGCAAACAAGACCTTCAGTTTCCCCAGTGGGGGTATGTGCCTCAGGGGCGGAAGATCTCCCTTTCCCACTTTCACACTTTGGACACACAATATTTGGGGTGTCTCCTGGGTCCTGCAGGAGCAGTCCACTTCCTTCAGAGGGTCTGTGGGTCCTCTTGGGATTCCTGGTTTATTCCTGCAGTTGTTCTGGAGCTAAAATTCACGACGCTAGCCTCTGCATGCTGCTCTGTCCATCCAAGTCAGAGCTGCAATCTAGTTCTGCCTCCCACTTGCCATGATGATCCCTTTATTTTGATTCACTTCCACTTAATGAATAGTAAATATATTTTATCTTCCTTATGATTTTCTTAATAAAATTTTATTTTCTCTAATTACTGTAAGAATATAGTATATAATATGTATATGTTAATCGATTGTTTGTTATCAGTAAGGCTTCCAGTCAACAGTAGGCTATTAGTAGTTAAATTTAGGGGCAGTCCAAAGTTATACATAGATTTGTGGCTTCACAGGGGGTCAGTGCCCTCAAGCCCCATGTTGCTCCAGGGTCAACTGTAGATTAATGGTTGCCTGGGGCTGGGAGAGGGGAGAATGATGAGTTTCTTCTGATGAGTATGGGTTTCCTTTTGGAGATAAAAAAATGATGAAATTGACTGTGGGGGGTCGATGGGTGCAAAACTCTGAATATAGCAAAAACGATTAAATTAAACAATTGATGTTTTTAAAATAAGAAAACGCTAAACCCCATCAAAAAATGAGCCAAAGCCCTGGGTGTGGTGGCTCACGCCTGTAATCCCAGCAGTTTGGGAGGCCAAGGCAGGTGGATCACCGGAGGTCAAGAGTTTGAGACCAGCCTTACCAGCATGGTGAAACCCTGCCTCTACTAAAAAAAAAAAAAAAAAAATTACCTGGGGATGGTGGCACATGCCTATAATCCCAGCTACTCAGCAGGCTGAGGCAGGAGAATCACTTGAACCCGGGAGGTGGAGGTTGAAGTGAGCCAAGATCATGCAATTGCATTCCATCCTGGGCAACAAGAGCAAAACTCCGTCTCAAAAAAAAGAAAAAAAGAACCAAAGATCTTTTTTTTTTTTTGAGACAGAGTCTCGCTCTGTCACCCAGGCTGTAGTGCAGTGGCGCAATCTCGGCTCACTGCAAGCTCCGCCTCCCAGGTTCACACCATTCTCCGGCCTCAGCCTCCCAAATAGCTGGGACTACAGGAGCCCGCCACCACGTCCGGCTAATTTTTTTTTTTTTTTTTTTTTGTATTTTTAGTAGAGACAGGGTTTCACCGTGTTAGCCAGGATGGTCTGGATCTCCTGACTTTGTGATCTGCCCGCCCCAGCCTCCCAAAGTGCTGGGATTACAGGCGTCAGCCACCACGCCCGGCCATGAACCAAAGATCTTAACAGGCACCTCACCATAGAAGATACACAGATGGCAAATAAGCATATGAAAAGATGCTCAACATTATACCTCATCAGGGAAATGCAAATTTAAACAAAGAGGCACCACTACACACCTATTAGAATGGCCAAAACCCAGAACACTGACAACACCAAATGTTGATGAGGATGTGGAGCAACACAAAGGCTCACTCTTTGCTGGTGGGAATGCAAAATGTTTCAGCCACTTTGGAAGACAGTTTGGCAGTTTCTTACAAAACACAACATATTCTTCACGTACAGTCCAGCACTCACACACCTTGGTATTTACCCAAGTGAGTTAAAAAAATTATGTCCACACAAAACCTGCACACAGGTGTTGATTTATTCATAGTTGCCAAAATTCAGAGGCAACCAAATGTCATTTGGTAGGTGAATGGATAAATATACTGGTACATCTGGACAATGGGGTATTACTCAGTACTAGAAGGAAATGAGCTAACAAACCAGGAAAAGACATGGAGGAAAGTTAAGTGCATGTTACTAAGTGAAAGAAGCCAATCTGAAGGGCTATAGGCTGTATAATTCCAATGACATGACATTTTGGAAAAGGCAAAACTATGGGGACAGTAAAAAATCATTGATCATTGTCGGGGAGGGAGGGATAAGACACAGAACGCAGAGGATTTTTAGGGCAGTGAAACTGCTCTGTATGACACTATAATGGTGGATGTCATCATACATTTTTTTCAAACCCATAGAACGTAAGATACCAAGAGTGAACCCTAATGTAAACTCTGGATTTTGTGTCATAGTGATGTGTCAATGTAGATTCATCAATTGTAAGAAATGTACCAATCTGGTGGAAGATGTTGATAGTAGGAAAGGCTATGCATGTGCAGGGATAGAAGAAATATGGGAACTCTGTATCTATTCCAGTATTTTTTTTTTTTTGAGATAGGATCTCACTCTGTCACTCAGGCTGAAGTGCAGTGGCTCAATCACAGCTCATTGCAGCCTCGACCTCCTGGGCTCAAGCGATCCTCCAACCTCAGCCTCCCAAGTAGCTGGGATTACAGGAAAGTGCCACCATGCCCAGCTAATTTTTTTGATGTTTAGTAGAGACAAGATCTTGCTATGTTGCCTAGGCTAGTCTCAAATTCCTAGGGTCCAGCAATCCACCTGCCCCGGCCTCCTAAAGTGCTGGGATTACAGGCATGAGCCACCGTGCCTGGCCTCCACTTATTTTTGCTATGAACCTAAACTGCTCTAAAAAATAAAGTCTATTTAAGAAAATTAACTAAATGAAAGAGAAAAGGGAGATGGTATAGCTCCTGCCCTAATGGAGTATACTTACTAGTATGTACTATTCTTGAAAAGAAAAAAAATCCATAAATATTTTTAAAACGTTTTTAAAAGTTGATTCTAAAACTCATTGTACTGGGTAAGGGCACACCAGACAAGCAGTCTCCTTACAAAACAGTGCCCAATACACCCTGTTCCTGCCCAGGTGTACCACAGGGGACCCTTACAGTGCAGTGCCCTTCATCTAGTTAACTGAGAGTAGGGATGGCTTTGAGAGCATCCAACTACATAGAATAAAAAGGGTCTTTGCACTGGAGGCTCTTAAGAGAAGTCAAGCACAAATCCATTGTTTTATAAATGAAAATACTGGAGCTCAGAGAAATTAACTAAAGGTAGAGGGACTTCAGTGGTAAAATGTGTTTTTGATGCATTATCTCACAAAAACCTTAAGAAGTCAGTGATATTAATGTCCCTGATTTAGAGAGGAAGGAAATAAGAGACTAAGGAATTTGTTCAAGTTCACACAGCTATTTAAGTGACAGAATCAACTCTAACTCCAGAGCATATTGTCTGACTTCTATGCTAGAGTTCTCCTTCAGCACTTCTTTTCATAAAATGAATCTACTTGGTGATTATATTATTACTTGATCATTTGTTTTGAATTCTAGTCCTCGGAAAAGTTCATGTTTTCTTTGGTTTGTTTTCTAGGATTCCTTTTCAGAACAAATCATTCCACTTTATAGTGCTATAACAGTCCTCTCATTAAAGGAACTATAATTTTTTTTCTATCACAGCATTCTAAAGCTTCAATGCCAACAGCCACTCCAACCTCCCCTTTATACATGTCCCAAATGTATAACCTAAAAGGACTTATGTGAAAATCTGAAGTTTCATTCATTTGTTTATGTATTACTTCATTCAGCAAATATTTATTGAGCACTTATTGTAAGAC
Source organism: Homo sapiens (assembly GCF_000001405.40). NCBI lineage: Eukaryota > Metazoa > Chordata > Mammalia > Primates > Hominidae > Homo > Homo sapiens. Next base: position 227,397,766 of record NC_000001.11, on the reverse strand, counting down.
AGGCCTTGGGTATACAATGAATATAACAGACATGATCCTTGCAGCCATGGAGCCTGTAGTCTAAGGGAGGAATATAGACATTAAACAAGCACAATCAGTACTTAGAATTATAAGCCATATTAAGCGCTATGAGGAAAATAAATGGAAAACCATGAGAGACTACAAGAGAGGACTGGATTTTGATTGGGAGACCAAGAAAGGCCTCTTTGAAAAAATGATGAGCCGAGAGCATCAGGATGAGTTAGTGTCAGAAAGGCGAGGTTTAGGTGGAAGGTTATAGGGTGGGGCACATGCAGCATTTCAGGAAAATGAACTGCATATGTGAAAGATCCAAGATAAGATGGTGTTTGCATGGTTAAGAACCGAAAACAACTTAATGTGGCTAGAGTGTAGTAAGTGAGGAGCGTGGTAGGAGATGAGGTTGGAGATTTAAACTTAAATCTGATCATGCAGATGCTTGCAGTCCATATAAGGACTTCTCCTTATATGAGAGGAGGGAAATGGGCTTCTCCACTCTCTGGTCCCACCAGAAAGTTTTCAGAACATTTTTCACGAAAATAAATTCTCTTCAGAGGAACCAGGTGGGTATCTGAACTTCCTTTGAAGTAGGATTTTACCGTTGCCACAGGACTCTCAGAAGTCTGATCCTTTTAGTCACTAACCATATAAGGATCCTTATCAAGGTTTGAACTATGTTTCAAAGATCTCTCTGGCCACCATAGTGAGCATAAGAGGGAGGGGCAGGAAAAGAGGGTGGGATGGTGCGTAGCAATTGAGTTGCAGTAGTCCATTTGAGAGGGAATAAGGACTTGGAGACGGAGAAATAGGAAAAGACTTGAGAAATATTTTGAAAGTGGAATCAGTAGTATTTGGTAATGGGCTGGCGGTTATAAGCAAAGGAGAGGGCATTTGAAAAGATGACTCCTAGGTTTGTGGCTTTAGCAAATGAACAGATGGTAGTAACATATATTTAGATAAGGAAGATGGGAGGAGGAAGATCAAGAGTTCAGGTTTGGACAAGTTAAATTTCAGTTGCCTCTGAGATATGTGAGTAGGCAGTTGGCTACACAAGCCTGGAGGTCAGAAAAAAGGCCTGGACTGGAGATTAAAATGTGGGTGTTAACAGCATTTGGTGATATTTAAACCCACAGAACTGGGCCGGGCACAGTGACTCACCCCTGTAATCCCAACACTTTGGGAGGCGGAGATGGGTGGATTACTTGCGGTCAGAAGTTCAAGACCAGCCTAGCCAACACGGAAAAACTCTGTCTCTACTAAAAATACAAAAATTAGCTGGGCATGGTGGCTCATGCCTGTAATCCCAGCTACTCGGGAGGCTGAGGCAGGAGAATCGCTTGAACCCAGGAGGTGGAGGTTGCAGTGAGCCAAGATCACACCACTGCACTCCAGCCTGGGTGACAGAGCGAGACTCTGTCTCAAAAAATAAAATAACCTAAAATGAAATAAAAGTAAAGCTACAGGACTGAATAAGATTACTTGGGGGAAAGTGTAGAGAGAAGAAAGAAACAGGGTCCATAAGGAGTGCCAAGTGGTCTCTAATACATAGAGGCAGAGGAGAGGAGATAGGGTTAGCTGTGAGACTTGGATTAGCCTGGACATAGGAGAAAGGAGAGGACAGCATGGTGACAAAAAGACCAAGGGGAGAGTGTTTCAATAACGGTGCAAGCAACTATGTCTAGTGCTTCTGAGAGGTTAAGTTGAGGTTGGGAATGTATCTACTGTATTTGGTATTGTTGTAGTAGTGTGCTGAAACTGACTCCCATCAGTGCAGAGAATCTATGTGGGCATCTTTTCCCAATTCTGTGTTTAGTGATGACACATTGGTAGCCATGGTGGGAGTATTTCCACTGTGGAAGTTAGCAACCACTTCTATGGTTTTTTTTGTTTGTTTGTTTTGTTTTGTTTTTGGAGAGCTGGTTGTAAACATGTAACAGCATGCCACTGACAATATGACTCCATTTGTAATAAGCTGAAAAGGGAAATGGCCTTCTCTGCTCTCTGGTCTCGTCAGAAAGTTTTCATGAAAATAAATTATCCTCAGAGGAACCAGCTGGGTGTCTGAACTTCCTTTGAAGTGGACTTCTACCTTTGCCACTGGACTCTCTAAAGTCTTAGCCTTTTAGTCACTAACCTTCACAAATCTGATGCCGACCAACAGGAAAAAAAAAATCAATGTGGTCATATGAAGAATTCCTTCCAACTCTGAGATGCTGTGATTCTGTGTTGGCTGCAAGAAATTCCAGGAAGCACAAGCAGTAAACCACATTTCATTTACTCCTGGGCTTATTTACTTGGTAAAAATAATCATTAGAAAATTCCAGAATCCAGGGGCTAAGAAATGATATTTTCCACATCTTTTTTATTTTTGAAAAATGTTTACTATTTTATAAAAAAAAAAAAAGTAGATAAAAAAATTAACTGTGGCTGGGCACAGTGGCTCATGCCTGTAATCTCAGCACTTTGGGAGGCCAAGGCAGGCGGATCACTTGAGGCCAGGAGTTCGAGACCAGCCTTCCCAACATGGCAAAACACCGTCTCTACTGAAAATACAAAAATTAGTTGGGCGTGGTGGCACACGCCTGTAATCTCAGCTACTCAAGAGGCTGAGGCAGGAGAATTGTTTAAACTCAAGATCACGCCACTGCCCTCAAGCCTGGCAACAGAGTGAGACTATGTCCCCCCCAAAAATATTAATTGAAATATTAATTGAATATTGATTGAATATTAATTGAATTATCACTACTTGAAGCCAGAGGCAAGGCAGGCTTCTCCTACTCTAGAAAGGAAAAAGAAGAGGAATATTTAATAATTTAGATGTTCTTAGAATATGGAATTGTTAAGTATGCAAGTTAACACTATGAGGACAACTACTAAAATAAATAAGATACCATGTCTGGCTCCTAAAGTAACAGCAGAAGAAAAAAGGACTATAGAAAATGTTTTCAACACAAGAGAAGGAAGGAAAAAGGAAAAAATAAGCAAAGAATGATAAACATAAGATGAAAAAATAAGAAAATTAAAAATAAGTTGAAACATTATCATTAGCCTCAGCAACCATAAACGTGTTAAACATTGACTTTCAAAAAGAGATTATCAGAATGATTTTTTTTTTCCAGACAGAGTCTCGCTCTGTCACACAGGTTGGAGTGCAATGGCATGATCTAGGCTCACTGCAACCTCCAGTCCATCAGGATCAAGCGATTCTTCTGCCTCAGCCTCCCAAGTAGCTGAGATTACAGGCACACGCCACCACACCTGTATTTTCAGTACAGACAGGGTTTCACTATGTTGGTCAGGCTGGTCTCAAACTCCTGACCTCAAGTGATTCACCCGCCTTGGCCTCCCAAGTGAGAATGAATTTTTTAAAACCCCAAATCCGTCCAGGCGTGGTGGCTAACACCTGTAATCCCAACACTTTGGGAAGACGAAGTGGGCAGATCACCAGAGGTCAGGAGTTCAAGACCAGAGACCAGCCTGGTCAACATGTTGAAACTCCGTCTCTACTAAAAATACAAAAATCAGCTGGGTGTGGTGACACATGCCTGTGGTCCCAGCTACTCAGGAGGCTGAGGCATGAGAATAGCGTGAACCCAGGAGGCGGAGGTTGCAGTGAGCCGAGATTGTGCCATTGCACTCCAGCCTGGGAGACAGGAGTGAAACGCCACCTCAAAAAAAAAAAAAAAAAAATGCATTGAATACACCTAACTTACCAAACATCACAGCTTAGCTTAGCCTAAATTAAATGTGCTCAGAACACATACATTAGCCTACCATTGGACAAAACCATCTAATACAAAGCCTATTTTTCAATATCTTGTGTAATTTATTGAATACTGTACCGAAAGTGAAAAATTGAATAGTTGCATGGTTACTTGAAGTATAGTTTCTACTGAATTGCTTTTAAAGCATTGTATAGTTGAAAAATTGTAAGTTGAACCATCGTTATCAGTATAGGCAGGGCCGTGCTCCCTCTGAAGGTGCTAGGAAAGGAATTACTCCATGCCTCTCTCACAACTTCTGGCAGCTTCAGATGTTCCTCACCTTGTAGGTGCACCACTCCAAGCCTGTCTTTACATGATGTTTTCCCTGTGTGTCTTCACATCATCTTCCTCTGTGTCTATGTCTGTGTCCATATTTCCCTCTTCTTTTAAGGACACCAGTCTTGTTGGATTAGAGGCCCACCCTACTCCACTATGACCTCATCTGAACTTAGCTAATTGCATCTGCAATGACCCCGTTGCCAAATAAAGTCACATTCTGAAGTACTGGAGATTGAAACTTAAACCTATCTTTGGGCAGGGGGCACAATTTGACCCATAACAGAAGGAGGCATCAGTAAAAATAAGGGCAGAAAAGGCTGAAATAGAAACCAAAGTCATAAAATAGAGTAAATAAATACAAATGAAAGTTAGTTTTAAGAAAAAAATCCGGTTTGATTACCCAATCTTTAATAAGACTGATAAAGAAACAAAAGAGCACAAATAAACTATATTAGGAATCATAAAGAGATACAATTGCACCCACAGATATATAAAATCACAGATCATTGCACTATAAAAAAGAATACTTATTTATTTATTTATTTATTTATTTATTTATTATTTTTGGAGATGGAGTCTCATTCTGTTGCCCAGGCTGGGTGCAGTGGTGCCATCATAACTCACTGAAGCCTCGAAATCCCAGGCTCAAGCAATCTGCCTGCCTCAGTCTCCCAAGGAGCTGAAACTACAGGCATGTACTAGCATGCCTGGTCAATTTTTTAAAAATGTTTTTGGAGAGATGGGGTGGGGGGGCGGGTCTTACTATGTTGCCCAGGCTGGTCTTGAACTCCTGACCTCAAGCCATCCTTCCACCTCAGCCTCTCAAAGTTCTGGGATTACGGATGTGAGCCATCATGCCCAACCGATATTTATTTTTAAAGCAAATTCTACAGATCTTCGAGGGAATAGCACTTAAGACTATTTTTAAAACTTGGATGGGTAGGTGATCACATATCTCTATTTATAATAGCTATGTGTCTTCTCTTAGCTATATTGGATTTTTTTTTTTTTTTTTGAGACAGAGTCTCACTCTGTCACCCAAGCTGGAATGCGGTGGCGTGATCTCGGCTAACTGCAACCTCTGCCTCCCGGGTTCAAGCGATTCTCCTGCCTCAGCCTCCCATGTAGCTGGAATTACAGGCACCCGCCACGCCTGGCTAATTTTTGCAGTTTTAGTAGAAATGGAGTTTCACCATGTTGGCCAGGCTAGTCTCAAACCCCTGACCTCAGGTGATCCGTCCGCCTCACCCTCCCAAAGTGCTGGGATTACAGGCATGAGCCACTGCACCTGGCTATATTGGATCTTATTTTCAGGATTTTAGAGAAAAAAAGGAAGAACTAAGAAATGTGCCCTTAGCTAGTAGGAAGCTGTGGGGTTAGAAAAACAATTACTAGGAACTTTTAATGCTAACCATTAAGTAAATATTTTAGTATATTTGAACACACAGAGCATATATTTTTACCTACTCAAATGTTTCTATGTGGATATGAAAATATATACACAAGAAAATGATAATGGAGCTACTGACAGATGCTTTGGTACAGCTGCAAAATGCAAATATTTCTCTATGTATATTCATGTTCGCTCCAGAGATAAAGATCGACAAACCTGCTGAGCTGGTATTTTATGCACTATTTTTCTGTCTGCTTTTTAACAAGGGGCTCCACATTCCACATACGATCTACATTTCATTTTAACTCCCAAGTTCTTGGCTTTACTCTTTTCATGTCAGCTTTATCCTTTTAACCACCTGTTCGATAGTGATTTCTCAGCTTCAAATTCTAGCTTGCTTTTCTTCCCCCTCAGAAATGTCCTGTAATTTTATTTATTGTTTCCTGAAGTGTGGCACTTGCTCATAATTTCATGAATGACAGCCTTTTCCCAAAGGGAACCAAAATAGTAGTTATTCTCCAGCTCCACTTCACAACCATATTTAAATGCAAATACAATCACTTCCATTCTATCTGCTTTGCTTCTCATATCTGATCTAAACTATCAAGACATTACCAAAATCTAGCTTTTGTTTTTTGTGATGGTGACTTTTCATTTTTATATACACGTTTTTGGGGTTGTTCAAGAATTATATAATGCCCAGGTACAAGTTATAAGATAGCTGTACTATGGCTACACTTCATTATTAAGTAGACTATTTGATTTCCTCTACACTTATCAATCTATCCCTGTGCTTTTGCTTTTATTGGTCTCCCGGCCTGGACATTTAGTTCCTCTTTGCTTCTGTTACCCAATTGATAAAGACAGTGGGGCCTGGAGCCTGACTTACCTAAGATCACACAGTTAATTAGGACATAACTGAGCCTAGAGATAATCTCTGGACTCCTGGTCCCCTGGGATCTTTCCACCGCACCCCACTGCTTTCTTCAAGGTTTAGTTCAAATAATGCCTATCTAAGAAGTCTTCTTGAAACCTTCAAACAGAAGTAATCTGTCCTTTCGTTCAGCACCTGCATGCTTGAATTGCAGCCCCTCGGATGCTTATCCCTTTATTTATTTGTTTGTTTGTTTGTTTGTTTGTTTATTTTTGAGACGGAGTTTCGGTTTTTTTGCCCATGCTGAAGTGCAATGGCGCGATCTCGGCTCCCTGCAACCTCTGCTTCCCGGGTTCAAGCGATTCTCCTGCCTCAGCCTCCTGAATAGCTGGGATTACAGGCATGTGCTACCACGCCCAGCTAATTTTGTATTTTTAGTACAGACAGGGTTGCTTATCACTTTTTATTTGGCACTATTGTTATTCATGTACAGGCCTTTATTTCCTCTCTTCATGTCCAGTTCTTTGAGACTCGAACCTGCTTTACTTTTGTGTCTCTCATATCACCTAGCCTTCTTGTATTAGTAGGTGCTCAATGTGTATTTGTTAAATTAATTAGACCCCTTTCACATTTTGCACAACTTGTGGTCATGGAAATCATGTGTAAGCCAGAAACCCCAGCATGCCAGTTGGCTTGGGGAATTCTTTTGAGCCATGCCTTTCTGCCTGTTGCTCAACACTTCTGTGGTTCTAGAACTTCATTGTCCAAGAGAACTTTCTGTAATGATGGAAACGTTTTATATCTGCACTATCCAATATGGTACCACTAGCCACATATGGCAATTGGCCACCTACATGTGGCTAGTGAGACTGAAGAAGTAAAATTTTAATTTTATTGAACTTTAATTAATTTATATTTAAATAGCCACATATGACTAACAGCTGCCACATTGTACAGCATGGTTTTAGGCACCCCATTTTGATAAATTCACTTGTCTTGTCCCATTCAACTTGGTTACATAATTCTAGATGGCCTGCTGCTCAGTGAGAAATGACATTTTTGTCCTCAAGTCTCCAGCCTTCAAGATTCCATGCCTTACATTCCTCTTTCCCCACTTTTCTCCTCAGGAGAAAGATGAGATTCCTAAAGATTTTCCTAAGCACTCTGATCTTCACCCATCTTTCTTGCTCAGAATCTGACTGTGTTGGTAAAGCACCAGGGTATAAATGTCTAATGCCTAGGTGTATGGTGTTTGCTGCTATTTTGAATCTTAGATTTTGCTAAATAGATTATAAACTTCTTGAGTGTAAGGACCATGCATTCCATATCTTCTGGATCCTCCCTGTTGCCTATTCCACTGCCAGTTATATTGTAAATGTTCTATAAATATTAATCAATTGATTGATTTAAGGTGGAAAAATGGTCTGGGAGCAGTGGCTCACACCTATAATCTCAGCACTTTGGAAGGCCAAGGTGGGCGGGTCACTTGAGGCCAGGATTTCTAGATCAGCCTGGGCAGCATAATGAGACCCAGTCTCTACAAAATTTTTTTAAAAGTTTGCTGGGCATTATGGTGTGTGCCTGTAATCCCTGCTGCTTGGGAGGCTGAGGTTGAGCCCGGGAGGTTGAGGCTGCCGTGAGCTGTGATAGCACTACTGCATTCCAGCCTGGTTTACAGAGTGAGACCCTGTCTCAAAAAAAAAAAAAAAAAAGGAATCTAGTACGAGCAAGAAAGGACAATATCTGAGAAATAGGGAAGGGGGTTGTCAAAATCTCAAGATTTACTTAGCACCCTAAAGACTAAAGGACTTTTAGAATTATTTCACTTATTCCCATAATTGTTTCACAAACGCCCGTTCGTATTATTTAGTATTAGTCATCTAAAGAACTCAATTTAAACAATTTTTCAGAGTACGCAGGTGGCAACACTATGTTAGCCATTTTGAACGTATTCCTTCCTAAGAGGGTCTTCTATCAAAGAAACTTTTATTATTGTTATTTTTATTTTTTAAATAGAGATGGGGTCTCCCTATGTTGCCCAGGCTGATCTTAAACTCCTGGGCTCAAGCAATCTTCCCACCTCAGTCTCCCAAAGTTCTGGGATTACAGGTCTGAGCCACCACACCTAGCCTACCAAAGAAACTTTCTGATCATGTTTATGAACCTCATCGTAGATAACTTACTGGGAAATTGAGGAGTTGTTAGGTACCTAAAACAGCACATTTGGTGGAAGTAGGATAAGAATGTGTCGCATATTTGTTTAAAACCTTCTCAAGGTAGGCTCTTGAATGTATATAATGCCATCCTGCTTTTGTGGATGAGGTAATAAAAGCAAAGGTGTTAGTGTCATGCCTAGGTCTATGGAAAGTATTTTGGTTTACTTTTCCTTCTTCCTTTAGCACCCAAATTACACTTTAGCAAGATTGAGCTCCTGTGGAAACCTAGCCTATGGCAAAATTCCTGCTGACCACACCCTGTGTGAGACCACAGTCAGTCTTTAAGAGGCTCTGCCAGGAGGACTTAGTAAATTAATGATAGCTGCAAAGTTAGAAGGCCCAACCTGGAATTCTCTCTCCTGTAGAGCCACACTGCCTTCCTGCCTGTGCTCCAACCATTATCTCACAGTGCCCAAAATATGAAAAGAAAATTAGGAGCCAGGAGGGAGTTGTCTTTGTGGGACAAGAATTTCAGCTGGCAGTAGTTAATCATATTTTTCCAGCTATTTTGACATGCATTATATAAGGGAACAAATTCCAAGACAAAACAAAAAATAAAATGCTTGTGACTCTAGAAGTGCAAACATAGGGTAAATTAGAGCTGGCTTTTCTTGTTAACTTTGTATTTACACAGGATGGATTTGTTTAAGTAATTTCTCTTTTTTTATTTACATAAAGCCACAAATCTAGTATGTTATTTCCCGATCCATTTTTATTTCTGCTGATTTTCATATGTTTAAAATGTGTTTTCGTTTTCAACAGGCTGAAAATGCTTATGAATCATATGCACACATACATATGTATAATAAATCACTTTTATAGGACCGATCAAATCTGGCATTCTTTGTAGTCCACAGTGGTTCACATTTTCGAGGCTTTTCACCCTGTTTTGAACTGCAACTTAACACTCACAAAATAGGTTGTTCAAAGGTAAAGGTTCTGCTTACAGGCACTTGCCTTTGACTAGGTACACCTAGATTAAGTCCTGAATAAAATGGAGGAAATAACTTCTGTCTCATCTCCATTTATTTCAGGACTAATGAAGAAAATGCACTTAGTAGTCTGTACCAACGCTGCCCAGTGTAGAAATAACATAGGCGACATGAATATGGTGATTTTTTTTTTTTTTTTGAGATGGTGTCTTGCTCTGTCACCCAGGCTGGAGTGCAGTGGTGCGATCTCGGCTCACTGCAACCTCTGCCTCCCGGGTTCAAGTGATTCTCCTCCCTCAGCCTTCTGAGTAGCTGGGATTACAGTAGCCCACCACCACACCCGGCTAATTTTCGTATTCTTAGTACAGACGGGGTTTTGCCATGTTGGCCAGGCTGGTCTCAAACTCCTGGCCTCAAGTGATCCGCCTGCCTCGGCCTCCCAAAGTGCAGGCGTGAGCCACTGCGCCTGGCCCACTGATTTATTTTCTATTGCTATAGTTCTGCCTTTTCCAGAATGTTATATAAACAGAATCTAATGATATGAGTCTTTCTGGTTCTTTCACTTATCATGATGCATTTGAGATGCATTCCTGTTGGAGTGCCTTTCAATTGTCCTTTCCCTTTTCTTACTAAGCAGTATTCCATGGTATGGATGTACCACAGTTTGTATATCCCTTTTCCCAGTGAAGGATGTTTAGGTTGTGATATGGTTTGGATTTGTGCTCCTGCCCAAATTTCATGTCAAAAGTAATCCCCAGTGTTGGAGAAGGGGCCTCGTAGGTGGTGATTGGATCAGGGGGCAGATTTCCCCCTTGCTGTTCTCGTGATAGTGAGTGAGTTCTCACGAGATCTGGTTGTTTAAAAGTGTGTGACACCTCCTCCTTCCCTCTCTTCCTCCCGCTCCAGCCACATAGGACGTGGTTGCTTCCCCTTCCCTTTCTGTCATGATTGAAAGTTTCTTGAAGCCCCTGCAGCCATGCTACCTGTACAGAACTGTGAGCCAAGTAAACCTTTTTTCTTGATAAGTTACCCAGTCTCAGGTGGTTCTTTATAGCAGTGTGAGAATGGACTATCCAGTGTTTGATGATTACAAATAGAACTACTGTAAACATTCATATACAGGTTTTTCAGTGAACATAAATTTTCATTTCTTTTAGGGTAAATACTCAAGAGTAGTATCAAGGTTTTTTGTTTTTGTTTTTGTTTTTTTGAGACAGGTTCTTGCTTCATCGCCCACGCTGGAGTGCAGTGGCACAACCTTGCTCACTGCAACCTTCCATCTACCGGGCGCAGGTGATTCTTGTGCCTCAGCCTCCTGAGTAGCTGGGATTACAGGCACGCACCATCACACCCAACACATTTTTGTGTTTTTAGTAGAGACAGGGTTTTGCCTTGTTGGCCAGGCTGCTCTCAAACTCCTGGCCTCAAGTGATCTGCCTTCTTCAGCCTCCTGAAGTGCTGGGATTACAGGCGTGACCATCACACCTGGCCTGGTATCAAGGTTTTAAGGTATATGTTTAACTTTATAAAAAATTCCCAAACTGTTTTCCAAAGTAGTTGTACCATTTTATATTCCCATCAACAATGTATGAGAGATCCAGTTTCTCCACAATCTCACCAGCATTCATATTATCATTGTTTTGTATTTTAGCTCTTCTACAAGATGTGTAGGAGATAGTGCTTTTAATTTGCAATTCTCTAATGACTAATGATGTCAAACATCTTCTCATATGCTTTTTTAGCTATTCATATACCTTCTTTAGTGAAATATCCAAGTCTTTATATACATATATATATATATATATATATATATATATATATATTTTTTTTTTTTTTTTTTTTTTTTTTTTTTTTTGAGATAGGGTCTCAGTCTGTCACCCAGGCTGGAGTGCAGTGGCACGATCTCAGCTCAGTGCAGCCTGCACTTCCCAGGCTCAAGTGATCCTCCTACCTCAGCCTCCCAAGTAGCTGGGACCACAGGCATGTGTCATCATGTTCAGCTAATCTTTTAATTTTTTGTGAGGTCTCACTATATTATCTAGGCTAGTCTCAAACTCCTGGGCTCAAATGAGCCTCCCACCTTGGCCTCCCAAAGTACTGAGATTATGGGCAAGAGCCACTGTGCCTGACCACTATTTTCTAATTTGATATTTTTCTAATTGTAGAGTTTAGAAAGGTGTTTTTTGTTTTTTGTTTTTGTTTTTGTTTTTTTTTTTTAGAAAATGGATATATGTCCTTTGTTGGATATGTGATTTGAAAATATTTTCTCTCAGTGTATGCCTTGTATGTTTTAAAAAATAAACTTTATTTTTTAGAGCAGTTTTAGCACAGCAAAATTGAGTGGAAGGTACAGAGATTTCCCATATAAACCTGCCCCTACATATGCATAGCTTCTCCCAGTGCATTTCCACACCTTCCATTGTAGTGGTGCATTTGTTACAACTGATCAACCTACACTGACACATCATTCTCACCCAAAGTCCTGCATTTACATTAGGGTTCACTCTTGGTGTCCTACATTCTATGTGATTGGACAAAGATACAATGACATGTATCTGCCATTATAGTGTCATATAAAGTATTCCACTGCTCTAAAAATCTTCCGTTTTCTATTTACTTACCCCTCCCTCCCCACCAACCCCTAGCCACCAATGATCTTTTTACTGTCTCCATAATTTTGCCTTTTCCAAAATGTCACACAGTTGGAATTAGACAGCATATAGCCTTTCAGATTGGCTTCTTTCACTTAGTAACATGCACTTAACTTCCCTCCATGTCTTTTCATGGTTTGTTAGCTCATTTCCTTCTAGTGCTGAATAATACCCCATTGTCTGGATGTACCAGTTTATTTATCCATTCACCTACTGAAGGACATCTTAGTTGCTTCTGAATTTTGGCAACTATGAATAAATCAACACCTGCGTGCAGGTTTTGTGTGGACATTTTTTTTTTTTAACTCACTTGGGTAAATACCAAGGAGTGTGAATGCTGGATTGTATGTTAAGAGTATGTTGAGGGTTTTTTTTGTTGTTTTTTTGTTTTTTGAGATGGAGCCTGGCTTTGTCACCCAGGCTGGAGTGCAGTGGCCTGATCTCAGGTCACTGCAACCTCCACCTCCTGGGTTCAAGCGATTCTCTGCCTCAGCCTCCCGAGTAGCTGGGACTACAGGCGTGTGCCAACATGCCTGGCTAATTTTTGTATTTTTAGTGGAGACGGAGTTTCACCATATTGGCCAGGCTGGTCTCGATCTCCTGACCTCGTGATCTGCCCACCTCGGCCTCCCCAAGTGCTGGGATTACAGGCATGAGCCACCACGCCCGGCCAAGTATGTTGAGTTTTGCAAGAAACTGCGAAACTGTCTTCCAAAGTAGCTGAACCATTTTGCATTCCTACCAGCAAAGAGTGAGCGTTTCTGTTGCTCCACATCCTCATCAGTATTTGGTGGGGTTAGTGTTCTGGGTTTTGGCCATTCTAATAGATGTGCAGTGGTGTCTTGTTTTAATTTGCATTTCCTGATGAGGTATGATGCTGAGATTTTCATGTGCTTATTTGCCGTCTCTGTATCTTCTTTTGTGGGGTGTTTGTTAAGATCTTTGGCCCAGTTTTAAATTGTTTTTTTTTTATTGTTGCTTTTTAAGAGTTATTTTTATATTTTGGATTACAGCCTTTTATCAGATACTTATTTTGCAAATGTTTTCTCCCCATCTGTGGCTTAGCTTTTCCTTCTCTTGACAGTATGTTTCAAAATTTTTAATATTAGTGAAGTCCAGCTTATTGGTTCTTTCTTTCATGGATTATGCCTTTGATATTTTATCTAAAAAGTCATTTCCAAACCCAAAGTCATCAGATTTTCTCATATGTTATCTTCTAGAAATTTATAGTTTTGTGTTTTATATTTAGATCCGTTTTTGAGTTAATTTTTGTGTAGGGTGTAAGGTCTTTGTCTAAATACATTTTTTTGCCTGTCGATGTCCAGTTATTCCAGCACCATTTGTTGAAAACATTATTTTTTTTTCCATTGCATTGCCTTTGCTACTTTGTCAATGACAAATTAGGATTGCATTGAATTTATAGATCAAGTTAGGAAAAACTGACATCTTGACAACATTGAGTCTTCCTCTCCGTTAATGCGGACTATCTCTCCATTTATTTAATTCTTTGATTTCTTTCAACAGAGTTTTGTAGTTTTCCTCATATAGATCTTGTATATGTTCCATTAGATTTATACTAATTGTTGCATTTTTTGGGTGCTAATGTAAGTAGTATTGTGTTTTTATTTTCAAATTCCACTTATTTGCTGGTATAGAGGAAAAAAATTGACTTGTTTATTAAGCTTGTACCCTGCAATCTTGTTATAATTGCATATCAATTCCGGGAGTTTTTGTTTTATTTATTTATTTTTTAAATGTTTTCTTTATTTTTTATTTTTATTTATTTTTTTATTTTTTTAGACACTTTCGCTCTTGCTGCCCAGGCTGGAGTGCAATGGCGCGATCTCGGCTCACCACAACCTCCGCCTCCCGGGTTCCAGCGATTCTCCTGCCCCAGTCTCCTGAGTAGGTGGGATTACAGGCATGTGCCACCACACTCGGCTAATTTTGTATTTTCAGTAGAGATGGAGTTTGTCCATGTTGGTCAGTCTGGTCTCAAACTCTCAAACTCAGGTGATCTGCCCGTTTTGGCCCCCCAGTTATTTGTTTGTTTTAAGAGGTAAGGTCTCTGGCCGGGTGCGGTGGCTCACGCCTGTAATCCCAGCACTTTGGGAGGCTGAGGCGGGCAGATCACGAGGTCAGGAGATCAAGACCATCCTGGCTAACACGGTGAAACCCCATCTCTTCTAAAAATACAAAACCAAAATTAGACAGGCTTAGGGGCGAGCGCCTGTAGTCCCAGCTACTCGGGAGGCTGAGGCGGGAGAATGGCATGAATCTGGGAGGCGGAGCTTGCAGTGAGCTGAGATCGTGCCACTGCACTCCAGCCTGGGCGACAGAGCGAGACTCCTTTAAAAAAAAAAAAAAAAAAGGTGGGGAGGGGGTGCCGGGCGCAGTGGCTCACACCTGTAATCCTAGCACTTTGGGAGGCCGAGGTGGGCGGATCACGAGGTCAGGATATCGAGACCATCCTGGCTAACACGGTGAAACCCCGTCTCCACTAAAAAATACAAAAAAATTAGCCAGGCATGGTGGCGGGCACCTGTAGTCCCAGCTACTTGGGAGACTGAGGCAGGAGAATGGCGTGAACCTAGGAGGCGGAGCTTGTAGTGAGCCGAGGTCGCGTCACTGCATTCCAGCCTGGGCGACAGAGCAAGACTCCGTCCAAAAAAAAAAAAAGAGGTAAGGTCTCATTATGTTGCCCAGGCTGGCCTCAAACTCCTGGGCTCAAGTGATCACCCCAACTCAGCCTTCCAAGTAGCTGGGACTACAGGCATGAGCCACCACACCTGGCTAATTCCAAGAGTTTGGGGGCAATTCTTTCAGATTTTCTACATAGGCAGTCATATCATCTACAACAAAGACAGTTTCATTTCTTCCTTCCTATCACTCCACTTTTTATTTTCTTTCCTTATCTTATTGCATTAGCTAGGACTTCCAGTATAATGTTGAAAGGGGTAGTATGGCTAGGTGCAGTGGCTCATGCCTGTAATTTCAGCCCTTTGGGAGGCTGAGATAGGAGGATCACTTGAGCCCAGGAGTCCAAGACTGGCCTGGGCATGGGAGACCCATATTTCCAAAAAAAGCTTTTAAAATTAGTTGGGCATGGTGTTGCGTGCCTGTGGTCCTAGCTACTTGAGAGGCTGAGATGGAAGGATCACTTGAGCCCAGGAGGTCGAGGCTGCAGTGAACCAGGTTTGCACCACTGCACTTTTGCCTGGATGACAGAGCAAGAGAAAGAAAGATGAAGGAAGGAAGGAAGGAAGGAAGGAAGGGAGGGAGGAAGGGAGGGAGGGAGGGAAGAAAAATGAAGGAGAAAGAAACCAATGAACGATAGGTGACGGACATCTTTGTATTGATCCTGATCTTAGTGGGAAAGCTTAATTTTCTCACCATTAAGTACGATGTTAGCTGTTTTGTTTTTTTTTTTTAGTAGTCCCTGTGAAGGGACTTGAGGACATTCCTCTGTGTTCCTAGTTTACTGAGAGTTTTTATCATGAACGGGTGTTGGATTTTATCTAATGCTTTTGCTATATCTATTGATATGATAATGTTAGTTTTATTCTTTATCTTGTTGAGATGATAGATTACATTAGTTGATTTTAGTTGAATTTTTTAAATGTTGAATCATCCTTGCACACCTGAGTTAAATTCCACCTGGTTATAGTGTATAATTCCTTTTCTACATTGTTGAATTTGATTTGCTAATATTTTGTGAAGGATTTTTGTATCTGTGTTCCTGAGAGATATTGTTCTGTAGTTTTCTTTTCTTGTAATGTCTACTCTGATTTTGGTTTAGGGTGATACTGGCTTCACAGTATGAGTTAGGAAGTATTCCCTCTGCTTCTGTCTTCTGAAAAAGATTGTAAAGAATTGGTATGATTTCTTCCTTAAATATTTGGTCACCCATTTACTTTTAATCTATATGTGTCTTTATATTTAAAGTGGATTTCTTATAGACACTATATAGTTGGATCTTGTTCTTTGACCCACACAGACAATCTCTGTCTTTTAATTGGTATATTTGTACCACTGATCTTCAAAGTGATCACTGACATAGTTGGATTAAGATTTACCATAGGCCAGGTGCGGTGGCTCATGCCTGTAATCCCAGCACTTTGGGAGGCCGAGGCGGGCGGATCACGAGGTCAGGAGATTGAGACCATCCTGGCCAACAAGGTGAAACCCCGTTTCTACTAAAAATATAAAAATTAAGTGGGCTGTAATCCCAGCTGCTCGGGAGGCTGAGGCAAGAGAATTGCTTGAACCAGGGAGTCGGAGGTTGCAGTGAGCCAAGATCACGCCACTGCACTCCAGCCTGACAACAGAGCAAGACTCTCAAAAAAAAAAAAAAAAAAAAGATTTGCCATGTTAGTTACTGTTTTCTACTTGTTGCCCTTTTCTTTGTTCCTACTTTTGTCTTTTTTGGTTATAATCAAGCATTTTATAAAATGATTTCATTTTCTCTCCTTTCTTAGCATATCAGTTATACTTCTTTTTTACTTGTTTTAATGTTTGCCCTAGAGTTTGCAATATTAATTTACCACTAACCTAAGTCCACCTTTAAATAAAAGTATACTGCTTCACAGATAGTGAGTAGTTTATAACAAAATAATCTGAATTCCTTCTTCCTGTTCCTTGTATTGTTGCTATCATTCATTTCATTTATATATAAGCATCAACACACACACACACACACACACACACACACACACACACACACACATCCGTACTTGAATATATTGTTGCCATTATTCTTTGGACAAATGGTTATTTGTTAGATCAATTAAGAATAAGAAAAATAAGAGTTTATTCAACCTTCATGTATTTCTTCTTTGATGCTCTTTCTTTCTTTCTGCAGACCTGAATTTCCGACTTATACCGTTTTCCTTCACATTTTTAATATTTCTTTCAATATTTCTTGCAGAACAGGTCAACTGGCAATAAATTCCCTCAATTTTCATTTGTATGAAAAATCTTTATTTTTTTCTTCACTTTTGAAAGATAATTTCACAGGAGACAGAATTCTAGTTTCATTTTTTTCCTCTCAATAGCTTAAATATTTCACTTTACTCTCTTTTTTCTTTCATGGTTTCTGAGGAAAAGTCAGATATAATTCTTATCTTTGCTTTTATATAGGTAAGGTGTTTATTTCTTCTGGCTTTGTTGGAGATTTTAAAATTCATATTTGATTTTCTGAGGTTTCAATATGGTGTGCCTAGGTGTTGTTGGTTTTGTTTTTTGTTTGTTTGTTTGTTTTGTTTGTTTGTTTTGGCACTATCCTGCTTGGTGTTCTCTGAGTTTCCTGGATCTGCAGTGTCTGACATTAATTTAGGAGAAATTATCAGTCAATATTGCTTCAAATATATCTTTTTGTTATCCTTCTAGTATTCTATTATGCATACATTAAACCTTTTGTAGTTGCCCCACAGCTCTTAGATGTTCTTTTCTTTCTTTGTTTTCCCAGACATTTTTCTCTTGCTTTTTAAGTTTGAGGTGAAAACTCAAAATTGCCTTGAGATGACCTCAAGCTCAGAGATTTTCCTCAGCCATATTCAGTCTACTAATGAGCCTGTCAAGAGCATTTTTCATTTCTGTTACAGTGTTTTTTTATCTCCAGCATTTTTTAATTCTTTATTAATATTGCCCTCTGTCTGCTTACATTTCCTATCTGTCCTTGCATGCTATCTACTTTTCTTAGCCTATGTACCATATTTGTGTTAAATTCCCAGTGTGATCATTCCAGCATCTCTGCTGTATCTATCTGGTTCTGATGCTTGCTCTGTTTCTTCAAACTATGCTTTTTGCTTTTTAGTATGCCTTGTAATTTTATCTTTTTTTTTGAGACGGAGTCTTGCTCTGTCTCCCAGGCAAGGCAGGAGTGCAGTGGCGCGATCTAGGCTCACTGCAACTTCCACCTCTCAAGTTCAAGTGATTCTCCTGCCTCAGCCTCCGGAGTAGCTGGGACTGCAGGCATGAGCCACTACGTCCGGCTAATGTTTTTGTATTTTTAGTAGAGATGGGATTTCAGCATGTTGGCCAGGCTGGTCTCTAACTCCTGAGCTCAAATGATCTGCCTACCTTGGCATCCCGAGGTGCTGGGATTACAGGCATGGCCTTGTAATTTTATCTTGATAGCCAGACTTGATGTACAGTGTAAAGGGAACTATGATAAATAGACCTTTAGTCATGTAGGCGTAAGGTGTGAAAGGAAAGGAAGTTCCCTGTAAGTGGTGGGGGACTACTTATCTGTAGTCCTAAGATTAGGTCTTTTGGTGAGCCTGTGCCCATGGACTGACTGTGAACTTTAGAAGTGTTAGTGTTTTCTTCCCTGCCTTAGTTGGACAGAACAGCTAAAGTGGGCTGAAGTTGAGTATTTCCCTTCCCCCAGGACAATTAGGTTCTGATTAAACCCCAGGAGGTTAGGGGTCCTTAGCACGTCCTGAGGGCAGACCTTGCTAAGAAGTACAGAATGCTTTGGTGTATTTCCAAATGATTCATTTTTCCCCACCCCTACCAAGAGAATGAGGGAATTGTTGTCCAATATTCACTGTGAGAATCTTGTCAAGCTCCTGGAGGTAAAACTCAAAAGTGTCCCACATCCCATTGGCCGTATCCCCTGGAGTTTTTGACTCAGAGACTTGTCTACACTAAGCCTCCAGCAATTTGTCAATTACAGTTCAAGTTTTCCTTCCCCATGCTGGTTCCTGCTGATTGGTTTTTCATTTCATTCATTTTTCAGTTTGTTCAGCTTTTTACTTGTTTGGATGGAGTGACGACTTCCAAGCTCCTTACATGCCTGACCGATGGTGCCTTGTCTTTTAATCCTCTAAACAATGTTTCTCAGAAAGGAAGGAGAAATTCTTAATTTTTTTGAAATCTAATTTTTCCATTTTTTTCTTTTATGGATCAAGCTTTTACATATTGTATCTAAGACATTTTTGCCTAACTCAAGGTCACAATGATTTTAATGTTTCTTCTCTCAGAGTACTCTTTTTAAAGTGTAAATCAGATCACATCACTCCCTTGCTTAGAATTCTCTAAGGACTTTCCCTCACATTTAGAACAAAATCTAAACTCCTAATCCAGGCCTATAAAGTGCTGCATGATCTTGCCTTCGGCTTCTTCTTTGACCTCAACCCCCTGCCCCTTTCTCCCTCATTCATTCTGCTCCAGCCACATTTGTTTTCTTGCCGCTCCACATACCCTCCTTGGAGCCTTTGTACTTGCTGCTACCTCTGCCTGGATTACTCTCCTCTCAGATCTTCACATAGCTCACTCCTCAGTCCTTAAATACCAACCACCCTCTTGGCAAAGCTCCCTTAACAAGCCTACCTAAAATAGGACCTCTCTTTTACTTGCAGTTCTGTTATCCCTTTTTATTTTTGTCATGGCATTGATAACTATCTGGAATTACTTCATTTATTTATTGCATTACTTGAGGTTTTTTTTTTTTTTTTGCTAATTTGTGCTACTAAAACATACATTCTTTGAGAGAAAGGCATTTTCTGTTTTGTTACTTTATTCCCTGAGCCAAGAACAAAATGTGGCACAGAGCAGATGCGCAATAAATATATGTTGAAAAAACGAATTATACCCTACTGAAAACCACACCTCGCATACTGAGAAACTCAAAATATGAATCTTGGGATAAGGGTGAGAGTGAGATTTGAATGGGGTGGGGTTTGTTTTGAAGCAGAAGAAGAAAGGAAGTTTTCAGTGAGACTCCCTGAAGAGAGAAAGCCTGCTGAGCAGGGGCCCAGCCACTTCCAAAGAATGGGTGACCTATGATTCCCTGACCTCAACAGTGTCCAAGCACAGGCCTTCAGCAGTGGAAGCCCATTGCCTTGTACCCTCTGAGAGTTTCTCTCAAGTCCTTGAGGTTGCTTTAATTTTAGGCACACTTTGTGCTTCGAATTTCATTGCTTGCAACTTAATTATTGGCACAGGCAAAGTCTTTCAATCCATAATTAAAGAGAAAAAGGTTTTAATTAGTAGTGGCAGAAGAATAGGCATATAGCTTAATGTAAAAAATGGAGGGTCCACATACCTCATGTTTATGGTCAGTTGATTTTGCAAGGGGATAAAACAATTTAATGGGGAAAGAATACTCTTTTCAACAAATAGTGCTGAGATAATTCACAGGCACAGGAATGAAATTGGACCCCTATGTCAAACCATTCACAAAAATTAACTCAAAATCAATCATAGACCTAAACGTAAGAGCTAACAGTTTACAACTCTTAGAAGAATGCATAGTGGTAAATCTTTATGACCTTGGGTAAGGCAATGCTTTCTCACATATGACACTAAAGCAAAAATGTCAGGAAAAAAAAATAGATAAATTGAACTCATTAAAATTAAAAACTTTTGTGCTTCAAAGGACAAATCAAGACAGTGAAAAGACAACCCACAGAATGGGAGAAAATTTTTGCAAATCAACTATCCAATAAGAAACTTGTATTCAAAATAGCCGGGCATGGTGGCTCATGCCTATGCCTATAATCCCAGAACTTTGGGAGGCCGAGGTGACAGATCACCTGAGGTCAGGAGTTCTAGACCAGCCTGGCCGACATGGCAAAACCCCATCTCTACTAAAACTACAAAAATTAGCTGGGTGTGGTGGCATGTGCCTGTAGACCCAGCTACTCGGGAGGCTGAGGCAAGAGAATTGCTTGAACCCAGGAGGCGGAGGTTGCAGTGAGCCGAGATCGTGCCACTGCACTCCAGCCTGGGCGACAGAGAGAGACTCCATCTCAAAACAAACAAACAAACAAAAACAAAAACAAAAAAACCCAAAATATAGGAAGAACTCTTACAACTCAACAATAAAAAAACCTGTAACTCAATTTGAAAATGGGCAAAGGATTCACAGACATTTCTCTAAACAAAATGTGCAAATGGCCAATAAGCATATGAAAAGATGCTAAAAATTATAAGTCATTAGGGAGATGAAAATAAAAGTGAGGTACCCACCAGAATGGCTGTAATCAAATAGATGGACTATAACACGTGTCAGTGAGGAGGAGAAGAAGTTGGAACCCTCAAATGTTGCCGGTGGGAATATAAAATGGAGCAGCTGCTTTGGAAAAGGTTAAACATAGAGTTAGTATATAACCCAGCAATTCCGTGGCTAGCAGTTCTACCCCAGAGAAATAAAAACACATGTCCACACGAAAATTTGTACATGAATGCTTAAAGCAGCATTATTCATAATAGACAAAAATTAGAAACAACTCAAATGGTCATCAGGTGATGAATGAATAAACAAAATATGGGATACCTGTACAATGGAATATTTTTTGGGCATAAAAAGTGAATGTAGTAGTAACACGTGCTACAATGTGGATGGGTCTTAAAAACATTACATGAAGTGAAAGAAGCCAGTCACAAAAGGCCATATATTTATGATTCCATTTATATGAAATCTTCAAGACAGGCAATCTATAGAGAAAGTAGATTACTGGTTGCCTAGGGCTGAGCGGGGAGTAATGGGGTCTTGAGGATGTGGTAGCTAAAGGGTATGGGGTTTTCTTTCTGCGGGGGACAAAAAAGTTCTAAAATTAGATTATGATGGTAGATGTATAACCCTGTGAACTTACTAAAAACCATTGAGTTGTATACTTTATTTATTTATTTTAGGAGACAGAATCTTGCTCTGTCCCCTAGGCTGGAGTGCAATGGCGTGATCTCGGCTCACTACAATCTCTGCCTCCCGGGTTCAAGCGATTCTCATGCCTCAGCCTTCTGAGTATCTGGGATTACAGGCACGTGCCAACATACCTGGCTAATTTTTGTATTTTTAGTAGAGCTAGGGTTTCACTGTGTTGGCCAGGCTGGTCTTGAACTCCTGACCTCAAGTGATCCTTCCGCCTCGGCCTCCCAAAGTGCTGGGATTACATGTGTGAGCCACGGCGCCCACCATGACTTGTATACTTTAAATGGGTAAATTGTGTAGTATATTAATTACATCCCAATAAGACTGATAAAAAAATATAATTAGAAATACTCATTTTACTATCACTTTAGTATTATGGTCCTCCATCATTTGCTTTTCAGCTTCTTTGTGCTACACGTGTAGATGCCAAGCTAGAGAAAACAAAATGCTGCCCTTAAGTACCTTGACTCACAGTTAAGTGAAGAAGCCATTCACAGAAATAGATCAACTGAAACTCAAACAAAGCACTGCAGGAGCCCAGGAGGCAGAACAAGTTACTATGCCCAAGGTGTTAGAGAGGACTCTTCAGAGGAGGTGTGTTTAAACTAAAAGATGATGGACAAGTAGAAGTTTGCTACACAATGAAAGAGAAATCCAGCCTAGTCAATGTGGCAAAACCCCATCTCTACAAAAAGTACAAAATTTACCCAGACATGGTGGTGCACACCTGTAGTCCCAGCTACTTGGGAGGCTGAGGTGGGAGGATTACTTGAGCTTGGGAGGTCGAGGCTGCAGTGAGTCAAGATCATACCACTGCACTCCAGCCTGGGTGACAGAGTGAGACCCTATCTCAAAAAAAAAGAAAGAAAAGAAAAGAAAAAGGAAAAGAAAGAAGAAAAAGAAAAAGAGAGAGAGAGAGAGAGAAAGGAAGGAAGGAAGGGAAAGGAAAAGGAAAAGGAAAGAAAGAAAGAGGAAAAGGAAAAGAAAGAAGAAAAAGAAGGAAAGAAGGCAGGGGGAATTCCAGGTTCAGGGAACAGTGCATGTAAAGGCACAAAACCACAGGAAAGCCTGGAGAGTTCAGACAATAGTGAATTAATTTGGCAAAAAGGTGGGTTGACTGGGGGAGTGGTGAGGAATTGGGCAAAATGATAGGCAAAACTACCCTGAAGGTTCTTGCATGCCCTGTTGAGAAATCCCAGCTTTTCCCTTAGAGGCAAAGGGGAGCCAGTGAAAGACAATCAGCTTCTCAAAAGGAAGGTAACTCTGCAAACAGTGCAGGACAGAGCTGAGCTAGGAGAAAGCATGCTTTTTTATGCCTTTTTTTTTTTTTTTTTTTTTTTGAGGCAGAGTCTCGCTATTTTGCCCAGGCTAGAGTGCAGTGGTGCAATCTTGGCTCACTGCCACCTTCGCCTCCCGGGTTCAAGCGATTCTCCTGCCTCAGCCTCCCGAGTAGCTGAGATTACAGGTGTGAGCCACCACACTCGGCTAATTTTTGTATTTTTAGTAGAGATAGGGTTTCGCCATGTTGGCTGGGCTGGCCTCAAGTGATCCACCTGCCTAGGCCTTCCAAAGTGCTGGGATAACAGGCGTGAGCCATGCGCCTGGCCTGCTACTTTTTCTACTGTCTTTTTCTTTCTGCAAATCCCTCACTCATGCAGCACTGGCCTTTATTACCTTTAATTGTGCACATTCTGGAAGCAGATGTTACCCATGCAGATATTTTGTCTAATTCAGCCACTCATGTGGGAATACACAAGATGACATGTGCCAGCACAGGTACATATGCTTACTAAAGATCAACATGACCAAACTGCTTGTTTAAAAAAATCACTTACAGATTAATTAATTAAGGTATTAATGTAGTATCTTTGGGGGATAAAGTGAAAAAAAGTGGCCCTTGGTGGTCTAGCTTAGGCTTGAACATAGATTTGCTATGTGACCTTGGCAAAGTCATTGCATCTTTCTAGCTTCAATCTCATCATCTGTAAGATTAAATGGATGGAAATGAAATCAGCGATTCTGGAACTTACCTAATGACAAGCATCTCCTGGAGTTCTTGCCCTTACTCCAGACCCACTGGATCAGTATTTCCGGGGGAGGGCCACTGGGAATTTTATGTTTAACAAGTGCTTTCTAAGGTTTCTCCCAGGTGCTGTAATCCCAGCATTTTGGGAGGCTGAGGTGGGAGGACTGCTTGAGGCCACAAGTTCAAGACCAGCCTGGGGAACATAGTGAGACCCTGTCTCTATAAAAATAAAATAAAATAAAATTAGCCGAGTGTGGTGGCACACACCTGTAGTTCCAACTACTCAAGAATCTGAAGCAGGAGGATCACTTGAGCCCAGGAATTTGAGGCTGCCGTGATCTATGATCAGGCCACTGCATTCCAGCCTGGGCAACAGAGTGAGACCCTGTCTCTAAAAATTAAAAAAAAAAAAGAAGAGTTCCTCCCAGCTCTGATTCCATCTTTCAGTGATGCTGGCTTACAGCAGGGCAGAAGCCTGACTAAACTGAAGATTCCCTAGATGCCGCAGCTGGAGTGCCACTGCTGGGATGTTTGTTGGAGGTGGAGGGTGAAAGTATGTATAAGGGTGGCCATTTATATACTGAAAGTGTGTGACAGTGTCATGGCCCCAAGAAGAAGTGACAAAGCAATGTCTCCTCCACTTCTACCTCGCCTCCCTCTGCTAACCCCAGACATCCCCCTTCAGGGAAATGGGCACTGGAGCATAGAAGGAAAGACTTCCGAAGTAATGAGGAATGTTTTCTAAATGATGGTGTTGTGCTTTGAAGAAACAGTGATGTCATTCAGTATTCTTCTTCCAAAGAGAGAGGCTGTTCTTTTGGTATTTCAGTTCATTTAGAATGGTGTCACTCATTAGGGTCTCCCAAAGGCTCCATTCAAAATAGCGTCTTTAAGTACCCACTTGAGTGCCATGAAGCCATTAAAATAGGCATCATTTCCACTCCATCTAAGCTTTCCATCAGGGTGGACAAACATGTTGAAGGGCAGACAAACAGAGATACACAACATTGAGAGAAACATAAACAAATGGAGACCCTACCCAGCAAATAAATACAATGTTAAATATTGACATTCTGAGCAGGGATTATTACTTGTTCTTAAGTTCTGGGTTAAGATGGTTGGAGCCAGGCCAGGGTACATGATTCACTACCCTGTGCAAACAGATTGGATTATTCCTCCCTCTCCTTTCATCCTGTCTCCAAATTTGGGGTTTTAAAAATGCATTCAGTAAACATTTATTAAATTTCTTCTATTTTCTAAGAGTTACATACCAAGGATACAAAAAATAAGACACATTTCTGCCTTCTGGGGGCTTGGCAATGACAAAAATTAGGAAAATGCAAGAACTTTTCATTAAGAAAGTATTAGGGACCCTTCCTATAAGAGACCCAAATCCAAATAAACATGTAAATGTGTAGATTGCCATCTAAATCAACTTGGCCTCCAAGTTTTACCCAGGATTAGTTAAAAGCCCAAGTTAGTTTATTCCGTGGGAATTGCCTTAATTGTCTTATTTTAAATTAATTGAATTCTTTTTTATGGGTCAGATGAGTTCATCTCATTTTGACTGGAAGCTGTTTTCTCCTCTCTCTATTTGTAGGAAGCAGCAAGCCTAAGTAGATCAGCACTGTGGCTTGTATCCATGTGGATGTAGATGGCTAATGTCACCCTTTCAGGCATTTTTACATATGAAAGATTCTGGATACAGTTCTGTCAGGAGAGTCCCTGAGTCCATGTTCAAATTTTCTGACTTAAGAGATCATCTCTTAGCAACAGCTCAGTCGCTAGTATATTGGTTCCTCTGAAGATCTGTTATGAAAATAGTTAATGAGCCAGGGCAGATAAAGTGGACCTGGAATCCTCAAAACATTTCCCAAGGACATAACGACTTCCACAAACCAACATTTTCATACCACCTTTTATACCAATGTGCTCACAGCAAGAAGCTGCCTGCTGAAGATTGGGTATATTTGGTCAAGGGTATAATATAAATCTCTTCCATATGTTGGCTGAACATTTATAGGGCTATCACTTGGTTTTCTGACACGTAACTTGGTTTCATTTGCTGTCTTAATTCTAGATTTGCTTCATACCAAGTAATAAGTTGGATCTCATGCCAGCCTTGTCCAAGGGTCTTCCGTAACCCTTCCAAGATGGGTAAGATATTCTTCTCTGAGCTCCCAAAATACCCTTTGCATTTCACTATCACTGCTTTCCCCTCATTTTTAAAATTTTTGTTTTGAGACAGGTCTCACTCTCTTGCCCAGCTGGAATGCAGTAGCGTGATTATAGTTCACTGCAGCCTCAACTTCCTGGGCTCAAGCAATCCTCCCACCTCAGCCTCCTGAGTAGCTGGGACTACAGGCATGTGCCACCATGCCCTGCTAATTTTTGAATTTTTAGTAGAGACAGAGTTTCACCATGTTGCTTAGGCTGCTTGCTTTATTTTCTAATGTTGAAATTTGGCAGACGTTTTCCCTTTGCTACAGGATGAAGAATACTTGTATTAAGAGAATAATTTACACACACACACACAGAGAGAGAGAGAGAGAGAGAGAAAGACTATGACATCTAGCTGGTTACAGTTGAAACAATGATTCTGACACTGAAAAGGAATTCAATATGCAACTAGCAGACATTTGACCCTGAACAAACAGTGTGTATGTGATATCAAGTCAAAACTGGAGAAGGAAGAATGAGGCTTATTTCTTGAAAGGAGGTGGTTCTAGTGAGTAAAAATAATTCCTCAGGGAGTCCCATGAAAATGGCATGGGTTTCATCCAAAAAGTCAATTATCAGGACCAGTTAAAGCAGAGTAGAAGAATTATCAGACCCTCTAACAGGCCTGCCTGTGCACGGTTAAGGTATAATTTAACACAGAGCAATGTATATTTTCTTGTTATAGAGTATGTAGTTGTCTTTGCTTGCTGATTGTCTGCATTTCTGTTTTAGATTAAAAAATCGAGAGCTTCCCTTGGCTGCTTCTGAGCCAGAGGACTGCTGAGCGGGATTGCGGAAGAAGGTGAGATTCTACCCAGGGTGACTGTCTGTCCTCCAATCCATTATTCTCAGACTCTGCTGACCTCAGATCTCGAGTCATCCTTGCCACTTTTACTAATAAATACTAACAAAAACAAGCAGACCCTGTGCATGTTTCCAGGCACCGGGTGACCCAGCCTGTCCCCTGTTCCACTTATTCAATGCTGCTCAGAAACCGCACTGGATTTGCTGCAGAGGGCCTCGGCTATGATGCAGAGAATATGGTCTTATTTCCTTACATGATTAATGCCAAGGCATGGCTTGGTGAAAAGAGGATTATGCCAGACCAATGTTATTTCCTTTTGTGCTAAAGGGGCCGGGTATATGGTGGTGGGTGGTGGAGGGTGGAGGGTGGGGTGAGTGAATCAGCCCGTGTGAATACAAATAAAGCAGTTGATTCTGTGTCACACGATAGTCTAAGCAAGGAGCTGAGATACTGGTAATACTATAAGCTTATTGAAAACTCCTCAATAGTAATTATCAGTGGTTCCTTATCAACCCAAGGACACCCTTAGGGATTGTTCTTTATCACCAATTTAGATGAAAATATTAAAAGTGGTCACTAAATTTGGAGAGGGCACTCATTTGCAGGGAGTGGATGATATCAATTTGATCGTTTATTTCAATATGACTCTGAAACATCAGAAAATGTATCCATTAATAGCAAAATTTGCTTTTAATCTCAACAGAGACAAATGCACATTAAAAGCTTTAGAAATTAGAAATATAGACTCAAGGTGGCATTAGGCTGAAGAGCCATAAATGCAGAAGAAAGTGCTTCCAGTCAGAGTGGACAACAAACAGAATGAGTTAGCAATGTAGTAATATAATTAAAACAATTCCTTGTGACTCAAGGATAAATTAAAGAAAGTGTGCTATGCAAAGAAAAGAAATCATCTCTTCATGGTGTTTAGCATTATGAGCAGTTGGAGTTTATTTTTTATGATTTCATTTTTTAAAAAGCCAATATTCTAGAGAAATACAATAACAGTGATGATACGGATGACAAATAGAAGAAAGACAAAAGTATAATAACTCTTCACATTTGAGATGTTGCTGAGGCCCTGCTTTCAGTGTCTGTTACCTGAGATAGCATCATTGGATCTTAAATGTTATTTTGGGGGCTTTTGGACAGGATCAAATTTTACAACTTTGGAACTCAGTTTTACAGAATAATGAAAAAATAGGTAAGCTGATCAGCTAAAATTAGCTACTAATTATTTGCAAAGCACTCCTCTATCAGGTTCTCCTCGTGCTTGTCCTACTTTTCTTTGTCCCTAGCTGAAGACAAAAAAAAAAAAATGTAGAGACCGTTTATCTTTTTAAACAACTGCAGAGTCACAGCAGCACTTTCTGGCCTGAAATTCAGGCTTCCTTTGGTATTGATTCTAAACAATTACTGCTCTTGACTAAAATGCTAAGCCGTAAATAAGGAAGGTAGTAAACCTGAGGTTCTCCACTAACATATCTGGCAATTAGATACTCCCAGGATTGCTGGGCTTAGGAGCAAACTCGGGGGAACTGAGCTGGCCTGGGTGAGAGGTGCCTTTTCTGGCTTCTCTGGTGCCCTGTGCTTCCCTCCCCCGTGCCATTCAGGACACTTTCATATTGTACTTTTCTGCTTGCAAGATTGTGTTCCAGATCAGTGCTTCTTAAACATCACTGTGCATTCAAGTCACCTGGGGCCCTTGTTAAAATGCAGTTCCTGAGTCAGCAGGTTCGAGGTGGGGCCTGATAGTCTAAGTTTCTGGTGTGTGCCTGGGAGATGTCAAGGCTGTGAGTCTGGTGGCCTGCACTTGATTGAGCAGTAAGGCCAGCTCCTTGAAAGCTGGAGGGAAAGTCCCTCGCTCTTTTTCTCTTTTTTTTTTTTAAACTTACTATTGAAGTATAACATATATGCAGAAATGTGCACAAATTATCAAAGTTCAATGTATTTTCAAAAAGTAAACACATCTGTGTAACCAGCCCTTGTATCAAAAATTAGAATATTGGCCAGGCACGGTGGCTTATGCCTGTAGTCCCAGCACTTTGGGAGGACGAGGCGGGCAGATCACTTGAGGCCAGGAGTTTGAGACTAGCCTGGCCCACATGGCTCTAGAAGTACAAAAATTAGCTGGGCATGGAGGTGCGCACCTGTAATTCCAGCTACCTGGAGACTGAGGCATGAGAATTGCTTGAACCAGGAGGCGGAGGTTGCAGTGAGCCAGGATCACACCACTGCACTCCAGCCTGGGTGGAAGAGCGAGACTGTCTCAAAAAAAAAAAAAAAAAAAAAAAATTAGAATATTACCAGCACCCAGAGCCCTCCTTGTGCCTCATCCAGTCACGACTTTTCCCCAAATGTAAATGGAATCTGACCTCCTTCACTTTTGCTGTTACCAGCAATACTCCAATGAACACACTTGTGCATGTCCCTTTAATCACGTGTGCATTCATTTCTCAGGTAGATACCTAGACCCATTCTGATTTTAATGGTAAGACGATACTCCACAGAAACATTAGTGTCTTGTATTTATATTAGGACAATACAACTTGGTCTTTGGATGGCTTTTGTCTATGGTATCAAAGACTGATGAATGATTGGTAAATGCTAGTAATAGCCTCCTTAAATTATTTTGCATTTTGTTTTTGTTTTTGAGACAGGGTCTTGCTCTGTTGCCCAGGCTGGAATGCAGTGGTGGGATCAAAGCTCACTGTAACCTCAAACTGGGCTCAAGCAATCCTCCCACCTCAGCCTCCCAAGCGGCTAGGACCACAGGCTGAAGCCACCACACCTGGCTACATTGTTTGCTTAAGCAGCTAAAACAGAATAACTGTGCTCAGTGCCCCTCTGATGCCTGAAATATGTTTGTTCTTTACACAAATTCTGAATTTAGAACCTATGACCCTAGCATTTTTTTTTTTTTTTTTTTGAGACAGAATCTCACTCTGTCACCCAGGCTAGGGTGTAGTGGTGCAATCTTGTCTCACTGCAACCTCCACCTCCTGGGTTCAAGCCATTCTCCCTGCCTCAGTCTCCCAAGTAGCTGGGATAATAGGCATGTGCCACCACGCCCAACTAATATTTGTATTTTTTTAGTAGAGACAGGGTTTTGCCATGTTGGCCAGGCTGGTCTTGAACTCCTAACTTCAGGTGATCCACCTGCCTTGGCCTCCTAAAGTTCTGGGATTACAGGCATGAGCCACTGCGCCCAGTCTTGACCCTAGGATTTGTTGAAAAGAAATAGGCCTGGAGTTTTGAAGGAATACCCAGTACACTAGCTTGTAACTTCACGAGTATTTTCTAAAAATAGAGTGGACAAACATCTGTCTACATTCTATGGGAAAATGCCCCTAGTATTAATTAGGTGTCATAATTTGGCAAGGATTGGGAATTATAAATCAGGATAGAGTCTAAATAATTTTGATGACAGAAATCTGGCCCTTTTTCAGTTGGGTAGCTGGTCAGCTATTAGAATGGAGTTATGATGTAGGTCTTTACAATCCACAAAAGACATATCCACAGCTGTAGGATTGCACGGCCGAAGGAAGCAACTTGTCTAGTTAAAACATGATTTATGCTTTGAAAAACCAATTTACAAAAGATTCATAATGCATTCACAGAATCTAATTTCATCATGATCTATAACTGTAGATATCACAATCTCCATTGAAATCTGCTGTCATCTAACTCTTTGAGGTAATAATTATAAAAGGATATGAATTTAATAAGTGACTACAGTTGATTTTTGTACGTGCTGTTATTTATTACTTTGCCAGCTGCTTTTGAGGGATTTGGGTTTTTGTATGATTGCTTGTGTGTTTTTTATCAGTCTCTAATTGTTGTGATTGAACAAGAGATGGATGATACTGTCCTTTTTAACTCAGGAAAAGTCCCTAGAGATATGACCCAATCTAAAGTTTCTAAATATACCTTGGCGGAACCATTGCAAATTTTGATGTCCAAGTGTTCCTAAATGAATACATTAGCTGATAGATAATATATTACATACTATGTAGAAGACAAGCAGTTGGTTCCAGAAATCAGAGTGATGGGCATGCAGATTATTAAATGATATACGTGAATGTTAAGGCATACTAATTTAGCATCTTCATGAAACTGGATTAGAATTATGAAAAGTTTATTTTGGTGTGCATGAAATCGCTCAAAGTGCTTATGTTACCAAGTGCAACCAGAGTTCATTTATTCATTCTAAAAGGTCCCCAGGGTATTATAGGTCAGGTGCCATGGTAGGCATTTAGGGCATGGGTAGGAATGTGAGTAGTTCCTTTCCTGGTATGATCTGCCCCCTACCTGGGGAGACAGACACATCAACAAACATTTGCATTAGGGGAATGAACTTTTAAGACATTGTATCCTATTTGTATCAACAACAATTAACCCAGAACCTAGCACAGTAAATATGGTTTCAAATAAAGAAAGCGTATCCTCTAATACGGGAATCCAAGCAGGTGACCCAAAAGGATTGTTCATCAACTTAGCCTGGAATGGATGGAGTGGGAAGACCAGAATCTGGAAAATCTCCACCGAGGAAAATATATATTGCTGGTTGTCATAGGCTAAGTAATGCCCCCTCCATCCCCGCCCCCCTGACAATGATGCCTATGCCCTAATCTCCAGAATATATGAATATATGTATGTATTCATACACGAATATATGCATGTATTCATACACGAATATATGCATGTATTCATACACGAATATATGTATGTATTCATACATGAATATATGTAAGTGGCAAAAGAGACTTTGCAGATGTGATGAAGTTAGGTGTCCTGAGATGGGGGATTATCCAGGTGGGCCCAGTGTAATCACAAAGGCCCATATAAGAGGGAGGGAGGCAGGCAGGGCAGAGTCAGAAGGAGGCAATGGGAGACAGAAGTGAGACTGGAGTGATGCCATTGTGAGGAAGGGGCCACAAGTCAAGGAATGCAGGCAGTCTCTAGGCTGGAAAAAGCAAAGGGTTAGGTCCTGCCCTTGAGCCTCCAGAAAGGAACCAGCCTGGCTGATATCTCAACTACAGACTAGTGAGGCTGATTTTGGACTTCTGACCTCTATCATTGTAAGATAATAAATTTGTATTGTTTTATGCCGCTAAGTTTGTGGTGATTTGTTAGAGCTGCAATAGAAAACTAACATACTGGTTCATTGTCAGTCTCTGCAGTGTGTAATTACTGGTGATTCTTCCTTTCTTTCCCTTTTTTCCCTTCCTTCCCTTTCTTCCTTTCCATCCCTTTCCTCCCTTCCTTCCCTTCTTTCCTTCCTTCCCTTTCTTCCTTCCTCCTTCCCTTCCTTCCTTGCTTTCTATTTTTTTTCTAGAGCACTTGCTAAAATCACACCTGATGATTTCAATATACACATAGAGGACCCACCCGGCTTTCAGGCCTCTCAGTTCCTCGATTTTCTTTCTTTAGAGATCTCTGCTTCAGTCACTCATTACTTTGGTCATAACCTAGACTTAATATTACCAATAATAGCAAACCCTCCATAAACTCACTCTCAGGGATTCCACTCTGACTACCACTTTCTATTTTTTCAGCTCTCCGTCTCTCTGGTACCCTAATTCCAGTAACCCTTCAATCCCACTGGACGCTCCAATCCACTGATGCTCCCATCTGTTCACTGTCTCTCACACTCTGATGTCCTCATTTCCCTCGTAACTGGATTTAGGTCTCCTGGGCAGTCATTGTGAATGTTCCCTTGCCTACACGCTGGGCTCCCTGGCTCCTGTCTCACTTTGACATATTTCCTTGTCAAAATTTCCACCCCTGCCTATATCCAATTGTTGAACTACTCCCTGCCTGCATTTGCACAGCTGAATATGGCTGAAGAAAAACACACAACCATGCTGTTGGTCACAATTTAAATTCACAACCACTAATCTCAAGTACCCCAAGTACTACCTGGCCATCCTACTATACTTCGAGTCCACTCTTCCACCCTCCTAGCTGACCACTTCACACCTTCCCCTCTCTCCCAAACTAGCAGCACATCCTCCCTCTTCTTCACTCCCACCTTGCTTCTGATTCCACCAAGGAAACAGGAGCAATCCTAAAAACTCCCACGTGATTGCTCCTCCCACTGCTTCTGCCACCTACCTGCCTGCATCTCTGACCACATAGGATATTTCATTCCCCTCCCATGGTCTGCCTGTGTTCCTGTCACAGGCCAACATCTCCACTTATTCTCTTTTTCCATTCTCTCTCCCCTGTTCAAGGGCTTTGCTCCTAGTATCTTTCCCCTCATCCCCAGTGTCATTATTTTCCTTCTCACTTTTTTTGGATCATCCCCAGGTTATAGCAAAACTCCTTGAAAGTGTTGTCTGTCTTTGCTTTCTCTATTTTCTGTCTCATTCTCTCTTGAACTTACTCTAATCAAGCTTTCTTTCCCACCATCTTACTGAAATAGTTATTATCGAGAAGTCCATAATACCAGGTTGCTAAACCCAATGCTCAGGCCTCTTCTACCTGATTAGTGAGGGTAATCATGCCTTCTTTCTTAGAACACTTTTTTCGCTTTGGTTTCTGAGACACTTTCTTTCCTTTTTTTTTTTTTTTTTCTGAGGCAGGGTATCACTCTGTTGCCCAGGCTGCAGTGCAGTAGCACGATCACAGTTCACTGCAGCCTGGACCTCCAGGGCTCAGGCGATTTTCCTACCTCAGCCTGCTGAGTGGCCGGGACTACAGGAGCATGCCACCATGCCTGGCTAATTTTTTGTATATTTTGTAGAGACGGGGTTTCACCTTGTTGCCCAGGCTGGACTAGAACTCCTGGGCTCAAGCGATCCTCCCTCTTCA
This sequence comes from Homo sapiens, assembly GCF_000001405.40. Classification (NCBI taxonomy): domain Eukaryota; kingdom Metazoa; phylum Chordata; class Mammalia; order Primates; family Hominidae; genus Homo; species Homo sapiens. The sequence goes on along the minus strand of NC_000001.11, from coordinate 227,364,117 downwards.
GCCCCACAAAATGCTGGGAATACAGGTGTGAACCTCCGTGCCCGGCCTCTGTGAGACTTTCTTGATTCTCCTTCTGTCCAGTTGATGACTCATTCTTTTTTTTTTTTCTTTTTTTTGACACGGAGTTTTTCGCTCTTGTTGCCCAGGCTGGAGTGCACTGGCAACCTCAGCTCACTGCAACCTCCACCTCTCAGGTTCAAGTGATTCCTCTGCCTCAGCCTCCCAGGTAGCTGGGATTACAGGCATCTGCCATGACGCATGGCTAATTTTTTGTATTTAGTAGAGACAGGGTTTCACCATGTTGGTGAGGCTGGCCTCGAACTCCTGACCTCAGGTGATCACCCACCTCAGCCTCCCAAAGTGCTGGGATTAAGGCGTGAGCCACCACGCCCGGCCTCATTCTTTTTCCACTTATCTTCCCAATCTTTAAATACTCAGAGATCCCAGGGGTCAGTTTTTGGCCCACTCTAGCTATACCCACTCCCCAGGGAATCTCGTTGAGACCCCCTGCTTTAAGTATACTGGCTATGTCCATGTGCTGATGGCTCCCAAATTTATATCTCTAGCCAGGCCACATCTCTATTTTGAACTCCAGACTTTAACGTTTTGTTGCTGCTCCAATATCTCCACTTGGATTTCTAACAGGCATATCAAAATTAACAAGTCTGAAGCTGAACTCCTAATTTCTGTCACCCAGGCTGGAGTGCCGTGGTGCAATCCATAGCTCACTGTAACCTCAAACTCCTGGGCTCAAGCAATCCTTCTGCCTCAGCCTCCCAAAGCACAGGGATTACAGGCATGAGCTACCATGCCTGGCCTCAAGCCTCTATCTTGACTCTTACTTACACACCACATCTAATTCATCTGATCATCCTATCAGCTGTACCTTCACAATATGTTCAGGATTCAACAACTTGCCATCTCTATTGCTACAGCTAATCATTATCTCTCTCCTGGATTATTTTTTTGGCCTCATGATTGGCCTTCTTGTTTCTACACCACCTCCCTTCCCAACAAGAAGAGGTAATTTCCATTTATTTAATATTTATTAAATGGGCCGGGCGCGGTGGCTTACGCCTGTAATCCCAGCACTTTGGGAGGCCGAGGCGGGCGGATCACGAGGTCAGGAGATTGAGACCATCCTGGCTAACACGGTGAAACCCTGTCTCTACTAAAAATACAAAAAATGAGCCGGGCGTGGTGGCAGCTGCCTGTAGTCCCAGCTACTCGGGAGGCTGAGGCAGGAGAATGGCGTGAACCCAGGAGGTGGAGCTTGCAGTGAGCCGAGATAGCGCCACTGCACTCCGGCCTGGGCAAAAGAGCGAGACTCCATCTCAAAAAAAAAAAAGAAAAAAAGAAAAAAAGAAAAAAATATTTATTAAATGAATATTTGCTGTGTCTGAAATGTGAAATCTAGTCAAGTGTCTGCTCCATCTCCCTTGAGTAAATGCTGAAACTTGCCCAGTGGCCCAAAGCCTGAAAATGGTCTGGCTTTGGGTTCATTTCCTAGCTAACCCCTCCTGTTCACTATTCTCCAGCCATAATGGCCTCTTTGCTGTCCCTCAAATGTACCTCCACCTTAGGCACTCTGTATTTGGGGCTCGCTCTGCCTAGAATATGCATCCCCCAAATCTTACGGCTCTCACTTTCTCACTTCTTCCAGGTGTCTGCTCAAGTTTCAACCAATCAGTAAGACCTTCATGAAACAGCACTGCCAGCCCCCAGCCCTGACACTCCCTATCCTCTTGTCCTCACTTTATTTTTCTTCATGGCACAGATTTATGCTCCAACAATATTATTGTATATTTTCTTGTATAAATACTTGTGTATAAATGACTCCCTCCACTAGAATGCAGACTCAACAAGAGGAGGAATTTGGAGTTATTTTGTTCAGTGCTGTAATCTCAACATTCAGTAGTTTCTGGCACGTGGTAGATACTCAACAAGTATTTGAATTTGAAGAATGAATAAGTTGCTAGATAGAATACAGGACACTCAGTTAAATTTGAATTTCAAATAAATAGCAATTAATTATTTTGTATAAGTATGTCCTATGGAATATTTGGACATGTTATGCTAAAATTTTTGTTTATTTGAAATTCACATTTAACTGGGTATCCTATATTTTTATTTACTAAATCTGGTAACCTTATGAATGAATGAATATTTAGTGAGGTTCCTGAAGAACGAATGGAACTCTGGACAAAGGTTTGGAAAGGACATTTTGGCAGAAAGGCTAAAATTGACAAGGTACACAAGTGTGACAGCAATATTGTTCATTAAGAAAAGAGTGATTTAGAAAGGGTAGCCTACCCTCAACTCTTCCAGAATTACTTTGCTGGAGGGTACATTTAAAGAGGGTCTGTAGGCTGGGAGTAGTGGCTCACGCCTGTAATCCTATTCATCAGCAAATCCTATCAGCTGTACCTTCACAATATGTTCATGATCTGACCACTAGCCATCTCTCTTGCTACAACTGTGGTCCAAACTAATTATCATCTCTTTCCCAGATTACTTTATTGACTTCAGGACTGGTCTTCTTGTTTCTGCACCACCTCCACTGGGAGGCAGAGGGAGGATCGCTTGAGCCCAGGAGCTTGAGAACAGTCCTGGCAACACAGTGAGAACTCGTCTCCACAAAAGATTAAAAAAAAAAATAGCCGAGGATGGTGGCACATGCCTGTAGTCTCAGCTTCTTGGAAGGCTGAGGCAAGGAGGGTCACTTGAGCCTGGGAAGTTGAGGCTACAAGGAGCCATGATCCTGCCACTGCACTCCAGTCTGGGTGATAGAGCAAGATTATGTCTCAAAAATAAATAAATTAAAAATTAAAAAGGTCTGTGTCAAAAATTGGAGAGATTTTAAGTCTTGTCTTTGTAGATGGGTGATATTAAAAGTTTATAGGACGTTTAAACAGGATTTTGCTTCTCTGCCATACCATTCATACAGAAAAGGACATTCAAAATATAAAAAGAACATTCTCAGGGTGAGAGAAGATATGTTTTTCCTTTTGACCTGGGATTATATGAAGTCATTCACAATTACCATGTTATTAATACTGCTGATATTTTTAGGCCTAATTTTTCTGGGCTAAGTCTCCTTCCTTATAACAGAGAAACTTATATGCTTATTAGTTCTTTTCATCTGAGAAAGAAGAATTTGCCTCATCTGATGGATGCTATGGTGTGGGACCCAAAGGCCCTTTTAAGACTGAGGCCCTCATTCACCCAGCCGTTGGAAATTGTGGTGGCTGACTGCTCTTGTTTGAATTATTTTCTGTGACTTGCCGTTAACCAAAGATAGCCACTTTGCCCAAGTCACGCTGTCTCCCTGGGGTGGCCCACATCTTAGCACCCAGAGCTCTCTGTGACACCATCTAAGGCCTCTGTGATTTCAATGCAGTTCATCTTTTCCTTCTGTTAAATCCTTCTTTTTTCATCTCCTATTGATGTCAGTCTGATGACACCTCCCATTCCCCGCCATGAATTTACTGTATACTAACCCGCATCTCAAAGTCGGCTTCTTAGGGAATCTGACCTGCGATAATTCATTCCAGGAATGGTCTGAGGAAGCCAAGTGTAAAATGGGTCACCAGCAGTGAGAACATCATCCCTGGGGGTAGGTGGAGCATGGACAGTGCTTAGCATGCTGTAGCCACGTGCTTGTTAAAACTTTCTTGGTAGTAGGCCGGGTGCAGTGGCTGCACCTGTAATCCCAGCTACTTGGGAGGCTGAGGCAGGAGAATCACTTGAACCCAGGAGGCAGAGGTTGCAGTGGGCCGAGATCGCGCCACTGCACTCCAGTCTGGGTGACAGAGGGAGACTAAAACTTTCATGGTCGTAAACTGGGATGAGATGTTGGTGGAAGGCAGTGCAGGGGCCTCAGGCATTTGAGAAGTTCAAGGGAAGTCATAACTATAAGAACTATGGAAATGGCTGGCTGTTACTGTTGACATTTTATGTATTGAAGAAGAACAATGAAAGGCTGAGAGTGATTAATCAACAATCAGAAAGGCCGAAGCTCTCCTTGGCTTCATAATAAAGAGACTCTTATTCTGCAGTTGGAACACAGAAAAAAAAAAAAAACTGAGGATCAGGCCCAAGTCTTAAATATAAAAGAAGGGGAGTCCCAGAAGAGATTGAACTCAGGTTATCCACCTCTATTGCACTGGTTCCTCTCTGTCAGCTCATGCCTATGGACCGTAGAGGGTCCCTATGGCAAGCTGACAGAAGAGGGAAAAGGCCATGCCAGGACCACAGCTTGGTGTGTGGATGCAACATGAAAATGGTCTTTGGCTGCACTACAGCTTCATTGTAGCCCTGCAGTGTGAGAGCCTGGAAGACGATGGCAAAGGAAATCCTACCAACTGGCAGATTTCTGGGCAGTGCACCTAGTCAAATACTTTTTTTTTTTTTTTTTTCTGTAGAGATGGGGTTTCACTATTTTGACCAGGCTGGTCTTGAACTCCTGGCCTCAAGCAATCCTCCTGTGTTGGCCCCCAAAAAGTGCTGAGAATATAGACGTGAGCCACTGTGCCTGGCCTGGTCAAATATTTTTGGTGGTTAGCTTGGCTGGCTTGTTAAGAGCAGGGCAGAAAGACTGGAAGATTGGTGGAAAGACATTTAAAGAAGAGGTGTGTCGATGGACCTATGGCCATGGCCCAAAGTGTGAAGATTTTGAATCCCATTGTTAATGCCCATAAGTGAGCATCCCCCATGGAAGAAGCACTGAAGAACTAAGTAGACAGGATGACTTAACTGGTCATCTACTAAAGGATGACCAGCCAGACCCTGTCACGCTCTAGTGCTGGCACAATGGGCACATGAACCAAGCAGCCCTGATGGCAAGGATGGAGGCTGTACATGGGCTCACAGCAGGGACTCCCACTCAGCAAGGCTGATCCTGCTACTGCAACTGCCCAATGTCCAACCTGCCAGCAACACAAACTAACCCTGTGTACCAGCCGACCAATTAACCATTTGGTATTAATTACATTGGATCCTTTCTACACTGGAAGGGGCAGTAGTTAATCTCGATAAAAATGGATACATATGGATGTAGGTTTGCTTTTCCTACCCACAGTGTGTCAGCCAGCACCACCTTCTGAATAATTACAGTTTTTATCCAGAAATATGGAATGCCGTGTGACATTCTATTAATTCAAGGAGCCCACTTTACAGCAAAGGAGAGTAAAAGTAGACACGTGGTGGGGAGATCAACTGGTTCTACCACCCAGACCCTGCCAGCCTGCTGAGGGGATAAAATGGTCTTTGTAAGGGAGCCACAGAAGCTTACGCTTGGAGATGCCAACCTAAGAAGTTGGGGCATCATTTTCCAGATTGCAGGACATGTCCTAAATCAGCTACCACTCTATGGTGTTGCATCCCCATTGGGAAGAATACTTGGGTCTAGGAAACAGGGTGAAAATAGAAGTGGCTGTGCTTATCATCACTGTCAGTGACTATTAGGAATGTGTGATTTCTGTCCTTGCAGCTTTGTACTCTGTGGGTTTACAGGTTTTATATTCTAAAGGAAAACACACTAGGGGACACAGCAGTAGTCCCATTAACTTAATTTTTTTTTGAGACAAAGTTTCCCTCTTTTGCCCAGGATGGAGTGCAGTGGTACAATCTGGGCTCACTGCAACCTCTACCTCCCAAGTTCAAGCGATTCTCCTGCCTCAGCCTCCCAGGTAGCTGGGATTACAGGTGCGCACCACCATGCCCAGCTAATTTTTTGTGTTTTTAGTTGAGATGGGGTTTCACCAAGTTGGCCAGGCTGGTCTCGAGCTCCTAACCTCAAGTGATCTGCCTGCCTCGGCCTCCCAAAGTGCTGAGATAACAAGCGTGACCCACTGCGCCCGGCCAGTCCCATTAAATTTTATAGCTACTGCCTAATTACTTTAGGTTTCTTGTTATAAGAGACAAGAAAAAAGGAGTCACCATTCTGGGAATGTGTCATATTGGGGATTCAGCAGGGGTCATTGACTCTGATCACTAAGAGGAAGTAAAACTGCTGATATACAATAGTGCCAGGAAAGGTATATAATATTTGGCACCCGGGACATCTCCAGGAGAATCTCCTTGTACTCCCTTTACCAATTTTGATGGCAAATTGCCAAGTGCCATGGTTGCAGCCTGAGAAGGACGTGACAACCAGGGTCTCAGACCCATCAAAGATGAGGGTCTAGGTCACCCCAGCAGCTAAGCCACCGAAACCAACAGAGATGATAGCCAAGGGTGAAGGGACTCTAGAACGGGTAGAAGAGTGAGATAATCAGCTGGCCTCTCAGGATCCATTGCTGTAGTGACAGAGCTGTGGTTTTTCCTGCCAATCCTCTCCTTAAATTTCCCAGAAAAAGAACCAGTCAGAATCTTGGAGGAACTATTTGCAAAGACTAATTTACAAAAAAAAAAAAAAATCCAAGCAGCGGAAAAGGGTGGACTGTAGTTAATACTATGCACTGCCCAGAACTTCCCTGCAGGACTGAGATACCATTTCCCCAGCTGTCGGAAGTGTTGGCCGAAGGGCTTTCAGCTGAGTCACTCTCCAGGAAATGTTCTCAGTCCCTCGCCCAAGGACATTCCCTGCCTGGGGTCAGTCTCCAGCCACTGACTGAGGGAGGCAGTATAAAGGCCCATCCCCCTTTGCACCAAGGTGGGACAAGATGGGCTATCCAGAGCTCCCCTCTGACTGCAGCCTGGCTTTGTTCCAGCTGCTCCCCAGTTCAGCTCTTCCCTCTTTTCAATCCTATCTCCTTCCATGCCCATTAGTGCTGACTCATAAGACACACCCCAGTAAACCTCCAGCAGGCAAATCTGTCTCAGAGTCTGTCTCAGGGGACCTGACCTAAGAAAACGTTATCAATTTACTGTAATTTATAAGTTAAATAATGTAAGACACAACATAAGGAAAGAGTCATCTGATAATTCACAAAGGAAATTGCAGAGGAACTGGATGAATAGTGCTATTAGATAATAAGAGTGTTGTTGGGTTAATCTTTACAGATAGAGGAAGATTCCCTGTTGAGACTGTGTCCAGAGGCGAATCAGAATGACGGATAAATGAAATAGAAGGTTTGGGCAAAGAGAATAATATCAGGCAATGTTCTGTGAGAGGCAACTTATCAGACACATCTTGTACGGCATCTTCCATCCGCTCAGCTCACCTTTTTACTCTAGCCATTGATGTGGCTGGTGTCAGTGGGGACAGGTGGGGCTAGCTTACAGCAGTATCCTAATCACTAAGAACTTCACCAGCAATGAAGTGCAGGTGAGGCCGGCAGCAGCTTACCTCAGCTGTATCACATTTTTCTCCACTGATCTCACTTCCTGCCCTATTGGCTGGCTATAGGAACTGTTCAGCCACTGTCACACAGTGGCTGTGCAAACCTGGCAGGGAGTTTCATTTCCTGGGGCAACGCTTGACCAGTGGGAGATGGTCACAATTTACATGACCATAGAGCGTTCCCAGAGGGATGGAGCCCCAGTTGCACATGATAATGGCCAGCTTAATAGCAGGCCCTTGGATTGCTTTCTCTCCTGTTTTACTCTTCTACTCCCTCATTCCTATTCTTCTGGATCACTTCCCAAAATAAATTACTTGCATACAAACCCTTATCATGGAATCTTTTTTTTTTTTTTTTGAGATGGAGTCCTGCTCTGTCGCCCAGGCTGGAGTGCAGTGGCACAATCTCAGCTCACTGCAACCTCCACCTCCTGGGTTCAAGTGATTCTTTTGCCTCAGCCTCCCGAGTAGCTGGGATTACAGGCACACACCACCATGCCTGGCTAATTTTTGTGTATTTTTAGTAAAGACAGGGTTTCGCCCTGTTGGCCAGGCTGGTCTCGAACACCTGACCTCAGGTGATCCACCCGCCTCGGCCTCCCAAAGTGCTAGGATTACAGGTGTGAGCCACCGCACCCAGCCATGGAATCTACTTGTTAAGGAAACTCAGGCTAAGACAGTTGTACCGAAGTGACCCTAAAAAGGAAACTTTCAGGGTCCTTTAACAGTCCTTATCACAGATAAGAACCCGTGACTGGTGTTAAGTGGTTAATTACTACCGGTTTACAGCAGCATCCTAATCCCTAAGAATTCACCCAGTGATGGACGAAGGTGAGACGCCGGTGAATGCTGAAGCGTTGTATTATGTCATAGTAATGGTCCTTGAACAGCCTGGTAACAATGTGTATTATATGAATGTGGAGTTGGCTGGGTCTTGTTAACAGAATTAGAAACCTTGAAAAAGAAAATGATAGGCTCAGGTTAGTCAACTATCAACTCAAGGCATGCTGTCTTAAGACATGCCTTCATGGAGGCATTTTAAAGGGCTCTTGTCTTCTGTAACTGGGGCCCAGGACAGCAGTGCTACAACGGATAATGATTGCACAACTTTGATGGGTCTCCCAGGGTTACACTCTGGGACATAGAAAGGGGGCATTGGAGTGGATGAACCAGAGAATCTTGAGGCCCCGGGCCCTCCTGAACTGTCGAGGTTAGCAGAAGTAGCTCACTATCTCACACTGGCGGAGAGGAGCCTCTCCTCTCCAAAAGACCCTTCAAAAACCTCGCCTGAGGCTGTTGCCTCACAAAATGGTGAGTGTCCTTTTTAGGACCCATGCCTGGCTCCCTTCATTGCCTCAAGAGCTGGCTAATATGAACCGGCAGGAAATGAGAAGGTGTACAGACAGGTGGATCTTGAGGGAGGTGGGCTAGAGAGGGTAGCATCTAAGGCTGGGTAGGTGAGAGTTCATTGATATAAGAGCATCCTCCTACGATGAGGAGTTTCACATACTAGCAAGGACATCTGAGCCAGTCCCAGGATGTGCTGGGATTGCTCCCTAAAAATTGAACATGATGGTGACCTGCAGTAAGGCCAGAGGTACTCCAGCTGTCTTGCGGAGTTCTGAGGAAGAGGTTAGAAAGCTTGGGGAGATGGAAATATAGGAATGGATTTATTATGTGATACAGAGAACCTGTTCCCTAAGCATGTGGTCTAAGGAATATCCCTTCCATGGAAGCAATAAGGATGAGCTGCTGAGAGGGGTGCACACATCTTTGAGAAGCCCAGTTTTGGCTATCCTCCATAGGGCAGAGGTAACTGTAAGACTCTAGTAGTATCAGTGATGGTGACAATTCCAGAATAGCACGGTCCAGGTGGTAGCACTTAACAAAAGGCAAGGTGGATGTAACAGAAACAGGCAGCAAGGTTGAAATCTCAGCCAGGTGTCTCCTCTCAAAAGGTTTTGTGGCAATGGCTAACAAATAGACCATAGTGATCCTGGAGGGACAAGGTAGGTAGGCAAATGACTAAGAAGTTACTTCACTTATATAACAAGAAAAACTTGAGAGCTTGGTGAACCTACATCAATTGCAGAAGTGGAAAATCATGACCCCTCAGGTCTGAATCAGTTCTCACTCCCAGAGGCCATCAATTGAAGGAGAGTCTGGGTCCCTTTGAGAAAGGACTCTATAATGACACTACAGGAATAGACATTATTTCTCTTATTCCTTCCCTAAATGGACCTGTGGTCATGTACCAAAAAAAGGATACAGAGGAGAAAAGGGAATGCTCAGCCTTTTGAGAGCCATTGGATAGAGGGCACTCAAAACACCATTATGATCCCCCAGTTATAGTGGAAGCTTATGGAAACAAGGCAATAAATGAAATCCTGGCTCAAGTCTGACAGTGGTCCAGTAAGTCTCCAGCCCCCTCCTGTGGTTATTACCCTGGTTCCCAACTGTGTAATTAGGATGCAAATTAACAGCAGGTAGAATCTTACATTAAATACCTGACCTATGGAGTAAGAGCTATTATAGAGGGAAGAGCCAAGTGAAGGTGCCTGAAACTGCTCTCCTCCAGGCAACATAGTAAACCAAGGCAATACTGTATCCCAGAAGGAACTGCAGAGGTAGGCAAAGGGATGCGAGGGTAGTGGCCTCCACCAAATCTCTATTCAATTCACCTGCATGCCTCTAGTGAGCACCAGGTGGATTAAGGTAGGTGGAGATGGGGGCACCCAGTTGCAGCTGTTTTTTCCAGATGCTGCATCTTTACTAGAATAGATTAACAGACCCTGGCACTTGGAATGCAACTGTTGATGGAGTGAATGTGTTCTTTCTCATCACCATCAGTAAAGAAAATTTTAAAACCAACTTCTTTTTACAAGGCAGCCGGACATAGTCACTACCTTGGCACCGTTTTGCTGTGTCAACTCTTGTTTCTGTTACTACGTAGCCCACAGGGAACTTGACCATCTCAATCATCTGTGGAAGCAGAACATGATGCCGATTTATTGAATTAATGACATCAGGCCCATTTTGACTCAGCAGGAATTGGTGAGAACTTTGGATGCCCTAGTAAATACAATTGTGTCAAAGGGTGGAAGATATACACCACAAGCATTCATGGATGGAAGTAGATTTATATTAGTCCATTCTCACAGAGCTATAAAGAACTATCTGAGACTGGGTAATTTTTAAAGAAAAGGTTTAATTGGCTCACAGTTCCTCAGGCTGTACAGGAGGCATGGCTGGGGAGGCCTCAGGAAACTTACAATCATGGTGGAAGGCAAAGGGGAGGAGGCACGTCTTACATGGCTGGAGAAGTAGGAAGAGAGAGCAGCGGGAGGTGCCACACACTTTTAAACAACCAGATACCATAAGAACTCACTCACTATCATATGAACAGCAAGGGGAAAATCCGCCCCCATGATCCAGTCACCTCCCACCATGCCCCTCTTCCAACACTGGGGATTACAATTCAACACGTGGTTTGGGCAGGGTCACAAAGCCAATCTACATTAAGATGTAATTGCAGACAAGCTCTGGGGATTTATAGCAATCTTCCATGGAACTTACAAAGCTACTAGTGATAGTAGGTCTGTATATTATTGTAATTCACCCATAATAGACAATAAAAAGAAAGGAAAAGTTTCGGGATTGGGGGCACATAGTTTACAATAACCTTTTGTGTCTACCGTCTCCTGATTTTTAGGTATGATCATATTGCTGCTGCAACTTAGGAACTAATGAGAGAAAGGCATCAGAAAGAACCTTACAAACACGGATTTGTTGTTGTTTTGTGCATAATTTTCTAGGGGGAATCTTGTCTTCTTATTGTTGCTGCCAGGAAGCCCAAACGACATGATTTCCTTAGAAGCAGACAATAGTCCCTGTTATGTTGGGAGGAACAAGGTAATAAAAAAGATGTGAAAAACTACAGGAGTGTGCAATTAGGTGTGGACGCTGGCATCATATGGTGGAAGAGAATGCAAGAGTCAGCACAGAGGTGGCGGGTTCCAGGCAAGCAGTTATGCATGAGGGAGGGTGAGAAGTGAAAAGCAGCCCAAAGTAGGGCAATGCAGAATGGACCGAGAACCAGTGATTGTGGATGAGATAAAAGGCACGGAGGCCGAGCGCAGTGGCTCACGCCTGTAATCCCAGAGCTTTTGGAGGCCAAGGTGGGCAGATCACCTGAGGTCAGGAGTTTGAAACCACCCTGGCCAACATGGTGAAACCCTCGTCTCTACAAAAATACAAAAATTAGCCTGGCATGATGGCAGGTGCCTGAAATCTCAGCTACTTGGGAGGCTAAGGCAGGAAAATCACTTGAACCCAGGAGGCGGAGGTTGCAGTGAGCCGAGATCATGCCACTGCACTCCAGCCTGGGCAACAAGAGCAAAACTCAGTCTCAAAAAAAAAAAAAAAAAAAAAAAAAGGCATGGGAAAGTGAGAGAAGCAGAGTTGTGAAAAGCTGAAATGAGAGAATAGAAAAAAAAAATCAATATGAGTCTGTGACATTTTATAAGGAGGACAGCAATGCTGAGTGACATCAATCTTTAAAAGGCTGTTCTACCTGGAAACAATTATGAATATTTGTCCCAGTTATAAAATCAATTGTTTCCAGAAAAGAAAATCACAAATTATCCTAAAAATTTGTTTTCAAAAGTAACTTTTATAACTTCTTGTTAGAAAAATTATGCTGATCTATTTTAGAGAGTTCATAAAATTAGCAAAAAGAAAAAAACACTATAATTCTACCACTTAGAGATGAATAATTACCATTAATATCTTGATGTTTATCATCTAAAGGTTTTGTGTGTGTATTCTATTTTGATAAAAATAGGATCCTGTTGTGTAACACAATTTCTTTTTTAAAATGCACTATTTTCATCTGTGAGAAATCACATTCAGTTTCTAAAAAGAACTGAATAGATGATAGAAAATCTTTTCTGGGATTGCCTTTTATTTGAATTTTCAACATCCAACTTTTTTCTTCTGGAATGTGCTATATATCACTCTACCATAAAGCCAGGACCAGATCAGGCCTGGTCTGTCCTTTTTTTCCCTGTACAGAACTCCACAGCCTCCCTCATGTGACATTATCAGTAGCTTGCTGCAGCTGACCCACATATTTAATTTATTTTTATGGGCCTTTTTCTGGAACAATAAAAAAAAATTCTGGGATATCTTCCAGGATAAATGGAAAGGAAGTGCTGTCAATCTTGGAGAACAGCAGTGCAGATCACTGCCCTGACCTCCCCATGACTCAACTGCCTGTGTTTTCACTTTGGTCCTCTTTAAGGCTGCAAGGACTAATTGAATAGAGGTCGATGAGGCAAGGTAATAAGTGAGGTGTATATAATGACTCAAAGGCATCTTGCCTCCTCATTTTGGGCAAGTTACTTAAGTTCTCTGAGCCTTGGTTTCCTTCCATCAGCTAATGGGAATAATATCTATGCCATGAAATAGTGGCAAGAACTGAATGAGACTGTATGGATATTGGATGATGTTTCTGCAGTATGTGCAGGAACAACAAGCCACTCATTCTTCAGACTTGTGCACTAAAAGTAAGAGGATTTATGGAAAAAACAGGTTTGAAGCAGTTCATTCAAGGCCTATGCAGCTTTGTAACCAAAGCAGTGACAGTAACAATATCCATCCTAATAAAATGCACCATAGTTAAGCTTCTAAAAAGAAGAAATACTATCAAGTAAATTTATAAGATTGCCTTTGCCTTTAAGAAAAGGCAATGGTTACTTGATGGAAGAGGCTGTGAATGAGGGTTGATGCTGCCAAGTTACAGAGATGAGGGCAAAATGCAGTGAGACCCAGTGAGTACCTCCAAGATAGAGCCAAGAAAGTGGGGTGAATGGGCACCATGTTAAGTACTGGATTACTTCATGGTTTCTTTTTTTAAAAGCTTATTAGGGTACATTAGCTGCAAAATAGTAACGTGTGCATAGGGCTGCAATTTTTTTTTTTTTTTTCAGATACAGTCTCACTCTGTCACCCAGAGTGGAGTGGAGTGGCGCCATCAAGGTTCACTGCAGCCTTGGCCTCCTGGGCTCAAGCAATCCTCCTGCCTCAGCCTCCAAAGTAGCTGGGATTACAGATGTGTGCCACCACACCCAGCTAATTTTTGTGTATTTTTGCAGAGATGCGCGTTCACCATATTGCTCAGGCTGGTCTCAAACTCCTGGGCTTAAGTAATCCCCCAGCCTTGGCCTCCCAAAGTGCTGGGATTACAGGCATGGGCCACTGCACACAACTTAGAGCTGCAAAATATTAACATGCTGGGGAAAATCACGTATGAAAGCAATCTTGATTTTGGTGATATCTCTGGATTTATCATTTATGTGTGGACTAATTTCCAAGATAGATATAGATGGTGCAGCAGAACAGACCGTCCCTAGTACAGGGGCTGGTTCATAGTAAGTGCTCCTTAAATGATTGTGAAGTCATCTTCATTATTCTTTCTTTTCTTTTTTTTAAGACAGGATCTCACCTCGGCCACCCAAGCTGGAGTGCAGTGGCGCAGTCATGGCTCACTGTAGCCTCCAACTCCTGGGCTCAAGCAGTCTTCCTGTCTTGGCTTCCCAAAGTGCTGGGATTAAAGGCATGAGCCATCACACCCCAACTGTCTTCATTATTCTCATCATACTTATCATCAAAATTATCATGATATATGTTAATCCCCACTAGTCAGGAATTCAGAATAGAGAAGTAAGTTACTACACAGAACCAGCATACAATGAGACATAAGGAAACCCATTCTAAAGCAAGATTCTGACCCTAGCCAGAGGCATTACGTATGTTTCTGTTAAAACAAGAACTCATTCTAGGATGTCACCAGTTTTGAGTCCCAGTAGAAAGTGACAGGTGAAAGTAGATTCAGATGGTTTGGGGGAATCTCCATATTGAGATTTGGAATTTAGCATTTTGTAAGTAATCTACTTATGGCAAAATGGTGTGGGTGGACTTATTTAGTGTCCAAAATGGAGAATGGAACTGGATTTCTCTGATTTTATTTTTACCACTTATCTGCTTAAATGGAATTATGAGTGAAGGGAAACCAGGTTTAATCTCTCTATTCTACGCAGTTTCAGATTTAACATTTATTGCAAAAGGACATGGAAAAACAGAGAGCTCATGTTTTATCAAGATCTGACCTTTACATATGAGCTACTAATGTTTTCTTATTTTTGCAACATCCTTTTGTCCTGCTTGATTGTTTGACAGAAATTTGAGGAAAGAGGCAATAATGATTTTTTTTTTTTCTGAGATGGAGTCTCGCTCTGATGCCAGGCTGGAGTGCAGTGGAACAATCTCAGCTCATTGCAACCTCTGCCTCCTGGGTTCAAGTGATTCTCCTGCCTCAGCCTCCGGAGTAGTTGGGACTACAGGCCTGCACCACCACGCCCAGCTAATTTTTCTATTTTTAGTAGAGATGAGGTTTCACCATGTTGGCCAGGATGGTCTCAATCTCTTGACTTCATGATCTGCCCACCTCGGCTTCCCAAAGTGCAGGGATTACAGGCGTGAACCACCGTGCCCAGCCAATAATGATTTTAAGAATTGACAAACTGCAGGCCGGGCGCGGTGGCTCACACCTGTAATCCCAGCACTTTAGGAGGCTGAGGCAGGCAGATCACGGGGTCAGGAGATCGAGACCATCCTGGCTAACAAGATGAAACCCCATCTCTACTAAAAATACAAAAAATTATCCGGGCATGGTGGCGGGCACCTGTAGTCCCAGCTACTCGAGAGGCTGAGGCAGGAGAATGGCGTGAACCCGGGAGGCGGAGCTTGCACTGAGCAGAGATCGCGCCGTTGCACTCCAGCCTGGGCGACAGAGTGAGACTCCGTCTCAAAAAAAACAAAATAATAATAATAATTGAAAAACTGCAAGGCAGGCGGATCACTTGAGCTCAGGAGTTGGAGACCACACTGGACAACATGGCAAACCCTGTCTCTACCAAAAATACACACACACACACACACACACACACACACACACACACACAAAGTTAGCTGGGCATGGTAGTATGTGCCTATAGTCCCAGCTACTTGGGAGGCTGAGATGGGAGGATTGCTTGAGCCTGGGAGGCAGAAGTTGCAGTGAGCCGAGATCATGCCACTGCACTCCAGCCTGGGCAACACGGTGAGACCCTGTCTCAAAAAAAAAAAAAAATTGAAAAACTGAGTCTTAAATATAGAGGCAAGTAAGAAAAAATAAAGAAAAAAAAGAATTGAAAAACAATTATTTTGCATAGGTTGAGCATGGTGGCTCATGCCTGTAATCCCACCAGTTTGGGAGGCCAAGGTGGGCGGATCACTTGAGGTTAGGAGTTCGAGACCAGCCGTGACCAACATGGTGAAACCCCATCTCTACTAAAATATATATATTGTGTATGTATATATATATACACAAAAATTATCCAGGTGTGGTGGTGGGTGCCTCTAATCCCAGATACTCAGGAGGCTGAGGCAGGAGAATCTCTTGAACCTGGGAGGCAGAGGTTGAAGTGAGCCGAGATCACGCCACTGCACTCCAGCCAGGGGGACAGAGCGAGACTCCATCTAGAAGAAAGAGAAGAGGAGAGGGGAGGAGAGGAAGGAAAAGAAAGATTACTTTGTACAGAATCTTCTTCAAATGTTGATGAAAGAAAGAAGAAAGAAAAAGAATTACTTTGTACAGAATCTTCTTCAAATGTTGATAAGAGCTTCAGTCTCAGAATCTACATAGTGCCACAATAGCTCAACTCTCCTTTGCTTGTCATAAGCCCTAGTCAGTCTCAGGCTGTCTTGGGGAGCTACAGTAGCCCAACTGGCAGAAGCAAATGTAAAGTTGAAAAGGCAAAACCTAGAATGGTGCTTATTTTCATAAAACTGTCCACAAATGGTGTAACACAACAATGTTACGAATTTAGACATTCAAGGATCAGGAAATTCCAGAGTTAAGGTTCTTATATTGATTCAGCTATATAGCACATTTAATAGGGTTTATAATATGCCCTAAAAATAAAAGCCATAATGGACTATGATTTTTCTTAAAGGGAAAATGGGAAGACCAGTTTATGGCTGGAGAGATCAAATAAATAGCGCTATGAAAACCTCTGGAGGCTGAGCACGGTGGCTCTCGCCTGTAATGCCAGCACTTTGGGAGGCCAAGATGGGTGGATCATTTGAGCTCAGGAGCTGAGACCAGCCTGGCCAACATGGTGAAACCCCGTCTCTACTAAAAATACCAAAATTAGGTGGGCATGGGTGGTGTGTGCCTGTAATCCCAGCTACTCAGGAGGCTGAGGCAGGAGAATCTCTTGAACCCAGGAGGCAGTGGTTGCCGGGAGCTGAGATCGTACCACTGCACTCCAGCCTGGGCTACAGAACAAGACTCCAACTCAAAAAAATACGAAAAGCTTTGGAAACTGATGCTTTGATTATGTATGTTCTTAGCTTGTAGGCTTCATTATTATATATTTTTCTGGGGTTAAGTAGAAGGCACATTTTCAAAAAAAGTAATTGTTTGCTAAAGTAGAATTCTTAAATGATTTTTTTTTTCGCATCAGGAAGCTGTAAGTCCAAGTTCTTGCAAAAAACCATAAATGTTCTATTTTGTGTTTTTTTCTTAAATACATTATTTAAATCTTCATGGCTTTAGATTGGCTTGATTTTTTTCCCTTCCTCCTTTGGGAGTACATTGCTACCAAGTTTAAAGTTTGTAACAATCATGTTTGAATGACATAAATGCAAAAAAGTCTCAACCGTCTGTCTGCAATAGGAAAAATTATATTTCTTTCACCATTGTTTTACTACAGACTCATGAAGTTATTTTTATAAAACTAACTTTTTTTTCCCATGAGGGAGAAAGTTCAGTGCAAATGTATAGAGCTAAAACCTAAACTAAATTTTTCTAGGAAATTCCTTAGTAAATGAGTGACTATGGTATGGTCTTAAATATTACTATTTTTGAGTTTTTTTGGTTTTGATTTTCACTGACTTAGTGATTTGGGCAAGGCAAATGATCTTTCTAAACTTCCTTTTCTCAAAGTAAAATTGACTATAGTTTATGTAATAGGCTGCAGTAGCTACTGTTATTTATCTCCTCTGCAAGACTTCCCAACACTTTTCTTCCATTAACATTTCTGGCCCTTGGAGTTCTTCCCTGGGATTTCTTGATTTGGAGCCTGGAGAGGAATAGCCTTGCCTCAGAGGTCAAGTCCTAGAGGGATATGAAGGTATGTATGCGTGCAGGTTGCAGGGTAGAGGAGGTGGCCAACTTCACCATGTGCAGAAGTCTATCTGCAGTGAAAGAGGATAAAAACGAGCAGAGACAGAGAAATGGCAATACATGGGCTGAGGGTGGGTGGGAGACGGAGCCATTGTGAGCATTCATGAGCAAACATGAAGTGAAACATTTCTCTTTCCAGTCCCAGAAGCCCAGGTCCTGTAGGTCCTGATCAATCCCTTGATCCTATGAGCTACTCCATTATCCTGAGCCTCACGAACTAGGATATTCCCTTTTACACTCAATCTAATTTTATAGTTAGATTTCTGATATCTGCAACCCAATTCTGTCGTGTGGCGTCTTTCTCTTTTTTTCTGAGAGAGTCTTGTTCTGTCGCCCAGGCCGGAGTGCAGTGGTGCGATCTCAGCTCACTGCCACCTCTGCCTCCTGGTTCAACTGATTCTCCTGCTTCAGCTTCCCAAGTAGCTGGTGTTACAGGTGCCTGCCACCACGCCTGGCTAATTTAGTATTTTTAGTGGAGATGGGGTTTCAACATGTTGGCCAGGCTGGTCTCAAACTTCCAACCTCAGGTGATCCGCCTGCCTCAAGCCTCCCAAAGTGCTAGGAGTACAGGCATGAGCCACTGCACCCGGCTACGTGGAGTGTTACATAGGGCAATGTTTCTCAAACTTTAGCATGCATCAGAATCACTGAGGGTTTGCATTGTGTGGGAAGTTAGATTTTTAGGTTTCCTTCTAGTACTAATAATTTATGATTATTTTAAATGTCTTCTATGTAGGAGCAAGAAAACAAAGGAACACTCAATCTGTTCTTTCAAACAGCAGGGAAACACAAAAACCAAAATGCGTTCCTGCCACAAATGAAGACTTGTTCAGTAAAGCAAATTTCATAACTCACTTCCATATTGATTTTGGGAAAAATTTGTTGCCATTGTTTATGAAATTCTGTAGTATAACAGCAAACATTAATTGGGCACCTATTTAACATTGCTAATAAAGCGCATATGTTGTCCTTACTCACCAAGCCCAATATAACAGCTCTTCAAATTACATATGTAGATGACTATTGCCAGAATTTATTTTATAATATATCGAAAATGCTAACTTGAAGAGACAATGTTACCAGGTCCAGAGGTTCAGCTCTGTTACTATTACCTAAATCTAGTGGTTAATCCAGTAGAAATATCATATAGGAAAAAAAATCCTGTTTTCTTTTCAACTTTTTGTGAAAAAAAAAACAAAAACAAATAGTGTTGAACAAATTTAATAATGAAAATAATATAGCTTTACTGGGTATTGTTACATTTTCATAGTGGTATAACAATGTTCAAGGATTACATCTTTATTTCCAGCATATGGCACTGCCTATTTTTTAGTAATATACCCAGGCTCATGTGCAGCTGGTAGAACCAGGACAGACACACCAGTTGTTGGGCAGTGCCCATGATATACTGTTATTAAATAAGTTGAAATACCTCTGAATATACCATTTCTTAGAATTTTTTTTTTTAAGACAGGGTCTCACTCCAGCCCCCTGGGATGGGGTGCAGTGGGGCCTTCATAGCTTACTTCAGCCTCGAAGATATCCTCCCTCCTCAACCTCCCACGTAGCTGGGAGTACAGTTGCATGCCACCACATCCGGTTAGCTTTTAAAATTTTTTTGGAGAACCAGGATCTCGCTATGTTGCCCAGGTTAGTCTCAAACTCCTGGCCTCAAATGATTCCCACACTCGGCTCCCAAAGTTCTAGGATTATAGGCATGAGCCACCACACCTGGCCCCAGAAATTATTCTTAAAGGCAGAAGCCTCAGTAGTAGTTTTTTGGTTAAAAAATGAAACACAGCAGGTTATTTTAGTTGTGTTTTGAGACTTAAAAAGTTTAACCAAGTATATTAGTTTGAAGATACTTTTAAAAAAGAAACCAATGAAAATGAAAAATACACTAGTATTGCATGTTTTTGAAATTACACACACACACACACACACACAGACAGATCTGCCACTTAACTAATCTTCTCACTTTGACAAAATCACAAGATTCCCTAAGCTCCCAAAAGCTCAGTTGTCTTGTCTATAAAATGCAAAGATTGGACTGGATGTTCCCTGTATTCTTTTTAAAGCTAACATTCTACAGTCTTATGGGGGAGGGGTAGCACGATGATTCATTAAGTTTTCTTTAAACACATTTAGGTTTATTGTAGTTTCTAGAATCCAAGAGTTAATTCTATTCATGCCTTTATTTAGAAAATAGAGACACTGAAAATGAGCAGCATATGACTAAACTTCATGGAGAATGATTACATCATAAAAGGAGAAAACTTGAAACCCTAGAGCTCTGCAGAAATATGTGTCAGAATTGTGTGCTTGTCAGAGAAGTGTTTGGAGGAAGATTGGTACAACCTATTATTCACGGAGTTCTTCCTGCTCTTCCCAAAGCAGCATATCTCTGTGATTTCTCAGTGAATTTCACAATATGCTCTGTGGTAGCTACATTATTAACTCTTTTATATATTGGGAAATTGAAATAAATGAAGAAAAGAATTTGTCCAGGTTTATGCAATGGGTAAGTATAAAAATCACTTCTAAAAACCGGAAATTTAGGGGGAGACTTATGTGAAGATACTAAAGAATTGATTTAAAGTGTAGAAAGTCAATGTCAGCAGTTTCCTTTTCTATGAACATGACATTAAATAACTTTGAAGGTTATAATTATGGATGAATATTATATCATCACTCTTTATAAAAGAGACCAAAGTACTAAAATGTCAACTCACTTTCAGCTGCTTTTGAAAATCAAAAAACAAACTCAAAAACACAAATGAAATTAGCTATGGTTAAGTATAAATCAGCACAATTTGTGTGAGCACAGTTAAAATGACAGATGGACTGTGTGCCCCTAAATGCAAGATATAGAAGATTTTGTGCAAAACAAAGTCTACATATGTTAAGTCTGAGTTTCCTGGTTTGAAAAGGATTAATCAACCTCAATAGAAGAAAAGCTAAAGAAAACAAGCAGTTTATCTTTGGAGAAAACAGAAAATGCTAAAATTTCTCTTGATGATAGCATAATGCTACATGACAGTCAGATTTTGCAACAGCCAGTTCTCACATATTCAGCTAATAATTTAAAACAGTCTTTACCACTTTGTTGAGCCTGAAGGCATAATTCACAGCAGACCAAAAAAATACACCCTTCAGCAACTTTTGGCTCACCATCTAGAGAGTCTGCTGTTTGATATAGTTAATAAAACACTGAAGCTTCATATTGCTTCTCTACTGAGCAGAAATATTTCAAGAATGCATGAGAGAAAATAAATAAGAATATGATTCTAGTAGAGGAATTGAAATAAATGTGAAGATTGAGGAATATCAAAGTAAAAAAAAAAAAAAAATTGGGCCAGGCACAGTGGCTCATGCCTGTAATCCCAGCGCTTTGGGAGGCTGAGGTGGGCAGATCACCTGAGGTCAGGAGTTCGTTCAAGAGCAGCCTGGCCAAAATGGTGAAGCCCCATCTCTACAAAAATACAAAAATTAGCCAGGCATGATGGTGGGTGCCTGTAATCCCAGCTACTTGGGAGGCTGAGGTGGGAGAATCGCTTGAACCCAGGAGGTGGAGGTTGCAGTGAGCCGAGATCATGCCATTGCACTCCAGCCTGGGTGACAGAGCAGGACTCCATCTCAAAAAAAAAAATTGGACTAGTTTCACATACTAAATAGTTTCAGTGACTGGGAATTTATAGGTTGGCATCAATTTGGAAGATCACACATCCATTAATCTATAATATAACTGAGTTTTTAAGTATCTTAAAGTACACTTGCACATACCATACTGTCATGCTGAAAAATAGATTCATGCAATAATTGTGGCTATAGCAACTGCTTCAATAAACCCAAGAGTTTGGGCATGATGAAAAAGGCTGAAGGAAAGGAAGAGGAGCTGGAGTGGTGGAAGGAGATTCAGCAGACTGTGTCTGTAGCATATTGCATGGTCAGTAAAATTGAACCTAGATAGGAGCTCTGTAGGCTTCATTCTATACTCTGTATCATTTATCTAGTATCTTCATATGGCTGTATGTCTGCCCAAAGAATACACAGGCATACCTCATTTTATTGCACTTTATTGTGCTTCACAGTGCATTTTTCACAAATTGAAGGTTTGTGGCAACCCTGTTGTGATGGTTAATATTGAGTGTCAACTTGTTTGGATTGAAGGATACAAAGAATGGTTCCTGGGTGTGTTTGTGAGGGTGTTGCCAAAGGAGATAAACATTTGAGTCAGTGGACTGGGAGAGGCAGACCCACCCTCAATCTGGGTGGGCCCCATCGAATCAGCTGCCGGTGCAGGTAGAATAAAGCAGGCAGAAGAAGGTGGAATGAGCAGACTTGCTGAGGCTTCCGGCCTTCATCTTTCTCCCATGCTGGATGCTTCCTGCCCTCAAACATCACACTCCAAGTCCTTCAGCTTTTGGACTCTTGAACCTACATCAGTGGTTTGCCAGGGGCTCTCTGGCCTTCAGCCACAGACTGGAGGCTGCATCCCTACTTTTGAGGTTTTGGGACTCAGACTGGCTTTCTTGCTCCTCAGCTTGCCAATGGCCTATGTGGGACTTTACCTTGTGATTTTGTGAGTCAATACCCCTTAATAAACTCCCCTTCATATATACGTCTGTCCTATTAGTTCTGTCCCTTTAGAGAAACTTGCACCTGTATAAACCAAGTCTATCGGTGCCATTTTTCCAACAGTACATGCTCACTGCATGTCTCCATGTCATAGTTTGGTATTCCTCACAATATGTCCAACTTTAAAATAATCATTATTATATCTATTATGGTGATATGTAATCAGTGATCATTCATGTTACTATGGTAATTGTTTTGGGGAGCTATGAACTGAACCCATATAAGACACTAACTTAGATAAATGCTGTATGTGTTCTGACTGCTCCATGGACAGGCCCTTCCCTCATCCCTCTGCTTCTCCTTGGGCCTCCAATTCCCCATGAAATTATATTGAAATTAAGCCAATTAATAACCCTATAATGGCCTCTAAGTGTTCAGGTGAAAGTAAGAGTCACACATCTCTCACTTTAAATCAAAAGCTAGAAATGATTACACTTACAGGGGAAAGGAGGATGAAAGGCAAGATAGGCCAAAAACAAGGCCTTTTTGTTTTTTTTAAATGGGGTCTCACTCTGTCACCCAGGCAGGAGTGCAGTGGCACAATCATAGCTCGCTGCAGCCTCAAACTCCTGGAATCAAGTGATCCTGCCACCTCAGCCTCCTGAGTGGCTGGGACAGGCACATGCCACCATGCCCAATTAATTAAAAAATTTTTTTCATCCATATTCTGCTTATGCTATGGCGCTTGTGCTATGGCACCTGGCTAATTTTCTGTATTCTTGATGCTCTGGCATCTGGGGTCTTGTGGACTCCAGGAACTGCCCCTCCAAGGATTAACTAATTTCTAAAGATAAGGAACTTGCCTGCCAGCATGCCTTTAATATGCAAACCAACCAATTCCAAGACCATATTGCCCACTTGTCACCTTTTATCAGACTTCTAAAATTTTTTTTTTTTGTGGAGATGGGGTCTCGCTATATTCCCCGGGCTGGTCTCAATCTCCTAGCCTCAAGCGATCCTCCTGCCTCTGCCTCCCAAAGGACTACAGGCATATGTCACCCCACCTGGCCAACAAGGCCTCTTGCATTAACAGGAGAGTTGTGAGTGCAAAGGAAAAGTTCTTGAAATAAACTAAAAGTGCTACTTCATAAACATATGAATGACTAAAAAAAAGAGAAATAACTTTTTATTACTGATATGGAGAAAGTTTTGGTGGTCTGGATAGAAGATCAAACCAGCCACTACATTCCCTTAAGCCAAAGCATAATCCAGAGCAAGGCCCTAAATCTCTGCAATTCTAAGAAGACTGAGAGAGGTAAGAAAGATACAAAAGAAAAGTTTGAAGCTGGCAGAAGTTGGTTCAGAGGCTTAAGGAAAGAAGTTGTCTTAATAACATAAAAGTGCAAGGTGAAACAGCAAGTGATCCAGAAGTTCTAGCTAAGATGATTGATGAAGGTGGCTACACTACACAACAGATCTTCTGTGTAGATGAAACAGCCTTCTATTGGAAGAAGATGCCATCTAGAATTGTCATAGCTAGAAGTAAGTCAATATAGTCCAGGTGCAGTGGCTCACACCTATAATCCCAGCACTTTGGGAGGCCAAAGTGGCTGGATCACTTGAGGTCAGAAGTTTGACACCAGCCTGGCCAACATGGTGAGACCCCGTCTCTACTAAAATACAAATATTAGCCAGGTGTGGTAATGCATGCCTGTAGTCCCAGTTACTTGGGGGACTGAGGCAGGAGAATCACTTGAACCCAGGAGGCAGAGGTTGCAGTGAGCCAAGATTACGCCACTGCACTGCAGCCTGGTTGACAGAATGAGGCTCTGTCTCAAAAAAAAAAAAAAAGAAAGAAGTCAATAATAAGTCAATGCCTGGCTTTAAAGCTTCAAAGGACAGGCTTACTCTCTTGTTAAGGGCTAATGTAGCTGGTGACTTTAAGTTGAAGCCAAAGCTTATTTACCATTCTAAAAATCCTAGGGTCCTTTAGAATTATGCTAATGAAGTTCAGGATTTCATGTCATTAAAAAAAGAATGATGCTGAATCTACTCTCCTTGTGCGCTATAAATGGAAAAATAAAATCTGGATGAGAGCACATCTGTTTACAGCATGGTTAACTGAATAATTTAAGTCCATTGTTGAGAACTACTACTCAGGAAAAAAGATTTCTTTTAAAATATTATTGCTCACTGACAATGCACCTAGTTAATCCAAGCATTCTGATGGAGATGTACAAGGAGATAAATGTTGTTTTCATGCCAGCTAACAGAACATCCATTCTATAGAAGTAATTTCAACTTTAAAGTCTTATTATTTAAGAAATACATTTTGCAAGGCTGTTGCTGCCATAGATAGCAATTCCTGTGATGGATCTGGGCAAAGTAAATTAAAAATCTTCTAGAAAGGATTCACCATTCTAGATACCAGTGAGAACATTCATGATTCTCATCATGGGAGGAGTTTAACAGGAGTTTGGAAGAAATTCATTCCATTATGTATGACTTTGAGGGGTTCCAGACTTCAGTGGAGGAAGTCACTGCAGATATGGTGGAAATAGCAAGAGAACTAGAATTAGCAGTGGAGCCTGAAGATGTGACTGTATTGCTGCAATCTCATTATAAAACTTGAATGGATGAGGAGTTGCTTCTTACCTGATGAGCAAAGATAGGGGTTTCTTGAGATGGAAACTACTCCCAGTGAAGATGTTGTGAACACTGTTGAAATGACAACAAAGATTTAGAATATTATATAAACTTAGTTGTTAAGCAGTGTCAGGATTTGAGAGGATTGACTCTAATTTTGAAAGAAGTTGTATTGTGGGTAAAATGCTGTCAAATAGCACCACATGCTGCAGATAAATCTCCTGTGAAAGGAAGAATCAATTGATGGAGTTAACTTCATTATTGTTTTATTTTAGAAAATTGCCACAGGCACCCCAGCCTTCAGCAACCATCACCCTGGTCAGTCAGTATCCATCAGGACAAGACATTCCACCAGCAAAAATATTACAACTCACTGAAGGCTCAGATTAATGTTAGCAGTTTTTAGCAATGAAGTATTTTTAAATTAAGGTATATACATTGTTTTTGTAGACATAATACTATTGCACACTTAATAGACTACAGTATAGTATGAACATAAACTTTTATGTGCACTGGGAAACCAAAAAGTTTGTGTGACTTGCTTTACTGTGATATTCACTTTTTTGTGGTGGTCTGGAACTGAACCTGCAGTATCTCAAGTTATGCCTATAGTTACATTCAGTATATTTTGGGCCAGGCATGGTGGCTTATGCCTATAATCTCAGCACTTTGGGAGGCTGAAGTAGGAGGATTGCTTGAGACTCGGAGTTCAAGATCAGCCTGAGCAACACCCTATCTCTATTATTAAAAAAAAAAAAACCCAAAAGAACAAAAAACCACTATATTTTGTATTAGCTGTATTTTCTTATATTCTGTATTCCTTTTTTTTTTTCTTTTTTGTGAGACAGGGTGTTACTCTGTTTTCCAGGCTGGAGTGCAGTGGGGTGATCACAGCTCACTGCAGCCTTGACCTCCCAGGCTCAAGTGATCCTCTCACCTCATTCTAGCAAGAGTAGCTGGGACCACAGCTGTGTGCCACCACACTTGGCTATTTCTTTTTTATTATTTGTAAAGATGAGGTCTCATTATGTTGCCCAGGCTGGGCTCAAACAATCCTCCCACCTCAGCCTCCCAAAGTGGTGGGATTACAGGTGTGAGCTACCGCACCCAGCCTCTTCTTCTTCTTCTTTTTTTTTTTTTTTTTTTGTAAGAGATAGGGTCTCACTATGCCTGAAACTCCTAGGGTCAAGCGATCCTCCTGCCTCAGCCTCCTGAGAAGCTGGGACTACAGACTTGTGCCCCGGCACCCAGCTAATTTTCTGTATTCTTGATGCCCTGGCATTTGGGGTCTTCTGGACCCTGGGAACCACCCCTCCGAGGATTAACTAATTCCTAAAGATAAGGAACTTCCCTGCCAGTATGCCTTTAATATGCAAACCAACCAATTCCAAGACTCTATTGCCCATATGTCACCTTTTATCAGACTCCTACTGTCTGGGACTCTATCCCCTACCTTAATCACCGCAGGGCCAAGTACCAGACAACTGGGGACCACCAACATAGCGCCAGAGCCCACTGAAATTATTTAGACTCTCTGACCATAAGCTTGTACTGCTTGCCTACTTTGCTTGGCCCATTCCTTCCTGCATAAACTACAATTAAATCTCCCACCCACAGATCCTGTCTCTCCCTGCCTGCTCATCTAGCTTTGGTGCTTCCCTGTGTGGTCCTGCATGTGTGTTGTGCCTCCTCTTTCTAGGGACTGTGATTATAATAAAAAACTTCTTCCATCATGGCAATCATTTTTATGTCTGTGTGTATTACTATACCAGCTCAACACAAGTGCTGGGTACTTTTTTAGAACAATGGTGATAAGCAAATTTCCCAACTACCCCCTTAGACTGCGCCAACTGAATACATTTTCTGAGGTTGCTCACTAGCTTATTATACACTACAGTCCCCAGGCCACCCTACCCTTGCTGCATGTCTTTATTCAGTACTTTAATGATGCAGTGGCTATAACATTGTGGATTGTTTTGGATGGCCCAGCAACTTTACCTATTCTTTTGGAAAATGAGAAATTAGTCTCTCCCCATGAACCACCAAAATAGTCCTTTGTTAGAGGCCATGGCTTTTTCTGTCCAGTGGATGAACATACAACCAAGCTAGGTCATCCAGATAGTGTTTCCCTGAAATTTTTGTTTTTAAACTTTTAAGTTTGGGGTACATATGCAGGTTTGCTACATAGGTAAACTTGTGTCATGGGCATTTGTTGTACGATTACTTCTTCACCCAGGTGTTAAGTCTAGTACCCATTCATTATTTTTCCTGATAATCTGCCTCCTCCTAGCCTCCACCCTCCAGTAGGCCCCAGTGTGTGTTGTTCCCCTCTATGTTGTGTTCAGGTATTCTCATCATTTAACTCTCACTTATAAGTGAGAACATGCAGTATTTAGTTTTCTGTTCCTGCGTTAGTTTGTTAAGGGTAATGGCCTCCAGTTCCATCCGTTTTCCTGCAACGTCCATGATCTCGTTCTTTTTTATGGCTGTGTTGTTTTCCATAGTGTATATGTACCACATTTTCTTTTTCCAGTCCACTGTTGATGGGCATTTAGGTTGATTCTATGTCTTTGCTATTGTGAATAGTGCTGCAATGAACATACACATGCATATGTCTTTTTTTTTTTTTTTTTTGAGACCAAATCTCGCTTACCTAGGCTAGAGTACAGTGGTGTAATCTTGGCTCACTGCAGCCTCCCTCTTCCAGGTTCAAGCAATTTTCATGCCTCAGCCTCCCAAGTAGCTGGAACTACAGGTATGCGCCACCAGGCCCAACTAATTTTTGTATTTTTAGTAGAGACGCGGTTTTGCCATGTTGCCCAGGATGGTCTTGAACTCCTGGGCTGAAGTGATCTGCCTGCCTCGGCCTCCCAAAGTACTGAGATTACAGGTGTGAGGCACTGTGCCCGGCTGCATGTGACTTTATGATAGGATGATTTATATTCCTTTGGGTATATACCCAGTAATGGAATTGCTGGGTCAGAGCCAGAAATGTTGGAGCTGATTTATCTTGTCATTGGCACCTGGAAGAAATAACCACTGGTTCTCACTGCTTAGATCCTACAGCTGTCCTGGTACTTCTGCCTTTCCTTTGTTTTCATGAGCTATCTGATAAGCTTCCAGTAAAGTCTTTAAGTTATAATTGGTTTCTATCCTTGCAACAATAGGACCCCAGCAGACACTCATGAATTCAGTGACTAGAGACACTTTATGTAACCTTGGCCATTAAAGTAAAATTCACATGGAGTCCTGAAAGTTCAAGATGGTGGTAAGAGAGTTTGTGCATGAATTATTTGTGAAAGTACTTTGCAAAATGTCAGTGCTATATGGTATTGTCTCTAGTCTTCTCTTTGCTCCTCACCCTCACCCCACCCTTTATACCAAAATGGTACAGACATACAAGTTTAAGGACAATTATTTCACCACTGTACCAGTGAATGGAAACTATGTGCTGTGCTGAAATGTCTGGTTTACAGGGATAGGTTTCTTTCTGACCTCTTCCCTCTAGAAAGCTAGAGATGTGAGATAAGGCTTATAGTTCCCGTCATCAGAGTGGAGACCCACCCACGGTTATCTCATGCCTCACCAGAGGGTGAAGCAGTTGGTGTAATAAACCCTGACCCTCTTCCTCTCTTTAGATGCTCCTACCCCTGACCCCTCCCATTTTGTAACTTACTTGAGAAGTGCTTCTGCTCTGATCTGAGAAGCCCTGAGGTAGACAGGTGTAGGCTTTGGGGCAAACCGTCTCTTCTGCTCTCTGTTCCTTTGGGTCTTCTGCCTCCCATCTGGTGGATGTGACCTGTTCGTGCAGTGGAGTGAAAAGATCTGTGTCTCAGGTTCAGGCTTCCAGTGGGAAAAAAACCACAGCAAGCCTTTGCGCATATTTTGGCTTGAGGTTATTCAGACTGAACTTGAGTTCTTTGCTAGGAGTTGGGGCCAAAGCTCCAGCCAATGATAAAGTGCCTTGCTGTGTCTCTTGGGTATATATTTCTCTTGGGAGAAAGTCATGAACAAGGATAGAATTTGGGTATTCCTAGCTTCTTAGTGAAATATCATCATAATATCACATCTTTCAGGTCAGTCAGCATACATTAATTCGGCCATGTCTATTGTTTACAACTGTCCATTCTGACTGATTAATGTCCATGCCCTACTGTTGTCCTTTTGGCATTTTGAATATTATATCTTATTTTGTTAATATACTCAACACCTCCTTCCTAAATGCTTTTTTTTTTTGGAGATGGAGTTTCACTCTTGTCACCCAGGCTGGAGTACAACAGTATGATCTCGGCTCACTGCAACCTCCATCTCCTGGGTTCAAGTGATTCTTATGCCTCAGCCTCTCAAGTAGCTGGGATTACAGGCATGCACCACCACAACCAGCTAATTTTTGTGTTATTAGTAGAGACAGGGTTTCACCATGTTGGCCAGGCTGGTCTCTAACTCCTGACCTCAGGTGATACACCCGCCTCAGCCCCCACAAGTGCTGGGATTACAGGTGTGAGCCACCACGCCCGGCCCTAAATGCAATTTTTTTTTTTTTTTTGAGATGGAGTCTAGCTCTGTTGCCCAGGCTGGAGTGCAGTGGCGTGATCTCAGCTCACTGCAACCTCCACCTCCCGGGTTCAAGTGATTCTCCTGCCTCAGCCTCCCACGTAGCTGGGATTACAGGTGCCTGCCACCACGCCCAGCTAAGTTTTGTATTTTTAGTAGAGACAGGGTTTCACTGTGTTGGCCAGGCTGGTCTCGAACTCCTGACCTAGTGACCCACTCGCCTTGGCCTCCCAAAGTGCTGGGATTACAAGCGTGAGCCACTGCACCCAGTTGCAATTTTTTTTTTTTTTTTTTGGGGAACAGAGTCTCGCTCCGTTGCCCAGACTGGAGTGCAGTGGCATGATCTCAGCTCACTGCAAGCTCTGCCTCCTGGGTTCACACCATTCTCTTGCCTCAGCCTCCCGAGTAGCTGGGACTACAGGTGCCCACCACCACGCCCGGCTAATTTTTTGTATTTTTAGTAGAGATGGGGTTTCACCATGTTAGCCAGGATGGTCTCGATCTGCTGAGCTCGTGATCCACCTGCCTCAGCCTCCCAAAGTGCTGGGATTACAGGCGTGAGCCACCGTGCCCGGTCACCCAGCTGCAATTTTTAATATA
This sequence comes from Homo sapiens, assembly GCF_000001405.40. NCBI lineage: Eukaryota > Metazoa > Chordata > Mammalia > Primates > Hominidae > Homo > Homo sapiens. The sequence continues at coordinate 227,334,163 of NC_000001.11, read as the reverse complement.
TGCGGTAGGTTGCAAAAATGTTCACAGTTGTTTAGACCTTCTTATATCCAACACCCCCCAACCTTTCTTTTTAAGACATAGGGTCTCACTCTTTCACCCAGGCTGGACTATAGCAGCATGACCTTGGCTCATTGCAGCCTCAAACTCCTGGGCTCAACTGATTCTCCAGCCTCAGCCTCTTGAGTAGCTGGGACTACAGATGTGAGCCACTTTCCCTAGCCCTCCAAACACTTTATAATATGTCTTCTCCCATTCAAAGGTGAAGTCCATTTCCCCACCCCTTGATTCTAGGCTGGACTTGTGATTTTGCTTTGGCCAATACCATGTGGCAGAAGTGATGGTGTGCTAATTTCAGTACTGGACTTTAGAGGCCTTGTGCATTTCTACTTGCTTTATGGGGATCCCTGCCTTTGCCATATGAGCAAGTCTAGGCTAGCCTGCTAGAGAACGACAGATCATCTGGACCGGAGCTGAGTCAGCTCAGTTGTCCCAGCTGAGGCTCCAGACATGTGTGAGAGCCCAGCCAAGATTGGCAAAACCAATCTGTGGCTGACCACAGACCCATGAAGGAATCTAACAGAAGAACCGCCCAGCTGAGCAGAGCCTAAATTGCTGACTGTAGTCACGAAAATGGTGTGTTATGCTGCTAAATTTTGAAGTGAATTGTTATGTGATAGTAGCAATAGCTAACTGTTATATTATTTACTATGCACAATTAAAAATAGACTTATTCAGCCATAAAGGCAATCTTGAAAAGCAATAAAATCCTTGTCACAGGGATCACCAGGCAGAGGTTCTGTGATTCCTATACTGTACCTGAGAAATGATTGTGAGGAGAGTTTTCAGTTCCACAATTCCAAAATCCTACTGTATGATAGTTGTATTCATCTATCTCTCTAAATGCAGAAAAATGTACTAAATGTGTTGTCCTCTTCTTCCCATAAAGAAAACTTCTGCACATTAGCATTAAAATATTCCCAAGTAAATAAAAAAATCTGTTGAGCTTCTTAGACTCAAGAAGCCAGCTGGCTGTATAATGAGAGTGTAACACACGTAATAGATTCTGAAACACAAGTATCAACTTCTAAGTCATGGTCATGTCTTCAATATCTTCCCACTGTTGCTGTGAGACCTCAGGCAAATTCCTTACACTTTTGAGTTTTTGTTTCATGATTAGCAAAATAGGCACAGTAAACTTCTCTAACTTGATACTTGGTATAAGTTAATTTCATATTCCTTCTAAAGAGCTGAGAACTCAAAATAGATTAGATATATACAACATACTATCACACAAGGAGAATAAATCTCGTAAGGAGAGTATCTTAGTAAATATATCACCTAAGGCGTGAATATCCCCAAGTAAAAGTATCATTGAAGAAATAATCAAGTCAGAAGACAAATGATCAAACTGATTAAAGTATAAGATATGTATGGCTGGGCATGGTGGTGCACCCCTGTAATCCCAACACTTTGGGAGGTTGAGGCAGGAAGATCATTTGAGCCCAGGAGTTTGAGAACAGCCTGGGCAACATAGTGAGACCTTGTCTCAGTAAATAAATAAATAAATAAATAAATAAGCAAGCTGGGTATGGTGGTGCATGCCTGTAGTCCCAGCTACTTGAGAGGCTGAGGTGAGAGGATTGTTTGAGCCCAGGAGGTCAAGGCTTCAGTAGGCCATGATTGTGCTCACTTCAGCTGGGGGCAACAAAATGAGACACTGCCTCAAAAAAAAAAAAAAAATATATATATATATATATATATATAACATATGCTACTGTAGAAAATTTATGTTTACACAGAATCCTGAAGATAAATATGAGTTTTATTGTTGTTGGGTTTTTTGTTTGTTTGTTTGCTTGAGACGGCATCTTGCTCTGTTGCCCAGGCTGGAGTGCCGTGGTGCTATCTCGGCTCACTGCAAGCTCCACCTCCCGGGTTCACGCCGTTCTCCTGCCTCAGCCTCCTGAGTAGCTGGGACTACAGGTGCCCGCCACCACGCCTGGCTAATTTTTTGTATTTTTAATAGAGACGTGGGTTCACCGTATTAGCCAGGATGGTCTCGATCTCTTGACCTGATGATCTGCCCGCCTCAGCCTCCCAAAGTGCCCAACCTATTGTTGGTTTTTTTTTAGAGACAGCATCTTGCTGTCTCCCAGGCTAGAGTGCAGTGGTGTGATCACAGCTCACTGCAACTTTGAACTCCTGGGCTCCAGTGATCCTCCTGCCTCAGCCTCCTGAATAACTGGGAATATAGATGAGTGCCACCATACCTGGCTGAGAAATATGAGTTATTAAAACTTCTGAAAGAATAGATGTGGCTGGGAGCTGGTGAGGCCAAGGCGGGTGGATCACCTGAGGTCAGGAGTTCGAGACCAGCCTGGCCAAATGTCATGAATGCACATATATTTACATTCTGATGATTTAAAAAAATATATTTTTTTATGGCCGGGTGCAATGGCTCATGCCTGTAATCCCAGCACTTTGGGAGGCTGAGGCGGGTGGATTACCTGAGGTCAGGAGTTCAAGACCAGCCTGGCCAACATAGCAAAACCCCGTCTCTACTAAAATACAAAAATTAGCTGGGTGTGGTGGCGGGCACCTGTAATCCCAGCTACTCAGGAGGCTGAGGCAGGAGAATCACTTGAACCCAGGAGGCAGAGGTTGCAGTGAGCCTGGGCAACAGAGCAGACTCTGTCTCAAAAAAAAATTTTTTTTTTCGAGACATGGTATCTCTCTCTCTCTCTCTCTCTCTCTCTCTCTCTCTCTCTCTCTGTCTGTCTGTCTGTCTTTGAGGCTGGAGTGCAGTGGCATAATCACAGCTCACTGTAACCTTGAATTCCTGGGCTTGAGTGATTCTCCTGCCCCAGCCTCCCAAGTAGCTGGGACTACAGGCTTACACCACCACACCCAGATAATTTTAAAAAATGTTTTTGTAGAGACAGGGTCTTGCTATGTTGCCTGGGCTAGTCTTGAACTCCTGGTCTCACGCAATCCTCCCACCTCAGCCTGCCAACATGCTGGGATTACAGTGTGAGCCACTGTGCCCAGCCACATTCTGATGATTTTCAAGATTTTATGATAGATGAAATTTTACAAAAGTGATAGTATAGGAAAAGTATTTTAAGTCCTCTGTTTATACAGAAGCTTAAGGCCTTGAACTGCTGTATCAAAAATGTGGCCAAATTACGACTCTTATTTTGTAGGATTGTCCTAGGAATGTTTATGCAGGGGCCGCATGATTCCTGAATTGGGTAAGATAATGATTTTTCCAGTTCAGAAATTTCTAGTGGTTGCTGCTTTGAATCTTATTCATGCATTCACTAATCTTTTATTGAGCTCCAAGCCTGGGCCAGCACACTGTTAGGGACCACGCGTGCAAAGTTGAATGAGAGCAGTGCCGTGGGACCATGAGCCCTCAGAACATCTTACCGCAGTTCCTTTTTATGACTTGGCTTTGTTCTGGCAGACAGAACTGTTCAGCCAGCTTTGTTCTGTCACCATGGGCTTTGGTATCAGACAGACTGGGCCCTTGTTCTAGCTCCATCACTGACTTTCTACACCTGCTTCCTTAAATGCAGATAATAATGCTGTCTACCTCGTAGGGATGTTGTGAGAATCAGAAAAATGATGTGGGGAAAAGGCTCAGGACAGTCTCTTCACTAAACCACTTGCCCTGATGACACACTTCCTCACTGTCCCCAGGGGGTGTCCCATGCATAAACCCTTCCTTCCTCCCTCTACCATCACCAATGGCCAGAAAAAGTCAAACACCTGGGATTCTCTTCCTTCAGTGCCCTGTCTCTTCTAGGTAGGATATTCATCTGTGTCTATATAAATGCGCAAATAAGTGCTAACTTTATGTTATTTGTCCCAAGAGTAATGCATTTAACAGGAGCTCCCTTGAGAGGATACTTTTTCCCTCATTGAGATTGGTTATATTTAATATATATTATATTATATATATATTATATTAATATATTTTAAAACTGGTTTTCATTCAGCATTATGAGAAGTTAAGGGAAGGGAGGGTAGTGGAAAGGTAAGGAAATAAAACAGAAAGATGAGAAAAGATTAGAGAAGAGAAAGGACAAATGGAGAAGGATAGGTAGGCAGAGGAAAAAGGGGAAAAAACAGATAAACAAATTGCTGCTGAAAGATACATTCACAGAGTCTGTAGTGAGGAAAAGGCAGAAACAGAGGAATAGAGTGAGAGAAAGCCAGAGTGAGTATAAGAAAGAGAGAATTTGGCCTGGCACAGTGGCTCACACCTGTAATCTCAGCACTTTGGGTGGCTGAGACAGGAAGATCACTTGCGTCCGTGAATTTGAGACAAGCCTGGGCAACACAGAGAGACCCTGTCTCTACAAAAACTAAAAAAAATTAGCCAGGCATGGTGGCTCATGCCTGTAATTCCAGCACTTTGGGAGGCTGAGGTGTGTGGATCACCTGAGATCAGGAGTTCAAGACCAGCCTGGCCAACATGGTGAAACCCCATCTCTACTAAAAATACAAAATTAGCCAGGTATGGTGGTGCCTGCCTGTAATCCCAGCTACTCAGGAGGCTGAGGCAGGAGAATCACTTCAACCCGGGAGGCGGAGGCTATAGTAAGCCAAGATTGCCCCACTGCACTCTAGCCTGGGGGACAGAGCAAGACCCTGTCTCAAAACAACAACAACAACAACAACAAACAACACAAAAATTAGCTGGACATGGTGGCACGTATCTGTAGTCCCAGCTACTTGGGAGGCTGAGGCGGGGGAATAGCTTGAGCTCAGGAGGTCGAGGCTGCAGTGAGCTGTGATCGTGCCACTGCACTCCAGCCTGGGTGACAGAGTGAGACCCTGTCCAAAAGAAAAAAGAGAGAGAGAGGAGAAAGAGAGAGAGAAGAATTGCTTGTATTCTCCAAGCCTGAGAAAGACCCAGCATACTGTCCAGCATACAGTCAGTGCTCAATATATATTTGCTGAATGAAAGAGTGTATGGAAGAGATAGTCAATAGCTCGTTCTAACGTGTTATCTAGGCATTCTAGTCCATCTTATTGTTCACTGGGCAGAGGGTATTATACCTTAGCTATCTCTTCTAATCATTTCCTTTAAAGGGGTAATTTGTTTTTAAACCATGGTTTATAGCTCCACAATAGCTCTTTATTATTTAACCTTCAGTGCTTCCACTCCGAATGGGATCACCACAGCAGCCAATTAAGGGAGAAATCATTATTTGCATTTTAGCTCCAGTGCTCTAAGTAATAAGTATCAGTCTGCTAGTGGGCAGGTCAAAGTCTGCTAGTGGGCAGGTCAATCCAAGCTTTAGATTGTACCCAACCTGTGAAAGATGTTCCCTGATTCGACCTTAACTCAAAGCGATGGCCACACTGTCCGAGGTGTTAGGCATCACAGTGAGGGAGTAGTTTTAGGTTGGCAGCATAAGTTCATGGCTATTCAGTCTTAACCAGATGCCAGCAGTGATGACCTTGTAAACCAAAAAGCATCTGAGACAGGTCGCAATCAATTTAGAAGTTTATTTTGCCAAGGTTAAGGACATGTCCAGGAGGAAAACAAACAAACACAGAATTGCGAAACAGTCTATGGTCTGAGGGCTTCAATATTTAAAGAGGGAATAGTGGGCTGGAGGGGAGAGAGGTGGTTACATTACTGAATCCACATGTTGCAAGAGAAAAGGAGCAGGTAGGGGAATAGTCAATTATGTATTCCTCTTGTGCTCAGTAAATTGAAGCTTTACCTAAGATAAGGTGAACATAGAATAGCTACCTGTGGAGATATTTAACCCTTTATCTGTGACTATCTGCTTAGGAACAAAAGGAAAGGCAGCTCTTGCACAACTCAGCTTTCAGCTTCATTTTTTTCCTTTTGGCAGAGCGAATTGGGGTCCTGGATTTTTATTTTCCTATCACAACCTTCAAGTTCTACTCCATATAGACCCTTGCTTAGGGCTAGTCTGGCCTTATAGTGCACACTGAGAACTCTGACCAATAGCTGGTGAGATCTTAAAATGGGTCCTTGCTTCCACACCACTGGTCTAGTGGGCCCAAAGTAACATTTAGGCCTCAGATATGTCAGAGAGCTTCCAGCTGACCCCTAGTTTACCTGGTTAGCTTGTATTTGTAGCTTTGCATCTTGGTTTTTGATGTGTGTTCCAATTCCTTGCTGAAACTGGAGGCTACCCCTTCTTGGCTAAGACCTGGAAGTGCTTATGGGTTTCTGCCACGTGTCCTCTTCCCACCCCTTAGTAACCAATGCCCCTCTAACCTAGAAGGACCACCATCATCCATCTATCATCCTAGCCCCCACTTGACAACTATAACCATCTCTTCTCAGGAGTGGCTCTACCTGACCCTGTCTTTGTGGAACTGAGCCACTTGAATATTTTTTTTTTTTTTGAGATGGAGTTTTCACTCTTGTTGCCCAGGCTGGAGTGCAATTGCACGATCTCAGCTCACCACAACCTCTGCCTCCCAGGTTCAAGCAATTCTCCTGCCTCAGCCTCCTGAGTAGCTGGGATTACAGGCATGCGCCACCATGCCTGGCTAATTCTGTATTTTTAGTAGAGATGGGGTTTCTCCATGTTGGTCAGGCTGGTCTCGAACTCCTGACCTCAGGTGATCCGCCCGCCTCAGCCTCCCAAAGTGCTGAGATTACAGGGGTGAGCCACTGTGCCTGGCCACCACTTGAAGATTTAATCACCCTCATTAGATTTCACTTAGCCATGCTTGGATTTGGTTATTTGTACCTCTGTCTTTTCCTGGAGGGGCCTGATTCTTCTGTCCCATATTGCTTCCCACAGCCCTGAAGTTGGCTTATTTATTTTTTTTAATTTTCATTTTATTTTAGATTCAAGGGGTACATGGTTATATTGCATATTTGCAGGGATTGGGCTTCTAGTATACCCATTACCCAAATAGCGAACATTGTATTCAATAGGCAAGTTTTCAAGCCTAACCCCCACAGTCTCCCTCTTTTTAGAGTCTCCAGTATCTGTGATTTACTTCTTTATGTCCATGTGTACTCATGGTTTAGTTACCAAATACCACAGCGAGAACATGCAGTATTTGTTCCCATTCCTTGCTGAAACTGGAGGCTACCCCTTCTTGGCTAAGAAGTCATTTCACTTAGAATAATGGCCTCCAGCTTTATCCATGTTGCTGCAGAGGACATGATTTCATTTTTTTAATAATAGTTGTGGCTTATTCGTTTCTCTCTTGGAAAAATCCTCTCTATTGTCTACTCTGTTCCGAGCAAACCGAAGTGTACCAAAAGGTATACTACAATACAGCTTTCAGGGAAATTTCTCTACTTCATTACCTTCCACCAACCAACCTTCCCCTTCCAACTAAAAGGACATTAACAATATTATGATACCTTTGTTTACAATTTGTAAGTTTATCTTGGAGATTTCTACAATGAAAGTTGGACATCATCCACCTATACTTTATACTCTGTATCTGGTGGAGACTGGGGGCTTGGTAAGTACTTCATTGATGACATTCATTGGTGACTGAATGAATGAACTGAAACATCTTAATAGTGGTTTTAAAAAAGGAATTTGGGAATGGTTGCTCTAGTACTTGTTAATGATTATCTAGTAGTTTTGTGGGATGGTTAATTCCATTTTTTTTTTTCCTGAGACACTCTCGCTCTGTCACCCAGGCTGGAGTACAGTGGTGTGATCTCAGGTGATCCATCCCCCTTGGCCTCCCAAAGTGCTTAGATTACAGGTGTGAGCCAGTGTGTCCGGCAGATTAATTCCATTTTTAGTATGAGGTACGAATGAGGACAAGATGGTAGTTTTATCACTGCCTAGATAATTTATTTTTGTGTAGTATTTGTTTCACAGTCATACATGGTACCTTGCACTAAAGTAGTCATTAAATAAATCATGCCCTTCTCACAAGGCAGGATGAACAAGAGTATGGATATAGATGGTTTAGAGAAAACTCAGTTCCACTGCTGAGAAAATAATCCACTAATCATCAGTTAGTTGTTTTTATATAGGATAACACGTTATCATTATGAGAAACAACGTTCCAAAGAACAGGAAAACCTAATGTTACAGTAATAAAAAATACTTAATTTTTTTCTGACATTATTTGATATTGTTCTCTAGCTTTTTATCCTGACCTATGTCAATGTCATGCTAGTATCTGAAGAAGTGGTTGGAACAAGGTCCCACATTTTAATACTTATGAAGTCTTTTGTACTGTTTATTGTCCTCTGCATGAATTTTTCCTTGATTTTTATAATATTTGGGGCCTTTATTTATTTTTTCTTTCTTTTTTTTTTGACGGAATTTTGCTCTGTTGCCCAGGCTGGAGTACACTGGTGCGATCTTGGCTCACTGCAACCTCCACCTTCCAGGTTCAAGCAATTCTCCTGCCTCAGCCTCCTGAGTAGCTGGGATTACAGGCCCGTCCCACCAGGCCTGGCTAATTTTTTTGTATTTTTAGTAGAGACAGGGTTTCAGCATGTTGGCTAGGCTGGTCTCGAACTCCTGACCTTAGGTGATTTGCCTGCCTCAGCCTCCCAAAGTGCTGGGACTACAGGCATGAGCCACTGTACCGGCTTGGGGGCCTTTCTTATTTGAGGAAAGCCCCTGTTAAGATCTCAGATTGAATTTTATTGAATTTTCACTTCCCTTATTCTCATGGATGCCTGGGGTCTCCAGATACCATCCTATTTGTGGGTTTATGTCTTGGTGCTTTTTATTATTATTATTGTTATATTTCTTACTGTAAGGAACATTGCTGACAGTGCCTTATTTCATTTGGCTTGTAAATGCTGATGCTTGCTATCCTCTGGGTCAGAGAGAGGTCACAGTCTGTTCTAAAACATAATCGCTGGCTCCACCATACAACTGTGAGTTTAATTAGTCCCCCATACTGGTGTGAAGCGCTGAATCTTATTGCTGAATGAGGCCTGGAGAGCGCATCTGTTCTGGTCCCTTCACCTTCTGGCAGGTGGGTTCCAAACCATTCAAGAGAGGTGGCTGTTGGAACTGAATTGAAATAATCATTTAAAAAATCTTTGCAGATTACAATTTGACAATCTCTTTGTATTTAAATTTAGAGTTATCATCCATTACCATCCTGATAATGAAGAGTTTCATTTTTTTGTCTCCATGAAATAAGTCCTATTTTAATAAAACTGTTCTCTCTTGTTTGCTCTTCTCTAATAAGGAAAACAATGGACAAAAATCTCTGCAAAAGAATGTCTTCTCTGCTTCCAGGTTATAGCTAAGTCATTTCCGTTTTCTCTTCTTTTTTTTAGACAATAGGGCATAGTCTAAATATTAATCAGGTAGCTGGTATTAGTTTCTCTTACCTTGCTATGAGGTAGGTGAGGAAAGCATTTCAGCACACAAGCTTTAGAATGAATCCCACCTGTGCTGGAATCCTGATACTAATAATCAGCTTTGTAAACTTGGAAAAGTTACTTAATCTCTCTCAGTTTTTCTCCGTGGAAATAATAATAGATTCTCCTCTATAGGATTTTAAAGAGGATTCAATGAGTGTAAAGACCATTTGGGCCAAGCGTGGTAGCTCACACCTGTAATCCTAGCACTTTGGGAGCTGAGGCAGGAGGAATATTTGAGCCCAGGAGTCTGAGACCAGCCTGGGCAGCATGGCGAAACCATCTCTACCCTTACCCCCAACAAAAAGCATTAGCTGGGCGTGGTGGTGCGCACCTGTAGTCCCAGCTACTCAGGAGGCTGAGGTGAGTGAATCAATTAAACCTGGGAGGTGGAGGCTGCAGTTAGCTATGGTCGTACCATTGCACTCCAGACTCGGTGAAGAGTGAGACCCTGCCTAAAACAACAACAACAACAACAAAAAGATATTGTTCTACTTACTACTGTTGCATAACAAATTATCTCAGAATGTAGCAGCTTAATGCAATTATTTCATCAGGTTCATGGATGTTATGCATCAGAAATGTGGAAAAGACACAGTGATGAGAGGTTAACTTTGCTCCACAATGCCTGGGGCCTCAGATGAGAAGACTAGGAGTCTTGGCTAGGGTGATTGACAGCTGCAGGCTCAAATCATCTGGAGGTGTCTGCAATCACATGTCCAGCAGCTGATGCTGCCTGGAGCTGCTGAATGGGTGATTGCATGCAGCTTGGGCTCCCTACTAGCATGGCAGCCTTAGGACAGTTGAATTTAGTTGAATGTCTTACATGGCAATGTAGGGTTCTAGTGACAGTGTTCCAGTGGACAAGCTGACACTGCATTGCCTTTTATGGATCAGCCTAGGAAGGTAAGCAGTCATTTATGCTACATTCTATTTAGGACAAGTGAGTCACCAAGATTGGCCTAGATTCAAGGTAAGAGGATATGGACCCAATCTTTCAATGGGAGTGTCGAATTTATGACAAGTTTTTCAAACCATCATAGATAGTATTTTTGGCCTTAAGACTAATTGAGATCACCTAGGTAATGGGTGTAGCTAGAAAAGAGGTGAAGTTCTGAGCCCTGGGCCACTCCAGTATTTGAAGATCAAGAAGATAAGGATCATCCAGCGAAGGAGACTGAGAAAGAGTGGCCAGTGAGGTAGGAGAAAATCAGGAGAGTGCGGAAATTAAGTGAAGGAAAGTGTTTTAGTTAAGAGAAGTGATCAGCACTGTGAAATACTGTTAAAGCGGCAAATGAGATGCGGACTGAGGACTGCCTATTAACTTTGGTAATGTGGAAGTCACTGGCAATCTTGGCCAGAGCAATTTCCAGAGTGTGGTAACTGAATTCGTCAACTTTCACCTCCTTGGCTGCCAGCCTCTGTAGGTCCTGGGTGTGTCACCTCCACTCCCACCTCAGGACCGAAGGTTCACACTGGCTTAATTGGTTTGGTTTTGTCACCACACGTTGCAATACAGTCTTTATCAAATGTTTTCTGCTGATAGAATTTATGAAAGAATGCCACTTATCTTTGCAGTGTTCAAATTTGCTAAGTAGCTCTAATAGCCGACAATATCTGTATTATAATGTTTGATTCTAAACATATTTTGGAAAGTCCCATTTATAGTAGAGCTTTAGTGAGAGATTTTAAATGATAAATTTAAAGATAGGGCAAGATGGACAAGATCCATTGACAAGCAAGTGGAAACTATTAGTCTGTATACCTAAGTAAACCTGCCCTAATGAGGGTTGGATTGTTTTTTAACTTCTTGAGGGACAAAACAACAACAGCAACAACCAAAACAAAACAAAACAAAAAACAAATTTGAAAAGGAAAAGGTAAAAACTTCTCCTATGTTTAAATAATGCCACGTCAAAATCTACTTAATGGTTGTTCAGAGATAAAACATTTGTTTTATTGATTTTATTATAGTTTCGGTTAAACTATAACTGTGTTGATTATATGTGTGCAAATTCTGCCTGTTTGCTCTTGCATTCATTTCTTACCCATTGCCTGCTCTACTCTGTCTTTGGGGACCAGTCATGCAGCCTCCCTTTCAGAGGCTCCGTGTTAGCTTCAAATGACAGGAGATTTGTGGTAAGAGGATTCTCCTCCCCTCTCTCTGACTATGGCAGCCTCCCCTGTAGCATTTGCATCTCTTCTGTGGCTCCATCTCCCACCAGCCCTGGTTTTAGCTTCCACCAGCCTAGGGGTGGGAATAGCTTCCTGCTGCTGCCAAACTGGGTTACCTGACTTGCCCTGCATTTCCTCAGCTCTTCCACCATCCATGGAACCATGTGTCAGAATTAAGGTTTCTCTGGTTTTGGTCGGGCACAGTGGCTCACGCCTGTAATCCCAGCATTTGAGGCGGGAGGATCATTTGAGGTCAGGAGTTCAAGACCAGCCTGGCCAACATAGCCCTGTCACTACTAAAAATACAAGAAAATTAGCCAGATGTGGGCCAGGCGCGGTGGCTCACACCTGTAATCCCAGCACTTTGGGAGGCTGAGGCGGGCAGATCACAAGGTCAGGAGATCGAGACCATCCTGGCTAACACAGTGAAACCGCGTCTCTACTAAAAATACAAAAACTTAGCCAGGTGTGGTAGGGGGTGCCTGCAGTCCCAGCTACTTGGGAGGCTGCAGCAGGAGAATGGTGTGAACCCGGGAAGCAGAGCTTGCAGTGAGCTGAGATTGTGCCACTGCATTCCAGCCTGGGCAACAGAGCAAGACTTGTCTCAAAAAAAAAAAAAAAAAGAAAAGAAAATTAGCTGGATGTGATGGCATGTGCCTGTAGTCCCAGCTATTTGGGAGGCTGAGGCAGGAGAATCGCTTGAATCAGGGAGATGGAGGTTACAGTGAGCATGTGATCACGCCACTGCACTCCAGCCTGGGAGACAGAGTGAGACTTTGTCTCAAAAAAAAAGCTTTCTCTGGTTTAAATAAATAGGTGATTTCTGCTTTTTTGGTTGAACTCTGATATAATCATGTGCGTAGTTCTTTCTTTTGCCCTCATATCAACTTCTAATGCCCAAATATGTGAATTAACAACACATCCCACTTCTTCCTTGTTACAATAGGAAGGAAAAGTTGAGTTTATAGAACCTGCAGATTTTTTAGACCTCACTTGCTTTGTGATTAAAGCCATGGGCACTGGCATGAGACAGGCCTGGTGTTGACTTGTAGCTCCTGTGTCAATTACTAGTTGTGTGATCTTTCACAAGTTAAGATCTCTAAGCCTCAGCTTCTTCCATCGTCTGTGATATAGAGGTAATTTCCCTACTTCATATGGTTATGATGATTGAATAAAACATGAGCTCAAACTACCCAGGACAGTGTTTACAGGTTGTTAAGTGTTCTGTAAAGGAAGCAATTATTAATCAGAAAGTTTCTTTTTTATATACAAGCCCTTGCAGTTGATCTCACTCATGTCAGGAGCCTGACATGAAGACAGGACAGGCATTTGCTGGCATTTTATCCTGGGAGGGTACTAAGCCAAGTCATTCATTTGCAGGGTCAGGATGTGGCTAGGCTAAAAGGAGATGTGGTAAAACATCCTCAGTGTTGCTATACATTAAGCCCTACTGTGGCACGCACCTTGTTTTTGGCTCCGTTCTCCAGCAATGACCCTATAGTTATTCTGAAGTTAGATATACCAAGGTGAGAGTGAGGCTGACTGTTATAAATATTAATTGGTGGATTAATTCTCCTGCTTTTAGCCCTGAATTGGAGGATTAGTTGAAGAGAGC